>NC_000005.10:123859807-125109807 GCF_000001405.40 Homo sapiens
TCTCATGTGGTAGAACGAGAGCTCTGGTATCTCTTCCTTGTCTGAATAAGGGCAATAATCCTATTATGAGGGTACAGCTTTATGACCTCATCTAAACCTAAAATACTTCCCAAAGGCCTCATCTTAAAATAACCATCACATTGTGGGTTAGGGCATCAGTATGTAAATTGTCGGGGACATAAACGTTCAGTGCATAATAGCACATTTGTAGAAATGCTTTGGCCCAGACAAGTGGGGCCCCACCTCACTCTTTGGGATTTGCTCTGTTTCTTGTCCTAATAGACTGAGGGATCTGCAGGGCCAAGAAGATGTGCAGAGTCCACACACTCCCTTCCAGGTGACTGAGTGCCTGGGACCCCAGAACTTCCTACTCAAATAGCCTGCCCTTGCTTCTGGGCCTGCAAGGTCCCTTTCCCCAAATCTTTCTTCTTGAGTGTGAACTACACTGCCACCCGAAAGCCTAGGAGATGGCTAAGGGGTAGCAGTTTGTAGGAGAAGAATGGTTGGAACTTGTTAAGTGCTGGCTGGGAGATCCACAGGCATGATACAAGATAGAACCAAAGATAGAAAGAGAAGGGAAAGAAGAGAGCTGGTTCTTCCCACGCCGCTGTGTCCCAGCACCCAACTTTGAAAAGTACAAAGATTTAACATATAAATCTCACCTGCCAGGTTACTAAGAAACTGTATTTATGAAGTTGGGAGGATAGAACAGATTTTATTTTGTGATTGGTTAGGTTGATTTGTAACATTAAAATGTGTAGACACCGATGTTTGAGGCTTCATTTGTACTTTCGCTCTATGATCCCAAATGTTAAGAGCAGGTCTGACAATCACTAATGCTCCTTAGGTGCACACTCATTAATGTGTATTTTAGTATTAGTGATTTTTATGCATCTACTCTTTAACTAATATTAAAGATCTAAACTAAACAATATATGACTGAGAATAAAAACAGCTATAAACCAAGCACTGGTCAAGCCATCTTGGGGGCCAGCAGTGTTGAGCTGAGAGATGATCCATCTGGTTGACTGAGTCTGAATTTGCTCTTCAGAGTTCTATCAATGGCCATTAGGATTCATGTGCTATATGCTACAAATCCCCTGAATTTCTCCCGTTAGAAGGAAAATATATATGCGATAGTTATTTGATTTACTAATTTGAAAAGTTTTATTTAACCCCTAATTCCCATTCCAAATCCCAGCCTGCCCTCCACCTCACAGGCTGCCCATGTGCACTTGTCTTATGTCCTGCAATTTGTGCCATTTTAAAGTACGTAGTGTTGTTTTTTGTGTGTGCTTTTAAAAAATGTAACTATGAAGGGCATTGAGCTGTACATCTCATTTTCTTTCTTACTTTTTTCACCTAATGTTGTTTTTAAGATCTATTCAAATTGCTGTCTGAAATGAGTTTATTGCTTCTAATTACTGCGTAGTGTTCATAGAACATGAATATCATCTTTTACTTGTCAATTCCCCCAGTGATGGACACCTAGGTAGCTTCCAACTCTCTACTAGCACAAATACAGTATGGTCATAATGAGCATATTTTATGTGATCCTTCCCAACCTGGGTGAGTATTTCTCTACCGTATTTACCCAGGAATGGTATTGCTTGTAGGGCTTAAGCACACTTATTTCATTAAATATTGCTGGATTGTTTCCCAGAACTGCTGTACCTATTTTAACTTTTGTGGGTAGTTTAAAAGTGTTCTATCTTTCTACATCTTCATCTATACTTGGTACTATCTACTTTTCAAATTTTTGCCATTCTGAGCCATGTAAGGGGCATCTATCTCATTGTTTTAATTTATCAGTATCTCTATTATTTTAATTTGTATTTTTTGAACGATCATTATTGATATTTTAGAAAGAATAGTTAAAGGTTGTTAAAAAAGATTACACTTTCCTTTTCCATCCTCATGTTGTTTGTTTTGTCTTCTTGTTTGACTTGCATCTACTTTTTTTTTAATGTTCTTGTCCTCAATGAATAATGTAAACTCATTCATTCATTCAGCAAACATTTTTGTTTGTGTGTATGCTATACGCTAGGTACATAAATAAAAATTTGGCCATCTTATAAAATACGAAGTGCTAGTGTGTGTTGCATGTGTGCATGTGTGTGCGTGTTTAATTTATAAGAAGGATATTGAACTCTGTCATTCTGTTTCTTGTTGTTGCTGTTGTTTTTCTTATTTCTTCACCACCATTTCTTTTTTATTCCTCGCCCACCTCCTCTGCTACCTTTTCTTTCTCCCCCTTCCTTTCTTCTCTGTCTTCCTTCTTTTTTCCTCCTTCTTCCTTCCTTTTTCTTTTCATCCTTTACTTAATACTATTTTAAGAAATATCCATCTTGCTATATGTACAATACACCTAACTCAATTTTTCATTTTTTACTTGAGTTTTTAGGTATTTTTTTGAGCTTTTCCAAAGAAAAATTCTACAGGTTAATTGCTAAAAAGAAAAGTAGAATTATTAAATAAGTGGAAGCAGAGAAAAGATTAATGGTGAAACAATTCTGGGATGTTTTTCCTTTAAAGAGAGACTATTTCTATAGGATTAGGGAAAATACATGTCTAACATGTGGTTATTCCCTTCTTAGAGACGGGACAGGTCTCTGATATTAAAGCCAGATCAGCATGATAGGTCTCACAGGCAAGAGTTTCCAAGGTTGCATTATCATCTCTCCACTTCATTTAAGATTAGAATGTCCCAGCATGTTCCTCAGGAGACAATTTTATGTTGAGTCAGAGAACTTGATGATGTGGTCAAATTGCACATCTATGTTCATTCATTGTCAACTCTGGTTTTTCTTTTTTATGTCCATGACATGGGCCTTTAATTTGGATAATAAATCTGTATGGTTTTCTTCTGTGCTATGTGCCTTTCACACTAATGCTAAGCAAGCTGACTTTCAAGTTGTATTTTCTCCTAGTATCCAGGAAGAGTTCTGAGGGAGAGGAAAGAAAGGGGATTTCAGAATTCTAAGTGGTTATCAATTTGTGAATGAGCATATTTTTTGCCTATGACCATTATGAAAGGCAACAACTCCATCTGGGGATAATCAGGAATTTGTGGAGGAACTCTTTTTTTAAAAAAAAAATTGGAATTGGACTGCCAGAGTGAAATTTGTTTTCTGGATACTGACAGAGCAACTCCACCTTGAGAACAAGGTTCAGTAACTTAATAGTATTGTCTTCATCTCTTACTACTTACAACTCTGTCTTTCTGCAATTGATGCAAACAGTTATTTCACCTGTGGCCTCTTCTCTGTGCATTTTAAGGGGCTCCAGGTAGCAGAACTTCATTTTAGTACAGAGATGGAAAAGTGTTCTCCATACATGCAAAATAAAAAAGCCACACTAACCGTAGTTAAAGGGATTCAAGTGCCTTGATTTGGAATCTGATCCATGTTAAATGAATTTCCCTCATTGACTCATATGATGGATGTTCTACTGCTTTTTTATTGCCAAATGATAGTACTCAATTTATCAACAGATCTCCCTTTCTGACCAGTGTGATAACACCGAAGGGCCCAGCAAAATCTAGAAATAGAAAGGTAGTTCTCTCAGGAGATAAGAATCTTAATCAATTACAGATTATATCTTGTTGGACTTGGCATATTGTTTTAATAGTCACAGAAAAAAACTCATTTGAATTAATGTTGCTTTATTTATAACTGCTTTGAAGAACTGAATACTGAAATAAAAATCTGTGTCACTTGCCAGTTTTCCAAAGTAATATCCATTCTCTTCCTCCACCCCTAGCTGCCCTTGCCAACTTTTTGTCATCTGCCTATCACTATACAGAAGGAAATAGGCATCCACCTCTAGCAAATACCTGTTTTTCTTGGTGCTTTGTTAATTAATAAACACTTCTGGGAAACAAACAAAAAGACAAAAAACACCCCAAAGAAGCAAAAACAATGGTCAGTGTAATCTCTTCTCAACTCCATTTTTGGATCATCTGTCTATAAATTTATCTTCATGACTACTGTAAAAATGATTTATCTTTCTATTGGTAGAATTTCTTGGATGTCTGAATGAATTGGATAGGACTTGCCTTACATAGCCTAAGGTGATTTGATTTCAGGGTGATGGTCAGCCGTCTTCCCCAGCTGATTTCTCCGCCCAGCTCCATCCCATTAGCTGCTACCTGAGATTTAGCAATTACGTTTTGTTGGACTTAGAAGTCATTCCTACTTTAGTATGATTGTGCTTATCAGATATTTTCTTAAGGGGAATATTTTCAAGGGTGAAAAAGGGAAGAGTATTACAAAGACATTGGTTACAGTTTAGGTCAAGAAGAGATGGCAGATGAACTTCTGTTGAGAGCCGGCTCTGGACCTGAACTAATGTGACCCCCTACCCCAGACTCCAACTTGTTTCCTTTGCTTCTTACCAAAGGTTCATGCAATGTTATTGGAAATGGAACTGGGTGTAGTTGTAAAGTCCTGGATTCAAGTCTTGGCTCTCATTTGATCTGTTGTTTCCTCTTACAAAATGAAAACAATAATCTTTACCTCACAGGGAGTCAATCTGATAAAATATGTTGAAAGGTAATACTGGTATTATTCCTAAGTACATATAAATATTTCCCTACCATTAAGGTTTCCCCTTGGAAATTATTATTTTCCACACAACGCTGGAGATTTTCTCATTCCTTGGGGTGCATCACAAGCTCCCCACCTGTACACCCTTATTAGAGTTTTGACATATCCGGCTTGGTGTTTGACAGTGTAGAAAACTCTCTTGTTATTGCTCCAGCTGTGGTTGCTACTTGTCATGTCTTACTACATCGTGTCTGGCCTACATTAACTTCTGTGTGTTATTACCCAGAAATGGATAAGAAGACAGGGCATTCTTTTCATTAAGAAAAACCATTCTGAGCTACAGAAATTTTTAGATGAAATGCTAGGCACATAGGAGGAGGCTAATCTTTTCTCCTACTCTGCTGTCATTTCTAAAATGCATGCATAATGCCAGAATTCAGAGGCCATCTTAGGTCCAGCTGACTTCCTATAACACCCCCTTAGGCAAAGTTAGAGTAGTTAAAATACTATGTGTGTTTTTAGAAAAGTGCTGGCATAATCCTGTGTCTTCTTAAATTGTCTTAATATAAAGGTTTGTTTAGTTTTGAAAGCATTTTTATTAATAGTGTGGCAACTCATATTGTGAGTTTGGGAAAATCACATTCTTAGGACTATCTGATATAACCAAAGGTTGTTAGCAGCAATTAAACTTCAGAAAATACTGGCTTTCCCTAGGTTAATGAAATATTTATATGCCAACACCTGTATCAAATAAAAGCCTGGAGTGCCTTAGTCCCTTGCCACTCACAGTGTGATTCAGAACCTGCACCATCAGCAACACCCAACAGCTTGTTAGAAATGCAGACTCCTAGGCCCTGCCCAGACCTACTGAATCAGAATCCTCATTTTAACAAGGTGTCTGCTGGTGACTTGTATGTACATCGGAGTTCAAGAATGCTGCCTTAGTAGACTTTATTCTTTTAAAAAAGAATGAAGAAGCCCAAAATTATTTGCTGCCCTTGTCACATAATAATAATCAATCAGGAAAGCAGTTTAATTGGTAACTTTTTCATCTGTGTAGATCAGCACTAATCAAAAGAAATATAATGTGAGCTACATGTGTAATTTTACATTTTGAGTTGCCACATTAAAAAGGTAAAAAGAAACAGACAAAATTAATTTTAATAATGTTCTATTTAACCCAATACTTCCAAAATAGTATAATTTCAGCAGGTAATCATTGTGAAAAAATATTAACGACATATTCTACATTTTAATCTTCATAATAATGATAATGTTTTATAATAAATTCTTTTGTATATATTATACTTACTGCACATCTCCATTCAGTCTAACCATATTTCAAGTGCTCGATAGCCACATGTGGCGAGTGGCTGCCACTTTGACCGAACGATTGCAGATGATGATGTATCTGCCATCCCACTCCAGGGTCCATTGAATTGTCTTTCCTGTGGTGGTGAAAGGGTAGGAAAACTATGCAAACACTCACTCCTTGGTTTATTCATTACTGAAAGCCTAGTATGTGTCAGACTTAGTGCTACGTTGGAGGGAAGCAGACGTGAGTAACACCCACGTAGTTTAGAAAATAATTACAATATCACACGTAAAGCACTATAGACACATGGAAGACAGCATGAGCATTGCTAAAGGCAGAAATACAACATGAGAGTGAGAAGGCTGCACTCTGGAGTCAAATGGACTCATGCTCTAAGAGTCACATCAGCCCTTTGGGCTTTCAAAAGGAGTTAGTGACAAATCCTTCTTAAAGGGTTGTTATAAAGATAAAATGATAATTGGCTATAAATTTTCTGAAAAAAGTATACTGTATTGATTTACAGTTATTGTTATTATAAGGAAGATAATAATAAATTTGAGTGTTTATTGTTGAATGGAGTTTCACAAGTATATCAGTCAGGATCCACCAATTATGACCATTTTGCCTCCTTTCTTATCTGTCTGTCTATCATCTATCTATCTTAATCTTTTTCCTGAGCCATTTAAGAATAATTTGCAGACATCAAGTCCATTTTTTCCTAAACATGTTGGTATGTAGTTCCTAAGAACAAGAACATTTTCTTAAATAATCAGAGCGTAATTATTAATATCAGGAGTCTAAAACACAATGTTATTGTCTAATCCACAGTCCATATTAGTATTTTCCCAACTGTGCAATGTATCTTTCATAGTTCTTTCTTTTCCTTCTCATTCTAAGATTTAATAAGGATTATATATTATATCCAGTTGTCTTATCTCTGTAATCTCCTGGAATCTAGAACAGTTCTTCAGACTTCATGTGTATGAGTGTTTATAGTAAGAGTGTAGTGGTGGGGAGGGTAAAAGACCTTGACATTTTTAGACTCTATTACTTCTGTAGACTATCCCTCAACTTGGATTTTTCTGATGTCTTCTCATGATTAAATTCAGATTACATATTTTTGGCAGGTCAGTAAGAATTTCTGAAAATACTCTTTAATGAAGGTACCAGTAATAGCAGGAAGGCAACACCACCCCAAGATCTGATGGGAAGGGAACAGGAATGATGTTCTTGTGTTCTAGTTGGGAGCTGTAGCTGCAGGAGGGGCCTACCTTATTGAAGCTGTGATTACCCAGGGATGCTGCCTTGGCTAGACCCATGGCAAAGTGGAATGTAGAAGGAAGAGTAAATACCCTGGCTTTTCTCTGTTTCTGTCCTTGGATCATTCGCAAGTGCTCTCATTGGCTGAGCCCATCAAGAAGTGAAGAGGCGAGGCAATCTGGGTGATTTAGAACTTAGCAGTCAGTCTGCTGGGGCGGTGAGAATGGTACAGTAAAACAGAGTGAATCCTAATGGGTTTCGGAGAAGTAGAAAATAACCAGCACACCAGGTTAAAAAAAAATGGGAGAGCAGAGGAAACAGTATGTGCCAGGGCAATGGGATGTGAAAGGGCAAAAGTGTTGAGGAACATTCTGGAATGTCCTCTGTGAGGTTAAGAAGCTAGACTGGCCCAGTTTGTAAAAGTATTACATATTAAACTAAGGACTTTGAACTTGAGTGTGCCGATGTAAAGATTTTTTTTTTTTTTTTTTGAGACGGAGTCTCGCTCTGTCGCCCAGGCCGGACTGCGGACTGCAGTGGCGCAATCTCGGCTCACTGCAAGCTCCGCTTCCCGGGTTCACGCCATTCTCCTGCCTCAGCCTCCCGAGTAGCTGGGACTACAGGCGCCCGCCACCACGCCCGGCTAATTTTTTTTGTATTTTTAGTAGAGACGGGGTTTCACCTTGTTAGCCAGGATGGTCTCGATCTCCTGACCTCATGATCCACCCGCCTCGGCCTCCCAACGATGTAAAGATTTTTAAGCAGGGGAGTTACATGATCAGATCTGTGTTTCAGAAAAAACATAGCTATGGTGGCAATGGAGCAGAACGGTATGCAATAGAAATGGAAGTCAGGGAGCTATTGCAACAATTCAGGGCAGAGATAAGAAAAGACTCACTAAATCAGTTGCACTGAGGGCAGACAGCAAGAGACAAAAGAGGCATTTGGGATATTTCAAAATTAGAAAGAGGAAGGGGTCAAACATGCTTGAGGTTTAATTATTAATAATTAGTATTATTGATAATGGCAGCTAACAGTGAATACCTATGATTTGACACTAAATTAAAGATCTCATTAATCTTCAGAGCAACTCTGTGAGGCAGGTGTTATTACCAGTTTTAATTATGAGAAATAAAAATGTTTGGGTGGATGATAATACCATGAAGTGAGGTAGAATGTTTAAAGTTGCCAGTGGGGCAAACAGTAAGCTCTAACCAGTAAGCTATCGGAAAATGGGATATGGAGCTAAGGAGATGGATCTGGGCTGCTCTTGGGTATTTGAGGAAGCATCACATTGTTGATATGATAGTTGCAGTCACATAACATATGGGATCAACCAGAATGAGATACTGAATGAGAAGAAACACTGCCATGTTTTAAGCAGTGCTCAAGGAAGAGCTAGAAAATTTCAGATGTGTTTGGCTGGAAAGAATACTACATGTAGCCACTTTAGTTGTTGATATAATTGGCCTATCCAAGAATAGCACTTGTGAACTTTGGTCTCATTATCATTGTGATCTCCCAGCTGGCCCAGACTCATAAAGGACACATAATTTACTACTTTGAAAGGATAGCTGTGTGGCAAACAAGGCATTAATCTCTAGGAACATGACAAAAACTCTAGCTCATTACTGAAGGTGCAGCTTGCCTTGAATGAAGTACACTTGGTTTGTTCTAAGCTCTGCCAGTATTTTGTCACATGATCTTTCATACACCAGTTAACATCCACTTGGGAATTGAGTGCTTTTTGAGCTCCTAAACAGGGAATTATGTTTTTCCCATTAGAAAATTATTTTATGAAAATATTTCTAAGTTCCTGAATTAGAAGGATAGATTTTTTAAAATGTTCTATGCAAGATTATGTCTAGATCTTGATCAAAATGCAAAAGTCTGTTACACTAAATAGATCCTAAATTAGTGTTTCATAATAGGCGGAAGTAGGTGTATTATATATTTTTCACTTTTGGAAGGCAAATGGAAAACAATTTTGCATGTGGAATAGGAATCATTTAAGGAACTAAGGAAACCACTAATCTAGCTTAATGCTTTCTATTACTTAGGAAACATTTATTTTATCCCTTGGTTACTGGCAGTTCTATTATGGTTTGCAGACAACAATAGAAGATTTTATGTTTTATGCTTCACTGGAAAAAAAAAATAGTTCTCAGATATTTGGCCTCAGATAATTGTGAATCCCACTGAGGATGCATTGCATGTTTTCTGAGACTATGCTTTTTTAAACCGTGAGGAAGCACAGAACACAATTTATCCCGGGAGCTTTCCATTAGGATCTATACGATCTTTTCGTGGATTGTTAATATATACTATATATGGTTGTATTGTATATTATATCTCTTATTAACTCTAGTGCCATCACTAATGGTTTAATATATAACTGTATGTGCCTCAAGGGAGCAGTTTGTGTGTTTTACTGGCAAGGAGCACAAAAAAAATTCTCCCTGCTGTTTCCCTCTATTATAAATTAATATCCACTACCAAGGGACCTCTTATGATATAAAATTGTCATCCTGTGAGTGGTATGGATGAAATTACCATGGAGAAAATCTGAGTGCTAACCAGAGTACAAATAAGACACCGCCTATACTGCTGCAAGTAGGACCCCTGGTGTCTTATATTAATTTATAATAAATAATTTACATTGCTAATTGCAAAGTTTAATAACCTATATTATCTTTTTAGTCTCAGTGTAAGGGCATTTTCTATACTGAAAGGAAACCTTCTAATAACATGGAATCATTTTGCCATCAGCAGAGTGTGCTGCCATTTCTGCAAGAGAAGACTTTAGCCAGCAAGGGTACCTGGAGAAAGGACCTTTTCAAGTGACATCATTGCCTACATTGCTTTTCTTTTTGGTAGTGAAGGAGTTAAAGGAGAGGAAGATTGATCCATAATGACAGTCCCGTGTGTTGTAGTGTGGTGGTTGTCTGGCAACTGTACCTGTAGGAACTCAGTATTGGACTTGTATCTGTATTAATCCCCTCTTGTTGTCAAGCTTTATAGGTATTTAATATATTAAGCTTGGAAAATACTTAAAAGCAAAAGGGTTTGTTCATTTGATGATCTTTTGGAATTGTATCAGACTTATTTGTCAACAAATTAGGGTATTGGGGAGTAAGTGCTATGTAATGTCACGAATAGGCCTTGAATGTATTTGAGCATCTTTTTAACAAGACTAGCCCTCCCCTTGGTATCTAACATCTCTTATTTTATCTCTACCAAGGGCATATTTCTTCACTTAAAGAACAATTATTGACTCTCTTAAGTGTGTTAGCTTCTGCACTAGATATGGGCTTGAGTATTAATGTGAGAAAAACAGAGTCCCTGATCTTTTAGTTGAGAGCAGAGGCTTTGTGATCTAGTGCAGAGCACACCTGGTGAGGAATGTTCTAATTTGTCACACAGGCCACACGGCCATCAGTGTCAGCTATTCTTCTTACACTTTTGTGGACATGAAAGTAAGCTGTGGATTATGCCCAATGCCCAGCCCACTGTTTATAGCTCCAATCCAAGCTTTCCTCCTCTGCATATTCTCAGGGTGTCCCATGACATTGGTTAGCACCCTAATCTATGGCCCCTAGATCTTCATTTCTGTTTTCCATGCCTCAGCTTTCACTTTCAGAGTCTTTTACTATTTTGGCCTCATTATGACTTGCCTTCAGGCCATCATTGATCTCCCGTCTAATTAAATTAGGGTCACAGAAAAACTAGGAGGAAAAATTGGCTAAAAAATGACTTATTTTACTAATGAGAAAGCTCTTTAGGGATGAGAGTGTACCTCAAAATTCTAGAAATGGACATGGTCTCAAGATGAAATATATTAAATTGTGTTGACAATGAATAGGCTAAGCACTTCTATTGCTATCAATATGAAGAATCACCTATTATCATTCACAGCTGTTTCCAAATGCGGACATTTTGTCGTTAATCTTCAGTACAGCCATTATCTTACTTGGCAGAGAAAGTAGAAAAGTAGTCATTGCTTTGATCACTGTTAAAATAAGTTAGTTTCATATGAATTGTAAGCCTTTTTAGTGGCCACCAAAACATTTGTGACTTTCATCAGCCGATTTTATCCCAAATCAGTACATCTGATCACAAAGAACAAAGGGGTGAGACGACAGAGATGAATCAAAATGACCTATCTCCCCTATTCCTGTCATTCCCTAAGGCAGCACATTCCCTGCCACAGCTCATCAAGAAAAGGAACATTTATTAGGTGTATTACCGAATCATTGACATTCAATTGGGAAAGGTGAAGCAGTATATTACGGAAAAAGATTCATTAAAAGAGTGAGATCTTATGTAATTGTTGGAGAAGCTGGAGAAGGAAGGATCCAGAGGGAGAAATGGAGGATCTGAGAAAGGATCCAGCCAGCTGTCCCAAGGCACTGGAGCTGGTGGGAAGGTCTATGCTTGCAGGGGAATCTCAGAGGCACATGTGTCCAGTTGCCAGAGTAGGGCTATCAAGGGGAGCTAGGGAAGGGCTTGTGGAAGCTAGCACCGTGGCAGCCACTGCTTCTGGAGGAATTTGGCCAAGTGTTTGGTGAACCTGGGGCTGTTGCTGGTAGGCAGTGCTGGCAGTCACAAGGAAGAGCTGGACACAAAGCTGGGGGCAGTGAGGACAAGCTGGTGTAAGTTAGCACCTCTGAGTTGGTGTCCATATTTAGCCACAGGCACCTGCAAAGAGTAAGGGCTACTGCTTCATTTCTGTCTCCCAAAAGTCATACTAGTTCTTAGCCTGCAACCACCCAGGAAAAGAGATTCTTGGAAATGTAGTTCCAGATCAACCAGGTCCATGCAGTTGAGACCATCAGAGTGACAGTGTGGGGCTCTGTGCAGAGTGTCGGTGAGCTTTCCTTGAACATTCTCATCCCCTGCTCCTTGGCAGACACTTCAAGTAGGTGTCACAGCAAGCCCCCCAAGGGCAGGGACTCTTTATGTCTCACTCATCTTTTTCTCACCATTCTCAACTCAGAACTTACAGTGGGGGACAAGAGGAGAGGAGAAGAGAAAGTAGTCAGGGCTGGATACAGTAGGTATAATTTTACAATACCTCCTTTGGCCATGCTGTAGAATGACTGACTGCAAAGACTGGAGAGTGGTTCTGCAGCAAATGCTAGACTGCCCCTCTTGTCCCTGTCCCCCACTTGTAGCACTGTCCCCCTCAGATGGGTAACCAGTTAACTTTTTCTTATCTACTGTTGGGGTTCAGAAACCGATATCCTAAAATATGGCATGTGGACACGCTAAACTGAAGAAGAAGCCTCAAGGTCTCTTTGACCTTGCCTTGCCACCATCTGTCCCAAAACTGTTGTCTGCCTAAGATCCAGACTTACCAAAAGGAACAACTGTGTCTTCTTCCCCTCGCTGTCAGACCGAGAATGTAACCATACCTGAACAGACCTTTTCACTGCCAAAGGGAACTATTTAAAAGTTCATCTCTGTTCCTAGATCCATTCATTTTCCCTAGTAATCCCCTCCACAGAATTCCTCTTCTCCCCTCTCCCATAGCCTGTTTTGCCAGGATAGCGTATAAGCTTCTGAACCACCTTGTGGGGTGGGCAATCATATTGTGATTTTCCTTGTGCATGCACCTAAAAATAAATAAATAAATAAATAAATTTGTATGCCTTTTCTCCAATTAATCTGCCTTTTGCAAGTTAATTTTTCAGCAAACCTTCAAAGGGCCAAGGGGCAAACTTTCACCTCGTCCCCTACATCTCTTAAAAGTTAGTTAGACTCACAAGTTGCATTGAGCTAGTCATCAGGAATACAGAGATAGCACATAAGGTGCTCACTTTTAAGGCATTTAAGGGAGCAGGATGACATAAAGTCATGAAAGGTTAAATAGAAAAGTGATAGAAGAGAAAAATGAGATTTTTACAAATGCCAAGTTCAAAGGAGGAAAATCCACTGTGTCTCAGCACTGTGAGGGAAAGTTTCTTGAGGGAAGTAGTGCAGGCAAAGGCCTTGAAGATTGGGAGGGACATGATAAACTCAGCACCTGCCATCGTGTCAGTCAGCTTTGGGGATGAAGAAAGCACATGTGGCCTCAACGTGTTACTGCTGGCAGAGGTGGAACTAGTCAAATTATTCAGTTCTACTACACAAGGAGAAAAAAAAATAATAAAGACTAAGATTAGAGTAACTCAGGAAGGAAAAGTAGGACAAATTTACATGATAAGAAAATAAAGAACATAGAAAAAAATCTGTCTGTATCTATTTTGAATCTCTACAAAAATTCAATAAAAATGACAACAGATATGCCTAAAAATGGCTGTGTATTATGGTAGGAACTGTGTTTTTCCTGTGGTTGAGACATTTTGTCTTTAATATATTAATGTGTGTGTGAGACTGGGAGTTCATTCTCCAAATGGAATTATATTATTGGATCAGCACACAATTTTTGAGTCAGAATACAATTTGGATCAGAATTATGATTTTTTAAAAATCCTGTGGCTTAATTGCCAATTCAGGAAAATTAATATGCTCCAGAAAAGGCCCTGCAGAATAAAGTAGGCCAAGGGTTATAATGCAATTGAAGACCATGAACTGGGTCAGCTTTAGTTTAACAGTTCCTTTCCCTCAATGGCATTTCCTTAAAAACGATCCTGATTCTTTAGTTGTGTTTAATTTTGCTCTAATTTTACTTTTCCTCTCTTTGTAATAAGGCCTGGATTATTTCCACTACAGGTTAGCAAATTGGCCACTATTTTCTCTGTATGTCAAAAAGTGTAAATGACAAATGTTCCGCTTTTCTCTAGCATAATTAAATTTGGCCTGCAGTTTAAATCCACATAGAGACCATTATTTTCAAACTGAAAGCAATGGATATCCTCAAATTACTTAGAAGCACTGTCATTATGCACAGACACAAAATTTCTGTAATTTAGAATAAGCCAAATAGATACAAGGCTAATCGTTTCATCGTATTTAGCCTAAGAATAAGACCACAGAGAGGATATGATGATAGCTTCTCCCTATTTAAAGGCTGAAGTAAGCAGCAGAGTCAGGATGGACTAATGAAAACATTCTCATAGTCAAAGATCTATGTTTGAAACTCCTCCTTCTGCAACTTAATTCTCCTTGTGCAATGTAAAGATTGACTGGTTTCCACATTCATAAACTGTGGACTGTGATGAGAAACATCTGAAAGAATAAAATGAGGTAATGCTGCTGAAAGCACTTTGAAAACCATAAAGCACCAAACAAATATTAGCTGTCAATATCAGCAACAACCCAAAATACTGCATAATGTCATCTGTGATAAGAAATATATTTGTAACTGGATAAAAGAAACCTCAATAAATATTTATTGATTAATAATAATTAGATGGTTATGGTGGAACCAAAGTACCAAAGTGTGACAGCGTATTAGAATCTTGCAGCTTCGAAAATTCAAAAAATTTGTACAAGAAATAGTTGCCTGAATTCCTACCCAGTATCAGAGCTTCCATGATTAGTAGCCAATCACGTACATATTTTCTTTTTTTTTTCTTCTAGATGTATCAGGGCATTTTCCCCCTGGACTTTGTTTCTTCAGCTAAAAAACATGACCTTTGACTTTCTGAGCAGCTGTATATATTTTTCGAAGATCAATCAGGGGAAAAAAATCACTGGAAATGGCAAGTGGATGGGACAGTGCTGCACAGTGTAAATGACAGCTGAAGGTTGACAAAAACGCAGCCCCCACTTCAGTTCACTGCTCTGTAGCAAATGTCTCAGTTACTCATAGAACTAAGCCACTCTGAAGGACATTCTGGCAGAAATACTCCTGCCTGCTTTTTAAAAAGAATGTGTGGTGGGTGATGGTGGAATGGCGGGGAAGGTGGAGTGGAAACTCTAAACATTTGCTCCTATCTGTCAGAAATCATCATCTGAGATAATTTTATTATTAGGGAGGGAAAGCAAACCTCAAGCCGTTGCTTTGACCACAGAGGCCAGAGGTGTTTGTGTTTGTTTCAAGATATTGAGTCCGGAGTTGAGATCTGGTATTTTGCTGGTGACTGCTGAAGAGGAGGGATTTGGCTCCTGGCAGAACATAAAGCCAAGCTGACAACAAAGCTTTCCTTTCAAGCTATCCAAATGAACACATTTCTAATCTGAAATTCAAATACTTGACAACAGAGAGCCTGTGAGCTGGGCTTTGAACAGGAAATTGCTTCATGGTTTTAGCATAATGAATTAGGCAGTTAGACTAAATCCATTTAGCAGGAAAAGAATGCTTTCACATGCTAGTGAAAGAAAGGAGGGGGGCAAAACCTTCTTAATTTCCCAAATTTCACAGGACTTACAGACACAAATGCTCCATATAAATTTTATCTGTTGTGTTCTATAATTGGTATGTAAAAAACCGTCAGGTCCTGGTATTCAGAAATCACCTTTGTTAGAAAATGCTGCGCCTTTTAATGTTGGGGAAACTGAATGTGATGAATAAAGGTTAACAGTTCTCATCTTTCTCCGCGTCCTGTTCTTTCCATGCCAGTGGTGAATGCATTTTAATTCTGGAACTCTTTTTTAGTGGCTGCCAGTGTTAAGTTCAACAGATACAATATTGCACTCTTTTGGGGAACAGGGAAGAGATGGGGAAGAAGAGAGGAATCCTCTCGCCTTCCTGGACACTGGGCTGAGAATTGCACCTCTGAATCTCAGTCCTGAACACAGGAGGAGCTGCCCAGTCATCCGGGCTTGTGACAACAGAGGTGGGGGCGAGGGAGGGGTAAAGTTTGCTTGTGTCAGGTCCATGTAACAAGATTGACCTTGAGAGAGCCTGTTGACAGACATCCCTTGGGAAGGAGAGAGCTAGAGAAAATGAAAAACTTTTAAAAAGGAAGAAACAAAGAAAAGCAACAGTACTAATAGCATAAACAAGACAAAGATCCTGAGAGAGGAGAGGGTTAAATCCTGTCCCAGGGACGCTCGCAGAGAGGAGGGTTGATCTGTAACCAGCCACAGCAGCACTTCCTAGAGGCTTGCTGACTATCGACACTTTGTTGTGTGGGGCACCGCCTCTGAGCTTGGGCCCAAAGAAGACAGCTAAGGGAACAGTGTTCTGTGTAATCACTCTGCCACCAGAGAGGACACATGCATAATAAGCTTTGACATCTTTGCATTTACAACTTGCTAGGTAATAGACCCAAACTGTTTCTGGCTCCCCACCTCTATGGAAACAAAATGTAAATAAATATGGCTTCTTTTTAATCATTGTTTTCAACTTTCCTTTCAGAGGGAACAGTGAAGGCCGTCCAGTTGTCATGGTGATGAAGACACTATGACAAATTACATTACAAAGGGATGGTTTTAAAACCACTAATGTGTACCAAGCACCTAATTCATATTTACAGTTAAAATAAAAGAACTGCGTCTCAATTTCATCAGTGCTAAGGAAATCACCCTTCTTGGCGCAGACTGGGAGACCCTGACAAGCAAATAGGTTGGTTATAGGATCACCTACTTGAATGGATGACTAATGAATTAAGCTGGGAACTATTGACATTTAAATGCATGAGAACAGTTCTGATCTGGAATAGTAATGATCACTCCAGGAGCGGAATATGAATATTTAAAGGACTCTCTGCCTTGTGAGTTGGGCTGAGGCACCAGGCAGAACTAGTCAAAATTCCTTCAGGATAGTACCTCAACCCAAGGAGTGTGAGATGGGCAGAGAGGAGAGTCTGATAGCCAACTAGCTCAAATTTATCTAGGGAAAACAGGATGGAATTCCAAATTTAAGCCTGTTGCCAGATATAATATTCCAGAGTCTGGAGAGAGAAGGGGCTGTTTGCGGGAGGGGCATACACAGAAGCAGGTCCTGAGAGATGAGCTTTTTTGCCCACAGAAGCCAAGAATCCCTTTAATGGGGGCAAAGTCTTTAATTGTATGAGAAAAGAGAAAGCGTGAAACGTAAGTGAGCCTCGGAGAGCTAAAGTAGAATGAAATTCATGTTGGCTTAGAAAGGGCTCATATTAGAGCTTTCTTATGGGGAGGAGAGAAATCTCTAAGGACGGGTTTCTCAAATATAGGCTCTTGCAGATGCTGAGAATATCTTTGCAGACCTGCCCCACAACTCTCCCCCAAGAGAGTTTTACAGGCTCTCTTCAAGGAGCTGGAAGCACTGAAAAGGCAGTGACAGATGAGAATAGTTGGGAGCATCAGAGACACTGAACATTTGTCCATCCAAGTCCTTTTAAGAGCAGAGGAAAGGGAAACATTGTATCTCCCCTCCCGGCCTCCACTCCAGGAATTAGAAAGAGTTTAGGCTAAAAAGGTCTGTTACAAGCTCAATATTTCCTTCAGATTTAGAGACTTATCTTAAAAATTCTTGAGTAATTTATTTTCAGTTCCAGTATGTGTTGATATCATCTTAATATAAAAATGATTTAAAATCTACTGTTGCCAGGCACAGTGGCTCACGCCTGTAATCCCAGCACTTTGGGAGGCCGAGGTGAGCAGATCACTTGAGGTCACAAGTTTGAGACCAGCTGGCCAACATGGTGAAAGCCTGTCTCTATTAAAAATACAAAAAAATTAGCCTGGTGTGGTGGCGGGCACCTGTAATCCCAGCTACTTGGGAGGCTGAGACAGGACAATCGCAGGAGGCAGAGGTTGCAGTGAGCCGAGATTGCACCACTGCACTTCAGCCTGGGCAATAGAGCAAGACTCCATCTAAAAAAAAAAAAAAAAATCTACTATCAAGCTAACTTGAACTTCAGGAAGAGGTGCCATGCTTACTGTGTGGCTTTGCAGGAACTTGGCTCCCTGCTCCTGGGCTGCCTCCAAGTTGAGGAAAATGGACCTGTGACCAGCTCTTTACATAATTATTGCAAAAAGAGTAGCCAAAAGCCCAGCTCTGGCTGTTGTTTTCATATTCAGTTCAACCCTATCTCAAAACAGGTAAAGTAATTTAAGAACTTTCCTTTCTTTTAGCTCTTCCATGTTGCCCCTAAAGAATTAACTGAATGGGCTGGGTGCAGTGGCTCACGCCTGTAATCCCAGCACTTTGGGAGGTCGAGGTGGGCGGATCAGCTGAGGTCAAGAGTTTGAGACCAGCCTGGCCAACATGGTGAAACCCCATCTCTACTAATAATACAAAAATTAGCCAGGTGTGGTGGTGTGTGCCTGTAAGCCCAGCTACTCCGGAGGCTGTGGCAGGAGAATTGCTTGACCCGGAGAAGGGGAGGTTGCAGTGAGCCGAGATTGCGCCACTGCACTCCAGCCTGGGCAACACAGTGAGACTCCATCTCAAAAAAAAAAAAAAAATTAACTGAATGGAAAACTTGATAAGGTTACTTCAATCTTTTCCTACCTCAACCTCTAAAGATTTAGCATCTCCTTTGGGATGGTTTTTTTCTCTCTTAGTATGTAAAATATAGTTAGAAACAAATTGCTAATAAGAAATACAAATTGACTGTAAATGCAAATTTACCCCATCAACCTAAACTAAGTCATCTTTCTCTCCTCACCCTTTTGGAGACAACAGATTTTAATTAAGTATTAGCATAGGCAAAGGGCAAGCCTTACAGGTACATTGCTGAGGAAAATCCTCCAGTGTTTGCATGCCGTTCAACAGTGCATTTTTCTGCTTGTCACCAGGTGGTCCCTTAGTGTGGGGACTGCAGAGGCATCTCAAGCCTGTGGGACAGACCCCCATTTGGCGGGCTGATGGAGCTTTTCCAGCATTGCAACAAACTATACCCCTTTAAAAGGGAAAATATAACAACAGAAGTTAGGAGAAACATTAGCCATCTATTTGTATCATTTCATTAGTGTTCATTAAAGTTTTTAGTAAAACAGCTAATATAGAACAGGCAGAATAATGTTCTTATTCTTAGCCATAAAATTGAGTTCACCATATATATAGTTAAGGTAGGTCAATGGCCTTCCTCAAACTCCACTTGTTTGTGTACTATCTTCGTAGATCATCTACACAAAATTATTTTCTTTTTCCATTGTATAACTTTAAATTATTTTTGTTTTCTTGGATTTATTATAAGCAAGAATATTGATGAAATGATAATTTTGATATGCTAATGTATCTAAATATATTAAAATAAGTAATTATTAAAATACAGGGTAGAATAGTGTGTCCATCTGCCACCTATACATCTTGTGAAACCCCAGTATTACACATAAAACAGGTAACGCTGGACTACATCAAGCCCTACAGTGATCAGTAAGGGGTTAAACACGGAGAAAGGAAGTAGACCAGATTGCCTATATTCTGTAGGTGGAAGCTTTGGGCTTTGGATTTCAAGGAAGGGTATTTTGGGCCACAGGCAGGCCAGGAAGAGAGGGAGCGCTGGGCTCCTCTAGGAATTCCTGAGGGGGGCTGGGGGCTAAAGAGTGCATTGCTGAATCCACAGGTATGCAGAGCTGGCACTAGAGAACCGTGGCCCAACCTATATCCTGCTCATCCTGGATCACTGCTGGTGCAGGGAGGGAGAGAGACAATGAACTGTTAGATGACAAGGCAGACAGTGCCTGTCTGTCAGTTTCCTCTGCATTTGTAACTGTGGGTGGGTTATTATTGGAATAGAGTAAGATCAACTGATATAAAAAAATAAGAATGCCTCTTTTTCCTTTGTAGGCAAACCAGTTTGAAGGGTTCAGTAAATGATCCCTGTTTTTGTACCTGCAGCCCATGAGCATGGTGAAAGAGATCAATGTTTTCCTAGGGGAGTGTGCAGATACTGCAAAAGTTTCCAGCTGAAGCAGAATGTTACATTGAAAGGTCTTGGGCAGCAGCCCATGTGTGGCCAGTGAGGTTGCATGCTGCCCTGGTGCTGACTAGGCAGGGGAGCATGCGAACATCACCATATCCAGAATTACCCTGGAGGGTCTTGGGAAATGGGCCACTCTAGGCTGACATTTCATCCAGACCTTCCCTATTTTCAGCCATGTTCCCCTTGGAGTATAAACACTGGCTAGACAAATAAGAGAAAAGATGTGACAGTGTGGGGTCAAGGTCTAGGTCTTGCTATTGCTGTAATTTGTTAGTTTTCCAATAAATTAAATCCCTAAGTAGATCAAAGTTATAAGACTGTTATAAGACTGTGCCTAGCATAGTGCCCAGGATACTGTTCTACCACTAATAATAGGGCAATACAACACATTGTGCTTGCTATTTATAGGCCACTCTTCTGAGTTCGTTACAAGTAGTAATTCATTTAATCCTCATCATAAATTATATTCAATATATATGATTCCCACTTCACAGATGGCGAAATTAAGCCCCAGAGTGGCTATTTTGTCTGTGGTCATGCAGCTAGTGTGAGGCAGAGCTTTGAGAATCCGGGCAGCCTGGCTTTAGAGTGCCCTTAGAACTACTGCACTATTCTGTTTTGCTTACTCAATATGGAATGGATGGGAGGAAGGTGAAATAGGGGCTTATATGACCTACTGAGCTTGATGTCTTTGATCCTATGTGCCACCAGAAACTTAGTGGTTGTGAGTCCACTACTTGTGCTAGAAAGATCAGGGATTTCCTTCCCTCCCACACTCAAAACTAAAATAAATGAATGGAAGGTTCAACTCAGGATTGTCATTAGAGTGTTTGGGGAAAATGTTACCAGGTTCCTGTTAACTACAACCAACACTGTGTAGATAAATACTATATGTTTCCTGATGTTAATGTTTGGCTTTGAGATAATAGTGGTAAATCAGCAAATTCAGGATCATATTTTGTTTGTTTTAGAAGTGCAGACAGGATCTAATCAATTTTTCTTGTTATATCTTCTTACAGAAATCCATTCAGAATGGTCAAGCTTCTTGAAATAGAATATATGCACATAAACTTTAAACAATATTATAATTGGGTCTGAGCTATTTTGAATTTTGGAATCCAGTTTGTCATAATTGGATCTTCAAATTAAAGCTCTGGGCAAGTATTTAGATATTAAAATATTAAAAGCATAACATGACCTGGTCATTCTTCATTTAGTGGTATTTGGGTTCCATTACTGAAATATATCCCATAGGGTATGGCCTAGTAGTAAAGCTACAGAGTTCTAGAATCAAATACTTTAAGTTGGAAATCTGTTGGGTTTCCAATACTTGCAGGCTGTAATACTTGTAGTACTGAAATACTTGTAGGCTGTGTGTCCTGAGGCAAACTACTTAACCTCTCTGTGCTTCTGTCTTTTCATGTGTAAAATGGGGCTAATGTAGTCCATGATCATGAGGTGATCCATGTAATGAGCTCTTAGTACAATGCCTGATACATTGTAAGTACTCAGTAAATGTTAGTTAAAATGAAGAAATAAACATACATTGTGCAATTCTAATTTACAATGAACAAAAATTTCATTCAGTAAAAATATTTATTATCAGAAAAAGGTCAAACTCTAGCTCTTTCACAGAATGCTAATTCATGAGATTTTAAATTTGTATTTTGATTATATGATTAATGATTAATGGTAGATGCCGTGTCAGACATACTATATGTAAAAGACCCTTCCCCTGATTCCACACATATAATCTGAGCATATCTCCTCTACAGTAAACACAATAACTGTGGCTTGAAAATAGCACTGAGTAAGGTGACATTATTTTTTCCTGGCAGTTTCACTCCTGTAGTCATCTTATAACTTTGAAGCAGATTAATCCATTAAAAGGTGTACTCCTAGTGTTTAATAATTGCCAGTAAAGTCTAATCAGATAGCAACCGCTACAGAAGAGCCTTCAAGAAATACTATAAGATAATTAAAACATAAAGGTTATGCAAAAGTAGCAAATCAATAGAGACAGTAAACATGGTTTATCAACAGTCCTGAGAACATTTTTTCAATTCTAAAATGTAAATGGACTTGGGATAGAGCACACGCTAGGATGATAGATAGGATCCCGGTAACAGTTTAATTAACTCCAGTTTCCTGTACGTTAAAGGTTGCCTCAACCCACTGGTTCATGTAACAAACTCTCTTAGGATTTCCTTAGCCGCTGTCTGATATGAAGACCAGGCAGCCTTCCTTCCTTACAGGGTTAAGTTTTGCCCTCCTCCTCTGGAGGCTTTATCAAAACACAACCCTCTGTTTTCTCTATAAATACACAGATATTTTTAATTTCAGCTAAAATGGTTTGACTTTGTAATCAAGGTAAAAGAAACACACACACACTGCCTAAGTAATGAGAAGAGTTTGCTGGGAAGAGTTGTGTAATTAAAATTACATATTAAAATTCACGTGCAGTGTGTGTAGAATTTTAGAAAAACCATGGCAGCTCTCCAGATGACTCATTTGCTGTTTTAATTCTTCTGTAATGTAGGCGATTTTATAATTAGCCACAGAATTGTGCCACTTGGTTAGTTCACAGTGAAAAGAATAATAAAGAATATTTACTATTAAATGATATTAAAACTGCTACTCTGAGCAGCCCTGGTAAGAAGTAGACATTTACTGTTCCTAGCTAGCCATTATAAATGGAATATAGCCAGTGCTTTGCTTGCAATAGTTAAACCTATTGGGCGAGATGAGGGTAAGCTTCATTTGAAGAATTGCAATATTTCTCAAAAATGACTGTGAGGGTCAAGTGTTAAAAGAAAAATTCTTTTTCCAACTGGGTGGAATTAGGTTTCATGCAATTAACTTTATCATTAGTAAATAAAAGAGTCACTTAACCTCTGCCCTTGCAGAAGTTCTTGATATTTTGCTTAGTAAAGGGCAAGAAACCTGTTATGGCTTATTTATTCACTTCGTTAAAAGGTTATTCTTAAATATTGTGATCTAGAAACACATAATACATAATGTTTGTTAATAAAGATATATTTACTACACCATTTAAAGAAGCTGGCTATTATATACTGCTCATTAGTGCTGTGAACGGGAAACCTTTTTCTGTTGTTCCCATGGGAAAGGTTATCGAGCTGTCAGTAAAGGGCTCATTTTCTTTAAATTAAAAATCACGGAAGAATCTTGTGTAGAGGATATTAAAAGCAAGTGTAGTCATGCTGTCTTATTGCAAGATGAGCTAGAGGTAAGTATGTGGTTTAATGCTTTTGAAATGAAAGTTAGAAATGCCGGCTACCTGTGATTTTGAAAATTTCTCTCTCTTCCAACAGTTAGGATTTTCATCCTGAAGCAGAAATCTAAGCTTGTTCTTCTAACAATGATTTAGAGGAAGAAATTTAACACCCCCTGCTTGCAACATCCATTTTTCAATAAATCTATACTTTCTCTGCCCTCCTCCGTGTTATCAGTCATCCACATCCCAGAGGAAATGCTTCAGGCTTGGGGTTAAATTAAGGTCCTATCTCTAGTGATTGTCTAGAATGCTGTCTACATTCTCAAACAAACTTATCTGCATTATATACAGCCATAAATACTTCCTGCCAAGTGGAGACGCTGGTTTTGTTTTGTTTTTGTTTTTCCATTGATGTTAATGGAGAGAGTACTACTTGCTAGTTGAAAATTAAAAGAAAAGCAACAATTGTATTTTATTATGAATTGAAAGTAGGTTGAATCTCAATCAGTATAGTTCTGTGATGCTGAACTTAACATGGGACATGGATGTCCTATATTCTTTCTTGAAAAAAATTGATCTAATGAGATACATTGTCTTTATATTTCTCAAAATAATATTTCAAGTTAAACTACTTCATACCACCTTTCTTTGACAGTTCAGTGATACTTTTTCAGCTCTTTTGGGATAAATATAGCATCTGAAAAGAATAAGCATTTTACAACCTCTTGCTTAATAAATAAAAAATAGAAAAACATTCTACATAAATTAGTTTTACTAAATAGAAAAATTATCTCAGATATCAGGGTTAGTCAAGGTCAAAGATAATCAAATTTTCTGATAAAAACATTAAACAAACATATGACATACCACAACACACACACATACACACATAAAATATCAATATTTGCTTTATCAAATATAGTGGGAGATAAATAGGCCATCAGTATGACTAAGAGCTAAACAAAACCCAATGTATAAAATGAGAGAGTTTCCATAATAATTTGCTGTAAAATCTTTGAGTCGAGTGATAGAGGAAGGCATCACAGAAATATCTGTGTGGGAGGAGGGTAGCTTATTCTAATTCACCAGCAAATCATAGCAAAGTGGAGAGAGAGGGATACTTTATATTGTATGTTCAGGCAGGAAATTCATGTGCTCATTCATCCAGTAAATATGCATTGGATATACATGCCAGGCACAGTTCTAGGCACTGGGGATATGAGTTAACAAAGCAAAGTCCCTGTCATCATGGAGCTTACATTCTAGTGGGAAAAACAGACCAATGAATATACAAATATAAAAATATATGTGTTTTTATAAATATATGTTTTTATAAATAAATCTGGATTGTGGTAATTCTGAATATTACAGTGTCAAGGTTTATAATATTAAAATTCTGTGTTCTACAATTATTTTTCTGCAGTTTTTAAAGTCTTGGTTTTATGTTTCCCTAGTTGTGTATATCCATTTCTCTATTCTCTTTCTTTTTTTTTTTTTTGAGACACAGTTTCACTCTTGTTGCCCGGGCTGGAGTGTGGTGGCAGTAATCTTGGCTCACTGCAACCCCTGCCTCCCGGGTTCAAGTGATTCTCCTGCCTCCGCCTCCCAAGTAGCTGGGATTACAGGCATGCACCACCATGCCCGGCTAATTTTGTATTTTTAGTAGAGACGGGGTTTCACTATGTTGGTCAGACTGGTCTTGAACTCCAGACCTCAGGTAGTCAGCCCGCCTCAGCCTCCCAAAGTGCTGGGATAACAGGTGTAAGCCACCACGTCTGGCCGATTTCTCTATTCTTAAGGTCTTTGTTTTCATATATTTTTCAAAAAACCGTATTTTATATCCAGGCATTTTTTACAAGAATTAGGGGAGGCCAAGGCGGGTGGATCACCTGAGGTAGGGAGTTCAAGACCAGCCTGGCCAACATGGTGAAACCCTGTCTCTACTAAAAATACAAAAATTAGCTGGGTGTGGTGACACACGACTGGAATCCCAGCTACTCGGGAGGCTGAGGCAGGAGAATTGCTTGAACCCGGGAGGCGGAGGTTGCAGTGAACCAAGATCGCGTCACTGCACTCCAGCCCGGGCGACAGAGCAAGACTCTGTCTCAAAAAAAAAAAAAAAAGAAAAGAAATGGGGATGGTTATTGCCTGAATTTTTGCATCCACCAGAATGCCTATTTTGTGTACATTCAGTCAAGTTTCAATAGGGAAACACAAGATTACTCTAGGCATTTCAAGAAGGGAGGAATTTGAGGAAGGCAGAGGTTTACTGAACAGTTCAAAGAGCTGACGTAGTGAAAGTCAGCACAGCTGACATTCAGGAAATCAGAAAGGATAACCATTACAGATGATCTAAGGGACCTCTGGCACTCAAATAGTTGCCTTCCAGGAGGATGCCTAGAAACTGCTATTTGCCAAAGCCTCTATTCTTGCCTGCTGCCAGCACCAAGCCATGATAGCTTCTGCAGTTTTTTGCCTTCTAAATCTGTGCAAGTTCCTCTCATTGGTAAAATCCAATCTGGAAATCTGCTGGCTGGGATTATAGAAAATAGTGTTGCCAGTCTTTATATTTTGCAATACAGAGGAGAACATAAAAGGAACAAAATGGTACCTGCTTATCAATAGATAATCTGAATATACCTTGACTGTTTATAAAATTGAGTAATGTGTTCTTTCCCATATAAATATTCTCCAATGACCACTGGCACTAAGTGTTACTATAGGGCCTGATTAGTTTTCTCCCATCCTCCTACTTTCTTTTTAAAAAATCTTGACACCAAAGAACCTTTTTCTTTATTTTTGAAGTTCAATTATATCATGCAGCGTCTGGGCATTTATCGTGAATTGTATTATTCCTAATGATCCCTGAACCTGTAAGAGGAGTGTATTTTCCCAACCGGGTATCATGCTTGGCCACGTGACTTGCATTGACCAATAGAATGTAAGGAGAAATGACACGGTAGCAGTTCTCAACCAGAAGCTTTTATAGTCATTGTGTTTTTGCTAACTTGCTTACTCTTTTCTTTGTCAAGAGAATTGCATATCCTAGATCACGGCTTTGCCTCTAACCCTGGTCCAAGAATGAGAAGACGTGGAGTAGAGCCAAACTCAACCTGGAGCCATGTAGCATAGGCAGAGAAATAAACTCTGTTTTTTAAGTCACTGAGATTTTGAGGCAACTCATAATTGCAGCAGAGTTAACCAATGCTGTGTTGCTGATTCTACGTTAGTCCTGATATGGTTTGGATTTGTGTCCCCACCCAAATCTCATGTTCAATTGTAATCCCCATTGCTGGAGGTGGGGCCTGGTGGTTGGGTTATGGGGGCAGATTTCTCATGAATGGGTTAGTATCATCCCCTTGGTGCTGTTCTTGTGATAGTGAATGAGTTCTCATGAGGTCTGTATGTTTCAAAGTACATAGCACCTCTCTCACTTCCGCTCTTGCTCCTGCTCTGGCCGTATGAAGTGCCAGCTCCCCCTTCACCTTCTGTGATGACTTTAAGTTTCCTGAGGCCTCTCCAGAAGCTGAGCAGATGCCAGCATCATGCTTTGTGTACAGGCTGTGGAACTGTAAACCAATTAAGCATCTTTTCTTTATAAATTACTCAGTCTCAGGTATTTCTTTATAGGAATGTGAGAATGGACTAATACAAGTCACCATGCCACTCCTTCCAACTTCTCTTGAATTCAATACACCATTTTCATATGCTATCTCAGATACTTCCTAATTTCAGGAATGCTTTTACCTTGACATTTAAAAATTCGTTTGCTGTCCTTTTTTTTTTTCCTGCTTATTTTATTGAGGGAACTTAAACAGTGCAATGATCTTTTTTCAAAAAATTGGTTTATTTCTTTATTGTAGTCTTGATTTTCATCCATTAAATAATGATAATAACCTGGCTTATCATGTTCTCTACTGCATTCTCAGTGCCTCTACAAAGCTTAGCTCATAAAAGACATGGAATAAATGTTTAAAGAGTGTGTGAATAAACAGATATTTTCTACTATAATATGTATTTTCTGAAATCTTGTATACTCAATAAGATTAAATTACTCATTGGTCTTATAATCATATAAAATTATTTCAAATTTGGCTTGTTTTCTTGAGTACTATTTTCTGAAATGTACTTTCTTTTTTTGATATGGAGTCTCACTCTGTTGCCCAGGCTGGAGTGCAATGCTGTGATCTCGTTTCACTGCAACCTCCGCCTCCCAGGTTCAAGCAATACTCTCGCCTCAGCCTCCTGAGTAGCTGGGATTACAGGCACCTGCCATCATGCCCGGCTAATTTTTGTGTTTTTTATAGAGATGGGGTTTCACCATGTTGGCCAGGCTGGTCTTGAACCCCTTACCTCAGGTGATCTGCCTGCCTCAGCCTCCCAAAGTACTGGGATTACAGGCGTGAGCCAAGGCGCCTGGCCTGAAATGTATTTTCTTTAGCAACTTTTCCATTTGTTTCTTTTTTCTGCTATGGTGCAGATTCTATAGATAGATCTTATTTTGTTTATTTTATTTATGATTAGAACATGTCATTGAATTAAAGGAAATATTGGCTAAGAAAATAGTGCAAGTGAATGTGTGGTTGCATAGTAAGAAAGGGTGCTTTGTGATTTCCATTTAGATTTATATTCCTAAATACTTTCTCAAAAGGTATGTATTTTTCTCTGGACACATGTCTTCCCTCAGTCTTTGATGTTCAAGAGACTTCTTTGTCTAGAGGGTTTGTTAGTAGACCAGAAACTGAAAACTAGCAGCTCTGAGGATATATGTAGCCAGCTGATATGCTGTATTTGGCCTGACAGTTATTAACCTGAACAATGTATTTTCATTGTTAACATTTAAAAGCTGGATGAGTTCTCATAAATATCTAGACCTCTGGCTTTTCCTCAACCCCTCCCTCATCCAACTGGAAGGTTTGAAAATATTGGGTCTGCACTTATTACTGAATACAGAGTAGCACTGAAGCTGGATAGTAGCATCTCTCCACTGAGAGGAGATGTGTTACCCAGTTGGCCGCAATTTCTACCATTCTTAGCTCTATCACTGTGGTGAGCATAATGAGGTGACCCCGGTGAATCATGACCTTGTATAATCCCCTCCTTTTGAATGCAGGTGGAAACTGACTTTTTTTCTAGGCCAGAGAATAATGACAAAGGTGATGGGATAGTCATTCTTAGAATTGAGTTACATTATAGAAAACTCCGTCTTAGCAGATTGGTGAGAGATTCTCCTTGTGACCGTGAAAAGGTGAGTTATTTTATTGTGGGAGGGCCTGTGTGAGTGTCTGGGAGAGGGCCACCAACTGCAGGTATCCTCATGTGTTAAGAGAAATTCCCAGCTGCGATGGACAGCAAGAAAATGAGTCCTCAGTATTAAAACCACAAGAAACTGAATTCTGCCAACCACCATGTGAACCTGGAAAAATATACTGAGTTGTAAAAAGGAGTGTAGTCTGACCAACATATTGTTTGCAGCCTTGTGATACCCTGACCAGAGGACATAGTTAAAAGCCATGCTGAGCTTACAGACGCACAAAACTGAGAGATAGTAAATGTGTATTGTTTTCAATCACTAACTTTGTGGTAGTTTTTATGCAGCAAAATAAAAATATACCACCCACACTGAGGTCATATGTCAGTTATCCGTTATCTCTAATCTTAGTTTTCATTGGCATTCAACCTGGCCCAGTTCACCTATTTATCTTATCTAGGAGGCCAACGTTATTCTGAAACAACTAGAAAAAGTCAAGTGAGTTTTAAAATGTAATATTTTAAGTAAAATAGAGGGCAATGGAGTGAAAGTAGAGTAATTGAGCTAAAATTTCAGAGAGGAGGAAAAATGTTCTGAGTTCATTTGACTATTAGCAGAAATTTCTTCCCTGGGGCACTTGTTGATTCAGGGAACTAACTGAGGATTGGTCCTAGCCTTGGAAAAGAATCTCTGTTGAAAGGAAAAAGTAACCTACAAGGCTTTTATTGGTTACATGAGCTAGAGTGACAAATTAAAAACATAAGGGGTCTTAAATGCATGATTGGTTCTCTCCTGGAAATATTTACACCGTCCTGGTTCTGTGTAAGGAGCTGTGGAGCCAGACCAAAAGTTCTAAAAGGTCCTCATTTTTGTAAGTCTCAGCGAAACCCCAGCATAATAAATATAAGGCAACCCACACCTGGGAATATAATAGGCAAATTTCTGAAAGCCAAAGGGAAAAAATAAGATAAAACAACCAATGGATAAAAAGACATATTACCTTCAAAGAAGCAATAACAAAAATTAAAGCTGACTTCTCAACTGAAATGTTGTAAGTCAGAAGACAGTAGAATGCCATCTCTAGGTGCTGAAAGATAAAAACTGATGGTATATAATTATTTACCAAGAAAAATTCCTTCAAAATTAAGGTAAAATAAAAATGTTTTCCAGACAAACAAAAACCAAGGGAATTTAACACCATCATGCTTGAAATAAAATAAATACTAAAAGGAGGGAAAATGTACCCAGAGAAAACATGGTAATGCCAGAAGGAATAAAGAACATTAGATAAGTAGTGAGAATAAATTAAAATAAATACTCATGTTGCAAAAACAATAATTGTAATGTCCTGTGGAATTTACAATGTAAATGGAATTAAAATTTTAATACAGCTGGAAGAAGTGAGATGAGGGTAAATGGAATTAAAATATTCTACAATTCTAACAGTATTAGGCAAGTGGTAAAAATATTCTTTTAGATCAAAATAAGCCAAGAATGCATGCCTTAATTTTAAGAGTATCACTAAAAGAATCAAAAGTTTTATGAGTGGCTTGGGTTTTCCATTGAGCTCTATGTACCCTGACATTCTGTTGTTTCTAGCAAGGTCTCAAAATGTACCTTCCTTGATTCTTACGTGTTCCACAAACACCCTGGCTTTGGTACCTCTAATTAATGTCTTTTGTTAAGCCTTTTATAACTATGATATTCTTAGATAAAGTCTATAGTCTCCTTGAGATCTGAGATAGCAGTTTGGTACTCAAGCTTCTCTTTTCTTTTCATAGTTCTTGGAAAGCTGGATAACTAGATCATGGTTGGAATTGTGACCAGTTGATTGTGTTATTGAAAATAAAATTGTACTGGTGGTCTAATTTTTTAAGTGAGGGTCTAAATTTTCTAGAAAGAATAATGCAGTACAAATGGACTTATCGACAGAACTATTAAAATTCAAAGTGTGAGGAGAAAATGGAATTAATATGTATAGAGGGTTTTTTGTTTGTTTTTTTAATAATAAAAGTTGATTTGGTGTTTGTTTTAAGTAATTTATTATAACTATAGCATGTTCTTTGTGAGTCTCATGGTAACCACAAAGCAAATTACTGGAGAAAATCACTTAACCACAAAAAAGAGACAGTAATGAAGAAAGAAAGACAAAAGCTACCAAACAAATACAAAAACGTAAGAAAATGGCAGTAGTAAGTCCTACTTATCAATGATAACATTGAGTGTTAGTGGACTAAATTCTCCAATTAAAAGACATAGAGTGTCTAAATGACTTAAAAAACAAGACTCAACTATATGCTGCATATAGGAAACTCACTAAACCTATAGAGACCCACATAGGTTGAAAGCGAAGGTATGACAAAAGATATACCATGCAAATGGACACAAAGAAAAGCAGGAATATACTATACTTATATAAGATAAATTAGACTTTAAGTGAAAAACTGTCAAGAGACAAGGTGTTTATACAATGATAAAAGGGTCAATTCAGTAAAAGGATATAACAAAAATAAACATGTATGCTCCCAAATTTGGAACCCAAATATATAAAGCAAATATTAATAGATCTAAAGGGAGAGATAGACTGCAGTACAATAACTGGGGGACTTCAACACCCCACTTCTGTCAATGGACAAATAATGTAGTCAGAAAATCAACAAAGAAACGTCAAAGTTAGATGTATTCTGCACCAACTGCTGCAGAATACATATGTTTTTCATCAGCATATAGAACATTCTCCAGGATAGGCCATATGTTAGGTCATAAAACAAGTATCAACAAATTCAAAAAAGTCAAAGTTATATCAGTTACCTTTCCTGACCATGTGGAATAAAACTAGAAATTGATAACAAGAGAAACTTTGGAAACTGGAGAAATACATGGGAATTAAACAGCATGCTCCAGAATGACCAGTGGGTGAATGAATAAATTGAGAAGGGAATTAAGAAATTTTGTGAAACAAATGAAAATTGAAGCACAATATATCAGAACTTATGGGATACAGCAAAAGCAGCACTAAGAGAGAAGTTTATAGCAATAAATGCCTACACCAAAATAAACAATAGAAAGACTTCAAATAAACAGTATGACAGGCATCTCAAGGAACTAGAAAAGCAAGAACAAGCCAAACAAAAAATTAGTAGAAGGAAAGAAATAATAAAGACTAGAACAGAAATGAATAAATTGGAAACTAAAACAATTACAAACCCTCAACAAACAAAAAGTTGCTTTTTTAAAAAAGATAAAATTGGCAAACCTTTAGCTAGACTAAGAAAGAGAAAAAATCCAAATAAATAAAATCAGAGATAAAAAAGAGACATTACAACTGATAACACAAAAATACAAAGGGTCATTACAGACTATTATAAACAATTATATGCCAACAAATTAAAAAACCTAGAAGAAATAGTTAAATGCCTGAACACATACAACCTACCAAGATTGAATCATGAGCAGACCAATAAGGAGTAACAAGATCAAAGCAGTAATAAAAAGTCTCCCATCAAAATATGGCCCAGGACCTGATGGACTCATTGCTGAATTCAAATATTTAAGAAGAACTAATACTAATTCTACTCAAACTATTTTTTAAAATGGAAGAGGATGAAATACTTCCAAACTCATTCTATGAAGCCAGCATTACCCATACAAAAACCAGACAAGGACACAACAAAAAAAACTACAGACAAATATCCCTGATGAACATAGATGCAAAAATTCTCAACAAAATACCAGCAAACCAAGTTCAACAATACAATATAAATATTATTCATCATATCCCATCAAATGGGATTTATCTCAGGGATTAAAGTATGGTTCAGTATATGCAAATCAATAAACATAATACATCACATCAACAGAATCAAGGACAAAAATCATATAATCTTTTCAATAGATGATAAAAAGCATTCAATAAAACTCAACATCCCTTTATGATAAATACTCTCAACAAATTGAGTATAAAAGGATCATACTTCAACATGATAAAGGCCACATAGGACAAAACCATAGATAATATACTAAACGGGGAAAGATTAAAAGGCTTTTCACTAAGATCTAGAACAAGATATCAATACCCACTTTCATCACTTGTGTTCAACATAGTACTAGACATCCTAGCCAGGGTAGTTAGGGGAACAGAAAGAAATGAAGGGCCAGGCAGCGGTGGCTCACGCCTGTAATCCCAGCACTTTGGGAGTCCGAGGCAGGCCGATCACAAAGTCAAGAGGTGGAGACCATCCTGGCCAATATGGTAAAACCCATCTCTACTGAAAATACAAAAATTAGTGGGGCATGGTGGCACACTCCTGTAGTCCCAGCTACTCGGGAGGCTGAGGCAGGAGAATCGCTTGAACCCAGGATGCGGAGATTGCAATGAGCTGAGTTTGTGCCACTGAACTCCAGCCTGGCGACAAAGCAAGATTCCATCTCAGAAAAAAAAAAAATAAAATAAAAATAAAGGACATCTAAATTAGACAGGATGAAGTCAAATTTTCCTTGTTTGCAGACAAGATGATCTTATATTTATAAAAACCCAATGACTGCACCATAAAACTCTTAGAATGAATGAATAAATTCAGTAAAGTTACAGGATACAATATTAATATCAGTAGTGTTTCTATAAGCTAGCAACTCTCAATATGAAAAAGAACACAAGAAAGCATCTTATTTGTAATAGCTTCAAAAAAATACCTAGAAATAAATTTAACCAAGGAAGTGAAAGATATGTAAAATGAAAACTACAAAGCACTGATGAAAGAAATTCAAGAAACCACCAAAAAAATGGAAGAATATCCCATGCTCATGAATTGGAAGAATTAATACTGCCACAATGTCTATATTACCCAAGTCAATCAATGGATTCAATGCAGTCTCTATCAAAATACCAATAGCATTCTTCATAGAATTTAAAAAAATCCTAAAAAGTGCATGAAACCACATAAGACCCTGAATAGCTAAAGAAATCCTGAGCAAAAAGAACATAGTTAGAGGCATCATATCGTACTGCCTGATGTCAAATTATATTACAAAGCTATAGTAAACAAAACAACATAGTACTGATATAAAAACAAACACATGAACCAATGGAACAGAATACAGAACACAGAAATAAATCCACTCACTTTTGGCAAACTTATTTTTGACAAAGTCACCAAGAAAATACATTGGGGAAAGAGCTATCTTTAATAACGGTGGTGGGAAAACAGCATATCCATATGCAAAAGAAAGAGTCTAGATCTCCATCTTTTACCATGCACAAAAATCAACATAAAGTGCATTAAAAACATAAATGTTAGACCTGAAACTCGGAAACTAGTAAAAGGAAACATGGGGGAAATGCTATAGGACAGTGGTCTGGGCAAAGATTTTTCAGGTATGACTACAAAAGCATAGGTAACAAAAGCAAAAACAGACAAATGGGGTTATATCAAGCTAAAAACTTCTGCACCACAAATAAAACAATCAACAAAGTGAAGAGACACCACAGAATGAAGAAAAATATTTGCGAACTATCCATCTGACAAGAAATTTATAACCGAAATATAGAAGAAACTCAACTCAATAGCAAAAAATCAAATAATCCAATTTAAAAATGGGCAAAAACCTGAATAGACATTTCTCACAAGAAGACATACAAATGGCCAACTGGCATATTGCAAAAAAATCCCAACATCATCAATAATCAGGGAAATGCAAAAAATCCTCAACGTCTCTCTATGAGATATCATCTAATCCCAGTCAGAATGGCTATTATCAAAAAGGAAAAAAAGTAACAAATTTTGGCAAGGATGTGGAGTGCTCATATACTTTTGGTGGGAATGTAAAATAGTGTAGCCATTACAAAAGACAGTATGGAGTGTCCTCAAAAAACTAAAATGGAACCACCATATGATCCAGCAATCCCACTGCTGGGTATATATCAAAGAAAGAAAGGAAATCAGTATACTGAAGATGTATTTGCATTCCCATTTTTATTGCAGCACTATTCACAATCACCAAGATACAGAATCAACCTAAATGTCCATCAAAAGATGAATGGATAAAAGTGGCGCATACATGCGATGGAATATTATTCAACCATAAAAGAATGAAATCCTGTCATTTGCAGCAATGTAGATGGAACTGAAAGTCATCATGTTAAGTGAAATAAACTAGGCAAGAAAGATAAACATCACATGCTCTTACTCACATGTGGGAGCTAAAAAAGTGGATCTCATGGGGGTAGAGGGTAGAGTAGTGGTTATCAAAGTCTGGGAAGAGAAAGAGAGAGAGGAGGATGAAGAGGAGTTGAAGTGTACAAAAATACAGTTTGATAGAAGGAATAAGTTCTAGAATTTGATAGTGCAGTAGGAAAATAATAGTAAACAATAATTTATTGTATACTTCAAAGTAGAAGAATTTTAATGTTTCCAACATAAAAGATAAATGTTTGAGATGATAGATATCCTAATTACCTTGATTGTATCATTACATATTGTATACAGGTATCAAAATATCACATTTATCCCAAAATATGTACAACAAATACATATTAATAAAAAGTTACCAAAAATGCATTTACTTCCTCAAGTTTAACCAGAAAACTTAGGTTAATTTTTATAACTGAAATTTGTAAATGACTTTGGACATTGCATTTTTTTCATTTAAGAAATGAATGAAGAAATATTTAAAAATATTTTGAAAGATGGTAAAATTTTAGTTATATAGGAATGCTATAACTGCATAAAGTGAAGCCAAAACCAAAGGGAGGAAAGCTGAGAACGGATTGAAAATCCAGACATTGGGCTGGGTGGGGTGGCTCACGCCTGTAATCCCAGCACTTTGGGAGGCTGAGGTGGGCGGATCATGAGGTCAGGAGTTTGAGGCCAACCTGGCCAACATGGTGAAACCCCGTCTCACCAAAAATACAAAAAATTAGCTCGGTCTGTTGGTGCGCACCTGTAGTCCCAGCTACTCAGGATGGTAAGGCAGGAGAATCGCTTGAACCCAGGAGACAGAGATTGGAGTGAGCAGAGATTGTGCCATTGCACTCCAGTCTAGGTGACAGAGCAAGACTCCGTCTCAAAAAAAATAAATAAATAAAAAAAATAAATAAATAAAAAATAAATGTCTTATTACACTCTTGAAAAGTTTGGAAAAGAGAGTGAAAAAAAGGGCTTCTGTTAGGAGCCTGCAAGCTGGAAAGTAGTATCAATTTAGAGCAAGATGTTTTTGAAATAATTGTGGTGTTGTAAATGTATAATGATTTCCAATTCTCTCTTTCTTGCATTCCTGCCATTCTTCAAATTAGTAATGAATGTTTAATATAGTAGCTACTATGTTAGATATTGGGATGCAATAATGAATATGACATAATTTCTATTTGTAAAGAACTTAGTCTATTATAAGGGACTCATACATATAATCAAATGATTTTAATATGATGTAATAAATGCATGGATAAAATTATATGCAACTTCCATTCTGGCACAAATAAGCTGAATCAGCTGGCTCAGTGAGAGTATTGTCATGGGTATAGAACAGGGGGTGACAAAGTAGCCCACAGGCCAAATCTAGCTACCTATTTTTTTTTTTTTAGATGGAGTTTCGCTCTTGTTGCCCAGGCTGGAGTGCAATGGCGCGATCTCAGCTTACTGCAACCTCTGCCTCCCTGGTTCAAGTGATTCTCCTGCCTCAGGCCCCTGAGTAGCTGCGATTACAGGCATGTGCCAGCCTGCCTGGCTAATTTTGTATTTTTAGTATAGACAGAGTTTCTCCATGTTGATCAGGCTGGTCTCAAACTCCCGACCTCAGGTGATCCCCCGGCCTCAGCCTCCCAAAATGCTGGGATTACAGGCATGAGCCACCGCGCCCGGCCCTAATTTTCATAAATGAAGTTTTATTGGAATATAGCAACATTCATTTATTTGTATATTTTTTATGGCTGCTTTTGCATAAAAAGAGCGCATGAAGTAGTTACAACAGAGACTGTATAAACCACAGATCCCCAAATAGTTACTATCTGGCTGCTTTAGTCCATTTGTGCTGCTATAAAAGAATACCTGGGATTGGGTAATTTACAAAGGACAGACATTTATTTCTCACAGTTTCAGAGGCTGGGAAGTCCAAGATCAAGTTATCGTCACCTGATTGGGGCCTTCTTGCTGTGTCTCCACATGGAAGAAAGTAGAATTCAAGAGAAGGTGAATGATATGTTCCCATATGAAGGAAGAATGGAAGAGCAAGCTACCCAAATGCAGCTGAACTCTCTTTCATAAAGCTCTTAATACCATTCACAAACGAGTAGTCCTCATGGCCTAATCACCTCTTAAAGACCTCAAATCTTAATACTATTACATTAGCAACACCTAAAATTTGAAGGGATACATTCAAACTATAGAATTCCCTTTTTGGCTTCTCAAAATTCATGCCCTTCTCACTTGCAAGATATACTAATTTCATCCCAATAGTCCCAGAGTCTTAACTCATTCCAGCATCAACTCAAAAGCCTAAAGTCCAAGGTCTTATATAGATATCACCTTAATTAGATGTAGGTGAGGCTCAAAGGTATAGTTCATCTCGAGGCAAATTGCTCTCCAGCTGTGCATCTGTGAAATCAAACAATTTTTGTTCTTCCAAAATATAATGGTGTTTCAGGCATAGGATAGATATTACCATTCCAAAACAGAACATTAGAAAATTTTTTGGCTACAACATTCTCACTGATTACAGAAACTGCTTGTGTTTTCAATGGGAGAAAACAACATTCTGAAGGAAAATCACTGATACACAGGCTGTGATTTGTCTTACTCTTTTCATCTTAATACCCAAAGCTAGGTAATGAAAGACAGAACTTTAAAGAAAAGCACATTCCCAAACTAAATATGTAAATATGTATCTGTGAAACAGTTGGAATTGGTCAAGTAGAAAAGAAAGTTATACAGAATCTTCAAATTGTGGCAGTGAGAGAGATTTTAGACATTATGTAATTCAACCTCTTTTTTTTTTTTTACTGATGAGAAAGTAGGATCCCAGAAGATGAGGGAAATAGTGCAAGGCCAAAATGGATAATTAGAAGCAAACTGGGACTTGATTTAGTTATCTGCCTCTGAATCTAATTCCATTCCTAAATTGTATAATGAATCACTGATAAAGAGTTTGATGACATTGAGGGGGCATTTTAAACTTGAGTAAGTATGTTATTTGTGGAGTAAGTATGTTGTGCTGAGTAGGTGTAATAATTGATACTATATAAAATATTGTGCAATTTTCATATGTAAAATATTATAGGTGTCCTTGCACTTTTATGTTGGAATTCATACAGGTTTATAATTTCATATCTTGTATAAAACTTTGGCACAAAGTTCCACATATGTGCAGTTTTAAATATTAAATATTAAAATCACAATCTCATATTACTTTATTTGAGGCTTTAAAACTTTACATTAACCATATGAGCGTGTATTTGCCATTTTGCAGAGGATGAAATTGAGTACCATAAAGGTTAAGCAATGGAAACTAGGATCCATATCTTTACACTTTTCCTTCCAGCTTGATAATTGGATAAAAGTTTTATAAGTATCATTTTTTTATCACAAAGGGCAAAAGGTGAAACAAAGCCTTTGGCTTGCCAAGATATCTTTTTAGCTCTTCATTTTTTTTCCTCTATCTTCACTTCCACCCTCAGATTGTTGAGGAATAACAGTAGTCATGGAAGAGACCTCATGTTGGTTCAGCAACTCCTGAAGTTTCTTGGTTGTCCTACTAAGAAGTCATTTTTTAAAAGGACCATTTAATGTAGAATTGAAATGTTCTTTACTGCCATGCCCTATGAAAATTCATATTTCCCCAGGAAGGACATACTGTGGTCATGTGAAAGATATTAAATGGGTAACACTAACCTCCTAGGTGCCTTGGCTTCAATAGTTTTGACAATATTTTGACATTTGTCAAGACTTTTTCACTAAAATTACAAGTTTTTCTTATTGTTTCTGAATAACGTTATGTGACATGAGATTTGTTTATAGTTTTGGGAAACTCTGGAATTTTCAAACCAAAAAACAGATGAAGATTAGGAATATTATAAGCTATAACTTGAATGCAAGGGAAGTAAAGGCCACTTGTAATTTCTGAGGCTACCTGACCACCTAATAACTACTTATGAGCAATGACTATCAGAAACCATTTTAATATAATTCAATTTTGAAGCTATACATGATGACCAAATACAAGCAAGACAATACAGAATATATAATTTGGTGTATATCATGGATTGAAAGCTAAGAATTTAATGTATGGCGAAGAGGTGTGACTTTTTATATTTTAAGTGAAATGTTTACCTCTTTAAAGAATCGGAGATCTAAATTTATTATACCATTAAACTTTTAAATAATATCTCTTGTTACATTAATGAGTGGTCAAATTAGGTAAGAGGAAATAATTTACCCTTGATATGATATTCTACATTTTTTACTATAATTTTAATAAATTTGCTATGATATAAATGTAATATTTCTCTTTATTATGTCTTTGTAAGACAGAATCATAATTTGTTCCTAGACATGCAAATTAACATGTTCATAATAGCTTACATGATTAGAGGTAGAACATACTTCTTGAAATTTTTCATATAACCAAGTTCATATGATGGTACACTTATGTAAAGCATAAAGATTTGACAAGAATCTTGACAAAAGGAGAACTAAGAAAATAATCAAAATGATATTTGTGCCATAGGTGCTGAGGACAGGAAAAAATATAAGTTTGGTAGAAATGGTAAAATAATTTATCTGGAAGCATTAGCAAATCTTTGGCTAATATATTCAAGAGTCACCTGAATTAATGCTAGCAATTTTGTATTATTTAATTTTTTGATGTACAGTCTTGATTACTTAGAAAACTCAAGTAGCTATTCCCAGTTCCTTAACAATAATAAAAAGTTTAAAGACTTGTCTTGTATAATCTGCTCAACTCATTACTGAGCACATTTAAAGACATATTAAAATAAGTTTCACATAAAAATTCAGTTTTCAAATGAAAGGCTGATTGTAATAATTGACATTAAGTGCTGTTTTGAGTAGCAAACCAGTGACTTCTTAATTGACATTAAACAGGAAAAGTTTGTGAAATGATATTAAATTAACGTTTACATTAAATTAATAAAAAATAGTTCGGAGGATGAGAAAAAACTTTCCCATTAGTGGGAATTTCCATTAATAGAGTTGATATTAAATGAACATAATAATTTAGACAAGGGGGAAAAGATGTCTGGCTGCCTGGAAATTAGAGAAAGAAAGTGAGCAGAGAAATGCTAGAAATGGTATCAGCTTCAAGGAAGAAGCCTCTTTATTTGGGTAGTGAGTTAGTTTAAGCAATAGGATGAACTGTTAGCAAATAAATAAAAACCAGGGTTCTGTTCAACAGTGCAGAGAAAAATTTTGATGATCTACGACTTTGAAATTCTGATTATCATTATGTTTTTGAAAATAATAGTTTATAGAAAGATTACTTCAATAAGAATTGGAAATGGATTAATATTTTCTCAATGGGCATGATTTAACAGAACTATTTTCATGTATACTCAGTTTCAAAATATTTGTTTCTCAGGTTTTCTTTTATGAACCTCAGGCTAAAATATAAAGTTTTAGAATTTAAAAAAATCATTTTGATAGGACTCAGCCAACCAGATCTAGTCACCCTTGATTTTATTTCTGGAGCTAGTGTCATAATGCTCATGGACAAGAGAAAGTTCTTTTGGTGATGGTGGTGAAGACATGGATGTCCATTTCCTGGGATGGCAATGTTGGTGAAGCTGGTGGAGTGGGCACAAGTTTTAGAGAACTATGTCCAGTGGTGGTGGTCATGGTGTTCTTACTACACTGCGTCTGTGGTATATTTGGGCTGTGGCTCAAGCAGCGTGGCTTCCCTCTGTTCTGAGAAAGCCTGTGGGTCTGTACCCTACCTGTTAAAGTTTTGAAAATTTCCTTTTCTCCTGAATATCTTTTGGTTGCACGTTAAGAACATTGACTGATATATGTAACTTGCATGTAATGATGTGGGAATATAGTACATAGGGGGTATTCAATAAATATTTGTCAAATGAATTGAATATGTGAATAAACCTCTGGATTCTAAGATATAAGTTTACCGTATCATGACACTAGTGTCACCACTAATAAATGAAATGTCTCAAGGAAATGTGGAAGCTTTCCTTGTAATATCTTTACCCTTGACAGGCAGCTTTGAGTTCCCGCAGTGAGAACTGCATGGAAAGTTGTAGTAATACTCCTACAAGGAGTTAGCACCCTGGAAGTCTTCTGGATCTGCACTGTGGGGCAGGTGTGCAAAAGCAAGTTGGGGGTAATGGAATCTGTTGCTTTCATGGGACATCATCTTGGTATCAAGTATAGAAGTGATTTTAGTAGCTTTACTTTAGAAAAATGCCTTACCTACTAGACTTAATTTCTACTTTGTTAAAGACATACACAATGCAGAGGCAATTATTTTGCTATTAGCAATGAAATGCATATAATAGAGAATTTAGTATTATCTGCCATTTTTCTCATGGTTTACATTGTCACTGGAAACCTATCACTAAATTAATCACTTCATATTATGTATTAACTGTTACATTTTCTACATTGAGTCAGATTTTTCCCAGCTCGGAATTTCATTCTGTTTATTTGCTTTTTGTTATTTAAGTAATAATAATAATAATAATATCACTGTAGTTTTTGTAGCTGTCCCCTGGATATTTTTAGTTACTGTTACTGAATTTAGAAAATGTTGTCTTGGGAGCTTTTCTTAGCTTTTCCTCACAAGACAAGCAATTATGCTATCAGAGCTGCTAATACCCTCTTTTAGAACATGTTTGCTCATTACTGATGAATATTTCATTTTTGTGTGAAATACCATTTCATTATGCCGTCAATTATTCAATCGGAAAACTGGACAAGACTGAGACTGTCATCAAGAAATGTACAATAAACTTCAAAAGATAGTAACTGATGATAAAATAATTAGAATATGTCAAATTAGTGCTGCAGATTTTAACTATGGGTTTAAGAAAGGATAAGTCAAGAATATTAGAGCGATTGGGTTGCTGAACTTTAAAAAATGACCATGTGGCTTTAGTACCTAGTCAACAGAGGGGGACTACAGTACGTGAAGTCCCTTAACAGGTGGAGGCTAAGCTGTGGAGGTGTGGCAGTGGGAACTATTGAGAGGTGGAGATGTTTGGTTCTTACAAATTTCAATATAATATTTATCCTGCACTTCTCACCATATTGGGTTAAAGAAAAGTCTTGGCTAGACTGGTGTCTCCAAAATAAAATAACACAAAAAGTCATTGGGATTTCAGATTTCATTTGGCCCCAATTCATTTGCCAGACAGAAGGTGATAGAAATAAGACAATTTTTTGACTGTTCATTCAGTTCTGCATAGGATTACTTATTTATAGTCTAATTTTATAGAAGATAAAAAAAGAGAACCAAGGAAAATATTTGGAATTCCAGGAAGCAATGTAGATCTCCCAGGTGCCCTTGATTAGAATGTGCTCAATATAGTACACGGTGAAGTTAAATGTCAACTAAACAGAGCTGCAATTGTGAGTTGGTTTGACTTGACAGATGGTGGGGGAGGGGTTATTTTCTAGCCACTTCCCATTGAAAAGGTCAACCAATCACAATAATTAGGGATGATTTTGTATTAGTCTTGTTCAGCTTGGGAAGACCAGTAAATAGTTATAACTTAGAAAGTACAGTTTCTACATAGAGACTATTGATCTTAACCAGGGATTTTTATGAATTGGAAATAATTTTCAGGTGTTCAGTCCTAAGCATACTTAACCTCACTTGTTCTATGGGGATTGATTTTACAATGATGTTTTTGATATTCACTGTTAACAGAAGGAAAGCCCCCTAAAACTATACAATCTACAATGGATTAATCATGTTAAATGCATGAACATTCAGAGATTACAATACTTGTGAGAGCTCGAGCATTTCAGTTGCTGTTTTGGAAGATGTACAGTGAATCTTACTTTTCAATCAGCATAAGTCTAAATGATAGCAAGTCTTTGCCAAAAGCAATTTTGTGCTGAATTTATATGGGTGTGTGTGTCTATTTAGCAAAAATATAAAATGCAAGATTTTATTTTTTGAAACAACAACAGAAAAATGCAGCTGTTGAGAAACTTGAATAGTTACCAATTGAAGGTAGAAAGCAGATTTTAGAAAACAGGTAAAAGGGGGAAATACAGGCTTGAGGAACTCCTGCCAGGCAAACTCAGGGCTTCTGCTCTTGTTGTCCCCTTTTTGGGAACATTCCTCATGGTGTCTACTGAGATACCCCCTCCTCTGAGAAGGCTTTCCTGAGCATTTTGTTTTAAATTGTAGCCCTCCAGCTCTAGTACTCCTTCTCCCTCACTTCTATTTTTTTTTTCACCCTAGAACTTATCAGCATCTGACATATATGTGTTTCATTTAATTATCGTCTCCCAAATAGAGGTCAGAGGTGTTTGTCTATTTTGTTCGATGCTTTATTCCCAAACCTACGAGGGGGGCCTGGCACACAGGAGCTCAATAAATATTTATTGAATGAGGAAGGAGGAAAAAGCTACTGATTTTCTCTTCAAGAGGTGTCTTTTGAAAAATACTAAAGTCTCTATTGTACCTACATATATTGGAAATAGAAGTATGAATGTATAGGCATTTAGAGTTCATAACAGTTTTCATCTGAAGCCACAATAGCCAGAGGGAAGTTGATGGTTCTGCTAAGTTAACATCAATTGTGATACATCCCTAAGACAACAGAAGGTGGTAGAATTACAAAATGAAAGCAGAAATAGAAGTCTAGCCTAAGAATATGGAGAACTACCAGTGGAGCACAGTTCTTTCCTGTGTAACTTTTCTCTTCTTCTCCTCTCCTTCCCCATCTCTCCTGGCCTTCGTAAGCCTTAATATTGGGAAGAGCTCCTCTCTGCTTAGGTTTTTGTCTCACTCTCTGTAGACCTGATTCTTTTGCTTTTCCAATCCATATGATACGTAACATGTCACTGTTATCTTACAGTCCTATCACCTAAAAATATATTTAATTCTTTTTTTAAGTTCCAATTCCAATATTTTTAGTGAAGGGCCCTGATTGACTCAAATTGGACCAGTTGGCTACCTGTGGAAGAGTAAGTAAGCTCTTTCCAAGAGGCAGTCACATTTATTAGGGTGATCAAATAGTTTATTATCCCAATTGGGTGCTAAAATAACCAAAGTAACAGTTGTACCGTGGTATCTGTGGGGAATTGGTTCTAGGACCCTTTGTGGATACCAAAATCCACAGATGCTTAAGACCCTTATATCAGATGGTGTACTATTTGCATATAATCTATGCATATCCTCCAATATATTTTAAATCATCTCTAGATTACTTACAATACCTAATACGATGTAAATACTATGCAAATAGTTATACTGTATTGTTTAGGGAATAATGACAAGAAAAAATGTCTGCATGTGTTTAGTACAATTGTAACCATTCTTTTCTTTCTTTAAGTTCTGGGATACATGTGCTGAATGTGCAGGTTTGTTACATATGTATACACATGCCATGGTGGTTTACTGCACCTATCAACCCGTCATCTAGGTTTTAAGCCCCACATGCATTAGGTATTTGTCCTAATGCTCTCCCTCCCCTTGCCCCCCACCCCCTGACAGGCCCCAGTGTGTGATGTTCCCCTCCCTGTGTCCATGTGTTCTCGTTGTTCAACTCCCACTTATGAATTAAAACATGCAGTGTTTAGTTTTCTGTTCTTGTGTTAGTTTACTGAGGATGATGGTTTCCAGCTTCATTCATGTCCCTGCAAGGGACATGAACTCATTTTTTTTTATGGCTGCATGGTATTCCATGGTATACATGTGCCACATTTTCTTTATGCAGTCTGTCATTGGTGGGCATTTGGGTTGGTTCCAAGTCTTTGCTATTGTAAATAGTGCTGCAGTAAACATATGTGTGCATGGGTCTTTATAGTAGAATGATTTGTAATCTTTTGGATATATACCCAGTAATGGGATTGCTGGGTCAAATGGTATTTCTGGTTCTAGATCCTTGAGGAATCACCACACTGTCTTCCACAATGTAGCCATTCTTTTTTTCTTAATATTTTTGATTGGTGATTCGTTGAATCTGTGGGTGCAGAACCCATGGATACTAAGGGCTGTCTGTATAGAGTTTTTGAAATATTGTTTACTTACCAACAAATTAGTTGTGATGGCACCTCCTTAAAAATATCTTATTCGAAGTTATTCAAATAAATATTCTTTCCCTAAGAATGAAATGACTTAACATCTGTGTACAATGAAGCAAAAAATAAAATAAATTATTTATGTCAATTATCTAAACTTTAAAAAATGACAATGTGGCTTTAGTACCTAGTCATAATGGGCACTTGATATTTGCTGGATAAAGGGATGAAAAGACATAAAATTGCAATGAGATTTTATTGCTCTGTGCAGGAGAAATTCAACAGATGCTGTTAAATCCTTTATTTAAGTAAGTCTGGATTCTAGTATCTACTGAGCTGGTATGTTGAACCTCAAAAGTTGCCAATATTTTGCAAGTGCAAAATGTTGGAGAAGAGATGATGCTTCTTTCAGACGTCCCCTATAACCAACCAAGTGAGGGAGGCCTCCTTGATACCACAGCTAAGTATGTTTCTCCTGCTTTCATCAGCTCTGCCATGGACCTCCCAACCTACCATCCACTGGATTAACCAACCTTCCTAAAAGGTCAGTCACAACATTTCCCACTTAAATTTTGTTTGGCTTTAGAGAGTACTCCATTGAAATCTATCTTTTCCTTTACTCCTTTAGTGAGCTTTCAAATTATTTTGTTTTTGATTTGTCTCCTTAGATTGTTTGTACACTTGAGCATCTTGCACTTATAAACTCCTACTGTACTGGGCATACAATAGGTGTTTAGTAAATACATTTTGTGTGTTTTATTGCTCAAAATGACCAAAATAATTGTTCTTTATATATGTTAAAGTGAACTAAATATGGCCTGAGAAGGACTCCGTACATCTATATTTGAGTCTTTGTGGACGAACCGTAACCTAGCTTAACAGGCAGACAAGATTGAAAATCTAGCTTAGTAGTATGCACCTGTAACAACAGCTGAGTCTTGGCCAATTCCAGCATTCATACTTCAACCACTCATAGACTGATAGAACACTGCTGAGTGTTCAAACTGTGTTCAAATAAGGCAAATGCAAACCTGTAACCAATCCAGCTGTTTCTGTATCTCACTTCTGATTTTTGTACATCACTTCTCTTTTGTCTATAAATTTCTTCTGACTATGAGGCACCCATGCAGTCTCTCTCAATCTGTTGCGATTCTGAGAGCTGCCCAATTTGTGAATCATTCGTTGCTCAATTAAACCCCTTTAAATTTAATTCCCCTGAAGTTTTTCTTTTAGCATATGTATTCATGTACTTTAACAAGTTTTGAACTGTATCTGTCCCTAATAGGGGGTAAGAATCTCTTTCTATAGAATGTAATTTGATATATTCTCATTCGTTTTTAATTTTTCATAAGTTGCTTGTAATTTCTGCAAAGTTACATTTCTGTGACTCTACATTAGAGATCACTGTACATTAGAGACCACAATATCTTAAATTGAGAAAATATTCTCCCTATAGATCCTGAGGTAGGAAAAAAACTCTGCTGAATGAAGAATTTCAATGTAGATGTTCTCATTTCTATTTTTTGTGTGTTGAAATACAAAAATATTTCAGATAAAATACTTTCACAGGTCCTGTCTTTTGCTTCCAATTAAAGTATCTGTCTTTGGAAAATCATTCTAAAAGACAAAATTTAATAAACAAGGATATCACTATTTATGATTTCTTGAATGTTTTCTCATATTTAGATGCCATAAAATCATGGAATTTCTTAATTTTGTTACATTCTAGCACAGAATTAAAATTCATTCATTTAAAATTAGATCTATGAAAATGTTCTTTGTAACACTATATTAAAATAGAAGAAGTTGGGGGGACTAGATTCTTTTAAAAAGTGTCAATGTCATAAAAGAGAAAGAAAAGCTGTGAAAATGTTCCAGATTAAAGAAAGCTTAAAGAGACATGACCACTAACAACCAAATCCTATATATGACTCCGGAGTGGATCCTGTACCAGATGGAGAAAATGCTATAAAGAACATTATTAGATCAACTGACAAAATTAGAACATGACAGTAGATTGGACAAAAGTATTATGCCAATATAAATTTATAAAATTGGTAACTGTAGCTGTGAGAACATTCCTAATCTTAGGAAATATACAATAAAATATTTAGAGTAAAGGGCCATGATGTATGTTACTTACCTTCAAATGACTCAGGAGACAGAGAGAGAAGGGGTAGAGGGTGTGGGGGAGATGAAGGGAGAAAGAAGGAAGCAGAGAAGAGAGAGAGGGTGACAGAGGGGAAGGAGAGGGAATGATAAAGCCAATGTGGCAAAATGTTAATTATAAAATGTGGGGAATGGGTATATGAGTGTACCTTTAATAATATAATTTTAGCAACCTTTTATAAATTTAAAATTATTTCTAAGCCCAAATTAAAAAAAATACCTTTACTACAATGAATAACAACATAATTATAGCATTTTAAATTTAGATCTTGCATATTGCTTGAGTTCTCATCACGTCAGTTTCAGGTTCTCTTTTGCTTTTGTAGAGATAATTTTCAATGGCTGATCATCTTTCCGATTTAGTCAGGTGCTGAGTGGTGAGAAATCTGTACACTGCTGATGCTCTCTTACTCTTTTGGATATGACCATTGCAGAAGTCAGAGGATAGAGTGGAGTCCACAAAACCCACCTGGCTTAATTCAAAGCAACTATTGATAACGCTACTTCATTAACCAGTGGCAAATCCTGAACAAATGCTAAATCTGATGACACAGCAGATATAAACAAGAGCTATAAAACAAACTAGATGTATGGATACTGTAATTAATAAGGAGTATACTGTGAAAACCATGTGTATTAAAATGGAGGGAGTTGATTCCAGGAACAGGGATGATAGTTGAATAATCCTAAACATTTTGGTATATGTGATAACATTCAGAATGGGATGAGAGGCCAAAACGTAATGCAAACAAGTCCAATTCCAGAAAAGGGGTTCAAAACAGAGCTATGCTATTTTGACAATTGAGGGTCACTAGTGCTTAATATTTGAAACATCTGCTAGAGGTTCACGTGCATTCTTTTTAGAAGTAGTAAAAATATTATGTTTGCACTGTCAGAAATAGATGGAAGATGACAATTTATATTTTGTTGTTACCACTAGTGTAATTCTTTCATATTTCTATCTCAATGACATTCAGTTTCATTTCTTCTTTTCTTGTGAAATTGTACTAGCAAAATAAGCTGTCAGGTGTCAGAAGTAGAAAAGTCTCTGCTTCTTCTGGAGAGGTGAAAGATTACTTAGAATATGCTCTCAATTATACATTGTAAAACGGTGTGGATATTCCTTCAATTATACAATGGTTAAAACAGTGCCTTACGTAGACTTTATTTCCAGTAAAGAAAGGGAATTTTAGCATAGCTATATTCCAGTAGGAACAGTATTTCTGCCCTGAATGAGATCACCTCCTTAATTAAAAATAGATAATTTTGAAACACATCAGAAAGGTGCCTTTTCCCCTCTTTCTCCTGTGCTAATTTCAAACATTTTTAGTGCTTTCTCTTTTCCAGGCACTATAGTAAGTGTTTTACATATATTTTCTAATTTTATCCTTATTCCACCTCTGAAAGATAAGTATTACTCCCATTTAATGTGTGAGAAAAATGACACTGAATGGTGGAACATAGTATTGATTTCAAAGTCAATAATTGAGAACAAAGTGTTGGCAAAACCAAGAATTGATTTCAAGTCTATCTGACTGTAAATCCTAGACTCATAACTATGACAAAATTTGGCCTTCCAATGACCTATAACCCTTCCCCCTGGGTTATCGATTTCCCTTTTGAAAAATGTGTTTAGGGGACTGGATTTACCCCTTGCCAGTCATTAGGAATACAATTTTGACTCCTCTACAAGTGTGTCTCAGATATTTCAAACTCTATTGATTTCAGTAAGTAAGCGTGTTCTAGGGATTTGAATGATAAGAAATTTTCTGCACTAGAAATGGGTTTATTTCTAACCCATTCTACTCTGGAAAGAATTTAAATGTTAAGACAATGATTTTCTGTATTAAGTCCCAAACTATCTCTCGATATCTGATTTCTAACCACCTATGCTTAGCTATCTTTAGAAATCAATAGAAGTTCAAGTCTTCCTCCATTTGATAAACCTTCAAATATTTTGAGGCAATCATAGTTTGTGCTATATTGTTTGTACTTTATTAAAGAATTCTCAAGTCGTATATCACCTATGTGGTTCCAATGAACAAGTCTCATTTTCTCTCCTAAAAGGCAGAGGTTGGGGAAAACACTTTATGAAGCTTTCCCCTTTCTGAGATCAACTTGTCTGTTTTTCTTACAACTCCAGGAATCACTTTCAGGGATTTCATCTCAAGTTATCTCATGAGGATCCTTGAACAATTTTATTATCTCCACTGCCCATTCTCATGAATTAGAATTACAGACAGACCAGGCACATACTTAGATATCACTTTGCTGCCTCAGCCCTTGGCCCTCAGTAGGTTTTCCATCATTTTTGTTGCGTGGATGATTCCTCTGTTGATTGGCTAGTGACTGCTAGACTTCTACCAGCCCTCTAACTTGAACAGTATTACATTATAGAATCCTTTCTACAGGTGTTTTCTCCTTTATTGTTTAAAATAATCTTCCAAAGTAGATGTTACTGCTCCTATTAAATGAGAAAATGATGAAAGGATAGCATGACACCTGGCCCACAGTAAGCCCTTAATAACTGTACTTCCCCCTTTCTTTCTTCCAGTCTAAACTGAAGTTTAGAGCAATTAAGTAATTTGCCTAACACCATGTAATCCAAGACTCAACATCAGTTCTTTAGATTCTAAAACCTCTTCTCTTTCTACTATTTGCACTTTTTAACCCTAGATTATTTCCTCGAATGAAGTAATATGTGGTACTCAATGTCCAAAACAGATGAAGGTGGCTTTTATCAGCAAACAATGTGTAGTTTATGAGTTAAGTGTACATTTACTTACTTCGCAATCGGTTAATGAGAAGAATGAAGCTTCTTTGATGCCAAACACAAAATTTTGAGTTTGTAATTATAAACATTATTTCAGCATATCAAGTAAATGTTCTGATCAATGTATGTACCTGTAGATGATATTTTCTAAAAGATTACATTTTAATCTGAGGATATTCTTCAATTAAATGGATTCGGTAGCTTCAAAGTAGAATAGTAGAGCTATTTTGTTTTAAATTTGAGTTAATAAGACTAATAAGTGTTCTCATTCCTTATCTTTGAGAGGTACCAGGGATTAGAAATGTTATGCAGTAAGACTGTAGGCCTTCAAAGATCAGTTCTTTTAGAAGTTTGACACTGGGCAAATTACTTAAGCATTTTGTAACTTTGTTTTCTTATCAGTATAATGGGCACATGGTTAGGGCTCAACAGATATTAGGTATTATTTCAAGATATAAATACAATGTAACATATAATATGAGCTCTCCAAACTGTAAATAATATATAAAAGTATAAGTAATATCATCATGACTAAGTGCTGACACATTCTGGGGATTGTCAGTGAACTTGTTATGTTGGGATGGACTTTTTCCCCTGGCAGATCTACCCATGTAACATTAGGAACTAAAGTAGGTCATGTGATATCAAATTTTATAAGCATATTCACTGAACTAAAATTTCAAAAGGGTAAGTCCTAAGCTACAAACCTCCCAACAAATGACGTATTTATGAGAAGTTTAAACATGTTCTTAGTATGGTAGATTAAGCTTTTATTCCAAAACTGAGTTAAAATCGAAGTGCATGTTAACTTGCATGTTAATATATTACGTAATAAACTGTAATTAGCTTTATAGTTTATAACATTGATTAATATATAAATATGTATACATACAGAGGTTTCAATCAAGTGCTTTGGGATGTCCTAAGTACCTACAGAATACTGTTTTAAAATTTCTTATTATAATATACGAGGCTAGAGAGTTTCCTTATTTGTTATCAAACTCCTTTCAGAATAAATATGTGCTTGCTTTTTATTTTTCAGTAAGCTATATCTACGTCATTTAATTGGCTACATCACCAAATCTCTCTATGCCTGTTTCTTCATGACAAAAACAGGGATATTAACAGCTATCTGCTAGGGTACATTAAATAAAATAACATTTATAATATACTTAGTGTTTGCCTATGACATGATAAGTATTCATTAAATGATACCTATTTTCATTATTGCTATTGTTTATTTTTTTCTTATATTAGATATATTTGTGGGTTTTGAAGTGGACAAATTAGAAACATTATTCTATGAAAGAAAATTAGGAAGGGCTCCACTTCTTGTTGCCCTTCCAGAAGCAAATGTAATCAATTTTACTACCTTGGAAATGAACTTTCACAAATTGAGGGCCACCTGTGGGAAACTGGCTTCAATTATGTGTATGCAGATGGTTTCATAATTCAGAATATTGACCATGTGGGAGAATTTGGTAGGTGAATAAAATAGGAACTTTAATGACACGATTGCTTTTTATGTGACCAGAGATTTAACTAATTTACAATGTTTGGCTCTTGGTGGATTGAAGAGAAGTAGAGTGTTTGGTCTGAGTCTAAATCAATTTTGCTGCAATGGAAAAGCACAGGGAAACAACCTCCAAATAGAACTATAAAATCCTCCAAGAAGTCTATTTTTATGTGTTATACAAGTAACCTTTACTGGTAATAGGATCTTTTTTCTTTTACAAACTGTGTTATTTTAAACATTTCAACATCACTATTGGTATGTTAAAAAACCAGAGCTCAAAAGTAACAAGTACTCCTAAATAATAGTCTGGAAAATAATTCAATTACAACATACTTTAATATAATCAGTTTGTACAAAAACACATATTAAAATAGAAAATCTGTCTCATTAACATTCAGCAGGCATCTCACTCAGCTGGAACTGAACTTATTTCAGACTCAAACATACAGAAATCTCAGATAGATTACAAATATATGGGCATGCATAAAATTAAATAGAAAATACTTTGTAAGTGCTTAAGGAGCTGAGATTATTTTGGTGGGTGCATCTGTATATTTTATGACATACTGTGTCATTGCCTTTTCAAATTTGAGTAAATTATAGTTTTGCAAATCATAATTACATTGGCTCATGCTTGATGGTTATGCTTTGTAATACTGAGCCAGTATTAATCAAGATTTCCTAAATTTATGTCTCATTCCCTGTAGGTCATGTTACTGCTTATTTGCTTTGGATAATTATACTCATCTATTGCTTTTATTATGTGATTGGATACCACTCCCTTAGTCCCATAGCTTTCATCTGTTTTACAGTATTCAGACTGTGGTTTACATTTTTTTTTTCCTTTTGGCCAATACTTGTTTCTTAACTGAGTGATACTTTCACCTTTCTGTCCACCATCCTTTCTACTCATCAAAACCAGATTGCATTTTGCTGCAGAAGAAAGATGTGTTCAATAAAACTTTGCCAAGAAAATGGTTATTGATATGTCTTTGAAAGGCAGCTGTATTGCTTATGTACCACTGGGGATTGGAGTAGTGAGACTTAAATTGCTTGTGGAACAAAGCAAAAGCAAATCCGTTTCTTTGCAACTTAAGAATTTGAAATAGTCTGTCTTTCTCATATCTGAAAAGAGAATTGTGAGTAAATAAATGGTCCTTGGAGTTAGGCTGAATAATTATGTTATCATTATGGAAAATGCTATTTATAGGAAATACTGAAATATTTTATAGTCGTACTCTTAAGCATGTAATTAGATTTAGAGGTAACGTAGTAAAATCATTTACAGCTGGATTTTTAAGTCTTTCTAAAATTTCTGTAAAGATATCTTTGCAAATACCAATAAATATTTAAAATCCTTAGGAAAACCATAGCATCTCCTGTGAAATATTTTACTTTAGGAATATTTCATTCAAGGCTTTCACTAACTTGGGTATAGATTTTTTGAGATCTAAGGAAGCCATGAGTAAGCCTCTGATTAATATAAAGAAAAATAAGTGCTGGTAAATATAGTAGAAACTCATTAAAGATTCATTGAAAACATACAGGCATCAATCAATTATATACAAATGACTCTTCAGAAGGGGCAATTGAAATGCAAAGATGTGTCCCTTTATGCTGTCTGGTAGGAAAATGTTAATTTCAAAATATGTTTTTGCAAATAGAAATTATACAAATTCTCTTTGGTAGCCTAGTCTGAGGTATAAAAAGTTTTCTAAAGTTTTCCTGAACAGTTTTCTGGTTAAGGGTTAAAAACATTCTTAGTATTTTATCATTCTTCATAATCCCTAACTAAAGAATTGCTACCTCCAATTAGAGCATGTTTAATGTGAACCAATCCACTATTTTTAACATTAAAGATTTGTTTTCCTTTTTACTCTGCTCTTGTTTCCTAAAGTTCTTCTGCTAACTTGACATACATCTGTATTTTTTTTACATTATTTTCATCATTATTGTCATTAATTTAAAAAATGTTTATGGAAAATATACCTATCTTCACATTTAAAGTCCCTGTGCTCCAACATGGGAAGATACAAAAATGTGAAATACGGTCATGACCTGAAGGAGTTTCCCCTCTAATTGGGGGCACTATGTTCTTAAATGCAACTACTGCCTCCAGATTCTTCCCCTCTCCCACCACCTTTTAGAATGTCACCAGACACACAAATGCAAATTTCCGGGTAACTTGAAAAAGCAATACAAATTTATAAGTCTCTCTTTAATCTCTTTTTCATATCTCAATGAATGGCAAAGGGGAAATGCAAAAGAACCCAACAGAGAGTTGATTTTACTTGAAGTCTTGAGTTCTGCAGAGAAGTCTTGAAGACAGCCTTAACTTTGAATGCACTGCACTAGTAACAAACATATTTATTGGCTTGAGAACAACCTCTGTCCAATCACTGGATGACAGTAAAACTAGGCAAACACAGGGGCAACCCCTTAAAGGCTAATCTTAAAAATAAAAACAATAATAATTTCAAAAATTGAGTAGAGATATCAGTGGCCACACACTGCACATGAAGCAGATTTTATAGGTTTGGACCATACAAATTACAAAAAAACATTTAAAAACACAAACAACCAGCACCAATAAGAACTCTGGGGGAGAAATCAGAATTCATAACTGGTATCATGTATTATTTTTAAAAATTTTCAACAAAAATATAAGATATAAAAGAATAAGGAGAGTATAACTCAGAAAAAAGCAGTAGATCACTCCAATTAAAGATGTTAGATTTAGCAAAAGCTTAAAGCAGCTATTATGAATATGTTCAAAGAACTGAAAGAAATAATGTTTAATGAGTTAAAGGAAAACGTGACAATAATGAATCAGTCAACGGAGAACCTTAATAAGGAGATGGAAATTTTTAAAAAATAGGATTTTTAAAACAAATTATTTTAAGTAAAAACACTGAAAGGCAACCTAAGCAATATCATTCAGGACATAGGCATGAGCAAAGATTTATGACAAAGACACCAAAAGCATTTGCAACAAAAGTAAAAATTGACAAATGAGATCTAATTAAACTAAAGAGCTTCTGCATGGCAAAAGAAACTATCAACAGAGTACACAGACAATCATCAGAATGGAAGAAAAATTTTGCAAACTATGCATCTGACAAAGATCTAATATCCAGCATCTATGAGGAACTTAAACAAATTAACAAGAAGTAAACAAACAACCCTATTAAAAAGTGGGCAAAGGACATGAACAGACACTTTTCAAAAGAAGACATACATGTAACCAACAAGCATATGAAAAATAGCTCAACATCACTGATCTTTAGAGAAATGCAAATCAAAACCACAATAAAATACCATCTCACACCAGTCATAATGATTATTTTTAAAAAGTCAAACTATAACAGATGCTGGTGAGGTTGTGAAGAAAAAGGACACTTATACATTGTTAGTGGAAGTGTAAATTAGTTCAACCATTGTGGAAGACAGTGTGGTGATTCCCTAAAGACATAAAGCTAGAAATGCCGTTCGACTCAGTAATCCCATTATTGGGTATATACCCAAAGGAATATAAATCATTCTATTATAAAGACACATGCATGTGTGTATTCATTGCAGCACTATTTACAATAGCAAAGACATAGGATCAACACAAATGCCCATCAGTGATAACACTGGATAAAGAAAATGTGGTACATACACACCATGGAGTACTATGCAGCCATCAAAAACAATGAGATCATGTCTTTGCCAGGACATGCATGGAGCTGGAGGCCATTATTCTCAGCAAACGAATGCAGTAACAGAAAACCATGTACCATATGTTCTCACTTGTAAGTGGGAGCTAAATGATGAGAACACATGGACCTATGGAGGAAAACAGCATACACTGGAGCCTATTGGAGGGTGGAGGGTAGGAGGAGGAAGAGGATCAGGAAAAATAACTGATGGGCACTAGGCTTAATAGCTGAGTGATGGAATAATCTGTACAACAAACCCCCATGACACAAGTTTACTTATGTAACAAACCTGCACATGTATGCCTGAACTTAAAGTTAAAAACAAAGAACAAAATAGAAATTCTAAAATTAACAAGTACAATTAATACAATAAAAAATGCAATAGAAGACCTCAACAGCAGATGGGAGATGGAAAAAATCCATGAAATAGAAAATAGATAAATAGAAATGATGAACACAGAAAATATTTAAGAAATATGAGCAGAACCTCAAAGACATGTGGGACCATGTTAAGTGTACCAACATGGGTGTAACTAGAGACTCAGAAGAAGAGAAAAAGAAAGCAATGGAAAATATATTTGAAGAAATAATGGCCAGAAAATCCCCAAATTTGATGAAAACCGTTAACTACACATTCAAAAAGTTCAACAAACCCAAAGTAGGATAAATATGAAGAAATCTACACCTAGGCACATCATACTGTTAAAAGACGAAGGAAAAGAAAAAAGTCTTAAAAGCAGCAAGAGAAAAATAGGTAGATAGTCCCTGACTTACAATAGTTTGAGGATTTTTCCACTTTGTAGTGGTGCAGAAGTGATATGCATTACTAGAGACTGTACTTCGAGTACAACCATTTTGTTTTTCACTTTCAGTACAGTATTCAATAAATTATGTGAGATAGTCAGCACTTTATTATGAAATAGGGTTTGTATTAGATTATTACAACCTAGTAGGTGGTGGTCAGGATTCAAACCCAAAACTTCTGATTTCAAGTGTTTCAGAATCTACTACGTGAGGGGCCTAAATCCCATAATTCCCACTTACCTGTGAGAGCATTTTAATGTAAAATAAAGTCTTCTAATCTAAGGGAGGAAAATCATAACATTTGCAGGAGTAAGTTTTAGCTTTAACAAGTTTACCAAGAATGTACAAAATAAAATCTTAACACCAGCCATGGGGGAAGGATAGTGTGGGAGAAATGGCAGTGGGAGTGGGAACGATGGTAATTCTTGGTAGATTTTCTGCCCAAATGGGATGAAATATGCGTAAGACACTTTTGTTATTTTCATTATGTCACAATCATTATAGGATAACTGTTCATGTAATCTATTGTCATGGTACATGGTATTTAATATTTTACCAGTAAATCCTAACAGTATTCTGATAACAGAGGTTGTTTTTATTTGACTTTGTAAATATAAGGAATACAGGTAAAATAACTCTGTGGTAAGTAGAACTTAGAGTTGCAGTCTAAGTACATGGCTGTTGTTCTAATCATGGAAAAAAAATGTTCTGTTGAAATTGCTGCTGCTAAGTCCTTGCTAAAGAGTCTATTCACTATAGAATCAGAGTCAAGTGAATGGAATCGATCATTACAGGGCTCGATAGCAAACTCTGCAGGCTACACATTTTGTATCACAGTCTTTTTCTAACTTCCTCCAGTCATGAGCTGTGGGCATGATTTTCAAGTTATTTGCAACTGGATATTTGACTCTTTAAGGCCAAGAGAAAAAGTATAAAATTTATAGTAATTTTTCTTCCAGTAAAATTAAGTAAGTTACCTGGTTTATTAGGTAAGAGGTAATTTAGTATGCATATTAAACAGTAGATCATTAGCACTTAATTTTTTAAGGTCTTTCACAATGGGGAGAGTGGACAGATGATTTTTGCTCCTTGTTTTCAAATGTCCCAAAGGTCATTCTTTATTTCTCTTTAAGCCATCAGGAAACCAGGCACTCCCGACTTGTATGCCCTTTTTCTCCCCGCGTAGAAGACTGGTTTGACATGTCACAAGTGTTGTACAGGTCATTTGCGTTGCAGAAAGGAACCAGGAAGCCAGTGAAATGTAGCTGCTTTTTAAAAAAAGGTTGAAAAAATCAATAATAAATTATCTTCCTATATAGCAGTTTAGGTTCTTTGCACGTCCCCTCTGACATGTAGATGTAGTTATAAATTGATTTAGTTGGGGACCATAAAGAATCTCGCTTGCTCTGGACTGCCTAGTGAATGTGTATTAGTGAAATAAAAATAACCCACCTTGTCAGAGAGCCTTTCTAGAAGCTGCCGAACCCAGCAAGTTATTTTTATAGTTTAATGAGCTAAGCCCTGGCTTCCACAGGGAGACACAACAAGTGGAGTACTTCATAATTTACTGCTGTAAAGTGATCAGGATTCATGTTGTCTATAAAACATGAAAAACATTCTTCATTCCTTACCAATTAGATCATAGTTACAACTCACAGTTCCTTTGAGCTTAAAAGAAAAAATTTAACTGCTAGACATAAATGAATGCTGTGGTTAAATTAAACCCTTCAACAGCCCAAACAGGCTTGAAAGAAATGCCTTCTGGATGTTATTAACACGCATATTTAAGTGCTATTTTTAAATTTTAACTGCAAGCCATAGCAAGCACAAATGTTTAGAATAGCTATTTTGGCATCGTAGCATTGCTTTCACATTTTTCATCTTTCCTAATTCTTTCCAATAATTATTTCACCTTTTATTATTTTTAAAAAAATTTTTTACAGAGATAGGAAACCTGTTTTATGAAAATAATTGTATTTTGGGAAGCAAAAAGCAATTAATGTCAATGCAGCTTTGGAGTAAAAAGTTCTCTTTTCAATTATCATGTCAACAGAATTGTGTTTCATTTTCCATGAGTATTCTAACATCTGCAGGAACTGAGTATTTGAACTCAATAACTTTTAAAATGTATAATTTATTTATAATTATCATGATATATTTATTATAGAAAAATGTAAACATAACTATAAGGAAGATAATTAAAGCTACCCATACCAACCAAAGTAAAATCTGGGCATAAAACTTTCCAGTGTGTGTATGTGTGTGGGTGGGCGGTGGAGAAAGAGAGAAGGGGAGGGAGAGAAAGAGAGAGAAAGAAGACGAGAGGAGAGGAGAGGAAAGAGAAATAAAGAGGCAAAGAGAGGCAGAAAGAGAGATAAAGAGATTTAGTTTCTTATATTGTCTATATCGCAACAATATATATTTTCTTACAACATTACATCGTTTTTGAACACAAAAATGTATTAGTTTTCTAGGGCTGCCATAACAAAATATCACAGACTGGGTGGCTCTTAAATAAGTGAAATTTATTTCTCACAGTCCTGGAGGCTGGAAGTACAAGATCCACTTGTTAGTAGGTTTGGTTTCTTCTTAGTACTCTCTCCTTGGATTGTAGACTGCCAAATTCTCATTGTGTCCTCAATGACCTTTTTTATCTGTGCATGTACACATGCCCCTGACATTTCTTCCTCTTCTTGTAAGTGTGCCAGTTCTATTTGGTTAGGGCCCTATCCTTCTAAGTTCATTTAACCTTTAATACCTCTTTAAAGCCCTTATCACGACTTACAGTCATCTTGGGGGGTTAGGGCTTCAACATATGAATTTTGGGGGAACACAATTCAGTCCAGAACACATGACTTTAAAAGTTCACATCATAGTTTATCATCTGTGTCTCCTATATTTAAATAATTATGCTGATTTTGAGTAATTAGATTTATTTTTCATTGACAAATAATAATTGTGTATTTTTACATGTGCACACATACACAAATATACAAATACACAAATTACACAAATACAATGTGATGTTTATATATAAATATATAATATATATATGTACATGCATTGTGGATTATATCATGATAATTAACCTATCTACCATCTCCCATACTTATTATTTTTGTGCTGAGAACATTTAAATCTTCTCTTTTGACAATTTTGAAATATATGATATATTATAATTAAATATGGTCATCATTCTGTGCAATAGACCTCAAAAACCTATCCCTCCTGTAGAACTAAAACTTTGTAATCTTTGGCCAACATCTCTCAATTCCCTGCCCTCCCCACCGGCAACTCTGGTAACCATTTTACTCTGTAATTCTGTGAGTTCAACTTTCTAGATTCCACATATAAGTGAGATCGTGCGGTATTTGTCTTTCTATGCCAGACTTACTTTACTTAACATAATAACCTCCAGGTTCATCCATTTTATTGCAAATGTAGAGATTTCCTCTTTTTAAAAGCTGAATAGTCTTTCATTGTGTGTATATGTATGCCACATTTTCTCTATCCATTCATCCGTTGATGAACACTCAGGTTGATTCCATATCTTGGCTATTGTGAATAATGCTGCAATGAACATAGGAAGGCAGCTATCTCTTCAACATACAAATTTTATTTTCTTTGGCTATATACTTAGAAGTAGGATTGCTGTATCATATGGTATTTCTATTTTAAATTTTTTAAGGAACCTCCATGATATGGTTTGGCTCTGTGTCCCCACCCATTTCTCATCTTGAATTGTACTCCCATAATTCCCATGTGTTGTAGGAGGGACCCTGTGGGAGATAATTGATTCATGGGGGTGGTTTCCTCAGTTCACGTGGAAGTGAATAAGTCTCATGAGATCTGATGGTTTTATCAGAGGTTTCTGCTTTTGTGTTTTCCTCATTGTCTCTTTGCCTGCTGCCATCCCTGTAAGATGGGAATTGCTTTTCCTTGCCTTTGGCCGTGATTGTGAGGGTTCCCCAGCCACGTGGAACTGTAAGTCCAATTAAGCCTCTTTCTTTTGTACATTGCCCAGTCTCAGGTGTGTCTTTACCAGCAGTGTGAAAGTGGACGAATACACTCCATATTGTTTTCCCACCAACAGTGTACAAAGGTTCCCTTTTCTCTGTATCTTCACCAATGCTTGTTATAATATCATTCCTCCTTTTGATAATAGCCATTCTAGCATGTGTGAAGTGATATCCCGTTGTGGTTTTAATTTGTATTTCCCTGATGATTAGTGATATTGAGTATTTTTTTCATAAACTTGTTGTCTATTTATATGTCTTTTTCTTAAAAGAAATTTCTATTCAGGTCTTTTTCTTATTTTTTAATTGGGGTTTTTCCTTGCTATTGAGTTGTTTGAATTCCTTATATATTTTGGATATTAATCCCTTATCAGATTTATCCTTTGCAAATATTTTATTCCAGTCTGTGGGTTCTCTCTTCACTTTATTAATTGTTTTCTTTGCTCTGCAGAGGCTTTTTAGTTTGAGGATGATTAGAATTTTTGACAAATTCTTTCTGTGGTTCATCATAACACTATTATCTGCATCTTTTCTTTTCTTTCTTTTTTTTTTTTTTTTTTGAGACAGACTCTCGCTCTGTCGCCCAGGCTGGAGTGCAGTGACGTGATCTCGGCTCACTGCAAGCTCTGCCTCCTGGGTTCATGCCAGTCTCGTGCCTCAGCCTCCCGAGTAGCTGGGACTACAGGCGCCCGCCACCACGCCTGGCTAATTTTTTGTATTTTTAGTAGAGACGGGGTTTCACCATGTTAGCCAGGATGGTCTGGATCTCCTGACCTCGTGATCCGCCGGCCTCGGCCTCCCGAAGTGCTGGGATTACAGGCATGAGCCACCGCGCCTGGCTATCTGCATCTTATATATGCATCTTATCAACATCTTTGATAATTTTCCTAGTTTAAGTTACTAGAAGTAAAATTATTTGATCAGAAGACCAACAGTTTAAGCCCCTCTCTCTCTCTCCACACACACACACACACACACACACACACGGTGTTCAAAAAGTTCATGAAAAATGTGTATTGTGAAAAAAACTGTAAATAGAATTCAAAAATTTTTGCACCAAAGTGAACTCATACTAGCTTTTTTTTTTTTTGAGACTGAGTCTCTGTCTGTCCCCCAGGCTGCAGTGCAGTGGCGCGATTTTGGTTCACTGCAAGCTCTGCCTCCTGGCTTCACTGCCATTCTCCTGCCTCAGCCTCCTGCGTAGCTGGGACTCCAGGTGTCTGCCACCATACCCAGCTAATTTCTTTTTGTATAGAGACGGGTTTCGCTGTGTTAGCCAGGATGGTCTCAATCCCTGACCTCGTGATCTGCCCGCCTCGGCCTCCCAAAGTGCTGGGATTACAGGCGTGAGCCACCAGGCCCGGCCAACTCATACTAACTTTTATAACATGTCTGAAGAGGATTTAGTTTGAGGCACTAAGAAGGATGATACATCAGTTTGAAAAGAGCCCCTATCAGAGCAGCATGGATTCTGCTAAAATTGAAGCAAGAACAAACATTGAATGTATGGTGAAGTTTGGGTAGAAGGATGATGAAGTAATTAATGCTTCATGAAAAGTTTATGGATACAATACCCCAAAGAAATAAATCCAGTTTACAAATGGATAACGCATTTTAAGAGACGAGATGCTGTTGAAGATGAAGCCCACATCAGCCCACCATGTATATCAATTTGAGAGGAAAAGAAATCAATTTTGTTTGTGTCCTAATTGAAGAGGATTAATGATTAATAGCAGAAACAATAGCTAATGCCACAGATATGTCCATTGGTTCAATTTACACAATTCTGACAGAAAAATTAAAGTTCAGAAAACTTTCCACTCAGTGGGTACCAAAACCACTGAATGCAAATCAGCTACAGACAAGAGCAGAGCTTTCAATAGAAATTAAAAGTGTGATTAAGATCCTGAAGCAATTATTTGAATAATTGTAACAGGAGATGGAATGTGGCTTTACCAGTATGATCCTGAAGACAAAGCACAATCAAACCACTGGCTACCAAGAGGTAAAAGTGGTCCAGTCAAAGCAAAAGTTGATCAGTTAAGAACAAAGATGATGGCAACAGTTTTTTTTGATGATCAAAGCATTTTGCTTGACTTTTTAAAGGGCCAAAGAATGATAATATCTGCTTATTATGAGAGTTTTTGAGAAAGCCACAGCTTTAGCAGAAGAATGCCTGGGAAGTCTTCACCACAGAGTCCTTCTCCACCATGACAAGGATCTTGCTCATTCCTCTCATCACACAAGGGTTATTTTCTGAGAGTTTTTATGGGAAATCATTAGGCATCTACCTAACAGCCCTGATTTGGCTCCTTCTGACTTCTTTTTGTTTCCTAATCCTAAAAAATATTTGTCTTTGGCACCCATTTTTTTTCTTCAGTTAATAATGTAAAGAAGACTGTGTTAACATGGTTACATTTCTACATCCCTCATTTCTTTAGGGATGGACTGAATGCCTGGTATTATTGCTTACAAAAGTGTCTTGCTTTTGAAGGAGTTTATGTTGAGAAATAAAGTGTATATGTTAATTTTATATTTTAATTTTATTTTCCATGAACTTTTTGAGAACTTGGTTTTTCACTTCCTTTTCTTTTATAATTAAAGTGTTTTTTAATTAATTTAATATTTTAATTTTAGGTTCAGGGGTACATGTCCATGTTTGTTATACAGGTAAACTCATGAGTTGGGGGTTGGTGTACAGATTATTTTATAACTCGGGTACTAACCATATTACTGGAGATGTTTTTGGTTTTTTTTTCTGAACTTCTGTCTCCTCCCACCCTCTATCTTCAGGCTCTGGTGTTTGTTCTTCCCCTCTTTCTGTCCATTTACCTCCCCGTTATAACTGAAAACATGCAGGATTTGGTTTTCTGTTCCTGTATTAGTTTGCTAAGGATAATGTCCTCCAGTGCCATCCATGTTCCTGCAAAGAACATGAGCTTGTTCTTCATTTTTGGCGGCTTAGTATCCCATGGTATATATGTTAAAAATACATTTGCATTCTTATATTTACCACATTTCTTTCTACAGATCTAGGTTTTAATTAGATCTAAGTTTTAATTAGATAATATTTCTCTTCAGCCTGAAGTACATTTTAAGCATTTTCTGTGGTGCAGTATACCAGAGAGAAATTTTCTCAGGATTTGTCTCTAAATATTTATATTTTGAATTCATTTTTAAAGGATTATTTTTCTAGACATAGAGTTATATTTGACATTTCTTGACACTTGTAGATATCTTTCTATTGTCTTTTGGCTTATGTTGTTGCTCATAAGTTTATTATTCTGACTGTAGTTCACCAGTAGGTAATGTATCTATTTTTTTCTGAAGGCTTTTAAGACATTATTTTTTTCTGTTTATCTTTAGTTTCACAGCACGTTGACTGTGATATACCTAAACATCCTATTTATATCCTGTTCTGGCCTGTGATCCCTTTTGAGTTAATTTTTGTATAAGATGTAAGGTATGGGTCAAAATACATTTATTTCTGCATATGGATGTCCAATGATTTTAAGACCATTTGTTGAAAAACTATTCATTCCCTATTACATTATCTTATTTCGTTTGTCAAAAATAAATTTCCAATATATATGTGTGTGTCTATTTCTGGAGTTTTGATTATGTTTTATTGATTGTGTGTTATTTATGTATATTAACTGTGTATTTATTGTTTTACAATAGGATGCTTTCTTGATTACTATAGCTTTATATAAAACCTTAATATTAGGTAGTGTGAGTTTCCAGCTTCCTACTTCCTTTTCAACATTTTGTTTATACTAAATTATTTCATTTACATTTACATTTTAGAATGACTGGGATTTCACGTGCATTAAAGCTATTAGTGTATTTTTTTAAATTTGGATTGCATTAAAGCTATAGCCCAATTTGTGGAGAAATAACATCTTAAAAAGTTTTAGTCTTAAATCCATGAATATGGTGTGTTTTTCCATTTATTTAGGTCTTCTTTAAGATTATTCAGTGATATTTTACATGTCTTAGTATGCAAATCTTGCACATATTTTGCTAGACTTATTTCTAAGTGCTTCATATTTTGATACAATATTAAATTATATCGATCTACTTTTTGATATCAATTCCTAAGTTTTTTGTTCATGGTATATAGAAACACAAAAATATTTGTACATTAACTTTGAATCTTGCAAGTTTGCTAATTTTACTTGCTGACTTTGGAAAAAAATTATAGGTTATTTGGTTATTTGGAACTTTCTACACAAATGTTCATGTTGTCTATGTATAAATAGTGATTTAATTACTTCTTTCTAATATGAATGCTTTGTATTTATTTTTCTTTCCTATTACATTTGTAGGACTATCATGACAAAATGGAATAGATATGCTAAGAAAGTTCTTGTTTTATTCCTGATCTAAAAGAGAAATAATTCAGTTTTTTACCTTGAAGTATGATTGTTAGCTATTGGATATTTGTACATTACTTGTATCAAGTTGAAGAAGTATTATTTATTTATTTATTTATTTATTTTAGATTCAGAGGATACATGCACATGTTTCTTCCATGGGTATATTGCATAATGGTAGAGATTGGGCTTCTTTTGTACTCATCACCCATGTATTGAATATTGTACCCAACACGTAATTTTTCGGCTCTCAATCCCCTCCCATCTTCTCCACTTTTGGAGTCCCTAGTGTCTACTATTTCCATCTTTCTGTTTTTGCATACTTATTGTTTAGCTCCCACTTAAAGGTGAAAACATGAAATTTGATTTTCTGTTTCCAAATTAGTTCATTTAGGATAATGGCCTCTAGCTCCATCCATGTTGCTGTAAAGGACGTGATTTCATTCAAGTTGAGGAAATAGTTTATATTCCTAATTTGCAGACAGACTTTTAACATAAGGTGGAGGTGAATTATGCAAAATACTATTTTCTACATCGATTGAGATAATCATATGGTTTTTAGCATGGTTGATATAATAAATTACATTGATTTGATTTCAAATATTGAGCAATTTTTTTTTATCTTGGAAAAGATCTCATTCATTTGTGTTATGTCACTTTTGTTATATGTTGTTGGATTTATTTTTATAAGTTTTATTAAAATATGTATATGTTTATGAGAGATATTGGTGTGTAATTTCCTTTACTTATAATATTTGGTTTTGGTAAGAAGGTAATGCTGACCTCATAAAATGAGTTGGAAAGTGCTTCTTGCTCTTTAATTTTCTGGAAAATTTTGTGGAGAACCATCATTGTTTTTTCCTTAAATGTAGAATTCACTAGTAAATCCAACTGGCCATGGAGTTTTCTTTGTGAATTTCGTATCTTTAATATATGCAGAGCTATCAAGGCTATTTTTAAGTGAAGTTTGGTACTGTATATCTTTACAGAGATTTGTCCATTTCACTGATGGGCATATGCATATTTATAACATTCCCTTAATATCTTTTTAAATATATGTAAGATCTATGTGATATTCCCTCTTTCATTCCTGATACTAGTAATTTGAATCTTCTGTCTTTTTATCCTTGGTCAGTCTTGCTAGAAATTTATGATTTTTATTGATCTTTTTAAAGAATCAGCTTTTAGATTCATAGATTTTTCTCTTTTGCTTTTCTGTTTTTTATTTCACTGATTTTTGCTCAGAGTTATTGACTTCTTTCCACTAAGTTTGGGTTTGTTCTGCTCTTCTTTTTCTAGTTTAAGATGGAAATTACATCATTGAGTTCTCTTGTTCATCTAAGTTAACTATTTAAAGTCATAAAGTTTCTTCTAATCACTGCTAAAGCTTCATCCTATATATATTTATATGTAGTGGTTTTGTTTTCATTCAATTCAAAATATTTTTAACTTTCTCTTCAGATTTCTTTTTTGACTCATAAGGTTTTCATTTGTAATTTTTTTACAACTCTTTTGCTTAATTTTATCACGATAATTTTGAAATCTCTTTCTGTTAATGTAACTATTTGGGCCATTTTGCCACCTCCTTCTTGGGACTATATTCCTCTGTTTACCATGTGTTAACATTTTCTTGATTCTTCACAGGTTTCATAATATTTGATCATATGCCAGTTACTAGTTTTATGATACATTTTGACATATGCCAACCAGTAAGTATTATTAACCCCCTGAAAAGGGCATACCTCGTTGGTCATGTTGCCACTGTGGAGGGCTGAATGCTACTAATCTGCAGTTAAGCTCAGTTGGGGTTGTGTTACAGCTTTAGTTAAATTTAGTTTATTATTGACCTTAAATGGTTTGAGTGTGGAATCAGCACTTATTTTTTCCTGCAGTGCCTGGGATCTGAGCACTAGCTAGATTTTAGGTATCTCTTTATGCTTTGCATTCTAAATGCCAGATCTCTTTCTGTTTTATAAGCTGATTGACAACTTTATGGATCACTGGGGAGTTGTCTTGTTTTTGTTTTTGTTGTTTTCCTGTGCAGTCCTTCCTAGCTTTTTGGGTCCTGAAAGACTCTGTCAACCTGGCTCCTCTGACCCAGCATTCAGCACTGATGCTTCAGCATCAGTGAAGGTGCAGCATGCCTTTGAGAGACTTCACTCCTTCTTCTGCCTGCCCTCAACCTTCAGCGGGCTATTGCTGGGTGTTCTGTGAATGTGTGGGGTGCCTGGTCAGGGAGGAGTTCTCTTAGTTTTCTAGCTCTACTTTCTGCCTTCAGCCCATAGCAGCGAATTCTTATAGTAATGTGGAGGAATTTCCCCTCAACTCTCCTGTTCCACCAATAGGCTTCAACGCACCTCTCCCATGGCCGTCTTTAGGCTTTCAGGAGTGTTATTGGGTGGGTGTAGGCTTGTTCTGTGACTGGGGACCCTTGGGATTCTAATCCCATGCAGGGACTGTGTAGCCGAGGTATGAGGCCAGTTCTCCCCAGGGGACTTTTATTGGCTCTGAGTGTCAAGCTTGATTCCTCAAAGGGAAACACACCCTTGCAGTCAAAGACTTGCTAAAATAACCAGTTTTTCTAATTGTGTCCTGTTGAAGAAGGAAAATAGATTCTTATTCCACTGATGCAAACAACTATATTGCCATAAGTTAAAGTGCTCACTGACAGTTTCCAAATTCTAGAGGAACTAGGCAGAGAGAAACAAACATGCTCCAATTTGTTCACAGGAGTATACCTTACTCAATTATTGAAGGCCATAAGTAGTTCAAAATAAATTTTCTTGACTCTGAAAAACAAAACAAGGATCAGCAATATTCCAAGTAAGAGTCAAAAAGGTTGCTTTAACTTTCTGCATGTAGTCCATTTAGTTAACACTTGTTTTGCTTGATGGTTGTAAATATTTCAGTTCTTCATGAGTCCCATACATTCTTTCTCTATCCCAATGTTACAACCTTCAAAGCTATTAACAACCTGTTAAAGTCCTAATATAGCTTTATTATCTTTTCAGAAGGAACAAAGCAAGACAACAATGGTCTACAAATGACAAAGTTTACTGGGCAGTTATAGCTAAAAACATGACTGACGAAGTTTAGTTATCTCCGTGGTTTACAATAACTTCACCCTTAATTATGATTGTAGTAAATACTCAGACATTAGAATTTTAGAAATCCATACAATTTTGGAACATATATTAGTATTATTCACCAAAATAAAACTTAAAGAAGATTGGACATACTTTGGCAATCTCATGTGACTAAACATGTTGAATAATCCCATTCACCTCTTTTCTGAATGTTTCAGGGACCCCTTGAACCATCCAGAAAGCCAGGCATCAGGAAAGACAATTTTGAAACTTGAAGTTTGATTTTAGGATGCCTGTTAAATGTTGGAGGTTTAAAACACTTCGTGTTATGAAATAGAAATCCAAATTGTCACAAATTATTTATTTTGCCAAAATGATGACTCAAAAGGCAAAGACCTCTTATTAGCCTTTATTATTACACAAAAATCCTGTTCAAAGCCAAATTTTACCCTTGCATTAGTTTACTAATGTTAACCCCAATTTGGTTAAATGAAACCTTATAGACGATTCCATCTATTCTTAACCAATTTGACCATGAGGTAAAATCTTTACAAACACTTTATAACCCCTTTTGCTAAAGGGCAGATTAGTGTCTTAAGACAACCTTGCTGTGCTTTTACTTTAATGCTCAGTTTATGGAAAGACCATATAATACCCTTTTGAATTTAATGTTTACACATTTTTGGCAAGATTAATTTTTACAATCTTTCCACAACTTTTTAGCTTCATCATATCAAATTTAAGATAATCCTTCATCCCTGGGCAAAATTTACATTTCCATGCTTTCTTATATTCTTTTACTATAAGACACATTTTACTGTTTTTATATGCCTTGCATATAACACTGTTTAGTGATCTCAAATACATGTTGCACTGTAACTCTTAGCAACTTTTACTTTTGGTGAAAAACCTGGTTAGTAAATGATTTTAAATACGTAGCAAGTATGAAGCTTAGGACCCAGACAGAAGTACAAGTAAGGTCTGACCCGCTCCAGTGTCTAGCTCCACATGTCCCAGGCCTTACCTACCTTTAAAGAAGACAGTATACAACCTTGGAATCTTTAGCAAACCTAGTATCTAAGTTGTATGATTTAGATCACCTATTTGCATTTTGATGACACTTGCATTTTACCAATAATTCTTAAGACTATTTCTATTTCTTAGTGATTAAAGTCACATGAACTAAAAAAATTTGATTTAAGCACTTATTTTTCTTTAAGCCAATCAATTAGAGCTCTTTTCATAGACATAACGCACAACACATATATACATACATCTATATCTATATCTATATATCTATATCTATATCTATAAACACACACACAAAAGAAAAAAAGATTCAGCACTTGTATAAGATTTTTCACTTGCCAGTTTCTTAATTGTATTATTGGCTTTAGGGTGGAGCCCTTGGAGGAACAGGGCCAGGTAGCGTGCATTTTTAGGGCCTAATAAGCAGACACAGCTTAAAGCAAAGACAGATCTCTAAAATTAAGGGTGCCATTTTATACTGATTTTAGATCCTCAAAAGGAGGAAGATGCTATGGCAGAAGACAGTGCAGTGCTTCTACTTTCTACCATGTATTTCATTGCAAGGCAACCCAAAGCCTATCGGCTTATTTTGTAATCATCCTATACCCCATGGGAGTCTAATCTCTCAGTGGCAGGTGGTGATGTTTCTATGTCTTTCAGGTGGTCAAGAACATGCTTCTCTGATTTATAACTACTATTAAGTATCCCTTAAAGTGCATTTCCTGCCTAGTTATTACACACCAAAGCTCTCTCTTAATGTGAAGTAATTGGATACCCCCAAAACTCAAAACAGTCGGAAAACACAATGCAAAACAGAAAAGAGCCTTTGATTCTGAGAGGGAGCTATATGCTTTCAATTCCTGGGGTTTCATGAGAAAAACAGAGGTTTTTTTCCCAACACATGGTCTGTGCCACCTCCTCTGTTTTTCCCAAGGAGTCTCATGCTACCAGAAGTTATCTTAGGGCCTCTCATATGTGCGTTAAGAGTGGCGAGACAAAAAAATGGAGAAAAAATAATTCAGTTGACTGAGAACAACAACAACAAAAAGCCCTTTTCCAGAAAACAAGATCCAAGAAGAGAAAAACATGAAGACCTTTTAAATATACCTATAACTTGAATATCTACTTTTAATTAAGCTGAATGCTCTTTAAGAAATTTCCTTTAAATCCTTATTACTTGACTCTAGCCATGACAAGCAGTTAAGATTTTTGGCTTTTGAATGTCACAACAAGTACCTCACAGGTGAAACCAACAAGCCTTAATTAGGTTATGACTTAACTGCAAGTGTATGAGGTATTTTCAAAGGGGTGATAAACAGCTTTTGAAACTGTCATTGCAAAATTGTGACTGAGAAAGTGAAAGAGATCTGACTCAAACAACTTCATTTTATTTCCAGCCACCAAGGTTTCCTTTCCCATCCTTGGGCACAGGCGGAACCAAATTTGGGAGGAGCCTGGTTTACAGTTGCCAGTCAAAAACAAAGAAGATAACAGCCCCTTCTTAAGATATATTTCCCTCTTGCCTAGGACCAGACCAAGAAATTAGCCACAAGATTAGAAACCATGGTCTAGGAGTCATACAGCTAGAGGCTACAAGATATTGACCCTCCCTAAACTGCTTTCAAGATCAGTGCTTAAATAAGATCAGTGCTTGTAAACCCCACCCTTGATGGATCAACTGGCACCACCCAGATTGATAAACTGGCTTATCAGATTTTGTGACCCTCAGTTACGTACTGACTTAGCACAACAAGACAGCCACTATTGTACAATGGTGGAGACTAAAACAAAGTATTGCCATATGGTTACAGGTCATGTTCCCAAGGACATGAAACAAGATGGAGGCCTGTAGCCAAGTTTATTACTAACCATTTTGTTGGGCTGGCTTGAACAGTAGGCTTATGGGGCTCTGGATCTGCATCCTAACCTAAGGTACCCTTTCTTTTAACAGAACCATACAGAAAGCAGCACAAAACACACCAGATTGGCTACAGCTTAGAACCAACCTCACAAATCTGTTTTATTAATGAAAACTATGCAGAGAATATAAATAATAATTCTTATTATCCCTTTTACTGGTTTGCACAGGGAGAGAGAAGACAAAAGCCTGACTGGTAAGAAATTTTTACCCTTTTGCTGGCATGTCACGCTTCTGGGTTGCCTTCCCCCTAGCTCAACTCTAAGCCAAACATTTTAAATTTTGGAAAATTAACTTTTCCCCTGTTAGAACAACATTATAAAAGAAGATACAGGAGCCATTTTATTTTATTTTATTTTTTTATCTTTTATTTTATTTTATTTTATTTTTTTTAATTATACTTTAAGTTTTAGGGTACATGTGCACATTGTGCAGGTTAGTCACATATGTATACATGTGCCATGCTGGTGCGCTGCACCCACTAACTCGTCATCTAGCATTAGGTATATCTCCCAATGCTATCCCTCTCCCCTCCCCCCACCCCACAACAGTCCCCAGAGTGTGATATTCCCCTTCCTGTGTCCATGTGATCTCATTGTTCAATTCCCATCTATGAGTGAGAATATGTGGTGTTTGGTTTTTTGTTCTTGCGATAGTTTACTGAGAATGATGATTTCCAATTTCATCCATGTCCCTACAAACAACATGAACTCATCATTTTTTATGGCTGCATAGTATTCCATGGTGTATATGTGCCACATTTTCTTAATCCAGTCTATCATTGTTGGACATTTGGGTTGGTTCCAAGTCTTTGCTATTGTGAATAATGCCACAATAAACATACATGTGCATGTGTCTTTATAGCAGCATGATTTATAGTCCTTTGGGTATACACCCAGTAATGGGATGGCTGGGTCAAATGGTATTTCTAGTTCTAGATCCTTGAGGAATCGCCACACTAACTTCCACAATGGTTGAACTAGTTTACAGTCCCACCAACAGTGTAAAAGTGTTCCTATTTCTCCACATCCTCTCCAGCACCTGTTGTTTCCTGACTTTTTAATGATCACCATTCTAACTGGTGTGAGATGGTATCTCATTGTGGTTTTGATTTGCATTTCTCTGATGGCCAGTGATGATGAGCATTTTTTCATGTGTTTTTTGGCTGCATAAATGTCTTCTTTTGAGAAGTGTCTGTTCATGTCCTTTGCCCACTTGTTGATGGGGTTGTTTGTTTTTTCTTGTAAATTTGTTTGAGTTCATTGTAGATTCTGGATATTAGCCCTTTGTCAGATGAGTAGGTTGCGAACATTTTCTCCCAATTTGTAGGTTGCCTGTTCACTCTGATGGTAGTTTCTTTTGCTGTGCAGAAGCTCTTTAGTTTAATTAGATCCCATTTGTCAATTTTGGCTTTTGTTGCCATTGCTTTTGGTGTTTTAGACATGAAGTCCTTGCCCATGCCTATGTCCTGAATGGTAATGCCTAGGTTTTCTTCTAGGGTTTTTATGGTTTTAGGTCTAACATTTAAGTCTTTAATCCATCTTGAATTGATTTTTGTATAAGGTGTAAGGAAGGGATCCAGTTTCACCTTTGTACATATGGCTAGCCAGTTTTCCCAGCACCATTCATTAAATAGGGAATCCTTTCCCCATTGCTTGTTTTTGTCAGGTTTGTCAAAGATCAGATAGTTGTAGATATGCGGCGTTATTTCTGAGGGCTCTGTTCTGTTCCATTGATCTATATCTCTGTTTTGGTACCAGTACCATGCTGTTTTGGTTACTGTAGCCTTGTAGTATAGTTTGAAGTCAGGTAGTGTGATGCCTCCAGCTTTGTTCTTTTGGCCTAGGATTGACTTGGCAATGCGGGCTCTTTTTTGGTTCCATATGAACTTTAAAGTAGTTTTTTCCAATTCTGTGAAGAAAGTCATTGGTAGCTTGATGGGGATGGCATTGAATCTGTAAATTACCTTGGGCAGTATGGCCATTTTCACGATATTGATTCTTCCTACCCATGAGCATGGAATGTTCTTCCATTTGTTTGTATCCTTTTTTATTTCATTGAGCAGTGGTTCGTAGTTCTCCTTGAAGAGGTCCTTCACGTCCCTTGTAAGTTGGATTCCTAAGTATTTTATTCTCTTTGAAGCAATTGTGAATGGGAGTTCACTCATGATTTGGCTCTCTGTTTGTCTGTTATTGGTGTATAAGAATGCTTGTGATTTTTGTACATTGATTTTGTATGCTGAAACTTTGCTGAAGTTGCTTATCAGCTTAAGGAGATTTTGGGCTGAGACAATGGGGTTTTCTAGATATACAATCATGTCGTCTGCAAACAGGGACAATTTGACTTCCTCTTTTCCTAATTGAATACCCTTTATTTCCTTCTCCTGCCTAATTGCCCTGGCCAGAACTTCCAACACTATGTTGAATAGGAGTGGTGAGAGAGGGTATCCCTGTCTTGTGCCAGTTTTCAAAGGGAATGCTTCCAGTTTTTGCCCATTCAGTATGATATTGGCTGTGGTTTTGTCATAGATAGCTCTTATTATTTTGAAATACGTCCCATCAATACCTAATTTATTGAGAGTTTTTAGCATGAAGGGTTGTTGAATTTTGTCAAAGCCCTTTTCTGTAATTATTGAAATAATCATGTGGTTTTTGTCTTTGGCTCTGTTTATATGCTGGATTACATTTATTGATTTGCGTATATTGAACCAGCCTTGCGTCCCAGGGATGAAGCCCACTTGATCATGGTGGATAAGCTTTTTGATGTGCTGCTGGATTCGTTTTGCCAGTATTTTATTGATGATTTTTGCATCGATGTTCATCAAGGATATTGGTCTAAAATTCTCTTTTTTGGTTGTGTCTCTGCCAGTCTTTGGTATCAGAATGATGCTGGCCTCATAAAATGAGTTAGGGAGGATTCCCTCTTTTTCTATTGATTGGAATAGTTTCAGAAGGAATGGTACCAGTTCCTCCTTGTACCTCTGGTAGAATTCGGCTGTGAATCCATCTGGTCCTGGACTCTTTTTGGTTGGTAAGCTATTGATTACTGCTTCAATTTCAGATCCTGTTATTGGTCTATTCAGAGATTCAACTTCTTCTTGGTTTAGTCTTGGGAGAGTGTATGTGTCGAGGAATTTATCCATTTCTTCTAGATTTTCTAGTTTATTTGCGTAGAGGTGTTGGTAGTATTCTCTGATGGCAGTTTGTATTTCTGTGGGATCGGTGGTGATATCCCCTTTATCATTTTTTATTGTGTCTATTTGATTCTTCTCTCTTTTTTTCTTTATTAGTCTTGCTAGCAGTCTATCAATTTTGTTGATCCTTTCAAAAAACCAGCTTCTGGATTCATTAATTTTTTGAAGGGTTTTTTGTGTCTCTATTTCCTTCAGTTCTGCTCTGATTTTAGTTATTTCTTGCCTTCTGCTAGCTTTTGAATGTGTTTGCTCTTGCTTTTCTAGTTCTTTTAATTGTGATGTTAGGGTGTCAATTTTGGATCTTTCCTGCTTTCTCTTGTGGGCATTTAGTGCTATAAATTTCCCTCTACACACTGTTTTGAATGCGTCCCAGAGATTCTGGTATGTTGTGTCTTTGTTCTCGTTGGTTTCAAAGAACCTCTTTATTTCTGCCTTCATTTCGTTATGTACCCAGTAGTCATTCAGGAGCAGGTTGTTCAGTTTCCATGTAGTTGAGTGGTTTTGAGTGAAATTCTTAATCCTGAGTTCTAATTTGATTGCACTGTGGTCTGAGAGATAGTTTGTTATAATGTCTGTTCTTTTGCATTTGCTGAGGAGAGCTTTACTTCCAAGTATGTGGTCAATTTTGGAATAGGTGTGGTGTGGTGCTGAAAAAAACGTATATTCTGTTGATTTGGGGTGGAGAGTTCTGTAGATGACTATTAGGTCCGCTTGGTGCAGAGCTGAGTTCAATTCCTGGGTATCCTTGTTGACTTTCTGTCTCGTTGATCTGTCTAATGTTGACAGTGGGGTGTTAAAGTCTCCCATTATTAATGTGTGGGAGTCTAAGTCTCTTTGTAGGTCACTCAGGACTTGCTTTCTGAATCTGGGTGCTCCTGTATTGGGTGCATATATATTTAGGATAGTTAGCTCTTCTTGTTGAATTGATCCCTTTACCATTATGTAATGGCCTTCTTTGTCTCTTTTGATCTTTGTTGGTTTAAAGTTTGTTTTATCAGAGACTAGGATTGCAACCTCTACCCCACGGAGTCTCGCTAATTGCTAGCACAGCAGTCTGAGATCAAACTGCAAGGGGTCAGCGAGGCTGGGGGAGGGGCGCCCGCCATTGCCCAGGCTTGCTTAGGTAAACAAAGCAGCCGGGAAGTTCGAACTGGGTGGAGCCCACCACAGCTCAAGGAGGCCTGCCTGCCTCTGTAGGCTCCACCTCTGGGGGCAGGGCACAGACAAACAAAAAGACAGCAGTAACCTCTGTAGACTTAAATGTCCCTGTCTGACAGCTTTGAAGAGAGCAGTGGTTCTCCCAGCACACAGCTGGAGATCTGAGAACGGGCAGACTGCCTCCTCAAATGGGTCCCTGACCCCCTGACCCCCGAGCAGCCTAACTGGGAGGCACCCCCCAGCAGGGGCACACTGACACCTCACACGACAGGGTGTTCCAACAGACCTGCAGCTGAGGGTCCTGTCTGTTAGAAGGAAAACTAACAAACAGAAAGGACATCCACACCAAAACCCCATCTGTACATCACCATCATCAAAGACCAAAAGTAGATAAAACCACAAAGATGGGGAAAAAACAGAACAGAAAAACTGGAAACTCTAAAAAGCAGAGCGCCTCTCCTCCTCCAAAGGAACACAGTTCCTCACCAGCAACGGAACAAAGCTGGATGGAGAATGACTTTGATGAGCTGAGAGAAGAGGGCTTCAGACGATCAAATTATTCTGAGCTACGGGAGGACATTCAAACCAAAGGCAAAGAAGTTGAAAACTTTGAAAAAAATTTAGAAGAATGTATAACTAGAATAACCAATACAGAGAAGTGCTTAAAGGAGCTGATGGAGCTGAAAACCAAGGCTCGAGAACTACGTGAAGAATACAGAAGCCTCAGGAGCCGATGCGATCAACTGGAAGAAAGGGTATCAGCAATGGAAGATGAAATGAATGAAATGAAGCGAGAAGGGAAGTTTAGAGAAAGAAGAATAAAAAGAAATGAGCAAAGCCTCCAAGAAATATGGGACTATGTGAAAAGACCAAATCTACGTCTGATTGGTATACCTGAAAGTGATGGGGAGAATGGAACCAAGTTGGAAAACACTCTGCAGGATATTATCCAGGAGAACTTCCCCAATCTAGCAAGGCAGGCCAACATTAAGTTTCAGAAAATACAGAGAACGCCACAAAGATACTCCTCGAGAAGAGCAACTCCAAGACACATAATTGTCAGATTCACCAAAGTTGAAATGAAGGAAAAAATATTAAGGGCAGCCAGAGAGAAAGGTCGGGTTACCCTCAAAGGGAAGCCCATCAGACTAACAGCGGATCTCTCGGCAGAAACCCTACAAGCCAGAAGAGAGTGGGGGCCAATATTCAACATTCTTAAAGAAAAGAATTTTCAACCCAGAATTTCATATCCAGCCAAACTAAGCTTCATAAGCGAAGGAGAAATAAAATACTTTACAGACAAGCAAATGCTGAGAGATTTTGTCACCACCAGGCCTGCCCTAAAAGAGCTCCTGAAGGAAGCACTAAACATGGAAAGGAACAACCGGTACCAGCCGCTGCAAAATCATGCCAAAATGTAAAGACCATCAAGACTAGGAAGAAACTGCATCAACTAACGAGCAAAATAACCAGGTAACAACATAATGACAGGATCAAATTCACACATAACAATATTAACTTTAAATGTAAATGGACTAAATGCTCCAATTAAAAGACACAGACTGGCAAATTGGATAAAGAGTCAAGACCCATCAGTGTGTTGTATTCAGGAAACCCATCTCACGTGCAGAGACACACATAGGCTCAAAATAAAAGGATGGAGGAAGATCTACCAAGCAAATGGAAAACAAAAAAAGGCAGGGGTTGCAATCCTAGGAGCCATTTTAAGCCACAAAAGAAGGAAAATTATCATAGAAACCAGTTAAGGTTGTCAAGAGGTACTGCCTCTCTTCCTCTTGGGAACGATGTTTTCCCTACTTCTTTGCCTTCATTTTTTTCTCTTTTTCTTTTAGTCCTACTCTAGGAGCTATATTGCTCATCTCCAAATTTCTCTGCTGCCTACAGAGCTGCTTGCTTCTCCGCTGTGGTTAGGGTTTGACTTAGGAGCAGCATAACATCCTGTCATGTCAAATACCTGAGTTAAATTTTGGAAGCTTCTATATACCTATCAGGGTCGTTAGAAATTGGTCTAAGTCTCCCTTTATTTGCCTAAGGTCCTGTAATAAGAAGGAAACTTGAGAGGGCCCCAAATAAGGGGGATCCTCAGATTGTTGCCCTGGCAGATGCTTCTCTAACTTTGGAGAATCATTCTCTGTAGGCCTGCCTGATAGGACTACTGAAACAGCTAGGTTGATTTTGTAATGCTTGCCAAAGTCTGGGTTGTCTCTCAGACCTTGGCAAGCAACACTGGGTTGTGTAAAAAAAAGTGCAAACAACAACAACAACAACAACAACAAAACCTGTACAGAAGTCACCTTGGGCCATTTGCCTTCCTGTCTGCAAAAAAGATCTAATTGTTGGATAATATTAAAATTAAGGCTCCTTTCCACAGGCCAAGCTGGTTCAAGAGGATAAGAAGACCATGCCCTTGTCCGAAAGAAAATGAGCCGCTTTTTCTCTAAAGTTTCAGGGTGAAAGGAGTTGCAGTGCTTCAGAATGCACTCCAGGGGAGTGTAGGCTGAAGATGATACCCAGCTAGAAACAGAAGTGAGAAAAATTCATCTCGTTAGTCTCCTTCCTTTTGGTGTGACCTGGGATGGAGAGGAAGACAGTGGGGGCATCCCCCCTGCTGTTTTCTCCCCATGGTTCCTGGGTCCTGGCACCTTGTTGAACATGTGACTCATGGTGGCAGGTGTGACCCCCCCCAGCCATGGAACCAGAGGAACTAAGCCATTGGGGTTAGTCGCGCTCACCCAACTGGCTCTAGTTCTCTGCCTGTGATTTCTCTGACTTCCTAGACTTTTGTGACCTGCCTGGCTCCCTGAAAAATGGATCTCAAGAAAAGCTACATAATAGTTGGTCAAGGCCCCTTTAATGAAGGGGGTGTGCTAGATTGAACTCTATATCCTGCTATTATGGCCTGTGCTGAAGTGTTTACTCTTAGAGAATGGTTCCGGTTAACTTCTGAACTTAAAATCTCCTTTCTAATTAAGTGCCACTCTAAATAGAAGCAGAATAAGTGCCTTAAAAGAATGTAGCAACCAAATGACCATTTTCCTTCTGATGGGACAGTATTGAGACTAAAATTTGGCTTTGGAGGGAATTTTACCCCTAATCGTTGAAGGCCGAATTTTCCCATTTACAGAAGCAGCACGAAGCCTGGTTTTTAGTAGAGAGGCGCAAAAAGGGAAGAGAATTGGGAAGCAAGGGTGTTTCAGTAAAGGACTGACAATGTGCCTCATGGAGAGGATCTCTATTCCACTAGGTGGTGCTGTTGACCTTGAAACACCATGTGCTCTCCAGACCAAGGGTGGAGAGAGACCTGGAAATGCCACGTGCTTTCCAGACCAAGGGCAAAGAGAGATGCTCAGTGTCCAGGCGGCAGGGTGGGGGTTGGGGACGGTCTCTGTCCTTAGAAAATCACAAAGATGCCTTCCCCTGAGGTATATTTCCAGTTACTATTACATTCTTTGATCTTGCCAAACAAGATTACTTCCCTGAACTATAGAACTTCCCACACATTGCATACACAGAGAGGATAAGAGGTACGACGATTGCGGACAGAAAAGGAAGAAATTATGATAGGAAAGTGGGAGATCCTGTTGTTGACACCCCATTGGGGCGGTCAGAGGCTGGGGTGAGTCCAGAAGTCTTTGGATAACACTGGCGGGACCCCTGGCCAGAAATCCTCAGTTGCCACAGGACTTCTTCCAGTCCCACGTGACGGCTAAGTCCTTCATGAAAAGAAGCTGGTTTAAACATAGCCAATATGCCCAGCAACCCTTGGGTATTGGAGAATTCTCCATGTTCTTCCGAGCAAGCCTGTTCCCGAATCTTGTAAGGCTGGCATTCATGCTAATCATTTTTAAATGGCTGAAGGGATTCCAGTAATTGGTTTTATTTGGTTCTAAAATGAAGGCCAAAAGCCTCAGAATAAAAGGACAGAGTTGGAGTCCTCTCCTCTACTCTCATCATTTTGATGAATGTTATACATTGGTATCCCAGACGAGCCCCCATTTTGAAGTGGCTATGTTGTCTGGGGTGTGTATACACTGGGGTTTGTTGTCACGTGCCAGGAAAATTTAGGATATGGACACACATGAGGAGTTTAGGAGCAGAGGTTTAATGGGTAGGAGAGAAGACAAAGAGAAACAGCTTCCTCTATAGAGGAAGGGGTCTCCAAGCGGAAAAGACCAGCTGGTGGTGAATCCATCGAGTTTTATAGTCCAGTTTGAGGAAGTGGTGTCTGATTTACATAGAGCTCATAGATTGGTTTGATCAGATATGACGTTTGCATGGTGCGCAGGGAAGCCTAATCTTTTTATGCAACTGGGCTTTCCAGTTGATTAGCGCCATCTTGTCTGCTCCTTTACAGTACACCTGGCTGGCAAAGAAGGGAAGATGGAACCACCATCTTGAACATACCTAATCCTTAGTTCCTGCCAGCATCCACCTGTGCAAACTTCCAGCTTGCAGGGTGCTTTTTGTTAGAAAATGATTTGGGGCTGCTTTTCATTAAAAATAAAAGCCTTACTGAGGACTCCCATACCCTTGCTCTCTGCCTAAGTGATTTTTTCTTAACTCTTATATCAGTGATTTATTCTTTAAATGTAGGGGTGTGTGGCTTAACATTTGTCTAGTATGCCCTTTGGTCCTGTTTTTAATTTGATATCTTATTGCCCCAAAAAGTCTGTTCTTTCAGCCATACAATCTCTATTTTTAACATGAATGCTGGTCAGTTGTGTCTAAACTCAAAAAGGGAGAAGGTATAATGAGATATGTCTGACCTGCTGTCCTGTCACGGCTGGGAACTCAGTGTTAAGGTTTTTTTGGAGTTTCCTTGGCCACAGGGCGTCCCTTCAGTCAGTGGGGGGCTTAGTATTTTACGTTTATAGGCATTAGAAGTTCATTACAATTTTAGCTGGTTTGTCTTTACCTTCATCTGCGGTGGATTTCTTCTTGTCCTACAGCTCTTCCAAAGCTAAAAACCCCCAAAGTTTTTCTCTCCTCAGATGAGCTTATCATGATTAAAATTTACCTCATTTAGATATCTTTGTGCCTTGGGCTTTGTGATTTTAAAAACTAAAACAAAACAAAACTAGAATCTTATTGCTTATCCAGCTTGTTCTCATTATTAGGATAGTAGCAACAGTCTTTTTGTGGCTTTCTACATCTTAATTGGTAGTAGAGTGACCCCACTGGAATTTTCCTGGGAAACTAGTGTTAAGCTAATTAATAATTTTGGCAAAAATTGATAACTCAAAGTATCCAAACTTACCATCCTGAAACATACTCTAACTCTCCACTTAAATGTTTATATAGTTTGACCTGGGTCCTAGTTTTAGCCATTGATCCTAATAATTTTTTCTTAAAGAGTAGTTAAAGATAAGAATGTTTGAATATAGCAGCATTTTTGTTATGTGTAAAACTGAAAAAGCCTAAATGTGTAATAATATGAATGATTTAATACATTACAATTCTTTCCTGTGTTGAATTTTTTTAGTGAAGAAAAATCACATTTTTGACGCCTGTATAACAACATGGAAAAAGTTCAGGTTTTATTTTTTCAAAACATACTTATTGAGAATTTGTTAAATTTCAAATATCATAGCAAGGGCTAACTATGCCTAGATAAATAAAATATACAATGTTTCTGTCTGGATTGAGTTTATAATCTGGTGGAAGAGATAAAGAAGCAAACAAATATAAAATCATAAACCTTGATGTAATACCAAGTAAATGAAAGGGATGATATTTCTAATATCAATCTGTTAGAAACATAAAACCAAATTAATTAGAAAGATGCGGTCATATAACAAGTGGAAAGAAAAACAGTTCAGGCAGTGGGAACAGCATGTGAAGACCCTAGAAAGAGCTAGAGCTGCATATATGGTTTTTGGATTAATGGAAGGTTGCAGGACTAAAAAAAACACATTCAGCAAATAGGGGAGTCAGGACGTAGAAGACTGAATAGAAGTCAGAGATCTGTCCATTCACTGCTTTGCAAGGCTTCAAAGGCAAGGGGTTTAGATTTGTTTCGTAGTGAAAGTGTTTCTCATGTAAGTGTTTGAACTGATTTTAAACACAATCTGGTTTATGTTGTTGCAAAAATAAAAAGTCTTTTGAGTGGAGAATTGATGAAAGAGAGGCATAAGTAAGAAGACTAGACAAGAGGCTACCTGGTAGTCCAGGTGAGAAAGAAAAGTGGCATAAATAGATTGCAGTTTCTTTCATAAACGGCGTCAATATCTGAGACATGTTTTGGAAGTAGAATGGCTAGGATTTTCTAATAATTTGGATGGGGGCATGAAAAGAGAAGTCAGGGTTGATTTCCAGGTTTGTGGCTTAAGGAGAAAATAGGTGGAAAGTGATACTAATTTCTGAGATAAGGGAGATGAAGAGATAGAAAGTGTAGGAAATGGGATGCTTTAAATCAAGTCCTTTGTTTTAGATATGTTGATCTTCATATCCATGTGGGGCTGCCAGCCAGGAAGTTGGATTTGAAGCTGATGGGGAGGTTTAAGCTGAGGCTAATTTAGGAAGCTGTCAGCACATATTTTTAAGTGAGAAAAAGCAAAGCATAATAAAGTATGTATTTTGTGATCTCAATTATAGTGAAGCATATGCAACTATATGCAAAATACAATGTTATTGGCAGTTGTCTATGGGGGTGGAATTATGATTGGATTTCCTTCTTTCTTTGTGACCTTCAATATTTACTGAATATATAAACAAATATTACTTTAAAGGTAATTTATTAGAAGTATTCAGGAGTACAATATAGTCTCTGAGACTCTAGGAATAGCTACTGCTTCCTTCTTTCTTATGATTTCCTTGACCCTCTCTGCATATTGATTTCTCTCCTCCACTCAAAACATTGGGTTTCAATAAGAAAAAAAGCCATCTAAAATACTGTAATAGTCTTTTATTATTTGGTGGTTAGTGTTATAGAAGAGAAACTGAAGTCTTTGTACTTTCTTTTCAATCTACAAACATATATAATAATTCTTGGTATTTGGCTATTATTTTTTCTGTTATTGTTGAATATTTTCAATATGCATTTTCAGAATTTAAAATTTTTTTTACCAATAAATTATTTTCTATTTTTTTTAGAAGTACTAAACTTCATGCCAAAGGATTTATCTATTGAGTATATATGTACACCTCCCACCAACACACACATTGGTCTTCTTTTTGAGCTTCCTTTAATGTCTTTCATCTTTTCTTTAGTTATTTCATTGCCTTTCCTTTTTTTGTGTCTTTTGTATAAGACTTGCCTTTTTGGGAGGTTCCAAGATGACTGAATAGGAACAGCTCCTGTCTACAGCTCCCAGCATGAGTGACACAGAAGATGGGTGATTTTTGCATTTCCAACTGAGGTACCGGGCTCATCTCATTGGGGCTTGTCGGACAGTGGGTGCAGCCCACAGAGCATGAGCTGAAGCAGGGTGGGGAATCACCTCAACTGGGAAGCACAAGGGGTTGAGGAATTCCCTTTCCTAGCCAAGGGAAGCCGTGACAGGCAGTACCTGGAAAATTGGGACACTCCCACCCTAATACTGTGTTTTTCCAACAGTCTTAGCAAATGGCACATCAGGAGATTATATCCCGTGCCTGGCTCGGAGGGTCCCATACCCATGGAACCTTGCACACTGCTGGTACAGCAGTCTGATATCAAACTGCAAGGCAGCAGCGACGCTGGGGGAGGGGCGTCCGCCATTGCTGAGGCTTGAGTAGGTAAACAAAGCAGCCGGGAAGCTTGAACTGGGTGGAGTCCACCACAGCTCAAGGAGGCCTGCCTGCCTCTGTAAACTCCACCTCTGGGGGCAGGGCATAGGCAAACAAAAGGCAGCAAACACTTCTGCAGACTTAAACATCCCTGTCTGACAGCTTTGAAGAGAGTAGTGGTTCTCCCAGCATGGCGTTTGAGATCTGAGAATGGACAGATCCCAAGAAATATGGGACTTTGTGAATAGACCAAATCTACATCTCCCTGGTGTACCTGAAAGTGACAGGAAGAATGGAACCAAGTTGGAAAACACTCTTCAGGATATTATACAGGAGAACTTCCCCAACCTAGCAAGGCAGGCCAACATTCAAACTCAGGAAATACAGAGAATGCCACAGAGATATTGCTCAAGAAGAGCAACTCCAAGACACATAATTATCAGATTCACCAAAGTCGAAATGAAGGAAAAAATGTTAAGGGCAGCCAGAGAGAAAGGTTGGGTTACCCACAAAGGGAAGCCCATAAGACTAACAGTGAGACTAAAGACTCACTGCAAGCTCCGCCTCCCGGGTTCACGCCATTCTCCTGCCTCAGCCTCCCAAGTAGCTGGGACTATAGGCGCCTGCCACCACGCCCGGCTAATTTTTTTTGTATTTTTAGTAGAGACGGGGTTTCACCGTGTTAGCCAGGATGGTCTCGATCTCCTGACCTCGTGATCCACTCACCTCGGCCTCACAAAGTGCTGGGATTACAGGTGTGAGCTACCACACCCAGCCCCATTTTAGTATCTTAATCTCCTCCTTTTAAGTTATTATTTTACAGCTTCTGCAGGTCAAAAGTTTGGGTGCAATAAGCTGGATTTTCTGCTCTGGGTCTCACAAAATGAAATTCCCTGTGTCAGCAGGGTGAGGCTCTTTTCTGGAGACCTTGCAGACCTGAGGTCCCCATCTGTTTGCAGGCTGCCAGCCAGGGTCTGCTGACTGCTCCTGGAAGCTTCTTGCATTCACTATCACAGTGCCTCTCTCATCAAAGCCCCAATGGCATGTAGGCATGTGGGGTCCTCCTTATATCTTGAATCTCTTCTCTCTGGCATTTTTTTTTCTACTTCTCTCTCCTGCTTTTAAAAGCTCACATATATTGCACCCACAGATAATACAGGATAATCTCTTTATCTTAAGGTCAACTGATTAGTAACATTAATTGCATCTACAAAGTCCCCTTTTCCCTGTACCATAACAGAACTCACAAAAGCCAGAGATCATGGAGGCAAAATAATGCCCACATAGGACCCTTCCCAGAATATATGGGAAGGAATGAGAGAAAAGAACAAGGGTGACAGAGACAGATACACATTTAGAGGGCCAAGTCATTTGTTCTTCAACAAAAAGCAAGCATGAGCTGTGTACTGTTACTTTAATTTAACTTACTACAAATAATTAAATGACTAATGTAGTTCAGGATTATGTATGTGATAAACATGCCCTAAAAGATGAAATATTATGCAAAAAATGAGTAGCCTTAAAATCCCTATAAGCTTTATACTGCAGGCATTTTTGTGGCTTTCAAGCAAAAATGTAAGGGTTAGTAAGTTATTTAGGAGAAACAGTCTTCTGGATAGTAGATTCAAAATTAGAGAAGAAAAAAATACCTTTGTTTAGTCTTCTTAATAAGTAGTCATTAAATAAAATATGAGGGTAAATTAGATTTTAGAAGAAGGAAGGAAGGATGAAAGGAAAAAAATTACCAAGTGAGTACATTTCTGTGAGTCAAAGAAGCAAGTTAATTTAAACACATGCACACATAAAATTTATAAAGGTTCAATGAACTGAGTCAGAGTACACATCTGAATTCACCTGGTTTATGTAATATTTGGGGTGGACAGTAAATAAGCACAAACTCCAGAGTATATCTTTCTGAACTATAATTATGTGCACTCTGATTACAATAGAATGCAGACACTATTATCAAAGGAGAACAAACTAAACTAAAAAGCCCATCAGGTTCATGCAGACAGTATCTCTTAGAAGCTGCCTACTTCTAGGTTTTTGCAGTTGACTTTCATGCCAATGCTCTTTCACTTTGCACCCACTTATCATTTTTCAGTTTAAAAAGATGAAATGATGCCAGGGAAAATAAGCCAAAGTTTTTATTGCAACTTTTTTTTTTTTTTTTCTTAAAGAAATCAAAAGCTTCTTGGGAAAAAAAAGCAATGTAAAAGTGGGTTTACAAAGTCTTTCTCTTCTAAAGCTGAACAAAATTCTAAACAAAAAGCAAAGTTTTAAAAAGGCAAAGGAAAAAAGTCACATCACTCTGGAAACTAAGGAATTTTAGTCACATAGAGAATGCATTAGGTAAAGTGGGATGAACACACCAAAACCCAGTATTCAATTCTCTTCAAGAAAGATGTTCATTATTGAAGCTGAGACCACCCCCTTGACCATGCTCCATAAAAGTTATAATCAATCAATAGAATAGAAGATCATGAGACAACATAGTGAACTAGAAAAGTTGTCATCGCTAAAAAAAGTATTGAAGGTCATACACAATTTTAATACTGATGATATAGAATATCAGTTCTTAGAGCCAGTTTTGGCCTTGAGAAAACTACCTTGAATAAAAAAAGTTACCTTGAAGAAAAAGTGAAAACAGGACAAATATATGGAATAAAAGCTGATGAGTATGAAGGCTCCTCCATGAGTGACTGGATTTTCTTAAGAAAAGAAGAAATGGCCAGGCACGGTGGCTCACACTTGTAATCCCAACACTTTGGGAGGCCGAGATGGGCAGATCTCCTGAGGTCAGGAGTTCAAGACCAGCCTGGCCAACATGGTGAAACCCCATCTCTACTGAAAAAAACACAAAAATTAGCTGGGCATGTTGGTGGGTGCCTGTAATTCCAGCTACTTGGGAGGCTGAGGCAGGAGAATCACTTGAACCCGGGAGGTGGAGGTTGCAGTGAGCTGAGATTGCACCACTGTACTCTAGCCTGGGTGACAGAGCAAGACTCCGTCTCAAAAAAGAAAAAAGAAAAAGAAGAAGAAGAAGAAACATCAGCAAGAATAAAAAAAACAAAGTTTTAAGAGAAAAAATTTTTGAGTTAAAAATTTCCTGTTTTCATATCTCAAAATGTTCACCATATATGTTACAGGCAAATTTACTGGAAAAAAAATGATGAATTATCCTAACCAAATACTAAATTATGGAATTCCAAAGAACAACAAGAATAGCTCATTGGTTGTTGAGAATAAATATTAAAAGGAAAGTAAAACTAAATAATGGACAAAAATACCATGATATGTTTCAAAATATATTATCTTTGTTTTTTGGAAAAAATACTATAGTACCCTAAATATATGATACATTTGGTGCTTGGTTTAAAAAAATCCAAAGATTAGTTTAGTTCTCCAAGCCAAATGTACTTGTTCAGTTTTTCCTTTTTCTCTTAGGAGGCCCCAAAGGAGTCTTAATATGTAATAGCATTCTTTCCCATCTAGTCCTGAACAATTTTAGAAAATAACAAAAGTGACACTCATGGTCAGATAAAAAGACGTGGCTTTATCCAAGTCTATTAGCCAAGTATGGTTATCAATACCAGACATCAGAATTAGGCAGAACTATCCATGGAGAGACCCAAACAGGTTTGGACCCAGGCAAGCATCCCCCAGTAGATGAGCCATGGAACCTGTATTCAAACATATGTTACCATACTCAGCTCATTTCCTCCTACCTCTTTTGGTCTCTATGCTGTTCCTGCCTCTTGCTTCCAATTGTAAATGTCAGAGTGTCTGAGGATTTAGACGTTGGATGACATCTGTTCTTCTGACTACACTCATTCTCTAAATGGTCTCATCATGTCCCACAACTTTAAATCCTGTCTCTGAGCTGATGTTAAGCTTAAGCTTTTCCTCTGAACTCCAGAATCATGTGTTCACCCCCCATTCAATCTACTTGGATGTATAATAGGCACCTCAAACTTAATATGTTTAAACTGAACTCTTGATCTTTTCTCCCCACCTTCACCCCAAACAGCTCCTTTCCTAGTCTTTCCCACCTCAGTTAATGGTAAATCCATTCTTCAGTTGTTCAGGTTGAGGACTAAGATCTAATTTTTTTTATCTTGCTCAAATTCCTATCTCAGGTGTGTGGGGACTCATGCCCTAGAAATTCTTATCAGAATTCTTATCAGGGTTTTATTTAGCCATATATATTGGGGCTTACTTTCTAATATGACTCTGGCATAATATTATGAGACACGGAAGAAAATAAAAATATTTTACCCCAAAACATGTTTCTCTGCCATATCTTGAAATGGCTCTGCAAAGCCATCCTTTGTGGGAGAAAATCTGCATCTGTAAGGAATCTCTATTAACATAGCTAGATCTTTTACTTCCAGGCCCTCCCAATCCTGAAGAGATTAACTAAAAGTCTAGTACCTTTCAAAGATCTGAATAGGAAACATTTGTCATTTATTGTCTCTAAGGGGAGCCACTATAAGACTTCAGAAGAACCTTGGTCTCCACAATCTTTGATCTTAACCTGAACATTTCCTTTCTGTGATCCCAGGTCTTTAGACAAACTCAACCAATTGTGAACCAGAAAATGTTTAAATTGACCTATAGCCTGGAAGCCCCCACTCCCCTCACCTTTGAGTTGTCCTGCCTTTCTGGACCAAGCCAATGCATTTCTTAAATGTATTTAATTGATGTCTCATGCCTCCCTAAAATGTATAAAACCAAGCTGTACCTCGACCACCTTGGGCACATTTTCTCAGGACCTCCTGAGGGCTGTGTCATGGGCCATGGTCACTCATATTTGGCTCAGAATAAATCTCTTCAAATATTTTACAGAGTTTGACTCTTTTCACCAACAAGGTCAAAACCTTTTAAATCCTTGATATCTATCTTTCTGTACGCTGCATGTAATGTATCAGCAAATTTTGTCAGTCATACTTCAAATAAATCCAGAATCCAGCTCTTTCTCACAACCTTCACTGCTAGCACCATCATCACTCCTCTGGATTATTGCAATAACTGCTTAACTCTAATCCCTTTTTCAGTGCCCCTACCCTCCACAAGTCTTATCTCAGGAGTTAAAACACAAGCCAAATTAGGCTGCCTCTCTGCTCCAGTCACTCTGCATTCCTTGCTGTTCTTCAAACTCAGGAGACATTCTCTGCTTTAAGGCCTGTCTTAGTTATTTAGGCTATTATAACAAAATTCTATAAACTGGATAGCTTATAAAGAGCAGAAATTTATTTCTCAGTTCTAGAGGCTGGTAACCCTAAGATCACGGCACTGGTGGATTCAGTGTCCAGTGAGGGTCTGCTTTCTGTTTCATAGATGGTGACTTCTCACCATCTTCACATGAAAGAACAGGCAAGGCAGCTCTCTGGGAGCATTTTATAAGGGCATTAATCCGATTCATGAGCGCTCCACTCTCACGACCTAACCACCTTCCCAAAGGCCCCAGTTCCTAATACCATGTTGGTGATTAGATTTCAACATATAAATTTTGGGTGGGGGCGCAAACATTCAGAACATAGCAGGACCTTTGCACTATTCCAGAGCAATTTTCTGAGAACGCTTTTCTCTCAGATATCCACAAACTTCTGTTACTCACTTTTATATGGTGCTATTTACAATCACTGTCCCAGTGAGCCTTTCCTGGGCAGTGTATCTCAAATTTCAGCCCTGAAACTTTTGATATTTCTTCTCGCTAATTTAGTTTTTTTTTTTTTAAATGTGTCACTTTAAAAATACTTGTTTAATTTATTATGTTTGTTTTCCACCTCTCCTATTGGAATGTAAGAGATTTTAAATTCACTGGAATTCCAGTGCCTAGAACAGGGTCTGACACACAGAACCACTGTTGTTAAATGGGAGAATGAATTAACAGCTCACACTCAAGGGGAAGAAGAGCTGAACTGAGCCAAGCATGCTTAGATTTCCCCAAATTTACCATCAGATCAGGCCCTTCTCCTAAAGCAGAGTGAGTAAAGGAACAGAAGGTAGGCCACAGGGGCTGTAGTTCACAGAGCACACAAAAGGCAAGATTCAGAATGGGGAGTAAGATATCCTATAATATTGTTTTTGTTTCTATATTCTTAATTAAAAGCCAAGATAATGATGTCGTTATAATCTGAGATAATCTAAAACAGGGGCCTTCTAACTACAGCCTGAGGGCCAAATCTGGCTTGCAACCTGTTTTCCATATGGCCCCTCAGAATTGCTTTTACATTTTGAAAGTATTAAGTAAGGGGATAAGAGAAGGAGGAGGAAAAGGAGGACAAGGAGAAAAGGGAAGAGAAGCACATCTTTCTCCTCAAGTTCCTAAACCTCCATCAAACAAGCGAGCTTGCCTTTTGAGTTCAATTTTAATTTTTCATAAAGAGATGTTGTGTCTGGAATTGGTGGGTTCTTGGTCTCACTAACTTCAAGAATGAAGCCGTGGACCCTCGCAGTGAGTGTTACAGTTCTTAAAGGTGATATGTCCGGAGTTTGTTCCTTCTAATGTTTGGACTTGTTTGGAGTTTCTTCCTTCTGGTGGGTTCCTGGTCTCGCTGGCTTCAGGAGTGAAGCTGCAGACCTTCACTGTGAGTGTTACAACTCTTAAGGTAGCGCATCTGGAGTTGTTCATTCCCCCGGGTAGGTTCATGGTCTCACCGGCCTCAGGAGTGAAGCTGCAGACCTTAGTGGTGAGTGTTACAGCTCATAAAGGCAGCGTGGACCCAAAGAGTGAGCAGCAGCAAGATTTATTGCAAAGAGCGAAAGAACAACGCTTCCACAGTGTGGAAAGGGAACCAGCGGGTTGCCATTGCTAGCTCAGGCAGCCTGCTTTTATTCCCTTATCTGGCCCCACCCACATCCTGCTGATTGGTCCATTTTACAGAGGGTGATTGGTCTGTTTTACAGAGAGCTGATTGGTCCGTTTTGACAGGGTGCTGACTGGTGTGTTTACAATCCCTGAGCTAGACACAAAAGTTCTCCAAGTCCCCACAGAGCACTGATTGGTGTATTTACAGACCTTGAGCTAGGCACAGGATGCTGATTGGTGTGTTTACAAACCTTGAGCTAGACACAGAGTGCTGATTGGTGCATCCACAATCCCTTAGCTAGACATAAAGGTTCTCCAAGTCCCCACCAGATAAGCTAGATACAGAGTGCTGATTGGTGCATTTATAAACCTTGAGCTAGACATAGAGTGCTGATTGGTGTATTGACAATCCCTTAGCTAGACATAAAGGTTCTCCAAGTCCCCACTAGACTCAGGAGCCCAGCTGACTTCACCTAGTGGATCCCGCACTGGGGCCGCAGGTGGAGCTGCCCGCCAGTCCCACGCTGTGCGCCCACACTTCTCAGCCCTTGGGCTTTGGATGGGACCGGGTGCCACGGAGCAGGGGGTGGCACTCCTCAGGGAGGCTCAGGCTGCACAGGAGCCCATGGCAGCGGGGAGGCTCAGGCATGGCAGGCTGCAGGTCCCGAGCCCTGCCCCACCGGGAGGCAGCTAAAGTCCGGCGAGAATTTGAGAGCAGCACCAGCAGGCCGGCATTGCTGGGGGACCCAGCGCCACCCCCGCAGCTGCTGGCTCAGGTGCTAAGCCCCTCACTGCCCGGGACCAGCAGTGCTGTCTAGCCTCTCCGAGTGCGGGGCCTGCCAAGCCCATGCCCACCCGGAACTCCCGCTGGCCCGCAATCGCGGCGCACAGCCCCGGTTCCCGCCCGCGCCTCTGCCTCCACAACTCCCTGCAAGCTGAGGGAGCTGGCTCCAGCCTCAGCCAGCCCAGAGAGGGGCCCCCACAGTGCAGTGGTGGGCTGAAGGGCTCCTCAAGCATGGCCAGAGTGGACGCCGAGGCCGAGGAGGCACTGAGAGCAAGTGAGGGCTGTGAGGGCTGCCAGCACACTGTCACCTCTCAATGTCATTTGTATAATCAGGCCATATTAAAAAACGAGACACACACACACAGAGACACACACATATACATACCGCTGTCTTCAGGAAGCATTGGAGGACTTTGAAATTGAGAGAGATTCTGCATTTACCCCCAGTCCCAGTGGGAAAAATGGTGCTTCCTCATGACGTATTTCTAGGCCCTGCATGATAAGCAGCAGGGTCGTGCCTGTCCTTCACTTTTCTTCCAGCTGGGGACATCAGGTGCTCTCTGTAAGGGCACTTTGAAGAATAGGCTGACACTGCAGTGCACTTGGGAAATGGTGTTTGAGAGACAATAAAAGGGGCCCTGGCTTAAAGTACATTAAGGGATCACAGGAGTACATCTTGACTGCATTTTCAGATCTTTTGATTCAAAGACACACATCTTCTTATCTCCCAAGGGGTGAGGCCAACCTAGCAGAGAATATAGACAGAGCGTAGCAAATAATCTTGCCAACCGCACATCAGAGATAATTAGTGAGAACACTGTAAGGGGTTCCTTGACTGCCTCAGTGCAGGGTAAAAATGGATCAGGGAGGAAACGCAGGGTGTGTGCTGAGCCACCAGCCTAGGTGTGCGAGTCAAGCGTGCACCACGGTGGCACTGAAATGGTTAACTGCCCACTGGGCCTACACTGGGAAGCAGAGGGATGTTATATTCTCACTGTCTGGCAGCGTTGCTTGTCTACTACCTTCAGATATTTCACTCAGCGGTCTTTTCCACAGAATAATAAAAGGCTAGAGCCTGTGAGAATGCATGAGTCTGGGCAAAAAGAAGGCCAAATCGAATCCTTGAAACAAAAACAGGTTTGGACTACATGTGCAGTTCAGACTCAAACCATCCTAGTTCCACTACATACATACATACAACATACATACATATATATGTATATAATTGCATGTGTTACTTTTTAAATAGAATTTTAGATTATTAACCATAAAGGACAGGCATATAGAAAATTAATTAATATAAATACTCAAAACTGTGAAAGGAAAAGAAAGTGAATATGGGAAATTGAAGGCTTAGGAATAGTTGTGATGAACTTTCAAATTTCCTTCAGAGTTCCCTGTTAGGCAACTTTACTTTTCCAGGTAAAGCCACATGCATCTAGCGTCTAGTAAATCTCTGTGAGTCGTTAAAGAAACACCATAGAATGTAGACTTCTCATTCCCTTCTGTAGCCAATTGCCAGGAAACTCACAGCACGTATTCCCTCCAAAAGTGTCCTGGCTTTCTAATCAGAGATGCCTCTCTATTAGCAATGCTAAATAGAATAAATCTTGCCAATGAAGTTTTTATTAGGAGTAGTGTCCATGGAGCCACATTTTATCACAGACTGCCAAATAATAAAGAGGGAAATGGTCAGAGAGGAAAATTCTAACATAGCTGGGGGCTGCCTTTTTTTCTTGTATTTTTGCCAATTCTTTTCAAACTTACTTGCTTACGAGAGATACTGTGTTTTATTATTGTATTTTATTCACTCCCATCATTCCCCTGAAATTTAATTGGACTGCTTTCTCACCTTGCACACCCTATTCACTCGCTCCACATGCTCTGCCTTCTTTCCTGCAGAAATGAAAGAAGAAGGGGGAAGATTTCTTTGAAGTTGTTTCAGCTCCCACGAGAGTGCACACACTATCTCGTTATCAAAAAATCACTTTTAGTGCAACTGTAGACATAGCGAAGTATGTTAACCACAACTCCGAGGGCTTTCAGACTTATCTTTGTTCTTTAAAATTGGGTTTGATTTGATTAATAGATGACACCGCAGGGTATATGCCAATAATCCTGATATTTAACATTAAATATAATTTTAAATTGCTGTAGCTGCTACCTAAGATTATTTCTGTGGGCCTTTTTTCTTTACAGCACACTTTGCAGTTGTATGGAACCAAGTGTCGGGCCTCTGCTTAGACTTCCAGACTTTATTCAACAAGTCCGTTGCAATATCACAAAGTCATCTCAAGTTTCAACATATTCAAGAATGAATCACAATGTCCTCACCACATTTTGCCCTCATTCAGTGACCCTGTCCCAATGAATCACACTGCCTTCCATTCATTTGCACAAACCCCAAAACCAGAAGTTATATTTGGGAACACCGTAATGCTTATCCCAAGTCAAATCCATTGCAAAGTCCTGTTTACCATACCTCTTAAATGGCTTCCAAATATATTGTTTCTTCTTTCATTCCACATCATCTTTGTCTGTGATACTATAGTATTTAACGTTTGTTCTGGTATAATGCCCATCTGTTTTCTACAAGGTAGCCAGGGTTATTTAAAAATGTAACCCTGATCAGGGTACTTTGTACCCACATTCCACTCATATACACACAATGTGTAAACTGCAGAAATGATTTCCCTTTCTTCTTAGAATCAAGGACAAAACCTTCAACATATTATTCATGACCCCTACCTGGGTCAGACCCTGCCTACATCTTAATTCTCATCCCCATTCTTTAATTCTTTCCCACCCCTCTACTCCTGATCCAGCCACACTTTTCTTTTGATTTTCCCAACACTGTATTCTCATTCCTGCCACAGAACCTTCTCATGTAACTGTACTTCCACGTGGAACTATAGCCCCTCCAGCCAAACCCTTTCTGAATAACTATAGACTTATCCTTTAGGTCTTAGCTAAGTGTCCCTTCTCTTGGCCCTCAGGCTAAGCCATATTCTTCTCTTACACTCTCCCCAAATTCTTTCCTTTAGATCACTTATGTGAGTTGTAACTATATTCTTGGTAGTATAACTTCTAAATATAACTTCAGTAGTATAACTTCTAAATTAATCTGCATCTCTCTTATGAGACTGTAAACTCCATATGATAAGAAGTTGTGATGTTTGATTACCATTCTATCCCAGTATCTAAAAGTGCATCTGGTACTAGCAGTCAATTAACTGACTGAATGAATAAATAAATGATTTTATAATAAATGAATAAATAAATAATTTAAAAAACACATTTGTATACTCTGCCTTAGATTTGCAGAAGTCTGTGGGTTAGGTTTCCAGACTATATTTTTAAGAGATATCTCAATATGGTTTTGATGTAGCCATGGTTGGGAACCACTGTCTTAGAAAATGTCTAGACTACATAACATGGAAACTTTGAAATAACTTCCCAGTAGGTGATTATCTGAACTCTTATTAGGCATTTTTGGTTTGGGGGAGAGCAGAGTGAGGTGAGATATAAGGAGGAGGGAAGCCAGGTGGGCAGTATGCAGTGGGGAGTTGCCACTTAAAAAGTGTCTATTTCATTTGAGAAGAGCTGTCATTGTTAAACAATTTTATTTAATGCAGTCAACACCATAAGTCTCACTTTACTGACCCCAGATTTTCTCTGATATAGCAGAGAATAGATCCAGTCTGCCTTGTAGAGGTCAGTCCTTTAAATATTGGAAGCATTTATGTGGTATTATAATTTTTTTTTAATGACACCAAACATGCACAGTCCTTTAATAGTTCTTTGTGTGACATGGTTTCCAGACTCTAACCTTTTCCAGATGCATTCCAACTTGCCAACATCTCTCCTAAAATCGCCATTCAGAAACTGCTACCTTCATACTTCCAAACTGTAAAGTCATCTTGCTTCTTTAGATGACTTCAACCTTGAAGGCACCATGTCACAAAACTGGCTCATGTAGAGTATGTAGGTAATTGATATTCTTATGACTTTTTTTGTATAACTGTATATATTTGCTTTTGTTTTTTCTAAATCTCTATTTTTTTATCTCTATTTTTTTTTTATTTTTTTGAGATGGAGTCTCACTCTGTTGTCTAGGCTGGAGTGCAATGGCACCATTGTGGCTCACTGCAATCTCCACCTCCCATGTTCAAGCAATTCTCATGCCCCAGCCTCCCAAGTACCTGGGATTACAGGCATGTGCCACCATGCTCAGCTAATTTTTTTTTTTTTTTTTTTTTTTTTTTTTGTATTTTTAGTAGAGACAGGGTTTCACCATGTTGGCTAGGCTGGTCTTGAACTCCTGACCTCAGGTGTTCTGCCCACCTCAGCTTCCCAAAGTGCTGAGATTACAGGCGTGAGCCACCGTGCCTGGCCTGCTAACCTATAATTTTGATGAGTATGCTAACTTTTAATCATAATTTTGATTAATTTTTACAAAGATTATATCGAAGGAGAGAGAACACTATGGGGTCACTCCTATGGTCCTCTCACCAAGTTAATGTTGATTAGAGAATTGACATTCTGTAGATATTTGCTCAAAAAGCTGTAGTTGCCTTTAGTTCTGTTGCCTTTATGTAGTTTATGTAGTTGCCTTTAGTTCTGTATCTGTTAGAATTGTAAAATGTTATAATGTTTCCCAAGGCCAGAGAAAATGTTGTGTGATATGGGAAGAGGACTTAGTTACCTTAATTTCATAATTTAGTTTTTATTTCTTCCTTGTCTTATAAAAGTATAAACACTTAGTAAGCAGTATATCTGGTAAATATCAACACCGTTTCCTTCATTAAGCACAAAATTTAGGGGTCAGAATATCTTCCAATTTCCCTCTATTTGCCATGTTTATGACTGCTTTTGCACACTATGGTCAGTCATTCTCAGTAAAAAGCTATGGTGTATATCATCTCTGCAACTACCTACTCTAATATGTCATGAATTTAAGTGGGATTGGAAGTAAGCACTGAAGTGAGATTACATTGACCTCTTAATATTGCCTTTCACAGTTTAATCTCATTGTATTGTTTAGAATGAGTAACTATTGTTCCTAGTTGTGGTGATATCCACACCACAGATATTAAAAGAAAAAAAAGCATTGTAACGTTTCACTGTTTCCAATACCTTACTTGGGAGTCATTACCTCGTTCTGGAGCCTATTTAGTAATTATTTCAGAAAATATTTAATTACTTTAATTCTTTCCAGGAGGAACTTCCATAAATTATTATACCATGAAAAATGGTGGAATGGTGGTATAGAAAGAAAACTAAATTTGAAGTCAGGGTACCTTAATTTCTGTTTGAACTATTTTACCATATGTAGTTGTGTGACTTGAAGAGTTAACATAACGTATCTAAGCCACAGTTTTCTCACTTGAAATTATGCTTGTTTCAAGGAGTTATTAAGCAAATGAAGGACTGTATGTAAAAGTGCTATGAGAAACATAATATGCTGTATGAATGTAAGATATTAATATTATGAAGAAAGCAATGCTAGGATATCAACTTTAGGAATATATAAGAAACTTCTGAGATTTTTTTAACCTGTTCTATTAAAAAAAAATCAGAGCAATAAGACTGCAAACAAAGTTGTTTCGAACCCACACTTAGAATCTAAGTAGGAAATCACAGAATACTATAGACTTCCAACTATGAGTAAGTAGGAAATCAACACCTGAGAGCAGCAGAGGAAGCTTCAGAGTGCCCCAGAAAGGAAAGGTGACAGAAACTATATGGAAACAAAGAAGAGAAGAGAATCCTAATACAACAGAAAACATAAAAGTCATCCCCTAGAAAGAGAGACTAATACCCTAAATCCTACCTTACAGCAGTCCTGAGACTTGGTGGTTCAGAGCCCTGGCTGCTGAGGAATCCATAGGAAGAGACTTAAGAATGTGCTGGATAAGGGGTAGAAATCTCAAAAAGGCACCGCTTCTGGGAACAGGGGGGTGACTTGGAAAGGGAAGGGCTGCTTGGGAGGTTTGGTGGTAAAGAGGAAGAAGGAAGCAAGTCTTGTAACTTAAGGGGTTTGCAGAAATAGATGAATTCCCCAAATCGGAAGACATAAAATACCTTCACCCATCAAAACCAAGCACTATTAATTTTTAAAAATTATAATTCAATATGCAAATAGAAGAGGGCATCCTCCACACACTAAGAAACCCTGTAACCCAAACATACTGCTCACCCCTGCTTATACACATCATTATTGCCAATGCAGAAAAAGACATTTCAAAATTAGCATAAATTAGACAACGTTCATACAGAAGTATTATACATAAGAAAAGAGAATTGAAAGATAAGAATCAGATGTTTGTTGCTAAAAATTCTTTAACAAAAATGAAGCAGGTGAAAACTACACCATAACACCACAACCTGAATTAAATATGCTTAAATGAGCATTTGTAGATATGAACAAAATATGTCAAATCAGAAATTCAAAAATGAAGAACCAAAATGGACCAAAAAGAGAAATATAAATTGTGAGTGACTGAACTAAGGAAAGAAATTGAAGAACAATATGAAATAAATATGGAAATAAAGACTAAGTTGCGAAATGTTCAAGAGAGAATAGATCCAACTAGAAATATAACAGAAGACATCGAAGGAAAAGATAAAAATAGCCAAAAGATGAAAAATGAAATAAAGAGATAAAAGGAATCAGAGAAACAATGACAGATATAGAAGATAGATCCAACATCTACATAACTTGAGACTTTGAAAAAGAAAATTGAAACAATGAAATAGAACTAATATTTCAGGTTATAATCTAAGAACATTTTCTAGAAAGAAAAGCATACTCTTAGACATTGAAAGCTTCCACTATACTCCTAAGAAGATGTAACCAGGCTAGTCAATTCTAGGATGCAGCTTAACAAAACAAAGTATGTATTCTGACATAGTAGAAATTCAACAAAAACACTGGAGGAGGAAAAGACAGAAAGAGAACTAGATAAACTCACTGATTATCATGTAATAGAGGCAGTCAATATTTGAAGCTGTCAAAACACATAGTAGATGTCTAAATAAGAGAAAGGAGGACTAAGTGTATTATACAAATGATTAACATAGACGTAACCACTAGCACAAAAACACAAATCTTTCTAGTAAATAAAAGCACTATAGGAAAAGGGTCAAGGAAAATAGAGCACATAGGGAAATGAATACAAGTAAATATAACATAGAATAAAACAACCAAGCTGAGACCAAACATTTTGTCATATAAATAATGCAAAATGGGCTTATCTCACATTTTAAAAAATTCAGATTTGGGCCGGGCATGGTGGTTCATGCCTGTAATCCCAGCACTTTGGGAGGCTGAGGTGGGCAGATCACGATGTCAGGAGATTGAGACCATCCTGGCTAACATGGTGAAACCCCATCTCTACTAAAAACACAAAAAATTAGCCGTGTGTGGTGGTGGGTGCCTGTAGTCCCAGCTACTCCAGAGGCTGAGGCAGGAGAATGGTGTGAACCCGGGAGGTGGAGCTTGCAGTGAGCCAAGATCACGTCACTGCACTCCAGCCTGGGTGACAGCGAGACTCCATCTAAAAAAAAAAAAAAATTCAGATTTGTTCATAAAGCAAAACCCTATTATATGCTGAATGCAAGAGACACATCTGAAAGTAAGTGATTCAGAAAAGATACAAAGAAATGGATGGGAAACTATATAACATGAGATTACAAATAATAAGGAATCAGGGATGGCAATCCTGAATTCTACAAGGTAGAATTCAGACCAAAAGGTGGTAAATGTGACAAAGACTTTTATAATGCTAAAAATCTCAATTCACAATGAATATATAGTAGTTTGAATATATAAGAACCAAATAGAAGCCTATCACTAATAATAAGGACTTTAAAGCCTTCTTGTTTCCTTCTTTCCCTTCATATCAAGCCTCCAAATTATCTTTCTCCCTTCAAGTAAACCAGTGATTCTCAATTTTATTCTATGTTGGAATCATCTGAGGAACTGATAAATACTGATGTAGTAAATGTGTTGGGATACTGTGATCTCACACTCAGGGATTCTGATTTAATTGATATGGGATGTTACTGAGCCCTAAGAATTTTAAAAGTTTCCCAATTGCTTCCAATGTGCTTAGAAGGTTAAAACCAGTAAAGCAGAGGTCTAAAGATTGGAAAGGAAATAGTGAAACAATGGGAAAATAATATTCAAAATAACAAGCAAGTAGATAAAATACAGTACTTAGCAAAAAATTAATAAGAAGTGGACAAAATTATAGGAAGAAGGGTAAGTTAAACAAATAAAAAGATATTTTTTCATCTTGAATAGGATGAAGAATCATTATACATATTTCAATTGTCTCTAAGATAAAATACAAATTGCATATAGTCCCAGTAAACACACTAGCAAGCTTTCTGGGAGCTAGACTAGCTAATTCTAACATTCATATAAAAAACATGAGAATAACTTGGAAACTTCTAGAAAAGCGATGAGTGTTGACTAGCCCTAATATAGTAAAACAAATTATAAAAACACAATAAATTAATATAGTGTGATATTGGTGAGAGAATAGACTGACCAATAGAACAGAATAGGAAGTACAGAAATAGATATCAAAACATATAGAAATTTAGCGAGTAATAAAGTATATCAAGTAACTGGGGGAAAAGATGGACTTTACAACAAATGTTCTTGAGGCAACTCAAAAATGATGATTTGGGGCTCATAACTTATATCAAATTGAAAAGAGTTCTAAATGTAAAAACTGATGTGGAAGTACTAGAATAAAACATGGATGACTTTCTTTACAACCTGTACATGAAAAAGCTTTTCTGATTATAATTCAAAATTCAGTTGCAATAAAAGAAAAGATGAATAAATTCTACTTAAAAATGTTTGCATTTCAAACATCATCAAAGTCAAAGAATAGGTACAAATTTGGGAGAAAACAATTGTAACATGTATAACATAAAAGGCTAATTTCCCTATTATATGAAGAAATGAAAATGAGGAAAAAACCAACCTGATAAAGAATGGACAAAATATATAGACAGCTCACAGAAAAAGTTAAAACAAGTGTCTTTTAAAATGTGAAAAGATACTCAACTTCATGAAGAGAAATGCATGTTAAAACTAAAATTAAACTGAAATATCAATGTATCAATAAAAATTAGTCCTCTTACTACCCAGGTTTATAAATATAATTCTGCAGAAAATGAAACCAGATATCTTTGGTAAAACCTTAGATTCCAGATTTAGGGCAGAAAAAGGATACAATTCTAGAAAGCAAAAAAGTACTTTCAGATTAGCAGGGCAATGCCAGATGGGCACAGGAGTCAGCTTAAAATGGCTACCATTGGTTAAATTTGGAATAATTAGAGCATCATAAAAATAATGAAAGTAATGAATTATGTCACATTGAATATTTTGAAAGGATCTATGAATCCATAATGATACTCAAGAGAGAAAGAGGGAGAGAGAAAGAGAAAGGAAAAAATAAAGGAGCTCTTCTTTCAGAAGAATGCCATTTACTAAATGAGAAAGGATTGATGGAATTAGTAAGTACCACCACATACAACTCCCAGTATAAAACTTAATTTAGGCAAGGATCAGCAATACATGCTAAAATGATTGGATGCAATTTTGGGATGGGGGGTATTAATTTTCTATTGCTATTCCTACAAATTACCAAAATCTTAGTGGTTTAAAACAATGCAAATTTGTTATCTTATGGTTCTGCAGGTTAAAAGTCTGACATGGATCTCTAACTGGGATAAAATCAAGGTCTTGGCAGGGCTGCATTCCCCTTATGTAGGTCCCGGGGGGATCCTGTTTCCTCGCTTTTTCCAGCTTCTAGAGGCTGTCTACATTTTTTGGCTTGTGACCCCTTCCTCCATCTTAAAGGCAAGCAATGTTATATCTCTCTGACCATCTTTCCTTAGTGGCACAAGGAACCTAGCCTAACCCATCCCCAAACCTAGCATATTAACAGATTTCAAGGATTAGGACACTGACATCTTTGGAAAGGGACATTATTCTGTCTACCACGATAGGGGATTGGGGAAGGAAATTCCTATGTTTTCAAAGTTTTACACCCCAGATTACTTATTGACTACAAAGGGACAAAAGTACCTTTACAAGGGAGCAATCTTGGATACCAACTAAATTCGGGCTCAAATGTAGTCTCACCAATAGCAATGGGACAAATGGCCATTATTGGCCTATGATGTCAAATCAGTAGGAAGAACATTAACTCACCTATGTAGCATTTTTGTCAAAAGCACTTAATCTAAACGTGAGAAAAGAAATAAACAAATCCATATTGTGACACATTCTACAAACGATTGGCCTGGATTCTTCAAAAATTTCAATGGTATGAAAAAAATAGTAAGTGGATTGTTGCAGATTAAAGAAGACTCAGATATGTGACAGTTCAATGAAAGGAATTATTCTTGATTATTCTTGGATCCTGGATTAAAGCTGAAAATCAGCAAAAAGACTATTTTTAGACAATTAGAAAATTTTAAATATAGGCTGTTTAATACATAAAATTAATTTATCCATATTAAATACTTGGATATGATCACAACTTTGTAGCTATGTGAGAGAATGCCCCTGTTCTGAAGAGATAGTATTTAGGGGTGGAATGTCATGATGTCTTCAGCATATTTTCAAATAGTGCAGCAGAAAAGGAGGGGAGTGTGTAAGATGTGTGTGGGAGAGAAGGTAGAGAAAAAGAGGTAGAGAAAAGGTGAGTGTGAAAAAAACGTTATCCTGTGGTGAAACTGAGTGGTGAAAGATCAGCTTGATTGGCTGGAGTTTTTGCTTGTGCTTACTATGTGCTCAGTTTGACTGTGGTGCCCTGAAAAAAATCAGCTGTCATCTCATTGTTTTAAACATTCAACGTTTCAACCTTAGACAAATAGTGAGCCCTTACTCTTCTGAAAACAGAACCTTTTCCTACTGTATATTTTTAAATTTTATATCTATTGCCAATATTTTAAAGTTGGCTTAAATGCTTCACACCTTAGACTTTGATTAATTGGCTACCATGAACTTCTCTGGTCAGAAAATGCTTTTTTTTTTCCTTCTTTTAAGACTTCTTTGAAGCTTTGCTCCCCTATAAGCGGATGGTTAAAATGGATATAGTACGTTTTCTTCCCTCTTTCATGCCTAATGGAATCTTTTCTCTACCCAAGATAAGATAATACCTGCAATTTCTCTCATAGCACCAAATGCACAGATGTGATGATTTGTTTATAAACTGCGTTCCATAACAGGAGAGATTCTTTCCTGACCTAAATAACGTCTACCACATTGTGGGCATTTCCCATATGGTAGATAAACATAATGAACATTTTTCTAGGCCACATTTTCACATGTTCTTGAGAATGGAAGCCTTTCAAACCAACTCTTGATCCTTTTTTGAGCATGTAACTTTGATTTCTAAACAGTTGAAGTGAGCATAAGCAGAAAGGACAAAGTACGGGAGTGTGTACACTCACAAAGCCAGGGTAAATGTTTAAAAAGCCATTCTCTATCATTTCTGTCTATTTTTGTTTCTTATAGAATTTTCCTTATGATTTTAGCATTGTGTCACCTGATGAGCTACACAGTTCCTTACTATTCCAGGTGATATGCGACTGGGTTTTGGAGAACTCTTTATTAAAATGCCTGTAAGTCATAAAAGCGTACTTTGAAGTAGAACAGTAGGCAGCTGCTTTAGTAAGTTGAAGATCAAAGATGTTGCTATCCCCATGGCCAATGAGAATGAAAACTTGATTTTTAGTGCCGAAGTGTTTGGAGAGAAGAAATGATTTCTTGCTGATAAAAGAAAGGCTGGAAACGGAGCAAGGAGGCTATGGTCCTATCTCCTTTATGGCATGGTTCAAGTATTTCTCCAATAGCCTTCAAGACCTTCTTTTGAATCAGTCTTTTAAAATTTAAAACATTTTATTCAATTCATCACTCATTCTCTTCTCAACAGCTGACCCCCTTATCTTTACCCTTGAAAGGGAACACGCTGGTCTGCCCCCTACAGACAGGGCCTCTGAGGCGAGTGTATGCCATTTCTTATTCTTAACTGCCCTTTTTCTGATAGAAACCATCCTACATTAGACTATTTTTCTTCCTCATTATTTTCCCATTCATGCTTTGTGAAAGCCTGCAACAGAATTTCAGAATAAAAATGCGCACAGCAGCCACTACAAGAAGCTGTGCAATATCATCTTTTCAGACGGACTGTTGACTAGCCATTTGCTTTGTGCTTTAGAGGTTACTGGCTAGTGAGTGAAATTGAGCCAGTTCAAAATCTCTTGATCATACAACTCCTGGGGTTTTCCTGAATTCCGAAGCAAAAATGGTCAGTTAATCTCAGCACATAGTGCTAAGGAAGGTAGAAAAGGGATGGGGAAGTGAGACTGGACACAATCCCGTATCAGTGGACCAGTATCTCTGTCCCAGTAGACCTTCCGGGCAGACCTGGAGAGAACGTCGGCCTTCATGAGGCCTAAAGCAAAGGCATAGTCTTTTTCTAGTGAAGACCCAGTTTGTGTTAAATAATGTACCCATCACTCTATTGATATTTAATTCACATTCCAGCACGGTTACCAAGCCATGTGAGAAAAGAGTTTAGATCTGAGGATAATCCGCTTTGTATTCTCTCTCAGAACTAATGGAGATTGTAGCCTCAGGAACCATTGCTTTTGAAAATTTCAAGAATTCCCACAACTACCCAAATACCACATGGGGATGCCCTGAAGATCTCAGCAAGGTCCAAAGCAGATATTACATACTCCATGCCAAATGATGGATATATATATGTGTGTGTGTGTGTGTGTGTGTGTGTGTGTAGAAAATAAAACTTAACAAGAATGAGACTAAACACAGTTCTGCCCTCAAATCTTCCCATACACAATTTTGCTGTCCAGATGTGAGAGCAAACTAATAATTTATGATTATTTCCTAAGATAGCACTGAATTATGCATGTAAGTACTGTCAGTGAACAGATATTTCAAGATATAACATCAATCTCTACAGGAAGTAAACTTTTCCCTTATTTAATTTTTCTCAAATGCTTTGAATTAAAAGAAGAATAACACACAGACAATAAGCCATAAAGATACATCTGGTCATACAAATATTTCGAACATATTAACTATATTGTCTATCTGGTTATATAAATATTTTCAGCATGTTAACTACGCATATGGATATACTTTTACAGGCTCGTACATGTACTCCTCCATATTTAAAAGCTCATTTTCTCCTGGCATTCTCTTCCACTCCCACCCTGAGTAAACAAATGCATTTGAGGACAAAGGATTCTAACTGGAATATTCTTTTGTAAAACAGCCTCAAAATCTTCGTCAATGTTGAAGTAAATGATGCCACCTTAACTGAAGGCTTTGTGGTTTTCAGCTCATTCTGAAGTAAATTTATCTGGATCAAATTGGCAATGTGTTTGTTCTCTCACTAATTGATGGGTCCATCTTTATTTGATGGGTATATCTTTCCTGTCTCACCCCACCATGATCACCTCTATGTAATATAACAACAGCTAAAACTAGAACAAAGGTCTCCCTATTAAATGCTTTATTAGTGAGAGTTTCAACTATCTAACTTAAAGAAACAGTGATGGGAACTTCTTGAAAAAGTTGAAAACATTTAAATTTAGAATGCCCTTTTCAGGGAAAGGGCATTGTGTTCATGAAATGATGCTTTCTTCTTTTGTTTTCATGTGTGACTTTACTTCATTGTTAATAACAAAGTCATTCATCTTGCTTCCAAGAAGACAGCCATAGAAATAAACAAGGCAATTAGGAGTGGTGTCAGGGTTGTTTCTTCTTCTTTGTTTTTTCAATAAATAAACTTTACTTTTTAAAGCACTCTTAGGTTCAGAGCAAAATAGGATTTAAAGCACAAAGAGTTCTTCTCACTCCCCTCACCTCCTCAGGCATAGCCTTCCCCACCGTCAACATCTCCCACTAGAATGATTCATTTTTTAGAATCAATAAACCAACATTGATGCATCATTATCATCAAAAGTCTGCAGTTTACATCAGGGTTCACTCTTTGTGTTGTATATTATATGGGTTTGGACAAATGCATAAATGACATATATCCACCATTATAGTATCATACAGAGTAGGTCTACTGCCCCCCAAATCTTCTCTTCTCCCCCTGTTTATCCTTCCCTCCCTCCCCGCTGAACCCTAGGTAACAAATTGATCTTTTTACTTTCTGCATAGATTGCCTTTTCCAGAATGTCATACAGTTTGAATTGGAATCATACAGTATGTAGCCTTTTCAGATTGGTACCTTTCACTTAGCAATATGCATGTAAGTTCCCTCCATGTCTTTTCATGAATTGATAGCTCATTTCTTTTTTAAGGACTGAATAGTATTCTGTTGTATTGTTGTACCACAGTTTATCTATTCAGCTGTTGAAAGACATCTTGGTTGCTTCCAAGTTTTGGCAATCATGAATAAAGCTGTTATAGACATTCAAGTGCAGATTGTGTGTGTGTGTGTGTGTATGTGTGTGTGTGTGTGTGTGTATGTGTGTGTAAATGTTTAGTTCTTTGGAGTAAATTCCAAAGAGTGGGATTGCTGGATCATATGGCAAGAGTATGTTTAGTTTTATAAGAAACTGCCAAACTCTCTTCTGACGTGGCTGTACCATTTTGCACTCTCACCAGCAGTAAATGAGAGTTCCTATTGCTTCACATCCTCATCAGCCTTTGATGCTGTCATGTTTTTGATTTTGGCCATTTTAATAGGTGGGTTGTGGCATCTTATCATTATTTTAATTTCTAATTCACTAATAGCAAGATGTTGGGCATATTTTCATATGCATATTTACCATCTCTATATTATTGTTAGTGAGGTGTCTGTTTAGATCTTTTGCCCATTTTAAAAAATAAAGTTGTTGATTTTCTTACTATTTAGTCCTTTCTTCGTTTGCTCCCTCCCTCCTCTCTCTCTTTCTTTCCTTCTTTATCTCTCTCTTTCTCTCTCTCTCTTTCTCTCTCCTTCTCTCTCTCCCTCCCTCCTTCCCTCTCTCTCTTTCTCTCTTTCTTTCTTTCTTTCTGTCTGTCTGTCTCTCCCTCTCTCTCTCTTTCTTTCTCTCTTCTTTTATGAGACAGGGTCTCACTAGCTCACTGTAGCCCCAATCTCCTGGGCTCAAACGATCCTCCCACCTCAGCCTCCCAAGTAGCTGGGATTACAGGTGTGTACCACCACTCCCAGTTAATTTTTGTATTTTTTGTACAGACAAGTTTTCACCATGTTGCCCAGGCTACTATTTAGTTTTCAGAATTCTTTGTATATTATGAATAAGAGTCTTATTGATACATCTTTTGGAAATACTTTCTCCCAGTCTGTGGCCTGCCTTTTTATTCTCTCAACTGCTGTTTCTTTTTAAAATTTTACTTTTAAAAAATTCTTCATCATTTAATCATAGGCACTTAAAAAGATGATGACAAAATGATAACTGCAGTTCATTAACATAATTCTATCTTAACAACATATGAAGATTCAGACCACCCATTGTTTTGTTGTTGAGTAATACTAAAACATTTTTCCCACTTATTCTATTGGAATGATATGGTTGAAAGCTCTTTTTGGAATGTATTAAACTCTTCCTGGGAGGAATGGAGTAGATAGTATTTCCCCATCTGACAGCTGAGAACTTAGATATTCGGAAGTTAAAAATATGTTCTGACCTTTACTTGGTAAGTGAGAAACCAAACTGATTATCATCTACTTTCCTTTATCAGGTCATTCAAGTCTATAGAGTTTTCTGGTGTATACAAATTACAGTTGTTTCATTGTGTAAACAATGCTATCAGGTAGACATATGATTCACTTTTGAATGTGCTTTCACTCCAGGGAATTAAAGGAAGAATAAGAAGCAGAAAGTCATCTGATAAAATAATTTAATCTGTACATGAAATGAGAAAATCATTTTTGAAATACTGACCTGTTTTTGATGATATAGAACAGTAGGCAAAGAAAAAACAGACTCTGCATGTTATTTTTTAAACAGGTCCAGCATTTAATTGTGCCACAAATATTGGGTGCTTCTTATATTAATTGCAAAATTATCTGAATTCCTATGTTTTGTTCTTCAGGCCCTAAATATATGCACGTACATCCACTGACATTTTTCCAGAGGAAAACAATTAAACATAATATAAGCTAGGTCATGAAAACATGTACTGCATTTATTTGTGTTTCCTTTTCAGTAATACTCCCCTGGCAACACACACACACACACACACACACACACACACACTTTGAATAGAAAATAAAAAGAACTCTTGTCCTATTTAGCAATTTCCTCACCCCCACCATGCTTTGAAACAGCAAATTCTACTGCCTCAGAAGAGCAGACTCATCCTTTTTCTCTCTATAGAAAAGGAAAAACAGCTCTCGCTTCTGGCTGAGCTGGGAAATAGCAAAACGCTACATGATGTTCTCCCTCCTACTAGTGTGCCGCTGCATCTTTTTTCCTCCTTCCTTGAAGCCATTTCATTCACATAGGATGCCTCAGGACCAGTGGTCCTTCATTCATTCATTTATAAAACAATTGTAATTTGATACTATTTTGAAATTGTTGATGTGTTTTCCTCTATTGCCTTTCGCAGTGTAAAACCTTCACCCTAGTCCTTCTTTCTATGGGTGATTAAAAAGACAAAAATAGAAAATTATTTAAAAATGCCAATTTTGGACATGCAAACAGAGTTAAAGAGTAAAACGATAGATGTGTAAGCCAGGCTATTTTCTTGCCAGATAATTTGCCAAAATTTTCAGTTACAACTCCTGCCCTCTTAAGCATACCAAAGAGCTTAATCTGAAATTCACTTGTAGTATAAAGTGGTATTTCTCAAAATATCTGTGGTGAAGGACCAGCATTTTCTCTCCAGTCCATCAAAGATGAATTATTTTGTACAATACAAGTAAAACTCATTATTGGGAAAATTAAATTATAAAAAACAGACATAAAATACAAGCCACAATTATTTATTAGATTCGATAGACAAAAATTACTTCGTCAAGTTCCTACAAAAGTATGAAACACATTTCAATTTTGTACTTAGCTCGTCGTGGAGCACAACAGAGTTTTCTAGATGGCCCCGGCCCACAGACCTCACTTTGAGACCTCACTTTTTCAGTAGCACTGAAAAAGTCACACTTTCACCTATGATGATGAAGCGTCCCTACAATCCCCCAGTTTCCACCTCATCTTCCAATCCCCCCATCTTCCACCTCAGGATACTCCTATATAGTGTGGATGCTCCTTTAAGAGCCACAAAAGAGGGAAATAGGTAGACTTAAAGGCTGACAGTAGAGGACAAGCCAATGATCTGGATGGAAGGAGTGTCAGGCTTGGAAGGCTATAAGGCAATGGGGAGCAAGGGGAGGCCAAGTGAAGCAGGAAGTGCCCCATGGTTCAGATCATGTCAAGAGGGAGGCCGAACTCAGCACTTCAAGTGTTACAGACATCTGCCTCAGAAGCTATCAGTGACCAGAAGAGCCTGGAATAACACAGTGATACCACAAGGATCTGATGACCTGTCATTTTCCCACCCTCCTTTGAGGTCACAGGAGCCATCCCTTTCTCCCTCAAGTACTATTCTTAGGGAAAGAGATAGAGGGAGAGAAAAGGCTGAGAGAATAAAAGATGTTTTGCAAATGAAAAACTGAGTTTTACATGAAGGAACTACTCAGTTTAACAGATGGACTAAATTTTAACCAGATTAGACCTTCAATTTCCCCAAACCACTCTAGGGTCACAATCTTGTCTTGCTTTCCAAGACTTTCCTGGTTTTAACACTGAAAATCTTATTCTTGGAGACCCCTCAGTCCTGGGTAAATGGGGACTCTTCTGCCAGAACTACTAGAAGATGGGGATTTAGGAAGAAGCCCTATCAATTATATATTAAGCAATTGATTTATCATTTATCTGTACATCAGAGTTTTAACATGAGTTACATTTTGCAATCTGTGATAGTTAATTTCAATGTGTCAAACTTGACTGGGCCAAGGGTTGCCCAGTAGCTGGTAAAACATTATTTCTGGGTGTGTTTATGGGATTATCATTTGAATCAGTAGACTGAGTAAAAAAGATTGCCCTCACCAATGTGGGCAGGCATTATCCAATCTGTTTAGGGTCTGAACAGAACAAAAAAGTAGAGGAAGGGCAAATTCACTCTCTGCATGAGCTGAGGCATTCATCTGCTCCTGCTCTTGGATGCTGGCACTACTGCTTCTTGGGCTTTCAGACTCAGACTGAGACTTTTACCCCATCAGCAACCAGATAATCAGGCCTTTGGAGTCAGACTGAATTACATCAACAGTTTTCTTGATTCTCCAGCTTGCAGATGTCATATCATGTGCCTTCTCAACCTCTATAATCATGTAAGCCAATTTCTATAATAAATCTTCTCATATATATAGGTTCTGTTTCTCTGGAGAACTCTAATAAACAGCCCTACTCCAAAATATATACTGAGTGCCTACTATGGCGGGGCAATGAGGTAGGTGCTGGTAACACAATAGTAAACAAGATGGATGTGATCTCTGCCCTCGTGGGAGCTCCATACCATTAGGACTTTCTTCTCTCTGGTTAGTATATGTTTCAGAGTCAAGCCTGAAATGGAAAAGGAAGATAAAGTGTAAACGTAAATATCATCTTTTTATAAGAATCACTCCCCAACTTCATTCCATAACACTTTCATTTGTCACATTGCTCTATGTGCTCTATGTGCATTTTTGCTTAAAGTCCAATCAATTACACTATTGATAGCTATGTACTATGAATAAATAGATCACTATTTTTTTTAGAAAAACAGTGAAGACTCTTTTTAACTATTGACAGATTTCTTGTTTACTGAAACAGTATAAAATAAATCCAACAATGTATAAGTGTAAGAAACAAAGAAAAAAATAATTGTATCTGTAATCCTACTTTGACATAACCACCATCAATATTTGGGTGATCATCCTTTCAGTTACTTCTTTGTGTATGCATATACAAACACATATATAATTTTAATTAACTAGGATGCAAAGACACAAGCTGGATTTTTCAGTGGAGTCACTTTTGCCTTTTTATTTTTTACTTGCTTTTTTTCTGACTCCTCCTTCCTTCTTCCCTCTCCATACATGTCATGCTCTGCACTCTCATGCTACACAATCTAATAGGTATCTTTCCCCTTTCCAGACTTATCTCTTAATTGCTATAAATTACACAGATTATTTTGATTTTCAATATTTAGTAGCTTAGGAGTGGGGAGCCCCCTTTTCCCACCAGCCCTAACCTTGGACACTAAAGTAGAAAGGACTCTTCTCCTAGACCATTAACCTCATTTTGTCATGTAATATTAAAATCTTAGGATATAATCATATAGAATCTGATTCTGTTTTGTCCACTTGTAAGGTCTGTGATTTGGGGCAAGAAGGTTGCTTACTCTCTCCGAGCTTTAGTTTTCTTGACTCTGATGAATATTAAATAAGATAGTTACATAAGTCACTGAGTTCTCCCATAGATAGTACTCTCATTAAGCACTTGTCAAATTGTGATGTAAGTATTTGTTAATAGGGCCCCCTGTCCCACCAGAATGGGAGTTTTTTGAGAACAGAATCTTGGTTTATTTATATTTTCTTTCAACACCAAGCTCCTACTATATTTCATTTTATTGTATTTTATGTTATGTTATGTTATGTTATGTTATGTTATGTTATGTTATGTTATGTTATGTTATGTTATTTTTAGTTAAGACGGAGTCTCGCTCTATTTCCCAGGCTGGAGTGCAATGGCACAATCTCAGCTCACTGCAACCTCTGCCTCCTGGGTTCAAGCGATTCTCTTGCCTCAGCTTCCCAAGTAGCTGGGATTACAGGCACCTGCCACCATGCCTGTCTAATTTTTGTATTTTTAGTAGGGACAGGGTTTCACCATGCTGGCCAGGCTGATCGCGAACTCCCAACCTCAGGCAATCCACCCACCTCGGCCTCCCAAATTGATGGGATTACAGGCGTGAGCAACCGTGCCTGGTCCCTACTATGTGTGATTATATGTTTTTAAGTGAATTTGTGATTCTTTAATAAGGTGTTGGCCACTAACTAGCCCAACAGAAGTGAGAACTTACTTTGGCCCTTGTGGGATGTTCCAGAGCCCCTATCTATGCAGAGACCAGAAGGCAGTGACGACGCTAACTAAAAAGGCCTGGGGCTTGTCATCTACACTCTCCAGGTGTGAATAAAATATTCATACTTGTTCTCACTTAGCACTGAAAAAAATTGGATGAGATAGGAGTATTATTTCTATGTTTATACAAAAGAAAATTGAAGCTCAGAGAAGTTAAGTAAATTGCTCGGGCTAAGTCAATTTTACAGTGGTAGAACTGTAATTTGAACTCAGGCATTACTGTAAACTGAATGTTTGCATCCCCCAAAATTCATATGTTGGGGGCTGTATTTGGAGATGGGGCTGTATTTGGAGATTGGGCCTCTAAGTAAGTAATTAAGGTTAAATGAGGTCATAAGGATGGGTCCCTCATCCCATAGGAATAGTATTCTTGTGAGAAGAGATACCAGAGAGAGATAGCTCACTTGCATGCTCTCTCTCTCTCTCCCCCAAACTCCCTCCCTCTCCCCCTCTCTCCACATGCAGGAATAGAGAAAAAGCCATGTGGAACATAACAAGACGGTGGCTTTCTGTAAGCCGGGAAAAGATACCTTATCAAAAATTGAATTGGCCATAACCTTGATCTTGGACTTTAGCTTCCAGAACCATGAAAATGGATTTCTTATTTAAGCCACCTAGTCTGTGGTATGTTGTTATGGCAGCCTGAGCCAACTAATACAGGCATTGTTCTAGTTACCTGTCTTAGTACATTCAGGCTGCAAAAACAAACATCATAAGCTGGGTGGTTTATAAACAACAAATATTTCTCACAACTCTGAAGACTGGGAAGTCTAAAATCAAGGCTCCAGCAGATTGAGTGTCTGGTGAGGGCCTGCTTCTTCTTAGACGGTACTTTCTGTGTTCTCACATGGTGAAAGGTGCTAGCTACGTCTCTGGAGTCTCTTCGATAAGGGTGCCAATCACCACCCAAATGTACCACCTCCTACTAAAAGCACATTGGTGATTAGGTTCTGGCACATGAATTTTGGAGGAACACATCATGCAGGTCATAGCATTAGCTACTGCCATGTAGTAAATCATTTCAAAATTTAGTGTCTTAAGACAACACAATCATTTTCTCATCTCTCAAAGTTTCTGTGGATCAGGAACTCTGGAAGGACTTAGCTGGGAAATTATGGTGCTGCCATTCTTGGGGTTGCTGTCAAACTGTGACTGGAAATGGAATAGCTGGTAAATGGTTGGGCATCTCATTCTCCTTATGTAGGCTCAGGACCTCCCTAGGGGTCTTTCTGCATGGGCTGTTGGAGTGCCTAATAGAATGACAGTCACAGAGTCATTGGACTGCTTACATGGTAGCTGAAGATATCAAGACTGACTAGTTCAGCTAATAAGGCAGAAGCACTGTTGTCTTTTATGACCTAACCTCTGAAGTCATTTGGTGTCCCTTCCATTCTATTGGTTGTAAGAAATCCATAGCTTCATGAGTTTGAAGGGAAGAGGAACTAGACTCTATGTCTTTATGAGGAAATGGTAAGATTTTAGAAGGGCATGTAGGATGGGATATCCTTTTGTAGTCATATGTTGAAAATACAATCTGCAATAGACATATATGTATATGTTTGGTTACAGAGATCATGATTTTCCCATAATAATCTGGTGAGGCTAAAATAGAAACCCTTATCTTGGAGGGATTATCTACTCAGATAGTGTATAGATAAAGGAGATGTGTCATTGTGAGTTTTTATGAATGAGCTGAGCTGTGTCCCAGTCCACTTTAAGATAGCTAGGGTCACAGAAGTCATTTTCAAACAGCTGCCCTTAAAGTAACTCTCTTAGCAAAGTCTTCCAGTGAGGGATTGGGGTCTACTTGGTCAGGTAAAAGAGTCATTCATTTTGTCATAAAGCCAGAGAACTAAAGAGCCCTGAGCATCAGTTAGAACATTTGTTTGAGGGGATCTGACCCAGGACCAAGCAATGAGCAATTCAGGTTGACCTCAGATTCCCTTCCAGAGCAGAAGACCAGTAAGGGGATAGGGGGATGTGGGAGGATGGAAAGTGTGGGAATAAGGGGAGTGGTCATGGTATGAGATGGGGGTAGGTGATAGGAAGTCCACAAACTTGGCAGCAGTACACTGCGTAGGATACAGTTGGATGGAAGTGCCTTGCAAAGATACTTAAGAGAACAAATTCTTCAGCAGTAGGACCCAGCAAAGGTAGTAAGAAGGTAATTTTGCTTGATGACAAAGGAGCCTTGGTTGTCCACACTGGAGGAAAAAAAATCACAAAACCACGTGAGATGATCCAAAGGCTATATCTTGCTCATATTTGCTGATTGATAGAGGACTGCCTCTTAGAATGGAGTTTCTGGGCACCCAATTTATCTCAGTTTCTCTTATCTTTGGAATAGGCTTGGCGAAAAACAGATCCTATATGTTCTGTATTCACAAAACCTTGCCCCAGCCTTAATTGTATCAAAAATGGAAAAGAATGAAAAAAAAATCACTCTCAAAAGATTTAGACTTAGTTCCCAGAGGAAGCTGAAATACTGCTGAGGCTGGTGATTGAAATGTTAATCAAGAACCTAAAATGTTTATTGAGGGCCTTGGTGCTCCCTCTGTCAATGTTTTCCCACTAATAGTTATCAGGGTAAAAGTACCAAGGCTATCAAATAATTCAAGGTAAATCAAGATGATATTAATTCATACAATTTTTGAAAGGCAGAGAGTTTCCTTAAGAAGTTAAGTATTTTTAAACTGAGTCTGACAGGATTGTGGAAATAAACACTGTTAGAGTAAAATGGGATGAATTAAATTGAGTTTCCAGCACCCCTTAACTCTTCCATGCAACCAGTGTTGTCTTAGTCCATTCAGACTTCTATAACAAAATTTCAAAAACTGGATAACTTATAAAGAACATAAATTTATTTCACAGTTCTAGAAGCTAGGAAATCCAAGATCAAGGCAACAGCAGATTCAGTGCTTAGTGAGGGCCCACTTCCTGGCTCATAGAACAGCATCATCTCAATGTGTCCTCACATTGTGGAAGAAGCAAGACAGCTCTCCAGGGTTTCTTTTATAAGGGTCCTCATCCTATCATGTAGGATACAGTACACTGGGTGGGATACAGTTGGATGGAAGTGCCTTGCAACAACACTAAGAGACCAAATTTTCCAGCAGTAGTACCCAACAAATGCAGTAAGAAGAGAATTTTGCTTGATGACAAAGGATCCTGAATTAGACTGTTGTCACGTTGCTAAAAAGAACTACCTGAGAGAGGTAATTTATGAAAAAAAGAAGTTTAATTAAATCATAGTTCCATAAGCTATACAGGAAGCATGGCTGAGGAGGCCTCAGGATACTTACAATCATGGTGGAAAGTGAAGGGGAAGTTGGCACATCCTACACGGCAGGAGCAGAAGGAAGAGAGCAAATGGGGAGGTTCTACACACTTAACCAGATCTCATGAGAACTCACTCATTATCATGAGAACAGCAAGGGGTAAATCTGCCCCATGATCCAATTACCTCCCACCAGGCTCCTCTTCCAATGCTTGGGATCACAATTCAACATGAGATTTGGTGGGGACACAGAGCCAAACCATATCATTCTGTCCCTGGCCCCTCCCAAATCTCATGTCCTTCTTACATTTCAAAACATAATCATGCCTTCCCAACAGTCCCCCAAAGTATTAACACATTCCAGCATTAACTCAAAAGTCCAATTTCAAAGTCTCTTCTGAGACAAGGCAAGTCCCTTCTGCCTATGAATTTGTAAAATAAAAACCAAGTCAGTTACTTCCAGGATACAATGGGAGTACAGGCATTGGGTAAATGCTCCCATTTCAAAAGGGAGAAATTGGCCAAAACAAAGGAGTTACAGGCCCCATGCAATTCTGAAACCCAGCAGGACAGTCATTAAATCTTAAGGCTCTAAAATAATCTCATTCAAATCCATGTCTCACATCCAGGTACACTGATGCAAGGGGTGGGCTCCCACGGCCTTGGGCATCTCTGTCTCTGTGGCCCTGCATTGTACATCCCCTGCAGATATTTTCATGAGCTGACATTGAATGCCTGTGGCTTATCCAGGCACATGGTACAAGCTTTCGGTGGATCTACAATTTTGGGGTCTGGAGGACAGTGACCCTCTTCTCACAGCTTCAGTAAGCAGTACCCCAGTGGAGATTCTGTGTGGAGGCTCCAACCCCACATTTCTCCTCCACACTGCCCTGTGAGAAGTTCTCCATGAGGGCCCTGCTGCTACAGCAGACTTCTGCCTGAACACCCAGGCATTTCCATACATTGTTTAAAATCTAGGCGGAGCTCTGAAACCTCAATTCTTGACTTCTGGGCACCCGCAGGCCCAACACCACATGGAAGCTGCCAAGGCTTGGGGCTTGCATCCTCTGAAGCAATGGCTCAAGCTCAAGCTGTATCTTGGCCCCTTTTGGCCACAACTAGAGCTGGAGCTCCTGGGATGCAGGACACCATGTCCTGAGGCTGCACAGAGGAGCAGGGCCCTGGGTCTGGGTCACAAAACCATTTTTCCCTCCTAGGCATTCAGGTTGGTGATGGAAGGGGCTGCCAAGAGTGTCTCTGACATGCTCTGGAGGCATTTTCCCCATTGTCTTGGCTATTAACATTTGGCTCCTCTTTACTTATGCAAATTTCTGTGGCCTTGAATTTCCTCCTTATAAAGTGTGTTTTTATTTTCTACTGTATGACCAGCTGCAAATTTTCCAAACTTTGATGCTGTGCTTCTCTTTTAAATATAAGTTCTAGTTTCAGGTCATTTCTTTGTTTATGCAAATGAGTTAGGCTTTTAGAAGTAGCCAGGACACATCTTGAATGCTTTGCTTCTTAGAAATTTCTTCCACCAGACACCCTAAATCATCTCTCTCATGTTCAAAGTTCCACAGATCTCTAGAGTGAGGGGACAATGCCACTCGTCTCTTTGCTAAAGCATAACAAGAGTGACCTTTACTCCAGTTTCTAGTAAGTTCCTCATCTCCATTTGAGACCACCTCAGCCTTGGCTTCACTGTCCGTATCACTATCAGCATTTTTGGTCACAACAATTTAGCAAGTCTCTAGGAAGTTCCAAACTTTCCCTCATCATCCTGTCTTCTTCTGATCCCTCCACACAGTCCCAACCTCTTCCCATTACCCAGCTCCAAAGCTGCTTCCAGATTTTCAGGCATCCTTATAGCATTGCCTCATTCCCAGTACCAATATTCTGTATTAGTCCATTCTCACACTGCTATAAAGAACTACCTGAGACTGGGTAATTTATGAAGAAAAGAGGTTTATGGCTGCATAGTATTCCCTGGTGTATATGTGCCACATTTTCTTAATCTAGTCTATCATTGATGGACATCTGGGTTGGTTCCAAGTCTTTGCTATTGTGATTGTGAATAGTGCCACAATAAACATACATGGGCATGTGTCTTTATAGCAGCATGATTTATAATCCTCTGGGTATATACCCAGTAATGGGATGGCTGGGTCAAATGGTATTTCTAGTTCTAGATCCTTGAGGAATCGCCACACTGTCTTCCACAATGGTTGAACTAGTTTACAGTCCCACCAACAGTGTAAAAGTGTTCCTATTTCTCCCCATCTTCTCCATCACCTGTTGTTTCCTGACTTTTTAATGATCGCCATTCTAACGGGTATGAGATGGTATCTCATTGTGGTTTTGATTTGCATTTCTCTGATGGCCAGTGTTGATGAGCATTTTTTCATGTGTCTGTTTGAAGCTGGAAACCATCATTCTGAGCAAACTATCGCAAGGACAGAAAACCAGACACCACATGTTCTCACTCCTAGGTGGGAATTGAACAATGAGAACACTTGGACACAGGGTGGGGAACATCACACACTGGGGCCTGTCGTGGGGTGGGGGAAGTGGGGAGGGATAGCATTAGGAGATATACCTAATGTAAATGATGAGTTAATGGGTGCAGCACACCAACATGCCACATGTATACATATGTAACAAACCTGCACTTTGTGCACATGTACCTTATAACTTAAAGTATAATAATAAAAAAGAGGTTTAATTGACTCACAGTTCTGCAGGCTGTACAGGAAGCATGGCTGAGGAGGCCTCAAGAAACTTAAAAATTGTGGTAGAAGGCAAAGGGGAAGCAAGCACATCCTACCTTGGTGGAGCAGGAGAGAGTGAAGGGGGAAGTGCTACACACTTTTAAACAACCAGATCTCATGAGAAATCATTATCACAAGAATAGCAAGGGCAGGTCTGCCCCCATGATCCAGTCATCTCACATCAAGTCCTACCTCCAACACTCAGGATTATAATTCATTAGATTTGGGTGGTGACACAGAGACAAACCATATCAGAGGCTTTACATGTTAATACACACACACACACACACACACACACACACACAGTCTCCCTAAGCTTAGGACTAACCTCACTAAACTGAGTTTGGAGACTGGCATACAGTTCAGGGAACATGGGAACATGTTTTATACTGTTGTCATTTCCTTTCCACTTTCTTTCCCAATTTCGAAAAGATATTCTACTGTTGAAAACAGACTAATGTGAAATCTTTTGAACCTGATTTTTCCCCACGCATAAACTAGCAACTGAAATGCAGAGGCAATTAATTCAGAGAAATAAAGAATGGAGATTTAAGCCTTGGGAAATAAATTCTAGTTTTTATTAAATATTTGGACTAGCATAAGAGGAAAGTATATTTATTGATGTATTTTTTCCCAAAGCTTAGCGTATTTTATCTGAGTGATTACCAATCTTTCGTCATAGACATTTATGTCAAACCACTCATTCCTGCCCCCAAATTACCACGGCAATGCAAAGTAATCTGAAAAATCATTGTCAACCTAGGTGCACATTGGTCTGAGGAATGGTGAATATTTTTTCTCCACTTAGGAAGATTGTCCTGCTCAGTCATGGAATCACTCTGCGAAAAAGAGAACACCACAAAAGCAGTAGATTCATTTTTAGTGCTCAATGGAGGGGAGCTGACCCAGCTTAATTACTGTGGTTACTGTAAGAGTTATTGCCTTTCTAATGCCTTCTTCCTGCAGGCTAACCTGCAGCACCTTTTGATACCCAATGGCAGGAATTTCCTATGAAGTGTTGCCTTTAGGATCACTTTTTCTAGAAGAGTCATATCCCTGAAATATTTTTTCATCGTGTTTCAGCAACCCATAGAATTTGGAGTAAAATTCAGAGCCATATTAATGAGAAGGCAAGCTGAGTATCTACCTAGGATGCAGATCTAAAAGGGGAACTGAAACATCGCTGGAATAAATTGGCAAAATGTAAATTGGTTTCACTCCTCACTGGTGTCAACCTGTCTGTGTTGAGTACTTTTGTGAATCACACATGAGCTCACCATCAGCTCAGTTCCAAAAATCAATAATGCATGTTGTTTTGCTTACCAGGAATGAGTGATTTAGTTTAATTATCTAAATGTTAAACCCTTAATTTTCCTCCAAAGATATTGTCTCATTTAGAAAATTATTAAAAAAAATTAAGAGAGAAAATTGCAGAAAAGGTAAGAAATATTTTGCTGTTATTTTTCAAAATACACATTATATAATATGTATAAATATACATTATACAATATGTATGCCTTTCTGTAGCTAGTGAGGTTAGTAAATGACAGTTTTCATATACAGTTTTTATTAATGAAAAAATCAGTTTCTTTCCTTTTAGCTTCCATAAAAAATGATATAAATATTTAAAGAAAATATTGTATGAGAGGTGCCAAATCATTAGCCTTCCCAGAGCAACCACTGGTCTTCAGTCAACTCTGAATGACACAATATCTTTTCAGCTTTTCAGCGTCTTTATTGTGGGAGCTAATACATAAACGGAAGGTATTTAGATTTGGTGCCAACCTTTAAAAGCCCATGTACTACATGTGTTCTTATTAAATAATCAACTCCTTTAATTTTAGTGAACCATTCTTTTGATTGTTATTTTTTTCCCCAACTCTCTAATGCCTTCACTTCTTTGCTTTTAATCTAGAAACATTTTTTGTTTGGCCAATTCATCATCAGTTATGAATTCTCACAATGTCATTTATAATTCATTCTGGAATATCATGCTAATTCTACATCAAATTAATTTAGTTTTACTCAGTCATTAGAAGACTAACCACAGTTTTCTGAGGACTTACCATATGTCAGGCACTGCATACATTTATACGATATGCATTCATTTTATCCTCATAGTAACCTCCTAACATATATATTACTATATCCATTCAAGATGAGAAAACAGAAACTAAAACACATTGCGTTTTTTGTTTTTTGTTTTTTTTTTTGCCTAAAGTTTCACAGACAATAACAGAACTAAAACTTGACCCCAGGTACATCAACTTGTCTGATGGTGAAACTCATGCTCTAGAAGCCTGTGCTGTCATTCATATCTATCATTTATTGAGCATATGATACACACCATGTTCTGCACTGGGCACTTTGCATTTATTTCAGATGAACTCTCCAAAGTTCAGAAAGGCTAAATATCTGCCTAAATGGTTTCATGCCCTGTAAGTAGCAAAGCTTAAAGTCAGGCCTGTTCTCTCCAAGTATACAAATGATCACAATGCATCCCAACCTTTAGATAGAGTTGGGAGTTTTCTTGGATTGACTGTAATACTGACAACTCCCTCAATAACTAGTATCTCCACTGGCATAAATGAAAGTCTTTAATATTGCTGAATTTTTAATCTTTAGGAACTAGTGTTTTTGTTTGTTTGCTTGCCTGTTTGATATAGCTGTGAGGATACTTGTCCACATCTTGGTTACTCAGTGCTTACCTTCTTCCAGGGAATTCTGGATGACATCTGGCCAGAATTTTTCACATATGAAAATTAGCTGTACGTATTACTTTTTGAAGCTTTAATATGGGCTAGGGTTGCTGTCTATCCTTTCATTCCTAATGTTCCCTTTAGCAGGTAAATGAACAGTTTATAAACACTTATCTTAAGTCATTTTTCATTTGGCCTTTCATTTTATTTTGGCAAAAGCAGAGAGAGAAAAATCTATATTAAGCTAGAGACTTAGCTTATTAACACTGCAGTATTTAACAAACCATTCTCACTTACTTAGATGTCAGGCAGATTTTCTCTGTTTTTAGTTCAGTTTCACGAAAAGAGTAGCATTAAGAAACATTTGCTTTAATTCTTGTCAGTTATCAAATATCAACTATGCCTAAGCTCGAATGATTGTTTTAAACAGATATTCTCCTAAATGGATTCCATTCATCAAATCAGTTTAGGTAGCTGCTGTGGTTGGCCACTAACTGGGGCTCTTGAGGTAAAGAGCTTTAGACATGGTTCCCAGTGACTCCTGGTATTCATGCCTTTGTACAGTACCCTCTCCTTGAGTGTGATCTGGATCTAGTGACTTGCTTCTAATAAGTAGAATACATCAAAAGTGATAGGTGCAATTTCCATGCTTACGTTACAAAAAGATACTGGCTTTCATCTTGCTAGAATTCTTCCTTGCTGTTATTCTCTTTTGCTCTCTTACTTGCTCACTTTAATGAAGCAAGCTGCCATATTATGCAATGAGAAGCCCTACTTGGTAAGGAACAGAGACAGACATCTGGCCAAAAGTTTTTGAGGAACTGAGGTCCTTATTCCAACAGCCCATGCAAGACTGAATCCTGCCAACAACAATATGAGTGATTGGGAAGCAAATCCTTCCCAGTTGAGCCATGAGATGACTGCAACCCTGTGAGAGATCCTGAGCTGGAGGACCTGGATAAGTGCACCCAGAATCCTGACCCACAGTGTGAGATGATACATGTTGTTTTAAGCCACTAAGTTTTAGGGTAATTTGTTATGCAGCCATAGATAATTAATACAGACTTTGGTACTGAGGGTGGGGTTCTTCCATAACAAACGTCTACAAATGTGGAGTACACTGGAACTGGGCATTGAGTGGATGCTGGAGGAATGTTGAAGATCATGATAAGAAAGCCAGACTGCCTGGAACAGATTGTTACTAGAAATTTGGATATTGAAGATATTGCCAGTGAGGGTCAACAGAAAGCAAGGAACATGTTATTGGAAAATAGAAGAAGGTGGATCCTTGTCGTGGAATAGCAAAAGATTAATGACATTGTTGTCTACAGTTATATCTAAAGGAGAATATTTGCCTAATAAACTTGGTAACTTAGCTGAAAAGATTTCCAAGAAAAATGTTATAGGTCATGCTTAATTTCTTCTCACTGCTTATAGTGAAATGTGAGAGAAAGAAAGAGAAATTGAGATGACTATTAAACAATAAGAAGATGTAAATTAATAATTTTGAGAAATTATCAGCTCCTCCAGGCAGCAAAAAATTCTAAAATTAAGAAATGGCATCAGAGAACTGTCAGAAAAAAACATGGCCTCGAGATAATCCTGGCCTAGGAGAAAAGTTGAGGGTGTAACTATTCTTATTCTTAGAAAAATAAATTGAATTAATATTCAGTCACGCAAAGGGATTCAGGTTAAGTCTCACAGATTCCCTCAGGCAAGCAATGTAGCCTCTAGGAAGCTGAAGAACATTGTCCCTCAGCTATCTCAGCACGAACTCAAGGTACAGAAGGGCTTTCCTCAAAGACATTTGTGGCTGTGGGTTTTTAAAGTGGATTTAACCCCAATAGGATTCACAGGAGGCTCACAAAGTTTTTGAGAAAACTATACTAGCAGGTACATTGCTAGTTTCAACTGAAAGGGGCAGAGAGAGGGCAAAATGAAAAGAAGAATTATATTTCCCCAAATGCTACTGTCAGGAAGCTAGATGAGAGAGCAATTTCTCCACAACCATGTACTATCTTTTATGAAAAATAGATGAAGACTCAGAGAAACAAACCAAGTACTCAAAGGGTAGAGCTGAGAGCCATGGAAAAGTTTTCCCAGAACTTGAAACCTGATAAAGGAATTTGCAACATTTGTCTAGCTTTTTTTCCGAATTGCTGTGGACTTTTTCTGTCTTCTGTTTTCCCTCCTTTTGAGCAGGAGTATCTAAAATGGTTATCTTATGCTTGTCCCAGCGTTAAGTGTTTGGGTGTGTTGGAGCAGGTATCTTGTCCCTTTAGTTTTTCAGATCTACAGATGGAGAAGTGTACCCCAGGAGCTACACCTGAGGATCTTCATCCACACATAGGCTTGATTTTGAAGATAAGCCTCTGGTATCTGACTTGATGCTGTAGTGGGATGAGACTTTTGGAGATCATAGCAGGGGCTGAAAGGATTTTGCATGTGGAAGGGACATGTATAAGTGGGAACAGGGGGTAGACTGTGAGAGACAGCTTCTAACATGACTCCCAGTGACCTAGCCCTCTCTCCTCTGGCATTTATGATCTTCTCCTCTTGAAGGCAATTTAGACCCAGTGACTTGCTTCTAACAAACAGGATATGGCAAATGTGTTGGAGTGTTACTTCCCTGATGAGGTTAGAAAAGACTGTGACTCCTTTCTTTCTAATACCTGCTAACTTACTGGTACTCTTTCTTGCTCTCTAGCTTGCTCTGATGATGCAAGCTGCTATGTTGTGAGATTTTTCGATGAAGATGTCCATGTGGCAAAGAACTAAGGAAAAATCTCTGGCCAACAGCATGTGAGGAACTCAGACTCATTCCAACAGCTTGCAGGAAAATGAATCTTGCCAGCAACCATAAGAGTCAGCTAGAATGATATTCTTCCTAATCATGCCTTGAGATGACTGTAGCCTTGTTAGAGAATCTGAGCTGGAGAACCCTGACTTGGAGATGCGTAAAATACATGTGTTTTATTTTAGTCTGCTGTGTTTTGGGGCAACTTGTTACACAGCAATAGATAACAAATACAGCTCATTTCTTGTAGCCTTCTTCAAAAATTATGCGGAGACGTGCTCTGCTCGGGTTGAGCTGCCCCAGAATCCCCATTCTTTGCATGCCTGGTGGACACGTCTCTATTTTTTTCAGAAATATAATCTTTTTGCTATTAGAATGTCACTGTGTAGTTATCTTTTCACTCATAGGTCCTCATTTGGGCCCTAACAGATAGACTCCTGACCTGAGTTTCAGCCTCTACATTTTTATTATCAATTTTATTTATTTTTTGTAATTACAAAAAAAAATTGTCAATTGGTAATAATAATCGTGTACTTTATAACTAATAATTGCTTTTATAATTTAATAACCATTTATGTCAGACACTATACTAAGACCTTTGAGTTACCCTACATATGTTAAAACATTCATTATTTTTAATTTTACTCACTAGACTATGTTTTCTAATTTATAGAGTTTCAGGGAGCTTGTGTAACTTGCTCACAGTCACACAGACAGTAAGGAATAGAGCTGGGATATGAACCTGCATCTAGATAATCCATCTCCAGAGGCCACACTCACATACTGAAAAGTAAAAATAAAAGTTAATAATTTCACTACCACAAATGTTAGCATCAGAAATTATGTCTGTTAGTAGTATATTGACTTATTTAGTTTATTTGGCTTCTTTTTTTCTTTTTCTATGTATATGAGTGTATTAGTCTGTTTTTACACTGCTATGAAGAACTGCCAGAGACTGGGTAATTATAGAGAAAAGGGGTTTAATTGACTCACAGTTCTACATGGCTGGGGAGGCCTCAGGAAACTTAAAATCATGGCGGAAGGGGAAGCAGGCACATCTTACATGGTTACAGGTGAGACAGAAAGAAAGAGAGAATCCAAGGGGAAGCTCCCATTTATAAAACCAACAGATCTCATGAGAACTCCCTCACAATTATGAGAACAGCATGGGGGATCATAGAACCCCATGATCCAATCACCTGCCATCAGGTTCCTCCCTAAACACTTGGGGATTACAATTCAAGATGAGATTTGGGTGGCGAGACAAAGCCTAACCATATTAAATGACTATTTATTTGATACAGTAAAAACTTCTGCTTTTTCTACTATTTTTCTGGATGCTCTCTCTCCCCCAGCACCCCCAACAGGCCCCAGTGTGTGTTGTTTCCATCCCTGTGTCCATGGGTTCTCATCGTTCAGTACCCACTTATAAGTGAGAACTTAGAGTGTTTGGTTTTCTGTTCCTGCATCAGCTTGCTGATGATAATGGCTTCTATCTCTATCCATGTCTCTGCAAAGGACATGATCTCTGATATGGTTTGGCTGTGTCCTCACCGAAATCTCATCTTGAATTATAGCTCCCATAATCCCCACATGTCATGGGAGGGATCCAGTAGGACATAATTGAATCATGGGGATGGGTCTTTCCTGTGCTGTTCTAGTGATAGGAAATAAGTCTCATGAGATCTGATGGTTTTATAAATGGAAGTTCCCCTGCACATACACTCTTGCTTGCTGCCTTGTAAGACGTGTCTTGCTTCCTCTTTCCCTCCACCCTGATTGGGAGTCCACCCAGCTATGTGGAACTGTGAGTCAATTAAACCTCTTTCCTTTATAAATTACCCAGTCTTGGGTATGTCTTTATTAGTAGCATGAGAACAGACCAATACAATCTCCTTCTGTTTTACAGCTGCATAGTATTCCTTTTTGTATATGTACCACATTTTCTTTACCCACTCCATCATTGATAGGCATTTGGGTTGATTCCATGTCTTTGCTATTGTAAATAGTGCTGCAATGAACATGCACGTGCATGTATATTTATAATAGAATGATTTATATTCCTCTGGGTATATACCAAGTAATTGAATTGCTAGGTCAAATGGTTTTTCTGGTTCTAGATCATTGAGGAATCATCACACTGTCTTCCACAATAGTTGAACAAATCTACATTCCCACCAACAGTGTAAAAGCATTCCGATTGCTCTGTTACTTGCCAGCATCTGTTGTTTCTTGACATTTTAATAATTGCCATTCTGGCTGGCATGAAATGGTATCTCATTGTGGTTTTGATATGCATTTATCTAATGATCAGTGATGTTATGCTTTTTTCATATGTTTGTTGGCTGTGTAAATGTCTTCATTTGAGAAGTGTCTGTGTTCACGTCCCTTGCCTACTTTTTAATGTTTTATTTTTCTTGAGAATTTGTTTAAGTCCTTTGTAGACTCTGGATATTAGACCTTCGCCAGATTGATAGATTGCAGAACTTTTCTCCCATTTCGTAGGTTATCCGGTTGCTCTGATGATAGTTTCTTTTGCTGTGCAGAACAGTTTAATTAGATCCCACTTGTCAATTTTTGCTTTTGTTGCAATTGCTTTTGGCATTTTCATAATGAAATCTTTGCCCTTGCCTATGTCCTGAATGGTATTGCCTAGATTTTCTTCTAGGGCTTTTTTGGTTTTACATTTAAGTCTTTAATCCATCTTGAGTTAATTTTTGTATAAGATGTAAGGAGGGGGTCCAGTTGCAATTTTCTGCAAAAGGCTGCCCAGATCTCCCAGCATCATTTATTAAAAAGGGAATCCTTTCTCCCTTTTTGCTTGTTTTTGCCAGGTTTGTTGAAGATCAGATGGTTGTATATGTGTGGTGTTATTTCTGAGGTCTCTATTCTGTTCCACTGGTCTATATGTCTGTTTTGGTATCAGTATCATGCTGTTTTGGTTACTATAGCCTTGTAGTGTAGTTTGAAATCAGGTAGTGTGAGGCCTCCAGCTTTGTTATTTTTGCTTAGGATTGTCTTGGCTATACAGGCTCTGTTTTGGTTTCATATGAATTTTAAAATAGTTTTTTATAATTCTGTGAAGAATGTTAATGGTAGTTTAATGGGAATAGCATTTAATTTATAAACTACTTTGCCCAGTGTGGCCATTTTCTTGATATTAATTCTTCCTATCCATGAGCATGGAATGTTTTCCATTTGTTTGTGTCCTCTCTGATTTCCTTGAGCAGTGGTTTGTTGTTCTCCTTGAAAAGGTCCTTCACTTCCCTAGCTGTATTCCTAGGTATTTTATTCTTTTTTATAGCAATTGTGAATGGGAGTTCATTCATGATTTGGCTCTCCACTTGTCTGTTGTTGGTGTATAGGAATGCCTATGAGTTTTGCACATTGATTTTGTGTCCTGAGAATTTGCCAAAGTTCCTTATCAGCTTAAGGAGCTTTGGGACTGAGATGACGGGGTTTTCTAGATATAGGATCATGTCATCTGAAACAAGGCAATTTGACTTCCTTACTTCCTTGTCTTGTGGTGACTTTCAAGGGGAATGCTTCCACCTTTTGCCCATTCAATATGATATTGGCTTTGGGTTTATCAGAAATGGCTCTAATTGTTTTGAGGTATGTTCCTTCAATGCCAAGTTTATTGAGAGTTTTAAACATGAAGAGATGTTGAATTTCACTGAAGGGCTTTTCCGGGTCTATTGAGATAACATGTGGTTTATATCTTTAGTTCTGTTTATGTGATGAATTGCATATATTGATTTGCATATGTTGAAATGTCCTTGCATCCTGGGGATGAAGCCGACTTGATCCTGGTGGATACACCTTTTGATGTGCTGCTGGATTTGGTTTGCCAGTATTTTATTGAGGGTTTTTGCGTTGATGTTTTTCAGGGATATTGGCCTGAAGTCTTCTTCTTTTTCTTTGTATCTCTGCCAGGTCTTGGTATTGGGATGATGCTGGCCTCATACAATGATTTAGGGAGGAGTCCTTCTTTTCAGTAGTTTGGAATAGTTTCAGAAGAAATGATACCAGCTTCTCTTTGTACCTCTGGTAGAATTCAGCTGTAAATCCATCTGGTCCTGGGGGATTTTTTGGTTGGTAGGCAATTTATTACTGCCTCAATTAAAAAAATTCATTACTGGTCTCTTCAGGGATTCAACTTCTTCCTGGTTCAGTCGTGGGAGAGTGTATGCCTCCAGAAATTTATCCATTTCTTCTAGATTGTCTAGTTTATTTACATAGAGGTGTTTATAGTATTCTCTGAGGGTTGTGTGTATTTCTGTGCATCAGTATGATAGCCTCCTTATCATTTCTGATTGTGTCTATTTGAATATGCTCTTTTCTTTATTAGTCTAGTTAGTGGTATATTTTATTAGGTTTTTTTTCCAAAAAAACAGCTCTTGGATTTGTTGATTTTTTTGAAGGCTTTTTTGTGTCTCTGTTTCATACAGTTCTGCTCTGATATTGGTTATTTCTTGTCTTCAGCTCACTTTGGGGTTTGTTTGCTCTTAGTTCTCCAGTTCTTTTAGTTGTGATGTTAGGATGTCAATTTCAGATTTTTATAGCTTTTTGACATGGGCATTTAGTGATATAAATTTCTCTTTTAACACTGCCTTAGTTGCATCCCAGAGATTCTGGTACATTGTGTTTTGTTCTCATTAGTTTAAAAAAACTTCTTGATTTCTGTCTTAATTTCATTATTTACCCAGGAGTCAGTCAGGGGCAGGTTGTTCAATTTTCCATGTAATTGTGTAGTTTTGAATGAGTTTCTTAATCTTGAGTTCTAAATTGATTGAGCTGTGGTCTGAGAGACTGTTTTGGTTTCAGTTCTTTTGCATTTGCTGAGGAGTGTTTTACTTGAAATTTTGTGATCTATTTTAGAGTAATTGCCATTTGGCACAAACTAAAATGTGTATCTGTTGTTTAGGGTGGAGAGTTCTGTAGGAATCTATCAGATCTGCTTGATCCAGAGCTGAGTGTAGGCCCTGAATATCTTTGTTAATTTTCTGTCTCCATGATCTGTCTAATATTGACATTGTGGTGTTAAAGTCTCCCCCTATTATTGTGTGGGAGTCTAAGTCTCTTTGAAGGTCTCTAAGAATGTGTTTTATGAATCTGGGTGCTCCTGTATTGGGTGCATAAATATTTAGGATACTTAGCTCTTCTTGTTGAATTAAACCCTTTACCATTATGTAATGCCCTTCTTTGTGTTGTTTCAATATTTGTTGGTTTAAAGTGTCTTTTGTCAGCAACTGGAATTGCAACCCCTGATTTTTTCTGTTTTCTATTTGCTTGGTAAATTTTCCTCCATCCCTTTATTTTGAGCCTATGTATGTCTTTGCACATGAGATGAGTCTCATGAATGCAGCACACTGATGGGTCTTAACTTTTCATCCAGCCTGCCATTCTGTGTCTTTTAATTGGGGCATTTAGCCCATTAATAATGTTATATGTATATTTAATCCTGTCATTATGATGCTAGCTAGTTATTTTGCAGACCTGTTTAGATAGTTGCTTCATAGTGTCATTGATCTGTGAACTTCAGAGTGTTTTTGTTGTGGCTGATAATGGTTTTTCCTTTCCATGTTTAGTGCTTCCTCCAGGAGCTCTTGCAAGGATGGCCTGGTGCTGATGAATTCCTTCAGCAATTGCTCGTCTGAAAAGTATTTTATTTCTCCTTCATTTATGAAGCTCAGTTTGGCTGGATATGAAATTCTGGGTTGGAAATTCTTTTCTTTAAGAATGTTGAATATTGGTCCCCAATCTCTTCTGGTTTGTAGGATTTCCGCTGACAGGTCTGCTGTTAGTCTGATGGGTTTCCCTTTGTAGTTGACCCGGCCCTTTTCTCTTGGTGTCCTTAACACTTTTTCTTTCATTTTGACCTTGGAGAATCTGATGATTATGTATCTTGGGCTTAATCTTCTCATGGAGTATCTTACTGGGGTTCTCTGAATTTCCTGAATTTGGAAGTTGGCCTGTCTTGTTAGATTGGCGAAGTTCTCCTGGATGATATCCTGAAGTAGGTTTTCCAACTTTGTTCCATTCTTCTCCTCTCTTTCAGGTATCCCAATCAGTTGTAGGTATGGCCTTTCTATATAATCCCACATTTCTCTAAGACTTTACCCATTCCTTTTCATTCTTTTTTTTTTTTTTTTCCTAATCTTGTCTGCCTGTCTTATTCCAGCAAGATAGTCTTCAGTCTCTGAGGTTCTTTCCTTTACTTGGTCTATCTGGCTATTGACACTTATCATTGCATTGTGAAGTTCTTGTGTTTTTCAGCTCCCTGAGGTCATTTATGTTTCTCTCTAAACTGGCTATTCTGGTTATCAACTCCTGTAATGTTTTATTATTGTTCTTAGCTTCTTTGCTTTGGGTTAGAACATGCTCCTTTAGCTCAGTGAAGTTCTTTGTTACTAACCTTCTGAAGCCTACTTCTGTCAATTCATCCATCTCAGCCACAGCCTAGTTCTGTGCCTTTTCTGGGGAGGTGTTGCAATCATTTGGAGGAGAAGAGCCTTTCTGGATCTTTTAATTTTCAGTGTTTTTGCATTGATTCTTTCGCATCTTTGTGAGGTTACCTACATTCAATCTTTGAGGGTGCTGATCTTTGGATGGGTTTTTTTGTGGGGTCTTTTTTGTTGTTGTTGCTACGGCTTTCTGTTTGTTTTTCTTTAAACAGTCAGGCTCCTCTTTCATAAGGCTGCTGCAGTTTGCTGGGGGTCCGCTCCAGAACCTATTTACCTGTGTGTCTCCCATAACTGGAGGCTGCAAAACAGCAAAGATGGCAGCCTGCTCCTCCTTTCTCTGGGAGGTTCGTCCCAGAGGGGCGAACCTGATGCCAGCTGGAATGCTCTTGTATGAGGTTTCTGGCAACTCCTGTTGGGAGATCTCATCTAGTCAGGAAGAAGGGGATCAGGAATCTGCTCAAAGAAGCAATCTGGCTGCCCCTTGGCTGAGTGAGTGTGCTGCACTGAAGGGAATTCCCCTCATCCAGACTGCCCGGATTCTTCAGAGCCAGCAGGCAGGAAAGACTAAGTAGGCTGAACCGTGGAGACTGTGGCCACCCCTTCCCCCAGAGGCTCCATCCCGGAGATCAGAGTTCTGTCCATAAACCCCTGGCTGGAGTTGCTGAAATTCTCACAGGGAGGCCTTGCTTAGTGAGGAGGGATGGATCAGGGTCCTACTTAAAGAAGCAGTCTGGCCATGATCTGCCACCACCACTGTGCTGTGTTGTGGGGAATTCCTCCTGGTCCAAACCGCCCAGTGTCCCCAGCACTGGCAGGGGAAAACAGCAGACTAGAGCCACAGAGATGGTGGCCACCTGTTCCCCTGGGAACTGGGTCATCTTAGGCAGTCTCCAGCCTGCTATCACTGGCCACAGGGATTCCATGCCAATAGGTCTTAGCTGGTGAGACTCCATGGCCTGCTGTGGGGCCTGCTGAATGTCACCTCTTGGCTCCCTGGCTTTAGCCCCCTTCTAGTGGGAGTGGACAGATTTCCTGCCTCACCAGAATTCCCAGGGCTGGAGTATGCAAAACAACTCCTCCATCTCAGTACCTGCCTGAATGGCCACCAACCCAAGCAGCTGCCGCCAAAGTCTACACAGCTTTGTGCTTGGGACCCAAGGCCCTGGTGATGTGAGCTCACAAGGGGATCTCCTGATCCGGAGGTGGCAAAGATATGTGGGAAAAGCATAGTTTCCCAGGCTGGGTAGCACAATCACTCACCACCTCTCTTGGCTGGGGGTTGGGGCTCCCCTAACCCTGGGTGTGCTGTTGCCCCACCCTGTTTTTCCTTGCTCTTCATGGGTTGTGCCAACTACCTAGTCAGTCCCAATGGGAGAACCTGGATACCTCAGTTGAAGGTGCAGAATTCACTCACCGCTTTTGTTCTTCTCGGTGAGGGCCACCAACCACAGCTGTTTCTAATCAGCCATCTTGCTCCCCACCCATAAATATTTTCTTAAGCTATGTTTTTGGAAACATGATTTTCAATAGGTATAAAATATTCTAGCATTTACATATCTTAATTTTTAATCATTACTTATTGGACATGTCTCTAATTTTTTTTCTAACAAAGAATTCTTTTTTTAAACGTTGAGACAGGGTCTCACTCTGTGACACAGGCTGGAGTGCAGTGGCGTAATTTCAGCTCACTGCAACCTCCTCTTTCCAGGCTCAAGGGATCCTCCTGTCTCAGCTTCCTGAGTAGCTGGGACTACAAACATGCACCACTGTGACTGGCTAATTTTGTTTTTATTTTTTTATAGAGATAAGGTCTCACTAAGTTTCCCAGTCTCAAACTCCTCGAGCAATCCACCTTGAGACCTCTCTGGTCTCAAACTCCTCAAGCAATCATCCCACGTTGACCTCCTATAGTGCTGGGATTATGGGCGTGAGCCACCACAACTGGCTTGTAATTAATAATTGTTAAAAAATACTCAACAAAGCATTTTTCTTGAACATAGATACTTATATTCAAGAATAAAATCTTTAATTGCACATTTCATGCTTGATAATTTTCTTAGCATAAATTCTTAGATGTGGATATACTAAGTCAAATGTACAAATACTTTTAAGGTTCTTGACATGTATTAACAAAATGATTTCCTGAGAGGGAAAAAACCGTCACACTTCTTAAATAATTTAAGTGCTTACCTGTCATGTCAAATCAATCTCAGTATTTTTATTGTTTCAAATTTTTTAATTAAATAAAAAAACTCATAATTTTAGTATTTATTCTTATTGAATATAAAACAGTATCCAAATGTTCATTTACTTATTTCTAAGTTTATTAATTTAGTTCAGTGTTTACTGGGAGAGGAAGAAGAGGAGGGAAGAGTGGGCAGGGTGTATTGAACAGAAGGAACAGCTGAGCAGAGGCACAGAGACATAAGAAGGCAGACAAGAAGGCAAGTAGACGCCATTATAGAATTTTAAGTATGGAAATAACAGGACAAAAAGTGTACTTTCCAAAGATTGTTCTGGAAACAAGGTACACAATAAATTTACAAAAATGAGAATAGAGTGAATGGGTAAAAATTAAGTCAGGGAAATCAGTTAAGAAGCTATTTTTTTACAGTCATGTGCCACTTAACAATGGGGATGTGATCTGAGAGATGTGTCATTACGGAATTTCATTGTGGCATGAACCTCATAGAATGTCCTTACACAAACCTAGATGGTATAGCATCCCATCCACCTAGACTTCGTGGTATAACCTATTGCTCCTAGGCTACACACCTGTACAGCGTGTTATTGTACTGAACACTGTAAACAGTTCAACAGAATGGTATTTGTGTACATAGCTAAACACAGAAGAGTTACAGAAAAATACAGTAGTATCATCTTATGAGACCACTGTTGTATATTCAGTGCATCCTTAACCAAAGTGCCGTTATGTGTTACATGCCTGTAATCAACACAAGAAAATGAGAGTGAAGATAAGACAAAATTAAGGTGGTGGCTATGAAAATAGAAAGAAGGGGGCAGCTTCAAGGGGCATTTAGAAGGTTGAATCAATACCGTGTATGGAGGCTTCTTGGATGTAGGAAGAATAGGATAAGTGTGAGATGACTGCCAGATTTCTGGCTGGTGATACTTGGGTGGTAGCATTTCACTGAGTAAAGAAATAGAGGCACCTTGGGGAAGCCACATGAAGACACCCAAAACTAGTCAGTTGCATAGGTTCATCACCTAAAAAAAAAGCAGGGTTTGGAGACAGAGGTTTAAAAAATGCTAGGAAGGGCCAGGCGCAGTGGCTCACGCCTGTAATGCCAGCACTTTGGGAGGCCGAGGCGGGCGGATCAAGAGGTCAGGAGATCGAGACCATCCTGGCTAACACAGTGAAACCCGGTCTCTACTAAAAATACAAAAATATTAGCTGGGTGTGGTGGCGGGCGCCTGCAGTCCCAGCTGCTTGGGAGGCTGAGGCAGAGAATGGCGTGAACCCGGGAGGCAGAGCTTGCAGTGAGCCGAGGTCGCGCCACTGCACTCCAGCCTGAGCGAGACTCCATATCAAAAAAAAAAAAGACTAAAAAAAGCTAGGTAGTACTTGAGGTTATTCCCCCAAACCCTCCATTTTTGTCATTTATAAAGTATGGAAAATCATGCTTAATTCATGGAGTTGTTGAAAGGAACAAATGAAATAATATTTATAAAGTGCTTACCTTGGTGAGTGCAGCATACAGTAAAATTTAAATAATAAAAGCTGCCTTATTATTACTTATAAGGAGGTGAGAATGGTCATCAATGTGTCATCCTTAACAGACATCAAGAAAGATAACCCTAAAAATAGATGAGGTAAATATCTCAGTCACGAGAATCTAAGAGACCTTGTAAAGAGCAGTTTCTGTGAAGAGGCAATTGATGTTGGGAGAGTTGAGGGCTGTTTTGGAAAGTGCCAAGAGCATATTGGAAGGGAAGCAAGAGAAAGGGGAGAGTGAAGATAAATGAAAGTATAAATCATGCTGTTCTGTCTCTTTGGTAGGAGAAATAATAACTCCTAAAAGATGCTCATATCCCAGTCTCTGGAACCTGTGAATTGACAAAAGGGATTCTGCAGAGGTGATTAAGTTAAGAACCTTAAACTGGAGAAAGTATCCTGGAGTGTTCAGGTGGGCCCAATATAATCACAAGAAACCTTATAGGAGGAAGGCACGAGGGTCAGAGTCAAAGAAGGAAATGTGATGACAGAAGTAGACATCGAGTGATGCAGCTGTGAACAAAACACTGTGAACATTCTCTAGATGTTGGAAAAGAGAAAGAACAGAGCTGACAGAGCCTCTAGAAGGAATGTAGCTTGGCTAACTCTTTGTTAGCTGCATAAAATCCATTTTGGGCTTTTGACCTCCAGAATCATTAAAAAGTTTTGTTTTTTAAGCCACTAAATCTGTGATAATTTGTCACAGCAACAGTAGGAAACAGATGTACCGGAGTACCTTGAGAGTTGCTGGGCAGTGAGACCCAGAGTCCAGGTTAAGGGATCAGACATGGCTTAGATGGGCACCTCAGACACCCCTATTTGGTAAGCAGTTGCCCAGATCATTTCTAAGAGGCTGATCAGCATGGCTGTGATTAAAGCCCATGCCTGACCATGGGGTGTGCTCAATTAATATATCCTGACTGCCTTAATAATTCAGAGAATGTTAAGTTTTTATTATATTTTGATCTCACTTCTATCTTTCTAACCTCGTCGGTTACTCATATAAGAGCTCCAAATGTTAAAGGTTGTTTATTTCCTCTGGAAATGTTTTTACTGATTGTAAAACAGTACATTAAAGTTGATAAAATTCAGTTCATTTCTACAGAAGAACTAACTCAAACAAACCTGGTCTCATTTCTCTCTCCCTTGAATGAAAAGTTGACCTGCACAATTCAATCTCCATTGAGATGAATTAGAAATTAGAGGCGTTCTATGCAGGTTTAAGCAGCTCCGGGATTTGTCATTACATTTTTACAAATTTCCTTAGTGGGAGCTAACAATAAAGATTAAAAGCAATAAACCTGCAAAGTACATATTGGAGCTAGATTTGAAAGGACACAACAAGCTCTTGCTCACAAAGAAAAGTCCCTGAGGCTGAGCGTTCTGGTCTTCTGTGTATTCATTTCTTGCTCCCACTGACATCCTTTGAAAGCAGCAACCATGTAGTTTAATTTGACATTCAAAGACTACACTGTTAACCAGGCAGTCCACTGTGGTAAAGTCAAAATGCATGTGAAATTCCTTCTAGGAGTGGAAGAAGGCTCTGGAATTCTTGTCATTCTTCAGCTTCTACCTTTCCTTCCTTGAAACTTACAATTTGCACTTAGTTACATCATGTCCTTCCTTTCCACTACCCTCGGGGACACCTTACTCATTGACTCAAAGAGTGCTTTTAGAGACCACTTCTATCTCTAAATAATAGTGCGTTTGGATCATCCCTTCTCCCACAGACACGTTATCCTGTATAAAATAACGTTTTAGTGACAATGCATATCTCTCATCTTCCTTCCTCTCCTGACTTACTCTTTTCTTCATTCTTTGTTTATACCTGTCTCCCATCAGTGAGACTCGGAATGTGACATTAATCTTGACTAGAAATTTAATCAGATTTTTTAGAAGAGTGTAGCAGTGCCCTCAAAATGGAAGAGGGGGTATGAAAAGTAAACATTAAACAAACAAAAAACATGGAAAATTATTTTAAATATTGTAACCAGATGATCATGAACTACACCTTTTCACGACTCCTTAGCTAGTCTTATCACCATTTAGGATTGCACTGTAGATTTCCATAGTAACTCTCCTTAATTGTTGTTATGTCAGTGTAGTTGTTACCACATCTGCCAAAAAAGACTGGTCATTTTCTCAGGAGGAGAAGAAAATAACAATATCCATGGAGGATCCAAGGAAAGTGAATTATTTATGGCCTTGCCACCTAACTACATCCTGAAGCATTCCCTACCAGTTGTACAGGCACGGTTACTTATTAATAATGAGTTAATTTGTTAATTTCAGAACCAAAATAAACTATTTTAGGCTACTAAGTCACTCTGCAAAAATACATAATGTCCCATGAGCCCAGGTAAATATGGCTTACAGTGTTGGCTTTTATTGGGCCATCTGCAAAGGGGCAGAAGTGATATATAGCATTTAGGATACTTTCTTATGGTAGAGAGGTACTTTAAGGTGCAGGTATGTGTCCTCTCCCCACAAACATACATATGTGTTATCCTCCAATCTTAGAAGATTTTCCAGTAATTACTATTACAGGCATACCTTGAAGATATCATGGGTTCAGTTCCAGACCACACAATAAAGTGAATATTGCAATAAGGTGAGTCTCAAAGATTTTTTGGGTTCCCAGTGCATATAAAAGTGATGTTTACACTATAGTTTATTAAGTGTGAAATAGCATTATATCTTACAAAACAATGTACATACCTTAATTTAAAATTCTGTATTGCTAGAATCTGCTAAAAATCATCTGAGCCTTCAGCAAGTTGTAAGCTTTTTGCTAGAGGAGGGCCTTGCCTTCACGTTGGTGGCTGTGGGTGGCTGTTAATTGATCAGGTTGGTGGTAGCAGACAGTTGGGGTGTCTGTGACTATTTCTTAAAATAAGACAACGAAGTTTGCTGTATCAATTGACTTTTCCTTTCACAAAACGTTTCTCTGTAGCATGTGATGATGTTTGAGAACATTTTACCGACAGCAGAAATTCTTTCCAAGTTGGAGTCAATCCTCTCTAACTCCATTGATGCTTTATCAACTAAGTTTATATAATATTCTAAATCCATTGTTGTCATTTCAACAATGTTCAGGCATCTTCTCCATGCGTAGATTCACCTCAAAAAACTACTTTCTTTGCTCATCCATAAGAAGCAATACTTCATCCATTAAAGTTTTATCACAGGATTGTAGCAATTCAGTCATATCTTGGGGCTCCATGTCTAATTCTAGTTCTGTTGCTCTTTCCACTGTTTCTGCAGGTACTTCCTCCACTGAAGTCTTGAACCCCTCACAGTCATCCATGAAGGTTGTAATCAACTTCTTTCAAACTCCTGCTAATGTTGATATTTTGACCTCCTCCCATGAATCAGGAATGCTTTTAATGGCATCCAGAATAGTGAATCCTTTCACGAAGGTTTTCAATCTACTTTGCCCAGATCCATCAGAGGAATCACCATCCATGGCAGTTATAGCCTTACGAAATGTGTTTCTTAAAAAGTAAGACTTGAAATTCGAAATTGCTCCTTGATTAATGGTTTATAGATGGACGTTATGTGAGCAGGCATGAAAACAATATTAATTTTCTTGTACATCTCTGTTAGAGTTCTTGAGTGACTAGGTGCATTGTTAACGAGTAGTAATATTTTGAAAGCAATCTCTTTTCTGAGCAGTAGTTCTCATCAGCAGGCTTAAAATATTCAGTAAACCATGCTGTTAACAGATGTGCTGTCATACAGGCTTTGCTATTCCATTTATAGAGCCCAGGCAGAGTAGATTTAGCATAATTCTTAAGGGCCTTAGCATTTTTGGAATGGTAAATGAGCATTGGCTTCAACTTAAAGTCACCAGCTGCATTGGCCCTTAACAAAGGAGTCAACCTGTCCTTTGAAGCTTTGAAATAAGTTATTGACTATTACTACTACTACTACTACTACTACTACTACTACTACTACTTCTTCTTCTTCTTCTTCTTTCTTCTTTCTTCTTTCTTCTTTCTTCTTTCTTCTTTCTTCTAGCTAGGAAGGTCCTAGTTGGCATCTTTTTCAAATAGATGGCTGTTTGAAATCTGTTGTTTCATGTGGCCACCTTTATTAATAATCTTAGCTACATGTTTTGGATAACTTGCTGCAGCTTTTACATCAGCACTTGTTGCTTTACCATGCACTTTTATGTTATAGAGCCAGCTTCTTTCCTTAAACCTCATGAACCAACATCTGCTAGTTCCAAACTTTTCTTCTGAAGCTTCCTCACCTTTCTCAGCTTTCATAGAATTGAACAGAGTTAGGTTCTTGCTCTGAATTATGCTTTTGCCTAAGGGAATGTTCGGGCTGAGTTGATCTTCTATCCAGACCACTCAAATTTTCTCCATATCAGCAATAAGGCTGTTTTGCGTTCTTATTGTTGACGTGTTCAGTGGAGTTTCCTGAATTTCCTTCAAGAACTTTTTCTTTGCATTCACAAGTTTGCTATCTGTTTGGCCCAAGAGGTCTGTCTTTCAGACTATCTTGGCTTTCAAAATATGCCTTCCTCACTAAGCGTAATCATTTCTAGCTTTTGATTTAAAGTGAGAGACATGTGACTCTTTCACTTGACCATTTAGAGATCATTGTAGGGTTATTAATTGTCTTAATTTCAATATTGTCATGTCTAAGGAAATAAGTAGGCCTGAAGAGAGGGGAAAGATGAGGGAATGTCTAGTTGGTGAAGCAGTCAGAACATACACAGCATTTGTCAATTAAGTGTGCCATTTTATATGGTCGTGGTACATGGCAGCACAAAACAATTACAGTAGCATCTTCAAAGATCACTAATTACAGATCACCATAACAGATATAATAATGATGAGAAATTTAAAATATTGCAAGAATTATCAAAATGTGACACAGAGACAAAGTGAGCACATGCTGTTGGAAAAATGACACTGATAGACTTGCTCAAGGCAGTCTATCACCAATCTTTAATTTGTTAAATGCAATATCTGAGAAGAGCAATAAAACGAAGTGCAATAAAAAGAGGTATCCTGTCTTTGGCTCAAGTATATAGATAAAAGCTCTATTCATAACAGCTTCAGAACTTCCTGGCATCTAAGATGAAATATTTTTAAACAAACCTTGGTTACTCTCTATATGTTTGAAAATGATGGTAAGGCATAAAGCATAGCAAAAGATTCCATAAAATAAAACAGACTAGAGCTTTCCAATGGCATATTTTTCAAAAGCTTCAGTTGGTAAGGTTGGACTAGAAAGAAACAGGAATTTGTGTTTAATATACTTTCCTCTGCTTTCATTATATGGTCATAACAGAAAAATGCCTATTGGTTATTGGTGAGATTTGGAGCTCATGTGCCTCAATAACATCACCCTATCTATATGTTTTAGAGTAGAAGGTTCTCTGTCACTTGACAAATACAAATGTTTTTTGAGCCCCTGCTTACAGGTGGTAGAGAGCACAGCAGGGCACGTGTCTTTGATCTGCAAACAAACCAGTTCAGAGCGATGCCTCCTCTATGGACCCCCACACCCCAGGATGCACTATTCCTGTGCCTTAATCATCCCAGGGCCAGGCAACAGAGGATCGCCCCTATAGCCCAAAGCTCATCACAATTATTCAAGCCAGCCAGTCTTAAATTGCTCACCCTGCCCTGCCTTGCCATTCCCTCAGAAACTTCGATAGAAACAGTAGCCTAAACCTTCCCTTTGCACCTGTCTTCTGCTTCCTGACCACCTTGGTGTCTTTCTCATATGGCCCTGTGTGGTGTGCTGTGCCTCCTGTCTCTAGGACCTGTGAGTAGAATAAATTTTGTTTTCCTGAGCTTCTTTTATGTCTCCTCTTGTGGCCATAGCTGCCTGACCATCTCATAAAAGAATACACAAAACAACCCCCTTGGCTTTGAGCCAGGCACTGCCCTAGCCCCTGCAAAGAGAGCAGTGAACAGATAAATGAAGTCCCTGTAATCATGGAACTAGTGGTGGGAAACAGACTGTCAACCAATGAATAAATATATCATGTGACAGGTGATGAGAGGTGTTATAAAGAAAAAGAAAGCAGGATAAAGAGGATAGATACTAACAGGAGTGGGTTTATGTTAAGTAGAGAGGTCAAAAGAAGTCCTCTCCAAGGAGGTGACATTTAACATTTAAGCAGAGTCTTAAAAGAAATGGCTTTTTAGTATTGCTAAATGCTCTCAGACTCCGGCACCACTTTCAGTAAATCTGAAGATGAAACAAACATCTGCCAGATGAAAGAAGAAAGAGGGTAAAGACAGGAAACTTGAGTGATAAATCCACACCGATCCAATCCAGGGACTAATTTATGTTTCTAAAGCATGTTGAGAAAAAAGTTAAAAAGAAATCCCTACCCTGGGGCTCTTTGATGAATCACCAGTAGCTAATTGTTGCAGAGCATCCCACAGGCATGACATATCATTTGAAATCTGGGTGAATTTCAGAAGAGAAATGTTACTGCATTTTAAACAATACCATTAGCCAATCTGATTTCACTTACTGGTATGCACTTTGTTCCAGCCATCTAGTCTAACGATGAATTGCCCGATGGTTCTATTGTCAAAATGACAGCGTGAAAAGAGAAGCATGTGGGTTGTAATAATAATGTGGTACATGTGTAGAAGGTCAGAGAAGCAACAGATTAACATTCCAGCTAAAGATTTCCCCTGGGACATCTCTTGAAAGTATCAAAGGCCAAAGATCAGGACACTGATAATGTGTCTGGCGTTGGTGGTGAAATTGTTGTATGTATTTAGCTCTGCTGAGGACAGAGCTGTGTTCCTTTCAATTAGTTGATGAAATCTCTCCTGAACAACGAAGAAGCCAACCACAGGAACTGGCTTCAATACAGCTGAATGAATGGAAATGAGGTTGTGTGAAAATATGAATTGCTTACTTCAGATTAATGAAATAAAATGGAACCCATTCCCTTGGGAATCTGACTAAATAATTCCCCATCCTGGAGACTTAAGCCTAATATACAGAGCATGGCATTCTTTTACTGAATTTTAAAACAAATTCTGACACTCACAACATTTCTGAAAGGTGAATTTCAGATTATCAAGTAAAGGAGTCCCGTGTTCCTAACTGCAATCAATGCAGAGGAAAAGAGGTTAGGATCTGGGTGGTGAGGGACTCAGACAGGGACCTGGGCTTGAAACCTAATTCCATAACTTATCTGTGGAACATTAAACCTCTTTTTCCTTATTTTTAGAATAAAGAAAATACACATAGCCTAAACATTCGTAGGGCAGATTTTAAAATACCATTTTTATGAAACATGTAATAAGTTTGCAATAAATGGGAGCTAGGCGTGAATTTTACGTTTGCTCTGTGGCTTCCCTTGATATCCCTACAGCCGCATCTCTCCCTGCCATGGTGGATAAACTCTGATGACTCAGTACACATCAAGACGAAATGGCATTTTGCTTACAGTTCTAAATATAAGCACCCTTTAAGAAGGAAGATGGATTCCTTTGTTTAAAACTTCATTTATATGTTTACTAATAAAAATGGAGACCTAAAAAACTAGGGAGATGTTTATTGGGAAGTATCAGGAAATAAGTAAAATACAAGTGATTTGCAAAGTATAAAGGAACGATCACAGTAGTAAATTGGGAAGCAGTATGCCTAATGGGTAAAGCGTAGTCTCTGGATACAGGGCGTGGGTTTAAATTTCAGCTGCACTACTTCTAGCTGTGTAACTTCTAACAGGCTATTTAACCTCTCTGGTCTTGGAATCTTTAGCTATAAAATGGGCAAATAATAGCACTCACACCTTAGTTGATGTGAGGATTAACTGAATTTGCAAAGAACTTAATGCATGTGATTCTTGATTACTTGAATTGTCATAAATGTAATTCCAAGCTTGGAAGTGTTTTAAGGAAACTTAATAATGTTTTTCAGATGGAAACTTTAATTGTGGTTTATAATTTTATTACTAATGTGGGTGGTTTTGTTATGATTTTTTTGCTCTGTAGTTTTATTTCTTTGGTTAAACAGAAGCTTCATTCATAAATATCAGTAAGGTAGATTTAGACTGAGCTGACTTGACTTTGAACCATTTTGAGGAAGCAGTTTGTTCTCTTCTCAACAAGATCTCACATTTTTATCCGTGGAGACTATCAGAGCAGATCCCTGAAACATAGCCCCTACCAACCCCTCGTGAGAGCCACAATTTACCATTCCATTCTCAATTCCCTCCTTCAACACAAACCGGGAGGCCCTGAGAAGATAGCCCTGTCAAAACAGTTTATGACTTGAGGAGGCCAAAGAAAGTTCCATGAAGATATAATATTTCAGTGTGAGATGTATAAATCTTCTTCAAAAAAATCTGGCCTCTTTTATGACTCGGATAGCCAATGTTTGGGTAAGATGTTTGAAACCAATGAAGTATACAGCCTTGGGCAGAGCTCCTAATCTTTTTTAGGTTCCTCGACAATGGTGTCAACTTCTCCTTTGCTCTTGACAATTATCACCTGATAGTCTTTGAATCAACAATAAAATAGAAATAGAAGAGATAGTCTGACCTGGACCTTAAGAGGAGGCTGTAGAGGGCTTACAATGATTACCTGAGGAAGATGTAGGCTGATGGGCACTAAAGCAAGGGATTAATAGATTCAATAGCTGCTTGATGAATTTCTCTGAAAAGAGAAGCCTGAAGGACATTGGCGAAAAGAAATGGGAGAAAACATAAATGGCTGTGAGAAAAAGCCAAATGGCCTTTTCCTGTTTCCTAAGAGACTGAATCTCCTGAGCTGTACAATGTGCTGTTTCTTATAAAAGCTTCTGGAAATGCACTTTCTTACCAAAATTCAAAGCAGGGCCACAAATCATTTATAGGAGACAAAAAAACAATAAGTAGTGTCAGCACAGAGGAATATATTTTACTTTGCTCTGCCATGGGAATGATGGTGGGTTGTGATGAGTGGAATATAAAATAACGTAAGTTGCCTGTTGACAACAGAGTTTGAAATTATAAAATGTAAAACCAATATATTTTCTGCACACTATGAAACAGCTGGGGTATTTTTATGGCTTCTAGCGGGATACCATGCCATCTCTCAAAACCCTATAATTCTGTAAGCACATTAAGTGCATCCTGTTATTTATTTTGTTTGTTTATTTGGCTTCAAGGATTTCACAGGAGAATATAGCACAGAATGAAATGTAAAGAAAGTGATCAACACTGAATTGTGTTGTCTTCAAGAATGTTCAGTCCAAGCTCGATTGTAGGGTAGCTTGAACGTTATGTTCAATGTGCCAGTATACCTGGGCAGAATGCCATCTTTTTCCTGTAGGAGGAAAATAAAATGCCTCAATCAAAAATGCTACAGGAATGTTTCCTCCCATGGTCTATCCAGAATCTAAGTATAAAAATTAAGTCTTTTATGAGGTTGACAGCAGTGGAGTTCAAATAAGATCTCTTTAAATGACAGATGGTGATAAGCAAGTCAAACACTTCTTAGATGGTGGTTTATGTGCTAGACATTAAAGATGTTGTAACTGTTGACCCATATTAATGCAGTGCTCTGACAAAGGCAGGCAGCAAAACTCTGTGCCGAGTCTCCTACCCTAAGCAATAATTAATTTTATTGTCTTCATTTTGGTTGCTTAATTTAAACCCTGTGTGTGTCAATCAATCAGTATAAAATACCATGATTGTGTTAAATGATTTGGCTGTTACATTTGTTGGATTTTTATGTTTTACTCAAATATCACATTTTCAATTATTATTTATGGGCTAAACTCCTGTGATGTAGAATTGGCTGGAAATGTGTTGGGACTTTGGCAGCGCAAGTAGTTAGTGATCTGAAGTGCATATGCGCCTGCCAATGAACAGAGGGTCGGGAGGGGAGCTGGGGTGGATACCAGACAAATTCTCTGCTTGGAGATGGAGAGAGCCATCTTATCCTGAGACAGATTCCTGCTGCATGAAAGGAGCAGAGAATCTCTATAAATGTGCTCTCCCTGTTAGAGGCAGAGGCCTTTTCTTTCCTTTGCAGGCTCAGGAATTTTGTGAGGGTACGCATCACCCTTCACACAGCAGTTTGTTAGCTGTCAGCAGTGCCTAACACAACAAAATTCCAAGGCAGGGGTATGGGGATGTGTCATACAGAAGTGCCCAGTTGTTTGAGTTGAAAAAAGAGGAAACATCAGATATTGCTTTTTCAAACAAAGACCCAGTTTCATGCTTAACACCTAAAAGATAACTTGGTTTTCTGTTCTCAGGATTGAAAAGAAAAGCCAAAAAAAAAAAAAAAAAAAAAACAAAAAAAACCCAAAATCTTTGTTCCTTTGAAGTAAGAGCAAGCTATGTGAAATGAATTTTAACCAGGTTCTGCCAATATCTATCAGCACCCAGCATTTCATATTGCAGATAATAAGAGTCTGGAGAAAATGACAGGTGAGAGAAAGGAAAATCTGGAGGCAAGTGCCAGCGTTTTCAGTATCCAGGTCAGACAAGGGTTTAGAAGGCCTTTTGGGATGAGTGTGTGACTGAAGCTGGCGAGGGTGAGTGCCTGTTTCCCAAGTTGTGGAATTCTTTTTAAATGAAAAGTACATTAAACCAAGAATTTAGAGGGGGTGGTCAATTTTCCTTTTTAATAGGCTCACTGTAAGAAAAATAAATGCTATTGATGCAGAGAGGACTTAATCATAAATGAATGAACTATGTATCTCATTATTCTTGGCAGTAATTAAATATCATTTATTAATAAAGTTCATAAAGACCTTTTCCCTAGGAAAGACAAAGAACTTATGATTCCTTTTCACTTAGACAAAGAAAGATGCCAAGTTTTATGAATGAAAAAGATGACATGTCTTCCAAAAGGCAAGACGTTATGACTCTGTTTAAGTGACGTCTGCAAAGAGAATAGGCAGTGTTTGAAAAATAAGCAGTACCATAGCTATGCAGGATTTGTGAAGGTTTAGGGCTAGGTACCCTTCTTAAAGTAATGTTTTCGGATTGCATTATGAAATAGAGAATTTTGAAAGAACGTGAAAGGCATATGCCTTAACTACAACTGGTGGAAATTTAAAAAGAGAGCTTGAGATTTAGTTGTTAATATCAATAGCTGCTCCTTGGAAACTGAAAAAAGAAGTTAAAAAGCCAGAAGCAAGTTCAATGAATATCTCTAATATAAGGCTTTTTTTCTGGGTATGTTCCTCACTAAGGGAAACAAGGGTTAGAAATCATATTGTACTGAGATTTATAGCCTGTACATTAACCTTTTGTATTTCCCTATGGTTTATCTTTTTAAAAATCCTGTTTCTTTTGTTTGGAGTGTTTTTTCTTAGAGTTAGTGGTGCAGAGATAAAATCGAGTAAATTTAGATAAGGGAAAGAAAGGTGATGTGGTGAAAAGAGCACCAGAGTGCATGAGAAGATCGAAGTGCAAACCGAAACACTAATTCACCACATGACATTGAGCAGTGGGATTAGTTTCCCTGGGCCTCTCTTCCTCATCTACAGTAGCAGGCTTTTGCATCATCCTTCTCTAAGACTCTTTTTAGGCCTGTCATCCTGCAATCCAAACATTCTCCATATTACCCCAAGGGCAAAATCATCAATGGTGTATGTATAACCTAGGGTGGGTTTTTAATATCACATACACAGGGTGATAATAATTTTAATTGCATTTTGTGGTGCTACCTATTAATCTTGAAACAGAACTTCCATGTGTTAAGGCAACCATGGAGAATACAACAGCTTAGAAAATAATTACTGTGCAAGAAAACTTCAATTTATTTTAAAATTTTATGTTAATCTCACATAAAGCAAAAGGGTACTAAACTGAGGTTTAGCATTTTTGGGTCTAGGTTTTGCTCTCTCAGGCTCTAGGCAAAGCTTTTGCTTTTCATTAGTTCCAAGTTAAAAGAGGATTTTGGTAAAATGATTTCTTAGATGACTTTATAGTTTCCTTTTCTTGATATCCTGAGAGCATGTGAAGTGCAATAGAAAAATCTGGTATTTTCAGTCAATGATACAGGGACATGAATCACAGCTCTACAATCCATTACTGTGTGATGTTAGACAGGTTGGTTCTCTGAACCCTTATTAGATTTCAGAATTTTTCCAGGCATAAGAATGCATGTAAGGTGCCAGGAGATATATGTAATTGGAATTTAGGGAATATTCATGATTATTATGGAGACTTCCCTGATTTCCCTTTGACACTGGCTTGTGGATCTACAGTAATGTTTATGGTTTATATACAATAATCTGTCTGAAAATTATCATCTTAATGTTCATCATATAGAAAAAGCCCTCTGCTCTGTATGTTAACATCTGAGTTTAAGTTGAAACTCTTATCAAATCCTTCCTGGACTTTAAAGTCTTGGGAGATGGCTCCTGCAACCTTGCTCTGCAAAGAGCAAAGCCTGAGATACTGAAACTTGTACAAAGCAAACCCAAGGGACATAGCTCCACCTTGCCAGATGTCTTAGTGTTTTTTACACTGCTAAAACAGAATACCACAGACCACAGGTAATTTAGAAGAAAATAAGTTTATTTCTCACAGTTTTGGAGGCCAGAAAGTCCAAGGTCAAGGGGTTGGCATCTAGTGAGGGCCTTTGTGCTGCATCATTCCATGGAGGAAGGCAGAGGACAAGAGAGTGCCCATGTGAGAGAGGAAGGGGCCTGAACTCATCCTTTCATCAGGAACTCACTCCCTCAATAACTAACTAATTCCTGTGATAATGGCATTAATCCATCCATGAGGGTAGAGCTCTCATGACCTAATCACCTTTTAAAGATCTCACCTTTCAGTTGCATTTGAGGATTAAGTTCCTAGCACATGAACTTTGGGAGACACATTCAAACCAGAGCAGCAGGGAGTCCATATAAGCCCAAATTGACTCCTGAGTAAACCAATAATATGAAATTCCTCTAGTGAAAGAGCTCCCAAGCTCTTTCTGCCTCTAGAGATAAGTCAGGTGGACACGTATTTGCCTATCTGTCTGTAATGTCCATTTCATCCAAATTATGCAACAGATACACCCCAGAGCCAGAGCCTCTCCCACATCAATTCTTCACTACTGACTGGAAAAAGAAAATGAATTTCTAAAGGAAAAAAATATGGGAAATAATTACATTTCTTAACAGCTAAGTGTATTCACATACATGGACTGCATTTGTAATACATTTCTAGGGAAAAATATAAACAAAATATGAATTTCCACTTTGCAGAGATAAAGAATATATTTGACTTTAATTCTATATTTTCAGAAAGTTTGTTAACCTGTGCAGTCATAATTTGGGAATTTAAGAATAGAAGACAACTTTGAGATCATTTAGTCTAAGATCATCATTTAGAGGAGAAAACTACTTTAAAAATAGTTTCCCATGCCACTTGATTTACCTAAGACTTAATATTTTCTATATGACTTGGTCATGGGAATAAGTTTTCCACAAGTAGTTAAGTGGTTGATACGTTCATGTCAGTATTTTTCCAAGGCCATTTCCGGGTTGAAGCATGTTACCCACACGTTTCATGGAAATATTAAATAAATATCAAATGGTGAAATTCAAAGGATTCTAGATATAAATTATACTTTTACAGACAGATGATGCTTAAGTATCCAGTGGCTTAATTCTCTGCCACTCTGAAAGAGTGACTCTATATCTCAGATGATAAAACTTGGATCTAAATTTAACTTCTGTATGAATTTTCTCCAGCATCTGGGTCATTTTCTAGTATAGCAATTAATCTCTGTGAATAGCATATTTAGAGACCACAAATTCTAGTTTGGAGAAGAAAAGAACCTTTTGTTTTGTTAGACAAAATTGCTTCCTGTAGCAGGTAAAATAGCCAAGACAGTTATCTACCAGAACCAGGAAATATTAATACTATGTAAATCATACACACAGATTTTCTAACACCAAAGGCAACTATGGAATCAAATGGCATAGTATAATACATGGAAATATGGACAAATTCCATGTAAGATGCATTTAGCAATCTTAGGGCTATTTCCACTAGGTTATAAGACCATCCATAATCATCTTAGCTTCTAGAGGTTCTGGAAAATGGCCATGCTTGCATTGCACCCAGCATGCAGACTGAGGCACTCAGAAAATAGAATCCACTCTCTACTGGTTTATAGTGCCCTAATCAAAGAAAATTCTCATGTTCTTCTGGGCCTTGAATGTTGGATAGAATGAATCTTGGATTGAATTCTGTCTTTACTACTGCATGGTGTTATCTTCTACTCTCATATTTTCAGATTTCTTGTAGGAAGTCAGCCCAGATTTGATAAGGTTATAAAATTAATTTTCTTGGGTATATATTAATACACTAAAGATGCATTATTACCTAATTACTAACATTCATTGAGCTTAATTTGTTTATAAATACTCTATCATCTGTGATTTTTCTCATAATTAAACATACTGTATAAAATTGATGACAACTTCATTTGCCTAAAAGCTTAAAACCAAAACTCTTAAAAAGTTTTAAGGCCTGAGATTATACAAGATTTTCTTAAAATGCATGGAAACTCTAACTAAGTCTACAATCAGATATTGAAGATTCAGAGCTAAAAAATTTTTCAAAATTTAACTATCTCTGAAGTATGTCCAGTTATCAAGACTGTTTATTCAAGTAGAAAACTTTATCAGTATATTTATAATGATCTTTTCAGTTATTCATAATCCTTGCATAGGCGAGAGATAACTCAGGTTACCTAAAAATATGGTACACATACATCTCTTTCTGCCCTGAAAAGTCACTGTTTTCACGTCACCTGAGAATAATTATTAATAGTGTTCACTTTCACTTTCTTAAGTGTCCTGGTTGGGGCAATAAATTATGTGGTAAATTTACCAAAAGATGGGAATCATTCTAAGGATATGTGGGGAAGTAAGAAAGTATAGGCAAGTGTATCAACCATTAAATGGCCAAGTATAATGGAAGGCTGAAACTTTGGTCAGGATACCTTAGCGTGTTAAAGACCCCAAAGTAACTCTATAGTCAGAGAGCCAACTGTTAGCAGAGGCAGAATAATGGCAAGAAATTGTTAGGCTATGAAAATGTCAAGAAAACTGCCACAAAGCTAGAAAGATGTTGAGAAAAATTACTTTATTGAAGGTTGAAAAAATGGTGAGTCATGTTATGTGGCAATGAAACAACTGGAAAACCGTTGCCTACTAGAACTTGGAAGAAAGGAAATATACTTAATATACTTTTGGATCTTGGTAAGATGATTTTCAGGTAGACTGTTAAAAGGGTCAGTTGGCTTATTTTAATTAAAAAGGTTTGGAAGATAGTTAAAAAAAGAAATGTTCAATTTTTTGAAGAAAAATGTAAGAGTACTATATAGAGGGACTAGAAATTGCTGAGTTGGAAAATAAAACTATTTCTCATTTTTAATCCCTTCATTCTGAAAAGATTGTCAAAGTGAAATTCTGCCTGAGGCATAGATCAAATCAAGTGTGTGGCTATGACTTTCTTAAGACTTCTAAAATACTTAAAATTTAAGGCAATGTCAAGTAGATACCCCCAACCTTAGTTTAAAAAAAAGAAAAACTTCCTAAGAATCTGAAGGGCATTTTTCCACTGTAGGCTGCCATGCTGAACATAGAGAGAGGTGCATATCTAAGAGAATTGTGCATGTGGCTTTTAAGGCATGGCATGGACCCAAATTAGAGACATAGGAAATGTGGAAAGTTTTTTAGAGAGCCAAGTTATAATTAAACAGTGCTGAGATTAATTAAACAGTTAACTGAATTCTCCAAGTCTCAAAAAGTCTCTAGGCACAGAAATTCAAATGGCAGGAAGAAGGCTAATAAAGCTATTCAATTTGCAACCATGAACTATTTCTTATGGGAAACTAACAAGCCTATTCTAAATTTATATGGAAATCCAAAGACTATCCAAGACAATATTGAAAAATAACTCAGAGATGAATGAATCAAAGCTAAGTCTTTGAACTATAATGCCATATTTCCTTCAGGTAATGATGATAATGATCAGGCATATTTATGAATGACCTAAAAGACATTATAAATGAACTTCATGTGAGGAACCTAAAATAGTGATGAATTAGATAATTGATTATAAAGTCTTCTTTAAAAAATATCAGAAATGTTTGATAAAATACTTTTCCAGAACTCTGAACTCTATCTTCATAACTTGGGGAGACAGCCAGGCTCTGTTCTTCCCTGTACTGAAGCTTGTAAATTCTTTCTAGGCAGTAAGCTAGAGCAATTGTAGGGCTCACTTAATTTGTTTCCCTGTTCTCAAGAATCACTGTCCTGTGCTGCCTGTTGTCCAATGTCTGAAAACTATTGTTCTATGTATTTTGTTTGTTTTTAGTTGTTTAAGGCAGTAGGATAAATCCAATCCTTATTTCTCTAATATACCTGAAAGAGGCATCCTCATTTTCTTTTGACTTGCATAGTTTTTGACGAGAAGTCTGTTGTCATTCTTATGTTTATTCCTCTGTAAGTATGGTCTCTTTTCTTTGGTTGCTCTTAAATTTTTTTTTCATCATTAACTTTCAGCAAGTTGATGATAAGCCTTGGCATGATTTCTGTTGGGTTTATTTGATTGATGTTCATTGATCTGCTTGGATCTGTGAATTGATGGTTTTCAACAGATCTGGATTTTTTTTTCTTTAAATATTTTTTGTCATTCCCCCCCTCCCCACTGCTATTTCTTCTCAGATTCAAATTATGCATACATTAGAATGCTTGTTTTTGTCTAATTCGTCCTAATGGTCTGTTCATTTTTATTCAGTCCCTTTTTCTCTCCTAGTACTTCATTTTGAATAGTTTCTGTGGGTTTAATTTCCAATTCACTAATCTTTTCTTTTGCAATGTCTAATCTGTTGTTAATCCCATCCAGTGTATTTTTCATTTTATTTGTTAAATTTTTCAACTCTGTTGAGTCTTTTAAAAATATTGGAATGTAACTTTCTAAGGGATAACACACAGTTTATGGAGTTTCTCAAACTTATTTGACCACAAACCCTTTTAAACATGGAACACCTTAACATCTCTAGAGCTAGTATTTTGGACAACACGGTTTGAAAAATGGCACTCTATATAGAAAAAAAAATCTTCTTTAATGTTTTTAAATCCAGGAAAAGTGTTCATTAGGTATATTAACTGCAGGAGTTTCAATATCCAATATAAACAAATTCAAAGAAATACAGTTATTGATAACTGACAGAACATATAGTAAGGCATGTTGTAAAGATATAAAATGTAAGATGTTTAGCTGAGCATGGTGGCTCATGCCTGTAATCCCAACACTTTGGGAGGCTGAGGGGGGGGGGGGTGGATCATGAGGTTAGGAGTTCAAGACCATCCTGGCCAACATGGTGAAACCCCGTCTATACTAAAAATCCAAAAATTAGCTGAGTGTTGTGGTGCATTCCTGTAATCCCAGCTACTTAGGAGCCTAAGGCAGGAGAATGGCTTGAACTCAGGAGGCGGATAGTGCAGTGAGCTGAGATCACATCACTGCACTCCAGCCTGGCGACAGAGCAAGACTCCATCTCAAAAATAAATAAATAAATAAATAAATAAAAATAAAAATATAAGATGTCCTATCTAGTTCAGGGCAAGGAAAATGATAAGGTTGTTTATGTTCTACAATGTTTGTGTGTTGTCATTTTGTGTTCTTATTTAAACTGACAGCTACCTTATATCTCTGCTATTTCTCTATGCTTTATGTTCACATACTTATATTAGGATTGTTTTTGCCTCTATCACTTATGATTCATGTGTGCTAGGCTAGGACTATGATAAGAATCATTTGTGCTAGGCTAGGACTATGATAAGAATCATTTGTGCTAGGCTAAAATTGTGACATATAAAAGTTCTGATAGGTAATATGAACAATAATTTTAGCACATAGTTTTCAAAAAATATATGTTTATCACATGCCTATATTGTTTCTTGTATAAACAATGGAAATAAAGAAAAACTCAAGCATCCTTGATAGAAATGAACATATTAAATAACTTGTATTTCATCTTTAAATTATTACAAGTAAATATTTAGAGTTATGCTGTTGATTTTTTCCTTTGTAGTGTAATTTCTTTAAATTCAAAACTCTATGCTTTAACTATATTAGAAGCTAATTCTTTGAAGGTGTTTAAGGTTTATTGTCAATGAAGAACAATTCTTAATAACTATCTGTGTTTGTTTATCTTGTTTCCTTCATTTTTTAACTTGTTAGAAGACAAAGGATATAATTATCTTTTTAAAAATGTAATTAATTTAAATATGTTAAAAATGTAGTTTTTTATGAATGGATCTTTCTCTTGTCATTTAACATTTCTACAAAATGTACTACATTGATGTATTGAAGTCAGTGTGCAAATCTATAGATGAAGAAACATCATGGATGTTAAATACAGCTAGGCCACCTTAATTTAGATATGACATGTTAGATATGACATGTGATTTCTGAAAACAAAACAGATGTTTCTAATACAATTAGATTGATTTAAACTAGTGATAAAGTCTTTATTATTTGGAACAAATGATTAATCTTTCTTTACCAAAATTGCTGTTGTGCTTTCTCAACTAGGCATTTTAATTTTCATGTTGACAACCAGTCAGAAAGAATCTATTATAAATGATCAAAGCACATGCTTCATAGGCTAGTTTCTTAAAATGACAAGTAGGACAGTTTTGTGATAGAAAAAAGTTGACGCGTGCTTTAATCTCCATATTTTGATGTATTGAACACCACATTGCCTTTGTTGAAATGCATTTTGTTCTCAAAGCTTTCGCTAAGTGTTTCCTCTTTAAACACTTTGTCAGGTAGATAGATGTTCTGGAGAGGCTATGTTACTAATAGTGTAATGATTGTTTTACTACCTAACACATGCAGAGAAATTGGCTTGTCTAATATCTGACCGTAAACTGTAGTTCACAAGCTGCAAGACAAACAAACAAAAAAAACAGGAAAAGGAAAGAAAAATCAAGATTTTCCTTTTGATATTTTTAATATTCAGGGATTAACTATAGCAAGTGAAGTTAATAAAAAGAAAAACTCTATAACATTAATATACAGAATTGTCTAGGAATGGAGAGTCTTGGCCTAGGGGCATCAGAATAGAGAGTAACAGATAACTTTAGGTGGCCAGACAGGCCATCTACTTGAGGTATTTGAAATAGGTAGGAATTTTCCTTTGCCATTTCAGGTGGATAAAATGTAAGGTTTTATATATACGTATTTCTAAGACATGTCATATCTAACTCCAAGCTCAATGGCTAAGGTTGAAATAAAGGTTAACATTTTGTAACTCCTGTGTCCTTCCTAGTGGAACAATAGGACTTCCAGAGCTTATGTGGTTTAGGAGAATGGTAGAGAAGTCTCTGATGACAGTTATTAGTTGCTGTTGAATTGCTCATTGTTTAGGCTTACAGGATTTCATACAGACAAGCAAGTGACTCTGCTGGAGTCATGGCAGGCTCATCCTTAAGGACCTCATCCCAGCTCCCAAAGCCATGACATTTGCTAATCAAAGAGCTCTTAATGAAGAGAGGGATTCTCCACCAGTGACAAAACAACGGATCCACACAACTTCTGGGACCAGTCACTTGTTGCTATCATTCAGGCCGTGGAAATGCAATTCAACCTCTTTGTGGTCAGACTACTCCTCTCTTCTCCTTGATTGCCCAGGGGACAGCCCTTTTACCCCAGATTATCCACCTTAAATTTTTAGTTTACTCAAGATCTTCAAAAACAAAGCCTGCCTTGCAGTTATTTTGTAGTACCTAGCAAATGATTTTTCCTGGTCTTGAAACACAAAAGCTACCACTCCTTTCTGGCACAAGGGAGTAGAGAATCCGTGAGCCACAGCCCTGTCTGCATCTCCTGAAAGAGAAAATTACTTTGTAATTTTTTGAAAACATAAAGCAAAGGGAGACAACACTGATTGATTTCTTCACTATTTACTCCATTTCGTGTTCTTCTCAAGGCATTTGATACAGTAAAAACTCTAGAGGAAGAAAAAACTAGTGAAAACCAGCAGATATCAGAACATAGGAAAACGGTTAAGAATTAAAATGTGAGGTCAGAGGGTACATCTAAGAGTCTCAATACAGCTGGGAAGAGAGGGGCTAAGAGATCAGAGCTCACTTATTCATTACTTCCCTTCTTAAGTTCCCTCCCAGAATCAAAGTGAGGCTGGCATTTTCCTGGGTTTCCGTGTTGAGATAACAACAACAAAAGGTATGTTTAGTTGAGAACTTGCTATGAGCTTATATACTGTATAAAGCCAAATACTTTTTACATGCATTATTTTCTTTAATTGCTACAAATCTCCACGAGGTAGGTCTATTATTTTTTTCTTTATCACTGAGCTTTGGATTGTAAGTAAGACACCCTGCAATTCACACTGACTATATAGTAACCAGAAGCGTAGAGACAGCGCAGGCTTCATGCTTCTCAGTTTCTCAACAGCATCATCAAGTACCTTTCTGTCTCTCCATCCTCCCTCTACAATGTTGGTCTTATGCTGATGCCCATCATCCTCTTGGGCAAGGGATATCTTCTGCCAAAAATGGGGCATCATAATTCCTTGTACATCCAACAGAACCAGTCTCTATTTTGTATTTTGTTGACTCCAAGTAGCTTGAGCCTGCTGATTCATGAAGCAATCACAGGCAAGGGGCTTGGATATAACAATTATCTTAGAAGAATCATTGAAAGTGGAATGATGTGTGGGAGCCAGCCATGACCATTACATGCTCCATTTTACTTAGGAGTGAACTAAAGCACTATGAAGTTAAGTGATTTACCCAAGTATAGTTATAATTACAAGGGGCAGTTGCAGGTCTGCCCTGCTACAAAGTGTGCGCTCTTAACCTTTGTACTATGGCACTTAGGCACATTCTAGACGTGAGGGACATGGTTTCTCAGAACCATTACTCTAGACCAAGGTAGTCACATTGCTATTGAAAATACAAAACTTCCTTTGCAACAAAAACTGCTTTTTAATTCTTCATGATTGAGATGATTCACTGTAGTATAAAAAGAAGTGTCAGAGGGTAAGGTGTTTCAGAGAATAGTGGATGGAAATTTTGAAGGGAGAAATTGGACCCCGAGGGCAAAAGGATTAATGATCTTTCCCACTCTTTTTTTTTTTTTTTTTTGAGATGGAGTCTCACTCTGTTGCCCAGGCTCGAGTGCAATGGCACGATCTTGGCTCACTGCAAGCTCGGCCTTCTGGGTTCAAGACATTGTCCTGCCTCAGCCTCTGGAGTAGCTGGGACTACAGGCACCTGCCACCACGCATGGCTAATTTTTTTGTATTTTTTTTTAGTAGACACGAGGTTTCATCACCTTAGCCAGGATGGTCTCGATCTCCTGACCTCGTGATCCTCCCGCCTCAGCCTCCCAAAGTGCTGGGATTACAGGCATGAGCCACCTCGCCCAGCCGATCTTTCCCACTCTTAAAGGCTCCCAGGTAATCGTCCTTCAAATTCCAAAAATGATATTCAGTAAGTGCCAAGAGTGAATCAGACAATATGCACTGTTCACATGTCCTACACAGAGAGTGAGCCTGGCCTGGCCTGTCTGGTATTCTTGCATCAGTCTTTGATTTGCGGAAGAATGTGCTGGAGGTTCCTCTGGGTGGTACCCGGTTTTTCCAATAACTGGAGTGTTAGTGAAACAAAGGGGTAAACAGAGTTGTAGTAGAAGAAGCATCAACGAAAGACAACAAAAAAGGTATTTGTGAGATACAGAATATTGTAGGAAAATTATATAGTAGTGAGAGATAGTGTAGTCATAATGTTTGCAGAGGTTTAGCTAAAATGTACCTTTAAAAATCTGACAGATATTTTCTTTGATAGTTATTAAGCTGTCAAACTTATAGGGCCTTGAAGAACTTCTTTTAAACTGGGGATCAAATTTGGATCTTATATGTGCCTGTCAGATGGCCTGGAATCCTGGAATTGGAAAAATTCTCATTGAAAAGCAAGATGATAGTAATCAATGCAGATAATAAGCCAGCACAAGGGATAAAGCACGCTGTTTTGTAAAGATGTTTACTAGCTTCAAAATACTGTAGTTTTTATCTAAGCAGGCTAATCAGAATTGAAATTCAGAACGGGTTTCCCCTGGGCTATCCTGATGGGTACTGATCCCACGTGGAAGTGCCAAAGGCAGTGTATGAATAGAGGATGTTTCAAAAAGTATGCCACAAAAAATGCCTGATGCGAAAGCCTATAGAGTATCTCTGAACTGATTCCCAAATATTTGACTCCACCTGGCATCACTTTTCTGAGGATGAAACGTGTATGCATTCAACTCTCTCTAGGTAACACTATTTGAATGTGCCACAGGCACTTGAACTGGGTGTGTACAAATCTGAGCTCAACTATGACCTTAAATCTGCTTCTTTCATGTTGCCTATCTCAATAAAAGGCAAACATCTGAATAACAAAGACAAATTCTACCACAAATCACTGTGGATCTCTGAAACTGTTCTGTCTTAAAGCATTTTTCACCATTAACTCAAGATGAAGTATCCCTCTTCGGTTTTCCTCTTGAATCTTGTGTATACACTATATAGTGTCCACAGTATAGACTGTAATCTTCTGTTTAATCTTTCTGTTTCCCATCCTAGACCTTAAGCATCTTGAGGACAACCACTGTGTTTTAATCATCTTCATTTATCTAATGCTTGGATTAGGATAGGTGTTCAATCAATATTGTTTTAAAGACTGAATCATTGAAAGTTTGACCTTATCCAGGCTTATCAATAGTAACCATTTCCGAGACTTCTGAAAATACTTAACACTCTTCAGTTATCAAGGAACATGTCTAAACAAGTTCTTTAGTTGAAACTTTCTGGCTTATCTTCAAATTTAATAATAGTTTAAGGGGCATTGCTTTCTAAGACCCCCAGACATGTTAACACATTTCAGTGATGCCACTAAGATGCTAATATAAAATGGCCTTGAGGCACAAAATTTTGTACTCAAAAGTAATTCCTAAGAAAAGTACTATCAAAACAAAGCACAGAAAAACCTTTTCCTGTTATCACTGAAAGTTTCAACTACATTTTATTTAAAATTTATTTCAATCAAAAGTATTTTTAGAGACCCGTTATTGAGATTAATTTTGTACCTAAATTAGCATGTCTTTCTACTGCATCAATTTAGCTAAGCTGGAACGTCATTTTCTGAAATTCCTCTCCTTGTGTAGGTCTGTGTTAGAGGTGTCCATAAAAGAAATTTGTATGAGACTAGTAAGGCAGAAGTGAAGTACATTTAAAAAAAAAAAAAAAACCACTCTGAAAATCAGCAAATGACAAGGAATTATTGCAGCTTACTCACTTTTTCACAGATACCTTAGCTCATCTTCTTGGTGCAGGACAGAAGGTATTACTGTAGCCCCTTCAGCACCCATCAGCTTCTCCTTTAGCTTTTTCCAATCATGGGCCAGCTGCGTAAAGGTCTGTGGCAAGGGATGCCAGTTTATCCTACAGGTTTTCTGCAACAACATGATTGGAAGAGATCAGGGTCAACTTATGCTTATGGGTTCTAAGTTTGTACTGGCTCTCTCCTTATTCAAATCCATCTTCCTTTCCAACAGTTAGGCCTGTTGACTTCAGACCCAACACCAGCAAACCTCCATAGACTGGTGAATCCGCTCTCATAATCATGTTCAATCAAATCTGGCAAAATGTCCCTTATTTTGTGTCATCCAGAGGGGTTCTCCTTCTCTCATCAAACTGTGACTGATACACTGAATGGATTTATGTCACCAAATCCGTAGTGCTGAAATATTTTTTTCAGACCCTGTTACTACACAATTGTCTGCAAGAAAAATGTAAATTTCTAGCGTCCCTGAGTCATCCACTATAGCAGATTCTAAATTATGTAAAACCACTTCTTCTGCAATTATTGAGGTTTGAAAGAACTTGTAAGATTTTCTATGTCTTCATTTTCAAGCTAACAATATAGCACAGCCAACTACATAAGGTCCCACAGTGGCACCTGATGTGTTAAAGGAGGTTTGGGTGAGGATGTTTAATTAATCAAACTGCCTGAGGAATTTTTCATAAGATATTAACCCTATTATTTTCTCATAAAATATGCTTTTATGGGGAAATATCTTAATATTAGTTTGAACATTTGTCATTTTATTAATGGCCACATAATCTAAAAATTTTCACCCTTTTGGAATGCAAATGACAGCTGAGTGTACTATTATTAATTTCAATATTTAAAGGGGTGAAACATATGTCAGAGTATTTGGTATACTCTATCAAGACCACTTACATTTTTATGGGAAGTGACCAAAATTCTGGATCAAGTACCATATTTACTTTAAAGGATCATTCCAAGAAAGAACAAGCATTTCAGTTATTACACACCTCTTGAGACAACTAATTTTTTCATTTTTTACCTCACACTTTGTTGAAAAGATTACAGCTATGGAATAATTATTTGTTATATATTATGGTTGCTGAAAATTGTGATATACTTCCCTAAATGGAGTTTAGAAAATTTATGATTAAGCTGTCGCTATATATCTTGACACTTTCAAGCAAATGGTTAGACTGAAAGTCAGGTTCAGATGACTGGAAATATTCTAGAAAAATTGTTGGAAACATTTTTTTAATACTTAGTTCCTCATCAATCAACATGCCCCTACACATTCCGTTATAGAAGCCAGTTCAGATGAGTTATGCATCAAATATTTTCTTGCTTTAAACCAACTCTATTCAAATTTAGGTGCTTATTTATAAGACAAATATGAGAGATCTACCAAAAACACCTTGTTTATTTTTTTTAATATGAGCAACAAAATAGATTGAATTAATTTTGTAAGGGAACACTGTGGTAATATGTATTGTGGGACTTTGGACTCTCGAGGTTTTGTATTTACTTGTTACTGAAAAGCAAGGTTTTGTATTTACCAAAAAACAAGGGACACATAGAAAGAAGAGTGAAAGATATGACCAAGGGAAAGTACAATAATTGGTTACTCAGCTTCATTTGAAGCAAGGATTGATTGGTAAGGACCTGCCTGTTTATTTTCTATGACTATGTTTTAGCTACTACTCAATTCACTCCTGTCATGTGAATTGAACTCCAAGTTTTAAAAATAAACGGACAAAATATTTATTTTGGCAGATTGTTTTCCTCCTCTATTTCTAAAAACTTAAAAGTCGCTAAATAAAATTTGTCAAATACAAATAATTTTTAACAGGTCCTATAAATGACTGATTCTATTAACTATTGAATCAGTAAAGTAGAATCTCGTTCAGTGCCATGGGAATTATATGAGAGGTCTTTCCTTTTCATCAATAACTGAATACCTCTGTGTTAAACATTTCGTGTTTCTCATCACAGATAGTGAGCAAGAAGGAATCTCTCAGGCACCTGATTTGATTCAGTATCTGTGTGAACTAAGGAACAAAGGTTAAAAATCCTTTTGCAAATGATGAGAATGGGACTCATTAACAGTAATAAAATTACTTTGAATAAACAAAAATCAAAATTTCATTTCTTCTTTATCTCCTTTTATTCTTGTCTTATTTCAAAAGAACACTAAGTTCTTCACATGGACACAGGGAGGGGAACAACACATACTGGGGCCTTTCGTGAGGGTGTGGTGGGGGAGAGAGAGCATTAGGAAAAATAGGTAATTCATGCTGGGCTTAATACTTAGGTGATGGGTTAATAGGTGCAGTAAACCACCGTGGCACACATCTACCTGTGTAACAGACCTACACATCCTGCACATGTACCACAGAACTTAAAATAAAATAGAATAAAAAAGAACACTGTGTTCTAAAAGATTTTCAATTTTTTTCTTCTTTTTTTATGTTTTTTTTTTTTAAATTTTATTATTATACTTTAAGTTTTAGGGTACATGTGCATAATGCGCAGGTTTGTTACATATGGATACATGTGCCATGTTGGTGTGCTGCACCCATTAACTCGTCATTTAGCATTAGGTATATCTCCTAATGCTCTCCCTCCGCCCTCCCCCCACCCCACAACAGTTCCCAGTGTGTGATGTTCCCCTTCCTGTGTCCGTGTGTTCTCATTGTTCAATTCCCATCTATGAGTGAGAACACGTGGTGTTTGGTTTTTTGTCCTTGTGATAGTTTGCTGAGAATGATGGTTTCCAGCTTCATCCATGTCCCTACAAACAACATGAACTCATCATTTTTTATGGCTGCATAGTATTCCATGGTGTATATGTGCCACATTTTCTTAATCCAGTCTATCATTGTTGGACATTTGGGTTGGTTCCAAGTCTTTGCTATTGTGAATAGTGCCGCAATAAACATACGTGTGCATGTGTCTTTATAGCAGCATGATTTATAATCCTTTGGGTATATACCCAGTAATGGGATGGCTGGGTCAAATGGTATTTCTAGTTCTAGATCCCTGAGGAATTGCCACACTGACTTCCACAATGGTTGAACTAGTTTACAGTCCCACCAACAGTGTAAAAGTGATCCTATTTCTCCACATCCTCTCCAGCACCTGTTGTTTCCTGACTTTTTAATGATCGCCATTCTAACTGGTGTGAGATGGTATCTCATTGTGGTTTTTATTTGCATTTCTCTGATGGCCAGTGATGATGAGCATTTTTTCATGTGTTTTTTGACTGCATAAATGTCTTCTTTTGAGAAGTGTCTGTTCATATCCTTGGCCCACTTTTTGATGGGGTTGTTTGGTTTTTTTCTTGTAAATTTGTTTGAGTTCATTGTAGATTCTGGATATTAGCCCTTTGTCAGATGAGTAGATTGCAAAAATTTTCTCCCATTCTGTAGGTTGCCTGTTCACTCTGATGGTAGTTTCTTTTGCTGTGCAGAAGCTCTTCAGTTTAATTAGATCCCATTTGTCAATTTTGCCTTTTGTTGCCAATGCTTTTGGTGTTTTAGTCATGAAGTCCTTGCCCATGCCTATGTCCTGAATGGTATTGCCTAGGTTTTCTTCTAGGGTTTTTTATGGTTTTAGGTCTAACGTTTAAGTCTTTAATCCATCTTGAATTAATTTTTGTATAAGGTGTAAGGAAGGGATTCAGTTTCAGCTTTCTACATATGGCTAGCCAGTTTTCCCAGCACCATTTATTAAGTAGGGAATCCTTTCCCCATTTCTTGTTTTTGTCAGGTTTGTCAAAGATAAGATGGTTGTAGATACGCAGCATTATTTCTGAGGGCTCTGTTCTGTTCCATTGGTCTATATCTCTGTTTTGGTACCAGTACCATGCTGTTTTGGTTACTGTAGCCTTGTAGTATAGTTTGAAGTCAGGTAGCGTGATGCCTCCAGCTTTGTTCTTTTGGCTTAGAGTGAATCCTCACATTTGACAAAGTATATGTATTTGAACCTCTAGATAAAGATAGAATTTTAATGTTGAGATGGTTTTCTGTCATGCATATACATGATCTGAACAAGTTCAAACTCATGACAAAATTAGTACCTTTCACTAAACTTAACTTGGCTATTTTATCAATGACAAGAGACACAAAGGTCAATGGAGATAGGCTATTAATAGTCTCCTGAAAATGTGCTCAGTATCATTAGTCATCAGAGAAATGTAAATTAAAACCACAAAGAGATATCACCTGTAGTCACAAGAATGATCAAACTTTAAAAAGAGATTGACATCTTTAAACATTGATCATTAAAACTAAATTACATATTTTCGTTTTTGTGTATGTGTATACAGATAAGTAATTTATTTTCTATTGAACCTAAAGACAAAATCTATTCACAGGATCTTGTGTGAAGTTATTAAGTTTTTTTGCTCATTTTTTATTGCGTTGCTTTTTGTTATTGATTTGTAGAAGCTTGTCAAATATTCTGGATATTTAATATTCATATAATTGTACTGCAATTATGTTTTCCCAGTTTGTGGCTGAACTATTCATTTTTTAAATTTTTACTTTTTAATTTTTTGGGTACATAGTTGGTATATATATTTATGGGTTACATGAGACAGTTTGATACAGGCATGCAATGTGTGATAATCACATTAGGGTAAATGGGGTTATCTGTCACCTCAAGCATTATTCCTTTGTGTTTCAAACAATTCAATTTTACTCTTAGTTTTTTTTTTTTAAAAAAAGTACAGTTAAGTTATTTTTTACTATAGTCACCCTGTTGTGCTGGCAAATACTAGGACTTATTCATTCTTTCTGTTTTTTTTGTACCCACTAACCATCTCCACTTCCCCTGACCCCACCCTCCTCACTATCCTTTCCAAGTGCCTGCTCATTTTAAATGATTTCTTTTAATAAGCAGACATTAATTATGGTAAGTTCTAATTTATCAATTTTATCTTTATGATTAATATTTTCTGTATCCCAAGACAGCTTTGCCTATCCCAAACTGCTATGGTTTCAATGTGTCCACTCCAAAATTCAGGTTTCAAAACGTCATGGACAATGCAATAGTATTAAGAGGTGGGGGCTTTATAACCTTGTAATAATACATAGTTATTGTTTTTGCTTTAAGCACTTGGTCTTCTAAAGAAATAAAAACATATAACCAAAACATAATGGAGCTGAAAGAAAAGCTTTTGTGTTCTATTTGGTACTATTTTCTTCAGTCTGAAGAATTTCTTTCTCCATTTTATATTGTGAAGGTCTTCTGGAGATAAGTTAGCTCAGTGTTTTTCTACCCCTGTAAGTATTATTTTGGCTTCTTTTTTGAAGGCTATTTTTATAGGATAAAAAACTCTAGGTTGAGAGGTCTATTTTGTTCTGTTAGCAGTTTCAATGTCTTTTGTTGTCTTCTGTTATTTCTGATGAGAACTTATCCATTCTTTTGTTCACTTGTACACGTGTCTGTTTTTTCTCAGTACTTTTAAGCACTGTTCTTTATTGTTGGTATTTAGCAATTGACAATGACAAGGGTTTTTGTTTGTTTGTTTGTTTGTTTTATGTATCCTGCTTGGATATGCTTGGAGCGACTTGGATCTTTTATTAATTTTAGAATGTTCTTAGCCATTATTTCACCAAATACTACTTTTGTTCCATTTTGTTTAACCTCTCCTGGGACTATTTGACATTATTCCACAGAGCTCAGATGCTCTTTGCTTTTTCTTTTTAACTCTTCATTTTCAATTTAGATATTTTCTATTGACTGTTTTAACTTTACTAGTAGCTTTCTCTGCTATGTCCAATCTGCTTCTAAGTCCATATATGAGTTCTTCAGTTCTAATGTTGTAATTTTCATTTCTAGCATTTCCATTTAGTTTGTTTTTTAAAATAGTTTTTGTATCTCTGCTAATATGTCCCATTTCTTTATGAATGTTGTGCACCGTTTTGAATATATCTTTAATCATTTTTGCTATCTATATTTTAAAGTAGCTGTCTGATGATATCAATGTTTGGTCTATCTTTAGATCTGCTTCTATTGATGGTTTCAACTCTTGATAATGAATGCCATTTTCTTGACTTGTTGTGTGTCTTGTAATCTATAAGTGTATTCCAGACACTTAATATAAGGAACAGGGAATCTAAAGTAGATATTTATCTTCAGAAAAATACTGCCCCATTTTCTGTCAGTCTACTAGAAATGAGTCAATCTGATCTGTGGCTTAGCTGAGTCTGGATTTTATTACAGCATTAGTTTGATTCAGTTCACAACTGGCTTGAAATATTTTGAGGGTGGGAGTATAACTTTCCCATTAGCTGGGATGGAGATCTGAAGAGATCTGTCTGTGTTCACAGCCAAATCATCAGCTTTTAGAATTGTTGAAGATACCACTATAGTTTACTGCCAAGTTAAAAGATAATGGGGACACCAGAGAGTCTCTTTCTCTCCAGTCCTACCACCAATTAGTTTCTTTATCTCAGCAAATTGTTTGCAACCTTCCCCCACCCACTTCTCTATTCTTTAGAAAGACGGTGTCATACATTCATGAAGGTCCTCAGTGCTTTGCAATGTCCTCTTAAGTCTCCTGCCCACCCTCAGTCTCTGATAGTTAAAGCCTGGAGTTCCTGGGCAGGGAAATGTTCTATGAGCTCTCCTGCCAGGCCTACAATCTTTTATATGTAATATTCTAGATTGCCACAAGGGGTTTTTCTTAGCTGCTTAACTAAGTATTATTCTAATAAAATGGTCCCAGATTCTTTATTTAAAGATAACATCACCCTAGCACTTCAGAGGAAATTTGGCTTTAAAAATTATGCAATCATCACAAAGACAGCTTGACAATATACAGTTTAGTTGACATTATGGTTTTATTAGGTGGACTACAATGTATTGAAGTATTATTATTGAAACAATCTATTGCTTAGATAGCTTTTTAGTCTATCTAAGAACTCTGTCACAAGGTAATTCTTAATTGTATTTTTTTGCTTCTTCATTGCTTACTAATGAAGCTTGGGAGCATCATGTGACTTCATTACTTCAGTTTTCTCAGTCTGTTCATATTCCATTCCAGGGAGAAATGTGAAAATTAATAACTCTCTAAAGTGCTTTGGAAACTTTAAAACAGATACTATGTAAATCTAAGTAGTCATTACCATAGATATTTTCTACCTTAAAGAATGTTTTTATAATTCAAAAAAAAATAGGCTTTTCAATTGTGTAGTATTCATCACCATGTAGAAGACTAGCTAATGACTCACAGAGCTAGCTTCTCAGTTTCTAAACAAAACACTAGTAAAATGCCCAGCTGGTTCACTTTAATTTTAAATGTAATGATATCTACACATGGGAGCTGGCATGCCGCTTTTAAAATTTTGGAAGGAAAATACAGTTAGAGAATTCCTGCTGGAGGTAATAGTCCACTTGAATCAATGCTAGTCTATGGAATTGCATTTATGATTAAGCCCCCATGCTAACTAATAGAAAAAGAGAAAATCTCTTGTGTCCTCGTGGAAAATGGAGTATAACTGGTGGACATAATGCATGATAAAGATCTGTTTTCTTTGAGGACAAAATTATGAGTGTTTGTTTCCCAGCACAGTAGAACCATTTAGAAGACTCATTTCCATGTTTGTGAGTATTCCAAGGATGAAAATCAAGCCCCAATCGGCATATCAATTACCGAGATAACTTAAAAATCTACTTTAGAGTTAGGACATTTAAAACTATAATAGAAGTGAAGTAAAATTTCCAAAGTGTTCATGGTTGTTTGCCATCAAGTTCCAAAACTTGATGCAGTGGTTACTTGAACAGTATATGAAATATAGAGATAATAGTAACTCAACCTAAAAATCAGTGCTTGTGCTGTGTGGCAGGCCACTAGAGTGTCCATCTTCACCCTTGAAGCATCTTACTAATCTTTGCCAATATCTTACTAAAATTTGCCAATAGAGAGGTTTCTTTTGTACTCTGCTGTATAGTAGTTTAAGGGAAAATTGGTACATTTTCAAAAGCAATACTAATCTTCCACAATTCTCAAAACTACATTTTATAGTTATGGGAACCTTAATGTTTTGTTATTTTATGAAAAAAATTTATTCATATTATCCAATTGAAAATATACTAGATCAGAGGTCTCCCAGCTATTATTGTACACCTCTATTAGTAAAACGATGTTGAGAAAATCCCCCACTACATGAATATTTATTTATTTATAAATTTTATTCTTGTACAATTATTAACTAGTATCTAAAGGTGAAATATACGCTTGGGATTACAGCCATCTCTAATGATAATATGAGTAAACCTATATTCAAAACAGTCTTCTCAATAATTTTAATTTTGTCGGCTAACTGCTTGTCAGATCTTTTTCCGTTTTTTTTCTTGTGAATATTGGCTGAAATTGAGCTCACTTAGAAAGTAGTAGTGACAGGTCTGCCAATTTCTAGTTGTTTGCCTGTTTTGTATTATGAGTATAACCTTTAACCTTTAATGTGTGTTTTTCTCTGCCAGAATCTCTTAAAGTCACTTGTACTTCTTAATGAGAAATGGTCTTTAAAGTGGGTCATATTAAGCTTTCCTTAACCAGACACACAGAAGCTGCAATATGCCAATAATAGGCTGAATATTTGTATAGAATTTGTGACATATGACAGTGTGACATATGAACTGGGCCTCATTCAGTTTACCTGCTAAATATTAGAAGAAATAATTTATTTCATACTGTTAGACTTAAACACAGGGAAATTTTAATACTTTCCTTTTGTATTCCATCTTGCACACCCACTGGGTTGTGACCCCCTATTTGAAGCCCACTGGCTTAAATGACTTATATTTGAAAATGGAAAAACAAACACGATGAAAGGAAAAAAAGAGCTATTTTTAATTCTCAAATACATCATGCTCCAAGTAAAAATCAAATTGAAAATCAAGAAAAGATAATAACACAGGCAAGGATCAAATTACATTAATTTCTGTTGGTCTTTATCTAAAAATACAAGACAGTTTATTTCTTAGAAAAGAAGGAGAGTAATATACGGTCGGGGGAGGTAATTCCAGGGGTATATAAGCAGCGTACAGCAGATTGATGTGTCTGGCAGGGCAAGTACATAAAAATGAATTTTTAAAAAAGAGAATAAGACTGGTAAGAGAAAAAAATGGTAAAAATCAGTATTAGAAACTCAGTGGAAATCAAAGTGTGGAAGGAGAGATGTACTTTAATTACAGGTGAGTGTGTGTGCTTTTGTTGTCATGATGAGGTTGTAATAAAAGTGAAGGAAGGTATAATCTTCCTCAGATACTGCCTTTAGTATTTATATCACTATTAAGATCAAGTCATTATCGGTTGGCACATTTAGTTACAGTGACTTACTTCTTATCCTGTCTCCACTCCAGAAGCAAGTCCTTCTCCTCCTCTAAAGCTCAGAGCCACTTTTGTGCCATCCTACTCTGCTCTTCCCAGGCCCATAAAGACTCTAATTCTCAGTTGATCTCCGCCCTCTCAGGTATCTTCAAACCCTCCTCACAGCTTTCACCCTTATGCCTTCAAAAATGTCTAGTTCTTCGCTGTCTTAGAAAATGTTCTCCTGACCCAGCTGCCCTCTCTAGTTACTGCTGTAATTTTTTTCTCTTTTCAAACTTTTCAAATAAGCAGCCTATGTCTACTGCCTCCATTTCCTCTGACATACCCTGGAAACAGGCTTCTGCTCTCATCACTTTTCAAAAAAAGAATTTCCCCTTGTTCTCATCCAACTATTACTTTGGCCTATTTACGGGTGTATTTGATAGCTGTCTCAGATCACATCTCACCCTCCCTCTCCTTCCCTGCTTTACCCCTAGTGTGGCCTTTTCCATTTCCTGCCTCTAATCCATACTTGCTTCATCCTGTCCAGGAGTTTCACTGCTCCATTGAGACACCTCTCTGTTTATAATATTAATGCTTCCTACTTTAAGACACAGAACTTTTTAATTTCTCACCCTCACTTTTAAGTTTCTCGTATTTTCCCCATACCCACTTTATCAAGTCATTATTTGTTGCAACAGAAGTCACTGAATAAATATTTTTTGAATAAATAAATGAATGAATGAATGGACATATATTCCATGCCCTGGTCAGATGGTATCCTAATTGTTCTATCATAACCATAGTTATCTCCTATCTTTATTATGTTGACAAACTATAGCCATTTGGTTTTGGTATGTAATCGAGTCACTATACATATTTGAATGTGTCAAGCTGCTTAAGTTCATGTTAACAAGACAGGAAACTTTAAACTGCAGTATGTGATTACTAGTATTAATAATACAGAGTAGAGTTTCATTGAGCAGCTCTTCCTGGATACATTATCATGAAGACTGTAAGGGAAATTACTCTATAAGCATGTTTTCTTACTCTAAATTTTTCTATTACTAAAACACAATAAACATGAAAAACGTTCATAAACATCTTCACTAGACAAAAGTTGTAAGAAACAGAATGTACTATTTAAAAGTTAGAAGTTAGGAGGCATCAGCATTTGGGGATCATCTTGACTCCCTTCTACTCATTCCACCTATGATAAATTTAACTGGTTTTCTTGTGGGGCTGCTTGAAGCCTGGTGTGTGTTGAAGGCTTTCAATTAGCTAGCTAATATATTTAAGCTTTTCTCTAAGAGTGACATTCATGATTTTCTCTTTGCAACTGCTTGCCAATCGATACCAGCCGAGATGAACTCAAAGTCATGAATAAGGTGATTATGTGGCTTTTGTGCTCGCCTGCTTATGCCGCTCCCCTCCAGGGAAAACCTGACATGCCTGAGGTTCCTACATTCTTTGCCACATCGTATCCCTGAGTTTTGATTTGGCTGATTTACTACTGAATGAAAATCACAGAGACCTCTCTGCTTCCTCCCAACAGCCTATTCTTGTGGTAAGTCAGTTTAGCAGAATGTGACATCTGTTGACAAGCTTTCCTTCTGCTTAGAGGCCCTAGTCAGCCAGTTTGGAAGCCAGTCTCAGTGATTTCATTTAAGGAATTACTCCATGTAACAACAAAGTAAATGAATATAATACATGTCATATAATCATAAAAACAATTATATGATGTTTTATGTATATTATTTTCATTATTCTTCACTTTTCAAATCCCTTTCTGTACCGGGAAGCCTTTTACAATTATAGTTCCAAACTTTTCTGATGTTTTTTGCCTCAAACTCTTACAAAATTTAAACATTTTCATAGAATCCTATAGTACATGTGTTATTGTTTTCTGTTTGTTGTCAATCACTTGTCCTTATTTGAGGGAAGGAGCCATATCTTTTCGTTTAAATCTCTACCATATTGCACTTTGTGAAATATGTAGTAGTGAGTTAGCATTCATGTGTGCATTGACCAATTAATGTTGGCTGGAGTGGAAGTAGGAGGGAATGTGGAAAAAGAGATCAGAATAGTGGTGGAATGTATTAATAATTTCAAATTACAAGGGTCACTGTTCCAACCGAAACTTTTCTTTTTTCCTTCAACAAATATTTATTGACCACCTGCTATATGCAGACACTGCCCTAGATGCTTAGGATATGACACTGCACAAAACAGAGTAAGATTTCTGTTCCTAGGAAGCTTTCACTGAAGCAGAATGAGATCGATAGTACACAATAAACATAACAAGAAAGTAAATTAGAAAATTAGGCCAGGCGCGGTGACTCACGCCTGTAATCCCAGCACTTTGGGAGGCCAAGGCAGGAGGATCACCAGGTCAGGAGTTCGAGACTAGCCTGGCCAACATGGTGAAACCCTGTCTTTACTGAAAATACAAAAATTAGTTCGGCACGGTGTTGAGCTCCTGTAATCCCAGCTACTCATGAGGCTGAGGCAGGAGAATCGTTTGAACCCTGGAGGCGGAAGTTGCAGTGAGCCAAGATCACGCCATTGCACTGCAGCCTGGGCAACAGGGTGAGACTCCATCTCAAAAAATAAAAAAAGAAAATTAATGAAAGCTTATGGGGAAGAAAAGAAAAAAAAGGGGGGTAAATATTATTGGGAAGTTGGTTGGGGGAGATTTGAGAGTAGGGAGGCCTCAAGAGTTTGGTAAAGACTTGAAATAGGAGAAAGAGTGTCATGCTAATATGGGTGTCTTCTGGGTACACATGGCATCAGTACACAGGCTGTAATCATGCCTGACATGTAAGTTCAAGGCCAATGTGATTGAAGCAGAGTGAGCAAGGGGGAGAAGAATAGAGGAAGGGATCAGAGAACTAATAAGGTGTATGTGGTGTGTGCGTATGTTGGGGAAGGCTATCATGTGCGGTTTCATAGGTAACTGGAAAGAAACAGTTTTAGTCAAGTGAAGTGGAAAGCTGATGTTAATGTAAGATTTTGAGCACAGGAATAACACGATTTGACTTTTAGTTTAAAACATTCACTCTGGTTTATGTGAGAGCAATGTCAAAGAAAGGAGAACAATTAAGAGGCAATTGTAATAATATAGATGAGAGATGGGAGTGGCTTGAACCACAGCATTAGTGTAATATTATTTAGGTTTCCAATATGTAGTTTAGATTCTAGATATATTTGGAAGGTAGATTCAAGAGGATTTCCTAATAGATTAGACTTGAGATGTACCGTGGAATGAATTGTATCCCCCTAAAATTCACATGTGTCCTCCTAACCCCCAATGTGATGGCATGTGGACATAGGACATTTGGGAGATAGTTAGGGTTAGATGAGATCATGAAAATGCAGCCCTCATGGTGGGATTGGTGCCCTTCGAAGAAGAGACACTACAGAGCTTGATCTCTTTCTCTCTGACTGCCATGTGAGGACACTGTGTGAAGATGGCCTTGTGCAAGCCAGGAAGAGGGCCACCACCAGAACTCGACCATGCTGGCACCTTCATCTCAGACTTCCAGTCTCCAGATGTGCAAGAAGATAACTTTTTGTTGTTTAAGCCACCCAGTCTATGTTATCTTGTTATGGCAGTCCAGCCAACTAATATAGGGCATGAGAAAAGGGAGGAGACAAGGATAACTTCAGGGCTTTTGGTTGAGCAACTGGTAGGTTGTAGTCACCATTCAGTTAAGGCAGTGAAGACTGTAAGTAGAGCACACGTCAGAGGAAATGTTGGTAGTCAGCTTTGGGCATGTTAAATGTGAAATCTCTATCAGACATCCAAAGACATTGAGTAAATGACTGGATATACAAATCTGAAATTTTGATGTGAGATTGGAACTGGAAAATAATTACGGCCTTTTAAACTACAGTGGCCAATAGCAACCTACTCTTCAACTACAAAGTAGTTACACGGTATTATGATAGCTCAGTGTCTATGCTAATTTGAGTGAAATCATCAAAGTTGTGATCATATTGTAAGTCAGCTATGGGCCCACTTCCATCAACTTCTACTTAAATTCTGAATATCTGTTAAATGGGAAAATCTGCTTCTTATAATGACCTCCATTCTCCAGTTTGGATTTTTCTCCACATCAATTGGTATCAAAGAATGAACCATGATAAAAGGATATTTCCCTGCAATTAAGAGTTCTGGGCCCTATGGGATTAATTTGGATGAAAAACAGCACTCTGTCTCTCCTTTATAGGTGTTCTTGAGGGATAGTCAGAAGTTTGCATTCATAATTGTATACTAGTATCTTAGATCTACAGCTATCGGATTTGTCTTGTGTATAACAAATGTATGTCTTCACAGACAATGCCTTAAATGCTAGTTTACTACAATTGAATCAGTTTGCAAAAGTGAAACGTTGTCATTCACAAATATGGGAATAAAACTTACTGATGGATTTTTTCAGCTGATTTTTCTGAAGTGTACTTATTCACGTTACCAGCTTAAAGACGGTGCTTGTACTAAATTTAGTAGACTTGTGCTAATTCTTAGGTACCTTTAGCCTCATAGAATAACACAAGACAACAAACTCTAGTATAAAGTTTGTATTGCCAAAAATTTTGATTATCTACACAACGTAGGAGGTTTGAAATAAAATTATTTTCTAAATAATTAGGAGCTATATAAAATGTTCCTAGATAATAATAAAGAAACATCACTGTCCTGGATAGGAAAATAAGTAGGAAACTACAATTGCTTATTCATAAGACTAACGTCAGGAATCAAATGCTGAATTTGGTGGCACGCAAAGGCTGTTTGCCTCGAAACCAACCTAATATTTTAAGAAGAGCACTCTGAAAATCTTGTCATAAGCATGCTCAGTCTAAGGACTATAAGATTTTTCTGAATTTCAGTTTTTCTGTCTGCAAAATAAGACTTATAACACCATTTGTCCAGAAAGGTGGTAGTGAAAAATGTAGGTTGTGTTACAGAACCTGGTAAAAATAGTTCTCTAAAGTATCATGCAACTCCAAACTAAAGAGTTATTTTAGGCTGGGCGCAGTGGCTCACGCCTGTAATCCCAGCACTTTGGGAGGTCGAGGTGGGCAGATCACAAGCTCAGGAGATCAAGACCATCCTGGCCAACATGGTGAAACCCCGTCTCTACTAAAAATACAAAAATTAACTGGGCGTGGTGGTGCATGCCTGTTGTCCCAGCTACTCAGGAGGCTGAGGCAGGAGAATTGCTTGAACCCAGGAGGCAGAGGTTGCAGTGAGCCCAGATCGCGCCACTGCACTCCAGCCTGGGTGACAGAGTGAGACTCCATCTCAAAAAAAAAAAAAAGTTATTTTATTCATTATAATAAATATTGTATTTCCAAATATTAACTCTAATATTCAATAGAATAAACTGAATTCCTATATCAGGAAACTCAGATAAGTAGCCTGTCAATAATTCTACTCATGCATATAACACTTGTCTCTGTAAAACTTGATACTTATGCACGTAGACATCTAAGACATTCCTTTTAGCAATGTAAAAGTTGTTTTATGACCAACTCATTGGCCTTCACCCACCTGATTCTGCAGAGCATATATTTTAAGAGGAAGAGGCACAAGAATTTCAAAATATATAACCTTACTGAGCTAAATTCTGTGCTGACATGGAAACCTTTGACTATAATTATTCTAACAATAGCATCAGGTTACCAACTCCCTCACCAGGTGAAGTCAAAAGCTTCCCCTGAAAAGGCAAAGGTTTCTCAGTGAACACTAGGCAACGTGGTTCATAAAAATTCATTATATTGCCCTTCTTTTCCTGTAGTAAGACAGATGTAAAATCAGGAATTTTCCCAGTAGATCCTTCTCATAGCATTTAGAAAATGAACTTGGAAACACACACACACATAAACACACACACACACACACACACACACTGACAGAATGCATTGAACTCGATAAGAGAGTTGTAGGTAAAGCATGTGACATGCCACAGATAAAAGGTGCCATGCATTCAACAACAGCATCTTTTAATGCAAAGGATCACCATATGCACGTGCTAGGAACTTGCACTGCTCACATAGTTATGGGAAATGCGGGTGGAATGTCAAACATGTAGAGAATAGGCCTATAATTATTCCCGAAACTTCAGGAAATAAACATTCACTTTCAAGAAATTGTTTTCAGCTGCTTTAAAGCCAAGTGACAGCTAAATTACAGTTCAGGGAAGGAAAAGTTTCCATTTTCTAATTTGATGCATTTGGTTGCATCGTTCTACATTATCCAGAGTCAGGGCTGCCATATCCTGTCATGCTTCAAACCCTGGGCTGAAAGCTCCAGGCAGCTGAAAGAGCTGTCTGTCCAGACACACAGTGTGCTCAGTGTGCCATAAGGAAAGCGTTTGGGGACTTGGAGCAAGTCTTTTGGTTAACAATCCTCAGATTTCCACCAGTGCTTTTGACTGTACATGCTGCGGCTGCTCCTTCTGCATCTCCTTTGTGCCAGCCTGTGATGTGTTTATGGAAACTCTGCTGGCCTTGCCTGGAAACAGCCCCAAACCCATTCTTCTATGGTTTTCCTGGGAAAGAAGGATGGAAAGGTAGACAGAAGAGATGGTGGGAGTCAAAACAGAAAGTCTTAGGTGCTCACAAGTTGACCAGTAACTGTCAGGAAAATAAATAACGTGCCGATATCTGACAGTATAAGAAGAAAGAAAGGAAATTAAGTTTTTATTAAAAGAGATAACAGAAATGTTATCAGTCAGGCAGTTTCCTATTGCCTGCTGGGTCTAGTAATGAGGATTCCCAGTTCTGTAAAGGATAAGCTGTCAGAAAAGGCCTATGGATGCACAGTAAGAGTTTCATCGAAGCTTCATTCCACTGCAGATCTTACTCTTATGAAACATTTATTTAAAATACTCTAAACAATTAATATGAAAATTTAAAAAATTATATATACTTTGCTTAACTTGGGGCCTTCAGCTAGATTTTTCTGCTTTAAGTCCTAGAGCATGATGAATTAGAAACATGTATTCAAAAGGAAAAATATTTCATATAACAAATTTATACACAAAAGAATGAAGCTAAAAGTTCTGGCTGAGATTAATGTTTATTACAAGAAATTCAAAGTACTATTTCCCTGATTTCTTCTCATTAGGACTTATGTATCCATTTATTATGATATTGAGCAACTCAAAAAGAGAAAAACACATCAAAAAATTGAAAGTTATATTAAAGTTAAAAAAAAAAAGAAAAAAACCCTGACAATCTCTCCTATAAGATCAGTTCACGTTGCCTGTCAAAGTTTGCTAAACAATCAACTTGTTGAATTAGGCAATGTTTTCACCCCATATGATACCCACACCTCAAAAAGCTTTTATTTATTTTATTTTTATTTATTTATTATTTTTTTTGAGACTGAGTTTTGCTCCTGTTGCCCAGGTGTAGTGGCGTGACCTCATCTCACTGTAACCGCTGCCTCCTGGATTCAAGAGATTCTCCTGTCTCAGCCTCCTCAGTAGCTGGGATTACTGGCATGTGCCACTACGCCCAGCCAATTTTTTGTGTTTTTAGTAGAGACAGGGTTTCATTATGTTGGCCAGGCTGGTCTCGAACTCCTGACCTCAGGTCATCCACCTGCCTCAGCCTCCCAAAGTGCAGATTACAGGCGTGAGCCACTACACCCGGCCTCAAAACCCTTTTAAATGTTAAAAATTATGAATGGTCCAAATAATTGAGTATGGAACAAAAGAGAAGATGAAAGAGAGGCTTGATTCAAATGAGTTATACATCTTTATTAGCACAAATTAAAGTTCTTCATATGTACCAACTTCCTCCAGAACACTAAATTGGGAACAACAAACAAGTCCCAGAGAGCGTCTTTTCACACTTCCTAATCTTGGTTTGAACAGTTCCTGGGTTGCATTGAAAATTGATTTTGTTTTCTAAGTAGGTTTTCAAATTCAGATATTCTGAACAGTGGTTGACTGATTGCATGATTCATGGTGGCAAACCCTTCAGTGCTGGTGAAGTGGGAAGATCCGCAGATGTCAGGGCAGTCGGGGTACAAGTGTGGATACTCCAATTTTTAATTTAATGGGTTATTTTGGTGTGGAAATGGCTGAAGCTTGAGTGAGGAATGAGAGAAAATAATTATCTGAGGCATGAGAGCTGAGTAGAGTTGTTCTTGATTTTAAAGTTATTTTTGCAGAACCAAAAAACACACTACATATTCTTTTAAAAATTATTTCTAATTTCTGAATTTATTTTAAAAATTTTCAGAAAGGAATGCAACTTAAATAGCATTTGTATTGCCCTAAAAATCTTTGGGGGAACAAAAAATGATATAAATAAGCAAGTTTAGTTACTACTACATGTGTATTCTTTATTGACATATAGTACTTAAAATCCAGACTGTCCCAGAACATCTGCAGACCATTTTATACATTCCACAGGAAACCTTTGGGCACGAATTATTAAAATTTCTGAAGAAGGAGGTGAAATACAGAAAACTAAGATATTTAAATATGTCTCAAACAGGCCTTTGGTTAAAATGGCTCCATAATTTCACACTTAAACATATCACCTCTTTCTTTTCCAAAGACAGAGCAATGGCAGATAAAATCAATTAAGAGTAATTGAGCTCAAAAAAAACTATATAAACATCTACATGCACTAGAAGTGCAACAAAAACACAGACCAGTAATAAGCTGAAACTCAGAGCTTTCTGGTTCTTGGGGAGGTTGGCTAAAATCTTGGCTATTGAAAAGTTAACAGGGACTAGAAATGCCTAATCTAAGCTGGGAGGCACAATCCAGTCTTATTAATTGAAGCCAGGGACTCTCTTCAAACCCACCATGAAATGAGGCCAAAGAAAAGAGCTACTGACAACCAAGAAAATCAACAATGAGACCATCAATTTATTCCAAATAAAATTAATTTTAGAAAGCACTTTGACAGTCTTTAAAGTGAGGATACTTATGATGCTCATTTCATCTGTTTTCAAAGTGGAAAAGAAATTATAAAATAAGATGTGGAGAAATGAGGCATGAAAAATGTGAGCTATGTGAAAAAGCTTATTAGGAACCGTGAAAATAAAAAAAAAGAACTTAAAAAATCTTCTTAAGTTACAAAAAGGCTGAAATAAGCACAATTAGAGAATTAGTAAATTTTAAGAACTGGTGAATTCCCTCAAAAATGTATCATGAAGAGATGTAAAACAAAGAGCAGTTGAGAGCCAGAGGCACCGCCTTGCAAGTTCTCTGCATCATAGAAAAGTCGGGAACTACCGCCCCCAGAATCCCCTTTCCTCCATGATTTCAGGTTAATATTCACTGGTGAATGGCATTCACATGAAAATGTGGGGTGGAAGGGATGGGTAGGCATTATTCTCCTGAGACATTTGCACCCAGACATACGGACAGACATGAGATTCACATCAGCTTTCCCGGGAGCTCTTGAGGACCACCTGCTTCAGAACTTCAGGCTGAGATTATCAGGGGTGGCTCTTTTGATCTTCACCTCCCCAGTTCTTCACATGTAAGCCCCTAATGGTTATATTAAAACCACTTATACCCAGAGTGCAGAGAGAGCTTCTGTGTTCCTGAGCAAATACTGAATACATGCAGTTTGCATATGATAGTTATTTTATTATTTATTTTATTATATCCTCTCTTAGCCTTTTAAAAGATGAGAAAAAAAAGGCATACAGAATTAGCTGCTCCACATCACAATAAATAATCAGGGATTGATCCCTCAAGCCTATGCTGATCCTGATTAAATAGGAGTGTGTTGGGAAGAATGCTGAAGCTGTATGGGCACAGTGAGAACCAAGGTCATAATCTCCTGGCAATATTACTGACAATGCGTGGGTACAGGGCAGGGAGTGGTCATAAATGTATTTGTCAGTTGCATACTAAAATATCAAGGGAATAATAAAATGACAGCCCTGTTTTGGCCCTCTGTGACCCAGGTCTGTACACTAGAAAGTTACACTTGCATTGGGCAATTGTTTGGCCCTCTGCACAAATCAGGATCAAAACATAGTCTCTCATATGTTAAACATTATAAATTAACTACATCATGTTTCTTCTTTCACATTTTTAGACGTCTCCTAATCATTTTACTGCCCATTTAATACCTATAAACAGTAATCTTTCTAAAGGTTTTTATATTAACATATTCCTTTCTGGGCTTACTCAGACAAAACACCGGCTTTACTAAAAGCCCTTGGTCACTCAGTAAAATGTTATCATTCATCCCATGGTGCTGTGTAACCTTGCAGAGAAGCCTGCCTCATACATAAGATCAATAATAATTGTGATGTACCCTGTATGGGCAAGATTTGGTACTTCCTTTATGAAAGACTGAAAGACAGAAAAAAGAATAGTGTTACTGTTACTGGGCACATTTATTCTCGTTTTACAAGCACTATGCAATTTAATTTGGATTCAACTTCCCTATTCTATAATCTGCACTTCTTTCCGAATGCCAATAGGAAGGAAATGGCAAATCAGAAGAGTCTAGTAAGTGCGCATTTTAAACATAAGGCAGGAATTTTAGATCTACCATGTGTCAGATCTTTGTTCTTGGTTCATCAGGCCACAATTCATGCCAAATCATTTATCTTATTTTTATTTCAAGACTACAATTGATACACTATGAAGTGTAGCAGTTAGAGAAAATGATTAATAGGTCTCTTTAGCTGTTGATAAATGGTTGAGAACATAAAAATGGAACAAAAGAAACAACAACTATAGATTATAGAAATAGTGATCCTGATGTAGAATTGAAGTCTTTCATCTATTTCTGGGAAAGAGGGCAATAATCTAATGAGAATATTTCTCTATTTTCCCACTCTGAACTCCTTATTTACAAGTAGACATATTCTTAATTTGCTTTTTGATAATGTAAATCAGTACTATATTTTAGACTATGTTTTAGAAACTTTAAAAACTTCTTTCTATACGTGTCTAATTTGAGGCTGCCGGGTGATTTGGTTCAGCTAGGATGTGAGTTTTACTCAGTTCTCATTTCAAAAGCAGAACGTTCGGGCCACTATTTGTCAGGTGATTATGCTCTGCTTATGTTCATTCAGGTGGTCACTGAATTGCCTGCAATCTGCACCATTAATCAAGTTGCCTACTTGGTTGTTAAGGGAACTGAAAACCCCCGCTCAGCTATTTTTTCCAATCTGGTGTTTTTCATGGTTTCACCACTTTATCATGTTAGTTACTGAATTTCCCTATTTTGCATTCACTTGTTCACTCACATTAGAAAAATACATCAGTGTATGTATTTTAGTCTGCATAGAAATCTGGCAATGCCTTTTAAGTCGACCCTGATAAAAAGAATACTAAGAAAATTTTCATAGCAAGAGATGTAGCTGGTCTCCAAAAGATAGATTTAATTTACTAGCATGGGAAATAATAACAGAATCATTTTCTATTTACCAATCAAAACTATGTCCATGTATTTCCACTGTCATTATCTACTTTATATTTAGTGGAAATACTTAAGCAAATATTAATAATCAGTATAATATTCCTGAGGACTCTGACTCTGTCTTTAGAGATGAAATTAAGGAGAGAGCTGAGCAATTACCAAATGGGTTTTATCCACAAAGACAAGTCCTAGAAAAGCCTTGCTAAAGCGATGCCTTGCCCTCAATTTAAAAAATCTTTTCTGTAATCCATTTCACCCTGTTTTAAAAAATATTAATTAACTAATCCAACAAATATTTAATGGGCACTGATTTTGCTATAGGCTTTGGGGTATTTAAAAGATGAGAATACCCTCAGGAAGTTCTAGAAATGGGGAGTCCCCATAAGTTCGATCTCATACCCTCTCTTTAACCCCTGTCCACTTAATAAGTTTCAATATGGTGCCCCAGTATATCAGATGAAAAGAATTATAGCATTGAAAGTGTAATAACTATGTGAAAAATGGATGAAATAAGCTATATTAATTATGAAACACATTCATGATGTCTTCAACTAAGTCTAAAAAATGTGTACATTTTTCAAGATAGAAAAATAAATTCACAGTTTATGACTACAAGCTTTAGGAGAGATGGGTCACTATGCCATCCAATATGTATGTATTGTATCACATCCTAAGCTGTTTCTCCCTGTATATTCTAGTGAAGCAGAGAAGCTAAACAGCCATGACAAGTACAAGGACAGGTTATCACATGTGCACATAGGAAGGGCAACTAGCCAGCAACACGTCTATCAGAGATTCTTTATTTCAGCAGGAATGTCCTCTGAATTATCACCTGTTTTTCCTAATAAAGAGACTAGGTCCCTAGAAGGTGACAGTGGCAAGAGATAAACTGTAGGTGTTCATTTACTGAATGTTTTCTCATTATACGTTTGTTTATTGGACATACATTCAGTAATCTCTCAGGTGCCAGGTTTTGCATCAGCATCTGTGATGTTACTATGTCTTCTAGAAAGAAAATAAAAATCCCAGAAAGAGCTTCAGATTCATTATCTTGTCCTCTACCCAGTGAGCTATCCAAAGTTTTGTAACTTTTGTTTAAAAAAGCCTTATGTCTGCTGGGAGTGAGTTTTCCAAATTTTCTGTGGGGAAAACCTTCCCATTATGAAAATTATTCTTCAAAGAAATTAAACTAGTTCTTTCTGTCTTGCAAGCCATTGTTAAAGAAATAAAGAAAACTCTAAGCCTAAGGCAAGCCCTAGATAACACCTAAAAATAGAGATTTTTTTGGCAAAAATAGAGATGTTTTTGGCATATTTAGAAGAAATTACAGAGAATATACTTCTTTGATCACCTTTCTTTGTTTCTACAGTGTTGGAAACTTGTAGAAACAAAAACCTACTTGAAAAACAAAACCTGTAAATGAGTTATTTCACTTAAAGGAAATGCAATTTTACCTAAAAGGAGTCTTTTTTTTTCCTTTCAGTGTAAGGCAAGAGTAATTTAATTTAGGAGGCTGTTAACCTCCAATGTAACAGATACATAAATCATATTAAAACCACCTTGGAATTTGTAGTGAGCAATGAAATAGATCCCAAGACCAATAAAAGAACTCAGCTAAGTGACTTATCTAAAATGTACACCAGGTAGCAAAGAAGAGGATTCAGGTTTAATTTAAAAGCAAATATCCAGTTTCCTTTTCCTATTTTTCTATATTTTCCTCTTCACTAAGATATAGTTTCAAAGTAATATTCTTGTTCTTTTTCATTATGCTTTCTTTCCTTTTATTTTTTCTTTCTCTTTTTCAGGCTGAGTTTGATGTAAGTTTGGAAGCTACTAAAAAGGGCTTAGGTCCATTTAAAAATTAAAACCAACTCTGCTTCTCAATTGTTTGATTAAAAATTTTGCCTGATTTAAGTTCACAAAATACTAATAGTATTTTTTGTATGATTATATTATACCAATTGTGTCATCTCAAATTAAAATTTTAAAATGCTATTTTAACATTTCATATAAAAGGAAATAAATTTAAGATTTGGAAACTTGACCAGAATACATGTAATACACATAATAAGAAATTATTCCTTGCAAGTCAAGGTGACATTCTGCCCCTAAAAAATTTTAAATAATTTACTTCATGTGAAAATAATGTAAAGAGTATACATTCCATAAGATACAGAGTAATCAAATACTGCATAACTTTGGTATCTCTCTTTCTCTCTTGATTTTTGCTATGTATCACTAGTAACGATATGTTTGTCAATGGAGCAAAATAAGTTTTAGGAATGATAGTACTAAATTAACATAGCCACTGGACATCTGCTTTTTATAATCTTGATGTCCTACATTATTAAGTTATCAATCTCTGAAATACAGTACTGTTGTCTGTTGCTAACAAAAAGAATATTGTACCAGAAAAGGGAGCATTAAACTATCCCAATAATTGGCATTTCAATAGCCAAAAAAATGCCTCTTGAATTTGCTTCTTACAGGTCTGAACATACTATAGTCTGGCATGAATTGACCCAGGAGTATCCTTGCAGTGTTGAGGTCTCTTCTGTTTACAAAATCTAAAACTGTAGAAAAAGAGCCAACTGGCTTGAAGGGGCAGCCATTGCTTCTATAGCTATGTCTTTGTGTCTTTATTCAGTCTTAATGCCTTTACAGAAAATAGTCCAATTTGGGACCTACAACTACAATAGTCCAATATGGGGCCTACAACTAGTTCCTGACCTCAGTCAAAGCAAATAAAATGTGTTTATTTACCAAAAAGACTTTTACTACTTGTATAAAATGCCCCCTTTGGGAAATAGGTACTGGGTAGATTGTTGAAAGTGAAGATGAATTAGTTTACTTTGGGACAGAATGTAGAGAATAAGATATGATGGCATATATTAGCCTTGGTAAAATCCCAGAGGAAAAGGACACAAAGAAGGGAGTGAAGCAGGAAGGCAGGGAAAGCAATAACAGGGATGGAACTATTATCTACCTGGCCACCCTGATAATAGTTACAGCTGATCACTGGAACATAACGGAGGTTCTGAGAGGCCACAAAACTATTGTGCCTCATGACAGTCTGTCTGTGGGAAAAGAGGAAAAGAACGTACATGTTGGTTTATTTTCATTCACTATTTATCGCTATATCCATATACTTCTCAATTTGTCACGAACTGCTGTAGTGTAGCTAGCATCCTCAGGGCTCTAGTTTGGCCAACATGCAGATGCAGGGACCAACACTGTGTGTGTGTGTGTGTGTGTGTGTGTGTGTGTGTGTGTGTGTGTGTGTGGTGGGAGTGGAGAGCAGTCTAAACCTGGATCCACATCTGCAAAAACAAGCACATGTCATTGCTAGGGCTGTGCCAGAAAGCCAAGCAAATGTGTTCATCTGTGGTCATGCGGAAATATACCCTGTACAAAGAATAAGTCTAGTTTGAGAAAGCTGATTACCTCAGGAAAGGTTAGTTACTTCCTCCCCTGTGTTTCTACAGCACCTAATATACACCAATATTAGTAATTTGAGCCCATTATATCATAACTATTTATGTGTGTGTGTGTCTGTCTGTAAAAGATGGTTAACTCCTTAAGTAGGGTAACCTTATTTCTGGGTTTGTACTCGATTCACTACAGTTTAGTTAACATTGGATAATTATTTTAATTCCTTCTTTTACTTTCAAAGTGTCTTTGTTTGGGTAATGAATTACAGGATCACTGTACTCATAAGATATAGTCATGTTTTATTCAATATTGAAAGTACATTCATGCCTAGTATAACATCTACATCATAAGATGTGTTTAATAAGAGTTTATAACCTTTTGAAAATGGAAATAGTGATAAGATTGAAGAATTTGAATAATTTAGAATGTTAAAAAGAGAAAATAGAGATATTGACAATATTTGCTAAATTTAAAAAATAATTGCTTTCATAGAATTTATTGGATAGAATGCAAAGATATTAAAATTTAAACACATCTGGTATGATTTTAATATTTGCTTACTGAGAGAATTACAAGAGGGAAATAATATTAGTTGATAAATAAGCAATAATAGCTACAGTGGTTGTCCTGTGCCAGACACTAGGCACTTTACATGGATCATTTCATTTCTGGCAGACATTGCTAATGCCTACCCAATTAATAGTCTGTTCTTTCCTAACAGGCCACTGATTTTGTTTGGGGCGGAAATGTGTCCAAACAAAAATCCCTTTAATGTTCTAGCCTCCACTGCAGCAAGTGGTAGCCATGAGACACTGTAATAGCTTCTGAGATGCAGTGGGAATCCAGCAAAAAGATTTCTGAAAAAGGTTTTGCTTCCTTAAAACAGGTAGATACTGGTTCCTTCTTGTCTTTCCTGCATAAAATGTTGATAATAGACTTTCAGGAGGAACAGCAACCTTGCAACCATAAATGTGAAAATCACACATGAGTACATGCTACAGTCTTGGGCTGCCAAATTCTAGGCTTCTTCTTATGTGTGAGAAAGAAATCCCTAACTCTTCAAGCCAATGTTAATTGCATTTTCTGTTGTCTACACCATTTCCAAAAGATACATTATTTACTTTTTATAATATCACTATGGAGTATTAGGTTGAATCATATGAAATACTGATCTATGAAAATGGCAATTGAATTAATTCATTTTTCATAATTAATTTAACAAATATTTATCACACATCTACCATGGGCCAGGAACTAGCACATGCTAGCAAACTAGAAAAAGTCACCCTTATTTTAAAATGTAGTAATGAAATATTACTGTAGACCCTGATATGGTTTGGCTGTGTCCCTACCCAAATCTCATCTTGAATTTCAGTTCCCCACATGTTGTGGGAGGAACCTGGTGGGAGATAATTGAATCATGGGAGCGTTACCTTCATGCTGTTCTCCTGATACTGAGTGAGTTCTCATGAGATCTGATGGTTTTATAAGGGACTTTTCTCCCTTTTGCTTGCCACTTCTCCTTCCTGTCACCTTATGAAGAAGGACATGTTTGCTTCCCCTTCTGCCATGATTGTAACTTTCCTGAGGCCTCTCCAGCCATGTGGAACTGTGAGTCAATTAAACCTCTTTCTTTTATAAGTTACCCAGTTTCAGGTATGTCTTTATTAGCAGTGTGAGAACGGACTAATACAACTCCCAAATTCATAAAACTGGAACCATAGTTAACTAAACCAAAAGGATAATGACCTGAATATAAAAGTCAGATATGATAGGATGAATATTATACAGATGTATTAGTTGAAGCCAAACAGATAATTGCCTTTCAACATACATTTGGGAACAATTTGAAGTTTAGTATCATGTATAGTGGCTGTTATAAAGTTGAGAAAATTGGAGCTCTGTAAACACAGGAAAAATAGAATAGGGTAATTCCTCTAAGAGATTGCAGTTTAAAAAGAGGAGGCCAAGATTCAGGATCCATTGGTGAGCTGCTTTAGTTTCTCTACAATTTCTGTTTAAAATGTAGGCCATGGACTTTGGACAGCAGCTTCAATCTGAGTTTATATCCAAGTAATTTTTTTTCTTGCCAAGAACAACCAGACTTGGCAGGAAATGCTGACACACAAGCGTCAGTTCCCCAGCAGTACCAAATCTATCTTCTAAGAACTGTGGTCAGACACCGTAATGAGGCTTTCATGGGGAAAAATAATAGTTCTTGACCTGACACCTGAAAAACTAAACAAAACAAAAGCCAAAAAAAGTTACTTTAGTCGATTCTAAAAATTCATTTTAGTTGGAAGGATTCCTCTTTAGTTTTTCTTTTTATTTTCCTAATATGTCTCCTGTAAAAAAATCTTGATTTGAGAAGCAAAGTATACTTTCCAAACATCTAGGCAGAAAGGCTACTCTAATGGTGTGTTTTATCAAACAATTACTTTGTGATATGCACACCACAAGATTTAACTTGAAAGTTGGGGATAAAATTCAATTTTGCTTTGCAAGATTTTTGAGTATTTCCTAGTAAGAAAGCATGCCATTTTGTCTTCACATCTTGAGGAACTGGAAAAAAAAAAAAAGCGTCAATGAGAACATTGAAGGTTTTCACTAAATAATATTAAATAACGTTTAAATGGTGATTTCCTATCTCTATTTATGGTTCAGGCCTTCTAGCTTGCTAATTCCAAGTAACAGGATCCTTTGGTAGATAAGATGGGTGTTGAAATGCCTCTTTTCCCCAGCAGAGTATACTTAATTAGGTGTTTTCTGCTTGTGTTGAGGTTATTAGCTCATCAAAAAAGTACTGATATTTTCTGGGGGGAGCTTAGGGTGGCTTTGGGTCCTGGTCTGCCTGACTCCATCTTCTCCAAAGAGAATATATGTCCTGCATGAAGGGACCTGAGGAACTTATGATCCTGTTTTTGTCAGGTGGCATAAGGATGGAGCTGATACGAAAGTGCTGGGGAGGGAAGAGCGTGGTCCCTTTAAATAATATGAGAAGGGGTAAGGGAAGTGCTGAGGTGAGGAGATTGTGGTCCCTGGCTAGGGTTCCACCCCCATGGACCTAGGTGAGGACAGGCATTTCCTGCCCAAATGTTTTCCCAAGACCATGCTGGCCTTCCATGCCCCCATCCTGTGCCTATAAAAACCCAAGACCCTAGTGGACAGACACACAAGTGGCTGAACATCGTGAGAACACAGCGGCAGAAAAAGACACAAGTGGCTGGTCCTCGAGAGGAGCACCCCAGCAGAAGAGCATGCCGACAGGCACTGGCATGCCGGCAGGCCATCAACCGGTGGGATGAGGCCAAGTTTGGTGGGGGCAGTCAAAGAAGAGCTGGGGCCACCAAGCAGCCCAACTCCAGGGGAAAACCATCTCCCTTCTGGCTCCCCAGTTGGCAGATAGCTACTTCCACTCAATAAAACTTTGCACTCATTCTTAAAGCCCATGTGTGATCTGATTCTTCCAGTACACCAAGGCAAGAACCCAGGATACAGAAAGCTCTCTGTCCTTGCAACAAGGTAGAGGGTCTAATTGAGCTTGTTAACACAAGCCACCTATAGGCAAACTGAAAGAGCACCCTGTAACACATGCCCACTGGGGCTTCAAGAGCTATAAAGATTCACCCCTAGACACTGCTGTAGGGTTGGAGCCCCACAGCCTGCCCATCTGTATGCTCTCCTAGAGGTTTGAGCAGCTGGGCACTGAAGAAGTGAGCCACACCCCCATTGGATGCCCTGTGAAGGGGACAAGGGAACATTTCCCGTTTCAGAGCCAACATAGGAATAAGAGATAACAGCAGCCACAGATAATCATGTATTAAAGAAAGATTATTTCTTTTTTTAAAACAAATTATTTAACTCTTAAAAAAACAACAAAAATGAATCCTGTAAGGGCTTTCAGAGCTAATGATGAATAAGCTCCAGCTCATGAAAAACTGTGTTCCAACCAAGCAGTCTACTGAAAACAAGTGCTTGGATTTCATCATAAACTAAAAGAAGAAAAACTAAAAACAAACAAAATCCTTGGTTTATTTTGATAATGAAAATAAGGAAAATTTATAATTAAATAAATGTTATGCATGCTCAAAAGTATGAAACTTTTAAAAGCTGGTTTATTTCTAACTATAAGGGAAATATATGTTGACTGTGGAAATGCTGGAATACATTGAAACATACAAAGTAGAGTCCCCATAAACTGCTAACAAACAATATCTATTATTTAGAACTTTTGCTCTGTGTGTGTATGTATCTATATGTATTTTCTTCTTTTTAGGTTTGAATATATGTTAATAAAACTTGTACATATATTTAGTATAAAAGCTAATACTGCAATTATATCTTTGAACCCAATGCCATATTTTTAGAATTTTTTTTTATATCCAAGCCCTTTTTTCTCAAAAGCGTAATTTTGATGTTGCAGAGTATGGTAGACAGACTTTAAGCGTAGCCCACATTATCCCCACCTCCTGGTGTTTGCATTCTGGTGTGCTTTTTGAGTTTGAGTGGGACCTGTGACTTGCTTCTAACAAATAGAATATGTCAATTTGATAGGACGTGCAAGATCACTTGTATATGAATGACATTATATTACATCAAATGAGAGTACCCATCTTTCAGGAGTCTCTCTCTTTCCCTTGCTGGCTTTGAGGAAGCAGATGGTCATGTTGAGAATCCCTACATAGCAAGGAACTGCAGGTGACCACTAGTGGCTGAGGATAGAATTCCAGCTGACAGACACCAAGAAACTGAAGCTCTTAGTCCTATAGCTGCAATTCTGCCAACAGCCTGAGTGAGCCTGGAGCAGATCCATCCCCAGTCAAGCCGCAGATGACACTGCAGCCCCTGTCAGCATCTTGGTTGCAGCCTTGTGATATTCTAAGCAAGAGACCCAGCTAAACTCTGCCTGCACTCTTGACTCACAAAACTGTGAAATAATAAATGTGTGTTGTTTTAAGCTACTAAGTAATATTGTTACATAGCAGTAGTAATATTAAAAGTACTTCATCCTAGGAATATGTTATGATTTATTTAGCCAAGCACTTATTAATAAGGCCAGTTAGATTGTTTCTAATTTAAAAATTTTTATAAGTCTGTGATAACTATTCTTGTACATACAAATTTTTAGTTAAAAAGTGATCAATTTTGTGTGCATTTATTGTTTTTAAAATTATATGCTGAGTCCTGATATATTTACCTAGATACATATTTCCTGTTTGCTGATGGATATCTTCCAGGACTTCTAAACTGATGAAAATACAAAGATAAGCAATATACTGAATAAGAACATGGGATTGCCTAGGAACTCTCAACGTGGATAGCATCTAGGTATGCTAGGAGAAAGTTTGCTGAATGAATGTACAGTAATCTCCCTAGGAACTTATTATCCAAAGAAACAAATGTATTTTTAAAAGCATTCCACATAAAATACACTTGAGATTCAGTTTAATAGGGAACAGGGACTTTTTCGCCCCATAGGCCCATAGGCTTAATTGGCCCAATTGATCATTGCATTTCTCTTTTCAGCCTTATACATTTTTCTTTAAAGATCTGCAAAAGCTATAAAACTTTAGGTATCCCATCCTATAAAATTAATTTCTAATTCTACATAAGAAATGTATAAAAGATGGCTCTGAATGCTAAATGCTTATGAATATTTATAATGCAAATAACTAATAGAAATGCATTTTCCCCCCTTTTTTGGTCAGACAATTGTAGGAATTGACTGTAATTACCGACATAAATGAAGATTCATGTCAGCACTATCATACTTATGCTAATTGGAAAAGCCTGGACTACTTTAAAAATTATGATTTACTTTTGGGACTTCTATCCAAGCCTGTCCAAGTATTCAAAATCAGGACTAGCCTATGCAAACCTACAGGGGACAGATGGGCAATTAATGAGTGGGAAGGATGAGGTGAGGGCTGGCAAGATTCAACTGGAGAATCCTGGCTTCATCTAATGCAGGCAGCTACCATGCAGCATACATGGAAGTGGGCTGAGGATTGGCAGATCTTTGAATTTTTCAAGACAAAGCTAGGAGATTTCGATTTTTTTTTGGTGATTTTTAAAAATTTTTTTAATGTGCTACAAGCCAAATAAAACATGTCTACATGCTGGATTCAGTCAACAGACTGCCTATTTGTGACCCATAGTCTTAGTATTTATTTCTTAAATATGACAATAATTGTATGCCTATTTAGCAACTGAGGGGAAAAAGAGAGTGAAACTGGGAATTAATAAGAGCAAACTTGCAAAAAAGGATTGCCAGACAGGCATAAAACCAATAAATCAATTTATATGATTGGCTTAATGTACTATCCATAGGAGATCAGATTGTCACCGAAGGAATTTGTCCTGAAATTCACAAATGATGTAAATTTTAGAACATGTGCTTATGAAGATTTTTTTTTTGATCCAGCTCCTGCAGGAGAGATGATTTTTATCAACATGGTTTTTGGTGGAATAAACCTTACAGGTAAATATGTAGAGAATTAATTATTCAAAAAGAAGAAATGAAAGCAATAAATCATATCAAAAAAGGTTCTGATAATGCTATACCTGGTTGTCATGAATGTAGGCAAACAATTAGCAGACATTCAGCTCTGCTTTCCAAATACACAGTGTTTGATCATTGAACTAGACAGTACTCTCTTTGGCAAAGCTCGCTCTGCATCTTGAATTTCAAAAGCATTGAAGTAACCTTATGAGCCAGCTTTCTTGAAAGAGCTCTCCCATAGTGGACATAAAAAATGCAAAATGTTCTATGAAAATATGCTCTCAGAGCTACATGATACTACATCCAGCGAAACTAAAGTTCTTCTAATATAAGCAGGTCAGGTTATAATGTTCTCTTAATTTTAGCAGAGATCTTGCTTTTTATAACTTGCTATGTCAATATCTTTGTTAATTCACATCTTAATTTTAGCTAGTCTAGGAAATTAGATAGTTGCTTGTGCAGTTAGAAATACAAGACAGAAAATTCATAGGAGACTTTTTTTTTCTTCAAGATGGAAGTAGTCTTTCACCTAGAAAGGTCAAACATTCTCCATTTGATGATTTACTACACTCTACAGAAAAACATAGGGAATTTTTGCAACATCTTGAGATTCACATAAGAATAAGAAAAAGAAAATAAACACAAAGACTTGCAGCAGGAAAATGTACAGCTTTCCAAAGAATAAGAGACAAGAGGGGAGTCTGGAGGAACGTGTAAGTAGGCATTTCACATGGGAAAGAAGATAAATAGGTAGGAGAGGCAGAGAGCAGAGCAGGAAATCAAACTGGCTGAAAGAAGCCTCAGTATGAGACAAGAGACACAAAGGCAGGAGCTTCCTGAAGTGCAGATATGAGCAATTATATAATGGGTTGCATGGAGTTTCTTTTCATCCTTTATCCCTTCATAGCAAAATGTTTCTTTATTTTAGTTTAAAATACCTGAATAATTGCTTTGACTTTCCTGTTACTCTAATGACTCCTGAATTCATTACCAATCAACCAACTAACAATTACCAATCTTAGGGAGACACGATTATTAGCATTTTGGTAGTTCTGAGGAGAGAATTTTGTAGTGTAGGCCTTGTGGTTTTTGAGCCTAACCGGTCTCATTTTAGAATGTCTTGCCTTTTTGCCAAAACCTGGTGTGTCAAAGGATTGGAGTTAAGTGGAAATTTCACTGAATATAAAGTTATCTCTGAATTTATATTTTAGGACAAGCGAAGGTCCAAAACACATTCTGCAGGAACATAGAAATGATATATGGCTTTTCTAATTTGTTATGTTCATGACAAATTAATTCTGGGTATTTTTAAATTACACATAGCCCATAATCTGGTTATATAATGATGTTTTTAGACACATCTTTTAAAGACACAATTTTTTAACTTACACCATTGAACTTCCTGTGTTTTCGTATACCTAATTTCAGAGGAAATTACAGGTAATTAATGAATTTGAATACATCTTTCAAGACTTCCATTTTAATGATCAATAGAATATTTTAAAAGCCAGGGGGATCAAAATCTATATTAACTCTGAAATCCGGGGCTACTACTATCCACAAGGAAAAATGTTGATATATAGACAGTGCTGTATCTTGTGCATCCAGGTAAAATTAAGCCTTCCCTTTTCTGAAAAGGAATACTTGCTAATCGACACACCCTCCAAAAGATCCTAATAAACCTGTCTACTAGAGTGAAGAGAAAGAGAGAGGAGGGAATGCCACGTGTAGTCAGGCATCCGGGTTCCTCACATAGTTCAGTTATTTTCAGATTACTCTGAAAAGTCTCAGAAAATAGTAAACCTTTCTAAATCAAACACCAAATTGAGATTTTTATGAATATGTATGTAAACTAAAGTAAAAATCTGAAAGACATTTAGATTTTCTTATCCTTTGAGTAATTTGGCTTTCAGAAATAATCAAAGACGAGTACAAAAATCTGAGCGTTTTGTTGTTTTGCTGTGTGGTTGTTGTTATTGTTTAGTAAGAGTAAAAACAATCCGATTTCCCAAAAATAGTGGGAGATAGCTTATTCAATTGAATTTTATTGAATATTTAAGGACATACCAATTACAATGTATTACTTAGAAAATGGGGCAGAAGACAGAACTTTTATAATTATTTTAATACGTTTAAGAGAAAACCGTATTTGACTGTATTTCTAGGCTTTCTATTAGTCATATCATGCTTTTCTAATAACAACAGCAACAAAAACGAGAGTGAGATAAAAAGATATTTAAAAAATTCTCCCTGGTGGTTAAGATAGTCAACTGATAAAAATAAACCCTTTTTTGTTTGTTTGTTTGTTTTTTCTTCAAAGGTTAACACACCTGGTACATTTCCAGTTGAAGTTCTGGAGATTCTGTCTTACTGCTGTCCATCATTTGACAATAATCTCTTTGTGTTCTTAGGTTACAGCTGTATTTTCTTCAAATGTATTATATGATTATTATTCTTGGAATTTAAATTATACTCATTAAACAAAACCAGTTCTGGATTCCCGAAGACAAGGAAGGATCTTATACAATGGCAGACATAAATAGACTTCTTTGAACTCCTGCGCAAGCATCCACAACAGTTTGAGTTGTCTTCTTCTTTAGTTTTTAATAACAATGCCATTTTTGTTCCAAGTCTATATTTGATATAACAGGTATATTGTACATATATCTGATTTTTTCTGAATTAAAAACATTTACTTGGTACTATTTTTACTGACTGCTTGTTTACTTTGCAGTCACAAATTTATAAATTTTTAAATTTTCAAACATTCTAACTATTTTTAACAGGATTTGATTAGCCTCCTTTCCCTGTTTTCCTCATTTTTTTCCTACTAAAATCAATAATCTATTTAATGCTCTTATCTTCTTTTATAGTTTATGTAAAACTTTACTCCAATTTGAATAAAAATTAAGTTTTCTTTCTTTGCAATTTTTTAATTTGACTTTTTCTTATTCCTTTTAATCCCCTTTCTTGTCTTTGAAGCAGTCTGTTATTTTCTTGTCTCTTTTCTACAAGTCTTTACAAATTCTGATTAGTTGTTTTGTACCCCATCATATTTTTATTTATAGGGCAATGTTTTTTTTTTTTTTAAATCATCAACAATAAGACAAAAATGCCATGCAGATATACACATGTTCATCTTTCTTCTTAAAGGATTGTAGTGACTCCTATGAATCACACACTTTTTCAATAAATATTTTGTACTTCGCTTCCACTGGAACTTCACTAACCTTGTCAGAGAGGTGGGTTCTACTTACTAGCAGCGGTGGTGACATTTGACCTGTATCCTAATGGAAAGCAAGAGTTTGAATAGACAGACCATAGAGGAAAACACATCCATGGCCCCTAGTGAAACAAGGCAGTTTAAAACAGTGGATTTGATTAGTGGAAGATCATATTTAGAAAGTATGGTCTTCCCTGGAAGTCTCACAAACTTCAAGGTAAGTAGTTTTAGGTTGACAATATAGAAAATCTAATGAGGAAGCCATTGAGAGTGTAGGCCTGTAGTCTTTGGCGTGTTTTCTTGGGCCATAGTAACTTAAGTTGGAGTTGAGCATAATGAAAAACAAGAACCAGCTATAGGTGCACATTTAATCGCGCCTAAAGTATCTATTTGTATATCCTCTGAAAAATAATGCTAGTGAATAGGGCTAAAGTCCATTTGATTTAAAGACATGCTTTAAGGCCTTCATGAATAAAGAAGAATAACATAAAGGAATATTTCCCTTCCACCTTTCCATTTAGTGTCACTCTTATTAGATTGTTGATTATTTTAAAATAAACTAAAACACAGTAAATCGAGCCTTGTGCCTCATCTACCTTCCTAAAGTCATTTTTCAAAGAGTGAACAGGCCCCTAAAGTATGTATCTTATTAGGCAAATATCTAGTAGGTATGTCCTGACTGACGTGACCAGGCCTAGAGAACAATTCCTTGGGAAATCCTCTAAACCCTCAAGTACTGAAGTACAAAATGAAACCTGTATATACATGTTACAAGATGGCAAATTGGATTTTTCTGCATCATTTAATTGGCCCAAAGTTGAGGGCCAGGTTGCTAGTGATACTACAATCTAAGTTGGCGAGATACCAGTGAGCCAATTCAAGCCACTAAAATGAAACCAAGGCTGGTTCTGGTGGAGTAGGGGGGTGAGCATAAATGAGGCAAGTGGGGAAAGGTTAGGAAAAGAAGATTAGCTCAGAATTGAGATTGAGACTGATTTTATAAAATGAACAAAATCAAGTTTTACAAAAACACCTGAGAATGTCTTGAACCAAAATTGGCTGGAAAGTTAAGAAATCTGACCAAGATTCCATTCTAGAAATGGGAAATTGTCAATAAAGCATAAATGGGGGGAGCTGCAATGAAAACATTCAGTAAGTAGGCTAACAATGCATTCAGGTCAATTGGAAAAGGCACTTCTATTCCTCACTCCACAGCTTAAGAAGAGTGTGATGACTTTAAAGTGACTACCGACATGTCTCATCTCCAAAACAGGGCATAAGAATGTCAATTTGTTTAAAAATCCAGTATTAACCAAGGTTCACCCCTGATTATAGCACGAGTCGTTAAAAATATGGCTTTGGAGCCAGAAGTCTTGGGATGAAATTCTGTTAGTAGCCAGGTTACTTTCATCTCTTGGAGGCTCAGGTTCCTCACCTGAAAAACTGGGGGTAATTACACTTACTTGAGAGGGTTGATATATACATATTGATTGGAATAATCTCTGGAAAACAGCCTTTAGCAAGCACTCCATAAATATTATTGTTGATATTAAATATCATTTTCTGTCTTTCTGTCTAGATGGCAGTGCTGTTCATGGGTAAAATTCAATTATTGTCAGTATATTAACCTCTCTGCTTAGCTCCAATTAAAGGGGCTGAAGCCAAGTTGGCTTATGCTCATAATGATGATCTGTAACAGTACTGATGGACAAAAATCTTGCTGTGATGTTTAGAAAAATATAAAGAATTGGGAGTGCTTGCTAGAAGACTAACATTTTAAGGAGTGATCATCATTTGAATGAATCATTGTTTATGATTCGAGATGTAGATGAGAAAGTAAATACCACTCTTATAATACCTACATAGTCTTTGGCTTGAATAGTTTTTCTTCTTTTCTCCCTCATTTGATTTGTATTCCGTTTTCATTTAGTTCCATGTATATGGAACTCTGCCAGAGTTGAGAGGGCTGAAATGTGACTTACCACTAAATATTTGTTCAAAAATTTCTAGTGTTTTTCCAAGTCAGTATTTCAGTACATTTGCCTCCCCTCCCCACTGAAGGCTAATGCCAGCAGCCAAAGAACGAGAAGTAATCCTCAACTGTCTAACCAGGCAGTTGGCATAGCAGAGAAAAACATTTGACTATGCAAATATCCTCAACTTTCAAAAAAATTGGGATTAAAAACATAAAATAGAATGACTTGAAAAACTATTCAGAAATACTTGGGCATAAATTTTATGTGGCTATCATAAATCCCTTCTTAGGAGTTAACTGTCTTTTGCTACCTCATCTTCTTTCCTCTCTCCTGATAGTGATTTTCTCATTCTTTCCTTTAAGATGCAGTTGCAAGAATTGAACACTCTGTTTTACATTAATAATAACAATGTTCTCAGTCTCCATCAAAGCTAGGATCCAAGATTTTGTTTGGTACTTGGATTGCCACAGTGGATTTTTAGGGATATTCTTTCCCAACAATCTCTTACAATTCCAATGTGCTTAAAATGATTTTGCCAATAGAATAACTTCTATTTTCAGAATCTCTAATTCCAACATCTCCGATATCACCTCACCACTATCACCACTGTGTGTGTATGCACGCACACGCTCATGACTTTGTTTTCTCCCTAGGCAGACTGAATTAAGTTACAAGCACAGATGTCATAGACAAGCCCAAAAGTTTCATTGAAAATAGAGTATAAAAATGATGAAAAAGAAGTTAGAAAGAAGAAGAAAGAAGAAAGTTTGGGCATAGAACTAAAACAATGCAATAAGCAGCTTAGAGTAGTGGGTGTTGTGTTTACCTTTACCCCAGATGCCAATCTGTTTCATTAATTGCTTTTAATTCTGTCATGCAAGATAAGCTGATTATAGAATCTTTCAGAATTTCCATTATGGTTGTTTTTTTTTTTTCCCTTCTTGTAACTCCCATCATTTCAATTTTAATTAAAATTTATCCTACTATCATTTCAATTTGCCAAAATTTCACTTTGAATCACTTCTATTCATTTTCTTTAGGACAGCTTGATTACACAAAAATGATATATCAAGATGATGTTGGCCATCTTTGGATAAAACTATCTAAGATAAATCTTCTAATAGCTCATCATTTTTAAAAATTCACCTGAAATTTTTTTTCTAAAATATATATTTGTATTCCTGATCTGACACAGTGTCCTCCAATGCCTGAGACTATTTAGCCAGGTACTTAGCTACATAAATCAGAGCACATTTGACTGGCAAGAGACCGAACTTCAGTGAACTATTCTAAGGCCAGTTCTTTCAGAAAAACATACAGTGAGTAAGAAAGGGAAAGACCTGGGAGAGTTAAAGCTAAGACGGAAGCAGTGTTTTTACATGCTACAAAGTCTGTACAGTTTAGAGTTCTCCCAGGTTTGTACCAATAGAAACATATCAAATACAATACCCACCATTCATAGAATTCTGCAATTCTCTATGGGCTTTACAAACACACATTAGGTCCTGATAACCACTCTGTGAGTTGAGTACTAGCATTATCATGCAGTGGACATTTGTCTTTGCCTCCCTAGTATCTGTTTCCTTTTCTTGGATAAGCAGGCTCCGCTCTCTGTCCATCTGTTTGAATGGGGCTTGCTGTGGTTTGAATGTGTGCCCTCTACAAAATTCAGGTGTTGCTAATGTGATAGTATTAAGAAGTGGGGCATTTAAGAGGTGATCAGGCCATGAGAGTTCCTCCTCTGTGAATGGGATTAAGTCCCTTACAAAAGCAGCTTCACACAGCATTTGGCTAGCATGCCCTTCTGCCTTCTGCCACGTGAGGACACAGCATTCCTCCCCTCTGGAGGAAATAGTAGTAAGGCACCATCTTGGGAGCAGGCAGCAGTCCTCATCAGACAATTGAATCTGCCAGCAGCTTGATCTCAGACTTCCCAGCCTCCAGAACTGTGAGAAATAAATTTCTGTTTCTTATAAATTATCCAATCTCCATATTTTGTTATAGCAACACAAAACAGACTATGACAGGCTCTATCTTCAGCTCCAGGAAATAGTTTGTGTCAACCTCAGCTATGCTGTAACACTTTATGCCCTGGGACACAGAAAGTGGTTAGTAATGGCCTGTCTTTGGAAAGCTGAAAAGTGGTCTTTAACCTCAAAGGTCATAGACTGAAGCTGCTAGAAGTGACTTGCCACCACAGAGAGAGAGCCTGTATGAGAATGGAACCAACATAGAGCAAGGGGAGCTGATATATGGGAAAGATAAATGAGACCGTAACTGAATATTCATGACGTCTTTTGGATTCTGAATCAAACTGAACCCTGAATTCAGTCCAACACTGATTTTAGGCACTTGAGCCAATATATCCCCTTTTTGTTTTCTTGAGCTTGACTGGATTGAGTTTTCTGTGTCTGGTAATAGAAAGAATATTAATTGATTACATAATGTTATAAATAAGAAAACTGAGGCTCAAAAAGTTTTACACTTGTCCAAAGGTATCCAGCAGGCTGCAGACCTGGACTTTGAATCCAAGTTTTTCTCATTCAAAATATGTTTTTTCTAATGCAATATGAGGCATGAAGGCAATGGTATCCTTTTGAGAGGTGTGATGGTAAGTTTTATGTCAGCTTGGCTAGGCTGTGATGTCTAATTGCTTAACCAAACACTGGTCTAAATGTTTCTATGAAAGTATCTGTGGATATGATTAACACTCACAATCAGCTGAGCACAGTGGGCTCATACCTGTAATCCCAGCATTTTGAGAGGCCGAGGCAGGAAGGTCACTTGAACCAAAGAGTTCAAGGCCAGCCCAGGGAACATGGTGAACCACTGTCTCAACAAAAATAAAAATAAAAATTAGCCAGGCATGGTGTCATATACCTATAATCCCAGCTACTTGGGAGGCTGAAGTAGCAGGATTGCTTGAGCCCAGGAGGTCAAGGCTGCTGTGAGTAATGACCATCACACCACTGCATTCCACTTGGATGAAAAACCAAAACATTGTCACCAAAAAAACAAAAATGTATAAATAAATAAATAAATAAAATTTACAATCAGTTGACTTTAAGTAAAGCAGTGTATCCTTCATAATGTGGGTGAGACTCATCGGATTAGTTGAAGGCCATAAAAGCAAAAACTGAGGCTTCCCAGAGAAAAAGGAATTTTGCCTCAAGACCATAACACAGAAATACTGCCTGAGTCTTTAGCCTGCCAGCCAGCCCTATATTTTTCAGACCTGCCAGCTCCCAGAATCACCTGAGCCAATTCCTTAAAATAAATCTCTCTTTTTCTTTCTCTCTTTGTATATATATAAATATGTATATGATATCTCCAATATATACATATAATTGAGGGGACATAAATATAAATCAATCTCTCTCCATTAATATATGTATATAATAGGTTCTGTTTCTCTAGAGAACCCTGACTGAGACAAAGAGTAACTGAAAGTCACCCAAGAGAATGTGGAAAAGAGTCAAAGGAAATGTATTTCTCCCTCAATAGGTCATTTCCTAGACAACTTTCCAGAATACGACAAGAAGCACATAACTTCATGATCAAGGTCAGAAAGATGCTTTTTCTGTAAAGTGCCTCATGAGAAATTTTGTATGCTTTATTTTTTTCAAGGTGAAAAAAAGTTTGTGAATGTTTAAAAATAATTCTTTTCAAATTGTCCCAGTGCAGTAATTTTTAGAATGCAAACTCACTCTGAAAAAAAAAAAAGAAACTAAGAAGTGTTCATTTGGATAAGCATGAGAGGATTTTCTTATTCTTACAAAGAATGTAATTGTAGTTAATTAAGTGCAGGAGTAGAGTCTAGAAGGAGAACTGATGGATTCTACTTTGATGCACGCTCCATTTCTCATATCATTCTTTCCTGTATACATAGCATCTAGCCAAAGGATGTAGCATTGTTCAATATAATGTGGAGGGTAACTGAACGATCAGCTTGGCTTCACACTGCAACAGTGCTGATGTTTGCTAAAATGCCCAAACCCAGTGGGATAAATAATTCACAGTTTCCCTGAAAGATATGAGGGAAGGGGTTTGACAGGATGATAAAAGAAGAATGCTGCTCTACTCATCTTCTTTCAAAGGATGGAAAGACTTGTCAACTCTATCCTAGTTCTCAAATAAAGCATGAAATTTACAACCCCAAATTGAGATTCTCATTTTCAGCCACAGCTATTCTTAATTTCTGTTCTACTGATACTATAGGCATAGAGAGATAAGTCAGATGATTTGCAGCTCAAACTATAAAAGAAGTTTTGGAAAGACAATAGAAAAGAAGAAGGTTTGGTAGGTTTGGAAAATTCTTTTTCTTCTAATGCACTATAAAATGTGAAGCAGAAACACAATAGCTTAATGAGTTTCCATCTCTGTACTGTGACAAATCTACAATTTGGCCATTGTAAAAGTAATGATGTGTTTCATTAATTTCATACGTTCTTTTAATAGAGTATTTGGAGGAAAGACATTTTTGCTTTAGAAATTAGAGCAAAGAAAAGCGGATAAAAGCTTCAAGTTGGTGTTCAGTACTTCCTGGAATACATTAATAACATTCATCCGCCTTTTCAAACACACAGACAAATCTCAAAGTGATGCTTTGTCTTCTCAGTCATAATTCTAATAATAATGGAAGATGAGACATCCTTACCTCCTAGTCTCTCCCCACAATCCCCACTCCCTGGCTTGCACATGCACACAAATAATGCACTTTTTACTAGTACATTTGCATCTGGAAGTTCACATTCTATAACCTCCATCAATACATGTGGATACTCCAGGGCACATCCTCTGTGCCATTTCCAAATGCCCTATGGGGCTCACTCTTCAGACACAAGTCACATAATCTATGTAGTTCCACCTGCCTTTTCACAGATATCCTCATAGTGTGCTTTCTTAGGCTGGGATCCCCCAGGATCTGACTCCAGATAAGGATTTTAATACAAGTGCTTTATTTGTGAGGGGATCCAAGTAGCACCAGTAGTGGGATGAGGAAATGAGAGAGGGAAGGTAAAGAAGCCGCTAAACGGTGCCCTACTGAGCCAGTTATCATGGTGGGCAATGGGGGCATAACCCCACTGGGGACTGTTGAGAGCCAGTGTAAAACATATCTCAGAGTTCTCACCACTGGGGTATATATCCACCAACTCCCATGTGCCATTGGCTGCTCTCTGGGGGAATGAAATCCCAGTGCTTCCAGCCTGCACTCTTTGTAAGTCAATGGAAGCTGTTAGGAGGAAAGCCAAAAAGTCTTGCAGTAGGGCCCCATCTGTACGTGTGGGACAAGTGAGAGCTGAGAGGGTGAGAGTGAGCAAATGTGGCTGCTGATGGTGCCATAAGACTCCTTTATACCTCAGTTGTCCAAATGCTACTGTCCACAAACCATATGGCAGGTTTTCAAACCAGTCACAGAAACACATTCATCTGCCACACTTCTTCCTTGCATTCAGAAGCTTGACAGTGATGAGTTTTACTTGACTATGTCTTTAGAAACAACTCTGGGCTTGTTCTGTAACCCTAACAGAGGCAGCTGGAATTTACAAACCCACTGTGAAATGTGATGGGCTCAGTGTGTTTCTTCTCCAGCAGTGTCTTACTTCTCTTAGTGAAATTTCTGTCCCAATCTTGTGAATAGAAAAGCGAGGCTGGGGGTTTGGGGATGGAGTGGGAGGAAGGAAAATCTACATCATAGAGAAGGTTTACATATAGAAAAACACAGCATAGTGGGGTAGATCTCAAAGTCTATTGCAGTTTTCTGAAGGGCAGAAGGTGGGTTTTTTGTTGTTGTCTATCATTTTCCTTAGAATTACCAAGGGTAAATTAAGTGCTGCTCTAGAAGCCCTGTCATGGCCAACAACTCGGCAATGGACTGTTGAGGTCTTGAGGTTTCTGCAGAGGTATTTTCAGTTGGTGGGGCTCCAGCACTTTCTTGTTCCGCAGTTCTAAGCCTATTTGCATGAAGCATTCTTCAGGTTAACTGCTCAACTCTCACCTTCATGAATCTGGCATATGAGCAATTATCTCTCTCCAAGGACCGGCATTTGTTGGTCTGATTTTCTCGTTCATAGAGTGATGAGATTTCTGCTTGACGTCCTAGTGCCCCTGAGCCTGGCAGGACATGAGTGGTACTCCTGGGCAACCACAGCACTGTTCCAGATAAGAGCAGTTCTCACTCTGAGGACCCTCAAGTCTTCCATGAACTCAGGTCCTTAAAGACACAAGAACAAATACCTAAACGGGAACTGCGCCGAGACGTGTGTATGTGTGTACATGTGGGTACCTTATGTGGAAGCACACACATGTACATGTGCGCAGGAGCTGAAGGGAGCATGATAATTCCCTACGATGCCATGAATAAGAGAACAGCTGTTTATCTCAGATATTAAAAGAATGTCAATTGGGTTGAGTTTTCTTTTGGCACAAGAATAAGGAATGCTTAAGTTTCCCACTTGCATTTAATTTATTTTTAGGTTTATTCACCACCATTTGTCAGGTTTCTTGAGCGTGACCTGAAACTGACCTTTAGATAAACGTGAAGGCAAACAGAGCCCTGAAACTCTATCTGTATGTTCTTTTGTCTTGGGAACTGTAAATCGGGGCATTAGGTGAATAACACAGCTTGGCTTTGTGTCATGAAAAGTAATTCGGGCTGTGGTAAGGGCAGGATTTATGAAGCTGTCTGGCTAGACTTGGGCAAAATGCCAGCTTACACCTGCCTTGCAGATATGGATGTGTGCAGTTGTCACCTTGCTGAAGCAGCCAAATTCCTTTCACTGGATAGAGGCATTGCTCTGCCACCAAAGCTGGGAGCGGGTAGGGAGGCACTGGTGGGGGCACCTGCTGTGGAGGAGCGAAACAGTCTTTAGGAAACAGACAGCATAGACTTCCCTTTTTGAACTTCCCTTTTCTAACTCCCAGGCAAAACTCTCTTTAAAAAAAAATGTAATTACTATTTCCAAAACATTGTAAGTAATCTTGTGGGGTTGGCAAGAAAATGAAAGTAAATCAATTTGCAAAGCTTTACAGCTTTTTTTTTTTTTTTTTAATGAGAGATTGTGTCATAGCTAAGGTGGCTATATAATTTATCATCCAAACAGGGACACTTTTCAAAGTGAAAAAGGGAGGGCTGTAATTAATTCAGCCAGGACAACAGGCATAAATTGGGGCTGTCTGAGGCAAACCAGGATGGACGAGGACCCTAGTCATGAAAATTTACACTGCCACACAATGAACCCACCAAAGGACTGTTGTGTTACAAGGATGCTTCTCTAAGAAGTGACAGAAATTACACTGTCTCGTTGATGGTGCTGGACTCCCTCCACAAAGCAGATGGCCAAATTGTCATGATGCCAAATCACACTGCAGAATTTCTGTAGTAAAATCGTCATGCGCCCTTTTTCTCAGTGCCTTCCCCATCTCAGAAAAGTGCAAAAGCTCAGCAAATCCTTGCTTTTCCTGAGAATGGCCATCAGATAATATACAAAGCCTGGTCAGCATCTGATTAATTAGGATAAAGGCACAAGGGAGAATGTACAGTGTATGGGGAATAGCACTGATCTTTTTTATCTCAATGCTAATGAACTTTGACATGAACTTCCCCTTCTCCAGCAAAGTCATTTCTTAGAGTTTTCAGCTTTCTCCCCACTTTCTCATACTTTATAGCTTCACTGGTGTATTCATTTCATATGGATGCCATAACAAATAATAAAAAAATTTGGTGTCTAAAAACGAGAAATTATTTTCTCATAACACTGGGAGCCAGAAGTCTGAAATCAAGACGTCAGCAGGACTATGCTCCCTCCAAAGACTTTAGGGGAGAATTCTTCCTTACCTCTCCCAATTTGTGGTGGCTCCTGGTGTTCTTTGGCTTGTGGCAACATAACTGCAAACTCTGCCCCTCTTTCCACATGGCCTTCTTCTTGGGTCTCTGTGTCCTTTCCTCTTTTATAAGGATACCTGTCATTGAACTTTGTGCCCACCTTATATCTGGGATAATTTCGTCTTGAGATTTTTAAATAACTACATCTGCAAAGATCTTATTTCCAAATAACATTCTGAGATTCTGGTTTGACACAGATTTGGGGGGGAACATTGTTCAACTCACTACAATTAGTAAATGACAAACAAATAAATTTCTAAAAAGTAGTCCTTAAACTCCTGGCGACCCCTAGCCCCCATCCAGGTAATTGACTGCATGTGTTGTGAAACCCAGTGCCTCTACATTGCTTCTCTTGCTGTGCGGTTCACATGACAGTCCAGAGGAGGAGGCTACCCACAGAGAATGTATAACTTGAACTCAGCCTTAATAGAAGCTTAATAGAAGTTTGGATAAATTGTGAGAAGGGAGAGGGCATTTGAGTTGAAATTTTAAATCTCTCTTTTAAGCGTCAGCCATAGTGATAACCAAAATGTCTCTTCCTTCTGTAAGAGCCTAAAATTCAACTCAAGCAGGCTTATGCAAAAATGGGCTAATGTATCAGCGATAGTAACGGAAAAGTCCAAGTCTAGGCCCAAGAATCACTGGATGTTGCTCCTGTAAGAGTGCTTTCAGAAATACACTAGTCTCTTCTTGACTTGGGCTTCCTCTGTTTTGACATAATTCCTTGAGAAATGGTCCCAAGCAGCTCCATACTAACAGGCTCTCACATTAGTAAATCCAACAGAAATTTCATGTTTCTTTCCCAGCAGTTCCAGAAAAAGTGGATGTTAAATGGCTGTGATGGTCACACGTTCTCTCCTGAGTAATCATTCTGTCAGGGGCTACTGTACTCCTCCTTCCAGGTCTGAGTCACCTGCCCTACTTAGAGCCATGGGGTGGAGTCAGCCATACCCAAATCATGTGGACTAAGCATGAGAAGAGTGAGGGAGGATTCACTTATTCTAGGAAAGCCATTGTGATGTTAGAGGGGAAGGAGAAATAAATGTAGGCAAACAAAAATAACGGCTGTCCACTCCCCTCACTCTGACAACTTTTACAACCACTTCAGACACTATCGGGAGAATTTCTATTCAGCTGTAAGAGCTGTGTCTGTCCCCAGATAATCCACAAAAATACAAAATGTCTGCTTTGGCACCACAGGTACCACAGATATGTTTTATTTACGCATGGTACCTTAGACCCTATTTTCAGGCAACTAGATGGAAGGTATATCAATCTGCTAGTACTGCCATAAAAAAAATCACAGACTGGGTGGCTTCAACAACAGAAATTTATTTCCTCACAGTTCTGGAGCTACAAGTCCAAGACCATTGTGCTGGCCAGCTCAGTTTCTGGTGAGGGCTCCCTTCCTGACTGGTAGGGGCCTGTCTTCTCCCTGTGTCCTCGCATGGCCTTTCCTTTGTGCTCCTGCAGAGAGAGAGAAAGAGAGAGAAAGTTCTCTTGTGTTTCTTTCTCTTATAAGGACACCAGTCACATTGGATTAAGGTTCTACCATTTTTTTTTAACCTCATTTAATCTTGATTACCTCCTTAAAGGCCACATCCCCAAATACAGTCACATTGGGGGTTGGGGATTCAACATATTGATTTTGAGGAAACACAGTTTAGTCCATAACAAACAGGAAAACATTTTTATTCCACTTACCTCTTACTTAATGTTTTCCAAAGACTTGAAGCAATACATTTTGACACTGATTAACTCTGCCATGTGGTGCCACTTCAAATATTTTTTCAAGTGCAAGATGTAAAATATTTTCCAGTTTCCAATCCATGATATCTCAGAGGTCACATCATGATCCCAAGCACAGCCAGAATCCTATCAGTCTTCCCCTATCAATTAACCCTACAATTGTTTCCATTTAATTGCCAGGTGTTTTTTCTCAGATTAGCAGGCCAACAACTAGACTGCTGCCTCCCAAAAATATTTTCAGACATGAATGACACACGTACACACAAATATTCTATGGCATGCAACATGATGAGATCCTAAGCATATACTGATGTTATAGCCAAGCCTGATTTATGGATGTAATCTCTAAGTATTATGGTGCTTGATTATTTGAATTTCTTTCCACTTAAGCTGACATCAATATATAGAAAAAAGACCATCTGAAAACATGTGATACCTATTAAGTGAAACACGAAACATGACTCTTAAAAGCAAATTGGTTACTAATTCCTGGAGCTGAGTTTATTTAAATCCCATTTAAACCAAGTACCTGTTCTAAGGAAACATTTAGAAATCAAAATCCAGAAAACAAAAGGAAAATTCAGCTCTGGCTCTAGGTTGCCTGATAAAATATTCTGACCCGATGCTGTGCCAAGTTCGCCCAGAATTTATAATACAATCCTTGTTTGAGTTTCTCAGGTACTCCAGATTGGAAATGCACCGAGTCACTATTCCCTCTGTGTTTGCCAATTTGACTTCAAAGTCACACATTAGAATTCATTAGCCAGTTATTGAACTACCCCCTTGTTCCTAGTGTGCAATTTAAAAAGAATTTACAAGTTAAAAAATAGTATAAAGACTACCTCTAAAATGTTTTCATTTTGGAAAAAAAAATCGTGTCTACTTAACACATTAGTTGCTTTTGACAAGCTTTAGTTTTAGATGACTTGGGTAGAATTCAGTGTGTCATTCTTGGCATCATGTTCTCACTGGAACCTTGACAATATTAACATCTCCATCTTTGAGAAGACTAAAACTGGAGTTACCGCAAATCTTGGATTCAATGCTTTTTAGTATTTACACTCAAAAGTATCCTTTTTTCACAGGCCCCCTTTTGAGAAAAGGCACAAAAAGCAGGGTGGGAGTGAATGAACGTTTAACCCCTGAAGGCTGTGCAGACACTTAAACAGAGAAATAAGCATTGACATTGCAGTCCAACGTAAAGGAGGTCCAATTAAAAGCTTTTTTTGTATTAACTAAGATAGATAGTTTTTAGTAAGTCTGCATATATATTTATATTCAGCTCTGTAGAATACAGGATAAATTTAGAATAACAATCATCTCTGGGGTTGGACTTATTTATTACTAATATTAGTGGTATTAACAAAAGGAAAATAGCACCGAGGAGTAATTATTATATCCAAGCTTTATGAGGCCTTTTTTTTGAAAAATGTTTTTCTAAACTGAAAATGAAGAGGATAACATCTTGAATGTAATCCTTGACAGCTTCTATTATGGTTTCTGTCACCTTTTAGTATACTTCCTAACTGTGCGTACTACAGAAAATGGCAAGGAATTAATCAGGTTGCCAAAAGAGTTGGGTTACACAGCATGCAGAAAGCACTTCAGCTACATTATTTGTACAATTTCTGTAGGGAGTTGTGCAATAGAGGCCTTAAATTTAATATGTCTGGCCCCTTTCCACCTGGACTCAGTTCAAACCCATTGCCTGCAGCTTGCTGAATCCAGAGTGGGAAATCAGTCATTATATTAGGAACCAATGGCAAATGATTCCAATTCACATTTTTCAGCTGGTACATTTTTTAACCTAGAGCAACACCAAATTGGAAAATTCTGCAATTCTGCAAGCTGGGCATTAGATCTATATTGCAGTCTAAATACATTTCTAGTCTTAAGAAGTTGACAAGATGATTTTTCTTTAGAATTTCTTTAGTTGATGTGCCATTGACAGAAATTTCAAGGTCTACCACATCATCACCTTTTGCTGGTCCTTTGTTTTTCTCACTGAGGGTAAGTGGTGGTGTCAGTGCCATAAACTGCAATAATCTATGAAACATTGACTCGACTCCTTTATGCCTGTGGCCACATTAGGTAAATTGAAAGGCCATATGCAGCAAAATGAAACTTTCTTGGAGATTGTTAAAAACAAACAAACAAACAAAAAATTCCAAGCATAGTGTCTCTTGCCTGTAATCCCAGCACTTTGGGAGGCTGAGGTGGGAAGATTGCTTGAGCCCAGGAGTTTGAGATCAGCATGGACAACATAGTGAGACCCCATATCTAAAACATAAAAATAAAAAAAAAATTAGTTGAGCATGGTGGCACGTACCTGTAGCCCCAGCTACTCAGGAGGCCAAGGTGGGAGGATTGCTTGAACCCAGGGGACTGAGGCTGTAGTGTGTTGTGATCATGCCACTGCATTCCAGCCTGGACAACAAAGTGAGGCCTTGTCTCATAAAAATAAATTATTTTTTATTAGTAAGTAAACATAAAGGAAAGTAATGCTATATGGAAAATGAAATGAAGAAGCAAGTAATAGAAAAAGAAAGGCCAACCACCTCTTAACCATATGAATATATGGTCAAACATGTTGGTAGCAAGGAAATGTAAAATAAAATATAAATGAGATCTCACTTTCTATTCTTCACATTGAAAACTAATATCAAGTGCTGGTGAGAATATAGGGCAACATACTTTGCTGGTAGAATAAAGAATTGCTACAACCTTTATGAAAAGAATCTATCAATACCCATTGACCTAGACATCCCAATTTTGAAAATATACAAAAAGATGAGTAGGTAAAGTCGGAAGTACAAATATGTTTAAGGCAGTCATATTTAAACTACAAAAATTATTAAAACAACCCAAAACGCTATTGATAAGGAAATGCTTGGTTAAGTTATGGTCAATATAGTGACTGGTATGCAACTATTTTAAAATGGGCCCTATAAGTATTTGCTTAGAGGCAGTTATATAATGTATTGCTTAATTTAAAAAGCAAATTATAGAGTGTTATGTAGAATATAGCCACCTTTAAAAAAAACACAATAAATTATAGACATGTGAACATGAATGTGCATTTGTGTATGTATGTGTTTTATTAAGAAAAGTATAGAAAGGTATACAAAAACAGAAATAGGTTTAGAGGAAAGAAAAGTGAAGAATATTAACATTTCACTTCTATAAGCCTATATTGTTGAGCTTATTAAAATAAGCATGTATTATTTTTGTAAATAAAATTTAATAAAATTAAAAGGAGCAAAAAGGGCAATTAATTTTAGAGCTATAATTTACAGGTGTATTTCAATTAGGGTTCTCTAAAGAAGCAGAATCAATAGGGTGTGTGTGTGTATGTGTGTGTGTAGATGTTCATATATAACTATATAATATATAATGTATAACTATAATACAATTATATGAATATATATATAGGTATATAGACAGACTGACAAATTTTAAGGAATTTGATTATGGGGGCTGGCAAGTCCAAAATCAGCAGGGTAGGCTAGTAGGCTGGAAACTCAAGCAGGAGTCTTGAGATAGAATTTCTTATTTTCTGAGAAACCTCAGTTTTTGCTTTTTTAAGGCAACTGCTTGCGTGAGGCCCACCCACATTATTGATGGTAATTTTTTTATGTAAAGTCAACTGATTGTAGAGAGTAACCTTGTCTACAAAAATATCTTCACAGTACCACCTAGATTAGTGTTTCAATAAATAACTGGGTACTATAGCCTAATCAAATTGACACATAAGACTAACCATCACAGTCCACCTCTTGTCAAATTGGCAGCCATACACATCTCCTTACAACACACTTAATCTCCAAAGTAAAAACAATAAAACAGTAACAAGTCACACTTTTATTGTATCCACCTAACATGATACAACTATGTAGTGTATGACAAAAAAATATACTCTTTCCCCAAAGGGATGCAAAGTCCTTGGATAATGTTCACTCTTCTCTTTGATGTCCTGTAACTTAAATGCTATGGTGGAAAGGTAGCTATTATTTAATATGTCTTATGTCATTATGATAAGAGGAGAGAAAAGAAAACAGAGATATTTGCCATACATACACACAAACACACCTACACTTACACACATACATACACACAAATTTATAACAAAATAAGAAAATAGGCAGGGCATGTTAGCTGACAGCTGTAATCCCAGCACTTTGGGAGGCTGAGGCAGATAGATCACTTGAGGTCAGGAGTTTGAGACCAGCCTGGCCAACATGGCAAAACCCCTTCTCTACTAAAAATACAAAAATTAGCTGGGTGTGGTGACACTCCTCTGTAATTCTGGCTACTCAGGAGGCTGAGGCATGAGAATTTCTTGAACCCAGGAGGCACGGGTTGCAGTGAGCCAAGATCACACCACTGCACTCTAGCCTGGGTGAAGGAGTGAGACTCTGTCTCAAAAAAAAACCACCAAAATAAGAAAATAAGGAAGAAAGGCTTGTAACAATTTCAATTTTTATTTATGCAAATGGTCACATCGTTTTAGCTGGTATTTAAACTACCTTCTTCCACTATGCCCTTTACCTGGTGGAGTGACACAAACTTCTATTCCTAAAGGATCTAGGTCATTAATAGTGCTGCCTGAATTGTGATGTTGCAGTTTTCCATTAACATTAATCACAAGGCATGATAATACTAAGAGATGCCCTAAGGGAGCTCCTATATTTCAGACATACTCTTCCTTCTCTCCATTATGTAGTAGCAGGCCAATTTTCCCTTGGTAATCAGGATCAATCACATCAGTCAGTATACAAACAGGTATATTTTTTGCCCGTTGAGTCAGAAGCATGAGGAACCCAAAGTGGCCAGTGGCTATCTTAACATCCAGTTCAGTAGAATCATTGTTTTGTCTCCTGGTGGAAACATTTCTCCCTTTGGAACTAAGACCTCTAAGGTCAGCAGAGTATGAGATCATGGAGACAGGAAACAAAATGTTGCCAGTGTGTCACCAGGGGTAATGATCAGTGGTGCTACTCACATTTCCACTCATTTCCTTGATTTCTGTATTCATGAATCCTGGCTGTGGGAGAAACAGCACCAGATCTTGGATGCTGATTTAGAGCATATACAGCCTCCTGAAATACACTGGCCAAGTTCTCTAAGGTATTGTCACCCAACTGGCATTGCAATTGAGTCTTCAAAAGCCTATCCTACCATTTTATCAAGGCAGCTGCTTCAGGATGATAGAAAACATAGTAAGACCAGTGAATTCCATAAGCATGTGCCTGTTGCTACACTTTATTTTCTGTGAAGTGGGTGGGTTATTGGATCAGAAGCAATGCTGGGAAATGCCATGATGGTGGATAAGTCATCCTGTAAGTCCACAGATGGTAGTTTTGGCAGAATCAGTGCATGCAAGGAGGCAATTCTGTATCTAGAGTGTCTATTCTGGTAAGATCACAGCACTTCCCCTTCCACGATGGAAGCACTCCAATATCATCAACCTTCCACTAGATGGCTAGCTGGTCACCCCAGAGAATGGTGCCATATTGGGACTCAGTGTTGTTCTTGGCTGCCGGCAGATTGATCACTCAGTGATGGCTGTTGTCAGGTCAGCTTTGGTGAATAGAAGTCCATGTTGCTGAATCCATCCTTGCCATCATGGCCACTTTGTTCATGAGCCCACTAGGCAATGGCAGAAGTGGCTGGAAACAGAGGCTATTATCCACAGAAAGAGTCATCCTATACACTTGATTATTAAAATACTCCTCTGCTGAATTTACTCCTTGGTGAGCATTCACATGGGACACAAATATCTTCACATTTTTGCTCATTCAGAGAGGTTCTCCAGAAAAGCAGAACCAATAGGATGTGTGTGTGTGCATATGCCTCTTCTCCAAGCCTCCCTGTCACCATTTTTGAATCGGGTTTCTTCCAAGTTCCTGACCATCCAGCTAAAACATTAGCCACAACTCATGAATTGATATATACTTGTACTTCTGCCATTTCTCCTTCCAAGTAAATGAACAACCAGGTACATTTCTTGAAGTTCTGCTCACTGTGGAGATTTCCCTTCACCATTGTCCTTTAGGAATGTCCTATAAAGGACTATAGTGCTGTAGATGTCTATTTTTGGATTATGCCTACATATTGTACAGGACCATCTGTAATTCAGACTTGAGTGTTTTGCCTCCACAGTCATTGATTTTAGGGAAAATCCATAAGTATGGATTGAGAAAGAATATATTGTAGCAGGTGTGGAGACCATGGGCATTTGGGCCATTTCTTCATGAAACTTATGGCTTGGTGGGTCAGATAACACTTAGTTCATGATGGGCAATTCAGATGGCATGTTAACTTGGTGGCCCATGATCAAGCATTCTGTCTCTACTAAGGCCCAGTAGCAGGCAAAAGCTGCTTCTCAAAAGGAGAGTATTTATCTGCAAAAGGTAGCAGGGCTTTGCTCCAAAATCCTAAAGGCCAGTGCTGATTTACCTATTGGGGTCTGCCAAAGACTCCAAACAGGTCTCCATCTGTGACTAACACTTCAAGCACCATTGGATCTGCTGGGTCTTATGGCCCAAGTGGTAAAGCAGCTTGTGCACCAGAATGGACCTGTTGCAGAGCCTTCTCTTATTCAGTGACCTACTCAAAACTAGCAGCTTTTTGGGTCAATCAGTAATACACTCGAATGAGGAATACGTCGCCTCTAAAATCCAAAAAGGTCCACTAAGCATTGTGCCACTTTTGGGGTTGTAAGAGAGGTCAGCTGCAAAAACTTATTCCTCATCTTAGAAGGGATATCTTGACATGCTCCACAACACTGCACTGCTAGAAATTTCCTTGTGGTAGAAGGCCCCTAGATTTTTGTGAAACATATTTTTTACCCTCTGACTTGCAAATGTCTTACCAATAAGTCTAGAATAGTGTTGCTTCTTGCTCACTAGATCTAATCAGCATAATGCCATCAATGTAGTAGATTAATGTGATATCTTGTGAAGGGAAAGGCAATCAAGATCTCTGCACAATAAACTATAACACGGGGCTAGAAAGCTGATATGTCCCTGAGGTAGGACAGTGAAGGTGTGTTGCTGGTTTTGTTAGCTGAAAGCAAACTGCTTCTGGTATACTTTACTAAAAAACAGGAGAAGCCATTTGTCAAATCAATACCTGCATACCAGATACAAATGCATACATTACCTCGTTCTAGCAATGAAATTCATCTACCAGAGCAGCTGCAATCAGAGTCACTATCTGGTTAAGCCACTGTCATTCTCCAAAATTTGTGTTCAGTACAGCCCAAATAAGCAAGTTTGATGAGGATGTGATAACAATCACTACCCCTTCATCACTCAAGTCCTTGATGGTGTCACTAATCTCTGCAATCCTTTCAGGAATGCAGTATTGCTTTTGGTTTATTATTTCCTAGATAGAGGCAGTTCTCATGGATTCCACTTGTCCTTTTCTGCATAATAGCCCTCAACCCACAGGTCAGGGAGCTAACATGGAGATTCAACCAGTTACCAGGTATGTTCAAATTATGTATTCCAGAGCTGGGGAAATAACCATATAATGAGTTCAGGAATCCACTGGACCCATTGTGAGATGGATCTGAGCTAAAACTTCATTGAACACTGATCTCCATATTTCTGTACTCGAAATGGTGGACCACAGTGACATTTTGGGTCTCCTACAGTTAATGCCAATTTATAGCCAGGTTCCAGTAATATCTGAAATATCTGCTTATTTCCTTTTTCCCAGTGAACAGTCACTCTGGTAAACAGCTATGGGTCTCTTTGGGAAAGGCTGGAAGAAAGATTAATAGTATAAGTTTTTGGCAGTGTGGTGGGGTCCTTCCTCAAGGATCCTCAGCCTCCTCTTCATTCAAGGGGTTCTGGTCTGCAAACTTGCTGAAGTCTGGGGTTTGATTGAGTGGACATGACTCTGTTTTTATTACTCAAGTTGGACTTTTGTTTACTTGACCTAAAACTCTCCACTTTTACAGATCAAGTAATAATTTAGTAGGCTTCCTACCTATTTCACTTCTAAGAACACTATGATCAACTAGCCAATGTCACAGGTCTCTGTGAGTCAGATTATTACGACTGCCCGTTTGACACTGCTGTCCATTATGATATCCGTGCCCAACTTGCCTTTTGAGATTGAATGTTACCACTTTGCCCCTGCAACCCAAGGGATCCAGTTATTCCCATGGTATCTGGGCTTCTTAATTCAGTAGTAGCAGTTCCCATGATAATTCCAACCTACAGAAAAAAGCAATCACAAAGCTCTTCAAGGATATTGGGACTCCCTTCACAAATTTATTATTCACAGTCATGATGAAAGATATATCTGTGGACCATTCTTGGGTGGGCGAGCAAGTCTTAAATGATAAATCTACCCTAAAAATACCCCAATCCTGAAGACTTTGGATTCTTTACAATATACCATGCCAGTTCTGGCATGTCAACTGTACTTATAGTGGGGCACTTTTTGGTCTATGTTTCAGCCAACCAAATAAATAGCTAAAACCCTTTCTAATCCCCCAAGCTGCAACATTAAACCCAGAATATCTGCTCAGTGAGAATATATCAATAAATTTGGCCTGATCCAACTTTATGCTTCTTCTACTATTATTCCACACCCTTAATATCCATTCCTACATGTATTCCCCAGATTCCTGCCTGTATAAATAGAAAATCATGAAGCTCTTTTGGAGGGTAGTGCATGTCCTTATAGCCACGTGTTGTACCTCACCCTTTCAGGCCTGCTGGAACTTCAGTCAAGTTATAGGTCTAAAAGCAAAAAAGGAGTGGTATAGATGGTCCCTAAGGAGAATCAACAGAAAGCCGGAACCTTGCTTCTTATAAGTTTTTGATTTGGAGTATCCAATGATACTTTGTATCATTGTATCCAGTGATATTTTGCCTATCTCTATTGCTATATCACACTGTGGACTATCAGTGCCCTCTTTACCACTGGAAATAATCATTAGTGTCTTTAAATATAATCAGATTAGAGAATCAATTACAGAAACTCCAAATCATTTCAAAGAATTGATCCTTAAGATCCTGTTCCTCTATAACCACTCTTAGTACTGAAATCTGTATCAGTCAAGGTCTCCAGAAAAATAGAACCAATAGATTAAGATAGACATATAGAGATATAGATGTTAACCATTTCTACGGTATACATTCATTGCAACATCTAGATGAGCATTCAATCAGATTATTGGGTATTACAGCCTGGCTATGTTGATAAGTAAAACTAACTATCACAAAGGAGATGACCAGTAGCTCTCATTAGAATATTATGCTTGGTTTTACCTAGGGTGAACTTTCCTGAAACAATCTAGACTGATCTAAAAACATCTTGTCTCAGTATAACTTGGACATTTTGAGGATAGGAGTGGGAAGGCAACCTGATTATACATAAAACCTTTTAAAGTAAGAAATAAAAAAAAGAGTTAAGAGGTCAATCAGGTTGGCCAATTTATTTGGTAGTTGAGGAGCTGAAGCATTTTTTAATCCATTAATATATACCCATTATGGCTGTATACTCTAACCCTTCTTAGCTGTTAAACCAGAGTTCAGAATGCCTGGATTCAACTTCTAGCTCAGCCATCTTACTCAGGCAGATTACTTCATCTCTATAAGCCCTGTTGGAAATATCTCAGGGTTAGACTTTATGCATTTCTATCACTCAAATTCATAACATTTTAACAATTTAAAAACAAATATCAAAATAATAACATATAGGTATAGATGTGGTACAAAATTTTGCTTTATTTCCAAAGGACTTGAAGAATTTACTTGTTTTCATCCAACACACTTTTGAAAACATAAATAGCAAATATAAATATATTCTCATTGGAGGAGGGTTGATGAGATTTCCCGGGAGCGATGCTCTGCATTCTAAATCTGAGGCATCCTAACAGGTCCTGTGTGCCCTTGAGTTAAGGTGGGAGTCCATGACATTTGGTATAGAAATTGTTGCCTTTGCCAAATGAAAATGAAATTGACATATTGGCTGCACAGCTTATATTCTGAATTGTGTTCCCAGGAGTACATAGCCTGTACTCTTTTTCTGTTTTCTTGTAGTAACTTAAGAAACAAGTTTATAAGTTGCCTAAAGAGTCAAGACTGCTGTTGTGAAATAGAGGTTTTCTTGAAGGAAAACTAACCCTTCTAGTCATTAAGTTTTGTTGTAATGCTCTGGATAACCTGCTCTGGAACCATTAGAGCACTTTCTATAAATATTTCTGGAGGCCTTGATAGAAAATAACTTTACATTCAAATAGAATATAGTGGAATATTTGGAAATATAACCTCTTCACCCTTTACATCAAATAAGTTGCTGTATCAAAACAAAAATAAAAGCATGAGATTTGACCATGACTTTGAGACCTGTGGCACTATTTTCCAGCAGTATAACATCAGAGTTCACTTGGTTCCTCTGAGTCTCAATTGTCTCATATAACAATGCCTACCTCTCAGTATTCTGAGATAATCTTATAATGATATATATGAGAGAGATCTGTAAACTTTACAACATTGGCAATATTAATAGTTCTCTGACAATCATATGCTCTTATAAATTCAGAACAAGTTTCAAAAGAAGCAGATGCTATTTGAGAGAACAGAATCACAATACTATCTTCTTAAAATCAAATCAAAATTTCACAGACGTAGCAACATAAATCCACAAGTGTTTATCTCTAGAAACAGTGAAATGGGAAAAGATTATCAGTCCTTTGTGCAAAGAACGTCTGGTTACAAATTCGGAAGGGTGCTGAAATGCCGGTTTTATATATCTATTTCTGCTAGGCAGAGAGACTAGTCAGGAGATAAAGGACAGAGTGCTGGAAAGCTTGGGCACAGATTTTATGGAGCAGGGAGGAATCATGAAGGTGGGAGCACCATAGACTGTTCTAATATGCGGACTGTCAGTAAATGTCAAGACTCCAACTGAAACATCTTAGTACCGATAGCATCTGTTTCCCCAGCTGGTTCTCAGCCTGAAATTGTTAAGGAAAACAACGTGGTGGCAGGAAAGGATCAGTTTGGGAAAGATTAGATTCCACTCCCGGAGCCATAGAATCAACAGGAAGTTGCTGCATGTGATCTTTATTCAAAACTAGGAGAGGAATCCAGTAGAGTACATTTGTTCTGAAATTTCTTTAGCTTGGCCCAGACTACCTGCCTTTCTCCTTAGAGATAGGACTATTCTAAATAATGATATTTAGTAAATGGTATCTCAAATGTACTGGTAATTGAAAATAAAAACCTGGATGTGATTCTTGAGACCACCTCTCAAATAGTTGTCAAACGGGTTCACTTCTCATCATTTCCACCTCTACCCTTCCAGCCTAGCCCTTTCCTGGGGGTGACACAAGTGGCATTTGAGCTGGATTTTCAATAATATAAAAGATGTCAACAAAATGGAGAGGGGAGGCAGGCAAGGAATTCAAAAGTCAAAAGAGAACAAAGACATTTTGGTAACAAACTGGAGCCTAGAATGCAGAAGGAAGCATGGTAAGATATAAATTCTGACTGCTGAAAATCTTGAATGCCACATAAGGATTTTGGACTTTATGCAAGAGACAAAAAGGTCATTTGGAGTCTTTGAAAATGGGTTTGGCAGGATTAGAACTATAAGGTAGGTATAGAAAACCAGATTTTGTTATCCATTCATCTATCTGCTGATAATAACACATTAATTATCCTCTATGTAATTTTTCCTTGCCCTTCTCCTAAGCTTTGTGCTTTGGGTGGAATTCATTTTACTCCTAGATCCACGGGTAACTCTGTGACTTAGACTTGGCACCCCCAAAATTGTTTTCCATGATCACTAAAATTGGCTTAGAATGGATGAGTGATCTGAAAAGCCAGTAAAAGTCAATGGGACTTTTGTTGATGCTATTGTGGGTCACACTGTCTTTCTTGTGAGACTCAAATCCGGGAGGTTATAGGTTGCAGCAGGTATTTATGCAATCATGTGGAGCCTGGAAATGACAGGCCCATGGGGAAGAAAACAGAGCCTGTGTCCTGGTCATGTTATCTGCGTTGCTCTCAAAACACCCAACCCTTGAGCTTTACGTGTTACCTAAGTCATTGAAATATCTTTCCTTTAGTTAGATTTTCTGCCTTTTGCAGCAGAAAGAATCCTGACTGAAACTCCAGTGAGAGAGATATGTACAACGCTAACGATGTGAGAATACAGATACCAAAGGGGCAAGAGTAAAATCTGATATATATGGGGAAAGAGGTTTTAAGAGAGGATAATTTATGGTTCCCCCTTATTTTCTATCTACAGGGTTAGCACTGTTATTGATCAACACAAGGGAGACTATTGTTTTCCTCTTATGAACCTTCACAACTGTTTAAGAACATTAAATATTAGGGTAAGTTTTCATTTGATTAGAAAGTTCTGTCTTTGTCTCCCTCTTCCAAACTATGATCAGATATAACACTCACACAAGAATAGGCTAACTCACTTATTTATGCACATTTTAAAAAATACTTAAAATATTAGGAAGCTTAAGTGAAAGAAGATAAGGCTATTATGACAAAGTAGATCCACTGTGACTCATGAAGCACAATTTTATTTGTCAGGAAATGTATGTAATTGATGCAGAGTAAATCTTTGTTGAGAAATAGCAGCTAACACTTACCAAACATTATGCTCTGAGATTCTTATATATATTAACCAGTTTAATCCTAATTATAGCTCTTTCAGGAATATATCTTTTAGTTTTAATTTACAATTCAGGAAGCTGAGCACAGATAGGATAAATACCTTGCCCTAACTTTTAATGATGCCAGAATGCGAAACTGGATAATTTAGCTGTAAAACCACGTTTAAGCACTGTACTTGGAGCAAGTGAATAAATGAATAAGCAAATAGATCATCCCTTCTTCCTAATGCTGGAAAAAACCTGGCAATTGGATGGTGTCTTTGTAACAACTCAGTTCTGTTCTCTTCAATAGAGTCATATTCTTTTAATTCCTCAGTTGCTACCTGATTATCAATTAGAAACTTTGAGGAAGCTGTATTCACTATTTCCAATCTCCCAATACAATTTAGTGCACTGAAAAGACAATTTACTCAAACAAAAAACTTGTTAAATGCTAGTATGGTAAAGTGGAGGACTAAGTGTTATTTCCTATATTATCTACTTGTAGTAAGGGAGTAGATGACTCCCTGAGAGAAAATTTGCCTAATTATGGGTCTGATATCTAGTACTTCATAGCATTTTCTGCTCATGTTGAAATGGATGCCAGGCTGCATCTGTGTGTTTTAAATGAAAGTCTTGCCCAGGAACCAGTGACAATTTGCCCAGTCCATGTTTATAGTCTACAGTATTAGGTGGGATGGGTGGCACTGTAGTCACTAATCTGACATGAACTAACACTTACCATAATGGCACAGGATTTACCACTTGAAATTGCACCTGAGTTTGTGCCTCTCAGCTAACATAGAAATGCTAATCATATCTCATACAGATAGCAATTTAAAAATCAATCTCTGTGTTCATGAAAATATGACTTAATTCTTGGCTGATGTCACTATAATGGGAGGGGTAAGATCAACTTCTATTTAAAAATCAGGTCATTCATGCATTTAATTGCAAAATATCTCACTGTCACAAAATGCCTCTCCTCCCTTTGTAGATGCATCCTTTTGTGTTCATCATAGTTCTTTCTGCAGCCTTTGACATGGGCAGGCAACTACCTCTTTGCTTTAAAACATATTATCTTTAAAAAAAAATTAATTGACAATAATTTTACATATTCACGGGGCCCATAGTGATGTTTTCATATGTATAATGTGAAGTGATCAGGTCAGGTTAATTAGCATATCTATCATCTCAAACATTTATAATTTATTTGTGTTGGGAATATTTGCTAACTATAGTCATTTTACAGTGGTTTAGAACACTAATACTTATTTCTCCTACCTAACTGTAATTTTATACCCTTTAACAAATCTCTCCCTAACCCTACCTTCCCTCTACCCTTCCCATCCTCCAGTGTCTTCTGTTCTACTTTGTATTTCTATGAGATCAACTTATTTTAGCTTCCACATGTAAGTGAGAATATGCAATGTTTAACTTTCTATTTCTGGCTTATTTCACTTAACATAATGTCCTCCGATTCTATCCATGTTGCTGCAAATGACAGGAGTTCATCCTTTTTATGGCTGAATAGTATTCTATTGTGTACATATACCAGAGTTTATTTATTCATTCATCTGTTGTTGGATGCCTAGGTTGAATCCACATCTTGTCTATTGTGAATAGTGCTGCAATAAACATGGGGGTGCAGATGTCTCTTTGATATTAACATTTCCTTCCCTTTGGATAAATTCACAGTAGTGGGACTGCTGGATCATGTGGTAGTTCTATTTGTAGTTTTCTGAGGGACCTCCATACTGTTCTGCACAGTGGCTGTACTAGTCTGTATTCCCACCACAGTGTATGAGAGTTCTCTTTTCTCTGCATCCTTGTCAGCATTTGTTATTTTTTGTGTTTTAGGTAATAGCTGTCCTCACTGGGGTGTGATGATACCTCATTGTGGTTTTGATTTGCATTTCCCTGATGATTAGTGATGTTGAGTATTTTTTCACATATTTTTTGGCCATTTGTATGTCTTCTTTTGAAAAATATCTGTTCAGATTACTTGCCCTGTTTTCAATTACAGTGTTTAGGTTTTTTGTTTGTTTGGTTAGCTTTTGCTGTTGACATGCTTTAGTTCCTTGTATATTCTGGATATTAGTCTCATGTCAAATAAGTAGTTTGCAAGTATTTTTTCTTATTCTGTAAGTTGTCTTTTCATCCTGTTAATTGTTCCCTTTCCTGTGCAGAAGATTTTTAGTTTGATATAATCTCTTTTGTCTATTTTTGCTTTTGTTGTTGTGCTTTTGAGGTCTTATTTATATAACCTTTTTCCAATCCAATGTTCTGAAGTGTTTCTCCTATGTTTCCTTCTAGTAGTTTTACACTTTTAAGTCTTAAATTTGATTTTTTTGTATAGTGTGAAAGGTGGAGGTCTAGTTTCATTCTTCAGCATATGGATATCCAATTTTCTGAGCATCATTTATTCAAGAGATTGTCCTTTCCCCAGTGAGTGTTCTTGACAGTTTTCTCAATAATCAGTTAGCTAGGAACACGTGGATTTATTTCTGGGTTCTCAATTCTGTTTCACTGGTCTATGTGTCTATTTTTTATGCCGATATCATTCTGTTTAGTCCCTCAGCTTTGTAGTATATTTTGAGGTCTACTAATATGATACCTCTTCCTTTCTTCTTTTTGTTCAGGATTGCTTTGGCTGTTTGGGGTCTTTTGTTGTTCCAAACAAATTTTAAGATTTTTCTTCTACTTTTGTGAAGAATGTCATTGATATTTTGATAACAATTGCATTGAATCTGTAGATTGCTTTGTGTGGGATGGTCATTTTGACAATATTAATTCTTCCAGTTCTTAAGTATGAGATGTCTTTGCATTTGTTTGTATCCTCTTTAGTTACTTGTAGTTCTATACAAAACATCAATGTTTTATAGTTTGCCTTGTAAAGGTCTTTCACTGCCTTGGTTGAATTTATTTCTAATTATTATTTTTTGGGTAGCTGTTGTAAATGAGATTGCCTTCTTGATTTCTTTTTCAGCTAGTTCATTGTTTGTGTATAAAAATGCTACAAATTTTTATATATTCATTTTGTATCCTGCAACTTTACTGAATGTATTCATCAATTCTCAGAGTTTTTTGGTAGAGTCTTTGGGGTTTTCTATATATAAGACCTGTGTATAAGATATTATTATCTGCAAAATTTGACTTCCTTCTTTCTTATTTGGATGCCCTTTATTTCCCTCTCTTGCCTAATTGTTCTGGCTGGAACTTCCAGAACTATATTGAATTACAGAGGTGAGAGTGAGCATCCTTGTGTTGTTCCAGTTCTTAGAGAAATAGCTTTTAGACTTTTGATGTTAGCTATGTGTTTGTCATATATAGCCTTTATTATGTTGAGGCACTTCACTTTTATACCTAATTTTTAAGTTTTTATCATGAAGAGATGTTAAATTATATCAAACGCTTTTTCTTTATCTATTGAGAGGAACATATTGTTCTTTTCCTTTATTTTATTAATGTAGGCATAACGTTTGTTGATTTGTATGTGTAGAACCATCCTTTCATTCCTGGAATAAATCTCACTTGATCATGTTATATTATCTCTTTGATGTGTTGTTGGATTCAGTTTGCTAGTCTTTTGTTGATTATTTTTCGTCTATGTTAATCAGGCATGTTGTCCTATAGTTTTCTATTTTTGTTGTGCAGTTGTCTGATTTTGGTGTCAGGGTTTATACTGGCCTCATAAAATGAGTTGCAAAGAGTGCCCTCTCCTTCAATTTTTTAGGATGGCTTGAGAAGAATTGATATTAATTACTCTGTAAGGTTTTGATAGAATTCGGTGGTGACGCCATTTGTTTATGGACTTTTCTTGGTTGGAAGACTTATTATTACTGATTGGTGTATTCTAGTTTTCTGTTTCTTCTTCTTGATTCAATCTTAGTAGGTTGTATGTGTCCAGAAATTTATCCATTTCAAATTTATTTGACATATAATTGTTCCCAGTAGTCTCTAATGATCCTTTGTGTTTCCATGGTATCTGTTGTGACATCTCTTTTCTTATTTCTGATTTTACTTCTTTGGATCTTCTCTCTTTCTTTTTTAGTTAGTCCAGATAATGGTTTGTTATTTCCCTTTGTCTTTTTTATAAACTAGCCTATTGTTTCCTTGATCTTTTGTATTATCTTAATTTTGTTTATTTCTGCTCTGATTTTTATTATTTCTTTCCTTCTACTAATTTTGGGTTTGCTTTCTTCTTGATTTTTTAGTTCTTTGAGATGCATTGTTAGCTTATTTATATGACATCTTTCTAGTCTTTGATGTAGGCATTTATTACTATAAATTTGCCTCTTAATACTGATTTTCCTGTGTTCCATAGTGTTTGGTATGTTGTGTTTCTATTTGCATTTGTTTCAAGAAATTTTTCTGTTTCACCCTTAATTTCTTCCTTCATCCTTTGGTTGTTCAGGAGCATGTTGTTTAATTTCCATGTATTTGTATAGTTTCAAATTGTCTTCTCATTTGTAATGTCTAGTTTTATTCCACTGTGGTTAGATAATATGCTTGAAATGATTTTTATTTAAAAAAAAGTTTTAAGAATTGTTTTGTATTCTAACTTATGGTCAGTCATTGAGAATATTCCATGTCCTAGTAAAAAGAATGTGTATTCTGCAGCTGTTGGGTGATATGTTTTATAAATGTCCATTTTCTCTATGGTGCAGTTTAAATTCAATATTTCTTTGTTGATTATCCACCTAGATGATCTGTCTAGTGCTGAAAGTGGGGAATTTAAGTCCCCAACTATTATTGTATTGGGATCTATTTTTCCCTTTGGATTTGATGTTTGCTTTATATATCTGGATATATATCTGGTATTGGGTGCATCTGAATTTACAGTTATTATATTTTCTTGTTGAAGTGATTCTTTTATTATTATATAATGTTTTTCTTTGTCTTTTTTTTTTTTTTTTTTCTGAGACGGAGTCTCGCTCTGTCGCCCAGGCTGGAGTGCAGTGGCGGGATCTACGGCTCACTGCAAGCTCCGCCTCCCGGGTTCACGCCATTCTCCTGCCTCAGCCTCCCAAGTAGCTGGGAGTACAGGCGCCCGCCACTACGCCCGGCTAATTTTTTGTATTTTTAGTAGAGACGGGGTTTCACCGTTTTAGCCGGGATGGTCTCGATCTCCTGACCTCGTGATCCACCCGCCTCGGCCTCCCAAAGTGCTGGGATTACAGGCGTGAGCCACCGCGCCCGGCCCTTTGTCTCTTTTTAAAGCTTTTAACTTGAAGTCTGTTTTGTCTGATATAAATATAGTTACTCCTGTTTGCTTATGATTTCTATTTACATGGAATATCTTTTTTCATCCCCTTACTTTCAGTCTGTGCATCTTTATAGGTAAGGTAAGGTAAGTTGACCAGCTTAAGGGCTGATGGTAATGGCAGACCATTCCTCCAGCTAGAAGTGCAGTGGTGAGGATTGTTTTCTCTGCTTTGCAGGACCAGAGTCATAGCTGATCCTTGGCCCAAGTTCCACATAGCTGGGGTTATGGCATTCAGCCACCCATGTGGGCTTGGCATGACAAAGTTGGTACCCCAGTGCTGGAGAGGTGCAGTGGCTACTGGCTTCAGAGTAGGGCACACTCCAGAGGTGGCTCTGGTCTCAAGATGGAACCAGGTTTCAGCTGCTTGGCTCACAGGGTGTGGGGGTGGGGTAGGGAGTACACACCATGTGCTCCTAATTTGGAACAAGGCAATCGCATGAAGTCCTGACAGCTCTCCAAATTCAACTCAGGGATTCTGAGGACTGTGGGATTCTCCTGTTGTAAAAATTGTGGGTGTTTGAAGTGGCAATGGGGGTCGGTGAAAATTTTCTGCTTATGTTTTCCTTGCAATGGGGAGTCCTTCCTGACTCTAGGCTGATCATATTTGGATGGGGTTGATGGGGCTGCAGATGCTGGGTGCTTCCATTCTGCCCTCCTGAACTTCCAATCACCTCAGGTGCCTCTCCACTTCAGTACTCTCCCATTGACTCTCCTGTCAAATCTTAGCTGTTTATTTGTTGTCTTGGTCCTTGCTTGCAGACCAGCTATCTCTAGTCAGCTAGAATGCCAGCTATCTCTAGTCAGCCATCTTGCTGACGTCACTCCAAGACATAGTGTCTTGAAGCCTTTCCTTAGAAGCATCAAAGGAGACGCGAGGATTGTTTATTTGTTTATATCTTTAGAAAAAATAGCTCAGTATTAATGATTGAAAAAAAATTTAGTCCCATCCACTTTAAGCTCATGTTTTTGTAGCTCCTCAGATCTTGGCAATATTAACAACTTCAGCACTTATTATAAGACTATATAAACCAGCAAAGCACTTCTTAGGTATTTATGTTTCCCTTGCTGAAGTTTTGAAAACATTTTGGTTGTCTCCCATGGGATGTGATTTCCAAATTCTCAAATTACCCTCTGTTGCTTCCTTTTCCAAAAGATAAAGAGCTACATTGCATGCTTCTTTCTCAATACTGTGTATACTTAATGACATTTTTAAAACAAGATTTTTTTCCTTCTTTTTTGTTTCCCCAGATGCAGATACAAGTGAAGGATAAAATTTACCAAGTAGTGTATTGAGTGTCTATTGCTGAGTCCTCAAAAGCCATGCATCACTCCAAAAAGTAAAAGGATCTTAATCTTTTAGCATTTCTTCTCTTTTAACTCTCTGACAATCTCATTTCTCTGAGTATTAAGAACATAAATGTAGTGTCTACTTATACATAAATGGGGTCATCTACTTCTGACATCCTCATATTGGTTAATTTGGTAAAGAGCTGCTTGAACTGTCCTTACATTGAATCCATTCAGCAGCTCTTGCTACTTGTCATAGTAGCTCAGACAGTTTCATCCAGGGCGGGTATCCACTGAGAAAGAAGGTTGATGAAACTGGATCCTTTCACTCTGACACATACTTCTTGAAAAAGTTTCTAGAATGGGTATACACAATGTACATTTCTGGTCTTTTGATGCATTTTCCTCATTATCTAGATTTTCATATGTGTAGTCATTTAGACAAAGTTCCTTTTCTTTGCACTGCTATATTCAGTCAACTGTTGACTATTTCATTAACCCTCTCCTTATGGTCCTAAACTAGGACCTAGTTTACATCCTATCTAGTTGAAAGTGCTTCTTTATTTATTTTCTGGCAGTGCCACACAGTTTTTTTTTTTTTTTGTTCTATTTAGAGCTTTTCTTTGTTGTATATGTTTATATATTTTATTATTACTTTCATGAGCAAGCAGAGCCCAGCAATTCCCAGGGGATGAACAGTCTATAGTACATATCTTTTAAAAATGGCATATGTCAAAAATTCAGATTATTGTTTCAAAGCAAAAAGTCAAAAGACTTCACTAGTACTTGAAGGGGTAAAGCAAAGAAGAATATGGAGGTGAGGGGTGGAGATATCAGACCTAAATTACACATTTCATCTTCTGGAAACCTCAGCCAATCCCTTCTTTCTTCAGAATCCCATGAGCAGACTATCAAAGACCCATCTCCCTCTGAGCCTTCCTCAGTAATATCCTCCTTTCCTTTTGAACTTACCAACTTTAATCCTGGCAGTACTATTTACCCTACCTTCCTGAGTCATTCTGTGGACATTGTCAAGGCTTGTTTCTCTCTCCCACTCCACTAGCTAATGTGTATATAAACTGATAGTTTATACATTCAGTGTGTACTTTGGTTTAGTTCTTTGTGCTTGTGTCCAAATGCATAGCACATTTGTCTATCAGAAATGTTGAGCAAGGGGAAAAAAGCAATCAGAAATCAAGTTTGATTTAGTTCAAGTTGACATTTATAAAAATAAAGAGTTGAGCCAGGCTGTGGACAAAGTAGAAGGGGGTCTGTCTGCCCTTCTTACTGTTTATATTAGTAAGATGAGTAAGGCAGTGAGAAGTTAGAGATCTCTATTTTAGACTATAAGCTTTTGAGGGAGTGCACAGTAACACTTTTAAAATATATTGCTATATCTTTTAGAATGATATTTGGAAAAATGTTGCCTTTAATATCACCATATTTTAACTTGTCCAAACACAGAGGTTTTAATAAGGCAGTGATCTCCAAGCCTCTTTAATTGTGCATCTTTATTAGTAAAAAAAGTGGAATGTATAGTCCCAATACACAGACATATCTATATGGATTATTCACGTATATTACTTTTACTTTATATATTATAAAGCATAAAAATTAAAGTTAAAAATGAATAAGATAAAAATAATTTTTGAATAAAATTATAATATTTTACCCACACCCTAATGGATTACTCAAGCAAGTCTGCCGTACATGTACCCAATGATAGAGGCAACTGTATTTGACTATTTTCTTGCGATATCATATCTTAAGAATGACTAAGTCCTGGCAGTTATATCTCTGAATTTATCTCAAATTACCACTTCTTTTCTTTTCCCACCACTGTGGCTTTCAATTAGAATCTCTTCAACAACCCTTACCTGAACTCTCTTGCTAGTCTCCTTGCTTCCTTTAGCTCTTCTTCCCAATGCACACTTTACCCAGTGGCCTGGATGCTCTCTCCAAAATTCAGTACTCATTGGTCTCTGCTCTGCTCAAGTCCTTCATTGGCTCTGCATTGCCTACAAGACAGAGCTGAAAGCTCTGAGCATCACACAGACTGTCCTTACTCACCTTTCTAGTTTGCCTTCCTCCTTTCCCACCTGACTCTCTAGCTATGTTAAATTGACTGCAGCTTTTGAAGGCACCCTTCTTTCTTTTATTTTCACCTTTGTGATATTTTATCTTCCAGAGATGGCCCTTTCTTCTTGTCTGCTTATCAAACCTCAATATTCAGCTTAAATATCACTTCCCTTAGAAGGTTCTCTTTACTTCCCTTTGCAGAATTAAGCACTTGTCTTCCTGTGTTTAACACCTGTTTGTGTCAAATTGGGGCAATTATCATACTACTCAAACAATTTCTTTCCATGTCTCTGTGCTCCTAAATGATGGAAACTATGCTCTTTTTTATTTTCTATATTAGGCGTGAAGCAACTGCCTGATCTTCCTTAATAAACAGAGTAGATGCACAAATATTAATTGAACAGTGTATAATTTTGGTGGCAGTGAAGGAAACATTTTAGTGGGCAGTCTTCAACAAATAAACAAAAATATTTATACAATATATAGGAAAAATACTTCTTGTCTAGAGTTTTTATTATTTTTTTTCACAGTTCTTCAGCTTTAAGGTCATTTTCAAAGTCATGCCTCTTATATTGACCAGTCAAAATAATTAATAAGGATAACAATAAATAACATTTATGAGTGTTTACTATTTGGCACTGTGATAAGCAATGTATTGCAATATCTAAGTTAGCTATTTCGTAGCCCTGTGAAGTATTTCATTACTAGTATTTCATTCATCTTGCACATGAGCAAGTTAGTGAGGTTCTGAAGGGTGCAGGGTGACTCTTTCCAAGGAAGTGAAAATGACAAGGTTTAGTAGATTTCTAACTACAGGATGTTTACCCAGATGTTCTGCTGTCTTCAGGCTGCATATCTCCAATTCTCTTTTCAGAATACCTACCCTGAAATTCAGTTCCTTCCATGCTAGGTTGGAACATTTCCAGTGTTCTTAGGATAGCTACAAGTTAAATGTAATAAATATGACGGGTTTACATAATGTATGTTGCATACAGTTCCTAAGAGTTGAGAACTCTTCAGAAGTCTCCGGACCAGACTGTTTATATTTAAGTCAGATGATTTCTTTCACTGAGTGTTTCGGCTTCACTACATTATCTCTTGTGTGATATTATCATCTGCCATAGTTGAGATAAATACTCCTGCAAATGCAGTTTTTTTGTTTGTATATGTTTTGGATAATTCTTATTACATCAACAACCTCAGCAGAAATTGATGCTAAATTCATTATTGATTTATCATTCTTCATGGATACCATAATGAGATTGGCCTCAGAAATAAATAGGTGGACAGGGAGACAGCTTAAAAAATTGTGTTTGCTTTTTATTACGTCAAAATGTTGTTTGCTAATTTTTTAATTAGAAAATTATAATCCATATGATATTCACTAGAAATTTGCAACAAAGATGAGACAAAAGCAGTAAGACGAGAAGAATTGAATGATGCCAAATAAATTTAAAATGTGAAAAAAAATCTTTCAGTTTACTCAACTGCACAAAATGTACAGGTGTTACAGTAGTATTTTCTTTCTTTCTGGTTTGGAATAAGTCATTATTTGATAAAGTAGGTAGGTAAGTGACTATTTCAGTAAGTAACCTGAGAACAATTCTGCTCCTCTGAATGTGAGAATGAAAAAGATTTTTTCTTTAACAAAATTTTAATAGAAACTATGAACAACTCATAGTAAAAAAAAATTGAAAACAAATTGGATTTTACATTTGATAAAGAAAATATTTTGAAAATCCTTTGGAAAATGTGAGCTATTTAAGATTCATTTATTATTTTCTGTATTCAGTAATATTTAATACAATTCATCACACATGTAAGACTGTACAAGCCTTCACAAAGCAAACTAAATAGATTTCTATTTACTAGGATCACATGTACTGCAACAGACACCATTGAAAACATACCCAGAATGGGATATAGTTAAATATCCAATTCAAACATCTAAAGACATGATTATGTGAGTAATTATTGATTATCCTGTATTTGGATTTCACTGTGTTGGTATTTGAGAGATGGCTAGTGACTGTATTGTCATATTGTCATCAAGACTTTCTTTTTTATTTTTTTTTAAATGGGGTCTTGCTATGTTTGCCAGGTTGGTCTTGAATTCTTGGCCTCAGCAATGCTCCTGCCTCAGCCTCCCAAAGTACTAGGATTACAGGCATGAGCCACCACACCCAGCCCTCATCATCAAGACTTTTAATTGCAGTTATCACCTGCACTTTCTTCCCATTTAACTAGGAAAAGCTTTATAGGTAAAATGGGTTTTCAAGAGGATCCTGAGTACAAATGCAGGAAGATCAGCATATAGTAAAAAAAACAAAGAAGATAAAGAATTAGTAAAAGAAAACTTCAAAAGGATCTCATTTAGTCCAGATTTATGCCAGTGACTCATATATATACTTTTACCCTGACCTAGCTCCCAAACTCCAGATTTACATACATGCTTGCTTGTCATCTCCACTTAGACGTCTAAGAATACTTTCAGATACATATGTTTAAGATAAAATTCTTGCTCCCACCCTCTCCCCATTCCCCAACATGTTGCTTCCCTAGTGTTCTCCATCTCAGTAAACAGCACGATCATCCATCCACCCAGCTATAAGTCCTCTAGAATCTAACTCCAAAACGTGTCCAGATCCATTCACTTTCTGTCCCTTTATGCCACCACTAGCTGTTGTCCAAGCCACTATCATCCCCTGCCAGATTACTTCCACAGTGTATCACCAGTCTGCAGTCTCACAGAGGTCAGCATTACATTTGCCAGCTTAATGCAAATGGTAGCACATCTCCATTTAAAGCATTCCAATGGCTTCTAACTCTTAAAAAGTAGAACTCAGACTCCCTAGCAAGACTTTAAGGATCTACATGATCTGGTTCCTAATCTGATTTTTCTTCTACCTCATTTTTTATCACTCTCCCCTTAGAAGCCTGCCTCAAATGCCATATTCCTTATTTTTAACTGATGATTCTTCTTGCTTTAAACTCTTTGCACATAGCTGTTTCCCACAAAACAATTCTTTCTTCTGATCTTCACTTGTCTTCCTCCTTCTGGTCATTCAGGTGTCACTTTTTCAGAGAGGTATCACTTCTTCAGCAGGACTTTCTACTGCCATCCAGTTTAAAGTAGCCTTCCTTCTCATCCCCTGAAGTCACTTTGTCTGACATCAACTTGTTTCATTTTCTCCTTAACGCTTAAACTACCAGAAATCACTGTGTGTATTTATCACCTTATTAGTTCACTATATGACTTACTAGTCCATAGTCACCTTGGAGGAGGGTTCCAGGGCCACTTATTCACCTCTGTGTCACCCATATTGAGAATAGCCCATAATCCGTAGTAGATTGGTAAATGGTTGTCAAATAAAACAATAGAAACTAATAGACTCATTGACTTTTCAGGAGTTAGGAGAGAAAAGGGAGTTTGAGAAACTTGATTTCCAAGGGTGCAGTCTTAATCTATGGGAAGAAATATCTGAGATCATCTGTGTATCAATGGGGGTAAGCATCCACACTCACTCGTTGAATAGATTCAATTTATGACTGTCAAAGGAACTCACTTAGTCAAGTCTGATCTATGTACTACTGGTACACTATTTAATATGCATGTTGTGAAGTAAGGATGAAGCTGCTTGAATTTTTCTGCTTTTTTGTACAATTTATAAAAACAGGTGAAGTTGTAGGGTGGCTTGCTACTTAGCCAAGGGACTAACATTATTATTACTCACTTAAGCAATGTTTCAAGTTCCATTGTCTTTGCAATTACTTCAGAGATGAGCGATGAGAGCACAAAACTAAACTGGTAAAATAAGCCAACTACAGCTGGAGACCATTAACAGCAAAATTGGGTATGCAGAAGAGAGCAGTGGGAAGCTGCAGTTATCTCAACTGGAGAAGCCATGTGGAAGTTAACAACATTGCGCTGAATCCTGATCCACAAATAGTACCAACAATGCTTTCTGATGTTATTCTTTCTGCCTCCAAGCTTCACAAAGCCCTCCATTGATTCTTTCACTTATTCTAACAGTTTCATGTGTGTCTATAAATTGGAAAAATATAAGGCAAAATAGTGAGTGCCCCTGGAATTGGGAACAAGATGTTAAAACATCTCTGAAATTGAAGCCAATGACCATCAAAACACAATGGCAAAGATGAGCCTCACAGAGAAGTAACTGAAGCTCCTGGGAATGATTTGTAAGAGTTTTGCTGCTAAGCCTAAGGTGTCTCCTAAATCTTATCAATACTAGAAGTTATTATAATTCCCTTCTGGGAAATATTAAGCTAAAATAAGATAAGATATATAATTTTGTCTGCCAAGAGGTTGCTTTCAGTACAGAACATCTCTGCATGGGGTGGGATGGGAGTGGCAAAGAAGTGGGGAAGTAGATATGTTTGACTGCTAGCTTATTTCTGAAACAGACATTGGTCAAGTTACCGGCAGCCCATCTCTCCATCAAACTTCATCTAGCTTCAAAATCCCATATGAGGAAGGGAAGCACACCTTCTTTTTACAAGTTAGGGGCTGATATGGTTTGGCTGTGTCCCTATTCAAATCTCAATTTGAATTGTATCTCCCAGAATTCCCATATGTGGGAGGTACCCAGAGGGAGGTAGGTAATTGAATCATGCGTGCCCGTCTTTCCCGTGCTATTCTCATGATGGTGAATAAGTCTCACGAGATCTGATGGGTTTATCAGGGGTTTCTGCTTTTGCTTCTTCCTCATTTATTCTCTTGCCGCTGCCATGTAAGAAGCACTTTTGCCTCCCGCCGTGATTCTGAGGCCTTCCCAGTCATGTGGAACTGTAAGTCCAATGAAACCTCTTTTTCTTCCCAATCTCGGGTATGTCTTTCTCAGCAATGTGAAAACAGACTAATATCTTACTCCCTAAAAAGACAGGACACTCACTACTACACAAGATCCTCATTGAGGACACTCCTTTGATAAAATAAGAACAATGATAATAATGAAAGTTATTTAGCCTTCCCTTGTAATTTTATTGACTTATATTAATTCATGTTAATTCGATTTAATTGAATTAAAACCTTGGAATAAACAACCCATTCCTCCTAAGCTTAGAAGATACACTGACCTTCCTCCTTCTTGGGAAACTGCAATCACAAAACAAAACCTAGAAATGCTGAGATGTGTCAGATTTTTAGAAAAAGCTGTGAAGGCTTAGGTCTGTTCTCTCCTACCCTCCCACTCCCCAAAACCTAGCTTTGCCATAGCCAGCTGTATATGGCAACTGGTGACTTGTTTGAGTCTATCTTTGCCCAAAAATTCTGTGCTTGGAACCCAGAATAAAACTGACTTTTAATAATGTATTATAATGGAAAACTATTATCCAAATTGGATAATACTTATACTTTCTTATATCAGTAAATGAATAAGATTTTTTGCCAGTAATAACTTTACCAGAGCAGTTTTTTTTTTTTCCCGGCACTTTGGATGGAGTTTTAGTAAGTCAATTACTAGTGGTAACCATTTCTTTCCAACCACTTTCCTCTACCACTACCCTCTCCCATGATATCATTATATGTAAATTGGATTCATTTAACCTGTATAGAGAAGCTCATCTTTATAATAAAATCATTAGACCATAATGACAGATGAAATGGAAAGGCGGCAGAAAGAAACAGGCATTTCAGAAATATTTATGTAGCTCTGCAGAATGGCGGGTGTCAGTTGCAAAGTTACTATTAGCTAGAAGGTCTTACTGTGTATCCAATTTAATACCTGGTAATATGTTTCTCTCAGTCATCCACAGGGAAAAAGTAGGGCAGTGGAACCCGGGAAGGTTTGGGAGTGGGTCCATCTGAAAGGCAATGTGTGCATATTTGACTGGTTTTGTGTGCATGTGTGTCTGCTTGTAAATGAGTGCTTCTAGTTTGGAAAAATCTGACTCTGAGGCCTGATACATTCCTTATACATTAGGGTGCACTTTTTCTTAGCTTCAGCATTAGGGAATAGAAGGCATCTCTTTTAGCTCCTGCCCAGTGACATCCTTTAGACTTTAAATCATTTCCTTTACATTTTATTTGAAAGAAGAGGTGCCTAAGAATAATAATGCATCAATGACTTCACCATTAGACTTTAGGGATTTGACTGCTGTAATGCCATGGGCCCTTTTTAAGTAACAGTTTTTTTTTTTTTTTTTCTCTTTTCTTTTCACTTTGGTAGTTCCATCAAACTGGGGCCGCTTTATTGAAAGGGATTCATCTTTTTTTTTTTTTTAAAGAAAGAAACATTACTTAAGGACATAAGAATAACACAATGTGAGGCTGATTTCCCCTAAAGATAGAATAGCAATGAAATGAAAAAGAAACAGTGACTATGTAGAATCTAATCCTTCCTTAGAATAAAAAGCTCAAGTTAAAAGAGCAAAACTAGCCCATGCTTCTTAAGATGAAAGTGATGGTAGGGGCATTGCTATTTTGACCTAATGGGAACTGCAAAGGGAATAATGAGGTTACCTGACCCCATGCTAGTTTGTAAATGACTCCTTTCTTACAGAACAATTCTATTGTCAGTAGCTGTCTAACAATTACATTCTCGACTAACACACACACACACCCACACGAGAAAATGGTGGGTGTACCCCCCTTCCTTTCTAAACCCAAACATTCTTGATTTCTACCTCAAGTGTTGTTTCAGTGGTTTTAGAGCAATTTAATTCCAAATAATCCAACATTTTTCAACCAGAATTTTTGCCTTTCTCTTGAACTATCCTTGCTCAAGCTCCTTTTTAAACATGTTTAATGTATGCATTTGTCTTATCTTTGCTGCTTTATACAGATTTTAAAAAGACATTTGGGTACAGAAACTTGAGTCACTATTGTGTCTCTTTAGGGACCCACTCAGGGAGTGATAAAAATTGTTCTTGTATCAGAAATGCCAGCCAAGGCAGATTTTAACCATGCAGCCCTGTCAGAGATCCCTCCTACTTTTACAAAGTAAATAGCATTCTGTCTTGCCTGTCACCATTTGATCAATGTCTTTATGATAACACAATAGCGTTATGAAAACAGTAAAAGGAAATATCAAAATGATTAACACAAATGAGAACTTTGCAACCTGAAATGGGACTGCAAAATGCAGGGTGGGGTGGAGGAAGCAAGATGATGAGGGGAGGGAGTAACAAAGGAAACCAAATGGTTGCACTCCATGCATGCTTCGATTGGCTTTATTGATTTCTCACCCTCTCATCGCTTCTACCTCCAAAACAGTCAGCCCACTCAAGACTTAATTATTTTCTTTCTGAGAGAGAGAGAGAGCAAGGGAATGAGAGCAAAAGCGAGGTGGGGGTCGGGGAGAGGAAGAGAGGGAGAGAGAGAGAGAGAAAATCTGTTCATAAGGGAAGCAGTCATTGCTGCTCATTTTTTAAAAGCACTTAAGGGTCATTAGTCTAACACTGCAGTGAATGTATTATTCATTTTGCCTTAGCCCAATTTCTCAGCTAAGAATTTTGCAAGAAAATGATACACAGTTCAGTAGAGAGGTGATTGATCAAGCCAGAAGGAACAGAGTTTGGGCATCCTGATAAAAATTTTTCTCAGTTTTCTCAGTTAGCATAAATCAATTTTATTTATGTAGTAACACTTGAATACTAACTACCCAATGCCATCCGTCAAGACAAAATTGATGACTATACCTTTAGGTTAATATTACTTGAACATTTCATTCTGAATAATTTATACACATTTCTGTCTGAGTGTCAATTCGCGATTGTTTATTTGGTTTCAGTAAGTATAGCTGAACCACAGCTTTTATTAAGAAAAGATTTTCGCCTCTGTTTACTTTGTGCATTAAAGGGGCCTGTCCTAGTTTGGGTCCTTGATATTATTCCACAGGAATGGAAACACGGAACAATTTTGTGCCAAATCTAGGGTAGCTTACATCTTTTTTTTAAGAGCCTTTTGCTAAATGATTTGTGCCATTCAGTGGAGAAAACCGCTAGGATTATATATAAACAGATAAAAAGCTGGCAAAGAGAGGTGAGCAGATATTTAATAATAACACTTACATGTTGTTTGTGAAGAGGATGTGAGTACATTGCATTAACAGCCTCAATTGCTGTTTTCACTCTTTGCCAAATAATCTAATCTGTCCACCAAGACTAGTGCTAACACCACCCTCTCCTCTTAGGTGACATTAGATGTGTGCATTATTATTCATCTTATGAAGAACGTGATACATTTTATAATCACTCCATTTGCTGCTGCTTCTTCAGTTTTATGGTAATCACCTTCCTACTGGGCAGATAACATGAAAGCATGTGCATGTTCAGATTCTGTGACTGAAATGAATGGCTGATGATGAAATGCTAGTAAATTTTACACAATAAGAAAACAGAAAGGCTCCTTCAACTCAGCTGAGGATCTTCACCTAAATCAACCTGATTGTGTATTTTCACACAAAAGAAGGAAAGTCTTTCATTTAATCTGAAATATTCTGCCCGTTACATTTATAAATTCTTTCTTTTCCTCTCCATCCCCTGCCCCCCAACTCTGTCTTACATGCACGTTCTTTTACTTTTGAGAAACTTTCCCTCAAGCAGTTATCACAGAGTTCAGTCTCAAGAGAATGTCTGACAACCAATGGGAGGAAGCAGCACCTTATACAAGGTGATACCTTAGACATTAGAGGAATAGTATGGAAATGAAGCATGAATTCCAAATAAATCACTCACTCTGCAGTTTGATTTCTAGAAATAACATTTCTTCTGTGTTCAGAGTCCACATTAGCAGGAACCAGCAGAGCTGCAGGATTTTATAGGTGTGCACAGATACTGTACATACACATACACAAACACATACTGTTGGGAATGATTCATGGCTGCCGCTGGAAAGTGTACCTTCAGATTTGCCTCAGATATAATTAATGTTAAAGGAATAAAAATAGAATCTACCCATAAAAGATACACGTATGTAGGCACCGATCAAAAGGTAGCCCATGCTTAACTTTGCTTTGACAACCACATGTGCAGTTTCATCTCCTAAATAGTTTGAATCATTTATTCAATTCAACAGATAAACACTGAACTCCAATTATTTGGAAGACACTGTTCAAGAAACCACAGAGTTGCAGAGATGAGTAAGTCTGAATCTCTAAATAACTTTACAGGTAGCTTAAAGGAGGTTGAGAATACAAGTAGTATGATAAATATCATGTTATGTATGTATATATAATATGTATAAATAAATGGAACAAAGCCAGATTTTATAAAAGCAACATAATAATACTTCTGAATTATTAGACCATGATACATTTTATTAGGGGCATTTATTTTGGTTGTGCCACGTCTATGATTAATAATGCTGTGTGTTCATTAAAGTTTGTACGACAAGATTTTAATTAAGAATTTTTAAGTACTTTGTACATACTGTATTGTTATGCAAAGATTAGAAGTTATTAGAGTTACATGTGCTTTTTGGCTAAGGTAAAAAAGGTATTGTGCATTTTTACAGTCTCGGTTGGGAGAACAGGCTCCTAAAACATTGTGCTATAACTAGACCAGATGTAGATAACGTCCAATAGAATTAAAAACTCTGGTGTTGTGTATTGTTTAAAAGGTGAGTCTCATTACTTTGTAACAAATCCCAGATTATGTAATCATTGCATATGTAATCCAAATCTTATTAATATTAAAATAACACCTCAGTAAATATCTATGTATTGTCAATATTGGGAATATAACTCTATGACGTTAATTTGCCTTCATCTATCTTGTTAAGTGAAACATGCCTTTAACAAATTATACAATTTTTATAAATTAATAGAGATATGATTATACATTTATTGCTTATATAATTTTATTTAATTAAGGGACAGCCCTATAGATAATTCTTATTAAAGTTTGATATTCTTAACAATCAATGCTACTGAAGTAACAATTATAACCATTGACCATTTCGAATGTTATTGTCTCAATTAAATGCTGACTTTAAATACTCAATTTTCTGTGCAGTTGACCTACAAAACTTCTGAAATAACTTTAAAATTATTTCTTTCTTAATCTTAAACTTTAGCTTAGCATATATTTTAAAAACCTACCCAGATGGACCAAAACAACTTGATGAGTATTTCTTAGGGGTGACTTAGACCCAAAAAAGGCCGGAAAATGCTAGGACTGGTACAACAAGTAAATGGCTGGATTCTGGTTCTTTGATAAAACTCCTCAAAGACACCTAGTCTTTTTTTTTAAGCAATAGTTATTTATAGAGTTTCTCAGAACTAAAATCTGTCACCGATATGTCACTAATGTTTTCAGATGAATTTCAGTATTGCATGGACAAATGGGATTGTTTATGGGCCAATAGGTGTCAAGATAAACTAATGACACAAGCTGCTCCTGTCGATACTTTCCATGATTCCATTGGTGGGGTGGGTTTGGAGTGAGTCTGTTTAGCCATTGTGTATTTCTGCAACCCACACAGTGCTGAGAACAAGAACACTAATCTCAAAATTCATGTTCAAATCCAAAGATCTACAAAGCTTCTTGCGGTTATAATACACTGTAAATGCTCACAATATGCCTCTAAAACGTGTGTCACCATATCCATTTTTTTTTAGGGCAGGAAACCAAGGCTCAGTAGCCATGTACCAAACTAGCAATGAACCTTAAATTAGAATCCAGATTCTTCTAGATGACAGAAATTTGGTCTATCTCCTAAAGAGAGATATATCCTTATTGAGAAATTAATCCAGGGTTTTCAAGTTGGAGCTCAAATAGAGGACTGATCCAATATTGGTCCACTGTTAGGCTAAATACTGAGAATGGTTCCTTGGGGACAAGGTTGAACAATTAAATGTAAACTTTATATGTAGATTTTAATCTAATAATTACTAATTGGTCTGAGTAACTGAGGTAGTCACCTGGTCTTAGAATGTTAAAAGCTAAAGGATTTGAGATATACTCAAACCCACCTTTTTCTCTGAGTGATTTTCACAGTTATCTTAAAATAAAACCATGAGAACTCATGTTGTTTGCTTTTCACATATTTTCCTTTGTCAGTGCTGCTTTATGAAAGGAAAATATTCCCTCATTAAGATTTTTCAAATAAGTAAGAGAAAAGATAAAAGTATCTGTTGTATTTTATTGTATTTTATCAATGTGAGACATATTCACATTGGTAATTTATGAAATCTATTAAGTGTAAAGTAATCAGAGATGCTTTTCTATTGTCTTAGTCCATTCTGGCTGCTGTAACAAAATACCATAGACTGAGTAGTTTCTAAACAACAAAAGTTTATTTCTCACAGTTCTGGAGACTGGGAAGTCCAAGATCAGGGGCTGGCATGTTGAGTGTCTGACAGGAGCTCACTTCCTCATAGACAGCCGTCTTCTCATTCTAACCTCGTGTGGTGGAAAAGACAAGAGGTCTCTCTTGAGCCTCTTTTATAAGGGAATTAATACCATAATACTGATTTTCTGGAGGTTAATACTAATAAACCCCTAAAGATTCCATCTCCTAATACCATCAACTTGGGAGTGAGGATTCCCACATATGAATTCAGGGAGACAAAAGCATTCAGACCATAGAAATAAAATATAATGATTCCTGACACTGTGGAATACTGCTCAACTAATCTGCCCACTTTGGGTATGAGAATTCTTGCCTGACAGTTTTCCTTTTGATGCACCTGAGAGAGAGCTATCTTTAACAATGCCTGAAGGAGTTCTTTAACATCTGTTTTTCAAAGAGGATAAATAAGGAATAAACTATATATGGTTCACCTAACATAGTAAACTAATATTTTGAGATATATGTGAATATGTATATCCTTATATACTTATATTTGATAAATCAATTTGTTTAAGGTTTTATTCCTCCTTTCCTCATTCATTCAGTTTTTCATCAATTTAACACATATTCAACAAACATTTGTTAATCACTCTATCAAGCACTGGAGATGTGGAAGTCAGTGAAACATTTGACCTGCATTTATTAAAATCAATTATTAGGAAAAATTCTTGGAACAATCAGTAGCACTATGTAAAAATGAGACATTTGGAAACAGACAAGACAATAGAATGTGATTTTTAAGTAAAATATGCCTAAATCACTATTTTTAGGTGAAATATGCCTACGTAACTTGTCCTTGCTAAGAGATAACCTCTATCTTTGCACTGAGGAAAATCTTGAGAAACCCCCAAAAACCTCTGCTTTACAGCCCTTTTGTTTAGAAATTCTTGATTAAACTTTAGGTACACAGATCTTTATATTAAAGTGGAGAGAAAATTATTACTTTGGTTTTTTAAAAATTATTTTATTTTATTTTTTTAAGTTCCAGGGTACATGTGCAGGATGTGTGTGTTTGTTACATAGGTAAACATGTGTCATGTGGTTTGCTGCACGTGACAATTCATCACCTAAGAATTTTTTTTAATTTCCATAGGTTATTGGGGAACAGGTGTTATTTAATTACATGAGTAAGTTCTTTAGTGGTGATTTGTGAGGTTTTGGCACACCCATCACCCAAGCAGCATATACTGCACCCAATTTGTAGTCTTTTATCCCTTACCCCCTTCCCACCCTTTCCCCTTGAGTCCCCAAAGTCCATTATGTCATTCTTATGCCTTTGCATCCTCATAGCTTATCTCCCACTTATGAGTGAGAACATATGATGTCTGGTTTTCCATTCCTGAGTTACTTCACTTGGAATAATAGTCTCCAATCTCATCCAGGTTTCTGCCAATTCCATTAATTCATTCCTTTTTATGGGTTAGTAGTATTCCATTGTGTGTGTATGTATGTATGTGTGTATATATATATATATAGATATAGATATAGATATATATCACATATATATATATATACCACACACACACACACATATATATATATATATATATATATATATATATATATATATATATACCACATATATATATCCAACTTGTTGATTGATAGACATTTGGGTTGATTCCACATTTTTGCAATTGCTAATTGTGCTGCTATAAACATGTGTGTGCAAGTATCTTTTTTGTATAATGACTTCTTTTCCTCAGGTAGATATCCAGCAATAGATTGCTGGATCAAGTGGTAGTTATACTTTTAGTTCTCTAAGGAATCTCCACACTCTTTTCCATAGTGGTTGTACTAGTTTTCATTTCAACCAGCAGTATAGAAGTGTTCCCTGTTCACCACATCCATGCCAATATCCATTATTTTTTGATTTTTTGACTATGGCCATTCTGTGGTATTGTATTGTGGTTTTGATTTGCATTTCCCTGATCATTAGTGATGCTGAGCATTTTCTCATATGCCTGTTGGCCATTTGTATATCTTCTTTTGAGAATTGTCTATTTATGTCCTTAGCACATTTTTGGTGGGATTGTTTGTTCTTTTCTTGCTAATTTGTTTGAGTTTGTTATAGATTCTGGATATTAGTCCTTTGTTAGATGTATAGATTGTGAAGATTTTCTTCCACTCCGTGGGTTGTCTGTTTATTCTGTTGATTCTTCCTTTATTCTGTTGACTCTTCCTTTATTCTATTGACTCTGTGGGTTGTCTGTTTATTCTGTTGACTCTTCCTTTTGCCGTGCAAAAGCTGTTTAGTTTAATTAAGTTTAATTAGTTTAATTAGTCCCAGCTATTTATCTTTGTTTTTATTGCATTTGCTTTTGGGTTCTTGGTCATGAAATCCTTGCCTAAACCAATGTCTAGAAGGGTTTTTCCAATGTTATCCTCTAAAATTTTTACGGTTTTAGGTCTTAGATTTAAGTCTTTGATCCATCGTGAGTTGATTTTTGTATAAGGTGAGAGATGAGAATCCAGTTTCATTCTTTTACATGTGGCTTGTCAATCATCCCTGCATCATTTGTTAAATAAGGTGTCCTTTCCCCACTTTATGTTTTTGATTTCTTTGTTGAAGATCAGTTGGCTGTGAGTATTTGGGTTTGTTTCTGTGTTCCCTATTCTGTTCCACTTGTCTATGTGCCTAATTTTATATTAGTACCATGCTGTTTTGGTGACTATGGGCTTATAGTATAGTTTGAAATCAGATAATGCGATGCCTCCAGATTTGTTCTTTTTGCTTAGCCTTGCTTTGGCTATGCAGGCTTTTTTTTGGTTCCATATGAATATTAGGATTGTTTTTTCTAGTTCTGCGAAGAATGATGGTGGTATTTTGGTGGGAATTGCATTGAATTTATAGATTGCTTTTGGCAGTATGGTTATTTTCACAATAGTGATTCTACCCCATCCATGAGCATGGGATGTGTTTCTAATTGTTTGTGTCATCTGATTTCTTTCAGCAGTGTTTTGTAGTTTTCCTTGCCGAGGTCTTTCACCTCCTGGGTTATGTATATTTCTAAGCATTTTATTTGTATTTGTTTTTGTAGATATTGTAAAAGGGGTTGAGTTCTCAATTTAATTCTCCACTTGCTCACTGTTGGTGTATAGAAGAGCTACTGATTTGTGCACATTAAAGTTGAAAGCATTCCCTCTGAGAACTGGAACAAGACAAGGATCACCACTTCTCTTCAACATAGTACTGGAAGTCCTAGCCAGAGCAATCATGCAAGAGAAAGAAGTAAAGGACATCCAAATTGGTAAAAATTATTATTTGTAGCTAATAAACGAAAAGAAAATTATCAGTGGATGTCAACCTGAATCTATAGTTTCTGCACCAAAGAGGTAGTCAGAGAGACACACAAGTTTCTCACTCCCTTCCTTCAACATCGTATAGAAATAATTTTCTTAGCTTGAATAGAAGTTATGAGGTCAAATTTCCTTTTTGCTAGTTTTGGAGTAAAAGGCTTTTCAGAAAACATTTGAAAAGTCATATAAGGGATAAATTACAAAAGTATCTTCTCACCATGAGAGCTTCTGAGTCACAATCTCTGTTGGTAGAGCTGCTGACTTGTTTACCAAATTGCTGTTCATTGTATCAATGATGTTGTGGAGCTATCTGTTATTTCACATTATCATCAGCCAGGATACTATCAACCAATACAGTGCAGGTCATTAAGTAATTATTGTTTCAATTTTCACTTTAGCGATTACTTAGTTAGGAATTGTTTGTAAGTTTGCCATTCATTTGTATTTCTTCTTCAAAGAGCACTTTGAATTCTTTGACCTTTTTTTCTATTGTTTCTCCTTCTCTAAATGATATATTTGGAATTCTGTGTATATTCTGTAAATTAGTCCATTATCTTTTAAATATGTTGAAATTGTTCCTTTCAATATCTCTTTTGCTTTTTAAGTTTATGATTTTTTGTTGTAAAGGAGTTTACAATTTTTATCCAGTCAAATCTATCATATTTTCTGATTTTCTGTCTTAGGAAGTCTTTTATCATCTCTTGATTTAAAATTGTTATTATTCTAGATATTCTTGTATTTCCTCATGCTTCGTTGTTCCATTCATCAGATATTTGTGTATTAACTAAATATCTAACTGTATTATCCATTTGTCACAAATCACTTATTGAATACTTCATCATGTCCCCATTGGTTTCAAATGCCACATTTATCATAAAATTATTCCCACATACACAGTCTGCTTTCAGGCTGTTTATTCCATTTATGATATATGTATTTATTCATGTACCAAGATCACACTGTTTTAATTACTCTTATTTTCAAGTATGTTTTGATATTTGGAAGGACCATTCCTTCTCTTTGATTTTCAAAACATTACAGACTAGTTGTGTATATTTTCTCATATAAACTTAAAAATTTATCAATATCCATTACCAAAATGGTAAGAACATGGATTAGAATTACATTAAATATATAGAATTTTATGGGAATGAATAATTAAAAGAATAAGAATTTGAATTTGCTTAATTTTCTTTTAGGTGATTTGGTAAAGTATTGTGATATTCCTTACATATGTTACACATTTTTTGTTAAGTTTATTTCTGGATATTTCGTGGAATATTATTTTTGTAGCAGCTATGAATAGGCTCTTTTTTCATTATAATTTTAACTGATTGCTTTTGATATATAAAAAAATTATTGTTTTCATATATGCATCTTATATCCAACAACTTACTGGCCTCTTCTCTATTTCTAACATACTTCTAAAAAAATATTTTTAGTTTTCCAGGTCCAAAATTAACACCCACAAATACTGAAAGTTTATTATCTTCCTTTCCAAAGAAGTTGATATTTCTATTTTTTTCTCTTACATTGGCTAGGACCTTGAGTGCAATGGTGAAAACTGAGGGTAATAGTAGATATTTTTGTGCTCATCTTGATGTTAGTAGGAAAGCTTTTAATGACTTATTATCAAATATTTTATTGTAGGTTTCTGGCACATAGTTGTTAGTTTCAGAAAATGTGTTTGTTTGCCCCCTTAGTAGATCTTCTTAGATTAAAAAAATGAGAGTCAAATTTTATCCAATGGATTTTTAAAGCAGGTATTCAGGTGATAATATGGCTTTCCCAAGTTAATCTATTTAATCTGTTAACAGACAAATTACATCAAAAGATCTACTGATGTTAACTCATCCTTACATTCCATTCACATACTTTATTTGGTCATAATGTGATTTTAAAATACTCCGCTGGATTCAGTTTGCTAATAATTTATTTAGATATTTGCATCTTAGTTCATAAGAGATAAGATTGGCCTGGTGTGTGTGTGTGCCTGTGACACTTGCTGCATAAAAGAGGTTAACATGTTTTCCTTCAGTTTCCACATCATGGAACAGTTTATATAACAGAGAAACATCCAGTGTATTGACTATTCAATGCCTAGAAACAGACTTTGCCTATGTAACCATTTGAGTTTCACACATGTCCTTGTTATTAAGTCTTTTTGTTTGTGTGTTTTAACTTTTACCAAGGTTATGTTTCTATACAGTTTAAGTAGCGACAAATTTTATGAGGTATGTTAGGGAAAACAGCAGTTCTTACTGCTCCTTCTCACCACTATCCCTACTGACATATTTCCCATTCTTCAGAAATAACCACTTTCAAGTCATATTTATATGATTTGCTGATATATTTAGGTTACTCTGACCATATCATTTTATGTTTTCTATTTACTGTTCTTTGATTCTTTCCATTTACTGTTTTTGTGTGTGTGTCATATTGTTTCTTATAGCTTTGATCCCCAATTTTCCCCTTCCTCTTGTTTTTGTCCTTTTGTCATTGAAAAGATGTGGATCTTACCTCATTTTTAATATTGGTTACCCCTAAATTTTCACATAAACATTTAAATAAACTTTATAAATAATACCTAGCATTACTCAGTAAATTACTTCCTCTCACTTCTCATATTTCAACAGTATTTCTTTTGCTCAAACTAGACTTCTAACAGACTGTTGTAAAATTTTGTACTAAAGCTGCAATATAGAGGTACTTCACAAAACTTGTTTTAGCTGTCTGTTTCATTGGAAGGACCTCTTCAACCTGAATGTATTGCTCTCTCTGCACTGGGTGCTTTCTGTTCTGAAAAGTCAGAGGTAAGCTGAAGGAAGAAGGGAAAAACAGGAGAAAAAGGTTGATTCAAAATCAACCATACTAAATGCAATGCAGTGTCCTGCATTGGATCCAGGAACAGAAAAAAGACATTAATAGAAAAACTGGTGAATTCCAAATAAAGTTTGTGGTTCAGTTAGCAGTATTTTACCAATGTTAATTTCTTAGTTTTGACAAATATATCATGGATATATAGATGTTAACGTCAGGCAACCTGGGCGAAGGGCATACTGAACTCTTTGTATTATCTTTGCTACATTTCTAAAATTCTAACATTATTCAAAAATACATAGTTTTAAAATTGCTTTAGCCATATATTTTGATAAGGAAAAGAGCAACTTTTAGGCTTAATAGAACTTAAAAAAAAGTTCTAGTGCATAACAGCCATTAATATTTTATCAGGTCCTCTGTTGTTCACCATCCCATGTTCTTGGTCCACCAAGAACCCAAAGTTTTATTGTTTAATTATTTTGCATCTATAGTATGAGTTTTCCATCTGGATAGAAGAGGTTATGTGCATGTCTACGTGTGTGTGCACAAAGGAGTATGCATGGGCACATGTATGTGTGAGTGGTTTTGCAGGTACCTGTTAAGAGATGAAGTTGGAGAAATAATAATAATGATGATCAAAATAAGACTATTAGCCATCATGTACTCTGTATTATTTATATGCCAGGTTCTCTGCTGTGAACATGTATTACCTCATTTCATGTTCATAATAGCCTTATAAATTAGGTACTGTTAACAGCCCTGTTAGTTTCTTTCCGCTACCTCCATGTTATCATTGCATTATTGGTATGTATTGATAAATGGCATTTTCCAATTTTTATATTTCTTTTTATAGTTATGCCCCAGAAGCTAACAGAAACCATATACTTAATAGTAATCACTTATATATTTACAGAGCACTAAACACTATTCTAAGACAGCTATATGTACAGGAATATATAAAGATGTATGAATACAGGCATATGTACATACAGATATTCATATATTCATTAATCCTCACAACCATTTGATTAAGTAGGTATCCTGATTATTATCCAGTTTTACGGATGAGGAACCTAGGCGGTGAGAGTTAAATTACAGGCGTTAAATCAAAAGCTGGTAGGCAGTGGGTCCAGGATTTGAACTCAGTCAGGCAAGCTGTAGAATCCAAGTTTATAGCCACTATTCACTATTTAGTTTTTAGACCTGCTGCCTTAATGATTACATTTGCTATTTATTTTAAAAGACAATAACATTTTTACAAGTGAAATACTATAGTGTTGTGTGATATAAAGGAAAGCAAAAAATGCTGTCAGAAACTTAAAAATTTCCAATCAAGCATGTACAGCTAAATTTTCTGTTGAACTCAAGTTGAAGACATTTGGAGTATTTTATTACTTTTAAAAGTTGCACTGATGGCCGGGCATGGTGGCTCATGCCTGTAATCCCAGCACTTTGGGAGGCCAAGGCAGGTGGATCACCTGAGGTCGGAAGTTCAAGGCCAGCCTGACCAACATGGAGAAACCCTGTCTCTACTAAGAATGCAAAATTAGCCAGATGTGGTGGCACATGCCTGTAATCCCCACTACTGGGGAGGCTGAGGCAGGAGAATCGCTTGAACCTGGGTGGTGGATATTGCAGTGAGCCAAGATCGCACCATTGCACTCCAGCCTGGGCAACAAGAGTGAAAAACTCCGTCTCAAAAAAAAAAACAAAAAAAAAAACTTGCACTGACAAGGGGCAGTGGTTCACATCAGTAACCCAAGCACTTTGGGAGACTGAGGCAAGAGGACTGCTTGAAGCCAGGAGTTCAAGACCAGCACGGGCAACATAGCAAGGCCCTGTCTCTACAAAAAATAAAAAATAAAAATAAAAATTATCTGGGTATGGCGGCATGCAGCAGCCACAGTCCCAGCTACTTGGGAAGCTGAGGCAGGAGGATCACTTGAGCCCAGGAGGTCGAGGCTGAGTGAGCCATGATCACACCACCACACTCCAGCCTGGGTGACAGAACGAGATATCAACTCAAAAAAAAAAAAAAAAGAAAAGTTGAACCACATTCTTTAATTAAGGTAATCAGTATGAGAAGCATTTATTGATATCTCTAATAGCTAAATTGTCTGTATTTTTAATTGATAGAATGCCATTGTAAGTCATTATTGGCAGAAGGAGACACATTGCTCAGTGATGTTTACCAAACCACTGATGTACCCTAGCCTTGCACTTGACTGAGATGACAGATGTTAAAATGACCTTATTCTGATTGCTTCCTATGGGACATGCATCTGAAAGAAGTCGGGAATACAGGCAATTTTACCTTAGGTCATTATTAACTTAGGTTCATAAAGATGCTTTCAAACATAGTCATAAGAATTAACATGGTTTTGCATGAATTCCCTCAACTTTAGTATGTATTGCTTGGTTTTAGTTTGTTTTTTTTTTTGTTTGTTTGTTTTTTGGCATGAGATTGGAAAAGACATTGGGAGGTATGGGGGAGGCAATTACAAATACAAGTGTAAAATATTTTATATTTTTAATAAATCTTTAGCTGGGAAGGTGGCAAGCTGCTATTTGTGAAGTTCAAAGTACTGTAACCATGCGATACTCTAGCAATTTTTCATTTTTAGTTTTTTTAAAATTTAAATGCACAAAATAGATATCCACAATTTTTTGATTCACAACATATTCTTGTTGTCCAACATGGCCATGGCTAGCTTTTACTTGTTTAATTGGTTGTTTGTTTACTTTTAATAATAAAATAAGCACCTATAACTCCACTATCTAAAACAAAAGCATAGGTCTGGAGAATAACAACAACAAAATAACCATGTGATCTCCTGTCCCCTCCCCTTGACTTCCTGAGACTAAAGTAAACATGATCTTGAATGTCTTGATCATCAGCCCCTTCCTTTCTCTTTAAATGATTTTATTCCATCCTTATTCCTAAAACAATAAACATTTTTGTATCATTATTTTTCACTTTATGAAAAGGTATATCAGGGTATGTGTAATCTTTTGGAACTTAGTTTTTCTACTTAATATAATACTACTAAGATAGGTTATCTTTTACATGTCACCGCATTGCATTTATTTTGAGTACTATGTAATTCTATATCTGAGGTTTGTTCATCTACTCTTCCCCTGTTAGATCATAGGTTAGGAGTTTTTCCCCTATTGTGAACATCTATGTCACAATCTTATTATCCTGTTCTACATATGCAAGTGTTTCTCTGGAATATATATCTAGGTGTGGAATTGCCAGGTCATAAGCAATGAGTGTTCAACTTTAGGAGAAATATATTTTCCAAAGTGGTTGTATCATTTGTATATCCACCCATAATACATAAAAGATCTAGTTGTTCTAAACCCTCCCAACATTTGATATTGTCAGACTTTTTAGTTTTGCAGATTGAATGGGTGAACATTGTCTCTTATTTTAAGCTTAATTTTTTTTCCTGATTATTGTGATGATGAACATCTGTTTATGAAAAAGATAAAATTAGCCATTTTAGGAATTTTAATATTAACCGGTTTGTAGCCCATAATTTCTCTGTCCTATAAAAATATTTCTATATGTTTTATTAATTTAGATCAAAGGCCAGCAAACTTTTCTGTAAAACAATAAATATTTTTGGATTTGCACAGCAGATGGTTTCTGTCGTGACTACTCAGCTCTTCCTTTTAGCAAGAAAGTACCCATGGGTAATACATAAACAAATGGAGTGTGGCTGTGTTCCAATAAAAGTTTATTTTCAAAAACAAAGGGTGGACCAGATCTGGCTTATAGGCTGTAGTTTGCTGATTCATGCTTCAGATTGCCAGAGATCTTCATTGGACTGTAGATCATGGATATGTTACAAGTATATCTAGTAGCAGTCTATCTACTAGTCTTTAACATATCGTGGATATGTTACTAGTCTATCTACTAGCAGAGTAGCCGGTCCTCAGTTGAAATCATCACAATGCATTGAACATATACTTTCTGTATGGTATATTATAGTATATTATATCATTGTATTATAAAATACATTTATTTTTCAGGCTGTAAGTAGCAAGAAAGATACATTTAAACTTTTCCAAACACAACTTCAAATTCAACAAATAAATCAAACCTTTATAATGCTGGCTATTTTTTTTTTTTCTGCAACAGCTCAGCAAGAGAGATTCTATTTTGCCCAATTTATGAATGAGGAAATTGAGATTCAGAGAATCTAAGTAATTTGCTTACAATGGTACAGGGAATAAATAGCAAAACGTGGTATTGGAATTTGGATTTGCCTGGCCCCAAAGCTTGTACTTCTTTGACTGAAGTGTGCTTCCATGACCAGGCATGGTGACTCATGCCTGTAATCCCAACTCTTTGGGAGGCCGAGGCGGGTGGATCACTTGAGATCAGGAGTTTGAGACCAGCCTGGCTAACATGGCGAAACCTCATCTCTACTAAAAATACAAAAATTAGCCAGGTATGGTGGCAGGCGCTTGTAATTCCAGCTACTCAGGAGGCCAAGGCAGGAGAATGTTTGAACCTGGGAGCTGGAGGTTGTAGTGAGCAGAGCTCACACCACTGCACTTTAGCCTGGGGGACAGAGTGAGACTCAGTATCAAAAAAAAAAAAGTGTGCTCCCAAGGTGTCCACATAGAATGAGGAATCAGTGTGATTTTACTTCTGTATCCTAACAGTTACTATTGCTAACATTACAGAGAGATTTTTTTTTAAAAAAATATGCCCAACACTCTGCTGTCTTTTGCATGCAGTATCTCTTTTAATCTTTATTAAAGTCTTTAATACTGATGTTATAGTACTCTGTTGCACACACAAAAAAACGTGTATTATAAAGTAAGTTGCCTAAAGTCACATAGCTAGTAATTTGCTCAGTCAAAAATTACACAGAAGCAGGAAAGCTGGTGCCCTCAGGGACTCTGTCTCACTGCACCTCTGTCTCACTGCCACCCATCTGACCACATAAACACAAAGTGAATGAGTAACTCTTCCAGGAAAAATGCAGGCATTTCATTAAAAATACTGGCCATGTAGCTGTCTGGCTATGAGTTATCATCATATACCTTATTACCATTCACATTTTCCTGAAACATATACTTTTCCTCCAGAGTCATAAAATACCTTGTGCTATACAGACCTTGATTTCCATAATCCAGGTTATTTCTTTCTCAGAAATGTTGTCACTATTTCCTTTGGAGAGCAGAAAGAAGCTTCTTTCTCGGAGATTATCATTATGGCATGATTGTCAAAATACTACTGAAAGGGGCTCTGCAAAAATGTGCCCTTTGAGAAGATGTACTTGTTTGCCTGAATTGAGAGACATTCATAATAATGGCTTGCCTTTCTCTTTACCTACCTTCCTGCCTTTCTGTCTTCCTTCCTTCTTTCCTTATTTTCTCCATCCAAAGCTTACTTAATCATTTATATTTTTAATCATGTATCTTTTTATTCAGGCAATAATTACTTAGTTGGCGACTACTATCTGTCAGTCATTGAACTCACATAAAAAGATGACTAGAATGTGGTCATTGCCCTAAGGAAAAATACAGTAAAGGAAAGAGAAGTAGGTATAAAACGAGTAAGTCCTCTAAAGCCTTGCTACTCAATGTTGATTCACCTGGGAGCTTGTTAAAAAATGCAGAATGGCAGGCCCCACCTCAGACCAACTGAATCACAATCTGCATTTAGCAAAGGTGCACTTGTGTGCACAGTAAAGTCTGAGAAGTCCTGCAATGCAGTATTGTCACAGCTGTATAGTCAGTGTCATTGTGGAAGACAAAGGAAGCAGAGGTCGCTTTTCCAGAATGGGAATAGATATTTTAGGAAATGCTTCATAGGTAGCGATGCCTGAGCTGGGTCTTACGAAAGTATGGATATTTGCCAGGGAGACAAGAAGTAAAGGTAGCTTACAGAAAGAGAGAAGGAAGCATAGACTGTGGCTGCAAGAGAAGCCTGAAGCAACTCCATGTTTTTAGAGAAGCACAGGGATGTCAATGGAGAGCAGATGGAAGCAGATGTCCCACAATGATACTGGGACACATCTGTGGACAGGAGTCTGGCCAACCACCAGGTCAGTTAAGGGTTTTGGATCTATTCTGTGAACCAGTGCTTTAGTCTTGGCTACAAATTATAATTACTCTGGAAAACTGAATACAGATACTTGGGCCCTGCTCTCAGAAACTCTGGTTTAATTGGTCCGGGATGAGATTTTTTTTTTTAAGTTCCCTAGGTGATGCAGATGTGTGCAGAATGGATTGAGTCCACTGTTTTAGGCAATTGAAAGCCTTTGACAGGTTTTAAGTAGGAAAGTAGAGTGATCCAAACACTGTGTTGGTGTCCAGAGACTGCTCATATAGGAGAGATAATGTGGATGTGAGCCAGAGGAAACCTAAAGGGACCAGGTAGGTGACCTAACCCTAACCGTGGGGACTGATCTGGTATTACTCAATAAAGGAGAGACTAGGCCAGGGGCAAGCTGGGGAGTGAATGCCCACCTGAATGTATTTACACCCAAATTTTAAACTACACATGTCTGTGAGTTGAATCTTATCAGAGATTACCAGTTCACAGCCCCTGGCATAATAACGCTGTAAGGAAATTAAAGTATTAAGGAGATAGAATCAACAGGCTTTGAAATGAGTTTGGCATAGGATATGAGAGAAAGGAAATAAGTTACAACTGCCTGTGGTGACTAATTGAATGCTGCTCCCATTCACAAAAATAGGGACCAAAATGAGGAGGGAAGGGTTTGAGGGAGAGATGGAAAGTTCATTTTAGGATATATTGAGTTTGTGGTGCTTGTAGGACATGCAAGACTTTGAACACTTAAGTACCCATCTTATGCTTTGTTAGATATTTAGGGTTAGGATATAGATTAAGGAATTGCTGATATGTAGGTGTTGTTTGAAGCCAGAAGAATGATTGGGAATCTCTTGAAAGAACCGGTAAATTGAGCAGAGGAGAATATCACTATTTCAGGGGCTGGGAGAAGCCCACCAAAGGCCGAAATAGAAATGTCAGTGGGTTGAAAAGCAGCAGAGAGTTGCAATGAAAAGATAGTCCAAGGAGAAGAGAGATGGTTCACTTTTGCAGGTGCTTTCTTTTTTACATGCTTTCTTAATGTGAAAGGTAGCTGATTATAATATCCTTCAATTTGGAATATTCCAAGACCCATACTATCTTAGAGTAGGAAAGACCAGAGATAAATTAACCTGAACTTCTCCAATCAACCCCCACATTGTTCCTAACAAGTGATGCCAGATTAGGATTTAATATTACTGATGAGGAGTTGTTGCTACCCTTCAAGACAGCTCTGTCTTACATTATGCAAAAATCCACAAACCTAAAAATGTTTGTTAACAGTTATTGAACAATAACTCCACATACTGCGCTGGACTCTGTGAATAACAAGCCTGATTCAACGTTTATTTAGTAACTCCATGTATTAGGCACTGGGGATATAGAAGGAAATAAAACTGGGTTTCAGGTTCTTAAGAAATGTATAATGGCAGAGATAGATGTGTCATCAATTGCCTTCAATACACTGTGGCAAGTGCAGCCAGTGGCATAAACCTGTGTGGTGAGAGCTGCCTGGCTTGACCTGGCCTGACTTGGTCTGAGATACTGAGAGTGGTAAATATACAAAGCTTTCTAGAAGACATTGTATCTAAGCTCAGTGATGAAGGGTATTAAGAAATAGGCAAAGAGAAGAGAGTAAGGGTCTTCCAGGCAATGGGAATGAGAAAGAGTAAAGTGTCTGTCTTGGAGCTGTGTGTGGAATGACAGGCAGTCTAGCATAATTGGGAGGCTCCCTTGGCCAACTAAGAGATTGAATGGTCCATTTGACAATTTGCTGTGCCAGCCCAAGAAACTGGGATTATAAGGTGTCTCAATTTCAAATCCTTTGTTTAAACAATAGCTAATGCAGAAACTCATTAGGAAAAACAAATAAGGATCTTGCAACGAATGAGATCCATAGTATATTTTATAATTTGCATCATAGATCAGTTTCTGGGGTGTCTGCTAAAGATGAATGTCAAAGGACAAGACCAGAAGCAGGGAAATCCATCAGGAGGCTGTTGCAATTTTATTGGGGCCAAATGAGGTTAACTGGAATGGTTGTTGTAAGAAGGGAATGAGGCCGAGGGATTGGCCAAATTTAAAAAAGAAAGGTAGGATGTTATGACTGATTGGATATAGGAATGGAGGAGCCATGAGGAGTCCAACACAACTTCCAAGTTTGATTCACAAAGATTTTCCATGGATCCTGGCCTAGGAAAACTTCTAAGTTAGTTAACAAGATAAATGTGCACAGAAATAACACCTAGCAGGGCACTACAGGGCAAGAGTGACAGAAGTGAGCAAGGGGATCATTCTTCTCTATGGACAAATTAGAAATACCCTTTCATTTGCAGAGAAAGACTGAATAAAAGCACAAAAGCTTCTAAAACAGAGTTCTCTAGTTTTATTTTACAACTGCAGTTCTTAAACTGTACATTCTAATGAAGAGGGTGAAATAGGTTCAAATACCGAGACTGTTGGCTTGAAACTGTCATATGAAAACCTTCATTTTGATTAATATAATTGAAGTGTTAAGTGTGTATCTGCTAAATTGCAATCAAATCAGTAAAATGTTATTCATTTTTTAAATGAATCTGTCAGAAGTTTTATGGGTATTCTGCCAACAGTGAATTGGATTTGCACAACTTAACTACAGATATTACTATTTTATAAATAAGTAAATGGAGACATTGAAAATTCAGTCCCTTGATGAAGTAGAGTCAATAGTTGACTTGCAAATAGACTACCAAAGTCCCCAGTAAGCCAGAGTGATGCTGTCCCTGGTGACTCCTTCGCAAAGTGGAGCAGATTTAATTAAGGTTCTAAATCAACGCATTGAGAGGCACCTAGGTTGGTAATGAAAAATTTACCAACTTCATTCTGTCCTGACCCACCACAAACATAGATACCACCAACGCAGAAAGTCTTGAGACACTCTGTGGGGTTCATTCTGCAGACTATAAAACATAGTTCCCAGCACCATAAACTAATTAATAACTAATTCATGCCCACACCTCTGTTTTCCTATGCCAGACACATTAGTATTAGTTGCCTCCACACCCTTCTCCCTTTGCCGCTGCCACAGCTGTTCCTCTTCCTCCACCCCATCCCATCCCCGTCTTCACCCTCATCTTCACTCTCCTTGGCATCTCGTCTTTGAAAGCTCCTTACACTAAAATATTTGAATCCATGGGGAAGTAATGCTTGTGGTTGGGGGATACAACTATAATATATGTCACACATGCTATAAAGCAAGAAGTGCAGCGTCCTAGGAAAGCAAATAGCACAGGCACCTCACCCAGTCTATTGGGAGAGATGTGTGTGCAGAAAGACTTCTGAGAGGGACTGTTTTCCTTCAATTAAATAGGGAGAGGGAGACATGAAAGAGAGTCAGCAACTATAAACATATGTAGTGGGGCATCAGCCATGGCTTCATGATAGACCACCTGAAGCAGGTCCTAGACCATTTATATCAGATCCCTAGGGATAGGGTGCAGGTATCAGTGTTCTTTAAAAGGTTCCTATGTGATTCTAATGTGGAGGAGCCAAGAACTCTACCTTATGTTAAGCAACATATTTAAAGTCCACAAAGAAGAGAATGATATGGTTTTCATGCTACAATGTATCTTTTCCTCATTACTCATAGAAGTTTTTATTTCATTGTTGGAACCAGTTTACATTTCTAATGGAGGAGATTAATTACACTATCAAAGCTGAAGATTTTCAGCACAGGTTTTATGATACCACTCACAAGACAGGTTTTGAGTTTTGTTTGTTTTGGTCTTATTATTATTATTTTTTAAATTAACGCCTCTCCACAATAGAACTACAGTGTTAAGTATAAGTAAAGTATTGAAGAGTTTGTTTCATTACCTAATTAGAAAAGAGAAAAACAGCAAAGAGCTCCTTCCCTGTGCCTGCCAACTGTACAAGGTAATTTAATAATGTTATTTAATTCAGTCCACACAACTCTGTAAAGAAACCATGGACAGAGAAACCTAGGCTCAGAGAGTAAAGTGATTTGCCCTGTGTATGTCACACAGGAACTCGTTTGTGGTGGCTGCTTGATATCAAAGCTCGCACTGCTTGCCCTGATATACACAATAACCATCAGTATTTGTGTTGTGGAGCTCTACCGTAGAGCTGCACACTGCTAAGAAGGAGTATTGCAACAATTTCTATCATTAGGCAAGTAGAATTTGGACTAAATTACACCCTTTGCAATAAACAACTGCTTCTTAGTAGTAGAATGATTTTTTTTAATATAATTCAACATAGCTTTTAACCAGGAGATCCTTAAGTACAATACAACAAAAATGCCTACATTTTATAAACTTCAAGTTGCAGGATTCTGAGGGTATGATAATCTATTAGGCTCTCCAAAACCTCAAAGAAATCAAACAGAAGAGAATTGAATGTCTGAGTTATATGAAAAGACATTGAAGAAACAAAGTTTAATTCATGATTTTTACTATCACTAAATCACAAAGCAGTTTAGACAGCTAAAGTTTATAGTGCTGGAAAATGCTCATACAGTGTTGAGGACTGGTAGTTATTGGGTATCTAGTTGTAGGGGGAAAGAAAATAAATTGCCCAGTCTATTTAAGGAAACATCTGTTACCTAAATCTTTACATTGATTTTGATAATTTAATATGCATATTGCACTGTGCTTTATTCTGTAAGAGTGACTTGCAGAACTCACCTCCCACTTCTAATAAATGTGTAGGATTTCTTGGCATATAATTTGTGGGCCAATTTTATGCTTGTGTATATATTTTAACCCTATTTTTCTTATTTCAAATTAATTTAATCTTTAGAAATATATTCATCCATTCTATCACAAGAGGGGAATACAGAAATAAAATAAATTTCACAAAGAACAACTCCTTGGGTGCCAACAGAACACCGCCTGTGATTAATAAATAAGATACAATAGACAAACTTTGGGTAAACATTTTCTAACCAATCAACCCTCAAAAGCAAAGTATATGCTGTTAATGATATACTCTAATGTCTACAGAGACATCAAATAAAGTCTCCCCAAAAGGATGTGGGACTTTCAGTGTGAAAATCACAGGTCTTTCTTGTTCATAGTTACTAAGGGAGAGGAGGTGAGAGAAGTGGAGAAGAACATTCTTTCTTATAAATCCATATGACTGGCACAGAAAGCCAGCCTTCCATCTCTTCCTAAAGACAACAGGAGTGGGTCTTCCTCCTGCTTTCTAAAGCCTTGCAAACCCAGGTTGGCCCAAGAGAAAGGAAGCATAAAGCAGGCAATGTAAGCCTGTCTCCAGTTAATTATCAGGCAGGATTCTTGGTAGAAAGACCAAAAACTGACAAGATCTGCTTCTCTTACAAGAAAAGGGACATGCTGAAAAAGTGCCAGGAGTTCACAGAATGGATGGGCAGAGAGAAGTGAGATTGGAAAACGGCAGGAACTAAGGCAGCTGTGGAGAACCAAGAGACAGAAAGCCCTGAAATTATCTTTTCAGCGGGAATAGTTTAGTGAGGACAAATAAATGTTGGGCACAAATAAATGTTGGGCACAGTAGGTTGGCTGTAGGATCACTGACCACAAATGGCTACTGTCCCTGTCAGACACTAATGCTATTGCCTGGATGAACTCAAACCACCCTCTGCTGTTTTATCATTCACTCCGGACAGAAAAGTCTTAGGCAGGAGGATCCAGTTAGCAGACCAAAGTTATGAACCCACTTTCCAGTTGCCTTAGGTGGGAGAAGTAGGGGTCCCAACCCTAATACTGAACGCTTGTTGGTAAATGGTAAATACTGGTACAGAATATAGGCCAGCGTTTTTTCTATTTGGTCGGTGCCTGTGCAATATGAATTGTTTAGCACTTTGAATATTACCGCGGAACTCTATCTCGCTTTTGCCAAGGGCAGAGTTCTGAATTCTAATAAGATGAATATGTCATGACGTTTAATTTTCAAACAGGAAAATGTTGGGCGGCCCCAAAGTTGACAAATATCACTACAAGACTTTGAATGCTATCAAAGAGTCCTCTTAGTTAAGATGCAATTGAACCTAACTCAGCAGGTAGCCAATTATATATATTACTTGGGCAATATGATGTAATTTGGGAAATAAAAGTGTACCTCCCCCAGACAAGAAGTGAGGAGTTGGAGGGCCCTTGGCTAAGGATTTAATCAAATACTTATTAACAGTAATCTCAAAGCTTTGACTGGGTCTTTGTGTAGTTGAAGAAGAGGTCATTAATGGGTAGATGGCTTAGCAGTGGGCCCTTTTCTCATGCCTGGCAGGCCTTTAGTGTAACAATTTGAAAAGAAAGGGAAGAAAGAAAAGAAATAATATTGCTCTCCATAATTATGTGAAGTACTGAAAACTCCATTGTGTGGAGAATCACCTCATTCACTGAAGGAGTTCAGGCTGCAGTGTCCTTGAGAATTAACATTTGTCCTTGTGAGCACTAGGTATGTGTATGTGTGTTTAATTCAACTGTTCCCAACAATTCCTGGTATGACAGTAGCAGAGGTATCCAAGCAAGAGTCTCCTTATAAGTTCTGTTTCAAGTGGAGTTACCTCCAGAAGATCTGTTATTTAACACTGTCCTCAACAAACATGCCTTTAGTAAGAGGTTCCCACACAGCAGTGTCATTACCAGGAGTTTTCAGAAAGCAGGAATATCTCTCGTAAAAATTTTTATAGTGGTGTCCTAGCATTGAGGTGCGCATTATGGATTGTTTAATCAAAAGCCATTCATGCCTTCCCTTTCCTTTGCTTTCCTCTGCTGAGCAGGCTGAAAGATGAACATCATCACCTTTCCAGAATCCACTGCATCCAGGACTGGCCCCGAGCCACAGTCTTGGCCCATAAGTGTCTGTGGAAGCCCTGGGGTAGACACCCTTATCAAATAGAAAGGAAACCCCTTGTTAGATGGCACAACTTTTTCTTTCACCTTTTTTCCTTCTTCCTTCTGGGAACAAAGATTCAATGCCTTTAAGTGCAGCAGCCATTTGGCATCTAAAAGTCACAAGCTGGGGATGATGAAGTAGTAAGTTAGAGGCCTCTTCCTCTGATTGCGCCATTGAGCCACTGACTCACCTGTGGGCTGTTTGTGTGCAGATTTCATGTTGTATGAGGCATATCAACCCTGATATGTTTAAGCTTCTGAATAGGGGATTCTGTTCTCTGCAGCTGAATGCAATCCTAACTATGCAGTGACTCTAGCAGGGGGCTTTCTAGCATGATGACTCCTCTTGCAGTAACGTCCCTGGCAGTACTCAGTAGCATTATTTTTACAGATTCAATTATCCTTGTCTTACCTCGATAATGACATTCTCACACATGCATTTAACATATGCTATGATATTGATTGGAAGAATCTTCTGTGATGTTTGTCATTTATATTTCTATTACTATATTTTTAAATTTCATCAGCAATTTTGATCTCTCCTAACCAGTGGAATTGGTACCCTTAATAGAGTTCCAGGTTCATTACCATTTAGTGCTCACTGCTATTTTTTTTTTTGCCATTGTTGAATTATTTTATTTCATTTTATTTAACTTGTTTTGAGCTGAATCATAAACTTGAAAACAAGGAGTAAGAAAGTAAGAGATAGCCTTTTTAAAGTTTTTTGTATTTATAAGATGTTGAGAATAAATTTAGTTCTGTCAATGGTGAAAATTTTTCTAGTTGTTTTTCTTTATAATGTTAATCTCACTTTTAGATTCCAACATATAACTATAAATCAACAGTATAATTTCTTTTATATTATACCCTTTTAAAACTGTATTTTTCCCTTAACTTGGGAAAAGATATGGTTAAAACTACTGCAGAAGTCATTTGTAACTCTAAAAACTTTTTTTTCGTAAAAGCTGAGATACAGGACATACAAATGAATGGAGCCTTATCATTTTGAAAACTGCATAAAGGAAAAGAATTAATTTTTTCAAACCCTATTATTTCAAGTTTCCATAATACTTTCCATAAAACCACCTTATGAAGGGGTTTGAATGCCTTTACCCATCATGAAACATGTTTTCAATTGCTTTTAAATGTGCAAGTTCCATGGTCTTCTGTTGGCAATGCAAAGGCTTTCTAGGCATCAGGCTCAGGACATAAAAGCAGAATGGCTTTTATATTTGAAGGTTGTTGTCCATTACGGAATACTGTTTCAGGACATAAGAGAGGAATAGCTTTTATGTCAGAAGGTTGCTGTTCAATACTGAGTGATAGAATGCCATAAGAAAGTGTTAAATGAAATAACTGCCTTTAGCGTTTTTTTTTTTAATGATGTAAATGTAAATTTTAGAACATTGATTTCATTAGAGTAGCAGGAATACAGAGTTTGGAGTATGCATACTTTCAGTTTAGCTTACAAAAACAACAAAAGCCAGATCCAACATGGATGTGGTAGGAGATATATATAATTGCACATGAATTGACATCTCGTTGACACTCATTGCAAGAAAGACAAGAGCCTCTATTTGGAAGTTGAATTTGGCAAAAATCCAGTGACATTTGCAAGAAAAAAAGTCTCACTGGTAAGCATTAAATTTAGAAGGGTCATCTCAAATTTTTATCTCCAACTATGCATTCTTTTCATCAACATATAAATTATTCATTAAATAGTGCCTTAGTTATTTCATTTAGAAAAAGGGAAGACATGAAATAAGCCCTAAGTTAACTATATTCAGAGGTTAGGACTTGGGGAGAATTTTCAAATTTTATAAAAATATCTCTATATTATTAATGTCTCCTTAATCTCATAGAACATAGAAACTTCCCATGCTAGGGACACATGGAGAAAGTAAAGGGAAAGAAACACACCTAAGCTGAAGGCATCTTATGAAAAGGGCAGATCCACTTGGCAGAGCAGGTGCAACATATAGCTGAAAATCTTGGTTAGGAATTTGTTCCCAGTGATGATTCTTGCCCTACACTCCCAAAAATGAAATTTTAAAAATCTTCCAAAGGTAGTTTACCTACAAGTATGCCACAGAAAAAGATATCTATTTGCCAATCCTAAAACTGTATTAAGAAATGTCCAATTGTAGTTGATGTTGACTTTCCAGCATCTCTACATATTTATTGTGATTAAAAATAAATTAAGAAACATTATTAAAAATAACTATGTGTGTTCATAAAGACTAGAATGGTAGTAAAACAGAAGACAATAATAATTAAGACCAGGTACCCTGAAGTTAGAATTCCTGGATTCAAATTTAGCTCAAATATAGTGATTCTCAAACTGTGTTCCAGATCAAAAACATTACCATCACCTCTGAACTTCTTTAAAAGGCAAGTTATCTGGCTCTCCTCCAAACCTACTGAATTGAAACTTTGGGTGATGGGTGCCCAGCAATCTGTGTTTTAACAAACTAGGTGATTCTGGTGCTTGCTACAGTTTAAGAACCATTGATCTAGCACTTACCAGCTAGCGGTAGGATCTTGTGTTAGTCCATTTGCCTTGCTATGAAGGAATATCTGAGACTGCGTAATGTACAAAGAAAATAGGTTTATTATGGCTCACTGTCCTGCAGGCTGTACAGGAAGCATGGCACTGGCATCTGCTTCTGTTAAGGCCTTAGGAAGCTTCCAAACAAGCAGAAGGCAAAGTGGGAGCCTGTGTGTCACATGGCCAGAGTGGGAGCAAGAGTGAGGAAACAGGAGCAAGGAAACGGTAGCAAGAGGTGGGGAAGTGCCATGCTCTTTTAAATAACTGGACTTTGCATGAACTTAGAGCAAGACCTCACTGATTACCATGAGGAGGAGACCAACTCATTCATGAGGGGTCCACTGCCATGACCCAAACACCTCCCACAAGGTCACACCTCAGTATTGGGGATTACATTTTTACATGAAATTTGGAGAGGACAAACATCCAAACCTCATCTGATCTTGACCAAGATAATCATTTGGAATCTTGGTTTTCTAATTTGTAAAATGGAGGGAAATAACATTCTCTCTCTCTCTCAGAAGGTTTTTGAGAAGATAAAAGAAGCAACTTAAATTTATGGAAAGCCTTAGGAAAATGCCCAGCATAGAGTGGTCAATGAGTTTTAGCTCTAGGTAAAACCTTTGTGTAAAGCCATAATGCATAAAGCCATTATGGGTTCAAAGGTAACAGTGTTGGTTAAATGATTAATTTCTTTGTGTGGTGTGATAATATAGTCCTCTTCTGCACACAAAGTGATTTTGCATACATCATTCTATTTCATCCTCACAGGATGCCCTTGAGATGGAGGAGCAGGAATTATAGTCCTTTTCCCATCTATATAGAATAAATATTTATTGGTTACTTACCTACCATATGCCTGGCCTTGTGCCAGATGCTGGGTTAAGAGCCAAACAAGATAAATGAAGCCCCTATCCTCTAGAAATTGACATTCTTAACCAGAGGCACATAGTTTCTAATGAAATTTATATCAGCAGTGAGAAGATTTGTTGAAAATACAGATTCCTTAGCTAGACTTTGTAAGATGGTGATTTATTAATATTGGAATCTGAACTTTTTATAATCTTCCCAGGTGATACAGGCGCAGATGGTTCAGGAAAAACATAGAGAAATGCTGGACAGTAGCCTACCAAGAACATACACTAATTCTACAAGTTCTTACAATATAGTGTAAGTCTCATGACAGAATTTCAGGAGGATATGGGAGAATGGGGACCGTTCCTATGTTAAGGGATCTCTGTTAGTCTGGGGCTTAGATCGCGGGGCTTAGAAACAACAGAGATTTCTTGCTTCTGCTGTATGTACATCTTGGATTACAGAAAATGGTTTGTATTTTAGATACTCAGTTGTCCCAGTTTTGTGAAGCAGCCACCATCTTAAATGCTGCAAATCACTGTGATAGAAGGGAAAAGAAAGCTTTGGGAGCCTCACCCCAACAATTAAGTGTGTAGGTAGGAAGCAATGCATGTTACTTCCTTTCACAAATTATTTTTCAGAATTAGTCACATGTCCTCATTTACTTACATACATAGGAACTAAGAAATGCAATCAGACCATGTGCCCAGAATTAGAGAATAATCAGGGATCAGTGAATGGCAATAACCATTATTATAAAATAAGTTTATAAATGATGAAAATTAGTTTTGGCAATAAATAACACCCTCAAAATAACAGAGTTAGTAAGTACCCCAAGAAAGATTCATTCTTCAGTTTTTCTATGGCATCCGTTACAAACGAGAATAAAACTCTGGCCCCATCCTCAAGTACCCTTTAGGGGGCTGAACTAATTCAAATCATTTCCTTTTTTGTAAGCCTTGTTTTTGGTGCTGAGAGCTCAAAGATGAATAAGACATCAATCGTGTCTCCAAGGAGCTCATACTCCTCTGGAAGAAACAATCACAGCACAATAAATATAGACACCTCAGACTGTGATAAGTAATGGACCAGAGGGATGAACATCCAGACTAAGTGGTGTCCAACTGCAGAAGGGGAAATTAATTCTTACGGGTGGGTAAGGAAAGACTCACAGAGAGGCAATGTTTGAGGCAAACCTGAAAGAATAGGAGAGTTTTGTTGGTAGGAAATGAGCAGAAGAACACTTTGGGAAGAGCTGATAGAATGGACACACAGCTAAGAGGCATATATTGGGAATTGTGAGGAGCCCAGCGTAGATTGTCCATAAGGGTTGCTAAGGTCAGGAATGTCAGAAGCTTTCAAAGTACTTTGGAATTAGAGAGTAAAGAGCCTAGAATGGCAAGCCAGGGATTTGGTCTTTTATTCCCCCTAATTGAAATGCTGATTAAAGTTTTTGAGTAGAGTAGTAAATTTGCATTTTGAAAGTTGAGGCAGTATAGAAAGAATAGAGCCAGAAAGAATAAAAAGATAGATAATTCCAGGCAAGATCAAGTAATCAGAGCAAAGAATATTAGCTATGATTATTGGCCAGTTATCTGAAAATCCTAAAATCACAATTGATTTTCTAAGATGGAAATTAATATCAACCAAGACTGTGAACATGTCTGGGGACATAATGTGCTAATTCACCTACCAGCTACACAGATGTTTCAGGTCAAATATGATAAAACATGAGGGCAGATAGGTTGGTCTACAATACCCATGAGCCCATTGTAATGTTCCAAGCATGCTCCATATTTGAATATTAGAATTGGATGACATACAGACTGGAAGGGTCTTTAGAGGTCCTTTAGGCAAAACCCATCAATTAACAGATGAAAATGCAAGTGCAGAAATGATATATAAGGACCAAGATCAAATGATTAGTTTTTAGCAAGCCCAGTTCTAAAATCCAGAGCCACTAATAATTGGATCATAGACTGTAACTTGCTTCATGTAGAGGTGATCACTAAAGCACCCTTTACAACAATGGTTCTTTTGATGCCTTTAGGCCTCACTCATAAAGAATCAGTTTCCTGTGACCAATGAGGCTTTCTCTATTTGTTTCTGTGAAAAGCAGTTTACAGGATTCTCCTGGGAGTCCATCTTTCTGTGAGTATATGTACAGAAGAGAGTGCATGTATTGAAAAGCTCAAAGAATAAAAGTTTTGATGGGTAATGATGTATAAAATCCTTAATATTTGCTTATACAGTCACTTTTTTATTATCCTATAATGGATTATCTAATTTTCAGATTATCCATGTTCTCTGTCTCTGTTTTAAAGACAGTTTCAGCAGAGAGGTAAAGAGTACATTTTTGCAGTCAATTTTTCAATTCGTTAGCAGTTGTATGAAATAGGATTTTTGGAAATACTGGTAACTAAACCTCTCCTTTGAAAAGATCTATGGGCATTTAGCTGTTTGCTTTCCCATCTTCACTGAAATGGGAGATCAAAGTGTGAAAAAAATGTGTTTTGATAAAATACATAAGCAGATGGATACATTAGAAAATAGATAAGGCCGTTAGCTAGCATCATATGGTGCAAATAACTAGAATAAAGTGGTAAAACTCAACATGGAGACATTATATCTAACCAGTGCGATAACCAGAACATACTTCATTTATTTATTTATTATGTTTAATAATTTCAACTTTTATTTTAGACTCAGGGGGTACATGTGCATATTTGTTACATGGGTATATTGTGAGACACTGAGGTTTGGAGTACAAATGGCCCCATCACCCAGGTAGTGAACACAGTGCTCAATAGGTAATTTTTCAGCCCCTGTCCTCATCCCACTTTCTCACCTCTAGTAGTCCACAGTATCTGTTGTTCCTGTCTTTACATCCATGTGTATCCAATGTTTAGCTGCCACTTGTGAGAACATGTGATATTTGGTTTTCTGTTCCTGCATTAATTTGCTTAGGATAATGGCCTCCAGCTGCATCTATGTTGCTCTAGAGGACATGATTTCATTCTTTTTTTAATGGCTGCCTAGTATTCCATGCACCACATTTTCTTTATCCAATCCACCACTGATGGGCATTTAGGTTGATTCCATGTCTTTGCTGTTATGAATAGGGCTATCATGAACATATGAGTTCATGTATTTTTGGTAGAATGATTATTTTCCTTTGGGTGTGTATGCAGTAGTGGGATTGCTGGGTCAAATGGTTGTTCTGTTTTAAGTTCTTTGAGAAACCTCCAAACCAATTTCCACAGTGGCTGAACTACTTTACATTCCCACCAACAGTGTATAAACATCATTCCCTTTTCATTGCATCTGCTATTTTTTGACATTTTAGTAATAGCTATTCTGACTAGTGTGAGATGGTATCTCATTGTGGTTTTGATTGGCATTTCTCTCATGATTAGTGATGCTGAGCATTTTTTTTTATTTGTTTGTTGCCTGCTTGTATGTCTTCTTTTGAGAAGTATCTGTTCATGTCTTTTGCCCACTTTTTAATGGTGTTATTTGGTTTTTGCTTGTTGAATTAAGTTCCTTATAGATTCTGGGTATTAGAACTTTGTCAGATGCATAGTTTGTGAATATTTTCTCCCATTCTGTAGGCCGCATGTTTACTCTCTTGATAGCTTCTTTTGCTGTGCAGGAGCAATTTAATTTAATTAGGACCCACTTGTCAATTTTTGTTTTTGTTGTAATTGCTTTTGAGGACATAGTCATAAATTCTTTACCAAGGCAGATGTCCAGAATAGTATTTCCTACTTTTTTCATCTTACATTTAAGTATTTGATCAATCTCGAGTTAATTTTTGTATATAGTGAAAGATAGGTGTCCAGTTTCATTCTTCTGCACATGGCTAGCCAGCTATCCCAGTATCATGCACTGAATAGGAAGTCCTTTCCCCATTGCTTACTTTTGCCAAATTTTTTAAAGATCAAATGGCTGTAGGTGCATGGCTTTATTTCCAGGTCCTCTACTCTGTTCCACTGGTCTAGGTGTCTGTTTTTGTACCAGTACCATGCTGTTTTAATTACTGTAGCCTTATATCACAGTTGAAGTAGGAGAGTGTGATGCCTCTGGCTTTGTTCTTTTGCTTAGGATTGCTTTGGCTATTTGGTCTCTGTTTCGATTCCATATGAAGTTTAGAACAGTTTTTTCTACTTCTGTGAAAAAATGACATCAGGAGTTTGACAGGAATAGTGTTGAATATGTGAATTGCTTTGGGTAGTATTGCCATTTTAACAATGTTGATTCTTCCAATCCATGAGCATGGAATGTTTGTTTGTGCCATCTATGGTTTCTTTCAGCAGTGTTTTATAATTCTTTTTGTAACAATCTTTCACCTCCTTGGTCAGATGTATTCCTAGTTTGTGTGTGTGTGTCTGTGTGTGTGTGTGTGGCTATTGTAAATGGGACTGAGTTATTGATTTGGCTTTCAGCTTGAACATTACTGGGGCGTAAAAACACTACTTACTTTTGTGCGTTAATTTTGTATCCTGAAGCTTTGCTGAAGTCAATTTTCAGTTCTAGGAGCCTTTTGGTGGAGTCTTTAGGATTTTCCAGATAGAGAATCATATTCTCAGCAAAGAGAAATAGTTTGACTTCTTCTTTTCCTATTTGGATGCCTTTTATTTCTTTCTCTTAGCTGATTGCTGTGGCCAGGATTTCCAGTACTATGATGAATAGGCATAGTGAGAGTGGGCATCCTTATCTTGTTCCAATTCTCAAGGGAAATGCTTCCAGTTTTTGCTTGTTCAGTATGATGTTGGCTTTGGGTTTGTCATAGATGGCTCTTATTATTTTCAGGTGTGTTCCTTCAATGTCTAGCTTGTTGAGCGTTTTTTATCATGAAGCGATATTGGATTTTATTGAAAGCTTTTTCTGTGTCTATTGAGATGACCATACGGTTTTTATTTTCAATTGTTTATGTGGTGAATCACATTCATTGATTTGTGTATGTAGACCTAACCTTGCATCCTAGGAATAAAGCCTCGTTGATCACAGTGAATTAACTTTTTGATGTGCTGCTGGATTTGTTTGCTTGTATTTTGTTGAGGATTTTCACGTCTATGCTCATCAAGGATCTTAGCCTTTAGTTTTCTTTTTTTGTTATGTGTTTGCCAGGTTTTGGTATCAGGGTAATACTGACTTTAACTTTTTTATAGTTTCAGTAGAATTGGTAGCAGCTCTTCTTTGTATGTCTGGTAGAATTTGGCTGTGAATCCATCCGGTCTAGGGCTTTGGTGGTTTTTTATTACTGATTAAGTTTCAGAACTTGATATTGGTCTGTTCCGGGTTTCAATTTCTTCCTGATTTAATTGTAGAAGATGGTGTGTTTCCAGGAACTTATCCACTTCCTCTAGATTTTCTAGTTTGTGTGCATAGAAGTGTTCATAATAGTCTCTGAGGATCTTTTGTATTTCTGTGAGATCAGTTGTAATGTCACCTTTGTCATTTCTGACTGTACTTATTTGGATCTTTTCTATTAATCTAGCTAGTGGTCTATCCACCTTGTTTATCTTTTCAAAAAAGCAATTTTTGGTTTTGTTAATTATTTGTATGGATTTTAGTGTCTCAATTTCATTCTGTTCTGCTCTGACTATAGCTATTTACTTTTCTGCTAGTATATGTGTTAGTTTGTTCTTATTTTTTTACTTTCTACAGGTATGATATTAGATCATTAACTTGAGGTCTTTCTAACTTTTTGAGGTAGACATTTAGTGCTAAAAACTTTCCTCTTAACACTGCTTTTGCTGCATCCCAGAAGTTTTGATATGTTATGTCTCTGTTTTCATTTATTTCAAAGAGCAATTTCAATTCTGCCTTAATTTCATTGTTTGCTCAAAAGTCATTTAGGAACAAGTGTTTAATTTCCCTGTAATTCTGTGGTTTTGAGAGAACTTCTGGGTACTGTTTTCTATTTTTATTGCACTGTGTTCCAATAGTATGGCTGTTATGATTTTGATTTTTTTAATTTATTGAGACTTGCCTTATGGCCAACCATTTTGTCGATCCTGGAGTATGTTTCTTGTGCAAGGTGTGTGACTCAGACTGCTGAACCAGGTGAGCGGTTGCTACAAATGTCTGGAGATTTGCCTGGGTGGGGAGTGGACAAGACCCACTGTACCACAGTCTATGCACAGGAAGAATGGGGTGAGTCAGACTGCTGATCAAGGTGGGCAGGTGCTCTGAATACATGGAGATCTGACAACAGAACATTTAAATAGTAAAAGTTAAAAGTTGTTGGTAATAGACTCTAAGTGGAGCCTTCTTTCTTACCATGCTGGTCTCTCTTAGGCAATTTCATCCTTGGCCACAGTTTCGATTACCACCTATATGCAGGTGATTTACAAATTTTATCTCCCTTTTGAGCTTCTAGGCTGATTTTCTTGAGTGGGAAAATAAAGCCAGATTTAGATTTCAAAATAAGATTTTGAATATCTTCATTTGGTGAGGAAATAAGAGGGAACTTCATCAGCCAAAATTCTGATGGCTATCTCATCTCAATTGCTTTAAAATTACAGGCTCCTTTTCATCAGGTAAAACCAAGACTCTCTGAAAAATGCTCTGTAATAAGCAAAGGAAGAGAGACTGCCGTGAAATAAGTTGAGGAGAGAAATCTGGTGACACAAAGTAACGAGAGAAAGAGTAGACCTACATTTTAGCATACTTCAAAGAGGCTGTTTGAAAAGAGATTTGATATGCACTTGAAAGTTCCACAGTATTTGTCAAATAAAATGTTAAGATTGTTATCTTTTGGAGAATTTTTCTTTGTCTAGCAGGTTACTTGATGTGTAGCTCTGTGTGTTATGGGGAATGATATTCTTCATTATTTTCCAACTGCCTCCTTGGTATCACCTCTTGGATACTCCAAAGCCATCCATCACATCCAAAACTAAAGTCATGAACTTTCTTCAAAAGCCTACTTTCCATTTTCTATTGCAGTGAATAATGACACCATGTATTTAGCTAATCAAGCTAGAAATCTGTGCATTTGTCTCTCTCTTTTGTCCTCTGTATTCAATCCATGACCAAGTACTATATATATATATATCTTTCTCCAAGCCTGAGTTTGAAATCCTTTCAATAATTTCCATTGCTATAAGGAGAACAAAGTCTTATTTGGATTTTCCCAAGGTCTCGACATTGCCTGTTGCTCAAGCCTCATCTTGCTTCACTCTGCTTGAGGCCCTCTATTCCATGTAGCTTCCTTTTAATTTTTTCCAACGTGCCATGCTATCTCTCTCAACAGTGTCTTTCCACACATGTTCTTCACTCTCTTGGAATATTTCTGTTTGTGAATGGATCTTGTACAGCAATACTTAGAGAAGGTCTCTAACTCAGAACTTTATAAAGACAGCATCATTAATTGAGAATGACTAAATAATACTTTGAAAAGAGAGCTAACTATGTTAGTTTAATGGGCAATTATTATAAGCACGAATAGACTATAAACAGCTGTATATGCCAAAGCTACCAAAAATATATGGTAATCCCGCATGCACTAAAGTGTTGCTAGTTGTGGTTTTGAGATAATGTAGCTTTATATTTTACACTAAAACAATTTAAATGTGCAATTTGCCATCATATTTGCAAACAGGTTCAGAAGTGGTTTAGTCTGCACAAAATAAAACCTGTGGCAAAGCTGATAGAATAACAGTGCCACGGTGTCACAGTTCCTGAACCATTGAAGAGGTATGGAAGACCAGGGAAGATTCACAATGATCTAAAGCTGTTTAGTTTTCAAATTGTATGCCTTCCAGAACCTTTGTGTGTTTTTGTTTTTTCCTTTAATCTCCTATTCTCTAGGAGATCTCAATCTCGTCAAGGTGATTTTACCAACCGAAATACTTTTTAGGGATATAACTCCTTAGACAGAAGTATTGTTGGAGAGGCTGAGACACCTTTTCCAAAAGTAGCAGCATTTTTTTTTCAAAAACAAAAACCAAATATGCAGATATGATATAAAGACTAGGATGAAGAAAATATTACATGAAGCAGAATGAAATACACCATTGAAAGCTCAAATCTGAAGAGATACAAAGGATGGTATCTATCTTCTAGTTCTAGCTCCTTCATAAACATCAAGCAAATAATTCTGGCTCCTGACTCTAAGGCCCTACCACCTAATCTCCCTACTACCCAGTTTTACTTGCTGTAATATTAAGACCAAGCTAAGCCCCTGCTCTAGTCGGCAAGAAATTTGTGGTAACACCTTCTCGTTATGGGAAAGACTCTTCCCTGGTGTGACTAAGGGATATATCTCTGTCTCACCTACTCATCATCAGATCCCGACCCATACCTTCTGCTTTCCATGTGCATGCTCTGAATTGGCAAGACTTTGAATGCAAATCATAATTCTCAGTCTTTTCATGTGCAGTTGTTCTAAGTTGACTTGAGGGCAGAGTCTCAGGACCCTAAGCATTTGTAATTAATAGTTTTTGCAGAGATTTCTGCAATAACAGCAATGAAAAAGCTGAATTTTTATTCAGTGTGTCCCTTAAAATTCTGGTTGTGATGCCATGACCTGGGAAATGTCCCTCTCCAGTTCCATGTTTTCTAGGCTTAGTAGCTCTGAGTAACACAGGATCTGTGAGAGGATTTTATTTTAAACTCTGGCTTTTGGACAGGGTTATACCTTCCTGGTTGTTTCCTGAATAAACCTTCCCTGATGCCCAGAATCATGAATCTTATGGTACTTTGTTTCTATCATATTTAAAGTGCATTTATTCTATTCTGTGACCAAAATAACCCAGAGTTTTGCTCACTTTTTTTTTTTTTTTACTGTCCATGCCCAAGTATGAGCACTGCTGTGTATATATACATCTCACTGAAATAACTGGATTTATAGTGTTTGAGAGTCCACCACTTACCCGCAGCTGTGCTTCCACCTATGGCAAGGGTAATTCATAACAACAGCAGTGGCGACACCCTGCTTCTTGGTTGCATGGATGTCTAATTAATCAAAAATTTCTGGGTGAAAAGATAGTCTCATGCTGTCTTTGAATTTTGCTTACCCTACCTTAGCTCTGCTCCTTGGCATGGATTTCCTAAATCCGGCATCCTTTCTGTGTGTAAAAGGGACAATCTGATATGGTGGTGATAAAGAAGGCAATGGAGAAAGCATTCTTTACGTTAGCTCTCCCCTGAAAGCCATTTAAAGTTTAAGATGTATAATGCCATGTTAAAAGGAGCAAAGCCTTTTTTGGCCATAGGATTATGAAGATAAACATAAAGAACTTATTGTTATTCTTTTGTAATTAGCATTAGCAAATTATTCCCCTTGTCTTTTCTTAAGTTTCTCAAATGGAACCTGTTTGTGATTAGGCTCTGTGCCAATTTGAATGGGCAACCTTCTAAAACATAAAAAAAAAGCTTTGTAACAGGAAGTCAGAATCTTAATAACACCGTGAGGAGTAGCTCTGTGATAAATCTGGTCCCAGAAACTAACAGTCAACTTTGCTTTCATAGTCCTAAGACTCACAAACAGACTATTTGCCAAAGTCTCAGAATGTCTGGAGGAGGATAGTAAGAGGATGACCCAGTTGGCAGCTTGGGTCATTTTGTATGAGGCCCTCTGTGAGTTTTCTTGGAATTACTAATACAAGTCAGGAGAAAAATAGATACCAGCACTTCAAGCCTTGTTTAGCTTGAATAGTCACAAAGGACTTTTTGCACTTTGTGTCTAATAGGCTTTGCTCTGAAAATCTTCGTCCATTGCTGTGCCAAATCCTGGCTCATGCCATATGTCATGCACAGCAATTACATTAGATAATAAACTGCATGTTCCCTTGATGTACCCTCCCCCAATCTCCAGTCAGTGACAGTGCCCTTAGAGAATGTCTGAGCTTTCATATTTGCAGAGAAACCCTCTGTTCAGACAGCAGAGGATTCATTTAATTTCAGCAACTGGCTATTACAGCTATATAAACATCTCTCTAGGCTTCCCAAATAAGCATGGCCTACATTCCCCACTTCCTTTTTTATTCAGGATAGGGAAGAATTAAAAAAGAAAAAAGCTAATAAATTTATATTAACAAATAAACAGACATAGGATACGCGCACACACACACACACACACTGCCCATATATATACTTATATCAGAAATATAAAATAACAGAAATTTTAGCCCTCCTCCTTAAGATGGTAGGAATATAAAATAATTTGGAAACAAGTGAAAATATTTGGGAAAGACTGGTGGGCCAGGAGTGTTTGTACATAAAGTTGCTGGTCCCAGGTGGTGATGCACTCAGGGAGCTGGAGGATCCGTTTTCCCTCATCAGGTATCGGGGGCTTCTCCACCTCCCTCTCAGGGGTGAACATAGCCAGCCAGGCAGCTTTCCCTGTGACCAGCGCCTGCCTCTCTGCAGATTGCAGTGTGAAGTGCCTTGTGGGTTTCATGTTCCCCTGAGTTGATTCAGGTGTAAGTATAAAACTGATGGCAGTTGGAGAAGGTCAGCATTACATATTCATTTTATTTTAAATAATTGATGATGTTTCCTGTCTCTGCTTACATTAATTGCTCTCAGGTGTTAGAAAATGACTCAGTGAGTTGCCTTTTAATATGCTTTTTTAGAAAGACAGTGTGTCTGCTCTTTGGAATACTAAAAGCCGCATGTACTGTGCAGGACTTTCTAACTGGAGGTTAATAAAGGGAAATTAAACATATGCATTGATGCTCTCTGCTGTGTGGAGAGGGAGAGTGTGCCCAACTATGCACCCAAGGATGTGAGCCATAATTCTATCCAATCTTAGAATAAAACTCATGTTTACCCAGATTCTCCTGGTCAGATGTAGATGGGAAAGCCAATTTGATATTTTCTAAGGTGGTGACACTAATAATGGAGTATAAAATACAAAGTCATTTTTCACAATCAGTCCATAGAAAGATATTCTTTATCAAGTACAAACCACAAGTATTTTTTCAATGAATGCAGTTATCCAAAGGAATAGGATGCCATTTTTAAAAATTGATCATACGTATACAGAAGAGCCAAGTTCTTAAAACAATGTCGATTTCACTGCTTCTCAAAATATCAACGGCCTTACTTACAGTCATTTATAAAAAGGTGTGGGATTTTTTGGTTTTAAACATTGTTTGTAAAGAGAAGTTGGGCAAACAACATGGCTGACTCTAAGTCCGGCTCCATTTGCATATCCTGCATTGGTGTTTCTGTGAAGTACATTTATGATGCCTATTAAAGAAAATCAAGAAACTTCTAAAACACTTTTCTTTGATGCATGCATCTAGAGTAGGACATGAATCAAATTCAAATGGAATCAAGTCAATCAGGATGAGTCTCAGAAGCACACCTGGCTTTTGAGAAAGAGTTAGTTGCTTTGGGGGGTATCCTAGGGGGAAGCATCTTACTTGGGGTGTCATCATCCAATCAGTAGATGTCTGATGGCTCTGTCCAGCAGTAGCAGTCTCAAACCCCACTGTGAAAAGAGGGGCTTCCTCCTATTTGTCTCTTCGATTTGAAGTTTATACAGGAAGAAGAGCAAGAGAATCATAAATAACATTTAAATTTAGGAGCTACACTTTTTAAGTTTTCAAGAAGACAGCAACTGTAACCAAAAGAGCTTTGTTCTCAGGCTAAATTTTGATTGATTAGGAAGCAGGACATTCTCTAACCATTGTAAACCATAACCTAATCATTAACTTTGTGAAGTTAATATTCAGCACTGTTTTTTTTTTTTTTTTAGATGGGGTCTCGCTCTGTCACCCAAGCTGAAATGCAGTGATACGATCATAGTTTACTGCAGCTTCAAACTCTTGGTCTCAAGGGATCCTCCCACCTCAGTCTCCTGAATAGCTACAACTACAGGCACACACCACCACACTCGGCTAATTACGTTTTTTACATTATTTTTTGTAGAGACAGGGGTCTCACTTTCTTGCCCAGACTGGTCTTGAACTGCTGGCTTCAAGCAATCCTCCCACCCCAGCCTCCCAAAGTGTTGGGCCTGCCTGGCCATATACAGTACTTTATACCGCATTGACCTATACAATCATTTACATGTGCACAAAATATGTGTGCAACATGCAGAGCTATAGCCAGGTGTGTGGTTGTGTGCAGACACATGCATATGCAGACAGAGGCGCACACACACACACACACACACACACACACACACACCAAGTCAGTACACCAGCTGTTCAGCATTATTTACAATATATTGGAATCACCGCTGACCTAAAGAGCTGAAGAAAATAACAGGCCATATTTTCAGCTTAGTAAAACCCTGCAGTAGGGAGCCCTTTATGAACAATTACAAGCATTTGCTGGAAATACATTTGCTGATTTAACAAACTGGGTAGGACAAATGTTTAACATGCTGTCGTAATGATGTTCAGATGCTTTTCTTAGTATTCGCTGATCTGAGATAATGCGTTCTTGCCCAATCATGCTACAAAGAAGCAGCGGAAATAAATAAATAAATAGATGTAATGTGATGCGCTCTCACAATAGCAGAGCTGCTGACTGCCCCTGACAGATGGGAGAAAAAAAAAGTCAATATGATGTCTGAGACAGCCCAGGCTCGGCACTGCAGAATAAATTACATGATTCGCTGAATGCCTGGGCTTCGCTCAGACATACAAAAAAATTGGAAAGATAAAAGCTTGCATTGGCTTCAGATGATATTTACTGCTTGATGGATTTACTAGCAGCCCCAGTACAGTCATACTGTATTGAATTATTGGCCTCTATTTAGCTGTGTGTCCGTCGGAGCTTGAGTGTCCATTTAAGCGTAAGTGAGCTGGAGGCCCGCCAAGTCTCTCAGAGGCTCTGGGTACAGAGGAAGACGCAAGCTAATGGCCACCAGCTTGAATAACAGGGAGCTTGAGGATACTGGGGTAGGCAACAAAGCCCAGCTACAAAGTACTTTCTTATCAATATTAATGCCAAAATAAATATTAATGGAGGCTTCCCGGCATACCATTTTTGAATGTGCCCTGTTTTCTTTGTATTTTAACACAAATAGCTGGAAATGACTGTGTGATTTTTTTCTTTCCCTCTCCTTCACACTTTTTCTCCCTTTGAATCTAAGAAGGAATTTGGAAAAGACCATTAGCTTTACTGCTGCCCGTTGTCACAGCAGCAGTGTTTCTATAAGGCAAAGGAGGCAAATGAAATGCTGGCTCTAAGAGGTATACAGCTTCCAATAAAATATATGATTAGAATTGTAATGTGCAGTACATCAGCTATTGTTACAGAGTCTTTACTGCATTGTGCTATGGCAGTTCAATTGGGAAGGAGCCTTCCATGTACAAAGCGCCCGTTAGGAAAGTTGCATTGTTATCATAGCTTCAAAAAAGAAGGTGGTGTGTGGAACAGGGGATATGTGCAACTCTCTGTACTTTCCACTCAGTTTTGCCATGAACGTAAAACAGCTCTAAAGCATAAAGTTTATTAGTTAAATAGAAACACACAAACACACATATACACACAAAGAGGGTGCAGGCAGGTTGGGTTGCGGTGGAGGAACAAAGAGGGCTAAGTGTTGAAGGCACTGGATTCAGCTACCCAGGGCCTAAAGTGTGAATGAACTGTAATTTTTCATAGTTTGTGCACTATAGGGAAGAGGGAGTAACTGGGGAGATGGGCCAGTCAAAGAGAAAGTCAGGGTCTGGCTCATCATTATTTATGGGAAAGATTAGGGGAGGGTTACTGCACAAGGATCCAGAGTGAGACCCACAGCGAGAGTTCTCAGACATCTGTGCAAGGCAACTGCTTCCATGAGCAGCACCAAGAGACCACATGCTCCAGGAAGATGCACATGGAGCATGCCAGCTGACTAAGTGTGCAAGGCCGGCTTCAGGAGGGTCTCCATGCTCTGGCAAGAGCAGGCACAGCCTCCAAGGCCAGAAACCCTCCCTGCATCGACTTGCCATGCAACCCTGAGCAAATCACTTAATTTCTTTTGTCCCTATTCTCTATCCTGTAAAATAGTTGATGATATCATAATAACAATGAACTACATTACAACATATTTAATGGATCAGGTGGAGTATGGATGACAAAAAGGTGAGCAGTGTTTCAGCAGTGTTAAACTTTTGGAGTGCATTTATGATCATTCTCACATTTATTCTCTCCACAGAACAGTGCATGGGTCTTGCTATGCCCATTTTATAGAATAGAAAAGTGAGGCACAGCTACTTAACCCAGGTCGCACAGCTAGATCACAGAAACACTAAGACTGGCCCCTAAGCCTCCCTTCTGATATACTTTCTGAACTATGAAACTTGAAAAGTCACCATCCCCTATTTGAACAGCAGGAGTAGGCACAGGTGACCCAGTGGACCCAGAAGTGCATCACTACCCTGAACTTGACTTGCTGCAGGACCTCTGATCACATCCCCTAAGTCCCTGGCCCTTCTCTCCAGCTCAGACCTGCCACTGTGAGGGGTTCCTGGGACCAGCAGTGTTCAGATAGACTAGCTGGGGGATCCCAAGGCCCCGAATGCCTAGGATAGACATCTCTCGGCTGGCTTTATGCAGAGCAAACTATTCTGAGGCTGAAGGGGCGTTGGATGCCACGGTCCGTCCCGCCTGCTTTCTGGGTGCTGCTCTCACTTTGCAGACTGCTCACAACAAACAGCAACCATCTATTTCATTCTGACCGGTTCTCACACTAGAACACTTAAATCCATTCTTTCTTTCTCTTGCTTTCTCAAAGCAAAAGAATCCATAAGGCAAAAGGAAATAATCACTGTATCTCAGACTCACAATAATGGAGCATAATTGCTATTTTCGTCTTGGTACTTGACACACATCATCTCACTTCTTCATCAGAATAGTGCCACAAAGTTGTCAGTATTGTTTGTTTTCATTTTCCACAGATGAGTGAATTGAGGTTCCAAGAGGTTAAATCTTTGCTCAGGGTCACACAACTGGTAAGTCAATAAGCTCAGCTTTAAAGCCCTGATTTGGCTGGTTCCAAAGCCCAGGTTTCTCCAGAAAATGTGATGCTCTTTCTGGGATGGCCCTGAAGAGTCTCTGTTTAACAATGCAAGAGAGTTGGCAATCTATTTTTTAAAGTCTTTTATGAAAAATGATCAAGTTTTTCTAATGATACTTTAAGAAAGGAAGAATGTAAATACTATTATGTGTTGTAATTCACCTTTTCTTACAAGGATTTTTTTCTAAAAGCCCCAAGTAGTTTGGTACAGAGTCAAATACCTGGAGCTGGAATCAAACTGGCTGGAGTTCCAGGCCCTGCCCCACCAAGGGCTAACATTCAAACTTTAACATTCTTGTGCCTCATTGCACTCAAGTTCATGTAATGGTAATAACAATACTTTGCTTGTAAGGTTGTTAGGAATATTGAAATAACGTATGGTGCCTTAGCCCATAGGCCTCAATACTTGAGGCTTCTTATTGGTAGTAATAGTAGTATCAACATAACAATGTACATGATTGACTTAAAGTAATTAAACTATGAGACACCAGCCAGCCAGTGTCATAAAATAGGCAGATCACGACAGAGAGGGTGCTTTATTACTCTTAGTAACTACCAAAATGATATTGTTAGTTGCTAGAATAACCTGCAGATTATAAATAGGGAGCTGCAAACACACATGGGACCAGGGGCTCTCTTCAAAGGGTTGCTGTTTCAGATAGAGGGCAAGAGTGACTTTGAATCTGGCAGTCTCTGTGGCATCTGCTTATGGGAGGTAGTACTGAGAGATGTCTTGTTTCTTGGCCAGGGTGACACGATTTGTGATTTATGCCCCTTATCACACCAGGGCTCAGCAAGCAGCAGCCTCTCTGCAGGGGAGACGCATGGCATTGCCATCACACGGAACCCGATTGTGCCATCTGGCAACAATCGGATTTCGTGTGATGGCAGAAATGTACATATACTTTCTGGAATTGATGCAGAAAAAGTGGTTTTAAATTTTTTTATTAACATATATATTTGACAAGCCTATAGATTCATGTTACTAATACTAGGATATATGATCTCTTAAAAGAAGACACATTGAACCACTTTCATAAACACTATAAAAAGTAAAGGACTACATATAAATCCCACATTTTGAAGCATCAAAAACAACAATAATTGCTTTAATTTCATGCTCTTGCACTTATATCATTTGTTCCCACTTTTAATCTGTTAGCTTAAAATCTTCAGCTTCTTTACGAGTACTTGTGTAAAAGTTGACTGAAGCTTACTATTCAGTACGTATGATGTATGTCAAATCAAATATACTATCATTTGCTAACAGTCACTTATAGACAGCAGAGCTCAGTTAAAATCTACCAGTAATTAGAGTCAACACTGGATGTGTTAACAGGGCCCATGTTAATGGATGTGCTAATTATTCTTCTCTGCGACAGACCCTGGCACCTGTTTGGTTTCAAGTTGGGACAAAGAGAGATTCTAGAATGATAGAGGAAGGAGGTCATCCAGGCCAATCCCTTCATTATACACAGGCAGAGTTTCAGAGTCCAAGATACACATCAATTATGGGATCTCTGTTTCATGAGAAATGCTAAGAAGATAATAAAAATAAACTACTACAGTGTGAATACTTAAAACTGCACATGGAAAGGGGAATCATTCATTAATGGGGAAAATACAAAGAGTAAGAATAAATGGCTCACCCTAAGATTGAAGTGATTAATAGGAATTCTCCCTTGGGATCCATCAATAGCAGGACCATTATTCTCTGGTATATTTATTAACAACCTGTAAGATGAATGAGGTGAGAAATAGTTGAATTTGATGACAAAATGGAAAGATTTAGGAAAATAGTAAACTATTATAGGAAAAAAATCTGAGAAAACCCTATATTAAACTAAAATAAGGGGGAAAAAAGAAGCGTGGACACATTGGAGCCTCTCGGAAAAAAAAAGAAAGTTATTGTGCATTATTCAGAAAGAATCTCTTCTGAATATTCAAGAGCAGACTGAATTTGATGAAGGACTCTGAGAATTGCTGTGAATAATTTTGTTAATAAATAAGCACAGACTGAACTAGTAGACACCCATTCTGTATGAGATAAAAAATAAGTCAGCTTCTGCCATGCCATGACCAGCCCATTCTGGTTTTTAGGGCTCTATCACTTCTGGCCTCTTAGGACTCTTCCTTAACTTATCCATCACGTCAGACTTCTCTGCAACTCTTAACCCCTCCAGCCTTACTAATTTGTGCCTAACTGACACCCGGAACCAGACACAGCTAACAATCTCCAAAGTGGTGCACCTACCTATGCCCTTCACATGCAAAATATTTAGAGCCAAAAGAATGGACCACCTGCTTCCTGAATGATCAAGCAAGATGAGAAAGCACAAAGTGTTAGGTACACAGAATGTACGGCTGCCTTGCGTTGTGAAAATTTGCTTAGAAATTCCAAGTTGTGAGTAAATGTGAAACCTCCTCTAATTGCTCATAGTCCCATCAGTAGCATCTGCCAGCAGGCATAGGAGCTCTTTTTTTTCTTTTTCCACTCAAGTCACCACTGGATGTGGAAGCCATCTTTCCCTCTTTGTTCCACCACTGACACAGGTGACCATGGCACTGCAGATGGCTCCTACCATAGCACTGTGGGCTCTCACATCTTGCTTATATTTCAAGACAATGTGAAAGTATGGGAAGAGAGAGACACAGCAATAGGCATCTGTCTTGGGTGAGTAGGAATTTCCATGTGTAACATGTCCTGACTTGCTGAGAATCTTTGTGCCTTGTGGGAGGCTCATTTGATTCTGCTCCACCTCCATGGCTTGCTTCTCCAGGTGTTGTGAGCCAGCTCCTCACTGATGTGTCAACACACCTGATTAGCCTGCAGTGGCAGGGTTTCCACACTTTCTGGAGAATACCCTTCATTTCTCTGGATGGAAGCCCAAAAGATTAAAGTCCATTAAGATGTCAAAGGAAAATAGAACTTTAATACCCTTAGCTAATGATCTTCTGGCAGGCTGTCTCTTTCTCCCTCTGTCTCTGTCTCTCTCCCCCTGCTACCTTGATATATACACACAAACTAGGTATTTATTATATATTATATGTATTATATATTATATACTAATATATTTTCTGAATACATATATATTAAGAAACAGAATATATATTCAGAAAATATATTTTAGTATATATTATATGTATTAATATAGAACTGTGAGAAATAGAATATATACATACTATTTTATATACTATCTCTATATATATTTAAAATATATGTATGTACAGAGCCTTAGCTCAGGCTACTACAACAAGAATACCAGATAGACTGGTTGGCTTAAACAAAAAAAAACATCTTTTTCTCACAGTTCTGGAGGCTAGAAATCTGAGATCAGGGTGCCAGCATGGTTAGGTCCCGGGAAGGGCCCACTTCTTGCTTTCCTTGTATGGTAGAGAGTGAGAGGAGGCAATCTTACTATTGTCTCTTCCTATAAGGCTACTAATTCCATCATGATGGTTTCACCTTCATGGTCTAATTACCTCCCAAAAGCCCCATTTTCCAATACCATCACATTGGGGATTGGGGGTTTAACATGTGACTATTAAAGTGACACAAACATTCAATCCATAGCATATATATGTGTATGTATATGTATATATTCTTACAGAAGGTAAGATCACGTGGATAAAAACATGTTAAAAAGGAAGCTTCTATATATGCAGAGAGATCACATAAAACTTGTTTTCACATAAAATATGGTTTGTAAAATTTTCTTCAGTTGAATGTCACCATAGAAAGTAACTAAAGTTAGAGTCTAAATTATTTCAACAGTAGTTGTTGAACTTATGAGAATAACAATGAGCCCTGAATAATAGTATTCTTGTATCCAAGGTTCAGCACATACAGCTGTGGGGATAAAGCCTGCTGTGCATGATACAGGCCGGCATAATTGTTCAGTTATGGCACCCAGGTGTCAGCCCTTCCACTAAACTTTATAATATGGTCATGGACACCCCCCAAGGTGTTATGGAAGACAAAAGGGACCATAACCATGAAAATTTATACATGTAATTATCATAGTTCTCATAGCAATAATGTGCATATCTGTTAATTTTTTAAAAGTGTCTCTATACTTCTGGTGGGTGTTTTTTGGTATTATAGTTTAAATTGGGTGTCTCTAGATAAAGTTAGATATTGACCATTGTTGAAAATTACCTGGGGTGACTTTACCACCTGACAGCTTCTTTAACCTAATGAGTCATCAAACACAATTGAACTTGAAATGTCCACCTCTGTTAAATGGGGAAAAAAAAATTGTTAAAGGCTATTAGAATAAAATGAGAATAGAAATATATACACATATATGAGCATTTTATAAATTGTTATGTCTAATATGTACATATGAATACATATATTTATTCCTCCTTGTTAAAATTCTATGTGCAATAGTGGAAATTCAGTATAAAGTAGGACTTTAGTGCATTCTATTAAGGAACATTTACCTGAGGAACTAAGAAGATTTTGCTCAGCAAGGAAACCTTGAATGGGAGAGCTCCTCCTCATAAGAATCTCAAGAGTAATGCTGTAATTGTGAACTTCAGCATGAAAGATACATCTATGATCATGTTTAAGGCATACATATATTTGAAATGAGATATTGTCAAAGGAAAAATCTTCCCCAGTAGAATCATTCATACTTAAGGAACTAATGAGATCATCCACATAGATAATGAATCCATTACTTGAAAGAGAAATCAAATTGTAAATTTATATCCTGTATTTCCACTGATGTATATAAATATTGAATGAAATATGAATAAAAATACCTCACCTTATCACTCATGTGTCCAACTGAACCATTTCCAAAGTAAATAAAAAAAGTCGCGTTGAAATTACTTCTAGTTTTCATGATCTCACTGGGAAGAGAAATAATTTTATTCAATAGTCTGCTGTAACTCTGTCATTATGCTGTAGTGAGGTAATTTGCTAAAACAGCTGCCTCTAATGAGTAAACCTTTCCATCTGGCACATCCAGTATAGATACAAACAACTTCATCAGTTTTAAATAAAAAAGTAAAGAAGAGGAACTCTATTTCATGAAAAAATAAATAATTCTATTTTATGAAGTGGCTCTTGAACTAAACACAGGATAAATGCATTTTGAGGAGAAGACCATTTCTGTTTCTCTTGCTGGAGCCGTTTTGTCTGTTCCCAGGCTAAGAGCTCACAAACTTGTTCCAAATTTCTTTTTGCCATGTTGATAATGTGGATAGATTATAAATAATTATATATAATCTGGAGAGATTATAAAACAATTCAGTATAGGTCTATAATAGATTCAACACACAAGAAAACCTAGACAAAAGGAATGCTCTTGTAATATGTTAACTCAAAACTAGAATGAGTAAACATGTTTTTCATAATATCTACATTTTTTAACTTATCTTTTATTCTGAGAAATTATTATTAGGATCTTAATGTAAAGCCGCATTCCATTCAGAAATCCTTGATACCTCACGTGGAACTTTGACTAGCAGATATTCAAAGAAACTTTTGCTACCTGAATAATTGGTGGAAAACTGCATAACACTATAATCTTCTTAACTGCTAATTATTTGGGGTCAGTTTTTATAAAATATTAACTCTTCCCTTTACCATTGTGATAGTTAATACTGAGTGGCAACTTGATTGGATTGAAGGATGCAAAGTATTGTTCCTGGATGTGTCTGTGAGGGTCCGAAGGAGATTAACGTTTGAGTCAGTGGGCTGGGAAAGGCAGACCCACCATTAATCTGAGTGGGCACCATCTAATCAGCCACCAGCATGGCCAGGATATAAAGCAGGCAGAAAAATGCGAAAAGACTAGCCTGGCCTAGCCTCCCAGCCTACATCTTTCTCCCATGCTGGATGCTTCCTGCCCCCAAACATCGGACTCCAAGTTCTTCAGTTTTGGGACTCAGACTGGCTCTCCTTGCCCCTCAGCTTGCAGTTGGCTTATTGTGAGACCTTATGATCACGTGAGTTAATACTTAATAAACTCCCCTTTATATATTTATCTATGCTATTAGTTCTGTCCCTCTAGAGAACCCTAGCACAACCATGTATCTGTTACTATTTTTCAGCAAATATCTGGGCTTAGATTTGAGTGACCAAATTGTCTATTTTACTTTATTTTTAACTACAGACATTTTGACTTCTGGTGAATGAAGTGCAGGCTGCTCAATTTTTCTTTTTCATGAAGCTGATTTATTTAGGCTTAGTTTTAGAAATATAGGTATTACAATTTCTCAGGTTCCTAACACTGCATGCTTCCTAGGTTAAAATAAAGTTTAGATATATATGGAATTGTGTAGAAAAAAGTCATAGGGTTTAGGTTAGAATCAGATTTCATAGCACTGATCTTACTAAAATGTTTTCTAACCAAAGGCAAGCTAACTGTTCATTAAAATGGAAGCCACTGAGATGAATATGTCAGGGATTCTCAATCCAAGTGCTGACATTCTGGCTAAAAGAGCAGTAAGAGATGGATGATATAGGCACAGTCTTGGCATGTCTGAGCCCTGTGCCAGAAGGTTATCAGCCCTTTTGGGGGAGATAATATCTGCAGCTTTAATTTTCTCTCTGACTACCAGGCATAATGTAAAATTAATGTGCATCATGTCAAGGTTATGGCAAGGCATTGTTGTCTGGAAGGGAAAACTGTTTGCTCCCCCGCCCTCCAAACACTTGCACATACCGTGATAATACATTATTAAAAAGCACATTTCTTTGTCATTGTCAATAGTGGTGAGCCAGTAAAGGATATTTTCCAGCACTCATTATGCAGGAGGAAGTTAAGAGACTTCTAAAACTCAGTCTTAAAACAAAGAACATACTTTGTTTATTCATAAAACAAAAATAGTTCCATCTTATCTAGCATTAATAAAAATAAAGTCAAACAAGACATTTGTTCAATTACCTTCCTGGTATTTGAATTGTAAATCAGTAATTCTTGGACTTTTACCTGATCCTACAAACCAGTGATGGGTCTCCAAATTTGTATTTTTGTCCAGAACCATCCCCAGACCCAGATGACTCTAAAATAAGCAGCTGGTAGAGAATTATGATTCTGCCTGAAAAAGATAGGAAAAGCTTTATAACAATAACATCTCTTGTATTCCCTCATCATCTGACTCTTCTCATAGGTCTAGCCTTATACACAAACTCACAGATGGAAGAAAACTCCAGTATTTTTTATGATAAAGATGTGTTCCTTGAGGGTAGAACAGAGGATTATAAACATTTTCCTAATGGAAGAAATCTATAGATAGGCAGAACCAAAAGGAAATAAATGTTTGCTAAATAAATTTCAAAAGAACAAGATTAAATTCAAGCAAATGAGTTATAAGAATAAAATTATGGCAAAAGGATTGTTATAAAAACCAATGTCCATGCTACAGTTTTGTTAACAGTGATGAAAACAAAATGTGCCCTCTTATCTGATTTAAAGTGTTGAAAGATGAAGATAGATCCCTTTTCCCTGAACATATTAAATTCAAGTCTAAATAGTCCTCCAAAAGTAAATTGATTTTAACCTTGCTCACATTTTCTCTACTTCTCTCTTCAGTAGCTAATAATGTGTAGTATTACATGTGGATTAGGCACAATACTAGAGCCTTGTGAAGAAGACAGGTCTCTAGGAATATGACATGTGAGAGCCCTCCTGATGTTTAGCTAGGTTTTTGAAAAAATAAATAAATAAATAAACAAACAAAAACTAGTGTAAAATAAAGAGACATAAACTGAATTTAAATAATTAGTACAACCTATTATAAGGAAAAGTCAGGATAATTTTAAGAGCTATCTCAGTTTGCCACATTTATAGCTGCTAGGCGCTCAGGCTTCAGATATTTTGTAGAATCCTTGCCAGGGTCATTCTACCTTGCCTCCATGGGAGCAGGGTGTATTAGTCAGCTTGGGCTGCCATAACAAAATACTACAGACTGAATGGCTTAAACAACAGACACTTATTTTTACCAAGTTCTGGTGCTGGCAAATTTGGGTTTTGGTAAGGGCTGTCTTCCTGGCTCCCTTCTCACTGTATCCTCACACGGCCCTCCCTCTGAGCTTGCTTGCTAATATCTTTTCCTCTTCTTATAAGGTATAGGTATTCTATTGGATTAGGATCCCATCCTTATGAACTTATTTAACCTTAATAACTTCCTTATAGATCCTGTCTCCAAATACAGTCACATTGGAGTTGGGGGTTCCAATATGAATTTTGGGGGAACAAAATTCAGGCTATATTACAGGTTTAAGGAACACTTAAGATGGGACCATAGGTAGCCCATGGGCCACATGTGGATGTGCTAGAACAAGTCCTTCCTTCCTCTCAGTAGATGTAGTTCTGTCCATTAGGGTGGACAGCTATGGATTTGATTCTGGCCCCTAATTACCTTATTAGTCATAAGTTCTTTGCAGGGCACAACTTGTTCAACCAAAAGTGAATTTGAAGAATCCAAAGAGGAGTCTTGGGCAACTTTGGACCTCAATAATGACAAAAAGAGCCTTCAGCAGAGATAACCAGAGGCCAACTTTCAAATATTGGTAGAATAAAAACCTATCCTAAAATATCTCACTTCCATTTTAGACAGCTACTAGATAATCCAGCATGCCAGACATAGAACTTAGATTCCACCAGACTCAGGTTTAGATCAGAATACACCCCCAAGCACCCTGATGCATACCTGAGGAAAACACAGGAGCATCCATAACCCAAGCAGAAATCTACCTAGGATCCAAACTAAGTACATCTATTTATTTAGATCACGGTAGCACAGAGAGCAGCTTCTAATAAAAATCAGCCTAGTCCCTGAGAAGACTTCATTCATGAAAAGTACCAGAGGTCAGGCTTGACCCCCTGGATTGCCCTGGCTGGAGGCTCCTTAAGGAGAACCAGTGTTGTACAATGGATAAGATGCCAGGTTCTGAGGCCAGGTTGTCTGGATTTGAATCCTGGATCTACCCTGTGATGGCTGTATGACCTTGGCCAAGTTACTTAACATTCTATGCTTCATTTCTCTCATTTTAAAAATGGCTATAATTATATTGCCTATTTCAGATTGATTGTGAGGATTAAATAAATGAGTACACATATACTATCACTTATTTAAAATTCTCAAACCAAAGAAGTGAAAACCTAAAAGATTTTTGTGCCCCTTTAGAGACAAAAACTGACAAACTTATTTGGCAGGAAAGCTTGGTTTGGTCTGAAATTAGACTATGTATAATCCTTATTCATCCCACTTAGTGTTAATATTCATATTTTGCTACAGAAATATGAAAATATATTTGATTACAGAGTGCTGCCTCAGACTCAGCTTGAGATATAAGGTTATATTTGGTATACACACCTTTCTAAAATAGGAAAATACAAAATTGGCTCCTAGGGTTGCAGATAAGGAATTGTAGACTTAGAACAGTAACTAGCACTTAGCAAGTCTATTTAAGTGTTAGCTTTTAAAAGACTGTCCTGTGACTAAGTGTTCCACATACAGAAAGGGAGATCAGTGACCCTATCTGCTCCATAAACTTCAACTTCAAGTTACAGAATCATAGGATAATAGAGCTAGGAACAGGCTGAGAGATGATTTTTTCCAGTCACACATTTTGTAGATACCAAAAACAGATACTAAGCTTCTGACCATAAAGGAGTAACAGGGTCCAGATTTACCCTACCACCTGAAATAACCAAAAAATATATTATAAAACAGTTTTCAGTAGGACATCAGTCAATGAAGAACAGTGATCTCAAGGAGATGGAATACAAAAAGGTAAGCCCTATGATTGCCATAGTTAACTGACTGGAGAAAGTTTCCAGGCAAGGACAGGAAATACAGACAGAGCTTGGTAAAGTCCTTGAGTTGTGACCAAAGTGGATAGAGTTTGCAAGTCAGAGAGCTAGACAGAAGAGACATACATAGAGATGGGACTTTGGAGATCAGCAGAGCATCCCCTGGAGTGTACAGCTGAGTGCTATCTATACATGCATGTGAAGAAACTGCCTGAGGCTGGGAAAAGAAACACTCAAAAGAATGAAAAGGAAAAGTACCCAGCACTTACACAGGACTGGGAATTGTGCCTCCTGTTCCCATGAGCCAGAATGAAAAGAAAAAAACAAAACAAAACAAAAAAAACAACAACAAGATTTATGGTGCATTGGGGTAGAATACACAAAAGGATCTTTTCTCAGTCATGGAGAATAATTAGCCCTAGACTGAATACTATTCTGGTTCTGCCTAAAATATCTTAAAAGCAGAACCCACAAGGCTGAAACTGTTTTCTAAATAACTTAAATGAGTCCCAGAACAAAACTTAAGAATACGTATAGGAATATAAAATATTCAGCAGCCAATAAGGTGAAAACCACAAAGTCTGGGATACAATAAAAAAGGACCAAGCATACAAAGAAGCAGGAAAATATGACCCATAACAGGAAACATAGTCAATCAAAACTGACACAGACTTTTCTCAATTCCTCTCACTAAATACAACTAAAAACCCTGGACATTATAGATAAAACAAACATAAGACTCTGAAGGTGGGGAGAAGAAGGCAAACCAGCTAGGGAAGTCAAGACTCAAGGAATATGTTGGTGAGTTCCCTGGGTTTTCTGTTTCCCTCAGATAGCCCAGAGTTGGTGCTCTACAAATGGGAAAGCCAAAATATCAACATCTGCAGGCAAAAATAAGCCTTAACAGAAGCCTTCTGTCTCTAACCAAAGGTCTATGAGGGCAGCATAGCAAGACAAAAAACTTTTAGAAAACAATCGCTGTCTTCAATCAGAGATCACAGAAAAAAACAGCATTCCCACCCCTTCCATTCCAGCAAAGGACCAGTGAGTATTTTTTCCTTTGTGAGGTTTTAATGGGGTATCACAAGATATTTGTTGGGGTAGTATCAGAGAAGGTCAAGACTGGAGCCAGGTCTTTTAACACTGCAAACTGGCAGCAAATCCCCATTTCCCTGAAGTGTCGTGAAGACCAGTGGGGGAAGCAAGATACCTGCACCCCATCCTAGTTAAGCAGCATTGCCCCTTCCCCTGCCAGAGTGGTGTCAAAGAAAGCTACCGAAAACAGAAGGTTTAAATAATTTCTAGAATCTAATAATATAATATGAAAATATTCAGATTTCAATTGAAAATTATTCATCATGCCAAGAACCAAAACAATCTCAAAATGAATGAAAAAAACAATCAATAGATACTATGCTGAAATTACAGGAATGCTAAAATTATCTGGCAAAGATTTTAAAGCAGCCCTGACAAGAGTCCTTTTCCTGAGAAAACAGACTTGAAAAAATGAAAAAATAGAAAGCTTCACCCAGTATATAGAAAGTTTCAGTAAAGAAATAGGAGATATATTTAAAAATTAGAATTTTAGTACTGAAAATTACAGTAATTGAAAGGAAAGCTCTGTTAATGGGCTCAACAGCATAATGAAAGGAACGTAAAAATGAATTTGTGAAATGGAAGACAGAACTATAGAGACTGCCCAATCTGGACAGCAGAGAGGAAGTGGACTAAAACACAAAAATAAAGAGGGCCTTAGTGACCTGTGGGACTATAACAAAAGATCTAAATTTCTGTCATTGAGTCCCAGAAAGAAAGGAGAAAAAAAGGCAGGGCTGAAAAAGTGCTCAAATTAAAAATGGCTGAAAACTTACCAAATCTAGGAAAACATTTGAACATACACTTGCAAGATGCAAAGTGAATGGCAAGCATGATAACACAAAGAAATCTGTTCCAAAACAACTTCTGAAAATTAAAGAAAAAATTTTTGAAAGCAGCCAGAAAAAAAAAATTGACACCTTACCTATAGGGGCAAATATTCAAATGACAACAGATTCCTCATTAGAACTTATGGAAACCAGAAAGAAGTGGCACAACAGTTTTCAAGTGATGAAAGAGAAAAAAACAGAACTGTCAACACAGAATCCTACACCCAGTAAAAATATCTTATAGGAAAGAAGAGAAAAATCAAGTGTTCTCACACGGAAGAAAACTAAGATAATTTGACACTAGCAGACCTACCCTAAAATGACTAAAGAAAATTCAATAAACAGAAAAGAAATCATAAAAAAAGAAGCTTGGAACATCAGAAAGAAAGAGAGAACACGATAAAAATATGGGTAAATAGAAGAGATTTTGCTTCTCTTGAGTTTTCTAAAGTTTGCTTTATGGTTGAAACAAAAATCAACAGTGTCTGATGTGGTCCTAAATGTATGTAAAGAAAACATTTAAGACAATTATAAGTAGGGGATGGTAGAAGAGCATAAAGGTCAGTGATAATTCTATACTTCACTAGAAATGTTAAAATGACAACACCAGTAGACTGCAATAAGTTATGTATGTATATTGTAACACCTAGAACAACCACCACAAAAGCTATAAAAAAAGCACTCAAAAGCATAAATAAATCAAAATCTTTAGAAATGTGCATATAATCCACATAAAAACAGAAAGAAGAAAGTAAAGAAGTGAAACGCAGAGAATAAACAAAAAACAAAATATAAAATGGCAGAATCGAGCCTTAACATATCAATAATTACATTAAATTTAAATGGTTACTACATCAATAGAAGACAGAGATAGGCAGCACTGATTTTAAAAACAACTCCTCCCAACTATATGCTACAAGAAACCCCTTCAAATATAATGATATTGACCAGTTGAAAATAAAAGGGTGGAAAAGACATATCATGCAAACAAGAGAAAAGCAAGAGTGGTTATAGTAATATCAAATAAAGTACCCTGTAGAGCAAAGAAAATTACCAGCTGCAGAGATTATATGTCATGATAAAAGTGTCAATTCACCAAAAAGTCATAGCAATCTTAAATGTATTTACACCAAACAATAGAACTGCAAAATACATGAAGTAAAACTGACAAAGCTGAAAGAAGAAATAAATCCAAAATTATATTTGAAGATTGCAATAACTTTCTCTCAAAATTGATATAACAGCTACATGGAAAATCAACAGTTATACAGAATTCAATAACACCAACAACCAACAGAATCTAATCAACATTTATGAAACACACACCCTACAAGAGCAGAATACATTGTTTTCAAGTGTCCATATAATATATTCTAAGATATGCCATATCCTGAATCATGAATGTAAAAGAATTGAAATTATCCAGATTGTGTTCTCTGACCACAATGGAATAAACTGGAAATCAGTAACAGAAAGATAACAGAAAAATCTCTAAGTACTTGAAAACTAAACAATACATTTTAAAGTAGTCTGTGGGTCAAATACAAAAACTCAAGGGAAATTTTAAAAATACACTGAGAAATAAAAGTGAAAATACAATGTATCAAAATTTGTGGGGCACAGCTAAAGCACTGCTGAGTGGGAAATGTACAGCATAAAATATATACATTAGATAGAGAAGAAATAACAAAAATAATCTGAATTCCCACCTAAAGAACCTAGAAAAAAAAGGGAATAAAATAAACACAAACCAAGCAGTAGGAGGAAAATAATAAACAAGAGAAATCAGTGAAATCGAAAACAGAAAAACAATAGAGAACATCAATGAAACAATGAGATGGTTCTTTGAAAAGATCAACAAAATTGACAAATCTTTGGCAAGACTAAGAAAAAAGAAGAGAAAAAGCAAATGTTGGTTAATTTCAGAAATGAAACAGGACATATTACTACAGACCCTGCAGACATAAAGTGAAGAATAAAAGAACACTATGAACAACTAACGCAATTCACCTTATATGAAATAGGTAGACTGAAGAGCCCTGTAACTATTAAAGAATTCAATATTGATTTAAAACTATCCCAAAAAGGAAATCTCCAGACCCAGATACTTTTACTAAAGGATTTTACCAAATGTGTAAAGAATAATTCACAACAGCGTTATAAAATCTCCTCCAGAAAACAGAAAAGAAGAAAATACTTCCCATTTTATGACATTAGTTTAATGTCAAAAATAAACAATGATGGTACAAATAACAGAAAACTACAGACCAATATCCCTCATGAATAAGAGGCAAAAGTCTTTAATAAAAATTTTAGCAAATAGAATTCAGCAACTCATAAAAAATTATACACCATTACCAAGTAGAGTTTATTCCAGAGACAGGTGGCTAAATACTCAGCAGTCAATAAATAAATGTAATTCACCTTATTAACAGGCTAAACAAAATCACATGTTGGTATCAGTCAGCAGAAAAGCATTTTACAAAATTTAACACCTATTCATGATTTTTAAAACTCTCAGGAAAGAAATGGAAATGGAGGAAATCTTCCTCAACTTGATAATAACATCTACAAAAAACTTAGAGTTAATATTACACTTAATGGTGAAAGATTAAATGCTTTCTCCCTAAATCAGGCCAAAAGCACATATGAGTTGGGCTAGTGGCACACACACCTTTAGTCCTAGCTACTTTAGCTACTTGGGAGGCTGAGGCAGATTACTTGAGCCCAGAAGTTCAAATCCACGTTACCCTGTCTCAAAAAAAAAAAAAAAGTCTTCTTTCAGAAGTCATATTCAAGACAATGCTAGACCTTCTAGCCAGTGCAAGAAGATGAGAAAAGGAAACATAAGGCATCAATTGAAATGAAAGATATTAAACTGTTCCTATTTGTAGATGACATGATTTATTTATATAGAAAATGCTAAGGAATCTATAAAAACAAAACTCCAAGAACTAATAAGGTAGTTCAGCAGATCTCAGAATACAAGATATATAAACATCAATTGAATTTTTATATACTAGCAATAAACATGTGGGCGCCAAAAATGAACATACAACACTACATAAAATTATTCAAACAAATACAATTCCTAGGTGTAAATCTTACAAAATATGTACAGGACTTGTATGCAGAAAACTGCACAACACTGAGGGTTTTAATCATAAAGGGATTCTGGATTTTGTCAAATTCTTTTTCTGCATCTATTGAGATGATTGTGATTTTTTATTTTAATTCTGTTTATGTGGTGTATCACATTTACTGATTTGCATGTGTTAAACCATCACTGCATCCCTGGTACACTTGATCATGGTGGATTATCTTTTTGATGTGCTGTTGGATTTGGTTAGCTAGCATTTTATTGAGGATTTTTGCATCTGTGTTCATCAGGGATGCTGGCCTGTAGTTTTCTTTGTTTGTTATGTTCTTTCCTGATGTTGGTATTAGAGTGATACTGGCTTCATGGAATGATTTAGGGAGGGTTCCCTCTACCTTGTGGAATAATGTCAATAGGATTGGTACCAATCCTTCTTTGAATGTCTGGTAGAATTCTGCTGTGAATCCGTCTAGACCTGGATTTTTTTCTGTTGGCAATTTTTTTTAGCACCATTTCAATCTTGCTACTTGTTATTGGTCTGTTCAGAGTTCCTATTTCTTCCTGGTTTAATGTAGGAGAGTTGTATATTTCCAGGAATTTATCTGTCTCCTCTGGGTTTTCTAGTTTGTGTGCATAACAGTATTGACAGTAGGCTTGAATGATCTTTTGTATTTCTGTGGTATTAGTTGTAATATCTCCCATTTTGTTCTAATTGAACTTATTTGGATCTTTTCTTTTCTTGGTTAATCTTGCTAATGGTTTATCAATTTTGTTTATCTTTTCAAAGAACTAGCTTTTTATTTCATTTATCTTTTATATTTTTTTGTTTGTTTCAATTTCTTTTAGTTCTGCTCTAATCTTTGTTATTTCTTTTCTTCTGCTGTGTTTGGGTTTGGTTTGTTCTTGTTCCTGTATTTCCTTGAGGTGTCACTTTACTTTGTCTTATTTGTGCTCTTTCAGAGTTTTTGATGTAGGCATTTAATGGTGTGAACTTTCTTCTTAGCACTGCTTTTGCTATATCTCAGAGGTTTTGATAGGATGTGTCACTATTATCATTCAGTGTAAATAATTTTTTAATTTCATCTTGATTTTATTGTTGACTCAGTGATCATTCTAGAGCAGGTTATTTAATTTCCACGTATTTTTATGGTTTTGAAGGTTCTCTTTGGAGTTGATTTCCAATTTTATTCCACTGTGGTCTGAGAGAGTACTTGATATAATTTCAATTTTCTTAAATTTGTTGAGACTTGTTTTGTGGCCTATCATACACGGTCTATCTTGGAGAATGTTCCATGTGCTGATGAATAGAATGTGTATTTTGCAATTGTTGGGTAGAATGTTCTGTAAATATCTGTTAAGTCCATTTGCTGTAGGGTATAGTTGAGGTCCATTGTTTCTTTGTTGAGTTTCTGTCTTGATGATCTGTCTAGTGCTGTCAGTGGAGTATTAAAGTCCCCCACTATTATTGTGTTGGCATCTATCTCATTTTGTAGGTCTAGTAGTAATTGTTTTATAAATTTGGGAGCTCCAGTGTTAGGGGTGCATGTATATTTAGGATTCTCATATTTTACTGTTGAATTAGCCCTTTTATCATTATATAGCATCCCTCTTTGTATTTTTTAACTGTTGTTGCTTTACAGTCTGTTTTGTCTGATATAACAATAGCTAGGCCTGCTTGCTTTTGGTGCCCATTTGCAGGGAATATCTTTTTACACACCTTTACCTTAAGTTTATGTGTGTCCTTATGTGTTAGGTGAGTCTCTTGAAGACAGCAGATACTTAGTTAATTCTTATCCATTCTGCCATTCTGTATCATTTAAGTGGAACCTTTAGGCTATTTACATTCCACGATAGTATTGAGAAGTGAGGTACTATTCTGTCCATTATGCTAGTTGCTGCCTGAATACCTTATTTTTTATTCATTGTGTTATTGTTTTATAGGTCCTATGAGATTTATGCCTTAGGAGTATTCTATTTTGCTGTATTTTGAGGATTTGTTTCAATTTAGAGCTCCTTTTAGCAGTTCTTGTGGTGCTGGCTTGGTAGTGGTAGAGGTGAATTCTCTCAGTATTTGTCTAAAAAACACTGTATCTTTCCTTCATTTATGAAGCTTAGTTTTGCTGGATACAAAATTCTTAGCTGATGATTGTTTTGTTTAAGGAGGCTAAGATAGGGCCCCAGTTTCTTCTAGCTTGTAGGGCTTTTGCTGAGGAATCTGCTCTTAATCTGAAAAGCTTTCATTTATAGGTTACCAGATGCTTTTGCATCATAGGTCTTAAGATTCTTTCCTTCGTCTTGACTTTAAATAACCTGATGATTATGTCCCTAGGTGATGATTTTTTGTGCAAATGAATTTCCCAAGTGTTCTTTGAGCTTCCTGTATTTGGATGTCTAAATCTCTAGCAAGGCCATGGAAGTTTTCCTTGATTATTGCCTCAAATAGATTCTCCAGACTTTTAGATTTCTCTTCTTCCTTGGGAACACCAATTATTCCTAGGTTTGGTTATTCAACATAATCCCAAAGTTCTTGAAGATTTTCTTCATTTTTTAAAATTCTTTTTTCTTTGTCTTTGTTGGATTGGGTTAACTCGAAAGCCTTGTTGTTGAGCCCTGAAGTTCTTTCTTCTACTTGTTTAATCCTATTACTGAGACATTCCAGTGTATTTTGCATTTCCCTAAGTATGTCCTTCATTTCCAGAAGATGTGATTGTCTTTTATTTTTGCTACCTATTTCTCTGGTGATTTTTCCATCTATATTCTGTAACTTTTTTTTTATTTCTCAAAGTTGGTATTCACCTTTCTCTCGTGTCTCCCTAAGTAGTTTAATAATTTGGACTTCTGAATTCTTTTTCTGGCAGTTCAAAGATTTCTTCATGGTTTGGATCCATTGCTGGTGAGCTAGTATGATCTCCTGGGGGTATTAAGCAACCTTGTATTGTCATTACCAGAATTGTTTTTCTGGTTTCTTCCCATTTGGGTAGATTATGTCAGATGGAAGATCTGGGCCTCAACAGCTATTGTTCAGATTATTTTGTCCCACGGAGTGCTCCCTTGATGTGGTGCTCTCCCCCTTCCTCTAGGGATGAGCCTTCCTGAGAGCTGGATTGCAGTAATTGTTATTGCTCTTTTGGGTCTAGCTGCCATTGGGGTCACTGGGCTCCAGGCTGGTACTGAGGAGTGTCTGTAGAGTCCTGTGATGTGATCCACCTTCAGATCTCTCAGCTGTGGATACAAGCACCTGCTCCAGTGCAGGTAGCAGGGAAGTGAAGTGGATCCTGTGAGGGTCCTTGGTTATAGTTTTGTTTAGTGCACTGGTTTTATGTTGGGTGGCCTCCAGCCAGGAGGTGGCACTTTCAAGAGAGCATCAGCTGATGTAGTATAGGGAGGATACAGCTTGCTCTAGGGTTATCTGGATAAGTATTTGCATTTCTCAGATGGTGGGCACAGCCATAGAGCTTCTAAGAGATTATGTCCTTTGTTTTCAGCTACTAAGGCAGGTAGAGAAATATCATCAGATGGGGTCAGAGTTAGGCGTGTCTGAGCAGGGCTTGCTGTGGCCATTGTATTAGATGGGTGTATGGTTCTCAGGCCAATGGAGTTATGTTCCCAGAGGGATTATGGCTAACTCTGCTGTGTTATACAGGTTGCCAGGGAACGGGGGGAAAGCTGGCAGTGGCAGGCCTCACCCAATTCCCACAGAGCACTAAAGGCCAGTCTCACTCCCAGGGTGCCTCCTTCAACAGCCCAGAGTTTATTTCCAGGCAACCAGTGAGCAGGGCTGAGAACATGTTCTGGGCTATAAGCCTCCCCACTAAGAAAGCAAGCAGGGCTTTCAGGTCTCAGGCCTCCCCACCTGTCTTGGTTTCCATACTCATATCTGCACACCCTGTTTGCCTCCTCCCTTGGATTCTGTCCAGGAAACCTCACATTTGGTTGAAATTATTACAAATTTCAGCTGGAAGTTTCCTTCTCCCTGTGGTCTTTCCCTAATGCCACTGGCAGCCCTCCCCAAGAACACCTATGAGACAGTCAGGAATAACTTCCCTGGGGACCAAGAGTGTCCACAGGGTACTTTCTGCTGCTTTCTCTACCCCTATATTTTGCTCAGCTTTCTAAATTTTTCTCAGATCCAGGTAAGGTCAAATACTTCTCCCATGAACTGAACCTATAGGTTCTTGAACGGGGATGTGTGTTCAGGGACGGATGTTTCCCCTCACATTTTGGGCACTCATAGTTTTTCAGCAGATTCATGGAGCCTGCAGTGGTAAACCACTTCCTTCCAAGGGTCCGTGGATTGTCTTGGCTTTCCCGGTATGTACCTGTGGTAGTTCCTGAAGCAAAAGTTTACAATGTGAGTCTCCACACACTGCTCTATCTGTCTCAGTAGAAGCTGCAAGTTAGTCCTGCCTCCTATCTGTCATCTTTTCTCCATATTCCAGCATCTCTTTATGATTAAAACCCTCAGCAAAATTAGAATAAGGGACACACCTTAAAGTAATAAAAGCCATTTATGGCAAGACAACATTATACTGAACAGGGAAAAGTTGAAAGGAGTCCCCCTGAGAACCGGAACAAGACAAGGATGTCCACTTTCACCACTTCTATTCAACATAATACTGGAAGTCCTAGCCAGAGCAATCAGAAAAGAGAAGGAGATAAAGGGCATCCAAATAAGTAATGAGGAAGTCAAACTGTTGCTGTTTGCTTATGATGTGATTATGTACCTAGAAACCCCTAAAGACTCATCCAAAAAGCTCCTAGAACTGATAAATGAATTCAGTATGTTGCTGGGTACAAAACTAACATACACAAATCAGTAGCACAGCTATACACCAACAATGACCAAGCTGAGAATCAAATAAAGAACTCAAACTCTTTTACAATAGCTGCAAAAAATAAAATAAAATACTTGGGAATATGCCTAACCAAGGAGGTGAAATACGTCTACATGGAAAACTACAAAACATTGCTGAAAGAACTCATAGATGACACAAATAAATGGAAATGCATCCCATCCTCATGAAGGGTAGTATCAATATTGTGAAAATGACCATACTGCCAAAAGCAATCTACAGATTCGATGCAATTCTCATCAAAATATTATCAACATTCTTCACAGAACTAGAAAAAACAGTCTTAACATTCATATGGAACCCAAAAAGAGCCCACACAACCAATGTAAGATTAAGCAAAAAGAACAAATCTGGAGGCATCATGTTACCCACTTCAAACTATAATATAAGGCTACAGTCATCAAAGCAGCATGGTACTGGTATAAAAATTGTACATAGACCAATGGAACAGAATAGAGAACCCAGAAATAAACCCAAATACTTACAGCCAACTGATCTTTGGGGAACATCAAGTGGGGGAAAGGACATCCTATTCACCAAATGGTGCTAGGATATGTAGATGTATGAAACTGGATTCTCATCCCTCACCTTATAAAAAAATCAACTCAAAATGGATCAAAGACTTAAATCTAAAGCCTAAAACCATAAAAATTCTAGAAGACAGCACTGGAAAAATCCTCCTAGACACTGACTTAGGCAAAGACTTCATGACCCAGAACCCACAGTAAACAGACAACTCATAGAGTGAGAGAAAATCTTTGCAAACTATGCATCTGACAAAGGACAAATATCCAGAATCTACAAGGAACACAAATCAGCAAGAACAAAACAAACAATCCTATGAAAAAGTGACCTAAGGACATGAATAGGCAATTCTGATATACTCATCTGACAAAGGTCTAATATCCAGAATTTACAAGGAATTTAAACGAATTTACAAGAAAAAAACAAACAACCACATCACAAAGTGGGCAAATGATGTGAACAGACAATTTGCGAAAGAAGATATTTATGCAGCCAACAACCATGAAAAAAAGCTCAACATCACTGATCATTAGAGAAATGCAAATCAAAACCACAAGATACCATTTCACACCAGTCAGATTGGTGATTATTAAAAAGTCAAGAGATAACAGATGCTGGCACATCTGTGGAGTAATAGGAACACTTTTACACTGTTGGTGAGAATGTAAATTAGTTCAACCATTGTGGAAGGCAGTGTGGCAATTCCTCAAGGATCTAGAACCAGAAATACGATTTGACCTAGCAATCTCTTACTGGGTATATACCCCAAGGAATATAAATCATTTTATTTTAAAGATACATGCACATGCATGTTTATTGCAACACTACTCACAATAGCAAAGACATGGAACCAACCGAAATGCCCATCAATGATAGACTGGATAAGGAAAATGTGGTACATATACACCATGGAATACTATGCACCCATACAGATGAATGAGATCATATTCTTTGAAGGGACATGGATGAAGCTGGACACCATTATCCTCAGCAACCTAACTCAGGAACAGAAACAAAACACTGCATATTCTCATTCATAAGTGGGAGATGAATAATGAGGACACATGGACACAGGGAAAGGAACAACACACACTGGGGCCTGTTGGAGTTAGGGGAAAGGGGATGGAGAGCATCAGGACAAATAGCTAATGCTTAAAACTAGGTGATGGGTTGATAGATGCAGCATACCACCATGGCACATGTATATGTAACAAACCTGCACATTCTGCACATGTATCCTGGAACTTAAAGTAAAAAAATTAAAAAAAAGGAGATACACAAATGGCCAACAAACATATAAAAAATACTTAACATCACTATTTATCAGGAAAATGCAAATCAAAACCATAATGCAATACCTTCTTATTCTTGCAGGAAAGGCCATAATCAAAACACTTAAAAAAATAGATGTTGGCATAGATATGGTAAAAAGGGAACACTTTTACACTGCTAGCGGGAATGTAAACTAGTACAACCATTATAGGAAATAGTGTGGAAATTCTTTAAAGAACTAAAAGTAGATCTACCATTTGTTCCAGCAGTCCCACCACTGGGTAACTGCCCCAGAGGAAAAACAGTCATTACATGAAAAAGACACTTGCATATGAAGGTTTATAGCAGCACAATTTACAATTGCAAAAATATGGAACCAGCTCAAATGCCTGCCAATCAATGAGTGGAAATAGAAAATATGGTGTGTGTGTGTATATATATATATACATATATATATATATATATACATATATATATATATATATATATAGAGAGAGAGAGAGAGAGAGAGAGAGAAAATATGGTGTGTGTGTATATATGTATATATAACATGGAATACTACTCTCCCATAAAAAGGAATGACATAATGGCATTTGCAGCAATCTCGATGGAATTGGAGACCATTATTCTAACTGGATTAACTCAGCAATGGAAAACCAAACATTATATGTTTTCACTCATAAGTGGGAGCTAAGCTATGAGAATAAAAAGGCATAAGAATGATACAATGAATGGACTTTGTGGACTTAGGGGAAAGGGTGGGAGGGGGATGAGGGATAAGAGACTACATATTGTGTACAGTAAACACTGCCTAGGTGAGAGGTGCACCAAAATCTCAGAAATCACCACTAAAGAAAGTATCCATGTAACCAAACCTACCCATTCACCAAAAAAAACTATTGAAATAAAATAAACAAATAAAATATGAAATGTTTATAAGAAGAATATATTGAAATTAAAGCTACTTGAATTCTTGGGTAAAAAAAGAAAACTGCACAACACTGATAAAAGAAATCAAAGGATGTCTAATTAAAAGGAAAGTCATTCCATTCATGGACTGAGAGACTAAACATAGTAAAGATGTCAATTCTCCCTAAATTGATATATGGATTTTTTTGCAGTAACTATAAAAATCACAGTAAAACTTTTTGTAGATATAGAAAAAAATTCTAAAATTTATATGGAAAGGTAAAATATTTAGAATACCTAAAACAATTTTTAAGGAAGAATAAAGTGTGAGAAATTTGATTTATTACATAGTTACTGTAATCAAGATCATATGGTATTTGCAGAGGGATAGACATAGATCATAGGTTAATTGAACAGAACTTACAACCATTAATAGATCCAACTGATTTTTGACAAAAGTGCAAAAGTAATTCAATGGAGAACAGACAGCCTTTTCAAGTAGTTCAGGAGCAATAAAACATCCATAAGCAAAAGCATGAACATCCATTAACCTAAGTGTCACAATCTTTTACAAAAATTAATTCAAAATGGACCAAAGACTTAAATATAAAATGCAAAAGTATAAAACTTTTAGAAAATTAACATAGGAGAAATTCTTCTGGACCTAAGTGGACAAAGAATTCTTACACTTGATACCAAAAGTATGATTCATATAAAGAAAAATTGATAAATTGTACTTCAGAATTAAAAATGTTTGTTCTGCAAAAACTAATAAAATTTTTAAAAGACAAACTACAGAGTGAAAAGAAATATTTGTTAGCCACATATGTGACAAAGAACTAGTATCTGGGAAATAAATAAATCCAATTAGAACATGGGCAAAAGACATGAACACTAATGGCATTTTATCAAAGAAGATATATAGATTTCAAATATATCTATGTATCATAAAAAGATGTTTAACATCATTAGCCATTAAAGAAATGCAAATTAACCACAATGAGATAACACCAGAAGCTATCACAATGTTAAAAAATAGTAACAACATCAAATTCTGGAAAGGATGCAGAGAAACTGGATCATTCATACATTGCTGGATGAAATGTGAAATGGTACAGCTACGCTGTGAAATAGTTTGGCAGTTTCTCAAAAAACTAAACATGCAATTACCATAAGACCCAGCAATTGTACTGCTGGGAATTTATCCCAGAGAAACAGAAACTTATGTTCACACACAAAAAAACATTTACCCAAACATTTATACCAGCCTTATTTATAATAGCCCAAACCTGGAGACAACCCAGATGTCCTTCAGTGGGTAAATGGTTAAACTGTAGTATGTCTACATGATGGGACACTACTCAGAAAGAAATAGAAAGAGCTACTGATACATGCAACAATCTGTATAAATCTCTGGAGAAATATGCTGAGTGAAATAAGCCTACCTAAAAAGTTATATACTATATGATTCCATTTATGTAACATGCTGGAAATAACAATATTATAGAAATGGAGAATAAATTATTGGTTACCTGAAGTTAAAGAGGAGATGAGAGGGAAGTTGTTGTGGCTATAAAAAGACTATGTGAGAGATTCTTGTGGTGATGGAAATGTTCTGTGTCTTGACTATATCAATGTCAATATTTTGGTTGTGATATCGTACTATAATTTTGCAAGCTGTTATCACTGGAGGAAACTAGATAATGAGTACACAGGTCTGTCTGTATTAATTCATACAACTGCATGTGAATCTACAGTTATCTCAAAATACCATATTTAATATTTTAATAACAAACCTATAACTAACTTCTAGAGATTAAAACTGCAATGTATGACATTAAAAAATGCTTTTGAGGGGACTAATATCAGATAAGACATTGAAGGAAAGAAGACTAGTGAACCTGAAACCAAGCAATAGAAACCATCTAAAATGAAACACAGATTAAAAGGGGATATTTAAAAAATAAACTGAATATCAGTGAGATGTGAGACAAATTTCAGAGGCTGAATATGTATGTAATTGGAGTGCCCAAAAGAGGGAGAGGAAGAAGACAGGAAACATTTTGAAAAAGTAATGCCTGAACATTTTCCAAATTCAAGGATAACTATAAGCCCATAGATCTAAGGAACTCAACAATCTCTGAGCAATATACACATGATGAAAACAATGCCAAGGCAAATTAAAAGCATAATGCTCAAATGCCGTAAAAAAGTGTATATATTAAAAAAAAAAAAGGAAAGAAAATGACACATTACATTACAGACAGAACAAAGATAAGGATGACAGCAGACTTCTCAGCAGAAACAATGCAATTGAGAAGACAGTAGAACAACATAATTAAAGTATTCAAAAGAGGAAGAAAAAAAAACAACCTGTCAACCTAAAATTCTTTACCCAGAAAAGTATCTTTCATGAGGCTGAAACAAAGGTAACATAAAGACTTTTTAAGACAGAATTTAGCTGAAAGACTTCATCACTAGTCAACCTACATTCCAAGAAATGTTAAAGGAAGCCATTCAGGCACAAGGAAAATGATGCTAGATGGAAATATAGGTTTACACGAACGCTGAGCACTGGAAATGGTAAATATAAACTTTTTTCTTATCTTTTAAACTTCAGTAGCAGGTAATTGTTTAAACAATAATAAAGACAACATAATTTGTCATTTGTAACATATGTAAAAGTAAAATAGCCCAAAACTTCGAAAAAGCCTACTACTGCATACAAGCAAAGGTATAACAACCTGGATGAATCTCAAAATAATTATGCTGAGTGAAAGGAGACCAAGAAAATAGTATATGGTCAATTCATATGAAATTCTAGAAAGTATAAATTAATGTATAGAGACAGAAAAATAAAAGCAAATTAGTGGTTACTTGAAGATGAGCAGAGAGGTAGAAGATAAGGAGGAGAGGGAGAGATTACCAAAGGGCTAGGAAGGAAACATATATATTTACTACATTAATTCATTTTCACACTGCTGATAAAGACGTACCTGAGACTGGGTAATTCATACAGGAAAAATTTATACAGTTCCACATGGCTGTGGAGGCCTCACAATCATGGTGGAAGGCAAGGAGGAGCAAGTCACATCTTACATGGATGGCAGCAGGCAAAGAGAGAGAGAGCTTGTGCAGGGAAACTCCTGTTTTTAAAACCATCAGATCTCATGAGACTTATTCACTATCACGAGAACAGCATGGGAAAGACCCACCTCCATGATTCAATTAACTACTACTGGGTTCTTCTCATGACATGTGGAAATTGTGGGAGTTACAATTCAAGATGAGATTTGAGTAGGGACACAGCCAAACCATATCAGTGGCATTCATGTCACAGTTACAACTTATAAAACTGTGTATTTTAAATTTGTACAGTTTGTTGTATGTAAATTATTCTACAGTAAAAATATTTTTTAAACATAAACATGTGGCCAGGTTCAGGGCTCATGCACTTTAGGAGGCCATAGCAGGAGTATAGCTTGAGGGCAGGTGTTTGAGGCCAGCCTAGGCAAAATGGAGAGACCCCACTTCTACGAAAAAATTAGCCAGCCTTAGTGGCACATGCCTGTAGCCATAGCTATTCAGGAAGCTGAGGGAGGAGGATTGCTTGAGGCCAGGAGTTTGAGGCTACAGTGAGTTATGACTATGCCACTACACTCCAGCCTGAGCAACAGAGTGAGATCTGTCTCTAAAACAAGCAAACAAAGCATAAAAATGAAACATACTGAAACCACCTGAGGTCAGATAATTTTATAATTTTATATGTATTTGTTTATCTACTTGCTGCTTTTAAATTCTAGCAAATAGACTTTTGGTTCATTTTTAAATATTTAAGTATTTGTTTGAAGAAATTTTTGTTTTTATACTTCTCTATAATAGATGACAACTTTGTGTGGCTCTTCTAGGTATATCCAAAGGTTGCAGACATGATTATGGGCACAGCTAAGACAGAGTGTAAACAAACTAAATGCCGCCAGGGATCGACATCAGCGGCACATTTCTTTGCTGTTATTTTTAGTAAATGAAAGTATTGTGAATATTGAAGTGGCTCTGTCTTTGAATGTGGATCTCTACTATGGATGTAAAACTTTTATCCAGTGCCAAATAATGAAGTGGGAACTGGCTTCTCAAAGTTGTTTTCACTTGTAAGATTGCAAGTAGATATATTTCCATGGATGTTAAATATCAGCTTCTGGGCATTCTGCCATAATTTTAAGACAGCTGAGAAAAGTGATCTTAAAGTGTGGGCCACAGCCTAGTGGTAATCTTTAAAGGTCTTCCACGTGGTTCATGAAGTCATTAAAGGGACAAATCACAGGAAACTCTGGGCACTTTAGTGTTTTTCTCCATTTCAGATTTAGAGCAACATTAAAAGTCACAACAATCATCATTGTTCTTCTCTTATAGCATTAATTTTGATTTAAAAAAAACCATTCAAACTAGATATAAAGGGGCTAACTATGAGTAGCCACTTTTGCATTTTTTTTCCTTAAAGTGTTCTGCAAACCAGCTGCCCCAGAAGTATCTGAAAAACTTAAAAGGCGGATTCTGCTTCCCACCCCAAATCTATATTGGATTATTTAAGGATGAAGCCAGAAATCTAACTTAAACAGACTAGTGATTCTTATGTATACAAAGATTTGAATGCTACAGCTTTGCCCCTGTGGATGGATTTTTACCTGGACAGTAAAATATATTTCATAAAATTAAGAACACACTAGTGTGTTGCTTGACTATGGACTGCATTGTTGGTAACAACCTCTTTCATTCTTCTGTTTATCTTTGGTGTGGTGGACTGAGCTACAATCAGAATTATAAGGTCACATTCAAAGATGATCAAGAAAACCAAAAGACTTCTGAGAAGTGGTTTGAAGAGTGAATGAGGAAGCAGCCGGGCATCTGTTTTACCAGGTTTTGACGAATCAAAGTGAAAGTAACCAGGCACAGAAAGATAAATATTGCATTTTCTCACTCACATAGGGGAGCTAAAGAAAAGTGGATCTCATGAAGATTGAGAGTAGATTGGCAGTTACTAAAGCCTGGGAAGGGGAGGGAGGAGTGCACATGAAGGGGGAGAAATATATAGAGATACATATATTTATTACCAGCGAACTGTATACTTAAAAATGATAAAGATGGTAAATGTTATATGTATATTTTACCTCAATAAAAAATATATTGGAAAATGTACTACCGAATGCTTTACAATGGAAAAAAATCTAATGATCTTAAGCCTAAAGCCCTCATTGAAACAATTATTTTATAATCTAATTTTTTAAATGTGAGAAACTTAAGAAAAAAACTGTAACAGAATAAATTACACAGAAAGATTCCTACAGGCTACTAAGCCTTTATGGACCTAAAACTGCCAAAACTAAAGGGCCAGGGAGGTCACAGTGACCAACAGCAAAGAACCTGGCTGCTCCTGGCCAAGCCTTTAGAAATTACTTATATTTTTATACCTAAAATTTCTCAATCATAAGAAACAAAATTAGCACTATGATAACCTAATAGGCATTTATGTCTGTACATCAACAGCTATAGGGTAAATACAAACTTTGAGCTCACTGGGCTAAGCGACTGATAGTGTAGATGCTACAAAAAGACAAAGGCTAGGTCTAAAAAAACAACAGAATACAATGTATTGTTTTAAATGGAACATATCATCAGCACAAGGAGAAAACAGATTGGGTTCAATGTGCCCTTCCTTTGGGTATATGGTAGGTTCCCCCAGTATCTCTTCATCCACTGACTCACTAGTATACCAGAGTCAGGTAGGAGAGGATAGTTGGTGAGTTTTAAGGGAATAACCCTGGACTTGGGAGCCTAAGCACAGTCTAAACTGTGTCCTGCTGGAGTCCCTAGGTGTGAGGGTCTCAACCTGACATTTGGAAATTTATGTTGCCCCGCCTTGCCAAGTCAAGTCTGCACAGAATGGTGAGCCAGCTTTTGGTGTGAGTGCAAGGCCTAAACCATGAGTTAATAGTGGCAGGCTGTTTCTGTGTGATACTTCACCTTCAACTGTACATGAGAAGAGGAGGCTTAGAAACAACATTAGTAAGCAGAATAAAATAATGTGTATTTATTGTGATTTAAAGAAATCATAGGAAGTAGCCAATTAGTAGATGTTGGAATTAAGGTCACACAAATAGAAATTGTTGCTGTATGAGCCCTCCACATTAGACTGGACTCTTAATTTGTACATTATGTACCCCCTCCTCATCTCTAGATTATTGGGGTTCAGGTGAAAAGAGATCACATTCATGGGAAGTCCTCCCCACCACCTCTTTCCATGTCAAAGTCTTTCTGTCTACCTCAAATACTGCTACTTCCCTGAAGCCACCCTGCCTTCACTCTATCAGAATTATTTTCTTGAAGCCTCTGCTTTGTTCCTTATAGACTTTGCAACTCTTTCATAGCACATACACATTTCATGATGAAGTTATTGCCTGTCTGTCCCCCTTAATTAAACTGAAAGACAAAGTCCATGACTGATTATCTTTGTATCTTCCACAGCACAAAGCACATTACCTTGCACAGAATTGGCATTTGATATTATTTAGTTGACTGAATTTAAAGAGGTCATAAAAATGATCATGGAATTTTCAGAGTAAATACATTTAGCTAGATAAAATAAGGTGTATTTCGTCTGCTTTTAAAAAGTCATAGAAATAGTTCCCAAAGAGGATGTTAGAGTTACCCAGTTTCAGCCAGGATTTACCTAGATCAGAAGCCCAGATCTGCACAGTGTCTTCAGTATATTTAAATGTATTTGAAAAGCATGATTCAAGATCATCATCCTCTCCATCCTGAGAGTTCAAAATATAGTACTTTATATTTATATGTAGCGGCCACACATCTTTTTACAATCACTGTGGTTTTTTGCCCTTCTTTCATTTTTACTTATAGCTAGAAAGTTTTTGATGAAATAACTTGAGTTAAATAGTCTTAATTGATGTCTAATCTCCAAGTGATCAGATCTATTCAAAAGTCTACTACTGTAGACATTTTAGTGGCAGAAATGCATAATTAAACATCTGTCCCTAAATATATAATGCACAGAAAGTAAATAAAATAGAAATTAATGTAAGTATTTTTTAAACTTGGTAAAAAAATCCATTTATTTATGGAAACAATTGAATCATACCATTATTGTAATCAACTTTATAATGGTATGATCTTTTGATCCCTTCTCCCCAAATTAGATAATACATAGACTTAGTTATATTCAGATGTATTTATACAAAGATAGTGCAGTGTGTTTTTATTCTATAGCAACCTATGTCTTAAATGTATACATAAGTTTATAAAGTATATCTACCTTGTATGTAATCTACCTCTAGGGAAGTCATATTTTTTTATTTTTCTCAAATGTAAAGATAAACGAGACAATTTAGAAGTCAGTAATGAGCAGTTAGTAATTTAGGAATGACTAACAGTATCTTCAGCTACAATTTTGGAATCTGAAAACTGCTAGGATCTAGGGAGCAATTTTATTGGCCATTAAAATGTTCTTAAGTTGTCCTATAAAAATATAAAGTTTCTACTGATAAGCAGAGCTATTAGTGGTCAGCTTAATTTTAAACAAATTTAAATATATTAATTTTCCTACTAAATATTTAATTATGTATGCTGATGACAGCAAAGTGATTCTACAGACTAGAATTATCTTGGGGTAATCAAAGCCTCAGGAAAATGAAGGAATTTTGATTGTGGCTGGCTCTTTTAACTCGGAGTAGCTATTTATTTTTTTACAACATAAAAAGCCTGTTTTCTTGCTAGCTGGGCCACATGGGAAATTCAACAGTTTCAGTTCCAGTCAAGAAATATGCATTAGGCACCTTCTACAAGAGAAGTCAGTATAGCACAATGGTTAACAATATGGCCTCAGGACCTAACTGCCTGCTCAGACCCTTGCTTCACCCACTTGGTACCTGGTTGATTGCCAAAGTTACTTAACAACTCTGTGCCTCAGTTTCCTTATCTGTAAAATAGGGATGCTGGTCGTTACAGTACCCATATCATCAGACAAAGTAAGTTTAAAAAAAAGTGCATGAGCTTCTTTAAAAAGTTTTGATGTAAGAGTGCTTGATAAATGTCAGCTGTTGTAATGTGAAAGGCACTGTGTTTGGTGCTAGGCTTACAGGATAAATACAACACAATCTCCTTCCATAAAACAAGGCAATTCTGCAAACCTCAGGCAAATGGCCATCAACTTGGTCTTCATAAAACCACCTGGGAGCACACTACAGGACCACTCTAAGAGGAAATGATGACTTTGTACTTCCAACTTATATACTTTCCTTATATCACAAGTTCCTAAAGAACTTAGTCTTGAGGAAAGAGCTAATTTGAATCTTAAGAAGAAATAACTTTCCTTCTGTTGGTGTTCAGCAGCACCCCAGAGAAAGACATTCCCCAGGAATTACTTTTCTGGTCTGTTACTGTTATAATTGGTTTCCAAGTGTTACCGATCCTTCTCACCAGAAAGTGGCTGGAAAACAATAATTCATTTCTAGTCCTTTCCCACTTGAGACAGAATTTGAGTTTATAAATTCAGCCTTAAAAGATCAATACACACTTCCAAGCCAGCATATCCTCTCATCTTAAAATGGGTTTGTTTTTTATGTATAAAAAGCCAGTGGCTTAACTGAGTAGACACTATCATTTTTACAGGGCTAATTGCATTTGGATAGGGCCCTGGGGGAGGGGAGTGGTGGGCTACGGTAGGCACAGGTAGATGGGGGACATCTGGCATTCTTTGGGAATTGTTGACATTTTGCTTTTTTCCTCTGTCACTCGATAACCCTTCTTCTAACAGTGGTAGACATTCCAAGGTAGCTGGCTTGAGCAAACAAAGAGAACTTACTGGCTCACATTACAAAAAAAAAAAAAAATTCTGGATAAACTGCATTCAGGAGCAGCTGGACCAGACAGAACTCAGTAAGTATCAAGGCTCCATCTCTGCACACGACGGGTATGATGTCCCCTAACAGCCCCAGAGTCCCATCCTGCTAGCTTTGTAACGCCTGCAGAAAGACAAAATGTGCAACTTCTACCCATACCATCTCCCTTCTCTTGGACCATGTGCCCAGCCTTGGACTAATCTTTGTTTCCAGGCAGGTAGGGTACAAGTAAGTCATCTGCCCACCCTTAGAGCAGCACTATTGTGAACTAGATAAGAACAGAAGTCTGGAGACACAATACCCAGGTTTGGATCTCACTTTCACCACTTAACTAGCTGCGTGACATTAGGCAAATCATTTAGCCAAACTGTGCCAAACGGATTAAACTGAGTTTATACATGTAAGGCATTAAGACTAGCACCTGACACCTAATAACCACCGTGCTGACAACTATGATGAAGAGCAGAATGATGGTAGTGGGGATAAGGAGGAAGAAGATGCAGAAAAGGAGAAATCAGGGACTGGTAGCCCCACCAGAAGTACATGGACTAAAGGAAGGACGATCTTGAAAGGAACTCGGGTTCATGGCAGAAAACAAGAACAATGAAAACTAGCAATAACTAGCAGATATTTGTTTGTAGCCCCTACACCAACCTGTTATGCCCTGCTTTGTTCCCTAATAGAAGTCCACGTAGTTTGGGTGCTAGAAATATAAAACCTGGAATGTGATAAGTAAATCTCTGTGGATATCCTTGGTGTTATAAATGTGCTGCTTCTCTGCTTTTAAAAATAAAGCATTTGGGCCAGGCATGGTGGCTCACACCTGTAATCCCAGCATTTTGGGAGGCCAAGGCGAGCGGATCACATGAGGCCAGGAAATGGAGACTAGCCTGGCCAACATGGTGAAATTTTGTAAAAATACAAAAATTAGCCACGAGTGGTGGCATGAGCCTGTAATCCCAGCTACTTGGGAGACTGAGCCAAGATCGCACCGCTGCACTCCAGCCTGGGTGACAGAGTGAGACTCTGTCTCTAAAAAATAAAATAAAATAAGTAAAATAAAATAAAGCAAAACAAAATAAAATAACATCTTGACCTAGTAAAGGCATTGTTTAGGACTTCTCCAAATAACTTCCCATTTGTAATGCTCATCAATTTGTACATGACTAAAGGAATGATACGCATGATTGTGTTGCAGGATGGAAAAAACCTACCTCAGACATATCTTTTTAAAAAAAATAATGTCAATCCCCCCAAACTTCTTTCCTACAGGAAATGAACTGCACGTCAGCTGTGCAGGCAGGGAGAAAGGAGGTGGAAGAGGCAAGGGAGCAAGAAAGGAAGGAGGGAAGCAAAATAAACCCACTCCTGTGTAGAGCGTTGGAAATGTGGCACTAACAAAGACTTCCTGTTCCACATAGAATCAGCGCTGGCAGAGGCGGCATGCAGGGCTGTGGGTGTACTCAGCTGTGCAGAGCTGATTATAGAAGATGAAAGGGCTTGGCAATTTATTTCATCTCACACTGAAGCACTGCTGACAACTGAAAGTGAGGACAGAAGGATTCATTTGTTCAACTTCTGTTTTAAAAAACAGACTTCAAATGATACCACAGAGAAAAAGGAGGAAACGCTGCAGTGTAATAAAATGTCTATTTTTAAAAAACACACTAGCTGCAGCATTTTTATTTCATAGGTGGGTTTGAAGGCAAAGGGGTTGGCTTTTTTGTGGTTGTTATCAATTCCAGGGAATGTGACATGCACGCAGGATCAATTACTAATCAAATAGACCACGTTCACCTAATCTGACCAAAGCTCTCGTGTACATTCATCCTTGAGTCCAAAGATGAGTCACAGTGAGGAAAACCTAACCCTGCAGTGTTTAAATACTTCCTATGCAGGATCTTTATACTAAAACTGAATAAATGTATGATATATGATGGAGAATCTATTTTAAATTTTATAATCCTGGTCATCTTAATTTTTAGTTCACAAATTCAGATTTTCTTCATTTATCTATATGATTGCGTTTGCTTGAATTTTTGGAAGAAAATGTTATATTTCCTTTTAAATAAAATGTGTTATGACTTCTCATCAGCATATTTAATGTTTGAGAATGAGGAATATTTTTCAGTTCAAAGACTCATATAAATTATTGTGAAATCTAATCTACCTAGCAAAGTGGTCTTATCCCAAAAGATTTATAGAGATGGGTAATATCCCATACTGGTAGCACATTAGTTATTTATGATTAATATACAAATACAAATGTTAATGAAAAAGATTTTTAAAAAATTCTTCCTATAATCATTAAAATTAAACTATCAGTAACATGAGCATATTAGCCTTAAGCAATTTCTTAAGCAATTCAGGTAAATGATTGATTCCTTTCTTTGTAATTTATATCAGAAATTTAGTCATATTTACTATTTTAAATATAGGTTTTCTTTGGAGGAACACACCAGAGCAATAGAAATGGAAAAGATTACAGCTAAAATACATTCTCTAGCTCCCCTAGGCCTCTAGAAACCATTAAATTTAAGAGTTCATTTTCTAGCAATATATTTGGAGCACCTGCTGTGTGTCAGGCACTGTTTTAGGTACTAGGAATAACAGCATTTACCAGGAGCTTCTGTTACCAAGCTCACTGTGTGAGGCTGGCAGGTTTACCCTGTCTCACTCCAGGAACAACATCCACATAGACAACAATGTGAGGGGTCTGCCTGGAGTTGGGCAATGCACAGCCCTGCTTATGGTCTAACAGAAAATGTAGAAGTAAACTAACAGGAAATCAGATAAGAGTAAGAATTCAATGTAGAAAATAAAAACCCACAGGTAGCACCATAAAGGATAAGAAGAGGGGCCACATCATAAGAGATTTTAAGAACGGTCTTGCTAAGTAGTAGTATTTAAGCTGAGATTGGAATGATAAGGAAGATCTAGCTTTGTGAAGATCTGAGGAAGAACATTCTAAAGATGAAAACACAAGATGAGCCTGGCAGCCTCTGGGATCAGAGAGAAGACCTGAGCAACTGGAGTGCTGAGCCCAGGGGGAGCAGGGTGGGCCAAAGAAGGTCACAGGTAAGAGAGGGGCCACTCTTCAGAGGGGCTGACAAGCCAAGGAGTTTGACATCTTTCTAAGGACAAAAGGAAGCTCCTGGAGAGTCCCTTCCAATAAGGAGAATGATGTTGGAGTCTCATGTAGCACAAAAGCAGCCCAGCATGGGTGCTCCTGTTTTGTCCTGGATGATTCAGAGCCTCAGATGATGGGATCTGAAGATGAGAAGAGCAAGTAGGGAGATAAACTATAATTGAATGATGATTATTTCATTGAGGTTCTAATTGAAAAATTACAATCCAAACCATACAGAAGCAAACCCAAACCAGTAATATTACATTTGTTTGTCTGAATAATTATTTTTCAAAGACACTCAGACACCAAATTGTACATTTTTGCTCTGCTATAATGAATGGTACTGAAACAAAATGGAAGACTGAACATACTGTGAAAAGAATGTTACAAGTGGTGGTTCATGTGCCAGTGGGCTCTGACCCCAGCGTCCTCTAGTTAGGTTATATAGAGGTAAATATTAAGTGTAATATTGAATATTCAATAATGCTTCAATATTGAGTATGGCTTAATTATACATAGCTTCATATTGCATTGTGTATACCAAAACACACCAAAAAATGTAACCACTTTTCTATATAAGCTACCATTTATAATGTAGCTTATGTGTTTCATTATGTTATGAAAATACCAAAGATACTTAGAAGTGGAAAAGCATATAAATCAGAAATGTTATAGGTAGTCAATAAATGTTTGAACAAATAAGTTAATACCTAGACTTTAATCATTTGTCATTCAATAAAAATGTTATTTTATTGAAATTATTTGAGCTGTAAGTTCATTTGAATAATTTTTCTTGGTTTTTATGATAAAATTTAATTCTATCTAGTATGTAGGGTACATATTATATTTTATTGATAGAGGAAAAATTATATATATGAATGAAACATTATCATTAACAACTCCATTACTCCATTTTAATACATGATATATTGGGGAATATCATAGGTATACTCAGTTTGGGGCATAGATATTACTTTTATAAAGATAACTTGGAGGCAGTAATGATTGATTTAGTTGGAATGTTTTGAGAAAGCTTGTCCTACAGTAAACTTTTCATAAATTTGCCCTCACAAAAGAGTTAAATAATAGGGAAATGCTTTAAAGTTATGTCAAAGATGGTACTCAGAGTAACCAGATATATGAAAAATAAATCACTGACTCAAGCACATGAAAATATCAACAAGTATTTTGGCAATTAGGTGAACTAAAACCACATCTGGTGATTTTTTTTCAAACCCTGCCTCTTATTTTTATCAAGGTATAAATTATTCACAGTGAAAAGCAAACATCTTAAGTTTACAGTTCAGTGGGTTGCAACAAATGTATGCACCCATATAAGCAGCACCCATACCAAAGAAATTCCCTTCATGGCTCTTTACAATCAATTTCCTCACCCCTCATGCAGAGGTAATCACTTTCCGGATTTCTATCACCATAGCTTCGTTTTAACAGTTCTAGTAATTGGCTATAAGCAATTATATTACTTAACAATAAAAAGAAATGAACTATTAATAGGCACAACAACATCGATGAACCTTATGATGAGTGAAAGTAATCAAGCAAAAAAGAAGTACCTACCATATTATTCAATTTACATACAATTCTAGAAAATGAAATTTTCTAGAAATGAAAACAAATCTTTAGTGATGGAACTCAGATGGCTAGGTGTCTGGAGACCAGGAAGATCCGAGAGAGAAATTATAAATGGGCATAAGAAAAATTGGGGGGGCTTATAGATAAGTCAAAATGTATCAAATTGTACACTTCATACGTAGTTGATTTTGTCAATTATATCTCAGTAAAGCTGTTTAAAAATTGTAACTCCCAATGGCAAATCAGTTTGCTGGGTAAGAAAAGATCACTTTGCAAGTCACGCTAAGCTTTTATCTTTAATAAGTAATTAAGCTTTCATACAGATTTTTTCAATTTGGAAAACATTTGAGCATGTTATCTTCAAATATTTTTGCTAATGCCAATTCTTTTCTCTCCCTTTTCTGCAATTCCAGTTCCATGTATGTTCGATGTTTTGATATTGCCACACAATCAAAAGATCGATATGGTTATTTTTAATTTTTCCAATCTCTTTTTTCACTCTGTGCTTTGGTTGGTTTGTTTCTGTTGACTTATCTGCAAGTACAGTTATTTTTTTTTCTGATTGTCCAATCTGTTGTTATAACCTCCAGTAAATTTTCCATCTTCTCAAATTTCTATTTGAATTTTTATAGTTCTCATTTCTCTACTGTGAACCGCTATTTGTTCATATATTATATCCATCTTTACCTTAAATCTTTGAAAATATTTATAATATAGTATTAAGATTCTTTTGGTTCCCAGAAATCTCTAAACATTTTTTCAGCACAAGTTATAAAACAATTGTGAATGCATGTTATTTTAGTCTGAGTAAATAGCTCTTTTATTTAATGTTTTATGTAATTTTGATATACTCCTCAGAGCACAAACACTGAGCTCTTTAAACACAAACCCTTTCTACACAGGTTTATACAATATTTTGGACATATGAGATGTACACTGGATCTACCATTAAGAGTTCTGTTAGAACCACCATCACTGGAAGAAGGAATTTATTGATCTACTAAACTTTTCAATGGTTTCAATCTCATATTCAGTTACATATGTTACTAGTTGACCCATTAAAATAAGATGGCAAAAAAAACAACTCAACCTTTGGAATAGTTTTTTTTTCTCTTTAACAAGTTGTATATATTGTCTTCTGTCATAAATAAAACAAACAAATAAATATAATTGAGTAATGTCTTATTCCATATTTGTTTTAATCTGATACTTCACTCTAAATTTTTTTTGAGCTATAATTCACACAAAATAAAATACACATATCTTAAGTGTTTTGCTTAATGATTTTATAATTATATATCTCCACCTAACAACCACCCAAATAAGATATAGAACATTTTCATCAACCTAAAAATTTTCCTCATGCCCCTTTTCCAGTTAGTTTACCTTCTCCCAAAGGTAAGAAGTTTCTGATTTCTATTGGCATGGAATTCTTTAGCATCTAGCTTCCTTCAAACAAATAATATTTTTGAGGTTTGTCCATATTGTTGAGTCAGTGAAGACTTTATTCTTTTTTATTGTTAAGTAGTATTCAATTGTACAAATACATAACACTTTTTTATCAATTTTCTGATTGTTAGACCTTTGTATTGTCTTTAAATTTTGCTATCATGAATAAAGTCTCATATACATCTTTCTATGGACATATTTTTTTCTCTCAGCTGAATACCTAGAAATGGCATTCCTTTGTCATAAGATAGATACCAACTTTCTTACGCTTAGTACTTGTGTGATACATCTTTTCCCACTCTTATTTTATTTTAAGTTCTGGGATACATGTACAGGACGTGCAGGTTTGTTACATAAGTAAAAGTGTGCCATGATTGTTTGCTGCACCTATCAACCCATCACCTAGGTATTAAGACTTGCATGCATTAGCTGTTTATCCTGATGCTCTCCCTCTCCCCAGCCCCCTGACAGGCCCCAGTGTGTGTTGTTCCCCTCCCTGTGTCCATGTGTTCTTGTTGTTCAGCTCCCATTTATAAGTGAGAACATACAGTGGTTTTCTGTTCCTGTGTTAGTTTGATGAGGATAATGACTTCTACCTCCATGCATGTCCCTACAAAGGACATGATCTCATTCCTTTTCGTGGCTGCGTAGTATTCCATGGTGTACCACATTTTCTTTGTCCAGTCTATCCTTGATGGGCATTTGGGTTGATTCCATGCCTTTGCTATTGTGAATAATGCTGCAATGAACATATGTGTGCATGTATCTTTGTAGTAGAATTATTTATACTCCTTCAGGTATATGCCCAATAATTTTTTCCACTCTTTTAAATTTAACTTGTGTTTTTAGATGTTGTAGAATGTTTCTTATAAGCAACATGTAAATAGGTTTTGCTTTTTATTATCTTATAATTTCTTTCTTTCTAATGGAGTGCTTAATGCATTTACATTTAATATAATTATGGCTTTGCTCAGTTCAGTTTAACACTGCTGTAGGCTCCTTTGAAAGCTCATTGAAAATCAACTGACAAAAGGCAGATTAACAGGAGAAAAGGCATTACAAAAATTAACATGTTCACATGTGCATGAGAGTCATACAAAATATTAAAACTAAAAGAAAGGGCTAGATTGATTTTGCTTTTATACTATCTTGAGCTTACAGGAAAAATAGGGGCTAGGAATATGGCAAGGAGAGAGAAAAAGAAAGGCATGGGGCAAAGATGATCTCGTTATGTAGATAAAACCTCACAGGTAGCAGCTTTCAGAAAGAATAGATGGGGAAGCCTCTGGTTAAGTTAATCTTTCCTAGGTCTGAATAAAGGGGAGCGCCTCAGAGAAAGCCTGGCTGTTTATTTCACTAAAGTAGATTTTTCTGTACAGATGCAAATCTCCTCCACGAAAGGCAACTTTTCAGGGCTATTCTTGTTTGCAGGACCTCGGAATAGCCATCTCAAAATATGGCAAAGGAGTGTATCTTGGGGTGAAATATGATAGAGTTTTTTAAAATTCAATTTTATCTACTTCATTGACTTTTTAGCAATGCATTCATGTATCACTTAATAACAGGAACAAGTTCAAAGATACACATCATTAAATGATTTTATCCTTGCACAAACATCATAGAATTTACTTACATATACCTAGATGGTATAGAATACTACCCACCTAGGCTATATGATATAGCCTGTTGCTCCTAGGCTACAAATCTGTACAGCATGTTACTGTACTGAATATTGTAGGCAATTGGAACACAATGGTGGTATTTCTGTATCTAAACATAGAAATGATACAGTAAAAATATGGTATTATAATCTTCTGGAACCATTGTTGTATATGCAGTCCGTTATGTAGCACATGGCTATAACTTTTTTATGTGTCTGTGTGTGTGTGTATAGGTGGGTGTCTTCACGTATGGTTTAGTGTTTACCCTAAAGATCACAATATGCATTCTTAACTTATCACAGCATCATTTCAAATAATACTACACTACTTAAAGAACAATCCAAGAACTATATAGCCTTATAATGTTATTTAACCTCCACTTCATTCTTTGTATTCTTGTGATATGTTTTAATTCAACATATATTATAAGCCCCACAGTCCATTATAATTGTTTCGGCTTTAAACGGTTAATAGCATTTTAAAGAAACTTAGCAATCTGAAGGTTCTGGGAAGACCAAATTTAGATTTAAAGATGCTAAGGCAGCCAGGACCTGAGAGAGGCCAAGTTCCCAGGGATAATATTAAAAGAATTGAGCCCAACAGTCTGAGTCTTTTTTTCCCCTTGAGGCATTTGCCGATTTGTATGTACTGTAGGCTGAAAGGTAGAGAGCAGAGCAGAAATTAGCTGCTATGAGATTAAGAATCGAAACATGATTTTTGTCAGTTTTGTAATTCTGGGGAGATAAAAAATGGAATTAAAAGATCACCGAAAGAATGGGCTTCTAATAAAAACCTCGAGCCTTCAACTGAACTCCAGAAGAGCTGCAGTCTAAGAGTGCGATTAAACTGGAAATAGATCAGCTTTACAAAGACTGAAACATGGCACTGAATAAGCTCAGTCTCTGTTTGGATTAAAGTAATCCATGCCTGGGCTAATTGCCTCCCAGAAGCTAAGGAAATCCTCTCTAGAAAAAGGTAACATTTTCTAGAAACCGTAAATTTTGTACATGATTTCCATAATTTAAGTTAAACAAAAAATTACCAGGAATACAAGAAAAAAAATGAGGAAAAAAAAATAGGACCTGATGCACATGTGATTCAGGTATTGGTTTTAATACATAGACTTTGAAATACCCATGGTTAATATATTAAAGATAATAGATGATAAGATAGATAAATCAACCAGAAAATGGAAATTTATATCAAAAGAATAAAATGGAAATTCTAAAACTAGAAAATAGCATCTAAAATAAAAAAATACAATAGATGTCACTGATCATCCACCAGAATAGCTAAAATTAAAACTACTTATTACCATGACCGTGTTGTAAGTGACAGTGACAATGTGGAACAATCAAAACTCTTGCACATTGTTAGTAAGTGTGTGAAACAGCACAACAACCTAGGAAAAAGATATGACAGGTCCTTATAAAACTAAACATGTACCTTTCCCGTGATCCAGCGATTCTATGCCTAGGTATGTAACCAAGAGAATAAAAAACATATCATTGCAAAAAAAAAAAAAAAACTTGTGCAAGTGTATTTGTAACAGCTTTGTTCATAGTAGCTCAAAACTAGAATCAGTTCAGTTATCCATCAACAGAATGGATTAAAACCAAACTGTGAAATAGTCATACAGTATACTACTACTCAGCAATAAAAGAGAATGAACTGTCATTTTAGTTTGAATTGTGTCTTCCCAAAAAGATACTTTAAAGTTCTATCTCCAGCACCAAAGAATGTGACCTTGTTTAGAAATAGGGTGATTATAGGGGAAAATGAGGTTAAAATGAGGTCATGGGTCAGATGCGGTGGCTCACACCTGTAATCCCAGCACTTTGGGAGGCCAAGGCGGGTGGATCAACTGAGGTCAGGAGTTCAAGACCAGCCTGGGCAACATGGTGAAACCCCATCTCTACTAAAAATACAAAAATTAGCTGGGCACAGTGGCGCATGCCTATAATCCCAGCTACTTGGGAGACTGAGGCAGGAGAATTGCTTGAGCTCGGGAGGCGGAGGTTGCAGTGAGCCAAAATTGTGCCATTGCACTCCAGCCTGGGCAACAAAGCGAGACTCTATCTCAAAAAAAAAAAAAAGAGGTCATTAGGGTGGGTCCTAATCTATATGATTGATAATCTTATAAAATGGGGAAATTTGGGCACAGAGATAAACATACGGAGGAAAAATGATGTAAATACACAAGGAGAAGACAGTCATGTGGCTGAAGTAATGCATCTACAGGCCAAGGAACGCAAGGGTGGCTGGCAAACACCAGAATCTAGACGAGTCAAGGAAGGACTCTGTTCTAGAACTGTAAGAGAGAGCATGACCTTGCCAATACCTTGATTTCAGACTTCTAGCCTCCAGAAGTAGCAAACTTCTATTGTTTTAAGCCATCCAGTTTTTGATACTTAATTTACAGCCATCCTATGAAACTAATATAATTATTTATGCATTTAACAACATGAATGAATTTCAAAAGTGTTATGTTGAGTAAAAAATTCTTACATAAAATAATACACTTTCTAGGAAGTCTAGAACAGGCAAAACTCATCTATGGTGAAAAAAAAACATTCAGACCAGTGCTTGCTCATTGGTGTAGACACCGGGATTGACTGGAAAAGGGGATGAGAAAACTTTCTAGATGATGATAAAAATCTCCTATATCTTATGGGTTCTATGTCTTATAAGTTGAATTGTATTCCCCCAGAAATATGTGTTTATACAAGTGTTTGCATTTATCAACACTCAGGAAATAAAGGTTTAAGATTTATGCAATTCATTGTGCATAAATTCTACCTCAAAAGAAATAAAATCTGTAAACAACAAATACAGAATTCTAATTAATGATATGCATTCTAAAGTATTTAAGGGAAGTGCACTGATATCTGCAATTTAATTGGAAATACATTGAAAAGTAAGATGATTGTTAAATTGACAGAGAGATAAGATAACATAAGTATAATATAATATTAATGGTAGAATCTATTTGGTAGATAGATATATGGGTACTTAATATAAAATTTTTTCAACAGTTCTGTGTTTGACTGTTTTCATCATAGAATGTTGCACAATAAAAGAGGGTAGCATAGGAATTTATAAGCAAATTATATATAGCTGAAGAGAGGTTTAGTCAGACTAATACCTACAGTAAAAAAGCGAATAAAAATACAGAAAGAAGCATAAGTGGGACTAGACTCAGTGATAAAGTCTAGCATAGGTATAATTGGAGTTCTAGAGTAGAAAGAGAAAGAGAATGGACTAAATGCTGTTTTAAAAAAGATAATAGCTGAGAATTTTTCAGAGCAGATGAAAGACTTCAAGCTACATGTTGACTTAACACAATGAAATGCCAGCAGGATAAATATGAAGAAAAACACAACTAGGTACATCTAGTTGAACTATTGAAAGACACAAATGTCTTAAAGAATTCAGAGAAGCAACAATAAGACTGAGAGCTGACTTCTCAATAGAAATGATGGAAGCCAGAAGTCAATGGAATGACATTTTAAATATGAGGCACATGGATAGAGCTAGCAATTATTAGGCTCCTCCTATTGTGTACTAGGCTCTAGGCCAAACTCTTTACAAACATTATCTCATTTAGTCCTCACACTCTCCCAAAGAGATCAAATTCATATCTCCATTTTAATGAAAGGAAATTGAGCCTTGAAAAAGTTAATGATTTACATAAATTCAGACAGCTAACCAGTGGTAAAGATTGAAACTTCACTGTGACAGGTTCCAACATATTTACCCTATATATTATGAAGCTTCCTGTCTGCTTTCATATCTATCCCTATGGGTCTGCTTAGGCTCTGTGTCCACGCACTTCCTGGTTTGGCAATCTCATTGCCAAGTCTTGTAGTAGTTATGACAATATGCCAGAGTTAATAATGCAAAGGAGAAAGAGAGAGAAAAATAAATGTGGTGGAATGCTAGTATCTAATATTGGATAACAAGGATACAGATCACATTATTGTATGGTACCACAGACTGTGGAGAGAATACCCTTAATTGGCATCTTTTCTTTGAATGCAATATATCTAATCTCCATTTTGACCCTATAGTAAATGAATGAAATGCTACCTGTGTGTTGTTAGCACCATATTGTGAAGTGTATATTATTATAGAAAATTGACAAGCTGATGAGCTGTTCTTTAGCTAAGAGAATATCCTATTTTTAATTTATATTATTTCATAAGGAAATGTGCTGATGACAGCTTATTTCAGTGGCAACTGCCGATGCATAACCTTTTTGCTAGACAACATTATATCAGTATGACAATATTTTTTAAATTATACTAAATACTAGGAATGTGTTTTCAAGAATATTTGAGAAATGAGTATATAAGATTATAAATGAGTATACAAAAATATTTCTTAATATATTAGCACATATAGGAGATTTTATTGGGGAAATGCATCTTTTATAATGAGGTAATCTTTATGTTCAATAATATTTTGTTTTTATGTATTTTTTCTTTAAGCCTATAATAAGATGTAAGAATATCTCTTCAGAATACATTTATATGTGTAGATGAATACACAAATGTGTGTATGTATATATTGATATGCATATAGACAAAAAATTCCGAAGTTAGAACTTAAATATGTATACATACACATATGTAATTATATATGTCTAATTTTATATAGAAAATATATATAATTTAAATTAAATATAATTATATATGTGTGTATATATACACATATCAAAATACTTGTGTGTATTTGTGTGTGTATATATATATAGTTGTGTGTATATACACATATACACACAAGAATTTTGATATAGCCTGAATTTTTCTAGGAGTCACTAATCTATGGTTCAAATAAAGTTATTTATTAATAGTGCTCAAATTTCGCCATTCTATTGCTCATATACTAATGAAGCCACCTCAAAATCTAAGCCAGCTGGTTCTAGGAGAATGAGTGGGAATGGAGTTTGGGGAGCTCATAAAGAGTATTGTGTTCTCTGTTCTCCCACTCATTGACACTTCCATGAAGCTCACCGGGGATCCCATATCACCAACTCACAGCCAACCTGACCACAGCAAGAGTGATATATTCATTCAGGTGCCATCCACTGGATACTCCCAAAGTGCTCACCATCCAAGGAGCCTGAGCACTGCTGCGCTCCACTTTTTTGTCCACAAAGCAGGTGTATTAGTCTGTTCTCACACTGCTCTAAAGACACTACCTGAGACTTGGTAATTTATAAAGAAAAGAGATTGAATTGACTCACAGTTTTGCATGTCTGGGGAGGCCTCAGGAAACTTAAAATCATGGTGGAAGGCAAAGGGGAAGCAGGCACCTTCTTCACAAGGTAGCAGGAGAGAGAGCACAGGGGAAACTGCCCAGCCCACAAAGCCATTTTTCCCTTCTAGGCCTCCAGGCCTGTGATAGGAGGAGCTGCTGTGAAGGTCTCTGAAATGCCCTGGAGACATTTCCCCCATCGTCTTGACTACTAAGATTCAGCTCCTCCTTGTGCAAATTTCTGCAGCCGGCTTGAATTCCTCCCCAAAATATGGGTTTTGCTTTTTTACCATATGGCCACCCTACAAAATTTCCAAATCTTTATGCTCAGCTTTCCTTTTAAATATAAGTTCCAACTTCAAACCATCTCTTTGTGAATGCATATAACTGAATACTTTCAGAATAAGCCAAGTCACCTCTTAAACACTTTCCCCACACCTAGGTTTTAAGCTCCCTGAGTTCAGGGACTATGAGTATTTTCTGTTTCCTACAACTTCTGGTCCAGTGATTTAAATAAAGATGCTCAATAAATTTTGGCTAATCATGTATAATAGAAATCAAATTAAGATGCACAGAAGGTAAGAATCTTTTCAAAGTTTACATAAAATTATCTAAAAGTATATTATGTAGTTAAACATGAGGAATATAGAAATCAAAGAAAAATTTGATAACCTTTAAATATATACCACTTGACTATTTTTATGACTTCAGACACAATATTTCTGGGGCACATAGTTATCCATTTTGGATAACATTTGGAAGTTGTTGGACAAAAAGGTAAAACTTAAAATTTTTTTCAAAACGTGTAAAAAATGAAAAAAGTGTTTTCTCTAAGGAAATCCATTTTACAAGTGAAAATTTCTTTGTCCAAGTTCTCTCTATCAGGAGTAATTTAATTTTCTTCATAATTTAGGCAGAAATAAGTAAGTTTTTCTTGGATTCAAACATCAGCAAGCAATACAAAGACATTATTAGTATGTTTTGTAATCTTCACCAAGACTGTGAAATAGAAACTAACTGGAAAAAAAGTTGCTTTAGAAAGAGCAATGTAGAAACTATTCATATGGGGGATGAGGAGGCACATAAATGTAACATATAAAAATTTATCAAAGATAAAATAATAATTTAATGCCTATATCTTTGGAGACAACAAATACTTAAATAGAGATATATTCTTCCATTCAAAAAATACTTAGAAAGGTCTAGAAATAGTCTAGTGATAAATGAGATATATCTATACTTACAATGTAATATGCATCTCTCTAGAAATTTATTTGTTAACATGGAAACTTGTTCATCATATATTAAAGTTTTAAAAAACAATTAAAAATAATACATTGTGTAATTGTATCTATGTAGAAAAATAAGAAATATATATGTATATAATATATACATAATACATAATACATATATGTATTATGTATATATTATATACATATATACATAATACATATATGTATATATTATATACATAATACATGTGTGTATATATGTATATATTATATACATATATACATAATACATGTGTGTATATATGTATATATTATATACATAATACATATATGTATATATAATATATAATATATACATACTACATATATGTATATATAATATACATTATATACATATATACATACTACATATATGTATATATTATATACAATATATACATATATACATACTACATATATGTATATTATATACAATATATACATATATACATAATACATATATGTATATATTACATAGTATATAATATATACATAATACATATATGTGTATATATTATATACTATATACATATATACATAATAATATATGTATACAGTATATACTATATACATATATACATAATTAATATATGTATATATTATATAGTATATACTATATACATAATACATATATGTATATAGTATATACTATATAATATATACATAATACATATATGTATATATAATATACTATATAATATATACATAATACATATATGTATATATATTACATATACATTATATAGTATATATCCATATCTATAGTATATATTTATGGAGAGAGAGAGAGAGAGTCTCTGAAGGAAAGTGTCTTGAATGCTGTAAGTGCCCCTTCTATATCACTTTTACTGGACCAGTGCACCCACACTCTGACTGCTGCTATGAGTTTTGCCTGCTGAGGCTCACCACTGCCACCTTTCTCTGAAGAATTGTCCTTGGCTAAAAAGGAACTGCCTTGCTCAGAGTTAGAATGCCCTGTCCCAGGAGGCATCTTGCAATCAATGACAGAGAGTACAAATGCCTGGCCTCATGCCTCAACTAACTCTGTAGTGCCAACTGTGCTCTGAATTTCCCATGAGACCAGAAGCATGAGACTTCAGCCAATTTCACAAGCTTTCACAGCTCCTTCCCCTGCCATATCCTATCACTTCTCCTGCCCCAAGAGCACTCCCTCAATTAATCATGTGTGTCTGATTCCCTGTTGTAGGTTGGGCTTCTAGGAAACCAGCCCTGAGACATACATAAAATGTTAAAAGTAGTTCTACAGGTACTGGAATTAGAGATCATTTTTAGGTTATTTTTCATGCTCTTCCTGATTAAACTATTTTTAGGATTTTATTTGGTAGAACCTCAAAATATAGAAAAAAAGAAAGTTCAAAGAAATTGAACATATTTTATTTTAATATAATAATATGTGTTCATTTAAATAAGACCAAATTTCTTCAGGATCCTTCAGGAAAGAATAAAGTAAGTATGTCTCCTCTTTGAATATTCCCAAATTATTAATAATAAATTATTTCCTGATGCCAGTTTTAGTCTTTAGATTCTAAGATTTTACATTAGATGAAATATAAATACTAATTGGAATATTATTGATCTTTTTCAACTTCCTCCTCATAGTAGCTTCAATAAGCATATTATTATACTAGATAACTTGAAAAAGCATCTCATTTTCTTTGACATTTTTTCTGTTACTTATATCTAGATCACAAAATCACACAAGTCTTGGCAAAGAAAGTTTTGAAACTTTGTGGAAGTTTTTGGCATTATCTATGTCATACTTGAAAATCATTTGTTTTAGTCATATAATACACTTAGTATTTTTTCTGGACACTATGGTAGCCATGTTACCTGTTTTTACCTTAATCCTCACAGCAGCCCTTCAGCAATATTATTATTCGTAATTGAGAATCAGAAACATTAGGTGCATTATACAAGGTCTCATATCTGAGGGTACCATATCCATCATACCACTTCTTCCTTTTGAAGGAAACCAGAATATTTCACCCCAAAATGTGTTTCTTTTGCATATTTGGAGACAGCTTTTCAGAAAAGCTGCATACACAAGAATAGCCCTGAAAAGCTGTCTTTTGTGGAAAAGATTTGCATCTGTAGAGGAAATCTACATTAGTGAAATGAAGTAAACAGCAGATGCAAATAGGCTTTTTCTAAGCACCTCCCCCCAGCTCTCATCCAGATTCAGGAAGGGTAACTCATAAGAACAGGAGATGAAAGTTTGACACTTTAAAAGGTCTGGCAGAAGAACTTTTACTACAGGTCATCATTTATCCCTCAAAGGCAATTCTGAGAGATTACTTGATTGGGCTTTATTTGCATAAGACAACCATTGTTCATAGTGAAGTTCTGCCCCTCACCTTTCCCTACACAACCTCCTCTAGAGCTCAGAGAAAGTTGGTCCTAGGCTATTGTTTATTTGGGCTTATTCATTTCCCCTGAAAATAATTTATTTCTATATCCCCACATCTCTTCTCTCCTCAGTAGAAATGGTATTTAAGCATCAACCATCTGGCCCTTTTTTTTGAGTTTTTACATTTTGTATAATTCCTGTGCACATGTGTGTGAAATAAATGTATTATCCCTTTTTCTTGTTAACCTGTCTTTTGTTTTAAGGGTGTCAGTCATGACCCCTTATGATGGGGAAGAAAAGGATCAACCCCTTTCCATTCCTAAAGTTCTCTTATACAAAGTCACATGATCAGACTTACTACTTTCTCCTTCAGTGTATTTCAGTGTATTTCATTTTTTCCTATGTGTAATCACCAAAACTGACTACAAAGTTTTCCTAAATAAAGTGACAAGTTCTTATCTAAAATAATCAAAATTCAAATAACTTTTAGGGGAAATCTTAATAAAGGATAACATTATTTTAAGGACATCCCTCAGAGCTCTAATGATAAATGAAATTATATTACATTTCTCAATAAAGAGGAAACTATGTTCTCCAAAGCACATAAAATTAGTTCCAAAATTAAAAATTCAGAAGTTAGACTTCAATGAATGCCATCAATTAATTTTTATAAAAGAACTAGAACCATTTTGAAAAAAAGTTCAATTGTCTTCTAAATGAAAATTAGATAAATAACTTCGTTTTATTGAGAAAAATTATTATGATCTGAGAGACAGACCTAGCAGGCTTTTTAGGCTTCAATTAAAAACATTAATTCTCCAGGGTAGTCCACCAAATCTTTAATCCACAAATGAGCAGAGCTCAAAGAGTATTTCACCTATAGAGCAAAGGAGCAGTAGTTGACAATGATGCTTCTTTATATTTGTGATTCCATTGCCTTCAGCAATAATGATTTAAAAAAAAATACTCTGACAATGATCAAATAAATATTTAAGTTCTTAAAGGCTCCAGGTACTATTTTGTAAATTGTACCCCACAATTGAGAATCTGATGGAACCTTAAAACACTGAACATGTTTCCCATGTGATTTACACTTTCCCAAACTTCAGTTGCAATCTTCTAACCACTTGAAAAGTCTCCACCTGTTCAATTCTTCATACAATGAATTAAGAATGAAAAGAGCTGCTCTTTGTTACTATGTTGTTGGCACAGAAATTTATAAAGATGCTAAGATACTGTGTAGATTATTGATCCTCTATACCTGAGAATCTGACCAGTAATACAAAAAAGACACAGAATTTCAGCCCTTTTACAGTTATTTTTTTCTTTTGCATTTTCATTTTCACTACTTTTCTTTGAACTACATATAGGAATGTAACAATAAGGAATTTTTGTATGCCTGGCTATCCTGTTCATGACTCTATTTTTTTTCATTACCAAAAAGCATTTTACAGTGTGCATTAAAATAATTTAAGGAACTAGAAACACCTTATGAATGCTACAGAACAATTTATGATAGAGCTAAAAGTGACCAACTCACTTGTTCCTATTTTCTCAATGGTTCAAATAGCCCAAATCCCAAACATATTCCAACCAAAACAAAATGGAAGAGCCATTTTCAGTGCAGTGTCACTCATTTTTTTTGCTTTTTTTTTTTTAAGACATGGAAGCATTTGCCAAAATGGGATCTCTGTAATAACAAACCACAGGAAAAAAAAAAAAAGTAAAACATCTCTGCACAGTGATGGTATACTATTACATTTAGCCTACCCACGCAAATTGGTCCCAGCAGTTTTCTCTTTAATTCATGATTTATGGAAACATCTGAGATTATAAAATTAACCAAACAAAAACAGATGCTGTAATTGTGAGGGGCCCAATTCTTGGATGAATACCAGAGCTAAACATTAGTATATGGAGTGGAAACATTTTAACTTAAGTTCTTATATATCAGTTCACAAGCTGATGTAAATATTCCACATGAAAATAACTATCTAAACAGCTTGGAGAAATAAAATTATGTTCACATAAGTGGCCCATTTTTCTCTCCTTCAAAAGGAAGGCAAGGCTATTAAAATGATAATTTCCTCAAGTTTTTTAATTAATAATATAAAATCTCCCACCTATATTTACAACTTCTAGGAAAGAGAGGGAGGAAGCATATCTTAGATACAACTCCCAAATTGTGCTTTTATATTACTCTGGGGCGATACATAATAACTCCATTGCCACGTAGTTTGCATATTTATTGCAGAAGACCCATTCTGAGCAGTATTTAGCATTCGGTCAGAAAGAGCTCCAACTGAAAGGAAAAAGAACACCTTTGCCTTTGAAGTAAGAGTAACTATTTAAAGGTAGTAGAAAATGTCTTTCTAGACTAGACTACCCCTAGACATTGTAAAAGCCCTGGAAATTATCCCTAGGAAAGAGAGCTATAAAAAAATGAAGTTTGCTGGTTGTGTTTCCATTTAAGGTCTGGGTGTGGTTGTAGCAACTGACTCCTTGTGGCTACGCCTTTGCAGAGACTGCTTTTAAAGTATAAATACAAAGGAAATTAGAGACTTAAAACCAGTCAAAAATGTGTTCTTTTTAGGAATGAAAGGCCTTTAAGTGATCTAAGATGCTTTTTCTGTAAAGCAGTAGGTTTCTTTGAATACAAGAACACATGGCAAAGGCTATGGTTCTAAGACTGGGGAAAAGGACTTTGTAAACACACTCAGAGAAATGTCAGGATAATACCTCCAGGGGACTTCGGCCAAGATTTGTTTATTGGATTTCCACAATTGAACCAATCATGATTAAATTGCCTTAGGGCAAAAGTTCAAAGGGCTAACAATCAGAATGCATAAAAAGTAGAACAACTGGCATATATTAAAATAAACAAGATGTCATGTAAAGAGATGTGTCTTTCAATTCTTTACAGTTCGGCTTGTAGAAGGTCATTAAACAAGGAATAATGTGGGGAACAAAGAATCCCACAAACAAGAGCCATCCACAAAGTCTAATTCCTTCTTGAGTTCTTTACAGATGAAATGTGGTAACTGTTAGCTAGAGCCCTCCAGCTGATTTATATTTCTATGAAGTTAAATAGGCAGTGTTTCCCACAGTCTATTCCAGAGAACATGAAATCCATGGAATGTTAATAAACATTGGCAACCCACTCTCTTTCCCTACCAAGGTGATTCATCCAGGAAACATGGATTTAAACCTGGTTACCAGGTTCTCTATTTTCCTAGAATCTAGGCTTTCAAAGCTTATTTGATCCCAGAAACCTCTTTTCTTAGTAGAATCTTGCAGGAATAGTGTTCATTAGAATACACTGGGAGAAACACAAACCTAAGTGGACTAGTGTACAAGTTTCATACTAGGCCCAAAGGTGAAGAAAGCTAGTGGTGGGTCCGTGGTAGGTCCATGCTGGCCCCCAAGTCCCAGGCAGTGCATTTTTCCTCCACCTAAAGAGCCCAGACCCTCATGCTCTTCTCTGTCAAAGGTGGATCTGACTCAGCTTAAAATACGGTAATGTACGGGCAAAGGGAAATTTTCCCCTTCACCCTCTACACGTTTGCCTAAAAATCAGCTCACAAAAGGCAGACATATGGATAAAAGGGATACAGATTTACTTAATGTCTATATACGGGAGACTTTGTGTCTATGTGTAGGAGACTTCAGAATGAAAACCCAAAGCTATAGGAGAAATTGTCCATTTTCATGCTTAGGTTCAACAAAGTGTGGAAGCTGTGTAGAAAGATGATTGGACAAAAGGCCATGATCTAATGCTAATGGACTGAGCGGGGAAACCCAGCAAGGCCTGTCTAGATTCCTGTTGCCCTCTCCAAGCACACATTCCTTCCTTCTGGGTGTGGAGCAGGACCCTCTCTGAAATGGGAATCTTATTATCTATAGTCAAACAAGGTAGGCCAGATAATTTGTTGATGGCCAGTTTTTACACAGAAAGTCAGGGGAAAGTTAGAGTAATAATTTTAGGTTTTATGGCTGGCTTTTGTTTTGGTTTCTGTGACATGCCTAGGGGAAGAGAGATTCTAGTTTCTATGACCAGCATCAGGGGAGAATGAAACTGAGAGACAGGAGGGCAGGAGAAGATCAGAGAAAAACTTTTGCTTCTGAGGCCTTCAATTTGCAGTATTGTTTTCTGAGCCCTAATAGTAAAAATGTGTGATGATAGCTTGAGAGTTTTCTTTTGCAAATACATTTGCATAGTAACAGAACAGAAACTTTGATGTGAGAGAATCAAATTCTTAGAGATATTTTAGGCAAGCAAATAAGACAATGTTTGGGAAACTAATGTATCTATTTCCAGGATCCTTGTCCCATGCACCAGGGATAGTCAAATATGACAGTGACCCAGTCCAAGCTATTGAGATCTTGCAAAGCCATAATTAGCATTTTGAACTGGACCTAGTGGTCTCTGAAGCACTTGTTTCCCAAATTCCTTGTATCTGAGCGATTCCTTGAGTCATCTGATTACAGAGTCACTGTGACTTTTATATTCAATCTTCTAATTTTCCACTCCAGAAAAGACTAGCATGCCTGACATTGCACAAGCCCCCTTTCACAGAGCAGCTCTTAAGAATTACATGATAGAAATTTCATCAATAATAGCCTTCTAATAACTTTCCTGTATCTCCGAGTTCTAATTCAAAATTTCAGCTCTAGTTCAAAATTTATTCTGCTCACAGAAGTATTGCAGAAAAGAGAGATAACATGTCATTTCATTTTTTCTTCTCCAAGCTCAATATATCCATTCTTTGTATGGCAAAGCATCAGATCCCCCTTAATTCTAGATACCCTATTTTAGATATTAACCTGATTGTCAATGTCCCTTTTAAACTCAGCACCCCAAACCAAACTATTTATACCAAATTATATTCAGCATATGATAAAAGAGCTACACTGCCTTAATTTTCATTGTGTTGGGCTTCATTCATTCTCAAAGAACAATATTTAATATGTAGACAGATTCTTCCCAATAATTCACTAAGAAAAATTCCAGCAGTTCTCAATAGTCCTGTTATCCTGTTCCTCCTAAGATTCATTTACAGAAAGAAAATAATATCACACCAGAATGAAAGCATGACAGCAGGAACTGGGTAGAAAATCAGTTCCTCAGGCATTGGAAAGAGAGTTTTTAAGAACTTGCTGAATGGCTGTTTTGGTTTATGTAAGAATTGAGAAGGAGAGTAATGACATTTTGAGAGTATTGATCATGAATTTATTCACTAAAATGTGATTTAAGACATGAAAAACTATATACAAAGTAGATTTAAATTATGTTTTTTTCTGGACTTTGATAATTTAAATGTGACTTGCTGCAGAGATTGGATGACTGAGGTCTATAAGATTTATAAGAGTTGACTAACTCAAAACATGAACCATCTATTAGAGGCTATAGTCTGATCAGGTGCAATGGCTTACGTCTATAATCCCAGCACTTTGGGAGGTCAAGGCAGGAGGATCACTTGAGCCCAGGAGTTAGAAAGCACACTGGGCAACATAAGGAGGCACTGTCTTTACAAAAAACTTAAGAACATTAGCTAAGCATGGTGCTTCCTGCCTGTGGTCCTAGCTATTCAGGAGGCTGAGGCAGGAGGATCTGTTGGGCCTGAGGGGTTGAGGCCATGATCATACCACTGCAATGCAATCCAGTCAGGGTGACAGAGACCCTGTCCAAAAAAAAAAAAGAAGAAGAAAGGAAAAGAAAAGAAAGAAAGAGGCAAACTATGGTCTGTTTGGGGATACAGAAAGAAAGGCACAGTCTCTGCCCTTTGGGACCTTACCATCTACCAGCAAAAGTGGGGAATGCAAACAAAAATGTCAATAAGAACATCAATATTAATGTTCTTTGTGGCCAAATCACATTCTAGGCTCAAATACTAGATCTACTTTCAAAGATTTGCTGCCAAGTTGGCTTTATTTTCCCTTATATTTGCACAATTGATATTTTTTATTTAAATGAAGAATATAGTTCTATTTTCTTTTTTTCCTATTTTCTAAAATGGCTGAGATTATTGAAATCATTTTTAGATTCAATTTTACATATCTCTCGATGTGTTATTTCTTCCAGAATAAAGTCATCCTCAGTCACATTAGGTATGCCTTCACTGTGCATAGTGAAGACATTTCATGTGATAGAGGACAAAGCTAAGGACAGTGAGCTGTGACCTCTGCTAATGTCCCCCCTCAGTGTTAACCTTATGCTACATGATATAGTGCTTGGAGTTTAATGAATGATTTCATATGTCTCATTTAGTCTCACAACAATCCTCCAAGGCAGGCTGGAAACTGAGACCTAGAGGGGTTAAACGGCATATTCAAAGTCAGGTCATTTGTAAATGACAGAAACTACTTCTACTGATAAATACAGACTTCTTTCTACTAAGCTACATCTGATGCTTCCCCAAACATCATTAACCAGTCCTTACAATTTACAATTGTAAAGTAGAAACCTCTTAGAATGTACTACATCCAACAACTTTATCTACAAAAATATCATGGGAAATAACCAAATGTTTGGCTAAAGAAAAGTATATCACATGTGTATAGAAAATTCTCCTAATTTAGTATTCTGGGAACCCCTTTCACTACCATAATTTGTGGAAGTGACCTTAATTTGGCATAAATTAAGAGGAAGTGACCTTAATTTGGCATAAGTAGTTCTTAGTTAACTGACATTGGCTTCTAGAGATGGCCACATGTTTGTTAAGAATTCATAAACTATCTGATTGATGAAAATGTTCTAAAATATTCCTGGGAACTATATATCAAGTTCACTAGTCGGAAGTTTCTTTACTTACTTTTTTTAAATGTAGACTTGGGACTTCACATGTTTCTTTTTCATTTTCTGGCACCTTCCAATCATGCATGACTTTTCAAACATTGTTTGATTCTGAGATCACACCTGTATGATTCTTCCATAACCTGGACCCATGTTCATGGGATCCAGAATAATTTATTTCAATTAGTGACTCTCTCAACTAAATTGAGCAGAGATTCCCTCTTTAAATTGTTCTGCCCTTTCATAAAATAGCAACCCTTTACAATGTACTGCATGTGTTTCATATATACTAGATGCTAGGTACTCGAGATAATGATGTCACATGTACCAATGAAGAGTTGCAACCTAACATGGGAAAAAACATGTATACAGCTAATCATAATGCAACAAGATAAAGCTCATAATAGAGATAAGTCAATGAGCCAAGAACAGGAAAAAGGAAAGGGAGGAAAGGGTAATTAATAGGAAGACTATTTTATATCTCAGTTTCTTAATCAGCAAAACAGTAATAATAGGCACCTTTCCTGGGAATTAAATTAGATATTTTCAAGTACTTATGACAATGCCTTCCATATAAAAAGAGCTTAATAAATGTCAGCTGTTATTAGTCTGGATTCTTGGTATATTAAGAAGCATCAAAGGACTGAATAATTGGAAATTCTTTATATTCTTTGCCCATCCATAGGACCCATGTATGCACGGGCAGATTTGGAATCCACTTTAGGAAAACTTTCTAAAATTTAGTATTATTCAAAATGCTAACAGTAAAATGATTCACTCCTTCTCATGCATACAGCCCAAGGAGATGCTGAATGATCAGCTGTTACGGTTTTGTGCATTCAGTTAGAGGCTGCATTAGCTCTGGAATGACAAAGATGTCACTTCAGATCAGTTGATATTGGCTAACTGAAATACTATGAATATGAAACTGTGCTTGGCTCAGTGGAAAACAGTAGCCATTCTATTCCTGACAACAGGAGGGGAGGTGATGGCATCAATGTCATTTAATTGCTGACCCTGGACTAGATGTTTTCTACTAGAAAGGAGCCTGGCGGAAGACCTGCCCAGTTAGCTGTGAGGTTCAACCAACAGTGGCTGCTTTGAGGTTTGTCTCGGCATTCCAGGGTACTACACTGTCCAAGCGGTGTTCACATAGCTGTTAGTATCACAAGTCTAAGAAGTAACAGAGTTTCTTAAGGTATCCAGAAAGTAAATGCTCAAATGCTAGGCAGAAAGACAGTGAGCATCTTGGTTATTTTCTTATTACAAAATTTGTTCATTCACTAAGCAATTACTGGGCCATGTCATTTTAGGAATTGGCCATAGAATAAAGAATAAGAAAAACAAAGCCCATACATTCATGATACAGTCATCCCTCAGTATCCTTGGGGGATTAATTCCAGGACACCCCTACCCTAGCAGACACCAAAATCAGTGGATGTTCAAGTTCACTATATAAAATGACATTGTATTTACATATAACATACACACATTCTCCTGCATACTATGAATCATCTTTAGATTACTTGTAATACCTAATATAATGCCTACATATCACTTCATTTTCATGAATCATGAAAATGTACTTGATGCCTGGCAAATTCTAGTTTTGGTTTTTTGGAACTTGGTGGGGTTATTTTTCCCCAAATATCTTAGATCCATGGTTGGTTGAATTCATGGATGCAGGTAGGAATGGCTGACTATACTTACATTTAGTTGGAGGAAGACAGTAAAAAATAAGTAATCAAACCAGGAAGTATAAAGAAATGCTTAAGTACAATAAAGAAAATATAACCAAGTGACATGAAATATAGTGATAAGGCTATTGGGGTGAGGTTCAAAGACTCCACTATTCAGGGATAAGAATGACAAATACAAGGCAGGGACCTAGAAGGAAGCTGAGACATCTGGTGAGATATTGGGAAAAAGGTAGGAATACAGGTAGAATCTTAGATCTATGACCACAAGTGGATGAGGGACTCGGGAACTTAGGCAAAAGAAGAACACTTAACAGAACTGGGATTAGAAGAAGCAACATGTTCATCACTGAGCATAGGATGAAACTAATTGCAATGGAAGAATTTAAAGGTCGACATCAGGGCATCAAATGGCATTGAAGGAGTAGGCAGAGTGGGCCAACTAAAGTTCCTTCTCCAAAGGGTTGTAGTTTAACTTTCTGCTCCAGTTAAGATTGATCTGGGGTATGGATATTCTTACTGCTGGGCCAGATGAATGAAGATCAGGAGATGTAGCCTGGCATTTTACATCTATTGGGTCCCATGATTCTATTCTGAAGACTCTAATTTGAAAGAGCCACACCACATTTACAGTCATAACTCAGCTGGGTTTTCTTTTTTTCTTTTCTTTTCTTTTTTTTTTTTTTTGAGACAGGGTCTTATTCTGTCACTCAGGCTGGAGTGCAGTGGTGCAATCATGGCTCACTGCAGCCTCAACCTCTTGGGCGCAAGCAATTCTCCCACCTCAGTCTCCTGAGTAGCTAGGAGTACAGGTGTATACCAGCACACTCGGCTAATTTTTTTAGTATTTTGTAGAGACAGTGTCTCCCTATGTTGCCCAGGCTGGTCTTGAATTCCTGGGCTTAAGGGATCCTCCCACCTCAGCCTCCCAAAGTACTGGGATTATAAGTGTGAGCCACCTCAAATTGGCCTCAGCTGGATATTCTTTTTTTTTTTTTTTTTTTTGAGACGGAGTCTCGTCAGCTGGATATTCTAATTGTACATTCAATCCTGGCTTCCCTTGAGTCAGTTCCTGGGCTGGTATAAGAAACGCAATTCCCTGAATCAGCTGCAGGAGAATACCATAAATGACAGTTTGGCTGGGCAGATGTTCGACAAGAGATGATGCATTTTCTTTTGATGTAAAACCTTTATTTTTCAATCCTGTTAAGTTAGCAACCATAAGCAATATTTTTATAAAGGCTCTAGATGTTGTATCTCCTGTTAAAAACAGATGGTCGAAAATAACTTCTACATGTGAATGTCCTGGAAAATTCTAAATTTTCCAAATGGTGAGAGATAATACTTACAAAAATTTAAATATTTTAATAAACATATATCATATATACTATTGACTTGGAAATATTATTTCAATCCAAAAACTCTGACTAGAGATTGGGGCAGGAAGATAATAAGTTAACTTTTTTTTTTTTTTGAGATAGAATCTTGCTCTGTTGCCCAGGCTGGGGTGCAGTGGCAGTATCTCAGCTCACTGCAACCTCTGCATCCTGGATTCAAGTGATTCTCCTGCCTCAGCCTCCCAAGTAGCTGGAATTACAGGTGCACACCACCATGCTTGGCTAATTTTTGTATTTTTAGTAGAGATGGGGTTTCACCATGTTGGCCAGGCTGGTCTTGAACTCCTGACCTCAAGTAATCCGTGCCCCCTCGGCCTCCCAAAGTGCTGGGATTACAGGCGTAAGCCACCATGCCTGGCCAATAAGTTAACTTCTAAAAGATTCTGTAGTACAACCCTTTGGGTTCATCTGTAAGCAGTCCAAGAAAAAAAATAGCAAAATTAAATAATGGATTAAACGCAAGTTAAAATCTGTTTGTGGTATGTCTCCACCCATCTTTATTTTAGAGTGAATTACAATGGAAAAAAAATTTTCACAGACCAGCTGTCTCACAGTCTAGGCATGAAAGAAAGTGTGGTTCTGAAACTTTGGCAGTCCTGTCTAGGAAATTGTTTTAAGGGTCAGTTCTATCAATATCCTATAACAAGAGAGGGAGACAGAGGCTCTTTTGATGGAAGTACAGAATAAAATAGAAAACATGTAAAGTTCACTTGGCCAAAAACTTGATTGAGCTTAATGCTTTATACCAAGTGTTGGTTTGGAACATTCATATTTTAATATTTGCTCAAAGTTTATTTTCTATTTTCAACAAGCATTTATTACTTATTTACTTACCGGACATTATATTCTGTTACGTTCTATGAAGGATAAAAAGGCAAAACTCATCCCAGTCCTGAAAAGGCCCTTTGCATATGTTCCATGCTCTGTAGTATAGGACATACTTGGTGCCACCAACCAAGGTGGGTGTTAAAGCCTCAGGTGCATGGAGAAGCTTTAACTTTCACATTATCTCCACCAATCACCAAAACCTGCCCTGAAAATCCAAAATGTGAGTAAAGGTAGCGTGCTTGCTATGCAAATACAGTTTGAATACATTCCCTTGTCCTCTCTTCCAAACTTTGGTATCTGTACGCCCCTAGTTGTAGAAATTCTAGACCCTTCAATATCTAAGCCGAGGATCATTTACTGCACAGCAGAGAAAGGGTTAGAAAAAAAGGCATGAATAAAATGTAGGAAAGTCTCAGAGAGGAAGTATGACTTGAGTGTTACTTTGTGGCTCTATCGGATTTCCACAAGTAGGGATGAGGGCAGGCTGAAAAACCGGCAAGAGCAAAGTTTGTATGGACAGTAAAGAGTAAGGAGAACAAGCAGGAAGAATCAGGAAGATCGGTATGACTCAAAATTTGGCATGATCTCTGGGGCACACCTCAAATTATACCTGGAGCGGAGTTGTACTCCAGAAAACCCTCCAAAGCTTAGGATACCTGGTAGGAAGAAAGATGGAGTGAAAATTAACATTAGAAATGTGAAAAGGGTCACGACTTGGAATTCCTGATTGTCTGACCTAGAAGTATAAAGAATATTCTGTGTACATTTGGCTACTACTAAAGATTTGATCTATACATTTATACAATAGTTATTTAAAGTATGTGGTTTGATGTGGAACAAGGAGGGACTGAGAGAGAGGAATGGTCAGGATATCTACACTGTTTATTTTGTCCCAATGAAAGTTCATTACAACCTCAACTAGAACGCTCATGATGGGGCAGAAAATGGGAAAAATGTAACAGCAGAAAAGAGGATGAATCGATGAGATTCTGCAGCTTAATGCGTTTGGAAAGAGATTATGATCTGATGTTTTTGAATCTTGGAAGTCATTTGGCAATGTGGTACATACATAAAGAAAAGCATATTTTGGTGCAAGAGTTGGATATCCATGAAGGAGTTAAGATGACTGATTAGGTTTAGGACATGTACATTTAAATGACCTACAAGTAAATGTAACCCTCAGACAAATGCAGATGAGGCTTTGAAATCAATATCAATAAAGAGTTTAGTTCAACCACTTGTCTTTTGTTAACTTCTCTTAGTGGTTTGGAGACCAAGTAAATACATCACATAAACGAGGCGCTGCTTGTCTTGGAAACATCTGTACTGAAGTTCATCTCAGGAGTATTACACTTTGGGTTATGACTAGATATAAATTCCATGACCAGAATTCCCAGCAATGCCTTCATCACTGGTAGCCACTTCCCAGAGATCTAAAGGATTTGGGTGTTTCTAGTTCCCAGAGTCTCTGGGAGAATCCTTTCCATAGTTCCTCTGTCAGAATTAGACAAACCACGAACCAACCTGGGATCAAGTCTCAACAGATCCAAGCAGAACTGTTCCTGAACTGAGTTCACAAGGGCCTGCATAATACTCACTCTGGTCACTTTCAGTCTAAGAGTAAATAAGCAGCCACCACTAAGTAGCAACATTAGCTAAACACCGAGCTTGTAAGAAATCCGAAGTAAGGTGAGGTCAGGGAACAGATGCATGGATTTGGATGCTTTATAGTCCCTTTAAACTTCTGAAAGGGGAAGGTGGTAACACAGAACAGTTCAACATTTGACCAACCATTGAATGTCCACCATTTTTTGAAAAATCAAAGTAATTATATGAATAGTCTCTGACTGTGGCACTGGCTTCTAATTTTTGCTTCAGGATAATTCACTGTTGCCTGTGCCTCAAATTTCTTAACTGCGGATAATAATACTGATTGCTCCCTAATGAGAGGAAAAATAAAATAAAAGCTTTTTCTGAATAGAAAGTATTCTGTAAGAACTAAATAATGATAACGTCCTCTCCAGTGTGTATGTATTGGTGAATGCTTTTTGACTTTGCTATCTTTCTTGGGGGACTATTCACAGAGACTTGTATATATGTGTCTTTTTCTATTGCTTCATTTGTCTTTCTCTTTCTACTGTAATAGCCCTGTCTCCAGTTCTCACTTCCACTGATATCAGAAAAATGTCTCCCTGTTGCTGTGTCCGCAGCTTCCTTCCCGCAGATCTCTCCATCTCTGTTAGTCCATCGTATTTAATTTCATGCTCTCTACAGACCTTCCCCTATTCTGTCATAGATCTTACTTTGAAAAACCTATTGTGCTTTTTAGGTTCTCTCCTCAACCCTCACTTGTCCACCTCTCTGACATCTCATTTTCTTTCACTGCTCTCCAATGTGCCTCACTCTGCCTTTATTTAATACTACAGAAAGAGTAAAGTGGGAAAGGGTGAGCTTATAAATTATAGAAAGAACCAATCTTTCCACTACTAAAATGGTCTTCTACTGATCTAATTTGTCAATATATTGTTTAGTACCTCACAAAATTGGACATGCACAATAGGTAGTAAAAATTGACCAAATTGGGAGACATAAATTCCCTCTGATTGCAGGCGCAAGAAGTGGAAATCCATATGCTGAAGTAGAAAAATATTGATGGAGGCACATTTGCTTAAGGGCTTAAAATTATATTACTGACATTTCAAAAAGTATTGGGTCCCAACTTCCAGGTGAGTTTTGGAGGATCTAGCAATGTGATTACAGTAAGAAATAAAACTTTTAAATACCCCTACCTATATGCTTATCCTTGTAAATGTCTACTGTTTATTATATGAATGTTGGAGAGATGTATAGGCATTTAGAAGGACCATGTAAACTAAATGTTTTGCAACTTAACATGATACAGACATGAGATTTGGAAATGAGTATTTACCAAAAAGACAAAGAAGCTCACCACAGGAGTTGCTGGAAATACAGTTATTCTGGGTGTACTGGATGTCCCTTATTTATGCTGCATTCTTGAGATGCAAATAGGGGTCTTTCACATAAAACATACTTTGGCTAGCTTTTTGAGATTGGAATGCCTTTCCAATAACAAGTTATCAATAAGAAGTTCTAAAATGTTATGATCAGATCATCACCACAGCTGTAACTTTAACTGAAATGTTCTTTTTTAGGCTGATTATCCACAGAAACTAGTTTACCATTTTAAATGACTTTTTAAGTCACAGATTATTTAAAGTGCACACAATAACAACAAAAACAAAGTAAACTATTTCACAATGGCTTGTGAGTATGGACCTAACCTGCATCTTTCTTCCAGTCTTTACTTTTCTCCTTATTGCTTCCTTTTTATTTCCTTTTGTATTAGTTCATTTTCACACTGCTATTTAAAAAAAAAAAACTGAGACTGGGTAATTTATAAAGAAAAGAGGTTTAATTGACTCAAAGTTCCGCGTGTCTGGAGAGGCCTCAGGAAACTTACAATCATGGCAGACAGCAAAAGAAAAGCAAGCACCTTCTTACATGGCAGTAGGAGAGAGAGAAAGTGAGGGGGGAAATGCCAAACACTTTTAAGCCATCAGATCTTGTGAGAACTCCCTCACTATCACAAAGACAGCATGGAGGAAACTGCCCCCAAGATCCAATCACCTCCCACTAGGTCCCTCCCTCAACACATGGGGATTACAATTTGACATGAGATTTGGGTGGGGACCCAGAGCCAAACCCCATATCACCTTTCCTCTTCCCATTATTTTACAGTTTCTTGATAAACTTTAACTACATCGACTAATTTGTGATTCAAATTTATAATTGTTAATAGTGTTTTCTAACTCTGTTTTTATACACTTTCCTCCCATTCATTACAACTAATCAATGACTTATAAAATTCAGCAGGCTTGTGGCATGAGTTTTCCTGTTCCCACTAGACACTAAAATATGACCCTTGAAATGACATCATTAGGTCGTCCGGAAGCAATCAGATTGCTGAAAACCAGAGAAGCCCTTACTGTCTAAAAAAAAAAAAAAAAGGTATATGAGGAAAATAAAGGAGTACTTCTTGGGAAAATGAAAAGGCAAAAGTATCATATCATAAATTATTCTTCCAAGTGCTCATTTTATTTTGTGTAATTTCCCTGAGCTTTAGGTTCTTGAAGACTGAGAACATAAAATAAGAAAAAACTGGGCTGTAGTAGAGAAAAGATTAAGTGAGGACACTGTACATTCATGACTCCTGTATATAATAAAAGCACTTTCTGGGCAAAATTAAGACTGTTATCAGATATAGATGCACATGTACAGATGATATATATATATATATGTGTATACGTATATATGTATATATGTCTTACTGGGTGGTTTTTATGCACCCTGACTTTTCTACTACTTGATTAAAAGACTAGGCAATTCCCCTTGAGATTTGTTCCTCCACGCAATGTGCTGTAATTGCAACAGAGTGCTTGATACAGCAGCAATGAGCACTATTCTGTAATAAATTTGGGTCACTGCACGGTTCATCATGTAGTCCTTGGCAACAGGAGATAAAGCACTGGTTAGTGCCTCTCGCTTTTAGCTGCAGTGTCACTGGTTCTCCTGCCTAATTATATTAACAGAGCTAAATGTACGCAAATTGTCCCTGTCCTAGGTCTTTCCCTTCCCACTGTCTCCATAATATTTCATCTCCAGAACACATTTCTTACAACAGTAATGTGAGTCAGAGGTGTGGAAGTGTGAGCTGCCAAGAAAAAGACAATTCCCTTCTTGTTGCATCATCCTCTTCATTTTCCTGTTTCCTCAAATCAATATTTTAAAAATCTTTTAGTTCACACAAATTCTCTCATCTATTTCTCTGATGGAAAATCAAATAGAACTTGTATAGGGTTTTCTAAAGTGCTGATTCCTATAGCTAAGTATTCGAATAAACTTAGTGCATTTCTTTAGAGAAATGTTTTTTGCTTGCTTCATTACCCTTACACTTCAGAGTTTTTATTTGCAGATTGTAGTTCACAGGAATTAATTTCTGATGCCTCTAAACACATTTTACAGGGCTACCGGCAAGATTTAACCCTTTGCTTTCAAGTCTGCACATCCTTCCCGTCATCTCTTTCCAGACCCTTCTATAACCACACCCATATCATGCTCTCTTTCTCTCCCCTAACCCTGCCCTGAAAAATCCAACATCTATTAATTCTCAAATTTGGCTCAGTGAAACTTTAAAAAATTATTGCTTTAATAGAATTTGGGGCAGGAGGATTCAATAAAAGGAATTCATGCGATAGAGCCAAAATAAGTATTAGAAATATTAGAGAGATGGAATGGTTTCTTTTTAACTCCAGCGCACATATTTAAATCAGTGAACTGTATGCAGTAGGTTTCAGACTGACGCCTGAGACATGCATTTTGCTTTTGAAGATCTTTGCCTTAAAACACTTTTGAAGCATTTAATAAGTGAGTTAGGACTGTGTAAATCTTGTTAAAGCAAGTGAACATGAAGTACACAGCTGAAAAGGCAGCCTGTTAACGCTTGGAGGGAAATGAGTGTCCTTATTCTGCTCTTACATCAGTATCGGGGTGAAGCTGGAATGCTCACTTTTACCTTGCCTCGTAATGATAAAAGTTCTCTACCTTTTGAAGCGTTAAGACTCTACCATAAACAGATACTTCGCTTGCTGTTTTTTGTTATTTATCTTGACAAGGCTTTTATTTTTATTTTTTGACTTTGCTTTTCACAGAGCATCACAAGCTTTCTTAATCCTGTGTAAATGTAGAGAATAACCTTCCCCAGCTGTGACCAGTAACATAGAAATCCTCGCGAATCAGACTTGTCATGCCATAGTAAATCCCTCAAAACTAAGCGAGAACCTGAAAAAGCAGATGACCACCCCCAGGTGCTTTGTCATCAACAGTAAGAGGAAAATATCCCAGGGATGTAGGTACCTGAGAAACCAAGAACCAAATGCCTGGGATATATGGAAATTTTTTTGTGGTACCAGAGAACCAAGTTCCTCAAACCCTATGTGACACCATATCTTCCCACAGACAAAAAAAAAAAAAAAAGTCACTTTGGTCTTCATCCCAATTGGCACCAAATATTCTGAAAAGAGCACAAATAAGCAACAATTTTCTATGAGCATATAACTATAATTTTTGATAACCAACCATAGATTTTGCAGACAATAAACCTCTTATTTATAGTTGACTTTGAGCCTCTCTGGATCTTATTTTTCTCTCCTGTATTATGGGACAATATTTATCTTGCATGGTTGCTGAGAGAATTAAATGAACTCCAACATCACTAAAGCACCTGGCACAGGGGACAAACACAACAAATTTCAAGTCGCTATCATTCCCACTCTGAAGTGTAAAAACCATGTCTCGTTATGCAGAGAAAATGCATTTTAATAATCTTGACAATAGACTTGAAAGTGTATTAAACATAGTCCACATTCAACCTATTATAAACTCTTAGAGCACTTATTATAGTGAATCCTATTGTACTTTCTTTCTTTTTTTCCTCCCAAAAGAATACTGGAGTCATTTATTTCCTTGCAGGAGCACTGTGGATGTCTTTGTAAGTCTGATAGCATTATCTGACAAATAATCAATGTTTGGCTGTAACCCGAGGGCCTCCAGAGCTAGAGGACATTAGTCAGCATGGTATCATGGAGAAGGAGGCAAATCCAGCATAAATTGTTTTCTGTGCTGAAATTATCAGGTGATTTTTGCCCAGGACTTTCCATCATAACACTTCCTATAGGATTAGATTTGAAGCTCAGAATTATTTTGATTATTCATCATGTCATCTTTTGTATCTCGACAGCTTTTCTTTCACAAACTTATTATAGCAAAAGCCCAGCTGAATGTTTCCCGACATGTATCAGTAAAGTGACAGAACAGCTCTATATCCTTATGCTCTTCATTTTGCAGAGAGGTTAAAGTGACCTTTTAACAGACCCACAATAAAATTGGAATATGAAAAGAGTGTGAGGCCCAGGTATAAAACACGCTCCAACCTAGCTGACATAAATACTAATAGGATGGAATAATTTGAGTGGACAGAGGAAAAATAAATCAAAGTCACTCACACTTAAATGTATAAAACTATTGTAGAGACACAGAGCATGACTAAAGGTCTGATTTATTTCTGGCAAAGCCCAGTAAAATTGAAATACCTAATACCATATTCCAAACCACCTTCAGAAAGGCATACGTTTAGATATTCTTTCTTGCTTCCAAAATGTGTTCTTTCTCTGTTATCTGCCAAAGGGGAAGCATGAAGCAGACTGATTAGAAAAAATCACTAGTATATCTTTTGGAAGTGTAAGAAAAGTGAACATATAATTTACGTATACTATCCAGTCTTGTGTTATAAATACATGATGCTTTCTCATCTCAACTACCTGACTTTATATAACATACTGCAAATAGAAATCTGGGGTTAGACCAAAAATTTTTTAAACTTGAAAGTGAATTGGACATAAGAATCAGTTCTTTTCTACCTTGTATACATAAGCATATAATTGTGAAAATCTAGGGTGTTTTGGTGACTACAGCCAGTTTTGTTATTTTGAGGGATCTGCAAAATCAGAGCCATTGTTGAAGTGAGAATTAAAAATTACAATGGGTCCTCCCTACTGAGATACAATAGAGAACAGCAGAAGAGTGGGGAAAGAAAAGTTCAGGGCCATACTGAGGTCACGGGAGTTTCCTGAGAGATAGTAATTATTAAGAATAACCACACCAGAAATGATGTTTGCTCTTACAAGGGTATCCGGGACAACAGGGTTAAGAATTTGAGACCTTGACCTAGGAGACAGAGATTTGTAAAGTGAGCTACTCTTGGAATATTAACTTGATAAATTAGGTTTTAAATTCCTAGTCTCTCATCTCTTCGAGCCATGCAAAAGAGACTGAAGTCCAAAGCCCCCTGAATGCAAGCTCCAATCTACAGACTTTTCATGAGAAAGTCTGCAGTCTCAATTCGAGACAAAGCCTGATCTCAGGGCAGCCAGTCTTCAGCAAATAATCTTGGCATTTTAAGTGGTGTTTAAAATGTTCTATACCATTAAAACTCTTTTGATGTTGAATCTAAGAGCATTCTAAAGAACATGGCAATAATGAACCCAAGCTGCACACCAAATTCTAGGTAACATAAGAAGCTCTTTGAAACATCTTCAATTCAAATTCTAACATACAGTGTCCAGAAGAAACCGCAAAACAAGAAAGCTTAAGTTTTTAATTTACATTTGGAAAATGATGAATACGAAATTTTAAAATGGTATTGTACAATCTCTCTTAACTTTGGAAATGAATAAAATGGTGATTATTTAACAAAGATGTAATTGCAGGTGACTTATGGCAAGAAGCCCATTACCATGATTTATCCAAGCAATAAGCATTTATTAAACATCTACTATAAACATTTATTGAGCATCTAACATTACACCTGAAGCAAAACTACTCAAGATTGCTCTTGTGAGAGGCAGCACAATCACAAATCAATGACTGCAATTCCGTTTCTCCCTCCTAGCTTTTTATTTAAGGCTCATATTTGAATTTGTTTTCAGTCTTCTCTGTCCACAGCATCTTTATATACAACCCATGTCCCCCCTAAGGCAGACACACAGCTCTCTCCTTGTGTTCCTCAGTTCTGCCACTCTGAAAATGTGCCTACCTCTTTGAGGGGCTCCCAGAGGCTTCCAACATAAATTGTGTGCATGCCACATGCCACATAGCCTGTGCTTTAATTGGCCATCCCAAATATACCTTTCAAATTCAGTAAAAATTCATTCCATAGTCCCATGTGTGATATAGTATCAAACAAAGAGATAGAAGATAATATTTTAGTTTATGGATATCTCCCATAAGGGTGCTCATATTTGACATCTATTCATTACTTATGTCTTTCTCCCAAATGCAGAGCAAAGTGAGACCAGGAATGCTTTAAAGTGATTCCTGTAGCTGTTGATCAGTGAGAAGAATAAGTAGTTTATCAACCCAAATATTAGCATTACCTGGATAATTCTGTAAAAACACAAATGCTCAGATACTATCTCTGGAGATCTGGATTCAGTAAGTTTAGGGGCGAAGACTATCTGATTTTTTCTACTCTCTAGTAATATTGGTGTATAGTAAGGGCTGAGAAAACCAAGATAGGAAAATTTTTAAGTTCCATCAGAACTAATAATTTATAGCTCCATGCTATGTGTGGTTAGATACTGGAACCACCTGGACAGAAAGCTTTGATGGAGGGCAGGAAAGAAGGAAAATGAAATACACAAAACATGGAGTGTGACCCCAGCAGAGCAGACCCCATTGAACTCTACGGCAGGGTTTCCTGGGTTTCTAGATGAACGGAAAGGAGTCACCAGCTGCTTTTGATGGTGTTAAAAGACATAACAAAATAAATGAGTGCATAGCATATAGGGGTAGAAGAGTGTTTGAAGATTAATTCTAAGCACTCAATCATTTTGTTTAGGGCCTATGTTGCCCATCTATCACTAAAATGATAGCCGAGTAAGGTGAACATGCATGATATGGTTGCTACAAACTGGATCCGCTTTGAGGAAATATGATTCTGATTCAGAACTTTTTTACACTTGCAGGTTTTGACAGAAAAGACTGTGGACTCTGGCAGCTGCTCTGGGATGACTTTACTCTTTTTTTTTTTTTTTTTTTTGAGACAGAGTCTCGCTCTGTCGCCCAGGCTGGAGTGCAGTGGCACTATCTCGGCTCACTGCAAGCTCCGCCTCCTGGGTTCACGTCATTCTCCTGCCTCAGCCTCCAGAGGAGCTGGGACTACAGGCGCCCGCCACCACGCCCGGCTAATTTTTTTTGCATTTTTTTAGTAGAGACAGGGTTTCACCGTGTTAGCCAAGATGGTCTGGATCTCCTGACCTCGTGATCCACCCGCCTCGGCCTCCCTAAGTGCTGGGATTACAGGCGTGAGCCACCGTGCCCGGCCGACTTCACTCTTCACATAGTTGTTAGTTGCAGTGAGGGCCATATGTGTTCTGCATCATCCAGCAAATGTGAGCAGAGAATGTGGACCCATCTTTCACTGCGAAAACTGACATCCAGAAGCATTCATTTCCAACCAGCACACATTGCCTTGATGGCCATGCTGGCAATGGGCTGTTGATGTCCCGTCTCCACCCGCTCGGCCCCAAGGTCAACATCTCCATTAAGCAGAGTAGGCACAGTGCAAGGGCCCACGATAGTGTTGAAGTTCATAAAAAATGTTTTAGTTTCATTTAAAATCTGGAAAAAATTAACTTTTAGGTCAAGAACATGTTAACCTATTCATCTTTGTATGAACGCAGTTGTAAAATATAATTCTAATATGATTTTAGGAAGGAAGAGGTCCATGAAGGCAAAATTGGCTAGGACCCATAAAAGTCACAAGGTAGTCCTGATTGTCCTTAATCATGGCCAGCTATGTGATTTGTATGTTTTTTATGCAAAATAAAAAATGCAGGGCCTCTTGTTCAAAATATTATAAATTTCAAGGTGGTGACGGTAGAGCATTAAACCAAGCATGGGGCCCTCTGAGCATGGTACCCTGTGCAACCTGTCTTGAGAGGTGGCTGATGGGAACCATATTTTTGTTAGAATCTAATATTTCATGAGCCAAGCCCAGAGTCTTCATCTCTATTTTTGACCCAACTTTCTGCATTTCTAATCCCTTTCTTCCTCCGTGTAACTCCTACCAAAATTAGACAACAATAGGACAAGAGTGTTGAAGAAAGACATTGGCTATTGTGGGCATTGGGTTGAGAAATTTTATTCTCTTTTTGACTATCATTACTCTTATGATACTTCAGTTCCACCCTATCATCGACCATCAGACAGAGGATATTTTTTCCTTGTTAACCCACAAATATAACATTTAGTGACCTTGAAATTATGAGTGTTAAAGACATCATACCTTATCTTAACATGTCATTGTCACCAGGTAAGGTCCCTGTTACTATTGCTTTGAAACAAACCACAGTTGGTAAAGGAACTTCTACTGTTAAACCTATCTCAACACAAAGTCGGCGTTATTTATTTATGATGTTACATGAATCATCTGCACTTTCCCTGATAAGCCCTAGGCTGTGTGTCTTTCATTTCAGCTGACATTTTGCTGCCATTTGCCAGGCTAAGTAACTACCGTGCAATCACTCTGAGCTGATGCATGGTCATTGTTTTGCACAAAATGGATTTTTAAGTCAGCTGAAAGGCTTTCTGAAGAATATAATTTGACAAAGTAAATTTTTGCTCATATAACAGAAATCAGCCAGGGCTGTACCAAATGTATTTTTTAAGATAGCTAAAAGGATTTCTGCAGAGAGTTTGACAAAGTATTTTACTTTTGTGCACAAAGCAAAAATTGATTAGTTTTGAACAAAAAGGATTTCTCAGGGTGCTGAAAGGCTTTTCTCTGGAATTAAATATATTCTTTGGCTTGCAGGATAAGGTATTTGAAAGTAGTGTCTGAGAAGACAAATAGTTGTCAGTGACATTTTTTTTTTCAGAAACAAGTTAAAAGAATCTACTTAAATGACATTTTCAACCTGGTTTGGCTCCAGATCTCTCACTGCTTACAGAAAGATGACCCATTTTCCAGTGTACGAGGCTTGTTGCATGATTCATTCTCTTGTTTGATCCTGCTCCTAAATTGATAGAATCATTGAGTAGACATTTCACTGAACACTTTTCCCCCTTCAGTTTAACTATAGGAGACAAGAAATCTGAACAAATTGAAGGGCAAGGAGTTTTAACTTAAATTGTTTAGCTTCAGGGAAATTTTGCTGACAATTTTCCAATACCCACAGTACTTCTATTTGAGGAGAGGAGGTGATTTGGAAACATGCAACTTATACAAAAACTGATTCCATTTTTTCTAAACGTGTCAGTCTGCTGCCATGGAAAGTTTTAAAACTGGAAGATAAATGCAATGACCTACTTATCCAATGTGCTATGAGAGTTGTGTGTGTGTGTGTGTATGCACTCGTGGGGGTGTGTGTGTGTATGTGTTAGTCAGGGGTGGTTGTGAGCAAGTATGTGGTGTGGCTATGACACCAATCAAATTTTTGGACAGTGATCCTTTTTCAAATGAAAAGGTTGCTTTTAGGAGTACATGTAAAAATAATTTACAACCAAATATCTTGGTATATATCTTGAATTTTTAATGCATTTTTTACACTTTTTTTATGCTGGTACAAAGTTTGAATTACTTTTTCCAGCTTAGTTTGTACTCCCTGCCTAAGATCATGAGAGGGCAGCGTCAAATCATCCTTTCCTATCATTTTTGGTTACACCATTAAATTAAATACAAAGTCCAAATTTAAAAGTTCTTCATTAAGAATAAATTGTTAAAGGTTTAGAAATTAATCCCTGATATATACTATTACCTTTTTTATATTTAGAAATTAAAGGCAGCTTATTTTTAAGAGTTTCATTGCTTAACAAGATTGTATTCATACATTTGAAACAAGTTCTTGATTTATTTACATTAATGGACACAGGAGATTGAATATATGATCTTATTTTTGTCCTTGTTTCTAGTTCCAAATCAAAGTAATTTAAGGTAAATAGAATCCTCTTTTCCACAAGATGTTCCTTATCTTTTTTTATTTTTTTATTTCAATTTAATTTTTTTAAATTTTATGGGTACATAGTAGGTGTATATATGTATAGAGCACATGAGATGTTTTGATACAGGGATGCAATGTGAAATAAGGAAACCATAACGAATGGGGTGTCCATACCCTCAAGCATTTATCCTCTTTGTCATGTTGTTTTCAAAGTAGAGACTTTTAAATAAAGAAAATGAGAGTTGGTGGGTCAGCTCTTTTCATTTTATCATTCACCAATATGAGGAACACACATCCACACATATGCTTACATACATATCGTTATTATGGCACTACCTCCCCTAAGGTTCGACAGTAAACAGTAAGCACAATCATTTTATTGACCAAGTCTCTGACTTACTGTCAAAACTAAACAGAACAAAAGTAGGGCAAATCTACAGGACATTGATTACTAACCTATTTTTAAAAGGAGACTAACCCAACATGTGCCATTTTGCCTGATACCTTACTAATTTCACACCATGTCTTAACTATATGGTATCACAAGCAAGTTTAAAAGAGCAGTGTTTCTAGTCCATGGCTTATCCAAAGAAACCATTCACTGCAAATGTCAAATCCAGTGAGGTGAAACATGAACAAGTATGAGAGGTTAACCCTTGGCATGTGGTTCCAGGGTGTGGGGGTGATATGGTTAGGCTTTTTGTCCCCACCCAAACCTCATATTGAATTGTAATCCCCAGGTGTTGAGGGAGAGACCTGGTGGGAGGTGATTGAATCATGGGGGCACGAGGTTCTCATGATAGTGAGTGAGTTCTCACAAGATCTGATGGTTTAAAAGTGTTCGGTAGCTCCCTGCTTTCACTCTGTCTCTCCTGCTGCCATGTAAGAAGGTACTTGCTTCTCCTTCATTTTCTGCCATGATTGTAGGTTTCCAGAGGCTTCCCCAGCCATGCAGAACTGTGAGTCTATTAAACCTCTTTTGTTTATAAATTACCCCATCTTGGGTATTTCTTTATAGCAGTATGAAAATGGACTAATACAGTAAATTGGTACCTCAGAGAGTGGGGTACTGCTATGAAGATACTTGAAAATGTGGGAGTGACTTTGGAACTGGGTAACAGAAAGAGGTTGGAACAGCTTGGAAGGCTCAGAAGAAGACAGGAAGATGTGGGAAAGTTTAGAACTTCCCAGAGACTTGTTGAATGGTTTTGACTAAAATGCTGATAGTGATATCGATAATGAAGTCCAGGCTGAGGTGGTCTCAGATGGAGATGAACTTATTGGGAACTGGAGCAAAGGTCACCATTGCTGTGCTTCAGTGAAGAGACTGATGGCATTTTGCCCCTGACCTAGAGATCTGTGGAACTTTGAACTCGAGAGAGATGATCTGAAATTGGATTTTTTTTTTCTTTATTTTTTTGAGATGGAGTCTTGCTCTGTCAGCCAGGCTGGAGTGCAGTGGCACAATCTCAGCTCACTGCAACTTCAACCTCCTGGGCTCAAACCATTCTTCTGCCTCCCAAATAGCTGGGACTACAGGCGCATGCCACCATGCCTGGCTAGTTTTTTTTGTATTTTTAGTAGAAACAAGGTTTGACCATGTTGGCCAGGCTGGTCTCTAACTCCTGACCTCAAATGATCCACCCACCTCAGCCTTCCAAAGTGCTGGGATTACAGGCGTGAGCCACTGCACCCAATCTGGAACTTATGTTTTAGAGGGAACCAGAGCATAAAAGTTTGGAAAATTTGCATCCTGATGATGTGATAGAAAAGAAAAACCCATTTTCTGGGGAGAAATTCAAACCAGCTGCAGAAATTTGCATAAGTAATGAGGAGCCAAATGTTTACCACCAAGAAAATGGGGAAAATGTCTCCAAGGCATGTCAGAGATCTTGGTGAAAGCCCCTTCCATCACAGGCCTAGAGGCCCAGGAGGAAAAAATGGTTTGTAGGCCAGGCCCAGGGCCCTGCTGCTCTGTGCAACCTCAAGAGTTGGTACCGTGTGTTCCGGCTGCTTTGGCTCCATCCATGGCTAAAAGGGGCTAAGGCACAGCTCAGGTCATCGCTTTAGAAGGTGCAAGCCCCAAACCTTGGTGGCTTCCACATAGTGTTGTGCCTGCGAGTGCACAGAAGTCAACAATTGAAGTTTGGGAACCTCTGCCTAGATGTCAGAGGATGTATGGAAATGTTTGGATGCCCAGGCAGAAGTCTGCTGCAAGGGCAGAACCCTTATGGAGAACATCTGCTAGGGCAGTGTGGAAGGGAAATGTGGGGTTGGATACCCTACAGTCTCCACTGGGGCACTAATTGGTGGCTGTGAGAAGAGGGCCACCATCCTCCAGACCCCAGAATGGTAATTCCACCGACAGCTTGCACTGTGCACTTGGAAAATCCGCAAACACTCAACACAAGCCCATTAAAGCAGCCAGCAGGGGAGATGTACCCTGCAGGGCAGAGCTGCCCAAGATCATAGGAGCCCACCCCTTGTGTCAGCATGACCTGGATGTGAGACATGGAGTCAAAGGATATCATTTTGGAGCTTTAAGATTTAATGACTGGCCTGTTGGATTTCGGACTTGCATGGGGCCTGCAACCCCTTTGTTTTGGCCAATTTATCCCTTTTGGAATGAGAATATTTACCCAATGCCTGTAGCCTCATTTTATCTAGGAAGTAACTAACTTGCTTTTGCTTTTGCAGGCTCCTAGTTGAAAAGGACTTGCCTTATCTCAGAGGAGACTTTAGATTTGGCCTTTTGGGTTAGTGTCGGAATGAGTTAAGACTTTGGGGGACTGTTGAGAAGGCATGATTAGTTTTGAAATGTTTAAAGACATGAGATTTGGGAGGGTCCAGGGGTGGCATAATATGGTTTGGCTTTGTGTCCCCACCCAAATCTCATTTTAAATTGTAATCCCCAGGTGTTGAAGGAGAGACCTAGTGGGAGGTGAATGGATCATGGAGACAGTTTCCCCCATGCTGTTCTCAGGATAATGAGTGAGTTCTCATGAGATCTGATGCTTTTATAAGTGTTTGACAGCTCCTCCTTCACCTGCTCACACTCTCTTCTGCCACCTTGTGAAGAAGGTGCCTGCTTTCCCTTCCACCATGATCGTAAGTTTCCTGAGGCCTCCCCAGACATGTGGAACCATGAGTCAATTAAACCTCTTTCTTTATAAATTACCCAGTCTAGTATATTTCTTTATAGTAGTGTGAAAATGGACTAATACAGGGGCGAGGAGTTACTACACCCTGGAGACAACAACAGAATGACAATGACACACAATAGGCACAACCAGTTTGCTAAACTCCCTGAGATATTTGGCATGGGATACCAAGTGATTAGGTTCAAATGAATACTTGTTGTACTAATTGTGAAGATGATTCAATAAGACCAACACTTCAAATTGAAAAGGCAAAAAATATGCATATATCTTCAAATGTTTCAGAAAAAGAGCTACTTAATGTCAATGTGAAAGCAAGATGAGCCCATAAGCATTAAGAAGGAGCTGAACACTGATAGAAACAGAGAAAAATCTAACTGTCCATGAAGGCCTACTTCATAATGACAAACAATGGCATTTTCCCAGAAAAATGGAGGAATAGAAAGCCCCTGAGTTGCTAAGGAAGAAGTACTCGTGGAAATGCCAGGTCCTAACCATTGCTCATTCAGAAGCTGCAACTAATATTAAGAAAATTACAATGTGGAAGCTTGGGCCTTGTCCATTCAAATTCATAACTACAAACTCAAATCACTTCTTTAAAAGCTATAGCTGTAGCTTATAAGAGCTAGTAGTGAGTTATTAAGTCATATGATTTTTTTTGGTGATGGTACATTCAAATGTGAGTGTGCGTTGTCAGCAGCACATTTCAAAAAAAGTGACATTAACTCATCACATTTTCTTAAATAAAATGTGCTTGATATCTCTACAAATGGGGCAAAGGAGAAGGAAATCCCAATGATTCCAAGCAGTGAATTCTCCGCTACTTCTCTGCTACATCATCAAAATGTAAGTTACAATCAGATTTAGCTTGATTTTAGGGGAAAAATATAACTGGATATTTTCTGCACCTGAGCATATTTGCAAATTCATACCCATTGTACTTACATCACTATGTACCAAGCACTTACTAGGCCCCATGGTGAAAGAATTGAGACTCAGAGAAGTCAAGTGACTTGTCAGAGGCAGGTCTCAAATCCAGTTCTGTCTGAAGCCAAAACCTCTACTCTTGATTTGAACACTGTGATACACCAGTCCCCATGCTGACATATATAACCTGTATGTCCTATTATATATATACCTCAGTTTATTCATCTACAATCTAGTAATAATAATGCCTACCCCATGGGAATATTATTCTGAAGATTAAATGAGAAAATGCATGTAAAATACTTAGCAAGGGGCCTGGCACATTGGAATGGTGGCCATCTCCCATCTGCTCAATTGTCGTTACACTCCAGGCTAGGGGTTCCTGACTTGGATTCATGGATGAGCTTCAGATGACAGCAAAACCCCTGAAGTTGAAAGCACTAGGTTGTGTAGATGCACAGACATGCATGCTTATAGTACTGAGTCAGATCTAACAGCCAGGGCATGGGAGATGGGGAGCTGATTGAAAAAATAAAAATCCCACTCAAGGGAAGTGTGATTTCATTGAGAAGCCCTGGCATCTTCCCTTCAGGGAGCTCATGACAATTAAAGGGACATATAGATCATTTTAAAATTCTTATAACAGCAAGAAAACATTAACAGATCAAATATTAGTCAATGTCTCCAACTGAAAGCCAGACTACTTTAGCTAAAAATTAATGAAAAATTACTCTTAGAACCTATGCTTGAAATTTCCTGGCTATGATATTGAGGCTCAATTGATATAATTCCGATTGCCCACTAAGTTTCATTTTCTGACTCACCATTCCATAAAACTTCAATTTTGAAAGAGGAATAATTATTTCAGGAGAACTTCCAAGTTGGATTTGAAAAATCTTCCATGCTTTTTCAAAGTTCTAAGAGCATTAAATAAGATTGAGGTAAATTATTGGTAGCTTTAGCACATTTATTTTTATTTGGAAGTTGCAAAATAGGCATTTACTTTATTTTCTTTCCACATGGTGTTTGAAACTCTGGAAATGGCATAGAAAAATTCAGATTTTTATCTTCCATTGAAACACTTGAACATCTGGCAACATGCCAACACTAGAGCCACATCTTCAAGTGGCAACAAATGGCTGGAGCAAAGGGACAGCTGCTTCTGTTAGCATCCTTGTTCCCAATTTACCATAGTCACCAACATTCTTTCATGTCTAACGAGAGCCCTCTTCACTCATTTATAATACCTGTATTTGAGTTTTTGATCCCTGGTATGGAAACGGAGAAGAATTACAAAAGCAGCTGTGCTCATCAAATGTGCTAATTTGGATCATCTATCCACCGAAAACTGCCTTATTAACTGGACTGTCATAAACTGCAGTTTAGGTGGTCTTCTGTGAAGGTGATTTAGCATTGTCCAATTCAAATCTTGCTAGATTGACAGCCAAGGAAATAAGGAGCAATATCTATGCAGCAGAAGCTAGAGAGATTAGGGAAGTATTGACAAAGAAATTGGTTTTTCCTAGAGTCCTGCACATGTTGGCCTAATACCAGTGTGGACAATCATTAGCTAAAACACTTTACCATTGACATTAGAAGATAAATCTTGGACTGAAGTTTTATGGGCTTCCCTCCATAAAACTGGACTCCAATACACTGAAAGTGCATTTTCTTCCCAGTTCATTTATTTACTGAGTGCCATTATGTAATAAACACTGGGAAGAGAGAAAGAAGAGATACGAAAGACAGTCTCTGCACTTGTGAAACTGTCAAACTAGTCAGGAAAACTGACATGAAAACAATTAAATGTAATCTATGGCTGATGATGTAACGTGACTGATTTGGAGAAAAGACAGATGAGGTAGGGAAGATAGACCGGATACTGGAGGATAGGGGCAGGGAAGGGAAGAGGGAATAGACCTACTAGAATATTCCAGAGAAGAAATTAAGACAGGTTGAACCAGACTAGAACTAGAAATGGAAGGAAAATGTAATGTATTTAACAACAGACACTCAGGAGCTCATTGTGCAAAAGGAAGGCCAGTTCACCCAAGTTCACACAGGGAAATTCTGGTCAAATTTCGAGGAAGGGTGTGAAAGTGTGGTCTTGTAGGCCCCTTTAGATTCAATCATATAACCAGTTACAGCATTTGTTCTCTGCTTTACCACAGTTCCCACCACTCCCTAATGTCCAACACCAATTCACTTGGCTCACCAACCACGTTTAAAATACCATATTTAAAATTAACCATGCTTTTTGTTTGTTTTAATGTGCTTTGTCTAGGCCCAAAATGAATCATACAATTTTGGCCTGAATTGTCATTCTCTATGAAGCTTCCTGGGCATCCACATCCCCTCACCCCAACTGTCCACACCTCCTCTGTCTTCCCACAGAGATGTTGCCATGCTTGTTTTCTAGCATTTACTGTACTATATTATAATTAGTTACTTATATATCTCTCATGCCAGCTTATGTTCAAAGCATCTGCAATATAGAACTGTAGTGGGTTGAATAATATTCCCCACCCAAAAGATATACCTACCTGGAACCTATGAATGTGACTGCATTTGGAAAAAGGGTCTTTGAAAATTAAGGATCTCTAGATAAGATTAAACTGGACAATTTGAGTGGACCCTCAATCCAATGATGTGTCCTTATAAGAGACAGTCACTGTGCAATGGCTGGTTCCCTTATGCTGATGTCCAAACTGGCTGCTGCCGCCAGCCAGTCCCTACTAAGGGCCCAGGAGGCTTCTCTCCACTTGCTGGATTGCTGATGCCTAAGAAAAGCCACACTTGTGGCTTCATATGGATTTTGTAATACCTTTCTCTTCCCCAGCAATGACTCTCATCCTCCCCTCATTCTGATATGAGTCTACCACTAGACCTAACATTTGGCTTTCAAACACATTTTTTTAAAAATAAGGCATTTTAATGTTAATTGCTCATATGTGGCTAAATGAAAGGACAAAAGTAGGCTAGAAATAGCATATACAGTTTGGTATCACAAAAAAAGGTTAAAATAAAGATTAGCTAGATAGCTGAGGATAGGAAGATAAAGGAACTGAAATAATAACAGTGAATATTTCTAGGTAGTAAGAATGCTGGTTATATATTTTTTGGATTGTTCTATATTCATAAGTTTTAACTGATCATAGATATAAAACAACAGATGCTTTAAAATTAGTAAAAATATAATGAAAACACAAAATAAAGGGGATAAATTCTTGAGTTTTCAGAAGCTGAGATGAGCACCGGTCCAGGAAATTAACACTTGCATACAAGTTGCCCAGAGTATGAATTCACAGGTTTATTATAGTACGTAATGCAACATCAAACACATGAGGGAAGGGAGAGAAAAATGCAGGGCAGTGGTTAGAAGCTCCTAAGTTGGAATCCCACTCCTTTAATAGCCATGTGACCTTGAACAAATGTCTTAAACATTCTAAGCCTCAGTTTCTTTCACTGTAAAGTGAGAAAAATAATGGCTCTCCTTTCAAAAAGCTGTTAAATTAAATAAGGTAGTATATAAAAATCACTTGACATAATATCTAATATATAATAAGCTTCAAATAAATGTCAACAATCTATTGATTATCAACATGTAAAAAGCATGTGGTTTATATCACATTTTCACTTAGCACCCTCCACCTAGTAACCTCCACCTAGCAAACTCCATTTAACCCAAAATAAAGGGTCTTGATCCCCTGTATGGCCTGTGTTCCAGGGGATGGGCCAGGGATTTGGATGTCCTTCACAGATAAAGAGTGAATCTCTGGGTTGGACACTCCTGGATTCCTTAGCTTTACTCTGAACCAACACTCTTCTTAGACTATAGAGTCATTCTCAGGGTATGCTTCATTTATGGCTGACTGCCACCTCTGCCATACATATGCCAATCCCCTGCCTCATCCTTTCTCTTCCTCATAAACTGAGGAGTGGGATGGAAGGAGAATCACTGAAGTCTCAAGGTTGATAGTAAGATCTTACATCCCTCTTTCCTCCAAAAGCAAAGTGTACGTGGAGAAGGTGAGGGTGCGGGTGGAGCTCAAAGAGATCAGGGATGCCAATGAGTAGGGGAAAACAGTATCTTGTTCCCAAGTGGATTATTGAAGAAGTGCAAAACATCCAGTCACCCATACCCTGAAAAATAAGTAATAAAATTCGTGGATGCCTCTGACACATGTCCCTGGAGTTGAAGGAAACATCTAAAGACCTAGAGACTAGTGACTGCTTCTCACTTGAAAATTGACCAAAGACAGCAGGTTTGCCAGAGCAGTCTGAGCCAAGGGTTGAGTAGAGAGCACACTACCCTGTACCTAAGAAAATAGCATGGGAGATGTCAACACCATCACCTAAGGGTCCCACAACCCTTGGAGGATGCCATAAATGACCTCAGAGATTCTGGAAAGGCTCCTAGATATTCTAGATAAGTACATTTCCATAAAGCTACCCAGGTGGTTTTCAGGTAAAGGAAATGAAGACCTGCTTGGAGAAGGGGTTTGAGGAATGGACTACTTAGCAGGGCTAAAGTGATACATGGCCACCTCTCTTTCTGTGAGTTCTTGTTAATGGAAGGGATTGGGTGTCATGCTACCCCTCTAAGGTAAACAAGCACATTATATACACTAAGACAACTTCACTGGTAGAGGACAGCTGCAGAGTTGGAACTAAACCAAGGCAAAGTATGACCAATCAAATGTGATGCTGAGAAGAACTTTTGCTGCTGCCTCGAAATTGGCTCTCTTTAGAATGAATTAGGCTAATGTGTTGTCCAAAGAGTGGTATTCTAAAGATAACATCTAAAAAGAGGCACCTACATATGAGGTTAGACACTTCCTCTGTTTATTGAAGTGTGGTTATTGGGCTTGCCTATCACCAGCTTGCACTCCAGTTTTCCACCTGCATGCCTTCCCAAGCTACACAAGAAGGCTGAAGAGAAGAGAGAAGGAGAGTCCTCTGTTTGTTGTGATATATCACTTTTGCCATACTTAGATGCCATGCTTGGAGAGTGAGGGGAAAACTCCAGAAGAGTTACTCATTGACAGAGTGATGATAGGAAGTGAAAAATGACATTCTACCCTTGATTGGACATCTGCTTAGGCAGCAGACTTACTAACCTAGCACTGAGTTTGTGTGATCAGAGAAGATGAGTATTGGAAACAAATGACAGAGAATAACACAGAATTATTCTGTATATATTCCTTTTGCAAAAATGACAAGAATTCATGAGTTTTCCGGAGCTTAACTGGAGTCTGTAGAAGATGCCTGGGATTTTGTCTTTCTGCTGGCACCTCACATGAGTCCTGCCCATTGAGCAAGGGGTCCCCAACAGCAATAGGCTGAGCAATCAACTGGGGTAGGGCTGAGGGACAAAGGAAGAAATCACCTAAAGCTGGATTCCTAAGGCCAGGGAACTACACAGTGGAGAGACACTATAGGATCCTCCATAGAAATTATATATGTACCCCCATAAAACAGCCAGTATTTAGAAGCCTAACATGCAGAGATCAGGCACAGCAGAGAGCTACAATATCAGCCTTTGAGTACAAAGACATTTGTCTCCTTTCTCTCCTTGCCTTTGGCCCCAACCCACACGAGGAGCTGGGCCTTGGAAAGGCAGGAAGCTATCTCCAAGCAGGAGCACCCACCTTTTCCAACACATCCCACCTACTCATGCTGTCAGTGCTCCAGACTGTCCCTGCTCTAGGGGGAAAAGAGAAGAGATTTAAGTAAAGGTTCAGATTGGTCCAGACTTACTAATGTGAAGTTATAGAATCTGACCCAGAGATTTGACAAAGCAGTTGAAAACAGAGAGTGAAGAAAAATAAAACTTTTGTATTATGTAGCCCATAGAGTTAGTCTCTTCAATATTCTTTTAAAAAAATAAATAAACTTTATTTATTAAAGCAGTTTTGGCCGGGTACAGTGGCTGATGCCCGTAATCCCAGCACTTTGGGAGGCTGAGGTGGGCAGATCACGAGGTCAGGAGTTCGAGACCAGCCTGACCAATATGGTGAAACTCCATCTCTACTAAAAATAAAAATAAAAAAATTAGCCAGGCATGGTAGCACGCACCTGTAATCCCAGTTACTCAGAAGGCTGAGTCACAAGAATTGCTTGAATGTGGGAGGCAGAGGTTGCAGTGAGCCAACACCGTGCCAATGCACCACTCCAGCATGGTGACAGGGCAAGACTCTGTCTCAAAAAAAAAAAAAAAAAAAAAAAGCAGTTTTAAGTTCATAGCAAAATTGAGTGAAAGCTACAAAGGGTTCCCATATACCCCTCCCCTCACACACAGTCTCCCCTGCTCTGAACATCCCACGCCAGAGAGGCACACGTGTTACAATTGATGAACCTACGTTGACATGTCACTAACACCCAAAGTCCATAGTTTACATTAGGATTCATTATTGGCAGTTTAAATTCTATGGGTTTTGACAAATGTATAACATGTGTCCACCTTTAGAGTATCATACAGAATAGTTTCACTATCCTAAAAATTCCCCATGCTCCACCTATCAATATAACTTTTATGTGTGTATTTTATCTGAAATTCTATTCAGCTCATTCAAGATTTTCATGTTCTAATCTCTCCATCTTGATGAAAATCACCCTCTGTAAGAATATCCTTGGCATTTGGTATTTTATGAAGAAGTGGTATTTTGTTATTATTTGCATGGTTGTTTATTCAATTTACTCACTTTAATGTTCCTGCTTCTAGGGTATTCAGGTCTGCATGAATGGAGTCTACCAATATGACCAATCCAATGAAAAAAAATCAGAAATGATTTCAAAACCTTTTCACTGAGGCATATATTTACAACTCTGATGTGATCTCTCCCCAGAAGAGGTTGAAATTGTCATCATTTTACAAATGAAGCAAAGAAAATAAACATGTCCTGACTGTTTAAGGCTAGCGGAAAAGGTAAAATTAAGTAAATATACATATTTCTTGCTTAACATAAGTAATTCATGCCTTGAGAAGAAAAGTCTGCCTAAGAACGCTGATCAGGAGACTATTTTATTTTAAATGGAAAAAAAAGTCATTCACTATACTTTAATACAAAGCTCGTTACCAATTTCCTAAATGTACTAAAATACATTGCCTACATACATAAGTAACAAATTATCATGTTAGGATATAACATACTTAAAACATTGCTTTCTGACCACCAAATAATTAATATTGTTGCTAACATAGAGTTACCGGTGTGCAGTAATTCATTGTGCTTTCTAAGTGCTTCTATACAGGATTGTGAGGTGCTAATAATTGAATCTAGAATAAAACTTGAGACCATTCCAAGATACCGCTTACTTTAAAATGTTGTACTAAGTGTTTGGTTCATAAATATAATTTTTTCATATATACAAACATGGTCTGAAAATACGTTGTTAAGAAATTTATAAGTTGTGTGAATTTTGGTTATCAAAAACAATGAGGTATTATACTGGGAAATATGCCAAGAGATAGTATGCCTGAATGCCCTTTGAAAGCCAAGTCCAAAATAGCTATTGAAAACTGGCAGGGTGAGGTGGAGCCAAGATGGCCGAATAGGAACAGCTCCAGTCTACAGCTCCCAGCGTGAGCGACGCAGAAAATGGGTGATTTATGTATTTCCAACTGAGGTACCGGGTTCATCTCACTCGGGAGTGCCAAACAGTGGGTGCAGGACAGTGGGTGCAGTGCACCGTGCATGAGCCAAAGCAGGACGAGGCATCACCTCACCCGGGAACACAAGGAGTCAGGGAATGCCCTTTCCTAGTCAAAGAAAGGGGTGACAGACGGCACCTGGAAAATCGGGTCACTCCTACCTGAATACTGTGCTTTTCCAACGGGCTTATCAAATGGCACACCAGAAGATTATATCCCGCACATGGCTCAGAGGATCCTACGCCCACAGAGCCTCGCTCATTGCTAGCACAGCAGTCTGAGATCAAACTGCAAGGTGGCAGCGAGGCTGGAGGAGGGGCGCCTGCCATTGCTCAGGCTTGAGTAGGTAAACAAAGAGGCTGGAAATCTCAAACTGGGTGGAGCCCACCACAGCTCAATGAGGCCTGCCTGCCTCTGCAGGCTCCACCTCTGGGGGCAGGGCACAGACAAACAAAAGACAGCAATAACCTCTGCAGACTTAAATGTCCCTGTCTGACGGCTTTGAAGAGAGTAGTGGTTCTCCCAGCACGCAGCTTGAGATCTGAGAACGGGCAGACTGCATCCTCAAGTGGGTCCCTGACCCCTGAGTAGCCTAACTGGGAGGCACCCCCAGTAGGGGTGGACTGACACCTCACATGGCCGGGTACTCCTCTGAGACAAAACTTCCAGAGGAACGATCAAGCAGCAGCATTTGCGGTTCACCAGTATCCGCTGTTCTGCAGCCACCGCTGCTGATACCCAGGCAAACAGGGTCTGGAGTGGACCTCCAGTAAACTCCAACAGACCTGCAGCTGAGGGTCCTGACTCTTAGAAGGAAAACTAACGAACAGAAAGGACATCCACACCAAAAACCCATCTGTACGTCACCATCATCAAAGACCAAAGGTAGATAAAACCACAAAGATGGCGAAAAAACAGAGCAAAAAAACCGGAAACTCTAAAACTCAGAGCGCCTCTCCTCCTCCAAAGGAACGCAGCTCTTCACCAGCAACGGAACAAAGCTGGACGGAGAATGACTTTGACGAGTTGAGGGAGGAAGGCTTCAGACGATCAAACTACTCCAAGCTAAAGGAAGAAATTCGAACCAATGGCAAAGAAGTTAAAAACTTTGAAAAAAAAATTAGATGAATGGATAACTAGAAAAACCAATGCAGAGAAGTCCTTAAAGGACCTGATGGAGCTGAAAACCATGGCATGAGAAGCACGTGATGAATGCACAAGCCTCAGTAACCAATGCGATCAACTGGAAGAAATGGTATCAGCGCTGGAAGATGAAATGAATGAAATGAAGCATGAAGAGAAGTTTAGAGAAAAAAGAATAAAAAGAAAGGAACAAAGCCTTCAAGAAATATGGGACTGTGAAAAGACCAAATCTACGTCTAACTGGTGTACCTGAAAGTGACGGGGAGAATGGAACCAAGTTGGAAAACACTCTGCAGGATACTATCCAGGAGAATTTCCGCAATCTAGCAAGGCAGGCCAAAATTCAAATTCAGGAAATACAGACAACGCCACAAAGATACTCCTCGAGAAGAGCAACTCCAAGACACATAATTGGCAGATTCACCAAAGTTGAAATGAAGGAAAAAATGTTAAGGGCAGCCAGAGAGAAATGTTGGGTTACCCACAAAGGGAAACCCATCAGACTAACAGCTGATCTCTCAGCAGAAACTCTACAGGCCAGAAGAGAGTGGGGGCCAATATTCAACATTCTTAAAGAAAAGAATTTTAAACCCAGAATTTCATATCCAGCCAAACGAAGCTTCATAAGTGAAGGAGAAATAAACGACTTTACAGACAAGCAAATGCTGAGAGATTTTGTCACCACCAGGCCTGCCCTAAAAGAGCTCCTGAAGGAAGCACTAAACATGGAAAGGAACAACCGGTACCAGCCACTGCAAAAACATGCCAAATTGTAAAGAGCATCAAGGGTAGGAAGAAACTGCATCAACTAACGAGCAAAATAACCAGCTAACATCATAATGACAAGATCAAATTCACACATAACAATACTAACCTTAAATGTAAATGGGCTAAATGCTCCAATTAAAAGGCACAGACTGGTAAATTGGATAAAGAGTCAAGACCCATCAGTGTGCTGTATTCAGGAAACCCATCTCATGTGCAGAGACACACATAGGCTCAAAATAAAGGGATGGAGGAAGATCTACCAGGCAAATGGAAAACAAAAAAAGGCAGGGGTTGAAATCCTAGTCTTGGATGAAACAGACTTTAAAGCAACAAAGATCAAAAGAGACAAAGAAGGCCATTACATAATGGTAAAGGGATCAATTCAACAAGAAGAACTAACTATCCTAAATATATATGCACCCAATACAGGAGGACCCAGATTCATAAAGCAAGTCCTTAGTGACCTACAAAGAGACTTAGACTCCCACACAATAATAATGGGAGACTTTAACACCCCACTGTCAACATTAGACAGATCAACAAGACAGAAAGTTAAGAAAGATATTCAGGAATTGAACTCAGCTCTGCATCAAGTGGACCTAATAGACATCTACAGAACTCTTCACCCCAAATCAACAGAGTATACATTCTTCTCAGCACCACAACGCACTTATTCCAAAAATGACCACATAGTTGGAAGTAAAGCACTCCTTGGCAAATGTAAAAGAACAGAAATTATAACAAACTGTCTCTCAGACCACAGTACAACCAAACTAGAACTCAGGATTAAGAAACTCACTCAAAACCACTCAACTACATGGAAACTGAACAACCTGCTCCTGAATGACTACTGGGTACATAACGAAATGGAGGCAGAAATAAAGATGTTCTTTGAAACCAACGAGAACAAAGACACAACATACCAGAATCTCTGCGACACACTCAAAGCAGTGTGTAGAGGGAAATTTATAGCACTAAATGCCCACAAGAGAAAGCAGGAAAGATCTAAAATTGACACCCTAACATCACAATTAAAAGAAATAGAGAAGCAAGAGCAAACACATTCAAAAGCTAGCAGAAGGCAAGAAACAACTAAGATCAGAGCAGAACTGAAGGAAATAGAGACATAAAAAACACTTCAAAAAATCAATGAATCCAGGAGCTGGTTTTTTGAAAAGATCAACAAAATTGATAGACTGCTAGCAAGACTAATAAAGAAGAAAAGAGAGAAGAATCAAATAGACGCAATAAAAAATGACAAAGGGGATATCACCACTGATCCCACAGAAATACAAACTACCATCAGACAATAGTATAAATACCTCTACGTAAATAAACTAGAACATCTAGAAGAAATGGATAAATTCCTCGACACATACACTCTCCCAAGACTAAACCAGGAAGAAGTTGAATCTCTGAATAGACCAATAACAGGCTTTGAAATTGAGGCAATAATTAATAGCTTACCAACCAAAGAAAGTCTAGGACCAGATGGATTCACAGCCGAATTCTACCAGAGGTACAAGGAGGAGCTAGTACCATTCCTTCTGAAACTACTCCAATCAACAGAAAAAGAGGGAATCCTCCCTAACTCATTTTATGAGGCCAGCATCATCCTGATACCAAAGCCTGGCAGAGACACAACAAAAAAAGAGAATTTTAGACCAATATCCTTGATGAACATTGATGCAAAAATCCTCAATAAAATACTGGCAAACCGAATCCAGCAACACATCAAAAAGCTTATCCACCATGATCAAGTGGGCTTCATCCCTGGGATGCAAGGCTGGTTCAACATATGAAAATCAATAAATGTAATCCAGCATATAAACAGAACCAAAGACAAAAACCACATGATTATCTCAATAGATGCAGAAAAGTCCTCTGACAAAATTCAACAACGCTTCATGCTAAAAACTCTCAATAAATTAGGTATTGATGGGACGTATCTCAAAATAATAAGAGCTATCTATGACAAACCCACAGCCAGTATCATACTGAATGGACAAAAACTGGAAGCATTCCCTTTGAAAACTGGCACAAGACAGGGATGCCCTCTCTCACCACTCCTATTCAACATAGTCTTGGAAGTTCTGGCCAGGGCAATGAGGCAGGAGAAGGAAATAAAGGGTATTCAATTAGGAAAAGAGGAAGTCAAATTGTCCCTGTTTGCAGATGACATGATTGTATATCTAGAAAACCCCATCACCTCAGCCCAAAATCTCCTTAAGCTGATAAGCAACTTCAGCAAAGTCTCAGGATACAAAATCAATGTACAAAAATCACAAGCATTCTTATACACCAATAACAGACAAACAGAGAGGCAAATCATGAGTGAACTCCCATTCACAATTGCTTCAAAGAGAATAAAATACCTAGGAATCCAACTTACAAGGGATGTGAAGGACCTCTTCAAGGAGAACTACAAACCACTGCTCAATGAAATAAAAGAAGTTACAAATAAATGGAAGAACATTCCATGCTTATGGGTAGGAAGAACCAATATCGTGAAAATGGCCATACTGCCCAAGGTAATTGATAGATTCAATGCCATCCCCATCAAGCTACCAATGACTTTCTTCACAGAATTGGAAAAAACTACTTTAAAGTTCATATGGAACCAAAAAATAGCCCGCATTGCCAAGTCAATCCTAAGCCAAAAGAACAAAGCTGGAGGCATCACACTACCTGACTTCAAACTATACTATGTGGCTACAGTAACCAAAACAGCATGTTACTGGTACCAAAACAGAGATATAGACCAATGGAACAGAACAGAGCCCTCAGAAATAATGCCACATATCTACAACTATCTGATCTTTGACAAACCTGAGAAAAACAAGCAACGGTTTCTCCATTTAATAAATGGTGCTAGGAAAACTGGCCAGACATATGTAGAAAGTTGAAACTGGATCCCTTGCTTACACCTTATACAAAAATTAATTCAAGATGGATTAAAGACTTACATGTTAGACCTAAAATCATAAAAACCCTAGAAGAAAACCTAGGCAATATCATTCAGGACATAGGCATGGGCAAGGACTTCATGTCTAAAACACCAAAAGCAATGGCAACAAAAGCCAAAATTGACAAATGGGATCTAATTAAACTAAAGAGCTTCTGCACAGCAAAAGAAACTACCATCAGAGTGAACAGGCAACCTACAGAATGGGAGAAAATGTTTGCAACCTACTCATCTGACAAAGGGCTAATATCCAGAATCTACAATGAACTCAAACAAATTTACAAGAAAAAGACGAACAACCCCACCAAAAAGTGGGCGAAGGATATGAACAGACACTTCTCAAAAGAAGACATTTATGCAGCCAAAAAACACATGAAAAAATGCTCACCATCACTGGCCATCAGAGAAATGCAAATCAAAACCACAGTGAGATACCATCTCACACCAGTTAGAATGGCGATCATTAAAAAGTCAGGAAGCAACAGGTGCTGGAAAGGATGTGGAGAAATAGGAACACTTTTACACTGTTGGTGGGACTGTAAACTAGTTCGACCATTGTGGAAGTTGGTGTGGCGATTCCTCAGGGATCTAGAACTAGAAATACCATTTGACCCAGCCATCCCATTACTGGGTATATACCCAAAGGATTATAAATCATGCTGCTCTAGAGACACATGCACACGTATGTTTATTGCCTCACTATTCACAATAGCAAACACTTGGAACCAACCCGAATGTCCAACAGTGATAGACTGGATTAAGAAATTGTGGCACATATACACCATGGAATACTATGCAGCCACAAAAAATGATGAGTTCATGTCCTTTGTAGGGACACGGATGAAGCTGGAAACCATCATTCTCAGCAAACTATGGCAAGGACAGAAAACCAAACACCACATGTTCTCACTCGCAGGTGCGAATTGAACAATGAGAATACATGGACACAGGAAGGGGAACATCACACACTGGGGACTGTTGTGGGGTTGGGGGAGGGGGGAGGGATAGCATTAGGAGATATACCTAATGCTAAATGAGGAGTAAATGGGTGCATCACACCAACATGGTACATGTATACATATGTAACAAACCTGCATGTTGTGCACATGTACCCTAAAACTGAAAGTATAATAATTAAAAAAAAAAAAGAAAAGAAAACTGGCAGGGTGAAAGATAAACTATTAGGAGGCATTACCAAGGAGAGAACAATTAGATAAATTACAGTACATTTTGGATTTCTAATTAAAATGGAATTCCAAAGGAACATATCATTCAGTGCACACAGTTTTTGGGATCACTTCTATCAAGTATGGAAAAGTGTATTTGTTTTGAAGGGCTTCAAGGAAAGTAAATTATCAGCTTCCCTGCCTCCAGTTCATGTCACGTCAGAAAAGTAAAAGATCAGATGACAGTTGTTTCAGAGCTGAGACAGAAGAGGAGTTTCAATGAGTTTCTTGGACTTGGTCATTGTATTTGGCTATGTAGAGAATGTGCTTTTGAAGCAGGTCCCTTTGCTTAGAAACTACATACTGAAGCCTTTATAGATGAAATGTTGTGATGTACAAATAGTTCACTGCAGAAAGAGAGACAGAGAGGAGAGAAAGGGATACGGCAAATGTGGCAAACTAATAATTGCTGAAATTATATGAGTTTATGGGTTGTCAATGTATTACTTTTGAACTTTTGAGGATAATAACAAAGAATCAATACTTTTTGGTTAATATTTTGCTATTTTATTACATATATAAGGCATATTTAGTGTAAATATTAGGAAATACAAAAAAAAACTAGAAAATAATCACTTATAACACATATAATTTAACCCAAATGGACTCTTTGTCAATCATTTGTTTATATCACTCCAGATTTTTAAAATAAATATTTTTTAAGTAATAAAAATTGTATTTACTTAGAAGTATTCAGAATGTCAACAAACAGCTGAAACTATTTTTTTTTTTTGCAATTACAGAGTGGTATTCAGCTAACAGAACAATTATTTCATAAAAGCTGCATGACAGATAACTGCAGATGAAAAAACTACCATCCGTATACACAATTAATTTGTGTTGTGCACCAAAAAGAACCTGCTTTAAATATCCATGCCAATTTACAACCCCCATACTGTACCAAGCAAGGTTAGTGGCTATGGCAAACACCACCAGGACAGTACTATCTAAAGACACATTTGGTAGTGTGGTTAACTATACAAAAAAAAAAAAAAGGACACTGTACAGTTTAAGAACAAATCATATGTAGCCTTACTTCTTTCTTTAAAAGGAGTGAGTTGTGTATAAGGGGTTTAAATGCTTTATAGACCAAAAAAAAAAAAAAAAACTGTACTACAACCAACTTAGTTATCATCATCATCTTTATTTTCATCCTCCTCATCTCCCTCCTCTTTCTTCTTTTTCTTGCATTTTTCAGCCTTGACAACTCCCTTTTTTGCTGCATCAGGCTTTTCTTTAGCTCACTATGCAGCAATATCCTTTTTGTCTTTTTCCTTCAGCTTCAAAGACTTTTCATAAGGCAGCTTGTCATCTGCAGCAGCGTTATTCCACATCTCCCTGTTTCTTTGCTACATCACCAATGGATGTTCTTTGATTTTTGCGTGATGCTTAGAGCAGAACAGGAAAAAAGTCAAAGGAGGAATCTTGGGTGCGTTGGGCTCCTAGACTTGTTTCTCCTTTACAGGGGACATAGGTTTCATTCGTCTTTCTTAACAAGCCTAGTCCACCTTTGCTATGTCTTCAAATTTTCCTTTCTCTTTAGCAGACGTGGTCTTCCACCTCTCTGAGTTCTTCTGAGAAGCTTACAGAAGCATCTGGGTGCTCTTTTTGTGCTCTTCCTAACACTTTTGCACAAAGAATCCGTATGATGACATTTTGCCTCACAGCATCTTAGGCTCTCCTTTGCCCATGTTTACTTATTTTTTCTCAGCAAGGCAAAGAGTAGTCCAGTGCCCATCTGGCTCTCACCTGCCCTGGTGCCGTCTCTAGGGAACTCAATGTATTGCAGTGGCTATCTACAACAGACACATTCTTAACAAAAGTGAGATTTTATTCTTTGGAGGCTTTTGTTTTCTATTAGGAAACATATTGGGGATGTATTTCATAAAAATAAACACTGATTTGCATCACTTTAATGGCTCTATAGAATTCTCTTGTAAGGATATATTCTAATTCATTTAATAAATACACTATTTTAGAACATTTAGTCTGTCACCTCTCTTTTACTACTATAAACAACCTGCAGGAAGCAATAAATAGAATGCTACGTAATATATTTTTGCTGTCTGTAAAACACTTTTCTTAAAAATACTTCAACAAGAATACTTGTGAATTTTGCCATATTGCTTCTCAAAAAGTTTGTACCTTTATAATAACAATTACCAACAAGGAACGGGATTTCACTTTTTCCATTCTGTTTTCATCTTTGCCAGTTGAAAGATAGAATATGCTAATTTTTTTGACTTTGCATTTCTTGATTAGCAGTGAAACTGATGAATTTCTCACAGGGCAGATAAATCTCTCCTCTAGAAACATTCTTAGTCCATTTTTCCTTTAGGGCATTTATCTTTTGCTTATTAATTTTTAGGAACTTTCATATTAAGAATAGCAACACATTTTTACCACATATATTGTAGATATTCTCCCAAGTTCTTTTATAAATGAATTGGTAGTTTTGAAAACAAAACTTTTAAATGTATACCTGGTTAACTCAGTGGCATTTTCTTGTATGGTTTCTGCCCTTAGGTTCATGATTAGACAGAGTTTTCCTCTCAAGATTATATAAATATTCACCTGTATTTTTCTATAATTTTTTACATTTAAAAATTTTAAATGTAAAAATTTAAATTCTATTTTAAATGTAATAGAAATTATTTGGTGTAACGTACAGAGTAAGGATATTAACTGATCGATTGATTTCTAAATGATTATTAAATTACCCAGCACACTTCATTGAATAATCTTCTTTTCCTCCAATTTATTTGAGGGACCCTCCCCCTCTATTCTTCTCTTTTTTTTTTTTTTTTTTTTGAGACGGAGTCTCGCTCTGTCGCCCAGGCTGGAGTGCAATGGCGTGATCTTGGCTCACTGCAAGCTCCGCCTCCTGGGTTCACGCCATTCTCCTGCCTCAGCCTCCCGAGTAGCTGGGACTACAGGCGTGTGCCACCTCGCCCAGCTAATTTTTTGTATTTTTAGTAGAGACGGGGTTTCACCGTCTTAGCCAGGATGGTCCTGACCTCGTGATCCACCCGCCGCAGCAGTTTCATACATATTTAAGTCTGTTTCTGGATTTTTTATTTTGTTCCACTGATCTATTTCCTGTGCCACCGCTTCCTCTTCCTATTATGATATCCATATGACTTACTTCTTCAGGTTTTCAACTTGCCTTAGATCAATTTTGGTCATTTATATTTTCTCAGGAAATTATTCATTTAATTCAAGAATTTTACGTGTATTGTCCATGAAAGCATAACCATGACATTTCTTCTGTGTCTACGGTTTCCCTTATATTACATAGTTTTTTCTCTCCCTCTCCCCTTAATTCCTGGTCAAAGGTGTGGTTTCATTATCAAGCCTTTAAAAATTCTTAGATTTACTCCTTACATCTACCTTTTTCCTCTTTTCTAATTAATTATATTCATCTTTTTTTTCAGTATTCCTATTTACTATTTACTCTCACTATTTACCTTTTCTCTCTATTTATACCTCTCGTTGTTCTTGGGCTTAATTGGGTGTTGCTGTTTTTTGTTTTTATTTTGTGAATCAATGTCTAGTATATTTATTTTCATTCTTGTTTAATCATAAGTGTCCTTGATACTATGCTTTTTTTTTTTTTTTTTTTTGAGACGGAATCTTGCATGGTTGCAGGGGCTGGAGTGCAGTGGCGCAATCTCGGCTCGCTGCAACCTCTGCCTCCCAGGTTCAAGTGATTCTCCTGCCTCAGCCTCCCAAGTAGCTAGGAATACAGGCGCCTACCACCATGCCCGGGTAATTTTTTGTATTTTTGGTAGAGATGGGGTTTCACTATGTTGGCCAGGCTGGTCTTGAACTCCTGACCTCGTGATCTGCCCACCTCGGCCTCCCAAAGTGCTGGGATTGCAGGCATGAGCCACAGCACCTGGCCAATACTATGAATTTTTTTGAGTAGCAACTTGGCTAGATCCCAGGACTTTTATGAGTAGTGTTTCATGTTTTTTTCTAGGTAGTCTTCAATTTCAATTCTGATCAGCCCTTTTACTGGAGAGTTGCTCAGGAAAGCACCTGGCTTGTACTAGGGGAGGGATGTCAACTTCTCGGAGAGTATATGGGAATTTCCTTGTAGTCTTTTGCATGATTTATTTTTATAAATGCTTCGTAAGGGTTAAAAGAAAAAATTGTATTCCTTATTTGTTGGATATAAGGTTTTAATTATTGCTTAAAATCACTAATTATACCATTTAGTCTTCTATTTCTTTATTCTTTATTTTCCTCTTAAAGACAAAGAGTCTTTATTAAAGTCTATATTAAAGTTTTCTCAGGTGGGGCATGGTGGCTCACACCTGTAATCCCAGCATTTTGGGAGGCCGAGGCGGGCAGATCACCTTAGGCCGAGAGTTCCAGACCAGTCTGAACAACGTGGAGAAACCCTGTCTCTACTAAAAATACAAAATTAGCTGGGCATGGTGGTGCATGCCTGTAATCCCAGCTACTCAGGAGGCTGAGGCAGGAGAATTGCTTAAACCCAGGAGATGGAGGTTGCCGTGAGCTGAGATGGCACCATTGCACTTCAGCCTGAGCAACAAGAGCAAAACTCCATCTCCAAAAAAAAAAAAAAAAAAAAAAAAGTTTTGTCATACTATTATGTTTCTCTCACTTTAATAAGAGGGACTAAATTTCTAGGAGTAAAAACAACAAGAGTAAAAAATAAAGTGCTAGAGAAAATTGTGGGAAAGTATTTTTATGATTTTAGTGAAGAAAATGTCTTTATAATCAAGACAAAAAGTCTAGAGACCATTTTAAAAGATTAGCATATTTGAATACAGGACTTAAAAAACTTTTATGGTGAAAGACACTATAAACAAAATATTTTAAAATAGTAAATATCTGCAACACATAAGTCTGTATTTCCAAGCTAACGTATCTTCTCTTGTTTTCTGAATATTCAAAAGTAACATATAAAATACCTTAAAAAGGTTATAAAAGTAAATATCAGAATTTTAAACTTTATTCGTCACCTTTCACTCTCATTTATGAGTAGATAATCTATGTGGCACTGAGAACTGCCAGGCCCTCAAGCCACTTCTGAGATAGGTGTTCAAAGGCCATTTCTTTTTCTTTCTTTCTTTCTTTTTTTTTTTCTTGAGAGGGAGTCTCGCTTTTGTTGCCCAGGCTGGAGTGCAATGGCGCGATCTCGGCTCACCGCAACCTCCGCCTCCCAGGTTCAAGCAATTCTCCTGCCTCAGCCTCCTGAGTAGCTGGGATTACAGGCATGCGCTACCACGCACAGCTAATTTTGTATTTTTAGTAGAGACAGGGTTTCTCCATGTTGGTCAGGCTGGTCTCGAACTCCCAACCTCAGGTGATCTACTCACCTCAGCCTCCCAAAGTGCTGGGATTACAGGCGTGAGCCACTGCACCCGGCTGTCTATTTCTTTCTGTGGCCTTCCATTCCTTACATAATGTCCCCTGCAACTCTTTCCACAACTCACTGCAGTAATGATTAGTGTCTAATGCAAAGGGAACAACAACAAAAAAGGGCATAAATAGGCTTGTGAGGTAGCCCAGCATGAGAACTCTTCCCAGTAAATACTTCTTATACCCGTTAGTGACTACTCAACCTGAGAGGACTGCTCAAATCCCCCCTCTTAGGGTATTAAAACACAAGACATGAGAGAGAGCCACCAACGAGAGAGAAGCAAAAGACAAGAGCCACATAGAGAAAGTCAGTAAGCAGAAACCATGAGGCTACAGAAGCCATTAATCAAAAGAAACCATGAGTTAAGGAGGCGAGTAAAAAGAGACAGAAATGACAGAAGGAAGAATAACATGCTACCGCTGCATTAAAAGAAGAGAGAGAGAAACTCAGTAATGAATAGAACAAAATAAATAAAGTAGAAGGCATGTCCTCTGAGATGTCAAGAGTTGGTTCTTCAGGCAAGGGTGAGTCAGGGTGTACATCTTTGTTGTCTGACCTTTCAGTTTAGGACTTGATCTTATGTTTCCAGTCTTTCAGGTACCTGCTACAATAAATTGCTAATTCGAGATATCCTAAGCTATTTACCTGTCCTTGTCATCAGAAGGATCCTAACAAACACAATTCCTTGGTATCATTGCAACTGGTGCCGTTCTAATTTTATAGTACATTTTCAAAGAATTACATGAGCCTGTTGAGTATCTCTATTCCATAGCCATACTCTTCCTCCCACTGAATATGCCATATAATTGATGACTTCCAGAAGTGTTGACATTTCCTGCAATCATCAGTATAAATACTTTATTAATAATTTGTATTTATAGAACATCTGTCTCCCAAAGAGCTCAAAGCTGTTTACAAACATCATCTCATTAATCCTGACAGCAACCCTTTTCTTTGTAAGGTAGAAATATGTAACAGCTAATGGGTACTGTCATCTTCATTTGAATCATGGGAAAACTTTACAAGGTCAAACAGTATTGTGGGAGATAGTACAGAAACATAATTGAGAGTTTCTGCCTCTTTGTTCTTTATGTTCTCCCCTAGAAACTTTCATTTCATATCACATACATATTCATTGGTATGCACCAGAATAAATTGTTAATATAACTTCCTCTCCTGAGGGTAAAAAATCCCACAAGCCCAAGTGTGATAACTTAGTGGACTTTGACTTAACTTTTCCAGAGGTTATCACGACAGGCAGAGCCATGAAGTATGATTAAATTCTAGGACTAGACAGCATTTTTACTGGCGTTTTTAATCCAGTAAAGGCATTGCTGTTTGGCATCTGAATGTGCTCCCTCTCCATACTGGAAATAGAAGGAACAACTTCAAGATGAAAAAAGTGAAAGTAATAAGTATTTTCAAGAAGGATGAAAGCAATGGCATTTGACTAATGTTATATCCTATACTGAATGGTTGCTAAATGCTAGGCTTGTACATACATGATGTTGTTGCAATCCTATGAAGCCTACCTTGTTATCTTTATTGAAGCTCAATACAGTTAAATAAATGGTGAAGCTGAGTTCTTCAGCCCGATCTCCCAACTTCTCTTATTTGTGCTTTAACCTAACACCATACAACTACTACAAGTAACAGTGATAATTGCTGCTACTGCTCTTGTTGTTTAGAGTTGTGCTATCTGAAACTCACAGAGCAAGCTGAATATAGCATGGTATAGCTACTACAGCTTATGCTTTTCTTCAAGTACAGAAAAACCTAAGGAAGGTCATTAAACTTTATTTCTCTTAGAAATAAAATATCGTGGCCGGGCGCGGTGGTTCACACCTGTAATCCCAGCACTTTGGGAGGCCGAGGCGGGCAGATCACGAGGTCAGGAGATCGAGACCATCCTGGCTAACACGGTGAAACCCCGTCTCTACTAAACATACAAAAAATTAGCCGGGCGTGGTGGCAGGCACCTGTAGTCTCAGCTACTCGGGAGGCTGAGGCAGGAGAATGGCGTGAACCCAGGAGGCGGAGCTTGCAGTGAACCGAGATCGCACCACTGCACTCCAGCCTGGGCAAAAGAGCGAGACTCCCATCTCAAAAATAAATAAATAAATAAATAAAATATTGCTAATAAAGTGGAAGTTGTCACCTTCCATTATCATCTCTTTTCTCTCCCTCTCTTCCCCAAATTAACCACTATCCTGAAAGTGGTATGCATTCTTCACAGCAATGTTTTCATATTTTTACTATGCACGTAGATATCTATAAAATATAGTATCATTTTATGTATTCACTCAATTTACACAAATTGTATCTAATGAATCCTTTTGTGACCTGCTTTTTTGAACCAACCTTTTTGTATTCTGGTAAAATATACGTAAGATGTACAATTTCATGATTTTAAGTGTACAGCTCAATTCTGTATCCATCAAACAATAGCCTCTCATTCTCCTTTACTCTTCCAGACCTTAAAAACCATTGTACTGTCTGTCTTTATGAATTTGATTCCTCTAGATACTTTATATAATGGAATCAAACAGTAGTTGTCCTTTTATGGTTGGCTTGTTTCATTTAGCATAATGCCTTCAAGTTTCATCCATATTATAGCATATGTCAGAATTTCCTTTCTTGTTAAGGCTGAGTAATACTCCATTGCATGTATATACCACAATTATGTTCATCCATTCATTGTCAATGGACACTTCGGTTGCTTTCACCTTTTGGCTATTGTGAATAATGCTGCTATGAACATTGGTGTACAAATATTTGTTTCAGTCCCTGCTTTTAATTCTTTTAGAAATATACCCGGAAGCAGAATTGCTTGATTATATGGTAATTCTGTTTTTTTTTTTTTTTTTTTTTTGAGGAACTACCATACTGTTTTTCATCACAACTTACAATTTTACATTCCTACCCGCAATGTACAAGCGTTCAAACTTCTCTACAGCTTTGCAAATATTTTCAGCTTTGCTTTTGAGATTTATCCATAACAATACAGGTAAATCTTTTACCTGCTGTCCAATATTTTATCTTGAATATACCATATTTTATTATCCATTCCCTGAAGGCAGTATTTAGCTTATTTCTTCCTTGTTACTGTTACAATTGATGCCACAATGAACATTCCTTTATATCTTTTTGTGCACAGATATAAAAGTTTCTCTGGGCTACATACCTAGAAGTGAAATTTCTGAGTCACAGGGCATGTGTAATTCAAACCTTAATATTTATTGCCACTTTTTTTCACAGGGCTAATTCCCAAATTACACTCCCACCAGCAGAATATGAGAGTTCCTGTTACTCCACACCCTTGACAACAATTGCTAATGTCATAATTTGCATAGAATTTCTCTGTAGTTTTATATAAAGAGCAAGAGGACTTCTGCATCTGCTCAGTCTACAAGTTTACAATATTATTTCTCTGTTGGTGTGTTTTTGCTTTTATCTCTTTTCTGGCCTGCCTCTATTGCCCTCATCTCTATTTCCCTCTTCTCCTTTTGATACATACTTTTTCATGACCGTTAATCTTAATCTTGAAATTTTTCCCACTTGTGAAACTCTCCAAAACTGAGCCAACAATCACCTTCTTCACAAGAACTATAAAGTGAAATGACTTAAAGTCCTCAGGGAATTTTCTAAGTGGTTAGCTAGTATCTACATGTGTCCTAACCAGCAGAGTCAGCTGCTAAGCCATTCTTTGGCTAACTTCTGGGGAAAAGTTTGGGGGAATGAATGCATGAACTTCATTCATTCCCCCAAAGGGGAGTAGAAAAGGAGTGCCCAGCTATGACTGGCAGTATCACTTTATCTACAAATTCAAGGCTAGGGCTAGGATGAGGCAAATAACACATTCATCTCAGACATAAAATTGATGGAGACCCCAAAGCTCAGAAATCAAGAAAAATAATATTATAGTGGAATTTTTTAAATGAAAATTAATGCCAAAAATCCACGGTAAATAAAATATCAACATTTTAAATAAAGACAAGATCTGTATCATTATCATATCTCTATTGATTGTAGCCGTTAAAGTTTAATCTAATAAATCCTTTCTTTATATTTTTTGACATGTTTAACAAAAGTCAATTAAGCCTCTCAAATAAAATTCATACACATGCCTCATTTTAAAAATTCAAAATGAAATAGCTTTATGAATTCTCTTGAATGTAAGAATGCCAAGGAGAAAAATTTGAACAGATTTTTAGTCAGCAAAATAAAGATGCACTTGGAGATTAGCATCACAGAAATGGTTTTCTCATTTGTCAACTTGAAATTAACATTAACAGCCATTTGTAAAACTTAGTGAACTTTATGAAGTACACATCAGTATTCTACAAAAGTCATAATTGTAATGCAGATTTTCTACAATCACAGGAAAGATAGTCCTCACTGTCCAAGAGAAGTGTATTAGTTTGCTTGGGCTGCCATAACAAAACACCACACTGGATGGTTTACACAATTGAGATTGATTTTCCTATGGTCCTGGAGGCTGTAATTCTAAGATCAAGTTGCTGGCAGACTGGTTTCCTTTGAGGCCTCTCTTCTCACCCTCTTGCACCTCTTTGTATGACTTCTGTGATGTAAGACAGGGATGATACAGGGTGGTCACAGGAGGACAGAAAACTCCAGGCAGAAATTTCATATGACTAGCAAAAGGAAACTGTTGAAATATGTGCATAATCTAGAGGCCAATAAGATCCTGAAAACCAGGGTGTGGACCAGGCTGGCTAAATCCGACTAGACCCAAGGTGGTACTGGATTTGACCCAGGTTTCACCTAGGACCTCATTATACCATCATTAGCACATTAAACACACATCCACCAGCACCATGACGGTTCCCGGAATACCCATGTTTGCTATAAACATGGGTGTCACCACAGTTCCCAAAAATCTCCATTTGTTCCCAGGAATCTTCATGAGTATTTCACCACTTGATCAAAGAAACCCACAAAGACAAACCCCAAACCCAGTGTGTGACTCTCTCCCGTATGCCCGCATTCTCCTTTCTTGATTGTGTATATGTACTTTTCCCTTTGCAATAAATCTCTGTACTTTCACTATTTTCCAACTCATCCTTGAATTTCTTCTTGTGACAGTGTCAACAGCCTGGACACCAGCCGGGGTCAAGATCCCACTGACAGGGACAGGAAGCAGGGAAATTCTGGGCAGAAGAGGGCGGGTCCCTGGAGAGGGCCCCACCCTCAAGCCTGGAACCATGGCCCAAAGCAAGAACTTACATCCCTGTTTCCCTGCTCCAATGTTGCCTTTTCCAAAACCACCCATGGCCTGCCCCACCCCCGATCTTGTGCCCATAAGAACCCAGGATCATCCAGCAGGGAGCAGGAGAAGCAGCTGGACATCAGAGACTACAATTGGACGTCAGAGAAAAGCGTTTTGACTTAGAGGGACAGCTTGATGGCATAGCTTTGGAGAGGAGTCCGGCCAGGAACAGCTGAACTTCATGGGAAGATTACGTTCCCTCCATGTCCTCTTTTCAGCTCCCCTTCCCACTGAAAGCCACTTTCATTGGTAATAAATTCCCCCACATTTACCATCTTCAATTTGTTCATTGGACCTCATTCCTCCTGGATGCCAGACAAGAACTCAAGTGTGAGTGCAAATGGCTATCACACTGACCCTCCACTGAGCTGTTAACACTTAAGCTGTCCAAGGACAGCAAAGCTGAAAGAACACTATAACACTCTTTCTGGGGCTTCAGGGGTCAAGGGCACCCCCCCAGGCACTGCCACAGGGTCTGCATGGAGTTTTACTCCTGCCAGCGCCCGAAAGCACTCACCCGTCTCCTGCACTGGCTCACCTGAGTGCTCCCCGCCGGCCATGACGGGTGAAGCACAGCAGGTTAGAGTAAGTGGAATTCATCCCTGCTGGCGCTGAAGTGGCCAGCTAGTTTCAGCACTCCTGCACTCCAGTTCCTGCCCAAGAAGGGATCAGGGAAATATCCTACTTCACTACCAGCATTTGGGACCTCCCCTAGCCCACTAGTATCACATGTGCATCCCTGGATCTCTGTAAGTCCAAATTTTCTCCTCTTTTAAAAACACTAGTCAAATTGGATTAAACCCTACCTTAACAGCCTCACTTTAACTGAATTACCCCTCTAGAGGTCTCATCCCCAAATACAGTCACATTCCTGAGGTACTAGAGGTTAGGGCTTCAATACATGTATTTGAGGATTTGGGGCACAATTCAGCTGAGGGTTAGGGGGAAATTAAATGTTTGCTAGCAAGGAGGTTTTATCCCCTGACAACTGATCTAGGGCTAAGAGAGGAAGCCAGGCTCTGTTCTAAAACAGAAATGTCCTCAATTGTTCAACCTATCTGGATGTCAGTAACACACAGCAAACCCTTATTCAAACTGGATAGATAGAAGCTGTGAAAACTCCAAAGTCCTTTGGAGCCACCACTATGATCTTATCCAGTTCCTTGAGTAACCCATGAACACTACTGAATAGCATCAAGGTGTAAGACAAGATCACCAAAGACAAATTCATACAATCCAGCCACTCTACCAAACAGTGAAGTGATACTTACAACATCACAACTCCACTGCAAAGAATGGGGTCAGCGGGATACTCTGGCAGCTGGAGTGAAGTGATCACAGCAGTGAACTAGAACCATAGCCTCGAGCAATGCAGCCCGTTTGTAAATGGCTGGGGAATCCCAGTGTCTAACAGTTCAGCTTCCTCTTTCTATATAAAAATATTCTTTTTGAGGAAAAGTTTGATACTTTTTGTGAGTCTAGGAGTTAGCGTCAGAATTGCCAATGGACCTTTCAGCTAGCAAACCGAATTACCACAAAAAAATTTGTACTCCTCTTTATTTAGGGAGTGATGCCTGGGGGGGAAAAAAAGAACAATATTTAAATGGCTTTCCAAGTTTCCCAAATCTAACAGAATAAGTAGTTATTTCAGGGTTCTAATTCCTCTGGTCATCTTGAAAAAGCCATGGAACATTTACATTCGTGTACAAATTCTTACACTTGGAAAATAAGGGCCCCAACATCAGAGAAAATGAAGTGTGTAGGTGGACTGCTCATTTATAAACTTCTTAGATGCCTCAGAAGAAAAGGATTATATAAATCTGAAATACTTATGACAGCTTCCTTTAAATGGTGATACATTTCGGAAAAGCAAATGCGAAGGTTCATGTTAATGAAAAAACACTGTCTACTACGTCATGTTTGCCTCCTGTAAAGTACCAGAATCTCAAAGTCCAAGTTTATGGTGTTTGAACTTAGATTTTGCTTGTGGGAGGGAAGTTGATTGATTGCTATTTCTAAAACAATGCTATTTCTGCTTTATTCAGTGTCTGACATCTTAATAAATGTGAACATGGCCTAACAGGCTGCAAATCCCTTCTAATGCCAGCATTCAGGGGATCTAAGTTATAGAAAACTGTTTTTCTTATTATCATTTCTCCTTAATGCTTAAAAAAATAAAAAATCCCTGGAACAATACTCCCTACTCATCTCACCTACTTGTTAATCGGTTAGAGAAAGCATATTGTGGAAAGCATATTGTAATGAGTGAATAGCTGTTTTAAAAGAAGAATCGGGGGAAAAAAGGCATGACATTGAACAGTACAAATGATCCAGACTTTTGCTCTACCAAACCTCGGGGCAATGTCTTTTCAATGTCATTCTTTAGAAAAAGTCTTTGAGACCATGAGTATCTTTTTAAACAGGGTAGTCCGGGGGGAAAAAAAAAAGAAAGAAAGAAAAGGAGAAAAAAAGAAGGAAGGAAAAGAAAGGAAAAAATAGGATAGAAATTTTTAAAAAGCTTTTTTTCTTAAAGCAAACAGCTAAGTGATTTGCTGCATGCTTACCATGAATAATAACAAGCAGACTGGTGCTGCGTTCCTCTTTTTAATTAGCACATTGCCGTCTGCGGTGGCACCCTGTCTTATGACAGGGCACCTAGCGTGCCCCACTTCAAGCGCTGCACAAAACAAGACGGGCAAAGAAGGCCCAGTGAGTAGTCTTGGGGAAGATATAGAAAGCTTCCATTTCCCACCCCCCTCCCGCCCCTCCGACCCCAACGAAGTTTTCACCAGAGTCTGAGAAATCGTTCTGGCTAGTTTTGTTTTGTTTTGTTTTTGTTTTGCCTTGTCTTGCTTACAGAACACTGTAGAAATCCAGAAATACATGAAGCTATCTTCCTTGAATAAATTACTTATTTGCTTCTTTAGTACTAAATTACTTCTTTAGTTCTATAGTTCCAAGTATAGAACTAAATACCTGAAAGCATTTTAAAAGGCAGGGAGAGGCCAGGCGTGGTGGCTCATGCCTATAATCCCAGAACTTTGGGAGGCCGAGATGGGCGGATCACCTGAGGTCAGAAGTTCAAGACCAGCCTGGCTAACATGGAGAAACCCTGTCTCTATTAAAAATACGAAAATTAGCCATGCATGGTGGTGGGCACCTGTAATTCCAGCTACTCGGGATGCTGAGGCAGGAGAATTACTTGATCCCAGGAAGCAGAGGTTGCAGTGAGCAGAGATTGTGCCACTGCACTCCAGCCTGGGTGACAGAATGAGACCCTGAAAAAAGGGAAAGAAGGAAGGAAGGAAGGAAGGAAAGAAGGAAGGAAGGAAGGGAGAGAGAGAGAAAGAGAAAGAGAAAAAGAAGGAAGGAAGGAAGGTAGGAAGGAAGGAAGGAAGGAAGGAAGGAAGGAAGGAAGGAAGGAAAAAGAAAGAAGAAAGAAAGAAAGAACAAAGAAAGGAAAGAAGGAAGGAAGAAAAAGAAAGAAAGAAAGGAAAGAAAAGAAAAGAAAAAAAGAAAGAAAAGAAAAGAAAGAAAAGAAAAGAGAAGAAAAGAAAAGAAAAAAGGCAGGGAGAGTGCAAGACCAGCATTAGAACTCACACTATCAAGATCAGAGGTGAGACAAAGCCCTGACACAATCTGCACTCAATAAAACAGTGTTCAAATTTTAACACAAGCACTTCTGACCCTAAAACAACAATGGAGATTGTTAAAGACCTCTGTTCTGGCATCCTTATTTTTGGAAAAGATTTAATAGTCTGAAAGCAACCTTCAAAGTAGCAGAGGCACGAGAGTAATTCTGATAACTTTGGATAAATGTATAATCTCTTGCAAGGGGAACTTCAAGGGCAATATGTCAGAAAAAAAAAAAAAAAAAGAAGAACAGTTGGGAAAATGAAAACCAGTCTTAAAAATCATACTTTTATCTGTAATTAAAAAGCATTTACAACATCTCTGTCAGCAAACCCTGAAATGCAAGTTAAAATATCAAGCAGCTCCTATGTTGCTGTATGAATCTGTTTGCACGCACATACATATATCTAGTACAGAATGTTAATTCATTTTCCATCACCAGGAATGTTGGGCATGCTGACACAGCGAAGTGAGGTAATCTCAAATTGTTCCAGGATTTGATTTTCATGTGAGTGCAGCCTACAGCTGCATTTGATAGTGCAGCACATTGATATGACACCTTTTCTACAAGGTCTTTGGTGGAATACATCTGCTGAACAGAACAGAAACAAAATATGTGCCTTGACTCAAACTTGTGACAGAGAGCTATCAAAGTGGAAACCTGCTCGAATCCATTTGCATAATATGCAGATGAAAATCTAATGAGAAAGGTATATTGACAGACGTTGCCTTGTTATCTGGCAATGCTGTGCATAACAGCATGTGGTACCTAGACATAATCTCCTGTAATGTTATTTTGCAATTTAAATGTTTTTTTCCTCCTCCAAAAGAAGACACACATCAATAAGTGCCAGGCATCAATAACTGACATTTGAGATAAGATAAACCACACCAACTCATTCAAACAGAATCAGCCGAGTTTATTTTGGGACACAGGTCTCTACATTATGTGCTGCTGGCTGAAGAAGAGGGAAGAGAGGCAGCCCCAAATGCTCACTGATGCCTCATTTTTACTTGTGTTCTGATGGCTGCTCATTCAGCCCTGGTCCCAGTTCTGAGTATATTTCAAGGAACATTACTGAGAACAAAATCGAAGGCCATCAATATTAATGATCTGAACCAGGAAGATAGCTTTTAGTGTGCAAATTAATTACCCTAATCACAGGGTTTTTTGTATCCATTTTAATGAAATAACTATTTATTTCATTGAATCCCATGCTTTTCTTTTGCAAATAAGGCACATTTACATGATAAATACATGAAATTTAAAAGGATGACTAAATTAAATTGAGGAAAAAAGACCTTTTTAAATACAATTTTCTTAGGAAAAACAGCTAGATTAATGGGTTGGTTAGCTGACTGGCATCTGTGATTAAATCTTTTTTAATGTACATCAAATAGAATTTAATGGACCTTGAGAAATGTCTACACAGTCAGTAATATTGAGGGGCTGTAGAAGATTCCAGTTGTCTCCTGTCATTTGTTGGTGAACTCCTGAGTCCTTGGCCTTGGGACTCTGACACAGGCTTTCACACTTTTGGCCTCTGCTTTTTCACTGGGTCCTCTTTCTCTTTCCTTTGACCTTACTCTTTCCTTTAGACCAGGTTGTCTTCTTGAGCAATGTAATCAATGCATTCATTTTCCAGAATGCAGGCCAAAAAATAACTACATTATCAATGAAAGCATTAAGAGTTTAAATATGCCTCATATTTAATCATCTAATTCACATTTGTTTCAAACTGTGCTGGCTTTGGTAACTTTAGACCAAGAGTGATAGGAGGAGAGGGAAGGAGGAAGGAAAGGAGAGAGAGGGAGAGAGAGAGATGCTTAATTCAGAGGAATTTTCAATGAATCTTTTAGAGTCTATGGGTTTTGAAAACTTTTATTTATTGTGGGTAAGCTTTGAAGGGCTGCAAATTCAACAGAAGAGAGATTTGAAACACATTCCAGCTCATTTTTTTTTTTATAACAGACCCAAAGAACAGAGCATCTTTATCTGCTTGCTCCCCCACAACCCCCCACCACCCTTCCCCCGCCCGCCCGCCACCAGAGATATCTCCCTCTCCCTTTGATTTGGAATGATCAATTGCAGCTGCAGCAGCCGGGCAGGCGGCCCCAGGCACCAAGAACATGAGCCTTTTCCCTGCACATTAAGATTTACATTTCAATGGATGCCACCATTTTAAAGATAATTATAACCTTTTTAGATTAATAATTTTCTGTGGCTTCTCTAATGTTTTAACAACGTAAATATTAATTTTGCTGGTTTAAGAGGAAATGTTTCTCTCTCTCCCCTCCCCCCTCCTCTCTATAACTTGCAGAGTGCGGAACAAGGGTTTCCACCCAAATCTTTCCGGGGCAGGGTGTAGTGGGAAGATAGGATGTTGAACTAACAGATATGATTCAAGTATCTTGGCCCTAACCTGGCCCAGCTCTTATAATTTCAGTGTATTTCAACTATGAAAGACTGAAAGCAGTTATAGGGGGCAAAAGACAATGAAGCTACTTTCTGCATAGACGACGTTTAGAAAGTCAGAATTTTTAAAAAGTAAATTGTTTTCAGTTTTATCCAACCTAGAAAGTCAACCCGCAAGACCTGGCAGATGGGATTCACATTTCTTCGATCATATTCCAAGTGCGGTGGGAGATCTCACAAAGATGAAGCTGTCTTGATGAACTCAATAGTCTTGAAAAGAGAAAAAAGGAAACTGCCCACAAAAGATATTGAGACTATGAAGAGGCTTATATTTCACTGTTACTGCAAACTTCCTTTCTGCTTATTATCATTCCAACACTTTATTTCCCAGCAGCTGATGCAGCTGGGAAAAACATCACATTGCACAAACAGATGTCGACTCACTTAAATTGCCTGACCATGCTCCATGGACTGTGATCTATTTTTTGCTGCCCCACAAGTATTGAGTATGTTGTAGACATGGGGACATGGCTTTTTTCCCCCTTCTTTTTACACTCATTAGGTTGCTACAAATATTCTCTTAAGGGCTTATATTCTCCTTATATCACTAGGCATCATTCAAACAATTTACATCAGGCAAATAAAATCAGAGGAACATGTTTCCCATATCCACTGATAACTGAGAGGAATCATGTATATTAAGAAGAAAATTGATAATAGTGCTGGTCAGATGTTACAAGCAGGTCATTCGGTTGCTCTCCTTGATAAAGTGCAGAGCTACAATAATTGCCCTGAGATCTCTTTATGGACAAGACCTTTATTTCCTAGGCACCAAAGCCATGGGATTGAGCATTGCTTGCAAGTGACTTGGGGAATAAAACTGCTCATGAAATATGCATGACTAACACATAGGCTGCCAGGGGAACTGAGTGTATTATGTATGACCCTGCTGTAATTGTAAGGAAATGATATTCATTTAAGTGGATGATTATCACAGTTAAAGGTGCACCTAATGAAACAAAGGTCATAAGCCTAAAAACACAAGGTTATAGCCCTTTTATCGCACCACTTCTCTCTCTGTTTGAAAAGACCTGGCCTTTATTCACAGCTGTTTTTCTAACACCTGTGTGCTCTGTTTATGCAGCCTTAAAGAGTTCCTGTCACCCATATTTAAATGCCAAAAGGACTATTATATTAAATGTTCTTCTAAGATTATTTCCACACATCTGGGAAATATCAGACAGCATGCTGCAATATATATCAATTCAGGCTAGAGTTTTTAGCTACCGATATTTGGTTAGCTGAGGAGTATCCCTTCCTCCCACCACCAGCCACATTTCTCTCTATGGGAAATGTCTAACACTACATTAAGTGAGAACTGGCTTTCATTCTGAGATCAACAATGATGTGATGTGAACCTTCTGGAGTAGACCAAACTCTGAGACAAAATGGAGGTAGCTTTACAGAGTGGATAAAAACCACTATTCAGGAGCCAAACTCCTAAGAGTGGAATCCAGCTCCACTCTTCACCAGTTGTGTGACCTTGGGCAAGTGACATAACTGCTTAGTGCTTCTGAACAGAATCTTAATCTATAAAATGGAGCCCATACATAGTTGTGACCTCACAATGTTGTTACGAGGATAAATGAGTTAATATTTTAAAAGAGCTTAGAACAGTTCCTGGTACATAGTAAGTGCTACCGGTTTGTTAAGTTAATAAAATACACAGTTTGTATGGTTGGCTTGTTTTGCTGTTCCCCTCCTCCATGTACCCCTGCAATCCTTTTGTCATTTCCTTTTGTACCCAGTGAACTTCCTAGTGCCCATGTTCACCTTTAGGCTTCAGTTGTGTTTTAGTCTGCTTGGGTTGTTCCAACAAAGTACCATAGACTATGTGGCTTATAAAGAGCAGAAATATCTTTCCCACAGCCTGGAGAAACCTGAGTTAGGGTATAAGCATGGCCAGGTTTTGGTAAGGGCCCACTTCCCAGGTGCAAAGAGCTCACTTCTCACTGTGCCTCCTCACATGGCAGAAGAAACAAAGGAACTCTCGCAGGTCTCTTTTAAAAGAGCAGTGGTCTGGGTGTGGTGGTGCACCTGCAGTCCCTGCTACTCAGGAGGCCGAGGCAGGAGAATTGCTTGAACCCTGGAGGCTGAGGTTTAAGTGAGCCAAGATCACACCACTGCCCTCCAGGCTGGGTGACAGAATAAGACTTCGTCTCAGAAAAAAAAAGAAAGAAAGAAAGAAAAAGAGCACTGGTCCCAAAGGCCCCACCTCTGGATATCATCACATTGTGGGTTAGGAATTGAACATATGAATTTGCGGGTGACACAAACATTCAGACCATAGTGGTGCAGCTTGTACCACATCTCACCAGTAACCACAACTTCCAGCCAAGGCAAACTGCGTGCAGTAACATGCCTTGGCGAGGGCAGCAGCAACCCATCCGATGGAGGCTCGTTCACTTACAAACAATAAGCACCTGAGGACTTTCCCAGTCTTGCTGACATTTGCCTAGTAAGTTCACAGAATATTGGGAAATGGGGGAAAATCACGCTAGAAAAACACACAGGAGAGAAAACCACAGGAGTCTTCATGAGCTGAATCCAAATTAATAGTGACTCTTCTAATTACCTTAATGTCATTTTGTTTTGCTTCAGGAGGTAAGGCAGAAAAATAGAACAGAGACGCCACCTTATACAGGGAGCATATATTAGCTCTGGAGAGTTTTACAGATTTCATAATGCTTTCATTCATCATTTCCTTCTGATCTCAAAATTACCATTTGTGATGGATAGGACAGTTTTCACCATACCCAGAAGGTTTTAGATAACTTATAAACTCCTGACCTTTCCCTTCCAAAATGTAACTTCTTAGGATAACCAAAGTTGTCTGACATAAGATAAAATAGAAGCAGTAAAGTCAGTGAGAAGAATTGGATTTTATAAAAACCATTAGACTGGTAACCATAAAATAACTTCCCTGCAAAAAAAAAAAAAAAAAAAAAAAATCACAAACTTTGTTTTCTTAGCTTTTAAAGAAAAATCACTGTGATGCAATCGCATGTAGCAAAGGAGTTGTGAAGCTGACATGGCTGTGTTTGAATCCCAGCTCTGGTGCTTACTATCTGTGTGACCTAGGGGAAGTTACTTCACCTCTCTGTGGCCTCAGTTTCATCTGCTGTACAGGGATTAAAAAGCCCATAGCGTTGCTAGGTTTCTTAGCAAGAGAATACATGTGAGTTTAGAACAATGTCTGGAATGTAATAAGTACCCTGTTGTAAGCTATTTTATTATTACTGTTAGAATAAAAATCAGCATTTAAGAAAAGTTTTTGGCATTTCATGCTCAGAGGCATTTGTCTGCAACACTTTTTGATAGTTTAAAAACATGCATTCAAATTCTTTGACACTCCATCCTTCAAAAGGTAAAATTCACTTCTCACCTTGAATGTGGGCTGTACTTAGTGGCTCATTCCTAATAATTAGAATGTAGTGGAAGTGATAGTGTGTGAATTTCAAGCCTAGGTCATTCAAAGCATTTCCATTCTTGACATGATTTGTCTTGGATCACTAGCTCTGGGAGGAAGCTAGCTGCCATGTTGTGAGGACACTCAAGCAGCCCTCTGGAGAGGACATGGGAATGAGTCATCATGGGAGGAGACTTTGGCTGCAGTCAAGCTTCCAGATCATTTCAGCCTTCAGCCCTTGAACTTTTCAGAGAAGGCACCAGACAGGTAGAGTAGATATAAGCCACACCTACTGTGCCGTACCAGAATTCTCAACTCGTTTAAAATGATGAGATAATAAATCGTTGTTTTAAGCCACTAAGGTTTTGGGCAATGTATTATACAGCAATAGGTAACATCCTTCAATGTAGAGGTGGGAGTTTCACTTGCCATGCTGAAGACATGTATAGATAGGGATGAGTAGTGAGGCAAGGTTTTAGAGATCTAAATGAGCATAGACTACAGTGCAAATTAGCGAACCTTTTGAACATCCTTGATTATACTTCACTTTTGTGTTATCTATTAACATAGAATCTTTTTTTTCATACCTAAGTAAAATAATTCTGTATCATATGTAGTACTTACTTCTAGGATGACCAATCACCTAGTCAGTCTAGGACTGTCTTTGATTTAGCAAATGAAATTTATATGTCCCAGGAAACTCTTCAGTCCTTGGCCAACCAGAATCTAATCACTTTAGATTAGATAATTATAAATATCTCATATGAGCTAGTCCTATAGGTAAAGAAAAGACATTTGGGCTGGGCACAGTGGCTTATGCCTGTAATCCCAGCACTTGGGAGGCCAAGTTGGGCGGATCACTTGAGGTCAGGTGTTCAAGACCAGCCTGACCAACATGGTGAAACCCCATCTCTACTAAAAATACAAAAATTAGCTGGACATGGTGGTGCACACCTGTAATCCCAGCTGCTTGAGAGGCTGAGGCAGGAGAATTACTTGAACCTGGGAGGCAGAGGTTGCAGTGAGCCAAGATCGTGCCATTGTACTCCAGCCTGGGTAACAGAGCAAGACTCCATCTCAAAAAAGAAAAAAAGAAGACATCTGAATGGAGGTTTTTGTTTCAATACATGCTTTTAGAGGAAGGAGAGACATCCCAAATAGTCCCCACCTCATCATATTTCTCCACACTTCTCTGAATCTTGTCATACTACTGCTGAGCCCTTCATATGGAGAGGAAAGATGGCATAGAAGGAGAAGAGATCACTGCCACTTAGCCTTCAGCTCTTTAAGGCTCATGGGATCTAGAGGTGCAGGGTAGACAGTGATGATTGTTGTCAGGAGGTGTGAAGGTGTCAGGAAGTAGAAAGCAGGGTTCTAGGGGAAGCTCTGCAAGCCTTAGTGGCAATTGAGTATGGACAGAGAATGCTCAAATCAACTTTCCTCCCCTCTGCCCTTTGGCTATCGTCTGTTTTGTTTCATGATTTAGAAGTTTGTAAGGGGTGTAGTTTATTGTTTAAAAATACTTTCAAGTTCTGGAAAAGATAATGGGATGGATTCTCATCTATAAGTAGAACAAAGAACCAAGAATTCAGCTGCAAGCACACCCTTTTTCCTGCCTGTCAATAACCAAAATAGCATATAACTGTGTATTTCTTGTGAAACTATCATGTGGGCAGGAGAGAACTAGATAGAGCATTTATTGCTCAGGGTTATATGATGCAGAGACTAGGTCATACCAGTCTAACAAATTTCACCTGCTTAATTCCATGGTGGACACATGAGAATAGCGTAACTTGTTCAAAAGGAAATGTACCTGAGTTATGAACAAAGGAATTTATAAGTCAATTAATAGCTTTAACAAGGGAAATGTTAGCTGACACAATAGAATAGCATTTGCATCCAAACAATATGGGTAAATTATAAATTTATCTTTTTGTTAAAGCACTCTTTTTTCTTCATCTGTCAGAAGGGTTACTCTAATTTTAAAAATACTGCTAATAGTCATATTCAACATGTAATGAGTAACAATAATCATATTCAACACATTGTGTGCCAGGTACAATTGCACTATACCCATGTTAAATCAATAGATAGGACAGGCCTAATGAGGCAGGTGCTACCAGATCCCTATTTTACAAATAAGGAAACTGAGTCACAGAGTGACTAAATAATGTTTCCAAGGTAACTTCACAAGAAGGTGGCCAAAAATCCTAGTGTTCACACTCCATACTTGGTCTTTTTCTTTGATTAAATCAGCCTCTGATTATGCAGAGTTTTATTTTAAAAAAATCTGCTCCTCCTCTTCTAATAAGAGTAAATTAGCAAGTTCAGCTGCCTGCTCTAAGAAAAGTGATTCTGGTTCAAGAAACACAAATTAGGGGGAGTTGGATAAAAGCAGTGAAACAGATGGAGAAAGAAATGTAGGAGAGAGGATTAAAGTAGGCAAGTGAACCTAAAGAAGAGAACAGGAGAACAGAGAAGAAGAGAAGAAAAAGAGGAAGAAAATAAGAGAAAGAGTAAAGGGGAAGGAAAGAATGGCAGGAGGACAGAAAGGCTAGAGAGTTGGAGTAGGAGAAAATGTTAACACAAGCAAGGGTTCCAAGTTCAGATGATATCAGTGTTTTACATGTAGTAAATAGTTAAATGCTAAAAGTAAGGTGATAGTTGAAGATTTTCTTTCTCTGAATTTTTCTTACAAAAACTGTTGTTAAATGTAAAGAAGCAGGGGGTGGAATTGGCATCAGAAGAAAAAAAAAATGCCTGCTCAAGATTTTGTCTGAGGCAGGACAGACTTCTGACTGCAAAGGGAAAGCCACAAGAAATTAAAAAATCAGTCCGGGCACAGTGGCTCATACCTGTAATCCTAGCACTTTGGGAGGCTGAGGTGGGTGGATCACTTGCGGTCAGGAGTTCAAGACCAGCCTGGCCAACATGGTGAAACCCGTCTCTAATAAAAATGCCAAAAAAAAAAAAAAAAAAATTAGTCGGGCATGTTGGTGCATGCCTGTAATCCTAGCTACTCAGGAGGCTGAGGTGGGAGGATTGCTTGAACCTGGGAAGTATAGGTTGCAGTGAGCTGAGATCATGCCACTGCACACACCAGCCTGGGTGACAGAGGGAGTTTCCATCTAAAAAGCAATAGAAAGAAAAAAAGAAAAGAAAGAAGTAAAAAAATCTAGAAAAGTATAGCAATGCAGGCAGAGGCAGAAGTCACATTCCCAGAGGACATTCTACCAAAGCAGTACCTTTTCAAACAAATTTTAAGGACGTTCATTGACATACAGTGTTTAAGACAGTGATGAAAACGAGTGCAGTGGTTTTCATCCCTGCACTTGTTTGATATATGGTTTATGTCTTAGTCTGCTTTGTGTTGCTATAAGAGAATGCCACAGACTGGGTAATTTATAATAAATAAAAATTTATTTGGCACACAGTTTTAGAGGCTGGAAAGACCAAGAAGAGCACAGAACTGGCATCTGGCGAGGGGCTTTTGTGCTACATCATACCATGGCAGAAGGCAGAGAGGCAAGAAAGGGAAAGAGCTAGTGTGCAAAAAGGGGCCAAACTCACTTTCACAACAAAGCCACTCTGGCCATAACTAACCCACTCCCACAAAAATGACAGTAATCCATTTATGAGAGTTAACCCTCATGACCCAGTCACCTCTTATTAGGCCCCACCTCTCAACACTGTCGCACTAAGAATTATGGTTCCAACACATGAATTTTGGAGAACACATTCAAACCATAGAATTTTGCCTTTGGCCCCAAAATTCATGCCCTACTGACAAGGCAAAACACATTCATTCCATCCCAATAGTCCCAAAAGTCTTAATTCATTACAGCACCAACTCAAAAATCTAAAGTCCAAAGGCTCATCTGAATCAGATGTGAGGCCAGGCATGGTTGCTCACACTTGTAATCCCAGCACTGTAATCCCAAGCCTTGGCAGCCTCCAGGTGGTGTTGAGCCTGCAGGTAGACAGAAGGCAAGAGTTGAGGTTTGGGAACCTCCACCTAAATTTCAGAGGATATACGGAAACACCTGGATGTCCAGTCAGAAGTTTGCTGCAGGGGCAGAGCCCTCATGGAAAACCTCTACTGGGGCAGTGCAGAAGGAAAATGTGGGGTTGGAGCCCCTACAGAGTCCCCAATAGGGCACTGCCTAGTGGACCTGTGAAAAGAGGGCCACCACCTTCCAGACCCAAGAATGGTAGATCCACCAACAGCTTGTACCATGTGCCTGGAAAAGCTGCAGGCACTCAATGCCAGCCTGTGAAAGCAGCTGGGAGGGGCACTGTACCCTGCAAAGTCATAGAGGCAGAGCTGCACAAGGTTGTGAGAGCCCACATCTTGCATCGGTGTGACCTAGATGTAAGACACAGAGTCAAAGGAGATCATTTTGGAACTTTAAAGTTTAATGATTGCCTTGTTGGATTTTGGACATGAATGGGGCCTGTAGTCCCTTTTCTTTGGCCAATTTCTCCCATTTGGAGCAGGTGTATTTACCAAATGGCTGTATCCCCAATGTATCTAGGAAGTAACTAGCTTGTTTTTTATTTTACAGGCTCATAGGCAGAAGGGAATTGCCTTGCCTCAGATGAGACCTTGGACTTGGACTTTTGAGTTAATGCTGGAATGAGCTAAAACTTTAGGGGACTGTTGGGAAGGCATGATTGTATTTTGAAATGTGAGGACATGAGATTTGGGAGGCACTGGGGGCAGAACAATACGGTTTGGTTGTGTCCCCACCAAAATCTCATCTTGAATTATAGTTCCCATAATCCCCACATGTCTTAGGAGAGACCTGGTGGGAGGTAATTGAATCATGGTGGTGGTTACCTCCACGCTGTTCTTGGGATAGTGAGTGAGTTCTCATGAGATCTGATGGTTTTATAAGGGGGTCCCCGCCAACACACAACTTTGCTCTGCACTTTTTCTTGCTGCCACCATGTGAAAAAGGATGTTTGCTTCCCTTCCACCATGACTGTAAGTTTCCTGAGGCCTCCATAGCCCTGTAGAACTGTGAGTCAATTAATTTATAATTTCTTTATCAATTACCCAGATTCAGGTATGTCCTTATAGCAGCATGAGAAGGGACTAATATAAGGACTTTCCCCCTCCCTTCATCCACCACTGCAGACACACATGGGGCTTCTCCCACAGGAGCTCAATGTGGGTACACCTATAGACAGCATTTTTGGATCACTTCAGGGTGACCATTTTTCCAGAGAAGAAATGACCTCCAGGTTAAGCCTTGCATGAAGGGTGGAGTAACAATCCCTCTCTACAAGGAACATCAACATTCTTGCAGATGGAAAGAGTTGCCTATCTGCCTAAAAGGAGTTCTAAACCATGAAACAAAAGCCTGAACTATCAAACCCAGTAAATAAAATGTGAGGAATAAGTAAGTCAATAAATAACTGCACACCACAGAGGAATGAGATAAGCTTCATTTAAAGAAATGATCAAAGTCTCTAAGAAATATAGAATTATGTAAAATGGTCAAACCTAAGATCATTGGTGTTCCTGAGGGAGAAGAGAAAGCAAAAAGTTTGGAAAACTTATGTGAGAAAATAATTGAGGAAAACTTCCCTGGCCTTGCTAGAGATTTAGACATTCAAATATAAGAAGCTCAAAGAACTCCTCAGAGATTTATTGCAAAAAGGACATCACTGAGTTGTACAGTCATCAGGCTATCTGAAGTCAACATGAAGGAAAGAATTCTAAGAGCAGTGAGACAAAAGCATCAGGTAAGCTACAAAGAAAAACCTATCAGACTAACAGCAGACTTCTCAGGAGAAGCTTTACAAGCCAGAGAAATTGGAGTCCTATCTTTAGCATCCTTAAACAGAATAACAGTCAACCAAGAATTTTGTATCCAGCAAAACTAAGTTTTGTAAATAAAGAAGAAATAAAGTATTTTTCAGACAAGCAAATGCTGAGGAATTTGTTACTACAAGACCAGTCCTGTTAGAAATGCTAAAAGGAGTTCTAAACCATGAAACAAAAGGTTGATATACACCAGAATAGAATCTCAAAAGATAAAACTCACAGAGCCTATAAAAACACAATGAAGAAAACAAAGCATCTAGCTAACAATCAACACGATGACTGGAACAGGACCTCACATCTCTATTAACATTGAATGTAAATAGTCTAAATGTTTCACTTAAAAGATACAGATTGGCAGGGTAAATTAAAAAATAACAAACCAAATATCTGTTGTCTTCAAGAGACTTACTTAACACAAAAGGATTCTTATAGATTTGAGGTGAAGGGATGAAAAAATATATTTCACGCAAATAGAAAACAAAACAGAGCAGAAGTAGCTATTTTTACCTCAGAAAAAAACAGATGTTAAAGTAACAGTAAAAAAAAAAAAAAAAAAAAAAAAAGACAAAGAAGGCCATTATATAGTAATAAAAAGAATCCAACAAGAAGATGTTACAATCCTGAAATATATATATTCACCAACTCTGAGGCTCCCAGATTTGTAAAACAATTACTACTAGACCTAATAAAATAAGTAGCCACACAATAATAGTGGAGAAATTTAACACTCTGCTGATGGCACGAGACAGATCATCAAGGCAGAAAGTCAACAATGAAACAATCGATATAAACTACACTCTAGAACAAGTGGACTTAACAGATGTTTACAGAACATTCTACCTATGAACTGCAAAATATACATTCATCTGATCAGCACATGGAACGTTCTCCCAGATAGATAAATATGATAGGCCACAAAACAAGTCTCAATAAATTTAAAAAATCAAAATTATATCAAACATCTTCTCAAACTGCGGTAAAATAAAACCAGAAGTCAACTCCAAAAGGAACCCTCAAAAATATACTAATACATGGAAACTAAACAATCTGCTCTTGAATGATTGGCATAACAATGAAATAACAATGGAAATGTTAAAATTCTTCAAAATGAATAACAGTGACACAAATAACAGTGACACAACTTATCAAAACCTCTGGAATATGGCAAAAGCAGTGCTAAGAAGAAAGTTTATAGTGCTAAATGCCTACATCAAAAAGTCCAAAAGAACACAAATTGACAACCTAACATCACACCTCAAGGAACTAGAGAAACAAGAAAAAATTAAGCCCAAAGCTAGTAGAAGAAAAGAAATAACAAAGATTAGAGCAGAACTAAATAAAATTGAAATGAAAAAGAAAATATTACAAAAAATCAATGAAGTTAAAAGTTGGTTCCTTGAAAAAATTAACAAAATTGATAGAACATTAGCTAGACTAACCAAGAAAAGAGGAGAGAAGATTCAAATAAGCTTGATTAGAAACAAATGGAGACATTAAATCTGACACCATGGAAATACAAAAGCTCATTCGAGACTTCTATGAGTGCTTCTATGCATAAAAACTAGAAAATCTGGAGGAAATGGATAAATTCCTGGAAATATACAACCCTCCTAGCTTGAATCAGGAGGAAATAGAAATCCTGAGCAGACCAATAATGAGCAGTGAGATTTAATCAGTAATAACACAAAAATTGCCAACAACAACAAAAAAGCCTAGGACCAAATGGATTCAATTGGCAAATCTACCAGACAGTCAAATAAGAATTGGTACAAAACCTACTGAAACTATCACAAAAGATTGAGAAAGAGGAAATCCTCTCTAACTCATTGTATGAAGCCAGTATTACCCTGATACCAAAACCAGGAAAGTACATAACAAAAAGAGAAAACCACATACCTATATCCTTGATGATCATAAATGCAAAAATCCTCAACAAAATACTAGCAAGCCAAATCCAACAGCACATCAAAAAGATAATACACCAGTGATCAAATGGGTTTCAGTGCAGCGATGCAGGGATAGTTTAACATATGCAAGTCAATAAATGTGATACATCACATAAACAATTAAAAACAAAAACCATATGATCATCTCAATATATGCAGAGAAAGCATTCATTAAAATCCAGCATCATTTTGTGATAAAACTCCCAACAAATGCAGCATAGAGGGGACATATCTCAAGATAATAAAAGCCTCACACAAGAAATCCACAGCCAGCCTCGTATGGAATGGGGAAAAGTTGAAAGGATTCTCCCTGAGAACTGGAACAAGACAATGATGCCTACTTTCACCACTTCTGATTAACACAGTACTAGAAGTCCTAGCCAGAGCAATCAGGCAAGAGAAATAAATAAAGGGCATCAAATTGGAAAAGAGGAAGTCAAACTATTGCTGTTTCCTAATAGTAAAATTGTATGCTTAGTAAACCCTAAAAACTCTTCCAAAGACTCCTAGATTTGATAAATGAATTCAGTAAAGTCTCAGGTTACAAAATCAATGTACACAAACTAGTTGTGCTGCTATTCACCAAAAACAACTTAGCTGAGAATCAAATCAAGAACTCAATCCCTTTTACAAGAGCTGCAATAGAATAAATAAATAAAATATCTAGGTATATACTTAACCAAGGAGGTAAAATATTTCTACAAAGAGAACTACAAAACACTGCTGAAAGAAATCATAGATGACACAAACAAATGGAAACAAATCCCATGCTAATATATTGAAACAATCAATATCATGAAAATGACCATACTGCCCAAAGCAATCTACAGATTCAATGCAATACCTATTAAAATATCAATATCATTTTTCACAGAATTAGAAAAAACAATCCTAAAATTCATATGGAACCAAAAACGATCCTGAATAATCTGGAAGCATCACATTACCTGACTTCAAATTATACTCCAAGGCTATAGACACCAAAACAGCATGGTACTGGTATAAAAGTAGATATATAGACCAATGGAAAAAGATAGAGAACCCAGAAATAAAGCTAAATACTTACAACCAACTGATCTTTGACAAAGCATACAAAAACATAGATTGAGGAAAAGATATTCTATTTAACAAATAGTGCTGGGAAAATCAGCCGCATATAGAAGAATGAAAGTAGATCCCTCTCTCTCATCTTATACAAAAATCAAGTCAAGATGGATTAAAGACTTGAATGTAGGACCTAAAACCATGAAAATTACAGAAAAAAACCTAGGAAAAGCTCTTCTGGACACTGGTTTAGGCAAAGAATTTATGACTAAGATTCCAAAATCAAATGCAACAAAAACAAAAATAAATAAATGGGACCTAATTATACTAAAAAGCTTTTGCACAGCAAAATAAACAATGGTCAGAGTAAACAAACAACTCACAGAGTGGGAGAAAATATTTACAAACTATGTATCTGACCAAGGATTAATATCCAGAATCTACAAGGAACTCAAACAAATCAGCATTAAAAAACAAAAGCAAATAATTCCATCAAAAAGTGGACAAATGATATGAATAAACATTTCTCAAAAGAAGATATACAAATGGCCAACAAATGAAAATAATGCTCAACATCACTAATCATCAGGGAAATACAAATTAAAAGCACAATGAGATAACATCCTACCCCAGCCAGAATGGCCACTATTAAAAAGTCAAAAAACAATAGATGTTGGCATGGACATGGTGAAAAGAGGATACTTATACACTGATGTTGGAAATGTAAATTAATACAACCTCCGTGGAAAACAGTATGGAGATTTCTTAAGGAACTGAAAGTAGATCTACCATTCAGTCGGGCAGTCCCACTGCTGGATATCTACCCACAGGAAAAGAACTCATTATATCAAAAAGACACCTGCACATGTATGTTTATCACAGCACAATTTACAATCGCAAAAATATAGAACCAACCTAAATGCCTATTGACTAATGAGTGGATAAAGAAAATGTGGTAATATATACACCAGGGAATACCATTCAGCCACAAAAAAGAATGAAATAATGTCTTTTGCAGCAACTTGGATAGAGTTGGAGGCCATTATCTTAAGTGAAGTAACGTGGGAATGGAAAACCCAATATCATATGTTCTCACTTATAAGTGGGAGTTAAGCTATGGGTACACAGAGTGGTAAAATGGACTCTGGAATTCAGAGGCGGGAAAGTCGAGATGAGGGATAAAAAGCTACATATTGGGTACAGTGCACACTACTTGGGTGACTGGTACACTAAGATCTCAGACTTCACCACTATACAATTCATCCATGTAACCAAAAACCACTTCTACCTCAAAAGATACTGAAATAAAAAAAATTAATTTAAAAATTTAAAAAAATAAAATGTATTTTTAAATTAAAAAAATACAAACGCATTGTACAACTGTACAAAAATATTTTCTTTTTTCACACCCTTATTCTATAAGCTTTTTTCCATTTTTAAATTATCTATTTTTTTAACTTTTAAACTTTTTTTGTCAAAAACTAAGAAACACACCTTAGCCTAGTCCTCCACAGGACCAGGATTATCAACATTACCATCTTCCTCCTCCATATCTTATCCCACTGGAAGGTCTTCAGGGCAATAATATGCATGGAAATTTCATCTCTTATAACAATGTCTTATTCTGGGGTACCTGCTGAAGGACCTACCTGAGGCTGTTTTACAGTTAACCTTTTCTTTAATAAGTTGAAGGGGCACACTCTAAAATAACAACAAATAGCATAGAATAGTAAATACATTAACCAGTAACATAGTCATTTATTATCAAGTACTGTGTACATAATTGTATGTGCTATAATTTTATGTCTGGTAGCAAAATACGTTTGTTTCCACCAGCATCACCACAAACACTTGAGTAATGTATTGCTGTAATGCATTGCATTATAATGGCTACAATATCAGTAGGTGATAGGATTTTTTCAGTCCCGTTATAATTTTATGGAACCACCATTGTGAATGTGGTCTGCCGTTGACCAAAATGTTGCTATGCAGCAAATGACTATATTTTGCTTAGAAATTTTCATGCCAGATACCCTGCTTCATTGCTCTTTCATAAAGCCCTAGGGCATGGACACAATTCAACCAAGTTCTTTGCCACTTTAAAAGGATGGCCTTTTCTCCAGTTTCCAATAAGATGTTCCTCTTTTTCGTCTGAGACCTCATCAGAATGGCCTTTACTGTCCATATTTCTACCAACATTCTTTTATAAATCATAGCAATTTGATATATAGATATATTGGTTTGATATATAAGAATCGCCTCTGGGAAGCTATAAACCATACTGATGAGCCTGCCTACCCCAGCCTAATTAAGGCAGAATCCTTGAAAGGAGGGCTGGGCATTACAATTTTTTAAAATTCTCTAGGATATGTCACTATGAGAGATTCCACATAAAAGAAGTAATGGAAATGTTTCTAGCAAGTTATTTTGTAGAGATCACTAAATTGATTTCAAAGTGTATAAGGAGAGAGAAAAGACCTAGAATAGCCAACACAATATTGAAGGAGAGGAACAAAGTGAGAGGACTGACACAACCTGACTTCAAGACTTACTATAAAGCTACAGTGATCAAGACAATGTGGTATGAGTGAAAGAAAGACAAATAGATCAATGAAACAAAATAGAGAACCCAGAAATAGACCCACATAAATACACTTGCTATGGTTTGAATTTGTCCCCAGAGTTTATGTGTTGGAAACTTGATCTCCAGTGTGTTGATGTTGAGAAGTAAGGCCTAATGATTAGGCTCTGAGGTCTCTGTCATCATGAAGGTATTAATGCCATTATCACAGCAGTGGATTCCTTATAAAATAATGAGTTTGGTTCCCTTCCTCTCTCTCTCTCTCTCTTTGCTCTTCCATCATGGGGTGACACAGCAAGAAGATCTTTGACAGTTGCCAGCCCTCCAATTTTGGACTCCCCAGCCTCCAGAACCATTAGCTAATAAATTTCTGTTTGTTAAAAATTACCCAATTCGGGTATTCTGTTAACAGCAGTACAATAGCAAAGACAGAACAACAGAGAAAAGGTAGTCTTTTCAATAACTGTTGCAGGGACAGTTAGACATCCACATGCAAAAATAATGAATCTAGACACAGACTTTATACCCTTCACAAAAATTAATTCAAAATGATCATACACCTGAATGCAAACACAAATCTATAAAATTCCTAGAAAATAATAGAAGAAGCTCTAGACAGCCATGGGAATGGTGATGACTTTTTTAACAAAGGCACAATCTGTAAAAAAAAATCATTGATAAGCTGGACTTCATTAAAATTAAAAACTTCTACGGTGTGAAAGACAGTGTTAAGATAATAAGAAGACAAATGACAGACGGGAGAAACTCTTCGCAAAAGAAGTAGTAGGAATATAAGACCGTGAGAAGGATGAGAATAATTTATAGTAAGTTTCATTACAAATAAAAGGCACCCTCAACTGCCTCCACTGACAAAATTGCTTTGGTGGTGATAGCATCTGGCAGGATGGGGATGGAAGTGGGGAGCGTTTGTTCTTTGGAGATGGTGTTGTCTTTTTCAGATGGTCATTACTAGCCATTCTGGTTTTCTTTTCTTACACTGAGTTTACAAAGCCTCTTGATTCCTAGCAAAGCATCCCACCCAGCAAATGAGGGTAGCATGGGCATTTGAGTTGTGGTTGCTGACATGATTATTTCCTTGCTCTTTGTATCTGCTTGGGCACTTGCAAGCCAGCTTTTATTTCTCTCCAGGAAGGGGGTTATGTGAAGATTTCTTAAACTGCAGTGCATTCTTCACCATTCAGCCTCCCTCAATAAATCTGGCAGAAGTTCAGCTCCTGTAAAAAGCAAGTCAGCCCCAACTACCCTTGTCATTTCCATTTTTCATACATCTACTTTTGGTATGTGCAGTATGAATGCTATTTCTCTGTGCAGTTTCATCTCATTTGCCCACTGCCATAGGCTACAGTGTGGAACAAAGTTCACTTTCAAATTCAATCTCAAACAAAATGAAAAAGCAAGAAAATCATGAAAGAGAAAGCTGGCTTCAGCCATTAATATGGATCTCACTGCCAGATTCTTCTGCTTTATCCATCAAATGTGAGTGAGAGGAATCTGCTCCCACGTGCAGCTGCTACGGCTCTGACCCTGGTCACAGGATACTGTCAATCAACAGAGCAGCTCCTAAGAACAGCCTGGAGTGAGTGCTGGCTGCCAGGTGCAGACAGCCCAACAGGCTATTGAATAACATCATGAATGGTACTGGACCCCTTACTCTGATAACAGTAACAATCCCTGGGGCCTTTCAACAAAATGGTAGGAACCACCCTAAATTTATTTTAGACACCAAGTTTAGGATTAAGGGATTCAGGAGGAAATGACAGGGTTTCCAGAGGAAAGGTATGCATTTTCTTTAAAAAAAAATTTTTTTAAACCCACACAGTGTTTATATCTCTGCTTGAAAGTTCAGTATTCTTTAAATACATCAGTGGATCCTGCTAAATTATACATGTGGTCCGAATTAGAGAGTCCTGTGTCTTACATCTGGGTTTATTCCAATTTGCTGGGTTATCTTGGAAAATCAGCTCAAATGAAACTGAGTTCTGTTCACATGTACACACATACACAACCCCCAGGCCCACACCTGCCCATATGCAAGGTTAAACTTGGGGATAGCAGAAGTATAGGGGACATAGAAACAGTCCTGTGATTTTATCCTGGGTATTCCTAGAAAAAAGATGGCAAAAGTCCTTCAAAGCCTTCCCCAGAAGTGAGCTAGCACCCCTTCTATAAAATCAGGCAATATTGTACCTTATTAGCTCAAAAAATTCTGAATGTTTTCTACTTCTTTCCCCCAAGTCCGAAAAGATGCGTGTTGGATACACCAAGAAGGAAACGCTCAGGCCTTCTTTCCTACCTGGCTGTGAAAGTTGGTAAGGAATCTAATTTTAAAAGAGCAGGGAAGGAAACACTGAGTGGCTGCAGTTCAGACTCTGAGTTTGTTGCGATGCACAATCAGTGCCAACGGGCTTCTTCTCTTCCAGGAATTATATGTGATTGATCCTCTTTAAATAAATTTGGCTAGCTAACAAATAGCTTTCCCTTGCCAACGTTTTCTCAATATGGTCTCCAGACTCTTTATGGTTTTAAAAAAATTACCAAATAAAATTCATGAAAAGGCAACAAGAAACATATCTTACAAAATTTCTGTACAGAATTCAAACATTGTTCTTGTGCCAGACACACACAGCTGTGGGCCTGACGTGGCAGAACCATCTGCTATAAGCTCCACGCTGTAGCTGCTTGAAAGACAGAGCTGGGTAGGTGCGTCTTTTGTTGGAAACACACAAACCATAACTATGGAGCTTTCCTGTTTCCCTCCCCCGCCCCCTTCATTGCCGTCTGTCCATTTGGATGGAATTATCACAAGAGTGTTATATGCACAGAATGGTGCAGACAATGTGGGCAAAATACAATTGCTTAAAGCAAATGGATGTTTGCACCTTGGTGTTTAAGCTTTCCTGATTTCAATTGGGTTTGGGATCATTATACCTACTGAAAAAATGGGAACCTTCAGAACATTAGCACTGACACATATGTCAACTTAAACCAGTTAAATCATTCTCAATCCAGAGCAGGTGTCCTAAGTGTCATTTCTATACATCTATTTCCTTTATAAACATAATTATGTGAATATGTTTTAACTTTCCAGAAGAATCCTATCAAATTGTGTTACCATCAAATCTTATTAATAGAGCTAAATAAGCAACCGTCTTTGACAGGAAGATTGTTCCTCTTCCCATTCTACACTGTGGCATCATTTGCCAGAATCAGAGCCCCCCAGCTGCCTGTAGGATGCTTATGTCAGTCACATCAGAGAAGGAATGTAGGACAGCTCTAAGAGTATCTTTGGACAGGGGTGGGCTCACATAGCCTCAGAGTAAGTGTTTTCTCTTAGGTAAAGGGCTCTTCCTGAGTCAAAGGTAGGTTGTCTTAGCTGGTGGAGCTTATGAACATCTTGTCAGAACGGTGTTTTTACATGTGGAAAATAAAATCCAGAATACAGAGAAAATCAATTATATTGAAATATTCTTATCAAACTGTTTTAACAGACAGGTTTGTGATATAGTAATGTATATGCATATTTATTAACTCATTAAATAACAGAATAGGGTGAAGGGTGGAATATCAATCATAAGGCTGAGCTAAGTGATGGACATTAACAAACTTTCTGCAAAAACTTTAATGCAATACAAAATCATCTGTGAGTTTTATCAGTGACAAAGTCACAAGTGCTTCTAAGACTACTGTGATGTTTTTGCCTAAATGCAGAATTGAAGGAAACACTGAATTACAGTTAGAGATTCATAAAAATAAAGTTATTTTCCCCCATTCCAGTTCATAGGCCCCCGAATTCTATCCATGGCCCATTTTTTTATTTATTTTGCTTTTCAACAATTGGTTTATGGAGCTTTTAAAAAAGTGTGTATAGAGTCAATGATGAATTAGGATGTAGTATGAAAGAAAATGACAGAGGACAGATATTGAGAGATCATTTGTCCATTTTTTAAAATCAGATGATTAGTTTTGCTATTGAGTTGTTTGAATTCTTTATGTATTCTGGTTATCAATCCCCTGTAGGATGAAGAGTTTGCAAATATTTTCTCCCACTTTTTGGTTGTCTCTTCACTTTGTTGAGTGTTTCCTTTGCTGTGCAGAAGGTTTTTAACTTGATGTAATCATTTGTCTATTTTTGCTTTTGTTGCTTATGCTTTTAAGGCCTTACCCCAAAAAATCTTTGCCCATACCAATGTCTTTTTTTCCCCCATAAGTTATTGCAGTACAGGTTGTATTTGATTACATGAATAAGTTCTTTAGTGGTGATTTGTGAGATTTTGGTGCACCCATCACCTGAGCAGCATACAGTATACACTGCTCAATATTTATGGACTTCTATCCCTTGCCCCCCTCCCACTCTTCTTCCGAAGTCCCCAGAGTCCATTCTTAGGCTTGTGTGTCCTAATAGCTTAGCTCCCACGTATCAGTGAGAACATATGGTTTTTGGTTTTTCATTCCTGAGTTACTTCACTTAGAATAATATTCTCCAGTCTCATCCAAGTCCCTGCAAATGCTGTTAATTCATTCCTTTTTATGTCTGAGTAGTGGTCCATCATATATATCTACCACAGTTTCTTTATCCACTTGTTGATTGATGGGCATTTGAGTTCGTTCCATGATTTTGCAATTGTGAATTGTGCTATTATAAACATGAACATTCCTCTTAGCACTGCCTTTGCTGTATCCCAGAGGTTTTGGTAGGTTGTGTCATTATTGTCATTCAGTTCAAAGAATTTTTAAATTTCCATCTCTGAAAAAAACTATATCTTTCCTTCATATATGATGCTTAGTTTTGCTGGATACAAAATTCTTGGCTGATAATTGTTTTGTTTTAGGAGGCTGAAGATAGGGCCCCAATCCCTTCTAGCTTGTAGGATTTCTGCTGAGAAATCTGCTGTTAATCTGATAGGTTTTCCTTTGTAGGTTACCTGGTTCTTCTGTCTCACAGCTCTTAAGATTCTTTCCTTTGTCTTAACTTCAGATAACCTGGTGAAAATGTGCCTATGCAATGATATTTTTGTGATGAATTTCCCAGGTGTTCTTTGTGCTTCTTGTATTTAGACATCTAGGTCTCTAGCAAGGCCAGGGAAGTTTTCCTGGATTATTCCCCCAAATATGTTTTCCAAGATTTTAGAATTCTCTTCTTCCTCAGGAACACCAACTATTCTTAGGTTTGGTCACTTAACATAATCCCAGACATCTTGGATGCTTTTTTCATATTTTCTTTTTTTTCTTCATCTTTGTTGGATTAGGTTAATTCAAAAACCTTGTCTTTGAGCTCTGAATTTATTTCTTCTACTTGTTCAATTTTATTGCTGATGCTTTCCAGAGCATTTCACATTTCTAAAAGTGTGTCCAAAGTTTCCTGAATTTTTAATTGTTTTTGTTTGTTTGTTTAAGCTAATATTTCCTTGAATATTTCTCTCTTCACTTCTTGTATCATTTTTTGGATTTCCTTGCATTGGGCTTCGCCTTTCTCTGATGCCTCCCTGATTAGCTTAATAACTAACCTCCTGAATTCTTTTTCAGGTAAATCAGGGATTTCTTCTTGGTTTGGATCCATTTTAGGTGAATTAGTGTGATTTTGGGGGATGTTAATGAGGCTTGTTTTCTCATATTACAAGGGCTGGCTTTCTGGTTCCTTCTCATTTGGGTAGGCTCTGTCAGAGGCAAGGTCTAGGGCTGAAGGCTGTTGTTCAGATTCTTTTGTCCCACGGTGTTCCCTTGATGTAATACTCTCCCCATTTTCCTATGGATGTGGCTTCCTGTGAGCCGAACTGCAGTGATTGTTGTCTCTCTTCTGGGACTAGGTTGGTACTAGCAGTTGTTTGCACAGAGTCCTGTGATGTACAATGTCTATGGATCTTTCAGCTGTGGATACCAATGCCTATTCCTGTGGAGGTCGCAGGGGGTGCAATGGACTCCGTGAGGGTTCTTAGCTTTGGTGGTTTAATGCTCAATTTTTGTGCTGGTTGGCCTCCTGCAGGGAGGTGGCACTTTCCGGAGAGCATCAACTGTAGTAGTATGGAGAGGGACCATCGGGGGCAGGGCCCCAAAACTCCAAAGATTATATGCCCTTTGTCTTCCACTACCAGGATGGGTAGGGAAGGACCATCGGAGGGGGCAGGGCTAGGTGTGTCTGAGCTCAAATTTTCCTTCAGTGGGTCTTGCTGCGACTGCTGTGGGGGATGCGGGTGAGATTACCAGGTCACTGGAGTTGTGTACCTAGGAGGATTATGGCCTTCTCTGCTGAGTCATGCAGGTTGTCAGGGAAGTGAGGGAAAGCTGGCAGTCACAGGCCTCACCCAGCTCCCACGCAAACCGAAGGGCTGGTCTCATTCCCACAAAACCCCCACCAACAGCCCGAGTCTGTTTCCAGGTAGTGGATGAGACGGGCTTGAAAACTTAACCCAGGCTACCCACCTCCCAGTTGCAAAAGAAAAGGATTTGGTTCTTCCCCAGGCGCTGTGGAATCTGCATACTAGATTTGCACCTTCCCCCAAGTCCTGGCCAGGAGGCTTCTCGCCTCTCACCCATTCAAACTGTTACAAAGTTCAGCTAGAGATCTCCTTCTCTCTGTGGAGTTTTACCCCCTGCTCCTCTGGCCACCCTCCCAATGGATCCCTGTGGTGCCAGGCAGGAGTGGCCTGCTAGGGGACCCAACAAGCTCCCAGGGCCTTTCTGCTGCTTCCTCTACCCCTGTATTTCACTTGGCTCTCTAAATTGACTCAGCTCCAGGTAAGGTCGGAAACTTCTCCTGCAAACAGACCTTCGGTTTCTCCAGTGGGGCTGTGTGTTCAGGAGAGTAGTGTCTCCCTTTCCCACTTCTGCAGTTGGAGCCCTCACAGTATTTGGAGTATCTCCCGGGTCCTGCAGGAGCAGTCTGCTTCCTTCTGAGGGTCTTTGGGTTGTCTCAGGATTGCTTGTTTGTCCATGGACCCTTTAGAAGTCCTAGGTAAAGATCCTTATTTTTCCTTTTAGATTATTAAATCTAATAATATATAGATATAGATATAACAAATACAATCTTGTGGTCCAAACAGTAAGTGAAAATGTTACATGAATATGGAAGGTTATGTGCTTCCAGATTCATGAATCCCAAGCTTTCTCTGTCAAAGAAAATATGTTTGCTACTGTTGAAGCTTCACAATGCTGGCCTTTTAAATGCCATTTGTGAGTTTCTCTTCTGTATCAAATGATACCTTTATTCTAGCTTCTCCTCTCTCTTGTCATTCTAACTTCTGGATGTGATGCTTACCTCTGTATATCTTGCCTGCTTCCACAAATACACTCCTATTTCTCTCCTGTCTTGGTTTTTTTTTCTCCCCAAATCCTAACAACGTTTGTGTATATATAATTAATCACCAACAAATGCATTAATCCCTGTTGTTTATTTAATGGTCACATGATAATTCTCACTAATATGATACTCCAAGAACTTCTGAAGAGCCCCTTCTCTGCTGTTTCCCATCCCCATCCCACTAACATCTCCAACCCAACAGCTATGAGAATCAACCTGAGAACCATTGGCAAACACCATTAACTGCTTTCTAAACATATTTTCGGGGAAATTTTAAAAAGACGTTCTTTTCTTTTGAAGCTCTGGCAGACTAAATTATCAGAAACTTGCTCACTTCTCATTAGATATAAGAGCTACAAGCATGAAGGGAGTAATGTATTAGGTGAACAGTTGAATTAAATAACTTTGCAGGTCTTGGCTACCTTTGAAATTCTAAAACCCCCACTTCAATTGTATCTGAGCAACTCAAAATTTCACATCCAAATTCTGTACATGTAAATTGGTTCTAACTGGTGTATTCACAGACTTTGGAATAGGCAATAGAGATTAGGGAAGCATTGACTCTTCATGTTTGTCGAATACATGAGTTTCATTTTTATTTGGTTGTCAGTATACCTTGTATGTTACTGTTTCATTTTGCTCTTGTAGGGACAGAGAGGTAAGATCCCTTTCCTCACCCATCATAAGGGCCATGGCTAACAACAAAAGACAGATCAATTAAAGTTTTAGGTGACATAGGAGCCTTCAGAAATGAAGACTCAAAGACTCAGGGGAAATCGTTTTTATGCTAATGTTCAATAAAGAATGAGCAGCCGTGTAGAAATGTGGTTGGATGAAGGGGGTATGACTTAATGGTAATACACCGAGCAAGGAAAACCGGCAAGGCCTGTCTGTTCAGATTCTTCTTGACTTCTCTGGGTAGCATTTCTCCTCCCTAGCATGGGGCAGGACTGCTCTGGAATGAGGGTCTGATGACCTGCTCTCAGACAAAGTAGGAGGCAGGGATAGTTTAACAAGTCAATGAATATGATACACCACATAAACAGAATTAAAAACAAAAATCACATGATCATCTCAATAGAAGCAAAAAAAGGTCAGGGAATTTTTTAATGGCCAGCTCTTATACAGAAAGATGTGGGAAGGTTGGAATTCTATTTCTAGGTTTTAGGGCTGGCTTTAGGGAAGAGGAATTCTAGCTTCTATGACTCACTTTGGGGAGATAGATGGGTGGGAGACAGGAGGATGAGAAGTCAGAAAGACCTTGGTTATAAGCCAGTCATGGTGGCTCACACCTGTAATCCCAGCACTTTGAAAGGCCAAGGCAGGCGGATCACTTGAGGCCAGGAGTTTGAGACCAGCCTGGCCAACATGACGAAACCCTGTCTCTACTAAAAATACAAAAATTAGCCGGGTGTGATGGTGCTCATCTGTAATCCCAGCTACTCAGGAGGCTGAGGCATGAGAATCATTTGATTGTGGGAGGCGGAGGATGTAGTGAGCTATCACACCACTGTGATCACCAGCTTGGGTGACAGAGCAAGACTCTGTCTCAAAAAACAAGAAAAAAGGCCTTGTTTATGAGGCTCTTCTGAGGTCTTCCAATCTCCTTTAGTTCAAAGTACTCAGCATGCCAAAGCACTATACTTTGGGGCATCATTTTTTGAGGCCCAACACTATGGAAGAACAGGGTTACAGGTACCTAAGTGACTGTATTGAGTGTTGAAAAATTCCTCAGTTATGAATATATTCTTTGTAAATTCTTTCTGATATTACCAAAGAGGGTGGGATTACAAAGCTGCTCAATGAAAAACCAGTAGAAGACATCTTTTTCCAAAATGGAATTAGATTTAGTTTCTCCGGCAACTAAAAATGAGACCTTCTCACTACAAGTAATTTTGAAACTACACACACTAACATTAGAAGAAAAAGGTTTTTAGTCTCATCAATATCTACCACCCAGAGATGACCACAGTTAATTCATGAGCAACCCTCCAGACATGTGTCTACACATATAAATAGATGTGCAGATATAGATATCTGTAATTTACATAAGTAAAATAATTTTACACATGATATTGTGTCATGAACACCTTTTCAGATCAATAAATACAGCACTACATCATCCTTTGTAATGGAGCTTTAGTATTCCATTGAATTTATTTAGTCAATTCATCTGTTGTTTTGAAAACCCCACTTTTTTGCAGGAAAAAATTAGACAAAGTTTAATATCCATTTATGACCAAAACTCTCAGCAAACTTGAAATATAAGAGAACTTCCACCTGCTAAAATGTATCTATGAAAAACCTATAGCCAACCTCATATCTATTTTTTCTTTTCTTCAGCTTTTAAGTTTAAGGGTACGTGCAGAGGATGTGCAGGTTTGTTACATAGGGAAATGTGTGCCATGGTGGATTGCTGCACAGATCATCCCATCACCTAGGTATTAAGCCCAGCATCTGTTAGCTATTCTTCCTGATGCTCTCCCTCTGCCACCGCTGACTTCTGACAGGTCCCAGTGTGTGTTGTTCCCCCTTGTGTCCATGTGTTCTCATCATCCAGCTCCAACTTATTGAAAACCCCACTTTTAAAAGTGGAATAAATCTGGTGGCATAGTATGACACTGCCTCAGCAGCCTCTGAGGTAATCCTGGCATATCTCACACCAGACAATGATAACGTTAGCCCTAGAGTCACTTAATAAGAGAAGCCCACAGTTACTGGGTCAGACTCTGAGATACCAGAGTCTGCATGTCAGAAACCAAACCAAATCAACAGCGGGAGTTACAAAGAATCACAAAGGCATTCATGGAGAAATGAGCTCCCCTGGGAGACTCGCTACAATTAGGAAACCGCCCCCTCCTCTTCCCCATGGTGGGAACAGTATGTCTGATCCAGCAGCCAGGCTGTGGGCAGGAAACCCTGCTTGATGCCACGTAGGACAGAAGACCAGCTCTCGTCCTCAGACACACGTGGCTGGTGCAGTCTGGCACATGAGGAAGGGTATTACTCTTCCCAGATGGTGTTTCCTATCCCTCTTCACAGCCAATCTAGGAAATGGCTGTGCCAACATTGGCAAAAGTGTCCTGCAGTCGACATGGGGAGTTAGTCTCAGAGTTGGAGGATTTACCATCGTGATGTAACTGGTATCCCTTACATGGAAAAGGTAACTTACAAGTACACAAACGGTGTAGCTATGTGCCATAGTTAGAAGTAAGACTGGATGAGAATACCAGATCTCCATGAAGAAAAGATCTAACACTCAGATGGTGTACTGACACAAGAAAGAACAAAATCAAAGAGATGAAAACGAACCTCTTGCTTTCAGGAAATCCTGATGAGACACATAGCTTTTGGCACTCCCAGTAGGAATGCAGTTTTACTCAATGCCTCCCTTTGAACTCTTGCTTCTACTAAAAACTAATTGGTGCTCTGATGACGGGAAAGCCTTCCTTTAGTGGGGAGGCTTCTAGTGTTAGGTATGTGTCCTTTGAGCCATTAATACCTCCATAGGTGGACAGTCATAAAAATAACTGTCCTACCTAATAAGAGTACTGTTAAAGTTATTCAAAATGCTGAAAGCATTAAACAGATATAAAGATGTACATTTTTCTATACCTATATGATAAACACTGAGATGAATATTCATATTACCCAGAAGAGATGTGGCAAATATGGAAGCCACTTGCATTCCACAGTATTTATGTGCAAGGCATGGTGCTAGGTTACAGGGAAGCCAAGAAAACGAAGTCACAGCTTCTACCCTCAAGGAGTTCACAGCTTTATTTTTTAAAAAGGGCAGCTACTCACTACAAAAAGAAGTAACTTACTCAAGATCACACACAGTAATGAGCTTCAAAAAAAGGTCCAGGAGTCAGATATTACCTTGAATATGTCTCTCTGAGCAGAGGAAGATACAGAATTTTCTTTGAACTGTTCCACATGTCCCCTGACATGAAAGCTACTAATTTAACTGGTTAAGAAACCCTGAATCATAAGGGCCAGAAATGCCATCTTTTCCCTGACTATAAACTCAGCAGACAGCAAGAAAATAATGCAGAGTAAGGGGGAGGAGCGATTAACAAAGTACTGCATGTGGATAATGTTAATTTTTAAAATAGATGCACTCGGGGATGTCTCTTTAAATATCCACATTGAATAGGGAGGAATCTGTTCATTTGTTTATTCTACTCTAACCAGACCCTGGCATTCTGTTACCAGAAATATCCTCCTTTCCCCCTCCTCTCTTCCCGGCATTGTCTGCAGGTGCCTTCGCCCTAATACTGAAGTCCTCTGCATGAGGCTGTGACAGGGCTCCTCCGAATATTTGGCAATGAAAGCTGCTTGGCCCATTTTGCACATGCATTTGGGAGATTTCCAAACAGATGCATATTCGTCTTCACTTTCTTGGCAGGAGGGCTGAGAATTTAAGGATTCTTATGGAGAATTTATGCTGCTCTGAAAACTTAACCCATCGTGGAAGAAACATGAAAGAGTTCGTATAAAAGACATGACCTTTTGCCTCCTTTTGGAGTCTGTTGCTTGGCCTCCTGTGTCTTTGTTGCCTTTTATTAAAGCTTTAGCGACTTTCTTTGTGAACGGGTGATTTTCACTGTCCTGAGCTCTCTAGGGTCTATTTTATTTTCAACAATGATTTCCATTTCATCTGAATCCATTGCCACAGCCAAAGATGTGCTTCTTTATTCAGAAAGTGCCATCAGTAGGGATGGAAACAAAATATTGTCTGAAAGCCATTTGGGGGCAATTTAACAAAAAGGGGGTAGAAAAATGAGAGTAACCTATAATTTTATTACCTGGAGCTACATGCTAACAAGGACAAAACAAGAAGTCCCAACAATGGGTGAGCCATGGATGGATCAGCAGCCTGATTGGCAAATCCTAAACAATAACTCTTATTCCTCTGAGTTATTTAATCCCCACATGATCAGACAGAACAAAGAAAGCCCTGCATATCAGGAAGATTTTATAATTTCATATCTGCCTATATTTGTCTGGGCTAAATATAGCCAAGAGCCTTTTAATATTCTCCCTAAAGGATCCTTTGAAAACTCACCAAACAGGAATTACCCTGTAAAAATGCAGAGACGCAATGCTCTGCAAACAGTATTTTCTTAAACTGGATAAACTGCAAATAAAACAAACACACAAAGAAAATTAAATAGTAGTCTAAAAGAATAAGAAAGTAACCTAGCCTCCCTTATTTGACATTGAAAATAATTTTTATAATGTTTAGCCAGGTCCTTCTTTGATAAATACACTAAAGAAATGATTTTTTTTGTCTGCTTAGATATTTCAGGTTTTGTTTTTAATTTGCTTCCTCAGTCATGCTTTTACTTACTTTCCAATTCCTTCCCTCCTTTCCTGGCTCTTACCTGTGTAACCTGATTATACCCTGACATGGATTCCTCCCAGTATAGCTTCCCCACTGCTCAGGGACTTGGACTACAGTCACAGGCATTTATACATCTGCACTGACTCACTCAATCTATTCTTCAGCTCAGTAGGATGCCCTGAAGAAAGGTTCTCAAGCAGGGTCTAACAGGATCTTTATGAGTTGGGAGTTTATTTTTCCCTCTTTAGGGTAACCACTTTGCTAGGAGATGACAGAGATGCTGAGACTCCCTGCATCTGCTCCCTTCTGGCACCCAGCACCAGGGATTTATGATCAACCAAGACCAAGGAGCAACCCCCTGGAGGACGGCTCACAAGGCCTTGTGAAACAAAGGAAGTTTCTTCAAGCAGCTTATCTGTATTAGCAGCACTTGATTCTAGATAGGCGAGTGCACCAACAATTCCGCCTAAAAGAATAACAGTGGCTGAGGAGAACACACTTCCAACTGTGCAGCAATTAGAGTGCTGTTGAATGGCTGATTGCTTGCGTGTGGTCCCCTTAGTTCCCTGGTGGAGCGTGCTTATAGTTCTGCAATTGGATAAAATGGATTGGAATGAGCACTGTCATATAGAACTGCCAGCTGTTCTACTGTTAATAAAGACACTATTTAGCTATTAATACATCCCATTCTTCCATGTTGTGCCCATTCAAACAAAATATCTTTGTTTGCAAAGGGGGTGTGACTGCACCTGTTCTTGATTGGAGATTCTGTGGCCTGTGGAGGACCCCTTGTTACCATTGCGCAGCAATTGTAGCTTCCAGGCAGTGTCTGCTTGTAAAAGAAACGGGGAGACTAGACAGTGGGATTTAAAAAAGAAAAAAATGAAGCTGTGGGTTCAACAGAGCTGCCATTTCTTCAAATGGTCTTTATGAAAAAAAAAAAAAGTCTAGTTTATTGGGCAAGTTGGAATTACTTGTAAGCAAATTCCGTGTGACTAATGATTCCTTCCCTTTTTCAAGGAGTTATTGTGTTTTAAATATTCCTGAGTATGAAGGCAGAATTCTATGGTGATCTCAGCAGGTGAAAAATGCAGCCTAAGCCTGAGTAATTAACAGGAGATACTACTTCCCAAATAAGCAAAAGAGCAAAGCACTTTCTTTCTTTCTATGGGCAAGCACAATACTAGGTTCTTTGGAGTGCCATCTTCAAGGAATTTACAATAAGGGTAAGGAGACAAGATATATATAGATATATATATATATATATATGCAGGAAATATATATATATATGCAGGAATATATATATATATATATATATATATATATATATATATATGCAGGAAAAAATAACCCACATGAACCAAGCTATGTTATGTCTCTGTTTCCACATGGATAGATATGAAACACAACAGGGTGTTGAGTGGGATCAATTCTAAAATTGTAGTTAAGGCCCAAGCGGGAGCCACCACTTAACTGCTATCAGTTGGAGTAGATTTTCTTGGAGCTTATGAAGATGCTAACCTGTTGCTGATAATAACCACCACCATCACCATGAAGAAAATCAAAATATTCGACCCCAAAATACACTTCTGTAACTTATTTTGGAATGGCTGTTCCTCAAGAGCCAGCAAACAGAAGTAGCCTTGCAAAGTTGTCTTTTGTGAGGGAGAGTTGCTTCTGTAGAGAAAATCTGCATTGATGTAGCCGGGTTTTCTCTGAGCCTTTCCTTATCTGGATCTCGGAAAGATTAACTGAAAATGTGATACCTTTAAAGGTCTGATACAAACACTTTACCATCTATGGTCTCTGAAGGATTCTACCTGTGACGTTTCCTCTACGTAACAAGATCACCTTTGCTAGCCAGGTTTCCTCTTCTCTCCTGACCACCACCTGTTTTGCCAACATCCAAGCTTTCATTCTTTCTGTAACCTCAAGATGGTAGGTAAGCTTCTGTACCCCATCGTGGGTTTGGGGTCATCACTCTGTGGTTCTCCTCCATGCGCATGGTAATAAATGTGTATGCCTTTTCTCCAATTACTCTGCCTTCTGTGAGTTAATTTTTTGGTGAAACTTCAGAGGGTGAAGAGGAAGTGTTCCCTATGCCCCTACAACTATGACCGCCATCACTACCTGGGATATAAGCAAAAAAACAGAAGGAAGTGAAGAAGAAGCATTTACAGTGGTCATTACCAACCTGTGGGAATTAGGTGTTCCAAGGTTTATTAGTCTCCTAGAGATGCCATAACAAAATACCACAGACTGGGTGGCTTAGAAAACAGAAATTTACTGCTGTCAGCTCTAGATGCTGGGAAGTCCAAGATCAAGGTGCTGGCAAGGTAAGTTTTATCCTGAGGCCTCTTCTCTTGGCTTATAGGCAGCTGCCTTCTTAATGTATCTCTGTGTCTCTTCTTATAAGTGCACTAATCCCAGCATATCTGGATGCCACTCTTATAATCTCATTTAACTTTAATCACTTCCTTAGAGCCCCTATCTCCAAACACAGTCACAGTGTTCGTTAGGGTTCCAGCATATAAACTGGGGGATAGGGGTAGACATAATTTAGTCCATAATACTAGGTAATGATTTTCGCTTTGTTCCTTCTGAGGGGTGAGGGGTAGAAACACATCATTCAATCATTCAAAAGAAAATGAGGGTAATTTCAAACAGGAGTGACAGTCTGTCTTCTGTGGATGAAATCTACCTGGGATATAGAATCTACAAGCAACCCACTCTACTTGGTGTTGCTTCCTGAGAGGGGAATGATAAGGATTTCTAAAAGGAATCCAACACTGTATTTAGATGCCATTTAAGGCCTAGAAATTTGTAAGGGCTGGCTGGAAAGGCATTGGGGGACTATGGGATGGGTGCAAATTAATCATGCTTTTAATGTATCTTATGAGGTTTTGATGTTAAAAAATCCTGCTGGCCAAGGGGAGACTACCTCTCCCAGGGCTAGCCAATTCTCAGAGATGGCAAAGAACTTGGCTGGTAGCTTGCGTTTCATATGCAAACCAACCAGTCTGAGTTCTTATTCCCCAACCACTTATTTTCTATAACTCTCAGACACCAAGCCAATATTTCCCCTTCTCTAAATCAACCCAGGGCCAAATATCAGACAACTAGAGACTACCCCTATAGTCCAAAGCCCATTGATATTATTCAAATGAGGCAGCACTAAGCTGCTTACCTCTCTCTGCCTTGACTTTCCCACGGAAATCCCTATCAAGCTCTGGACTAGGCTTTCTCCTGGTTCCTGCTTCTGCTTCCTGACGAAAACCTGGAAGTTCTCCATGTGGCCCTGCATGGCAAGACATGCCCACCTTCCTCAGGAAATATAAGTCATAAATTATTCTCTCAGTGGCATTGACCAATCTGTGTCATCACACAGTCACCAGTAAAAATTAAAATCCCACATTTTGAGACCCGGTGCCCATGAAACAGCCTCAACAAACAGAGAAGACCTCAATGGTTCTTGTGGCTCCACCTGAGAGGGTCTAGGGCAAGAGAAAGGGCAAGAATATTAGGGCTGCCCAAGATGTGGCGGAGCCGGAAGAGCACAGATGTTGCTGGAGGATTGGTGATGCCTCTCTGAGGGGTCCTTGACAGCAGAGAGGCTGGCCTGGAGCTGAGCACTGCCCCAGGCACACTCTATTTCATCTACTTAGGACCACTGTGTCTGCAGAGGCCACCAGCAGCAAACAGAATCAGATGAAACCAGAGTTTTCAAAGCCTGGGCACTTCCTGCTATGTGCCTTTGCAATGTTCAGTTACAGAAAGTCATCTTTGCCTCCCCCATCTATTCTCACAGTTCCCTAACAACAGAAATGTGAGAGAAGGGGGAAAGGATATGCTGGAGCCATATCACCCTCTCTCGCCTCCACTCTGAATCTTTGCAACTTGATATTTAACCTGTCCAGATGGGTTTAAATTGGAGATGGGACAGTTAAACCCGGAGATCTGAGTTGGAATTTGGAGCTTGGAGTTACTGGACTGGCTAAATTTTAATAAACAAAATGGTGGGAAAGTTCTAGACTCCTTATAATATAAAAAGGAAGATTTGGTAGAATTAAAAGCAGTAACAAAAAATAAAATTGTGTCTTATAGCATTGTACGTTTTACTTATCTTTGTTAGCAGTTCTATTTCTCTCTGAAGAGTCGGTGTATGAATAAATAATTCGGAAAAAATTAAAAGAATTGTATCCAGTGTAATAAGTGCCACAAAGTAAACCCTCAATCTAAATTTGTTGGATGGTAAGTAAAATACTCTTTCTTTCCCTTTAGGAAATTCCTACAAAACATCAGTGGAATGCGTCTCTTTATAAACTAACTACTCACCCAGAAACCCCAAACCTCCCCAGGTACAGAAAAGATGGCCACTAAAAGAATTTGGTATCGTGTCTTTAGAGCGATTCTCTAGCACACATCCTCTAATTTGTTCGTTCCTGATCCTGCAATCTGCTGCCTCAGCTATATGGGGGTGTTCTTGCACAGATTAATTTTGGAGAATTAATTTTTCATGGGCACTCTTTCTTTCAGGTTTAACTCAGTTTCCTGCTTCTTCAAGTCACCCAATGAATATTTCTACACTGATATTTTAGGCCTTGGGGTGTGTGTGTGTGTGTGTGTGTGTGTGTGTGTGTGTGTGTGTGTGTGTGTGTGTCCTCTCCCAAAATTACTTGTCATTTCCAGCTGCATTCTGGGTATCCTTTTGTAGCAGTTCATGTGGGCTCCTCACAACAGATTGGCATGATTCATCTTTTAAGACACATGTTAGACTGAGAATCAGGAAGCCTAGAGTTGGTTCTGGTTTTGCCAGGACCATGAACAAGCTGATTTTTGAGCCCCCAGTCCATATATTCCTTCCTACGTCAAACCTTTTCTGACCCCTAGATAGAGCAATTATTTCTTCTTACTTCTATTTCAATATCTATTGCTCTATATTTGCACCTACCCATTTATGTACTCGTTCCCTCTTCTAAAGTGTGAACTTTTTTAAAAAATTTATTTTAAGGTCTGGGATGCATGTGCAGGACATGCAGGTTTCTTACACACGTGTGCCATAGTGGTTTGCACCATGGTGCACCTATCAACCCATCACCTAGGTATTGAGCCCCATATGCATTAGCTATTTATCCTGATGCCCTCCCTCCCCCTGAACCCCTAACAGGCCCAGTGTGTGTTGTTCCCCTCCCTGTGTCCATGTCTTCTCATTGTTCAGCTCCCACTTATGAGTGAGAACATGCAGCATTTGGTTTTCTGTTCCTGCGTTAGTTTGCTGAGGATAATGGCTTCCAGCTTCGTCTATGTCCCTGCAAAGGGCATGATCTTGTTCCTTTCTGTGGCTGCATAGTATTCCATGGTGTACATGTGTCACATTTTCTTTATCCAGTCTATCATTGATGGGCATTTGGATTGATTCCATGTCTTTGCTATTGTGAATAGTGCTGCAATAAACATGTGTGCATGTATCTTTATAATATAATGATGTCTATTCCTTTGGGTATATACCCAGTAATGAGGTTGCTGGATCAAATGGTATTTCTGGTTCTAGATCCTTGAGGAATCACCACACTGTCTTCCATAGTGGTTGAACTAATTTACATTTCCACCAACAGTGTAAAAGTGTTCCTATTTCTCCACAGCCTCGCCAGCAGCTGTTGTTTCTTGACTTTTTAATAATTGTCATTCTGTCTGGTGTGAGATGATATCTCATTGTTGTTTTAGTTTGCATTTATCTAATGACCAGAGATGTTGAGCTTTTTTTCATGTTTGTTGGCTGCATAAAAGTCTTATTTTGAGAAGTGTCTGTTATGTCCTTTGCCCACTTCTTGATGGGGTTGTTTGTTTTTCTCTTGTAAATTTGTTTAAGTACCTTGTAGACTCTGAATATTAGCCCTTTGTCAGATGGATAGATTGTAAAAATTTTCTCCCTTTCTATAGGTTGTCTGCTGTAAAGTATGAACTTTTTTTTTCCACCTTTGGAATTCTCATATGATTGGTTCTTCTTAAAATGGGGGTGACTAGCTCAATTTTTTAAAAATTCTACTTTAAGTTCTGGGATATACATGCAGAATGTGCAGGTTTGTTACATAGGTATACATGCGCCATGGTGATTTGCTGCACCTATTAACCCATCATCTAGGTTTTAAGTTAGGGTCTTATTTATTTTTGGGTCCCCAGGGTGTGCTAATATTAGGAGTGCATTGGATGCCCTGAGAGAATGAAAGGATAATCAGTACAGAATCCTGGCTCTTTGACCTAGTTGTTACTGTCCTAGTCCCTATTCTCACAGTGCTGGCACTGTGCTAGGTGGAATAAGGCACTCTCCAGGGCCTATACCTATTGTCAGCCTGGGATAAATTTGGCCTCTAGCTTCAACTCTTCCCACAACCAGGTTTTATTTTTTTATTCCATTCTTCCTCCACTTTCCACTGTGACAGTTGGGCCTTACTGATACAAAGAAATCATGCTAATAGAAGAAGGATAATCTGAATCAAATCCCTCTTTTCTAACAAGACAAAACAATATTGCACTCCTAGAGATCAGTGAATCAAAACAAGCCCCAAGAAGTGAACTTGTATTTGGGTGCTAGAGATCTTTTAATCCAAGTGGTATGGAATTCCTCTCCTCAAATATATGAAGTCCAGCATGCGAGGTCAGGGTAGCTTAATGATCTCAGCACATGAAACAGGGACTGGGCCAAAATCAGAATGACTTGTCCATAGTAAAAGAGGCATAGAAGTGAGATAAATGGACTTTAGCAACTGAGAAATAGAGATATAGCCTTTCTATGAGAGATTTTATTTCTTTGTATTTCCTGACACACATAGAACTTTGAAACATAGTAGGCACTCAATAAATTCTCTTTGAGAGGACAAAGGGAGAGTATATCATTTAGAATACTTTCCCTAACAACTGAAAATTGTTATTAAGATATTAAGGTAATTGTTAATTGTTAATTGAAAATTATTATCTTAGAGATTAAGGTAATTTATTGGACAATATAAATAAAAAATCCAGAAGGTATAAACTTTGCAGGATTTGATCAGTACCACCTCCATATCTATTTTCTTGGGATTTTCTTGGCTTTCCTCTCCTCCATAGTAGTTTTATCCCTGGGTTGTTTTTCCCATTGGTAGCAAAATGGCTTCATCAGTGTCAGACATTATGTAACCTCACCGTCCAGGGAAAGAGAAAAGGCCACCTAAATTTGAAGAGTTACCTGTATTTTTTAACCAATAGCTGGGACAAGGTGAGAGTGAGATTATACTGACTGGCCTAAGCCAATCAAGACCTATCTCTAGATCAAGAGGTGGCATGGGATAAATTTGGCCCTGCTAAATTCATATAACAACAAATGGGAACATTTCTAAAAGTTGAAAATAAAGAATAATTACCGACAGGCATCTAGAAAATTCTACAAAATGTAAAATGGGGAGAGGAAGGGAGGGAGGAAGGAAGGGAGGGAGGGAGGGAAGGAATGAAGGAAGGAAGGAAGGAAGGAAAATGAGAAGAAATAAGAAGAAAGGACAGGAGGAGGGAAGGGAAAATGGAAAAAGAAAAGGAAGAACAAAAGGAGGAAAGAAGGGAAGGAAAATTGAAGAAAATAAAAACCCTGGTTTTTTTTGTTTGTTTGTTTTGTTTTGTTTTTGTAACCAGACCCTGGTTATTCACAGTGTAAAAAATACAACTCTATATTGGGGATAGGGAGGGGAAGTGGAGTGAAACATTAATTGAGCAATCCTGGTGTACATTCTGATATTCTATACCATTGTACTCTTCCGGCTTATTTTATGTTTAATTAAAATAGAACGGTTAGATATCTTCAGAAGCAACCTGATTGATGATGACCTGCACAGAGAGGTAAGAGACAGATTTTAAGTCTTCTGGACTTCCTCCAGTCTGGGTCTTTTTCTCTATGTCTTTATCACACACAAATATGGCTCCAGTGGTATGAAGTCAAGAGGAGATCAAAACATGCTGGAAGAACGAAGTAAGTATCAAGAAATAACAAGTGTGCATCAAAAAGTCCAATTTCAAATCTGCTTTTTCACATCCTGCACAAATTTGATCATGTTAAATAATTTCTGAGTTGTAGTACCCTTATCTACAAAATGGAGATAGTATCTACCTCACAGTGTTACTGTGAAGATTATATAAAATAATCTACATATACAGCAGCTATAGTAGGTATTTAATAAGCATTAGTTTGTTTCTCCTTAAGAATTTTTTCTGAGAATGAATTTTTTTGAACAGCTTTGGGACATTCAACCTGAATTATTAGTTACAGATATAATAACTGATCCAAACCTAAAGGCTTTTGATCCTTTATTGAACTCTTTATCCTTTATTGAGAACACACACAGTAGTAGAAAATATCTAATTTTCATGATAAATTGCTTTCTGATGTGTTCTATTTCTCTGAACCTGAATTTCCCACAACAAACATTGATTCAATATTTATAAGTAGCTATTGCCTGACATGGGCTAGAAGAGAGAAGGAAGAAAGAAGAGAAAATAGAAGAAAGGAGGGAGGAAGGAAGTGTGGGTGAATTATTTATGAGTTAGCACGTTCATTGTTGTTATTACAGATGAATATCATCTAACCCTTGCATATGAACCTCTATTGGTGAAATATATAAAACATTATCTTAACCTTGCTTTTTTCTCTCCCCCTATTTCAGGCTGTTATGATTTAAAACCCAACAAAGTGTACCATCCTGGATGAAGAATGAAGGGTCTTGATCCAGGAGTTGCTGGCTCAGCATCTGCTCTCAGAATACTCGAAGTCTACTTTTAGCAATAGGAATAGTTACCAGTTGGAAATTCTTTGAATTCTATTAGCACAGGCTTAGTTTTCTACACAGTGTTGATAAATGAAGTAACTGGTTAATCTTACATTTACTTGATATTTCATTTGCTTGCATCCCTTGACATGCCTGAATGGCAATGCAACTATTGATTTCAACTTTTTTTTTTTTTTTGAGACCAAGTCTCACCCTGTCACTCAGGCTGGAGTGCAATGGCATGATCTCGGCTCACTGCAATCTCTGCCTCCCGGGTTCAAGCAAGTCTCCTGATTTCAACTCTTTACTCCCTCTCAGTTTTTCAATTTTTATGATTTAACTGTTTGAGGCTAAATTCAGGTACTTTTTTAACATTTTTTTTAAACATGGTGTCTCACTATGTTGCCCAGCCTAGTCTCGAACTCCTACGTTCAAGTGATCCTCTCACCTCAGCCTCCTGAGTAACTGGGACTACAGGCATGTACCACCATGCCTGGCTCCTAGTTACTTTTTAATGATACATCTGTAATTATAAAAATGCTTTTCTCAATTTCCAACATATAATAAGTATGCTATTTGTTTAATTCATTTACTCATTAATCCATTTATAAGACTATGATGAAATATGATGAGTAAAGATGCTTCTTGGTCTAAATTCAAGGAGAAGGGAATGCAGTAATAGATACAAAGCTCAGTATTCAGCTGTAATTTTCTCTCTGAGGAAAAAAGACACTAAAACTTGTCCATCTGGTGCAGTATTTGTAAATAATATAATGGAGTAGATAAGTCTTAAATTATTGACACACTTGTTAACTAAATGAAGATCATTCCAAGACAAGTGTACTCAAAACAAATAAACTGATATGAAAACAGTGGGGGGACAGTTTCCTTCCCATATCTTGCAAAGTAATATTAAACCAGAAGTTCCTAAAAATATTTTTCCTTTGATCATCTTCTGTTGAGAAGGTAAAGGAGAGAAAATTATGTTGTCAAAAAATTAAAATGCTGCAATTTCTTATCTTTGAGATTCAAAATGACTACTAGCATCTTAAGGTTTTGAGATGTTCTGTAGTTGAAACAAATAAACAAAATTTGACTTTATTTTCATTTCCTATACTTGACTACACATTTTTCTATAACAGTTATTAACATCCAACATATAGGGAATATTTCATGAAGCACATTACTCTCTTCCATAAGACGTCCTTGGACTTTTAGCAACACAATGACATTTCTTGTGAGTACATAAGAAAAAATGAACATCATTATGATCTCAAACAGATCAAAATAAATATTTGTAAATCATAATGCCCTTAGGGAAAAAATAATATAATTTTCATTGGGGGTGTTTGCTTATTGTATTGAATATATTCTTAATCACTATTTCTAGAATACTACTTTGCTCTTAGTAATCTCTTAATAACTACTTGTTGAATGAAAAATACTTCTAATATTCTAAGTCCTAAAATCTTTACGTCTCACAAAGAAATACTACTTTTTCCAGCTTTTTCCCAATTTAGATCAATAGAGATATAGAAAAAGGTATCTAGAATGAAGCAAAAATCAATTAAAAGTTTGGAAAAAGTAAGTAAATGTTGAAGAAATGTGATATTATGTACCCTAGTGACAACTGAATAGTGTTCTCCACTACATGAGGAGTGAATACATAATAAATATTGCAATCAAATGTTAATTAAAAACCTTTGTCAATTATCTGGTAAACCTGATCTCTCTCCTTTGTAGTGTGTTTTATCCTTTCCATCTAAGACATACTACCTATATTACAGTTATTGCAGCTGAATGCAATGTAATACCCTGCAAAATCACAAGCACTTTCTGGAGTGCTGTTATAGGTGGGGTGCTAAGGTAAGAAGTTGAAAGCACAGAATCTAATTTCTGTAAAGGGGGAGAAAGGCACGTAAATGGAAGCCAGTGTGTCAGAGTGGTTAAGAGTGCAGACTATGGTATCAGATTGCCTGAATTTGAATTCTGGTTTTGATACTTGCTAGATACATGATCTCATACAAGTTACTTAACTCCTCTAACATTAAGTTTCCCCATTGTAAACAAAACTACTAATAAAACCTACTTCACGTGGAGTTTATGTGAAAGTTAAATGGCAGTATTCAAGCACTTAGCTCTGCGCTGAGCACTTTGCATGCCCAACAAATATTTGCAATGTTCATTAAGTGTTAAATGACTAAAAACTAGCACATGATAGTTCTAGGGAGGAGGTATAAACACACTTCTATGTGAGCACAGGTGAGGGACCAACTTATTCAGCCTGAAGGGTGTGCTCAGAGTTTCCCAGGGTTTTGCTAGGCTTTGGAGTAAGAGTCAATAGAGAGGGGTGTGTGTGTGTGTGTGTGTGTGTGTGTGTGTGTGTGTGTGTGTGTGTTTGGCGGAGGAGGGGGCGCAGGGTAAGATATTGGAGATCAAGACACTGGCATGAGCAAAATTGGAAGGACATGAAATGGCACAAGACATTCAAGAAAAAGACAAGTCAGGATGTGTATTAATTTCCCAGAAGTGTGCTAACAAAGTACCACAAACAGGATGGCTTAAAACAATCAGAATTTGTCTCATAAGACTTCTGGAGGTTAAAGGTGACAGTAGGGAGGGCATGCTCCCTCTGAAACCTGTAGAGGAATCCTCCCTTCCCTCTTTGTAGCTTCTGGTGGTTTGCCAGAAATCTTTGGCATTTCTTGGTTTGTAGATGATTCACTCCAATCTGATGTCTTTACACGGTGTTCCTCCTGTGTCTCTTCACATCATCTCCCCCCGTGCCTGTCTGTCTACATGTCCAAATTTTCCATTTTTGTAAGGATATGTCATATTGGATTAAGGCCTACCTTAACTGAACTCATTTTAACTTTTGAAGACCTTATTTCCAAATAAAGCATTCTGACATATGGTGGGTTAGGACTCCAGCATATACTTTTAGTGGGACACAATTCAACCCATAAAAGGTGGCAGTGCTTGAGCACTGGATTCATAGAGAAAAAGGAGGCTGGGTAAGGTGGGTCACCGCTGTGATCCCAGCACTTTGGGGGGCCAAGGTGAAAGGATTGCTTAAAGCCAGGAGTTCAAGACCAGCGTGGGCAACAAATCAAGACCCCACTCCCAGCCCCCATCTCCACAAAAAAGGTTTAAAAATTAGCTGGACATGGCAGTATGCACTGTAGTCTCAGATGCTCAAGAGGCTGAGGCAAAACAATTGCTTGAGCCCAGGAGTTTGAGGCTGTAGTGAGCCAGGATCGTGCCACTACACTACAGTCTGGGTGACAGAGCAAGACCCTGTCTTCTTAAAAAAAAAAAAAAAAGAGAGAGAGAGAGAGAGAGAAAGAGAGCGAGAGAAAAAGACAAAGAAGAATGGGTAGTGGGTAGTAAGCAGTCAAGGATAGTCAATAATAGAACTCTGATGCTAGTTTGTATTCATTTTGTAGAAAATAAGGAAACTGATGGATTGTACTCTGAGGAGCTGTTTGGTCAGATTCATATTTTAGAAAATACCCTGATGGGCAGTGTCGAGGATGAATTGGAGCATGGGAAACCTGGAAAGAAACATACCATGGATGGGTACTACTTCTGTTGAGTAGAAATATGTGGGTTTATCCCGGGCAAAGCCCATGACCAGAACAAGAAAGAAGAGATGTAGGAGAGATTTGGGCAGCAGAGCAGACCAAGAACAATGGTGCATGTCTCTGTCTTCTCCAGAGACAGAGGCCCTCAAGGGCAGAGATCATGTCTTACTAATTTTAAATCCCTTCACAACATTTAACGCCATGCTTTGTTTCTTAATCAGCTCAGAATGCCATAACAAAATGCCATAGACTGGGTGGCTTAAGCAACAAAAATTTATTTTCTCAGTTCCTGAGGCTGGAAGTCCAAGATCAAGGCACCAGCATGGTCCATAGCTGGTGAGGGCTATCCCCTTAAGGTTGCAGGTGGCCACTTTCCTGCTCATATGACCTCTTCTTTTTGTGAGCTTCCAGAGAGAGAGTGAGCTAGCATTCTGGCGTCTCTTCTTAGAAGGACTTAATCCTATCAAGAAGGCCCTACTCTTATCATCTCATCTACCCGCAATTATCTCCCAAAGGCCCCATTTCCAAATACCGTCACACTGGGGGTTAGGGATTTAAAATACATATATATTTTGAGACAGAGTCTCATTCCATTGCCCAAGCTGGAATGCAGTGGCATGATCATGGCTCACTGCAGCCTTGAACTCCTGAGTTCAAGGGATCCTCCCATCATGGCCTCTCAAGTAGATGGGACTGCAGTTGCACGCCACCATGCCTGGCTAACTTTTTATTTTTCTGTAGAGGCAGAGTCTTGAACTCCTGGACACAAGCCATCCTCCCACCTCGGCCTCCTAAAGTGTTGGGATTACAGGCATGAGCCACTGCACCTGGCCTAAAATAGGAATTTTGAGGGGGCACAAACACTCAGTCTATAACACCTTGAACGCAATAAGGATTCAAAAAATTTAATTGGATGAAAAGGTAAAAGAATGTCCTCCTAGCATTGGGATTTGCGTTGCCAGGTTAAATACATGATGCCCTATTAAATGTGAATTTCATATAAATAAATAACTTTTCAGTGTATTCTAATGACTAAAAAATTACTTGTCGTTTATCTGAAAATCAAATTTCTCTGGGGATCCTGTATTTAATTCGCTAAATCTGACACCCCACAGGTATATTTGAAAAGAAAAAGCATACGTTTCCTAATGCAATAAGACCTCTTTATGTTTGGGACATGCAACATTTGGGACATACTTATACTAAAAAGATTATTTATTGTTTATCTGCAATTAAAATTTAACTGGGCATCCTGTTTTATTTTATCAGCCCAACCAATCAGCTAGGCATCCCAATTAGAATTATCAGAAAATCTTATAATCCTAATTGGGATGCCTGGCTGATTGGTTGGGTTAGAAGTAATAGAAAGTGGTAAAGAAAAATTCCGAAGGATGTAAGTAAAAAAGATCATTCACTTTCCCATGTAAATAAAAACTATAAGACTTCTATTAAAGCCCCTTATGGCAGGGATTGTATCTTACTTATCCTCTTCCCTCAGTAGCTGTAAAAACATTCCCCAGGATCTAGAAATATCACCAAATAGGAGTTTATTGGAGTTCTAAAGAACTCTAAATTATGAGAAGTTCTAATAGTTATAAATGGAGTCACATTGCTACCCCAACCCCAACCTCGCATGTTCTAGAAGTCTCCAGACTTGCACTCATAATTTGACCCAAAGAGGCCTGGATGTGTGGGAACTAACCGTGGAAAATTCAAAAAAATTTTGAACCCAAAAGGCCCACAACCCTACCTGGTAGCCCACCTAGTCAGTTTCCTATGGCTTGGGTAGTGTGGAAGGCCAGACAGACCCCCCAGTGCCAGACTATTTAGTCTGCCTCTTATCTGCTTAATTCTCCACCTTGTCCTTGTTCTGTCCCTTGCCTCCTGGCACAGGCTGTGATGGGTATGCCAGTGTTGTCACCTATCTGGTACACACAAAAGAAACCCTGCATGGGACGCACTATCAAGAGAGTCCTGTGGCTCCCGCAGGACGCCTCTCTGCCCCACCTTTGCTGGGGTTGGCCTATCAGAAGCTGACATCTGCAGAATTGCTTTTACTAAGTTTTCCCTAGAATAACTCTCTTCCTCATGCCCACGGCCACATTTTCACTTGACACATTTTCTACTTCCCTTTAATCCTCTGATATCCAGTCAGATCCTAATCCCGGAGCTTAATGCATTTGATGAAATGTTTGTTTTGGACAAGATTCGAGATGGAACCTTGAAAAAGCCAACAGTAAACAGAAACCTTTTCTTGCCCATTATCTACTTAAGTTATTCTGCTCTACACCCGAGATTTCCTGCTTTAAGATAAGCATGGATAAAGCTTTTATGACTTAACTCCAAGCATTCAGGCCTGTGAAAATCTTGTAGGTGACCTGGATTTCCCCTGTACCTACTTTCACACCCATAGCAGATGGTGGTAAGGAATGTAGAGATAGGGAGTGATTTTTAATGAGTATCAGGGTCCATTCCATCACTGAGTTTCTTGAATAAGTTTTCTTACTTCTCTATTCTAATATCCTTAAGTAACACAACTTTCTGAGTATTTACCACACAGCAGGTTTTCAAACATTTTTTTTTCTTCTCTCTAGGCAGTCCCTGATGGAAATACACCCAGCTTTCAAATGAGCATAAGGCTAGCAATATTCCAAAATGGGAAGTCCCCAAAAAGGGCCTCACCGGAGTTATTTTCAGTCTGTGTTTCCATAGTCCTGGGAATTATTTTCTGATTGTAGTAATGTGGCCCAAAACAATCAGATGATTGATTCATCAAACACATCAGATCACTGCCCAGTGATGATGATGAACTTTATACAAATACGGACAGCCCAGTGGCCAATGCAATCATATGACATATATGAGTAATGTCTATTTACTCTTTAACTCCACTAAAAGTAGAGTTCTCAAAACAGAATTTTGAAAATATAAATAAAATGTTCCTAATTGGTAGGTTAAAAAAATTAGATTAATTACTATGGGAACGTTATGGATTTTCTTCCTTAAATTTGTCTAAATTGGCTATTCTCCTAACAAGAAATCTTTAGGAAAGTCCTCCCTAAAACCAGAACAGATCTATTGACCTTTTGAGGACTAAGTCCCTCAAGATCCTATGAAACTTTTCTATTCTTATATACAACTCTTTCAAGCTTGCTCCTTATCACTGAGCTATTTTTTTTTTTAAATCTCATCAGAATGTTCCCAAATTGCCTCTGTTGGTAAATTATTCATATAAGGCAAAAGCTTTTAAATAGATTTGACAAGACAACTTCTTTAGCAAAATCATTAAGATAAGAGACCTCAGCAGGGATGGAAGTTATTCAGATTAGACATGAAGCCTCGCTGTGTGAGCTGTGGTTTTTCTGTTCTCTTTCTCTCCCTTCCTACCTTTTTTTTTGGTATCTTTAACTAAATGTCATTGGGTATAACAAATCACCACTTTGCCACAAGTAATGTAGGTTTCTGGCAGTGTGCAAAACTGTTTCGCTTGCAGTATTGTAAAACATTCAACATGGAAATGTAGCCTGAGGAAAAAAATTCATTCAAAGTTCAGAGGTGATTTTAGAGACAGTGAATATTAAAGACAACCCCTTTTTGGAGATTCTGGTGACGGCAGCAATGGAAGAATTAGGTTAAGACTGGGTGCAGTATGTGTGTTTGCCCAAGATAAACACATGAATGGCATTCTCTAAAAGCACATGTGTGCCTATTTAGAAATATTTAGTGGCTGCAGAATTTTCATGCTAAAAAAAAACATATGTTCAAGCTTCAGTGTTACTAGTTGATGACCTCAAAATCCACTGTCAGCCTGCACTCAAAAGGATCCACATAGTTTGTTCTGTGGGGGTTGTAGGCAATGCAGTTTAAGGGGCAATCTGGGAAGGGAGAACATGGTATCAGCTGAATTATGATATTATTTAGGAAGCAGGACACAACCAGAACTTCCAAGTTTCTGCCTGGCTGTTCAGAGCTTCCTCTCCATATATCATTAATTAATTCAACTCCACACATAATTATAGGCAATTTGCATGAAATGTGGTGTTAATGATGAAACAATGCTGACTGTAGAACTTTACGGTATCAATTTTGTTTATGAAACTGGGAAATAACCCAGGTTTGAGAAAATACCTTATTCATTAATGACGCATCTACTTTTATTGTTATCATGGCTTAAGCGTTCTAACTTGTCAAAAATTGTCAGGAAATAAATAATCATGACACTCCTATTTCCCTTCTGAAAAGAAAAGACTCAGTGTGTGGAGAGTGGAGGCTGAGCTTGACAATTCCTCCTGGATCACGTGGCTCTCCTGTCCCAGTGAGACATCTGCTGAGGCCACCCTGTGCTATGGGCAAGCACCACAGACCCAGGCAGGGGGGCAAAATGGGACTGGAAGGATGAAACAAAGGAGCAACCCATGGCAACAGCCAGGGCTTTTCTCTGCGGATAAATACTCTTTTTTGGATTTTATGTCATTGTCTGCTGAGAGAGTAAGCATTATGGCTCTTGAAAGATGGAGACCCTGTTTTGGGTTCATGACATTTTACATCTCAGAAAAGTTGTAAGTTGCCTCTTATCTGAAGGTCACGAAGAGTCAATCCACAGGCTACACGTAATCTCAGATATGTTTCATTGGACACATAAAATTATTATTTTTTAGTTCGTATTCATCATAAACTTTAATAATAATGAGATTCTGGTGGGGAATGCTGATAATGGGGGAAGCTGTGAGCGCGGGAGGGGAGGGCAGGGGATATGGAAAAATCTCTGTGTCTTCTGGTCAACTTTGCAATGAACCTAAAGCTACTCTAAAAATAGTGCATTAAAAATGACAAGATTCCATACATCTGTGTCTGTTTCTGTGTTTTTTGTTTGTTTGTTTGTTTGTTTGTTTGTTTTTACCTAGAGTAGAGGTTGGAGCACCATTTGGAGCTGAGTTGTTGCTGTCTCCTTGAGATCTGGTAAACCAGTTCATCATAGCCTCAGTCCAGCCTGCAAACTTCCGTTATGTACTTAGCCAACCTGGGTCCTATGCAGATATTTGAGTCTCTAAAGCTTTGCTTTAGCCCAGCCCACTACTTTTTTTTTTTTTTTTGATGTTTTGATGTATGTACACGTTATGGAATGATTAAATCAAGCTAATTAAAATAGCTATCACTTCAGATACTAATATTTTGGCGTGTGAACATTTAAAAATCTACTCTCTTAGTAATTTTGAAATATGCATCATATTATTAACTATAGACACTATGAGGTGCAATAGATCTCAAACATTGATTCCTCCTGTCTATCTGAAAGACATCTCCCCTCCTTCCTCCAGCCCTGGTAACCCTCATTCTACTCTCTGCTTCTATGAGTTAGATGTTTTTAGATTCCACACACAGGAGATCATGCAGTATTTTTTCTACTTCTCTTTTTTGATATCCCACCTGGTCATGATTCCCAAATACTGATTACAATGGCACAGCATAATTACAACAGTCATTACTATGAAATACACCTTTTTCAATGAACGAAATTGTAGTATTATAATAATATGTCAAATGTACAATGGAAACTAAACCTCAAGTGCTTTGTAATTTTCAGAATGCTTTTACATTGATATTGGTGACATTTATCAATGGGAATTTTGAAGGTTTCACAATATTTTCAAATAATGCAATATGTTGATTAAAGTCAGGTTTAAAAGCAATGCAGAGAGAAAAATGCAGCAGCCAAATTATTATATTATTTATTAAGCAGGACTCAAACGAAAACTGAGAACTTCAATGTTTCTGCCCAGCTGTTCAGAGCTTGCTCTTCATATATAATTATAAGTGTGTTCGTCAGAAATGGAAAAATATATAAATTGATTTTGGGTTTGAATCCAATTTGCTTTTGGCCAATAGGATAGATCACGCCTTTGTCACACCTTTGGACAGGTTTCTGTTTAACATTAGACGTTGAATCAGATGATTCTGAAAAGTCTATGATTCTTTGATTGTTGGAATCTGATGAAAGTGTTATTAAGACTCTGTAGTTGCTAGATGCAGATCATTGTGTGCAATGGGCTGTTGAGAGAAAGCTGTGAGTCTCTGCTTTCAACATTCCCAGCTGCACCTGCACGTCTCCACTTTTCACAGCCTGAGGTAACCACCAATAGAAGCTTGATCTTGGAATATTGCCTGGCCTCTGAGTCCAAGCAAATCAATAATCACTGAAACTTTCAAACTTTGGGAGACTCCATTCTGCCTTTATTCCTACACTAGGATGGCCATTCACAATGAGATGGTACCAACAGATGGTAACAAGACTCTGAGGCTCTCAAAATTGACAACTCAGGTTTAATAGGTGTCTTCAGCCCTTCTATGTGACATAGTCTCAAACTGTCAGGGACATTGTCTGAGCACCAAAATGTTGCCATTAAAAAGTTTTATTACCTCTCTCCTCTTGCCAAGTCTCCACCCCATTCTCATATGTGTTATCAGTGAAAAACTGTGGAATACATGAGGGATAATGGGAATATAAGAAACAGAGAGGGCTGGAAAGTTGACATTTAGGTACAGACTCCACAATAAGTCCTGACGCTCATCCATGCACCCATGATTTCTACTTCCCTGCTCTGATTCGGCATACCCACATACACAGAATCCCATCTTTCTCTTAACTGAGAATCCAAGCTTCTGCTTTGGAAATCATGAAGATACAATGGCCCAGGATTCTGTAAGTGGAATACCTTTGTTTTCTGATTCATAAAATGAAGAAGTTGGAATGATCTCTGAAACCAAAAGACAAAGTTTCTAAGATCTTGTGAGTTGTTAATTAATTAGCAAAATCATATATATTCAGAAATATAATACCTTGACATGGTACAGAAGCTGCCGTGTGAATAATAGTCACATGAAGAATGGCTATAGTTTCTTCCATTTTGACTCTGGTTTTCAAAGATTACAGTATCTTTTCAGGTTGGCTCAACAAATATTTCTTTAGCCTTATTAGACAGTGCGGACACAGATATGCAATCAACCATTCTAGAAATATTTGAGGAGATAACATTTGAATTAACACACAATTGTTGTGTTTAGGCAGAGAAAAGAGCAAACACAAAGACTCTAAGCCCTAAGTTTGGCACATTAGAAGAATCTGAAGAACATGAAGAAGGCCAGTGTTTGCAGAGGAGCATAGTGGAAAATAAGACCCGGCAGGAGGCCAGGATCTGATCATACAGTCCAGGGAAATGCTTTGCATTTCACTGGGAGCACAACTTGAACTGTATTCTAAATGCTGCTGGAGAAGCAGAGAAGAGCAGCATCTAACTCAACAAGACTGATGGAGTAAGGCAACGGGAATGAACTGAAAAAGTTTACAGCTGAACCAAGTCTTAAAGGATTAGCATGTTTTAGCAGAAGAAAAAGAATAAGCAAAAAGATTGGAAAGGAAAAGGAAAACAGGAGAAAGCATTGCTAAACCATAAAATAGGAGCTAGGAATGGCAGTACATGAGACTAAGGAAATGGGAAGTGCTGGAAATGTTGATATTACAATCATAGCTACTCAGGACTATAAAACACATTTGCTGGCTGTATGCTAGAATTCTGTATCTTATTAGATTAAGCACGTGGTGAAAGGGCTTACAATCTTATGCAATGCATTTTTCTTCTCAGCATCTAGCATAGAGCTGGTAAATATTCAATAAGTATTTGTGGATTGAGTATCAAATACCACTGACCATTTTCTACTCATTTCTGCCAATGAATCACCAGGATTTTCACCATGCTGGGTAGGTCAAGAGAACTTGTAGGAATTGATAATTGCCGCTTAGAATTCATGGTGAAATAGTGTTCAAAGGGCCCCATCACCTCCCTTGTTTCTGGCCTATAAAATTAACAAAGTATTCAACTTGTTAAGATGGCTTGTCTTGCTTAAGTAATGCATTATTACCTTACCTGAAGCGCAAGGCAACTTCCTTAGGGAAGAAGATTTCATAGGAAATAGTAATAACTTACATACAACAAGTGCTTTATAGTTTTCAAAATGCTTTTACATACAGAATATTTTATACTTACAGCAACTCTCTGAGTTTGGCAAAGTAGATATTATCATTTCCATTTTACTTTTATGAAAACCAAGACTCAGAGAGCTCACACAACTAATATAGTGTAGCCATGATGACAACTGAGGTCTTTGACTCTCATATTGTTGTCACCTTGTGGTTTTCATGAAGGATGATTTTAGGAAAGACAAATGCATCATAATTGTATTACTTAAGTAGAAAAAGGGCAATGAATTTACTATAAGCTAATTGTGTGTGTAAAAGATCTGCATCTGTTCTTCCATTCCTTTATTGAGCAAATATTAATCCAGTGCCTACTATGTTCCGGGTACATTTCTATTCACTGGCGATACAGCAAAACAGACAAAAATAAGTGACTTCATGTTGTTTACAACTTAGGGGAGATTGACAATAATCAAGTAAGTTATGTAGGATATCAGAGGATCATAAGTGTCTTGGGTAATAATAAAGCAGAGAACAGAGATGGGAGCAGTAGGGTGGGTGGGTGTGATTTAAATAGGAAGGTCAGGAAAAGCATCACTGAGATTATGGCATTTGAGCAAAAGTCTGAGGAAGGCATTGCAGTGAGCTAAGTAGATAGCTGAGGCAAGAGCATGCCAGGCAGATAGAATAGTAATTGTCAAGATCCTGAGGTTGCAGAATTCCTGGCTTGTTGGAAGAACAGCAAGTGGGTCCATGTGTCTGAGCAGAGGGTAGGATTGGGAGGAAATACAGTTAAAGTTAATGATGTGTGTGTATTGGGTTAGGGAGGCCACTGGAGAATTTTGAGCAGAAGATTGGCATAATCTACCTTACCTTTTTAAAGGATTATTCTGCTTGCTTTGGGAAGAATAGTTTATATGGAGGAGCTGGTAATATCAGGTATAGCAAGACTAATATAGAGATTATTCCAATAATCAAAGCAAGAGATCACATTGGCTGAGTCCAGGGTGGTGTCAGTTGAGAATGTGAGAAGTGGTTGGGTTGAGAATATATTTGGAAAGTGGAGCCAAAATAATATGCTAAAGAATTAAATGTAGATTATGAAAAGCAAGTTTTATTTTGAGTCTGCGCTATGTGTCACGAACTTGGTTAAGAAACGGCAATGCCATGATGCTGCTGACAGACCTGGCTCCTGACTTTGTTGAGTTTACAGCCTTGCCTGTTCCTTAAGGCTGGCCAATTTCCAATTTGGCAAGTGACCATGTGGATCAAAACGACCTCATTTGTTTCAGTGTTTCCCTGTTACCACAATTCTAACTGACCATGCCTCACCTCAGGTCTGAACAAGTCAATTATTTTCACTGGGTTTCAATTTCCTCATAGGAGGTTGATAAAGTAAACAAACTAAGGTGCCTTTTAGCTTCAATATTCTAACAGTCCACATGTCTTTAAAAAGCAGGAGGAGGGATCTTTTTTGCTATTTTTTATGGGATGGGACTGCATATTTTAGGGAACATAGGATATCTCCAAGAATTAGAAGTGTTGGGACCAGGGACATGAGAAGACATCTCCTAAATCTGTGCCCTCTCCTAAAACCACGTGATTGCAAACACATCTGTCACTGACTGTCTAAGCTGCAGTCAACAACCTGATAAAGCACTGCCTCCAACACACAGAGAAAATGAGACTCAAGGGAGTTCTCACTTTGGAGAAATCCCTTGCTGCTTTCTTATAAAGCCAGGAGCGCAGTGAAGCAAGATGCTTGGCTCACTATTCTCCAACACAAGCTTCAAGAGCTAGGTTTATAGCCCAACTCTGAACTTGGCCTCTATGTGTTCCAGCTTGATCTCTCCAAGCTGGTGAAAGTCCTTGTTTATGTCTCATTTTCTCAATATTTACCTTTACTACTTCTTCCCCTTCATCTCATCAGTAGAGCAAACTACTGCAGGGAAGAATTCTTCCTCCCCCTTTGAGTGTTTGAGTCTGCTAAATAAATGGACAGCATGCAGATTAACAGAAGAAGAAAAGGCATACAAACATGTTGACATGTGGGAGGTTGAGCAGGAAGATTGCTTGAAGCCAGGAGTTTGAGACCAATCTAGGCAACAAAGCTAGACCCCTGTCTCTACAAAAAAAAATTTGAAAATTAACAAAAAAATAGACGGGCATGATGGTGCACACCTGTCATCCCAGCTACTGGAAAGGCTGAGGCAGGAGGATCACTTGAGCCCAAGAGTTTGAGGCTGCAGTGAGCAATTAATAGAATTGTGCAGCTGCACTCCAGCCTGGGCAACAGTGAGATCCTGTCTCTAATAAATAAATAAATAAACGGAAGATCACTTGAGCCCAGGAGTTTGAGGCTGCAGTGAGCTATTAATATAATTGTGCAGCTGCATTCCAGCCTGGGCAACAGTGAGACCCCATCTCAAATAAATAAATAAATAAATAAATAAATAAATAAATAAATAAATAAATAAGCACAGGAGCCATACAAAATATGAGACTCAAAGAAGGGCCAGATGATTGAGGGGCTTCATATCCTCTTCAATGGGGAGAGAGAAAGGGAAGATGTAGGAAATTGTGAGGGGTAGTAAAAGATTTTTCAAGGGAAAAGAATAAGCCCAAAGAACAGATAATGAAAGGCGTGGGACAATGTTCCTCTGAGCTCTGGAATAGGTGGCAAGAAGGTGAGGGGCAGAACTTCATTGTGAACAAAGGTTATTTGTTACGCAGATAAAGTCTCTCAGGTAATTTCTCAGAGCTGCCCTCAGAAGAAGAGATGAAAACTCTGTCAAGGTGTGGGGTTTTCCTGTAGTCTTTTTTCCTCCCCAGTGGTTAATCTTTCCTAGTCATTTGATGAGATTCCTAGAGAGAGGGTCTTTAAACAATTGCATTTCTTTTGGAAAGATGTTTCCTAGTAAGATGAAATTTTAGTCCCTCCCTGTGCTTAGCAGGAGGAAAAACAAGAGAGAGTTAGAAAGTCCTTGGTTCTGAGGCAGCTTCTAATGCCTTCCAGCTTCTTTTCATTTGAAGTGCTCAGCACGTCAAAGCACCATACTTTGGGGTATCATTCTCTATGCTCTGTTGGAGCTCAGAGAGTGATAACCCTAAGTAAAGGCCACAGAAGCAGCCTCAGAAGCAAAGATCTTTTTCTGAATTTCTTCTGCCCTCCTGTCTCTCAGTCTCATTCTCCCCTAAAGCAAGCTATAGAAACTGGAATTCCTCTTCCCCAAGGTGGGTCATAAAAACCAGAACCCCTTTTCCCCAAAGCCAGTCATAAGAATGAAAAAGATTACTCTTTCTATGTAAGAACTGGCCATAAAGAAATTCTCTGACCTACCATATTTGATTATAGGTCATAAAAGACCCATTCCAGAAAGGGTCCTGCCCCATAGCTAGAAGAAAGGATCACTGCACAGAGAGGCCAAGAAGAATCTGAACAGACAAGTCTTTTTAAAAAATATTTTTAAATATATATATATTTTATAAAATAGAAACGGGATCTCAGTATGTTGCCCAAGCTGTCTTGAACTCCTGGGCTCAAATGATGCTCCTGCCTCAGTCTCCCGAAGTGTTGGGATTACGGGTGTGAGCCACTGCACCCCACCTGAACAGACAGGTCTTGCTGCTCCCACCTTCTATTACCATTAGATCTACCTTTTTTGTACAATCATATTACTACATGGCTGTTCACGATTTATTAAACCTAAGCATAAAAATGAATACTTCATCCTGGGTCTTTGAAGCTCCCATGTCCTGTGAAACTATGATTAAATAAATGTATTATGCTTTTCTCTTGTTAACCTGTCATTGTTACAGGGATGTCAGCCATGACCCTTGTGTTGGAGAGGAAAGGGACCTTTCTGCCCTGCCCTCACAGCCCCAACACGACACAGACTTGGGATGATACAGTCTAACCACCACATCCACTCTCACCACTTTAACATAAGTCCAGCTGGGGAAACAGGAGCAGAACAACCATGAGGCAGAGCATTAAAAAAGACAGTGACTCAGTGATATCCAAACCATTTGACCTGCTGCTGCTACAGATCAGCACTCTGCCCACAGAGATGCACGGGAACTGACTGGCTCCCCCTACCCCCTTCTTGGCTCCCCACCATTCGCTTCTCACAGCTGTGTCCCTGTTCACTACTCAGGCTCCTACCTGTCCCCTCCACATTTTTCTTTTTTTTTTTTTTGAGATGGAGTTTTACTCTTGTTGCCCAGGCTGGAGAGCAATGGTGCGATCTCAGCTCACCGCAACCTCCACCTCCTGGGTTCTCCTGCCTCAGCCTCCCAAGTAGCTGGGATTACAGACATGTGCCACCATGCCCAGCTAATTTTGTGTTTTTTTTAGTAGATATGGGGTTTCTCCATGTTGGTCAGGCTGGTCTTGAACTCCCGACCTCAGGTGATCTGCCCTCCTCTGTCTCCCATAGTGCTGGGATTACAGGCATGAGCCACTGCACCTGGTCCAGCCCCCCTCCACATTAATGAATGATGCCACTTCTGTGTCTCCAACCTCAGCTAACCCTCTTGGTGAGTGTAGCCTTTCTTTTCTCTGCCAAATAAATCCATTCAGAATTCTCTGAGTTAAAAAAAACAGCACGGCCCTTTTGATACTACCTTGGCCTTGAGATCAGCTCACCCCTTCCTTCAACTGGCCTTATATACAGAACCTGGAAAAAAGGTATAGCTTAAAAAATAAATCATGATTCAGCAAACTTCTGTGCATAGAGTCCCATGACTCCACCCATTTTTGCTTTCATGAAAAATCTTTCTTAAGGGAAAAATTTGACCCAAGGCACAATGAATTCCTGCAGTTAACAGCAGGCTTGGGCTATTGCACCCTGGCCAACTATTCCTACAGAAATTGGTGTTCTTTATCCGATTCCCTTGGCCTTTGTCTTATCTGGTTTCTGTCCTTATTTTCCACTATCAAGGGAGTATTGCTTCTCTCCTCTCTCCCCTCCTTTGCAGCTTCATAATTGTTTTGAACTCCTCCATCTGTATCTCTTACTGTGGGTTCTATGCTTAAGATGGGTCCATTGTTAATGCAGGTTCGTGTTGACTTTCTACACAATCCTGTGCCTCTTCCAATGGCTGGAAGGTTTTTGCTAGATATGCTTATAAATGTTTGTATGTGGGAGGAGGTTGTCATTATTTTTAAAGCAAAAATCTCTTATAGCACTGTGAAGCCCTTGCCAGGGGAAGTCACAATCTGGCTGCCTCTTTACCAGAAAAAAAACTACATCCCGTCATTCCTTGAGCCGTGGCCAGGGCCAGCATGTGGCACTGGCCTGGGGCCAAGAGGACTCTGCTACTGGCAGGGAGGTGGTGACAGGCTGAGGGGGCTCAGAAGCCTCTCATCACACTTTCTCAGGGAAGTGGGTCCAAATTCATTTCCCTGGTTCATGCATTCCATTATACTCAAAGCCAGCAAGCACCACATAAAGTGACGATTTTTAAGTACACTTAAAACTAGAGTATTGTTTTCTCATGATTGCGTTCAGTAAATTATGGGGGAGGAAAGGTGTCGGGAGCTTTCTCGGCCCAGAAACGTGTAGTTACGCCTTGGGGATTAGGAAATAAAATGAATGCTGGTGATCTGGCCTCCAGGTGGAGGCGAAGAGAGAGAGGAGGTGTTACATGTTTCTTTGCCAAGTGCTGGTTCTGACTTGCCAGGATCTTGCTGGAGTAGCTCCTGCTTTCCTGGGAAAGTCCAGCATCCAAATGGCACCAGCCAGATGTGAGAAAACCCTACAAGCTGCCCACAGCCCCTCCTCTGGCTGGGAACTGAAATGGCAAGTCCACCTGGCTTTGTAAAAACAAAGAGGTCCTTCTCTCTGCCTGTAGCTTTATGGGTTGGCAGGTCCGGAAAAGCCTCCCTTTGATCTTGAGCTTTGAAGGGATCAAACAAGCTGCTTTAATGGGCAGGAATGCAGCTCTGAAAATCCTACCTTTTGTCAGTAAAGCATTTCTCTTTTTCCTCCTGGGGCAGGTGCAATGGAGGATGTAGTCTGCTTTCCAGGCCCTGAGCCAGATGTTCCTTCTTGCAACAAGTAGAACAAAGGAGCGAAAGTGAGATCAGGGCAGCCACTGACAAGGCCTTGTCCACAAATGAGCTTTGCCAGGTTTGAGAGTTAGTTCTTGATGTGTTCCTTCCTGAAACCTGCTTTAACTACACTGCATTTTACAAAGGCCAGAAATCAGCTGCTTTGGTGTTAACTGTGCTGATCATGACTTCTCCAAGCTTTTAGATTTTGTTTGGAAGAAGGCTCACCTTTAAGCAATGGGATTTGGGCTAACATCCTTTGATTTATGAGATATGCTTTCCAACCCTTTACAGCCTAGGATCCCAGACTCCTTCTCAATGCCAAAACAGCCTTTAAATAACCACTTTTCTTCCCTTAGCCTATGCTGCTACTATGACAGCAGAAATAGAAAAAAGAAAAATTGGATCATGTTTTTGTTTCATGAGGACCATTCCAACATCACTCTAAAGAGATGCTGTTAACATCTCACATCAGATAGAGAATACATTTCTCCAGCTTACCTGAAATAAGTAGATTCACCACATCCTCTAATACCTGAATAACTAGAACACTGCTCCCTTATAAAATGTTTTCTAGAAATTGCCTTAAATGCCTTTAGGGAAGAGATACTGGTGATTATGCCTCCAAATGATTCCATAACTATTCAAGCTGGCAGTTGAAGTTTTCTTGGTGATTCTTATTTTCATTAAGCATCTTTTGAAACTGGATCCCCCAAGGTAGGTTCTGCAAATCCCTAGACCCAGGATATGTTCCTTGAAGAGAGTGCTCCGTGGCCAAAGTAATTAGCAAAACATTTGGGTTTTTTGTCTGTTTTATTTTTTAAATTTATTTTATTTTTTTTAGAGACAAGGTCTCATGTTGTCACCCAGGCTATAGTGCAGTGACCTGATCATGGCTTGATACCCCCTGCCCACAGGGACTCAAGTGATCCTCTTGCCTCAGCCTCTCGAGTACCTGGGACAACAGGTGCATGCCACCATGCCTGGTTAATTTTTCTATTTTTTTTTTTTTTGGTAGAGACAGGGTTTTACTATGTTGCCCAGGCTGGTCTCAAACTCCTGGGCTCAAGAGATCCTCCTTCCATGGCCTCCCAAAGTGCTGGGATTGCAGGCATGAGCCACCACACTTGGCCCAGTTAGGGAAACATTTGAATACCACAGTTTTCTCTTGAAATTCTCACTGTGCATTCAATATAAGTCTCCTAGAAGAGACTTGTTAAATACCATTTAACCTATGTTTTCCCAAATCACTTGGCCAGGGGGAATGTTTTGCCACATAATGTTTAATATCCCTAGAACTAACTCTTGGGAAAACAGACTCTGATATATTTTTCCTTAGAGCACAATCATAGGATCTACCTGTAGCACTCTCTTAACAGATTTGCAGATTTGTTCCTAGGGACTGTGACTTGATAGATCAGAAGTGGGATCCAGGATTTTAAACAAGGACCCTAGGTGATTCTTATAGTGAGCTCAGTTTGAGAAATTCTGGCTTTCTATATACCTACCCTCTGCACTTCCTACCTGTCCCTCCCCCCACATACAAACACACAAATATATACATGCTAGTTATGAAAACACACCATAAAATATACAAACCCCTGAAGGTAACAGAGATAATTTCTTCTTGCAGAAAGGAGGCAGACATAATGTAGGCAAGTTGAAGCACACAAAGTGCACCTTCTTATTGCCAAGCCTTTAAGAATAATGAGCATATTAGCCTAAGAGAGTACAGAACAAGTCAGCCACACCAGATGCCCAGGAGGTGTCACAGGACAGTGGTGAAGCTTGCAGACCTAGAATGAGGTCCCCCCAACCCAGGTTTGTGACCCCTACTCTGCTGCTCTACATTTTCCAAGCCTCAATTTCTTCATGTGCAAATCAGGAATGATTAAAAAAATAGTATTTCCCTTACATAAAGTATTATAAAGGGCTAAATGAGACAACACAAGGAAATTGTTTGGTATAACACCTGACATGTTGTGCTAAGCAATTTGCTTAATATTTGCTATTATTTTTAAGCAAACATTTTAGGAGGCATGAAAATACATGAAAAAGGAAAAGTGAGGGTGGAGAGAGCCTGTCTTTGGATACTCAGAAAATCACCCAGCAGAAGTCTCTTCTGAGTAAAACACAAAATAGGACATGGCAAGCTTGCTTTTTGCCTTATCTCTGTTGCTATCAGTGGCTCCCAGACTCCTACAGTTTGAGTCGTTTAGCATTTCTGGATATTTCCCTTGTTCCCCATGCTTTTAAGCCTTCCGAGTTCCAGGCCACCAGCACCCAGGGCTCACCTCAACTTCCCCAGCAAACCAATGCAACGCAGCACAAAAAGGGTTACAGGCATGTTTCTAAACAAATAAGAACTGCCAAGGCTTGGTGCTGATATGAAATTATAATCAACCATTCACAGATTGGTAGTATTTATCATGTTGTTAGCATTGTAAATTTGTACCATTGTAGATAGGAGTCACACAGCTTGGGGCCCTGTACCTTCACCTATTGTTTTCCCCGTGTTATGATAAATTTCCAGCAACACTTGATTAAAACTGCCAATTTGTTGGGAATAAAGAGAATCTCTCGACACCACCAGGACTAATTACGTTGTCCTTGCCAAAGGGGTAGTTGAATAATTGCATGCGATTATTGCACAGGCATGGCGCTTTTCACATCAGTAGCAAAGCAATGAAGATTGATTCCCTTTAATTAATCATTCAAAAATAGCCCCCTTGTATCATTCCCCAAATAGGAGGGAGCATGTTCCTACATCTTTCTTCCAAAAGATGCCTGGATGCAATTGGTTCCCTGATGAGATATCAAAATGTGTGTGCCTGTCCGAGATAGGAGGACCTTCTCCGTAATTGATTGTGGAGCCTATTCAGATTCTTTATCCTCTGTTCTGAACTCTCTTTGTAATCTGAACAACCTGGAGCACATTTACATAGCTTTCATTAATTGTACTCTGGCTTCTCATTAGAAAAGAAGGCAACAACTTTTATCAGATCCATATAGGCTTTATTTTACATATCTGCTAACATAATACATTGGGCTTACGTACTCTTAGTGTTTGGTATGGAGAACCAAAGGCTTTATAGGACCCTATATTATTAGAAGGCATTGATATACATTCTTACGTATTATTTGCACTGTTTGTTTCTTCCTTTTTCCCACAATCTCCAAATTCAGCCTTGTTTATGTTTTTTATTGTTGTTTTTGCTTGTTTCTTTTTGGGTTTTTTTTTTTTTTTTTTTTTTTTGAGACAGGGTCTCACGCTCTGTCACCCAAGCTGGAGAGCAGTGGCACAATCACAGCTCACTGCAGCCTCCACCTCCCAGGCTTAAGCAATCCTCCCACCTCAGCCTTCCAAGTAGCTGGGACTACAGGTGTGTACCACTATGCCTGGCTAATTTTTGTAATGTTTGTAGCGATGGGGTCTCTCCATGTTGCCCAGGATGGTCTCAAACTCCTAGGCTCAGGTGATTCTCCTGCCTTGGCCTTCTAAAGTGCTGGGATTACAGGTGTGACCCACCAGCCCAACCTTGTTTATGTTTCGAAAACCCTATGTCAGCCAGATGCAGTGGCTCATACCTGTAATCTCAGCACTTGGGGAGGACAAGGCGGGTGGATCACGAGATCAGGAGATCAAGATCATCCTGGATAACACAGTGAAGCCCCTTCTCTACTTAAAAATTAGCCGGGCATACTGCCATGTACCTGTAGCCCCAGCTACTCAGGAGACTGAGGCGGGAGAATTGCTTGAACCTGGCAGGCAGAGGTTGCAGTGAGCTGAAATCACACCACCATACTCCACACAGCCTGCGCAACAGAGCAAGACTCTGTCTCAGAAAAAAAAAGAAAACCCTATGTCTAGTTTCTCAACTCAGCCTTTTAAATATAAAGATACACTATAGTGATATCTTGAAATATTGCTTGTTTTTTTCACACACCCTTATCACCATGGTTGTTAAAAGTCTTTGCTTTGGAAAAAAAAGATTTAATTAGCAATATTTATTGATGGTGTTCTGCAAAAGAATTGTCCTTGATGTTTTGTAGTGATGCTGAAGAAGGAGGATGATATGGTTTGGCTCTGTGTCCCCACCCAAATCTCATCTCAAATTGTAATCCCCACATGTCAAGGGAGGAACATGTAATCCTCACATGTTGAGGGAGGGAGGTGATTGGATCATGGGGGCAGTTTCCCCCATGCTGTTCTCGTGATAGTGAGTTCTCACCAGATCTGATAGTTTTATAAGCATCTGGCATTTCCCCTACTTGCACTTCTCTCTCCTGCTGCCTTGTGAAGAAGGTGCCTGCTTTCCTTTCATCTTCTGCCATGATTGTAAGTTTCATTGGACCTCCCCAAATATTTGGAACTGTGAGTCAATTAAACCTCTTTCCTTATTAAATTATCCAGTCTCAGGCATTGCTTTATAGCAGTGTGAAAACAGACTAACACAGAGGATTGTACTGCTAATTGGGAGCAAAATTGTGATGTGCAAGATATCCACTATGGGCACATCTCCACTTTCCACACCTGGCTCTCACCATCTCATCTCTCTTCCGTCGTCAGAAAATACCATATTAACACATTTTTATGTATACCAATTTTCAACATTTTAAGTCACTAGAGGAATAGAGCAAGTGTCCATCTCAGCATAGGCACCCCCTTCGTTTTTGCTCTGCACCTTTGTCTCTGAAGCTTTTTCTCCTTTTCATTTCACCTCTACCCTCCCCTACTCTGTGGACCAAAGCCCTTGCTCTGTGCCCTTGCTTGTATGGGGTTGTCTTTTTAGTAAATTTTAGAAACACCAAACTTGAGAGTATCTCAAAGAGCATCTATTCCAACTCGTTGAATATACAGATGAAAAAACTGAGGTCTCAGAAGAAGTGATCCCTCAGTGAATGTTCAACAGGGCAAAATAAAAGAAAGGAGAAAGAATTATGGGTCAGCTGAACCACAGCTTAGGATAAATACTACAGGTTTTGAAGTCAGCCCTGTATAAAATCTCAATGCTGGCGCTAATGTGTATCCCTTGAACCTCAGCTTTTACATCAGACATAAAGACATGACAACATGTTCTTATAGAGTTATTGTAAGAATGAGAAGTCACACAGGTAAAGCAATGGGTGCCAAATAGATTCTTTTGAAAAGATAGGCCAGGCGCAGTGGCTCACGACTATAATCCCCAGCACTCTGGGAGGCTGAGGCAGGTGGATCACAAGGTCTGGAGTTCAAGACTAGCCTGGCCAAGATGGTGAAACCCCGTCTCTACTAAAACAAAAATTAGCCGGGAGCAGTGGCATGCACCTGTGATCCCAGCTACTCTGGAGGCTGAGGCAGGAGAATAGCTTGAACCCGGGTGGCGGAGGTTGCAGTGAGCCGAGATCGCACCATTGCACTCCAGCCTGGGCGACATAGCGAGACTCAGTCTCAAAAAAAAAAAAAAAAAAAAAAAAAAAAAAGAAGAAGAAGAAGAAAAGATAGTAAAAATGACAATGATGTTACTAAAGTATAGTGTCTGCTGCCATTTTTCCAGACCTCAGTATCTTAAATGTTAAAAAGAACTGCAATTCATTAACCAAAAGCTTTCTTTATTTTCCTCCTAGGAGTTTATTTTTACTCTGGGATCAGTCAATAATAAAATGATCTAAGAAAAATCTTCACCATGGCTCTCTAAGCTTCTCCCTCATCATTCTTCCTCTCTCCTTCCATTTTTATACGCAGAGAACAGAGCTGGGTTGAGAAGACGAATATATAAATTCAAGTCCCTGCAGCTCTGATCCCGTGGGAAGATGAATAGATGTTTGAGGCATCATTCAAAAAACTCCTAGAAGGAAGCTTCTGTTAACATGCCCCATCTTGCAGATACTTGGTAGAGATAGACAGAAGCTTAAATGATGGATCCCAGTGCTAGAGCCCTCTACCTTAGATGGGTCTTTGATTCACCAACTCACTGTAAAACCATCTCCCGTCTTATCCATAAGCCGAGATCCTTCTCTTGACCGATGTTTCTCACTTGGCACTATACATTAGTGATTCTCACATTTTTAATCTGCACCATTTGGAGTTCTTGTTAAACTGCAGATTCTTATTCTGTAGTTCTGAGGTAGGGCCCAAGATTCTGCATTTCTAATGAAGTTTGCGGAGATGGCAATGCTACTGATCTTTGTGCCATATGAGTGGCAAGGGTATAGGTCATTGTTCCCTGGGTGCTGCTGTAGCACCCAAAACTTAAATGTCAGCCTCAGAACAGTTTTAACTAATATGATCGCTACATCTTTCTAATTGGTTTATAGGAATAAACACACATTCTCATGTCAAATATATATATATGCACATACACACATATATATGTTTATTATAATAATAATAAACATAATGATATGTTTATAATACCGATAGTTCACTATTTTATTTTCTTACATAATGATCCATACTCATAAGCATGGGGCAGTATATGGGAGGGGTGGAGGAGGTGTGGTTCATAAGACAGTGAGAAATTTTTCCCAAATCCTTCTCTGCCTTCCCCAGCAATCGTTTCTATTTCATTGCTGCTAAGTTTTCTCTCATCCCTGAACTAGTGGCTTCCCACTATGGTCCATCTGCCCTGGGCCCAAGCCCCAAGGTAAGCTGCCAATGTCCATCAGCCACTTGTGCCTGGCCTTGTTCTCATAGGGTTGGCATGAGAACAAAATAGATTAGCATATGCAAAATGCTTAGAATAGTGCATGGCAAAGAATAAATACATAGTTTTTAAAAAGTTGCAATTATTATTATTGCTGTTGCTCTTAGGACATGACTGTCTCCTCACCCCTTCCTCCCCACCAACCACCCTAACACTTTCACTAATCTGTTCACTAACCTGCCCTATGTATGTGTGCCAAGGGCTATGTTCACAGTGCTTTCTTGGTGATCAACTGACCCAGAGTTGTGGATTCATGCCAAAAACTCCTCCCTGTGTCAAGACAAAATTAGAATAAATTTAGCTATAGATCAAATTGACTTTTACTCATGATTGATGAATTGGAACCACTTCCATTCTACAAAATTAAATGACAGCATTCCATGGGTAATAGCAGAACAGTGGGTTTTGCAAGGTGAGAACAAGGAAATCAAACAATAGGAAAAAAAAAAAAAAACTGGGCCAGGTGCAGTGGCTCACTCCTGTAATCCTAGCACTTTGGGAGGCTGAGGCTGAGGCAAGAGGATCGCTTGAGGCCTGGAGTCTGAGACAAGCCTGGACAAAATCCTGTCTCTACAAAAATAAAAATTAAAAAAATTAGCTGGGTATGGTTACATATACCTGTAAGTCCTAGCTACTTGGGAGGCTGAGTTGCGAGGATCACTCGAGCCCAAGAGGTTGAGGCTGCAATGAGCCATGACTGTGCCACTGCACTCCAGACTGGGCAACAGAGACCCTGTCTCTAAAAAAAAGAAACAACAACAACAAAAAAAAACTGATGATGGGTTAACATCAGGCTACTTCAGTTTACTTTTTAGGAAGGGCTAAAGCAGAGGGGACTTCTTTATTATGCTGACTTGGGAAGACAGGAATCTCCTGTTTTCAGAAAAAAACAAAAAACAAACAAACAAAAAACCTGTTCTATTTTGGGATTTACCTGCTTCCTTAAAGTTTCAGTTTGGTTATGTGGCATTTACCATGAATGACTCCATTTTTATTTGGTCTGCTCTGCTGGGGCCTAGTACAGGAGCTCAGCCCAAAACAATGGCCTCCCACAATTTTGGCTCAACGCTTGTAATGTACAAAGAACTGCTAGCGATAGTATCTCCTCTTTTACATCATAGGAAGGTCACCAAGAGAAGATTCAAGATGATGCAGAAGGCAAGAGCCAGATTGTGGCAGGCTAGCAGGGCAGCCGTTTTTAAACAAGGATGACTCTACAATGTGATTCTGGCATCACTCCACAGAACTACAACAAACCTATATTGAGCCCAACCTCTACTTGGCACTGGGTTTACAAACATTACTAACACGAAGCCTGCCTCTGAGTACTTTATAATCTTCTTGGGGAGACAAGTATTTTCTCATCCAAGTAAAAGCAGAATACAGTAAGTACTATGGGAGTGTGAAACAGGGAAGGATTCATTCTGACTTGGGAGAGTAGGGAAAGGCATGAAGGAATGTGTGACATTTGAAGAAGAGTAGAATGTTGACAGATAGTGATGAGGCCCTCCAGGCTGAGAGAATATCACCAGCAAAAGACCACAGACATGGAAGTGGAAGGATTACTGAGGAACTACATAGATTGACAGATGCATGGGGGTCAGGGGGAATTGCAGGCAGGTGGGCAGGCAGGCTAGGTGAGACCAGATGATGGCCAGCCTGAGCCTGGAGGGCTCTTTACACAGCTTAGATTTCATTCCAGAGGTGATGGGGAAATATTAAGGTGTTTGAGTAGGCAACAGCTGTATTTTTTAGGAAGTCTGTATCAGTGGAGTGATCAACTGAATAGGAAAACATGTTAGCGATAATTACAATCATATTCTAGGCAAAAAAAAAAAAATGAAAATGGTTGTATTAGTCTGTGCTCGCATTGCTATAAAGAAATACCTGAGATTAGTAATTTATAAAGAAATGAGGTTTCATTGGCTCACAGTTCTGCAGGTTGCAGAGGAGGCATGGCCACATTCACTTCTGGGGAGTCCTAGGGGAGCTTACAACCATGGCAGAAGGTGAAGGGGGAGTGAGGCATTTCACATGGCAGGAGCAGGAGCAAGAGAGAGAGAAGGGAGAGGCGCCACACACTTTTAAGTGACCAGATCTCTTGAGAACTCACTTTCACAAGAAAAGCACCAAGAGGGAAATCCACCCCCATGATACAATCACCTCCCATCAGGCACCACCTCCAACACTGGGGATTAAAATTTGACATGAGATTTGGGTGGGTACACAGATCCAAAACATATCAATAGTCTTTAGAATTATAATGACAGTAGGTACTAACAGAGGAGTTGGATATGAGAATCCTAGCAGAAAGTCAAACCCCATGTAAAATACATGATTTAAAATCAAGCTAATGTATCCTTGAAATTCCTTACGTTCATCTGCTCAGACTGCCATAGCAATATACCACAGACTGGGTAGCATAAACAACAGAAATTTATTTTCCCACAGTTGTGAAGGCTGGAGGTCCAAGATCAGAGTGTCAGCAAGGAACAAGAGTTGGTTCCTTCTGAGACCTCTGTTCTTCATTGTAGTAATAGATGGCCATCTTCTCCCTGTGTCTTCACATAGTCCTTTTTTTTGGGTGTGTCCTAATCTCCTTCCTTTGTGTCTGTCTGTGTCCTAACCTCCTCTTCTTATAAGGACCCAAGTCAGATTGGATTAGGGCCCACCAATATGCTCTCACGCTACCTTAATCACCTCTTTAAAGGCTCTATATCCATATCAGTCACATTCTGAAGTACTGGAGTTAGGGCTTCAATATATGAATGAGGGAGGGAGTGACACAATTCAGCACCTGACACTCCTGTTTCAGTCCTCACATGTGCTGCACCCAATGCGCTGTGCGTATCCAGTCACATTAAGAACCCAGTCATGAATATGTGCCTTCAAATGCACATTCCGGGTTACAGCAACTGGGTTAGACCTCCCAGAGCAGCCCATATATTTCCATCAGGTCCCCCAAAAATAAAAATGGTGCAAGATAAAAATGGAAATAAGAACTTTTATATTAATGCATTTCTGAAATGGCAGTTTTTGATTCTCAAAGAGCCTTAGGTCAGGTGGGTCGGGGGCAGAGAGATTGGATTTGAGATCTAACGTGAGTGATGCTTCTATAGCCTGAGAAGTACCCATGGTCCCTCCTGTAGACAAGTCAGAGCAAACTGGACAGACTGGATCCACCCTCCTTTCTGTTCTAGTTGTGCTTTTGTAGATTCAACCTTGATGAAACCCATTTTTACAAATGCTAGCTTTTTTTCTAAAGAAATGCAAATGTCTCTCTTCTTCACACATGCACACAGAAACACATGCACACACACACACGCATGCATGCACACACGCTACCACCATATACAATATCAAGAACCAGCCCGTCACCTCTAACTAAATGTACCATTATGGGGCTCACTGCATTACCACGTTTTTAAGTCCTGAGGTAGCAACCACTGATAATCAATATTCTAGGTGTAATCTCAAATTCTGTGCTGTTTTCCAAAAGTGCATTAACCTTTAAGGTTCACATTAGGCAGCATAAAGTTTCTTTTGATTTGTCAGTCACTACCACCCCTCGATCTCCTTCCACCTCCCTGTTTCCGATGGTTCCCCCACCTGAAAGGCCTGGACAATGCCATGCCGTGCTATAAAGAAAAATAAAGGCCAGGCATGGTGGTTCATGCCTGTCATCCCAGCACTTTGGGAGGCCTAGGCAGATGAATCATGAGGTCAGGAGTTCAAGACCAGCCTGGCCAAAATGGTGAAACCCTGTCTCTACTGAATATACAAAAATTAGGTGGGCGTGGTGGCACGCACCTGTAGTACCAGCTACTCGGGAGCCTGAGAGAGGAGAATTGCTTGAACTTGGGAGGTGGAGATTGCAATGAGCCGAGATCATGCCACTGCACTCCAAACTGGGTGACAAGAGCAAAAACTCCTTCTCAAAAAAAAAGAAAAAGAAAAAAAAAAGTATTTTCTAGCTTCCCAAATTGTCTCTTCTGGGAGCCTATTTATCAGAAGGCGCAATATAAAAGAGAGGAAGGGCTGTAGGTAGATATTATAAATTCCACTGGGGTTTCAGAAGATGAACCATCTATTTTATTCTAGCAGGAGATGTTTTCTATATATCTGCTGATTGCACATTCATTCTTTAATCTTTATACATGAAAAGCTAAAAGCAGAAAGCTATGGACTAAAATTTTCTCTGTAAATTGTTGAACATTTGCAACAGATATAGAAAATCACAGTGTGAAAGCCGTTAAAGCTGTGAAAAAATAAATTGGAGGCGCCACAGGAAATGGAGGTTTTACATAAGGACCAGCAGCCAGCCAGAGTTTTCAAGTCCATTTTGTAATAAAGGAAATTATGATCCACATAAAGCCTACTTTGGGAAATTTACATTTTGATGGATAATACGCTTATAACAATTAACATGAATTGTTTCCGGTTTACTTACGACATGCTTCTAATAGATAGTCCACACGTGTCTTTAGCAGAATGTAACTGCTAATATTTGAAGTGCAGGAAATTCCTTGGTTCTCATTTAAAATACCGTAATGCTCTCCCTGCTCCAGGCAGGCGAAAATAAAATCTCAATTAAAGTAAAAGCAGGCATAGTTCCAGTTAAGCAATGATCATTTAGAGAATTAATGCAATAAAGCTTTTTCCATAAAGTGCATAGTCAGCATGGCGTGGGAGCAATCATGCCGGACTGGGATTCCAGTCCCCTGGACCCGGAATTGGCTGCTCTTTCACCAGGTTGTTCAATCTTGTACACATCACTTAATCTCTCTGGGCAACAACTTCCTTATGGATAAAAAATAATATTTTTAGCTATCATCTCTCAGACCTGATCTAGCTTCGGAACGCTGGGCTTTATGATCTAAAAAACCTGTGGAAATCCTTCTAGCATTGAGAAATAAAAGTATTCAAAGGAACTTAGTTTCACTATAATCTAAACTCAAGAAAATTAAGAAAATAGAACAGTAACTAGGTAAGGAGATCACAGGCAGGCAGCACTGTGCCAAATCTGGTCTTTAACATTTTGTTTGACTAGCACAACATTTTTGTTAATAAATAAATAAATAACACTTTAGATATCCAGTGTCTCAGAAAATACATAGCTTGGTCCCTATCATTACAAACTTTATCAGGCATTTGAGCTTCTTAAATGATTTCTACTGCTCCCCTTTGCTTCAGACAAACATTTCCCTCCTCCCACATATCTGGGGATTAAGAGGGTTTTGCTACCTTCTAAGCACATTGGTGATGAGGCAAAAGGAATGGAATCTTGTTGTTCCCTAGCTCTGCTGCAGAACTGACCTCATATCTTGTTCCATTTCTTTTTTACTCATCCGTTTTCCATTCCAGGTCTCTTTTCACTCCAATGCCGATATCTGAATGGAAAGGGTTGGGCAGACCTTCTAGGATTAATGAAAATGCCCAACAAATATTTGGCTCTTTACATCCCTCTGCTTATCTTCAGAGATTGGGAGAAGGGGAGGAAGGGAACTATTAAGTAAAAACATTGACACACTGCTTAGAGCAGAAGAAATCAGAAAAAGAGTAAATGTACTCATCACGAATCCAACTGTCTACCAATGTGAGGGAAAACAAGAAGGCCTTAAAAACTAGTGAAAGTTGTTCTCAGGTTTTCCCATTCATTATCTTGTAGACTAAAAGAAAAACATAGATGTAGTGGAAAGAAAGCAGGGCCAACAATCAACACCTGAGTCCTCTCTGGTTCTTAGTGTCTATTTCTACAAATGAAGAAGCCAGCACTACTTCACTGATTCTAAACCATGGCTGCATATTAGAAGGACCCAGGGAGATTTTAAAAATACAGAGGCTGGACCTTACCCAGAATCCCTGGAGAGAGGGCCCAGACAATTGTATAACTGACCTTTTTGTTCTTCTGTTTAGAAAATATATAAGCCAAAGTTCTAACCACTCGTTTGAGTTACTCATCTCTGAGCACTCCCATGTGTATGTGTGATGCATGTGTTTATAAACTTCTGTTTGCATTTCTCTTGTTAATCTGTCTTTCGTTGGTCTAATTTATAAGGCCCCAGCCAGAGAGTGTAAGATGGGTAAAGGAAAAACATTTTTTTCTCTTGCAATATAAAGTAAGTATACTTATAAATGTGCACATATTTGTATATATGTTTAAAAGGATATATTTGCATATATATCTTAAATCTTTTCACTAGAAAGTCAAGTGAGCAGTGACTTTCTGTTGGCACAAATCTTGGTTTCCAAACGTCACTCTAAATGTGCCAGAGCTCCTTGGAAAAATGGACAATTGTTGTACTGCAAGAGGAGCCTGAAGTATCTGATGGCACCAGAAGGTAAGGAAATGCTCAAAGAATAATGGAGACATATATAACCCACTGGATTATAACCCATGGACTATAACCCAATTCTGCAACCAGTGGATTATAGCTCACAGAATAATAGGATTATTCACATAATAGAAATTTATGAGTCAACAGTGATACAAATAAAGAAAAAAAACACATAAGGAGAAAACTGTTCCTTATAACAGAGAGCTAGCTAATAAAAATAATGATAAATAGAAAGGAAATAATGGCATTGAATAACATCTTTTGGCAACGATTATAGTAATATTATTTCAAGCAGGAAACATCAATGGATGTTATAACTAGTAGGAACAGGGAAGGATGAACATAATTTTACATGGTCTCAAAGTATCTACTCCAAAATATTTATTCATCCACATTTTTCAAAAACTAACTCACAGTAGAAAAACCTGGCAGACACTATCCAAATCAAATGATAAATGTAAATAGCACTCAGTAATGGGGAAACAGGCCTCATGTGTTTCCCAAGAGGAGTTAAAGAGCACAAGCTCTGTGATATTCCAGCTAAAAATCTATCCAGGATCTAATCATAAGAATACATCACACAGTTCCAAACTGGGGGACATTCCATAAAATAACTGACCTATAATCTTCAAAAATGAGAAGAAAATGAAAATCAAAGGAAGACGGGTTTCAGGCCTCTGAGCTTAAGCTAAGCCATCATATCCCCTGTGACCTGCACGTACACATCCAGATGGCCGGTTCCTGCCTTAACTGATGGCATTCCACCACAAAAGAAATGAAAATGGCCTGTACCTGCCTTAACTGATGACATTCCACCACAAAAGAAATGAAAATGGCCTGTCCCTGCCTTAACTGATGACATTATCTTGTGAAATTCCTTCTCCTGGCTCAGCCTGGCTCAAAAGCTCCCCTACTGAGCACCTTGTGACCCCCACACCTGCCCGACAGAGAACAACCCCCCTTTGACTGTAATTTTCCTTTACCCAAATCTTATAAAGCGGCCCCACCCCTATCTCCCTTTGCTGACTCTCTTTTCGGACTCAGCCCACCCACACCCAGGTGATTAAAAAGCTTTATTGCTCACACAAAGCCTGTTTGGTGGTCTCTTCACATGGACGCACATGAAATTTGGTGCCGTGACTCGCTCTTTGCTCTGTGAAAAAGATCCACCTATGACCTCGGGTCCTCAGACCCACCAGCCCAAGGAACACCTCACCAATTTTAAATCGGGTAAGCGGCCTCTTCTTACTCTCTTCTCGAACCTCTCTCACTATCCCTCAACCACTTTCTCCTTTCAATCTTGGCACCACCTTTCAATCTCTCCCTTCTCTTAATTTCAATTCCTTTCATTTTCTGGTAGAGACAAAGGAGACACGTTTTATTTGTGGACTCAAAACTCCAGCGCCGGTCACAGACTTGGGAAGGCAGCCTTCCCTTGGTGTTTAATCATTGCAGGGACACCTCTCTGATTATTCACCCATGTTTCAGAGGTGTCTGACCACATGGGGACGCCTGCCTTGGTCCTTCACCCTTAGAGGCAAGTACCGCTTTTCTAGGGGGCAAGAACCCCTGATCCCTTATTTCCTTGCCCTGACCTCTTATCTCTGTGCCCCGATCCCTTATTTCTGTGCACCGACCTCTTATCTCTGTGCCCTGATCCCTTATTTCCGTGCCCCGACCTCTTATCTCTGAGCCCCGATCCCTTATTTCCATGCCCCGACCTCTTATCTCTCTGCCCAATCCCTTATTTCCGTGCCCCAATCTCTTATCTCTGCGCCCCAACCCCTTATTTCCATGCCTCAACCTCGTATCTCTGTGCCCCAACCCCTTATTTCCACACCCTGACCCGTTTACCGCTTTTCTAGAAGGTAAGAACCCCTGAACCCCTTCCCTCCCTGTCTCTACTCTCTCTTTTCTCTGGGCTTGCCTCCTTCACTATGGGTAACCTTCCACCCTCCAGTCCTCCTTCTTCTCCCTTAGCCTATGTTCTCAAGAACTTAAAACCTCTTCAACTCACACCTGACCTAAAACCTAAATGCCTTATTTTCTTCTGCAATGCTGCTTGACCCCAGTACAAACTCGACAGTAGTTCCAAATAGCCAGAAAATGGCACTTTCAATTTTTCCATCCTACAAGATCTAAATAATTCTTGTCATAAAATAGGCAAACGGTCTGAGGTGCCTGACGTCCAGGCATTCTTTTACACATCAGTCCCTCCCTAGTCTCTGTGCCCAGTGTAACTCGTCCCAAATCTTCCTTCTTTCCCTCCCGCCTGTCCCCTCACTCCCAACCCCAAGCGTTGCTGACTCTTTCTAATCTTCCTTTTCTACAGACCCATCTGACCTCTCCCCTCCTCGCCAGGCCGAGCTAGGTCCCAATTCTTCCTCAGCCTCCGCTCCTACACCCTATAATCTTTTTATCACCTCCCCTACTCACACCCGGTCTGTCTTATAGTTTCGTTCCATGAGTAGCCCTCCCCCACCTGCCCAGCAATTTCCTCTTAAAAAGGTGGCTGGAGCTAAAGGCATAGTCAATGTTAATGCTCCTTTTTATTTATCCGACCTGTCCCAAATCAGTTAGTGTTTAAGCTCTTTTTCATCAACTATAAAAAACCCAGCCCAGTTCATGGCCCCATTAGCAGCAACCCTGAGACACTTTACAGCCCTAGACCCTAAAAGGTCAAAAGGACGTCTTATTCTCAATATACATTTTATTTTATTACTGAATCTGCTCCCAACATTAAATAAAGCTCCAAAAATTAAATTCCGGCCCTCAAACCTCACAACAAGACTTAATTAACCTCACCTTCAAGGTATACAATATTAGAGTAGAGGCAGCCAAGTAGCAACATATTTCTAAATTGCAATTCCTTGCCTGCACTGAGACAAACCCCAGCCACATCTCCAGCACACAAGAACTCCAAATGCCTGAACTGCAGCTGCCAAGTGTTCCTCCAGAACCCCCAGGAGCTTGCTACAAGTGCCGGAATCTGGCCACCAGGCCAAGGAATGCCCACAGCCCGGGATTCCTCCTAAGCCGTGTCCCATCTGTGCAGGACCCCACTGAAAATCAGACTGTTCAACTTACCTGGCAGCCACTCCCAGAGCCCCTGGAACTCTGGCCCACGGCTCTCTGACTGACTCCTTCCCAGATCTTCTCGGCTTAGCAGCTGAAGACTGATGCTGCCCGATCACCTCGGAAGCCTACAAGACCATCACAGATGCTCTAGGTAACTCTCACAGTGGAAAGTAAGTCCACCCCCTTCTTAATCAATACAGAGGCTACCCACTCCACATTACCTTCTTTTCAAGGGCCTGTTTCCCTTGCCTCCATAATTGTTGTAGGTATTGATGTCCAGGCTTCTAAACCTCTTAAAACTCCCCAACTCTGGTGCCAACTTAGAAAACATTCTTTTATGCACTCTTTTTTAGTTATCCCCACCTGCCCAGTTCCCTTATTAGGCCAAGACATTTTAACTAAATTATCTGCTTCCCTGACTGTTCCTGGACTATAGCCACACCTCATTGCTGCCCTTTTCCCCAGTTCAAAGCCTCCTTCACATCCTCCTCTCGTATCCCCCCAACTTAACCCACAAGTATAAGATACCTCTACTCCCTCCTTGGCGACCGATCATGCACCCCTTACAATCTCATTAAAACCTAATCACCCTCACCCCTCAATGCCAATATCCCATCCCACAGCACGCTTTAAAAAGATGAAAGCCTATTATCACTCACCTGCTACAGCATGGCCTTTTAAAGCCTATAAACTCCCCTTACAATTCCCCCACTTCACCTGTCCTAAAACCAGACAAAGCTTACAGGTTAGTTCAAGATCTGTGCCTTATCAACCAAATTGTTTTGCCTATCCACCCCATGGTGCCAAACCCATATACTCTCCTATCCTCAATATCTCCCTCCACAATCCATTATTCTGTTCTGGATCTCAAACATGCTTTCGTTACTATTCTTTTTCACCCTTCATCCCAGCCTCTCTTCGTTTTCACTTGGACTGACCCTGACAGCCATCAGGCTCAGCAAATTACCTAGGCTGTACTGCCACAAAGCTTCACAGACAGCCCCCATTACTTCCATCAAGCCCAAATTTCTTCCTCATCTGTTACCTATCTCGACATAATTCTCATAAAATCACATGTGCTCTCCCTGCTGATCGTGTCCGGCTAATCTCCCAAACCCCAATCCCTTCTACAAAACAACAACTCCTTTCCTTCCTAGGCATGGTTAGTGCGGTCAGAATTCTTACACAAGAGCTGGGACTGCACCCTGTAGCCTATCTGTCCAAACAACTTGACCTTATTGTTTTAGCCTAGCCCTCATGTCTGCGTGCAGTGGCCGCCACCGCCCTAATACTTTTAGAGGCCCTCAAAATCACAAACTATGCTCAACTCACTCTCTACAGCTCTCATAATTTCCAAAATCTATTTTCTTCCTCACACCTGATGCATATACTTTCTGCTCCCCGGCTCCTTCAGCTGTACTCACTCTTTGTTAAGTCTCCCACAATTAAGATTGTTCCTGTCCCGGACTTCAATCCGGCCTCCCACATTATTCCGGATACCACATCTGACCCCCATGACTGTATCTCTCTGATCCACCTGACGTTCACCCCATTTCCCCATATTTCCTTCTTTCCTGTTCCTCACCCTGATCACACTTAGTTTATTGATGGCAGTTCCACAAGGCCTAATCGCCACACACCAGCAAAGGCAGGATATGCTATAGTACAAGCCACTAGCCTGCCTCTCAAAACCTCTCATTGTGGTAATCTGTCCTCAAAGAAATAACTTCTCAGTGTTCCATCTGCTATTCTACTACTTCTCAGGGATTCTTCAGGCCCCCTCCCTTCCCTACACATCAAACTCGAAGATTTGCCCCCACCCAGGACTGGCAAATTAGCTTTACTCAACATGCCCCGAGTCAGATAACTAAAATACCTCTTAGTCTAGGTAGACACTTTCAGTGGATAGGTAGAGGCCTTTCCTACAGGGTCTGAGAAGGCCACTGCAGGCATTTCTTCCCTTCTGTCAGACATAATTCCTCACTTTAGCCTTCCCACCTTTGTACAGTCTGATAACAGACCAGCCTTTATTAGTCAAATCAGCCAAGCAGTTTTTCAGGCTCTTAGTGTTCAGTGAAACCTTTATATCCCTTATGGTCCTCAGTCTTCAGGAAAAGTAGAATGGACTAAAGGTCTTTTAAAAACACACCTCACCAAGCTCAGCCACCAACTTAAAAAGGACTGGACAATACTTTTACCACTTTCCCTTCTCAGAACTCAGGCCTGTCCTCAGAATGCTACAGGGTACAGCCCATTTAAGGTCCTGCATAGATGCTCCTTTTTATTAGGCCCCAGTCTCATCCCAGACACCAGACCAACTTAGACTGTGCCTCAAAAAACTTGTCATCCCTACTATTTTCTGTCTAGTCATACTCCTATTCACTGTTCTCAACTACTCATACATGCCCTGCTTTTGTTTACACTGTTTCTCCAAGCCATCACAGCTGATATCTCCTGGTGCTATCCCCAAACTGCCACTCTTAACTCTTAAAGTAAATAAATAATCTTTGCCGGCAAGGCTATGCTGACCCTCTTTAAGCACTCTCTAATTAGATGTCCTAAGTCCTCCCAATTCTTAGTCCTTTAATACCTGTATTTCTCCTTCTCTTATTCCGTTTAGTTTTTCAATCCATACAAAACCGTATCCAGGCCATAACCAGTAACTCTACATGACAAATGTTTCTTCTAACAACCCCACAATATCACCCCTTACCACAAAATCTTCCTTCAGCTTAATCTCTCCCACTCTAGGTTCCCACGCCGCCCCAATCCCGCTCGAAGCAGCCCTGAGAAACATCTCCCATTATCTCTCCATACCACCCCCCAAAATTTTCACCGTCCCAACATTTTACCACTATTTCGTTTTATTTTTCTTATTGATATAAGAAGACAGGAATGTCAGGCCTCTGAGCCCAAGCTAAGCCATCATATCCCCTGTGACCTTCATGTACACATCCAGATGGCTGGTTTCTGCCTTAACTGATGACATTCTACCACAAAAGAACTGAAAATGGCCTGTTCCTGCTTTAACTGATGACATTATCTTGTGAAATTCCTTCTCCTGGCTCATCCTGGCTCAAAAGCTCCCCTGCTGAGCACCTTGTGAACACCCCCCACACCTGCCCGCCAGAGAACAACCCCCCTTTGACTGTAATTTTCCTTTACCTACCCAAATCTTATAAAACAGCCCCACCCCTATTTCCCTTCGCTGATTCTCTTTTGGGACTCAGCCTGCCTGCACCCACGTGATTAAAAGCTTTATTGCTCACACAAAGCCTGTTTGGTGGTCTCTTCACACAGACACACATGAAAACGGGAATTGTTTCAGATCAGAGATAGAGACAGGTGTGAGTTGGGAGCAGCCCCTGATCCTGGATGGGATCTTTTGCCACAAAGGACATTGCTGGAACCATCAAGGAAATTTGAATTCAGTCTCTGGGCAAAGAGTATAAAGGAGTCCTGGGTGCTATTCTGGCAACTTATCTGTAATTTACAACGTGTGACTTTTTCCCCCAGGGTTAGAGTTATTTATGTGTTGTCTTCCTTCCTACTCCATCAGCTGCTTGACTGCGGGACCCGCAGCGGGCTCAGTTAGCTGTCCCTCCACAGCACCTAGAGTGTGGTAAAGCCTCGTAAATGTTTCTGGAAGACAGGAGGGGAGAGAAGGGCCACACGGGAGGGAAGGAAGGAGCGAGGGACTGGGGGAAGCTAGCCAAAAGTAGACATGTGACCTCTCTGCCAGACAGTTCAGTTGGGCTAGATTCCTAGGTGACACTGGGCTAGATAATGATTGTGGAAAATTCTATCATTGCTTTACTTAAAGTGTCTCTAGAGGAAAGAAAAATCATTGAAGTGTGTTTTTGGACCAGCTTGTCATTAGCTGGAAAAAGCTATTTTGTTGCGTTAATTAGTTTTATTGTTTTGACATTTTAGCTTTTTAAAGGCTTTGTGCTGGAATTCAAGTACAGTATTTCATTGCCACAGAGTCTATTTTAATGAATGATTATTATACAAATGAACCTGCTAATAGGTTCCTTTTTTTTCCCCCAGAAAACAAACAAAATTCACAAAGAAATACTCAAGGGCCCCCACTTTATATTAAACCTGTGTGCGTGTGTTTTTCTTCCTTAAAAACAAAACAATTTTTATAAAAACCACATTTGGTTCTGCTACAAAAATCTAAATGGCTGTTGCGGTAAATTGACATGTAAGTAATGCAAGGTACTTAATAATGAGAACATTCCCACTCTATTTTTTTTTTTTTCAGATTAGAAAAGGTGCTAATAAAATAATGCATTTGCCAAGGCTCCTCAGTTTGCTCAGGAAAATCTTTTAAGGATGTTAATTCTTTGCTTCCTGTCTTAAAACCTAGTTTTTCCTGTGTGGGTACTCTGTTTTCAGGGGCCAACCTTGAACAGGCTGCTAACCATATAAACAGAAGATCTTGTTCCTGGAAGAAATGCCCCACCCATGTACTCATAAACAATGATCGCATTTGTTGGAGCTAAACCTCCCTGGACTTCATTGAATGTGGCATTACCCCATCCTAAGGGATGCCGTGGCATATTACCCAGCAGGATTCCAGTTATAAGAGCATGGTAAACAATTAGAACTCATTTACATTTTACAATTAGGTTTCACTTACATTTTACTGTGATTTTTACACGCATCAAAAGCTTTATTTCACATCTTTACTAAATCCACAAACCGTGAATTTAAGCGTCCCATATTTTTGACATGTTATTCCACATGCTAAATGTCAGTAGTCTACATTTGGTTGAACAAAGGCTAAGAATTATACAGGAGTGTGCCCAAATTGAAATGAAATGACTCTGAAATCTAAAAGCTAAGCTAAATCATTTACAGCAGCTTCGTAAAAGCCTGAGAGATGAAATGCAAATTTCCTCTGGTATTAAATAAAATATGTTTAACTCATGTCATGTATTCTAAAGGTCTCCCAGGATAGATTTCTGAAGGTCTGTCAGTTTATTAGGGCACAGATGATATCCATCAATTGGAAATCAATACTTACTGCTGGGTTGTAATTATAAATTATTGGGAAAATGCAGGTGGTAAATAGGCAGGGTATTTCTTGCTAATAGTTTGAAATAAAATTGGTTTGATTTCTAGTATGTGGGTTGAGAAATAATTTTTCTGTATTTGCTTTTAATCTTAATTTTTTTCAAGGTTTGGTTGCCAGAGGAACAGTTTATCTCTATGGATTATTGCATTTTAAATTCTGGAAAACAGTGCTCTACAAATCCAATATGATGATGTTCATAGGGAAATAACATGCATTTACATTTTATTGGTATAAATAAGAGGGAATTTTTCTGCCTCTTTTCTTTCTTTTTCATGGTCACTTTACTTCCAAATATACAACAGTGTGCATTCATTAGCCTTTTAAAACATTTTCTGTACATAATTTCAATTGCTTTTCTTTTCCAATGTTCCCTATCCTGCATTTCTGTCTATATAATAAAATATTCCTTTGTATAAATATACAAAAGAATTTTACATTCGGCAAAAATGATCTGAAACTTCACATACAGAAACGAGGTTTTTTGCCTTTTTACATAGGCTGTCTCATTTGTCCACTAAATTCTACCACTAATGTTATTTATAATGTAGATGTTCCAAAAATTGGCTTTGTTTGTCTTGTCAGCAGAGGAGAAGGATTCCACCTTCAGGACTAATTCTTTATAATCAGCATTTGCATTCAATCCTGGGAGCTTTCCCCAGTTACCTGCTATTGATTCATTTATGCCTTCAGGCCAGTATTCAGTCAAGGCCCTCTACTTTTTACCAGGCACAAATGTGACAGCTGCTGCCCTCATGGTACACAGAATCTAGTAGTCAAACATGACAACAAAGAGTGACACCTTTTGAGGCAAAGAACAGAGAAGAGGTATTTGGGGAGTGCCAGGGGAACATAACACAGGAAGCCCTAGTGGAAGGAAGTCTGCCATCTTTCCACTATGCAAGCCTTGAAAATGAAGGAAGGTGGGGAAATCTAGAGCTTACTCTCCTACCTCTCTGCTAGTCTATTAAAAAGAGGTGAAGACGAGAGAAAGATGAAAAACAGGGAGATTAGAGGGGTGGCCATGCTTCAGCTCCAGAGAACGGAGGACACAGAGCTACATTCTTGATGCAAATTCTGGAGAACTGCAATGAGCAAATCAGTGATTAGGTCATACTGAGACTGTTCCCAAAGTAAGCATGTTACCTAAGATCCTTCCTCTTATTTTTAGCAAAAGCTTCAAAGAACACCAAAAGGCCTCAGGAAGGGATTAATAATTATTTTTACTTCAAGTGCAAATGTTAATTCTACCCATAGAGTCAAATATTATAGAAATATTTTACATGAAAAAAATAAAAATATCTTATAAGGACATTTGGGGTCATCAGTACACAGCTCTAACCCATTGCCCAAACATTTTATCCTACAATATAAAATATCCACACATCCACATATGCACCACACACACAGACATGTACACATCAAACCAGAGACACATACATATAGGCTTATACACATACATACATGGAAACACACATGCAGCTACAAACATACAGATGTAGATACATATATAGCCACACAGACAGAATATCATTTAAAATAGCATCCTAGTCATAGAATAGCAAATTATGCACTCACTATTCTATTTTCAATGCGTTTTTCACTTATATCCATCATTAACGTTTCTTTCTTCTCTTTCTTTCTTTCTTTCTTTCTTTCTTTCTTTCTTTCTTTCTTTCTTCTCTTTCTTTCTTTCTTTCTCTTTCTTTTTTTTTTTCAGAGTCTCGGTCTGTCACCCAGGCTGGAGTGCAGTGGCACCATCTCGGCTCACTGCAAGCTCCGCCTCTCGGGTTCACACCATTCTCCTGCCTCAGCGTCCCAAGTAGCTGGGACTACAGGCGCACGCCACCACGCCCGGCTAATTTTTTGTATTTTTAGTAGAGACCAGGTTTCACCGTGTTAGCCAGGATGGTCTCAATCTCCTGACCTCGTGATCCACCCTCCTCGGCCTCCCAAAGTGCTGGGATTACAGGTATGAGCCACCGCGCCCAGCCCATTAATTTTTCTTTACCCACTTCCCTCTTGGCTGAAATACCCAAGATCACTGAAAACTCAAATACAGCACCTACATCTTCAAAGCCCATGTTGCTTTTCTACTCCAATGTGCTGCTCTGATATTGAGTGACACTTTCACTGACTGCCTTTAACTGAAAAGCAAACTAAGTGGGAAATAAAGATGAAAGGGAAAGGAATGTTAGAAGAGGAAATACTATAATGGTCAAAGAACCCAATCCACAAAGTTCCTTTTAGAATGTTTCTCGAATTGTCTATTCTGCTGATGATTAACCATTGAAATGCTATTTTAAACCATCTATGGTTGAATGAGCCATTTCTGTCACCCACCTCTTTAAGCCATAGGTAAGAAATCTCCACCCCCAATGGCCTTGTTCTGAGAGTTCCAAATCCTGTTTCTTAACACTAATCTTCGGATTTTGCTTTATGGACAAAAGTATGCTAAAAAGACATGAAATGAGAAAACATGAGTGTCAATTCCAGACCCATCTCTTACTGGCTGTGGAATACTGGATATGAATCGTATCTGAGTTTCACTCAGTTTCCTTATACATAAGTATCATGTCTACCCACCTTTGAGTTCTTTAATGTGTGTGGGCAGTAGTACCCCCTTATCCACGGTTTTGAATTCCATGGTTTCAGCTACCTCTGGTCAACTACAGTCTAAAGATCTTAAATAAAAAATTCCAGAAATAAATAATTCATAAGTTTTAAATTGCATGCCATTCTGAGTAGCATGATGAAATCTTATACCATCCCATCCAGATGTTTATCATCCCTTTGTCCAGCATATCCATGCTGTATATGCTCTTCGATGGTGACTTAGTAGCTGTCTCAGTTATCAGATCTACTGTCTCAGTATCGCAGTGCTTGTGTTCAGGTAACCTTTATTTTACTAAATAATAGCCCCAAGAGTAATGCTGATGGCATATTGTTATAGTTGTTCTACTTTATTGTTAGCTATTGCTGTCAATCTCTTACTGTAACTAATTAATAAACTTTATCATAGGTATGTATGTATAGGAAAAAACATAATGCATATAGGATTTGGTACTACCTGCGGTTTCAGACATCCACTGGGGGCCTTGGAAGATGTCCCTCATGGATAAAGGGAGACAACTGTATAAAAGAATAAAATAATGAACACGAGTACTTCGTTGCCTACAACATACTTGTATTAGTCTGTTCTCGCATTGCTATAAAGAACTACCTGAGACTGGGTAATTTATAAAGAAAAGCGATTTAATTGACTCACAGTTCTGCAGTCTTTACAGGAGCCATGGCTGGGGAGGCCTCAGGAAACTTACAATCATGGTGGTAGGCAAAAGGGAAGCAGGCACATCTTACATGGCTGGGGAATGAAGAAGCGAGTGAAGTGGGAGGTGCTACACACTTTTCAACAATCAGATCTCGCTGGATGCAGTGGCTCATGCCTGTAATCCCAGCACTTTGGGAGGCCAATGTGGGCAGATTACCTAAGGTCAGGAGTTCAAGAACAGCCTGGTCAACATGGCAAAACCCCATCTCTACTAAAAATAGAAGAATTAGCCTGGCATGGTGGTGCTCGCCTGTAATCTCAGCTACTCAGGAGGCTAAGATATGAGAACTGCTTGAACTCAGGAGATGGAGATTGCAGTGAGCAGAGATCTTGCTGCTGCACTCCAGCCTGGGTGACAGAGCGGGACTCTGTCAGAAAAAAAATAAGGAAAAAAAATCAGATCTCATGAGAACTCACTCACTATCACGAGAACAGCAAGGGGGAAATCCGCCCCCATGATCCAATCACTTCCCACCAGGCCATTCTTCCAACACTGAGGATTACAATTCGGCATGAGACTGGGGCAGGGGTTCAAATCCAAATCATAACAATACTATAAAAATTCAAAGCCCGACACGGGTAGTCCTAGTTACTTGGGGGGCTGAGGCGGGAGGATTGCTTGAGGCCAGGAGTTTAAGGCTGCAGTGAGCTGTGATCATGCCTGTGAATAGCCACTTTACCCCAGCCCAGGCAACATAATGAGACCCTGTCTGTAAAAGTAAAAAAAAAACCAAAAAACAAAATATTATTGTTCTTACCCCAATCATTATCATCACACAGTAAAAAAAAAGCGGGGGTGCCTATATATGTATAACTTTATGCCGGAAGAGACAGAAATAAGCATAGTCTTATCCATACAAATTTACATTCAAAAATATTTATATTCTGATCAGGCTAATTCCTTATGTATAGTGTATTTTACATTTCCCTGTCCCACTATTTAAGCATATCCTTGGAAAGCGCATTTATCAAAGAGTTTTAGGACTGCAGCATCTTTGCAAAGTTGGGAAAGTACTTTCTAGAGCACACCCAATTTTTATAAAATGAAGCTTTCATATGTTTATATAAATCCACCTTAACCTTGTCTAAACAGGTGGGTTGTGTTGTCAACCTATACATCCCTTCTTTTTCCTCCTTCATAAATTCATCCTTTGTGGATCATCACATGGTTCTTTCCATTCTCAGCCACAAGAATAATGACTTTTTTTTCCCTGATTGGAGACTCAAGCTTACAAATTAGATATGGTGGCAGTTTTCCTCCATCTGGAATGTTAGCAAGAGACTTGGCAAACTCAGGTCTTATATTATTCAGTGGTGAGACTGACAGTCTTGTGGAGTCAGAAATGGATACCGTAGATTCAGCTGCCATGTCAAATCAGATGGCAAGTCTATCATTGTTTGTGATCTGATGAGGACGGGAGAGTCAGCATTGTGGTATTACATTCTCCAGTTAAAATCAAGTGAGAGCAATTTATAACTTTCCAGAGATATCATTTAGCTGTGGTAGAGTCTATAGAATGAGTTACTCAGCCTTAAAGCAGTGCATTTCTACAATGCCTAAAGCAATGAATCTCCCATAGTATCCACAGCTCCACGAAGCTTCACATGGACCATCAGATAGGCTTTTCATCTCACATGTGTGGTGGATAAAGTTGGAGCAAGAATGATTTATGTGAGTTATGCAATATGAATTTGATACATGCACTGGTGAATCATACTGTTAAACTGAGAAATGAAAGTAAAGAATTTCCCATGAAGGGCTTCACCTTAGGGCCATATTACATATACTCATTTAAGGGCCCTTTCTCTTTTCCCCAAACAGAAGCATAAGTTTAAAAAAAAATACTTAGGACAAATCATTTGGAGATAGTTAAAAATGGGCCAGGCACAGTGGCCTATGCCTGTAATCCCAGCATTTTGGGAGGCCAAGGTGGGTGGATCACTTGAGCCCAGGAGTTCGAGACCAGCCTGGGCAACATGGTGAAACCCTCCCTCTACTAAAAAAATACAAAAATTAGCAGACCCTGGTTTGGTGGCATGTGCCTGTAGTCCCAGCTACTTGAGAGGCTGAGGTGGGAGGATTGTTTAAGCCTGGGAGGTTGAGGCTGCCGTGAGCCAAGATCCCACCACTGCACTCCAGTCTGGGTGACAGAGAGAGGACCCTGTCTCAAAATAAAAAAAAAAGAAGTCAGAAATATGAACAATTGTCCTAATTCTAAGATCTCCATCACAAAGTTAAATAATAATAACAAAAAAAGAAAAAGTAAGTGTCCAACAACATGGAAATGAATAAATGCATTATGGTCAATAAACATGGTGAAATATAATGGTACAATGAAAAATGCTTTATAATTAATTTTAATGACAAAAATGCATCTCATTAACTTCAACAAGTCAGGATATCATACTGTATCTAAATTATCATTTTAATCGCAGAAAAATCTGTATGTATGGAAAAGCAATGGAAAGAAAATATACCTAAATATGAGCAATCATTATTGTTGAAAGCAGATGTATCAGTGGTTACTTCTTTTCCTTCATATAATTTTCTATATTTGTCAACTTTTTCTACAATAGGTGTGTATTACTTTTATATTCAGGAAAAAGTGAATAGTACTAAAATAAAGTCTTTTTGAGATTACAGGCGAGTGCCACCATGCCAGTTATAGTTACTGGCTGACGGTACTTTTTGTATATGGACTTGCAGGTTGCTATTTATTCTTTTTTGTAAAAAACATTCCTCCAGAAATTTTTAAAAGAAAAGATGCTCTTTGAGATATTCCTTGAATTTAAATAATGAATAGGACATGAGCAAAAGATGCCTACATTTCAACTTTTTCCAACTGTAAGAAGTGAAGAAGCACCATTCCCTTTGTAATGACCCATATTCCCCGCCACTTTCCCCATGCATCACTGGCTAGACCCCCAGGCAGCAAGCAATCGTGCTGTGCATTGAATGACTCCTCTACTCAGTGACCTGAGGCACCCTGGGAATTTCTGACCTGCTCTATTCATTTTATTAATCATCAAAACTTTGGCTATGAGACATGTTGCTATTGAAATAATTTTACCTGTGGGGTTCATTTGGCTTTAATCATTAACTTCAGCTTTCAATCTCCTCTCCTTTATCCCCATCAGAAAACTTCTCAAGCCTCTAGTCTGGCATGGAGATTAGCGTTGAGGCCTGTTGGTTCAATTAGCCTCTGTGCTTCATTATGATCCATGACATAATGACATGATGTGATTTGCCCCAGTGCACTCTGAAGTGACTTGCTGCTGTGGTTCTGCAAGGCAGAAAGAATTTTTGAGAGGCCCCATTCTTGTTGACATCACACTTTCTAAAACACCAGATTTCCCACTGATTTTGTAGAAAATTAGTTTACATATGACTATCTCCACCAATAGGCACACATGTATGTGTACATACATATAGGCCTGCTGGCCTAAATTGAACATCTTAATTATTCTCTTATTTTGTAGGAATCACTGAATACATTTTTGGTTCCACTTTTGTTTGACTCAAAAGTGCGCATGTGTGAGCGTGTGTGTGGGGAAGATGAAGGAGGGCAGATGGAAAATGTGTTCTTTAAGATATTCCTGAAATAAATGCAACTATGTTTGTTGCTTTCCGTTTATTTTTATACACATGTGGCTATCTGACATTATGAATTTCTCTTCAGGAACTAGATACCTTCAACATTTCAGGTTAAAACCACAGAATTTGACCCTACAGTTTTTGTTTCTTTTGGTTAGATACAGAAGATGAAAGCAGACTATGCTTTTGGCCCATTCGCCTTGACATCTCATATCCATCCAGTCATGACCTCTATTCAGATCTTGGAAGGGTGAGGGCTAACTTGGTCTCCAGAGGTATGCCATAATTTATATAATTTTCCTTTGATCTGATTTGATGGTATTTTAGTCAGGGTTCTTCAGAGAAATAAAACCAATAGAAGATATATGTCTATGTATACACACACACACACACACACACACACACACACACACACACATATATATATATAAAATGAGATTTATTACAAGAAATTGGCTTATATGATTATGGAGGCTGAGAAGTCCCATGATTTGCCATCTGCAAGCTGGAGAACCAGGAAAGCCAGTGGTATAAATTCTAGTCCATGTCTAAAGGCCTGAGAACCAGGATTGCCAATGGTGTGAGTCCCAGTCCAAGGACGGAAGGCTGGTGTCTCAACTCAAGCAGTCAGGCAAAGAATGTAACCTTCCTTTGCCTGATTGTTCTATTCAGGCCCTCAACTGCTTGGATGAGGCCCACCCACATTGGAAAGGGCCATTCATTTTATTCAGTCCATTGATTTAAATGCTAATCTCTTCTAGAAACACCCTCACAGACACATTCAGGAATAAAGGTTAACCAGATATCTGGGCCTCCTGGCCCAGTCAAGTTGATACATAAAATTAACTATCACAGATGGCATTGAGCTCACTAGACACCACTCAACATCCTGTCTGGACACCCAGCTCCAGACAGGATGCTGGGAAGGACTGATGTTGAGTGGTAGTTTTGCAGGATATCAGATCACTTTTCTTTAGTTAACTGCCTTTTTCCTGTACTACCACTTTAAATCCAGGAAGTTTTTCTCAGTTGCTCTCTTATCTTAATTGCATATTTTTCATAAGGGCTTATTGTTCAAACATAGCCCTAAGATCCTATAGATTTATTATTACTCTTCTTTTTGTCCTTATTTGTTATTTCTCATCTTAATCTTATAACTTAATTTTGATTCCTCTGTGAACTTGAATCATTGGGGAAAAAACAAACAAAAAAAAGCATACCTCAGTCCTTTTTGCATTGGTAAGATACTATTTCTAGCATTAAAAAAATGCTGATAGACAAGCCACAGTTTTAATCAATGAAATTATATGTAGACTCATTAAATGTCATATCTTTTTTGTAATTTAATATCTTGCTAATGTAGAATTTGCTTTTGGTCACTGGTAGGCTTCTTGTGGCCAGTTTCATGTCTTTTATTAATCAGGAAACTTGATGTCCTTTTGTTTAGCTACTGGACTTAATGGTGAGAATGAAGATGCATAAAATGTGTGGACCAGCCTATCCATAATCTGTCCAGATTTGGGGGTCAAAAAAGAATTTATATTGGGTGGAGTTGAGATGCAACTTTATTACTAAAATATAAACCAAATGCCAAAAGACATGCCTGATATGATTTGTCTGTGTCCCCACCCAAATCTCATCTTGAGTTGTAGTTCCCATAATCCCCACATGTCATGGGAGAAACCCAATGGGAAGTAATTGAATCATGGAGACAGTTACCCTCATGCTGTTCTTACGATAGTAAGTTCTCAGGAGATCTGATGGTTTTATAAAGGGCTTTTCCCTCTGCTCGGCACTTCTCCTTCCTGCTGTCCTGTGAAGACAGGTCAGCAGAACAGACTGTGTCCTACTGTCCCCTTCACCTCGCCATGATTGTAACTTTCTTGAGACCTTCCTAGCCATGTAGAACTGTGAGTCAATTAAACCTCTTTTCTTTCTAAATTACCCAGTCTCAGGTATGTCCTTATGGCAGCATGAGAACAGACTAACACAATGCCCAAACAAAGTTCACTGTTGTCTAACGTCTCTGAAAAATACACTACTTAATTTTATATCAACTCAATTAAAACATTTCATGGAACTAAATATAATGCATTAGAAATCAACAACAAGTAAATGTAGTTTACAAGAAAGTAACTAAGCTTGGAAAAGGGGAAAATCTGATGTTATTCCTAAGAACCGATCCATAGCTCTTGAGAAGCTGTCAGCACAATTTACAGGGTTTACAGCAGAGTTTAAAGCAGTGTCTGGAGCCAGACAATCCAGGTTCAAATCCTGCCTCTGTCACTTATTCCAAGAACTTGAATAACTGACTCGAATAACTTCTCTTAGCCTCAGCATCACCATTGACAAAATAGGGCTAATGATCTCTCTTACCTCCTAGGGATGTATAGATTAAATTAATACAGGTAAAGCACCTAGACAAATACCTAATACAAGGTAGTATCTAATAAATGCTATTGACTATTCTTGATTAAATAAAATTCCATGATTAACACACATACTTGGCTTTAGTGTTAGTGGGAAAATCAATTATATGATTATTTTGATTTATAACAAATGTTCTCTGTGTGACAAAGTGGCAAAGCCAGTTGATATTTATTAGATGCATTTTGTGTTGTAAGAGGCATAGCCATTTTGACTTCTATATTTAAAGACTTTACCAAAACAAGTTATAAAGTACTGCCATGAGAAGCCAAATGTAGAAGTGATACTAAGTCTATAACTTAAAACATTTTGTGCAGATGAAATCAATGGTACTATCTAGGAAAGGAACTTTGCAAATTCTCCTTAGTGGACAAATACCTCCCTCCGTTTGGCAGATAGTGAAAACAGGCTTTTACTTTTGGCTCCCAGAATTAGCTGATAGACTAAGACTAAGCTTAGTGCATCTCAAAAGGAAAGATTCTGTGGGGCAGCAGAGTGAGAGAATGACCAAGGAAATCGCCAGAAGCAATTTAGAAAGCTAAATTGGATAACCAGAGTAGTACTGACCAGAATCAAAGAAACATAATTACTGTGAACAAATTCATGCAATAATAGAGAGGACTTTTACCAAGAAGGTAATAAGGAGGAAGATGAGGAGAAAGTGCTCAGAGTGTAATTTGTCTCTAGCAAAAATTCAGGATAAATTTTGGAGCTCCGTTCAGGCTCTTTGTAGGTCACATGTGCTCTTTGACCTTGACCTGTGCAAAAGAAATGTTCCTTTAAAATTGTGTAACCAAGAATATGTACTTTAAAACAAATTGCCCACAAGAAATAATGATGAAGGAGCAGTGCCATTGAAGTTTTAACTAACCCAGGAGGCATGACAAGAGATTATAGCCTATCTTCATTAAAATACTGTGTACATTTGAATACATAGCATGAGGGAAGGGATTACTGCAAGGTAAAATGATCAAAGACAACAGAACTGGAGAGTTACAAGATGACTGTAATAAACACAGAGATCAACCTCCTCAGGAACCCTGTAGCTCAACGGCTCTGACTTAGTCCTTTCCTTTCTTGGTAGAGAAATAGAATGTGTCTACTCCTTCAGGGGGCGGTCTTCTGGTGATAACTCTCAGCTAGGATCAGGGAGATAATATAACATAAGTAAATTCTGCAGTTCAGTGAACATAAGCCAGGCACAAACGTGATGCTCAAGACAAATGAGGTAGCTGAAGAACATTCACCTCATTATTAATGTAGCAGGATCAAACTTCATCACCATAAACTCAGGCAGGCAAAAGTGTTAACTAGTGTTAATTTCATGGTCTATAACTCAACTTCTCTTTGCTCTTTATCTACCACCCTGCTAAATGACAGAAAACATCATGGTGCCAATTCAAGATATAATTTTAGTTTTTAGTTTTAGTCCTTCCAGGTATTTTCTTTTTCAGGCATACTGACAAATTTAGCACTTTCTCTCCTTCTTTTTCTTTCCTATCCAAGAGGAGTTTATAGGAAGAGTTTCCAAGAGAAGCTCATCAGAAAAGACATAACTTTCCCAGTCATTGGCCACTGTCCTCACTGGTTTTAACTGAGATGTACAATCCCTGGTGGGGATTAGTAGCTGCCTTCTATTCTTACTGAGGTATGCTGACATGACACCAAGGCCAAAGTTGACAAGTTACACACACTTCGATTCTTCCTCACTCCAAATCTGACACCTCCTTGGGTCCACCTGCCTCCTCATAGACACATTCACACTCTCCTGAAAGAATAATAATTTTGGGCTTCTCTTCCTGCAGCATTCCTTGGTGACAATTCATCTTATCACACTTCTTATTGATGGGGTTTAGGACATGCTATCCTCAAATATGGCACTTCAGCATTTGAGAAAAATAGCAGAAGCAGAAAGGTCATTCTCACCTTCCCCTCATCCCTTGTCCCCTGAAGCAGGTCATAAAATCTAGGGAGGATTTTCTGACCTCACCCTGAAGCAGAATGTAAGACCCTCAGGTTTCCATCATTCTCAGCAAACTATCGCAAGGACAAAAAACCAAACACCGCATGTTCTCACTCATAGGTGGGAATTGAACAATGAGAACACATGTACACAGGAAGGGGAACATCACACTCCAGGGACTGTTGTGGGGTGGGGGGAGGGGGGAGGGATAGCATTAGGAGATATTCCTTATGCTAAATGACGAGTTAACAGGTGCAGCACACCAACATGGAACATGTATACATATGTAACAAACCTGCACATTGTGCACATGTACCCTAAATCTTAAAGTATAATAAAATAAAATAAAATAAAATAAAATAAAATAAAATAAAATAAAAAGACCCTCAGGTGAAAGGTACCCTCCTTATACCCCAATGAAAAGAATGTTCTTACCTCTGAAGACAAAGGGTCACAGAGAAGAATCTGAACCAACAAGCCCTGCTGAGTTTTCTCCAGTTTATTACCATTAGATCATACCCCCTTTATCCAATCATATTTCTCCATGACTTTCTACTCTTTCTCAAACCTAAGCACAAAAATAAACAAGTTTATCTATTTCTTTGGGTCTTCATTTTCTTATGAAGGCTCTCACGTCATACAAAACACATATTAAATCAATTTGTATGTCTTTCTCTTGTTAATCTGTTCTTTGTTATAGGAGGCTCTACCCTGCACCTAGAAGGGGTGAGGGAAATACATTCTTCCTCCCCTATCAATACCCATATATTGGTATAAAAAAGTGCTTGTGGGCCGGGTACAGTGGCTTATACCTGTAATCCCAGCACTTTGGGAGGCCGAGGCAGGCAGATCACCTGAGGTTGGGAGTTGGAGACCAGCCTGATCAACATGGAGAAACCCCATTTCTACTAAAAATACAAAAAATTAGCCGGGCATAGTGGTGCATCCTTGTAAATATCATGGTGCCAATCCCAGCTACTCAAGAGGCTAAGACAGGAGAATCGTTTGAACTCAGGAGGCAGAGGTTACAGTGAGCCGAGATCACACCATTGCACTCCAGCCTGGGCAACAAGAGCAAAACTCCGTCTCAAAAAAAAAAGTTGCTTGTCCTCTCTTTCATGCCACTATACTTGGTAGTTATGTGAATGTACATTAATTTTACAAAGAAATAACTAGAAAGGATGTACTATTTCAAGCACATATTTGATGAACTTACATAAACCAGGAATTTCCTGTTGTTATGGATGTATATATCTTATTGACCAATGCATAATATCCATATATCTCTACTTGCTAATGTATAGCATATATAAATACATGTAAAGTTTGCCATTTATTTTATTACATTTCCTTCTCCAAACTGCTATTTAACTTAAATTGATATATTATGATTTAGTCCACAACCACATTTTAGTATAGAATTGATTTTTAGAAGTGCTTTTAAGTGGTCGTATATTGTGGTGGTTTAGAGATCATGTTGCTTAGCCACAGTCCTGGATGGAAACTCAGCTCCACTGCCTACCAACAGAATCACTCAAGGTACGTTACTTCATTTCTCACGCTTCAGTTTCCTGAAGTAGAAAATTAGAAGAATAATAGTTTCTACCTTATAAGATTGTTGTGGAGATTAAACAAGATAACACAAAGTGCTTGAAGTGATATAATACAAAGTAACTATTCAATAAAATTGTACTGTTAATATTATTTCAGGAAGCACAAAAGACACCATCATGACTCCGGAAAAATATATTATACATTCCTTACGACTAAGTTCGATCTTGTCTGGATAACATCACCTGAGGCCTAAACTTCAGGGGACATCTTAAAGATGAATCCGGTTTTTGTTTTTGTTTTTGTTTTCTGATAAGGTCAAGGGGTGATGATTTTGTGTCACAGGATATAAACAAGAAGGGGATCATCTTCTTGACTGTCCACAATCTTCTGTGTTTTCACCAGCATTTATATAAGTACAATATATAAAAGCTTTTGAAAGGACTCAAATGTTCAAGTGACTTATCTCATGCTCAATGGCAGAGTTAGAAAGATATGATAACAATTGCTTATGTTTCTATACCGTTAAATTTTATAAAGCACATGTACTAGGTTCCAAAAGGTGCCATAACACAGTACCACGAACTGGGTGTCTTAACAGAAGTTTTGTCTTTCACAGTGCTGGATGCCAAAGGTCCAAAAGCAAGCTGTCTGTGGTGTTGGTTTCTTCTGAGGGCTTTGAGGGAGAATCTGTTTCATGCCTCTCTCCTATCTTCCAGTGATGACTGACAATCATTTCTATTCTGTGGCTTGTGGATGCCCTCAATCCAATCTCTGTTACTATCTTCACATATGCTCCCCCTGCATCTCCATACATTCTCATGGCCATCTCCTTAGAAGAATACCAATGGGAAGGATTAGGGTCACTCTACTCTGGTATGGCCATATTTTAACTTAGCTAATTATATCCACAATAATCCTATTTCCAAATGAGGTCACATTCTGAGTGCTGGGAGCTAGGACTTCAGCAGATCCTTTCTGGGGGACTCAATTGAATCCATAACAGCACGTTAATAGCAATTCAGAGAGTAAGAATTATTGTCCCTGCTCTCTATATAAGGAACCAAGGGCTTGAATAATGTAAGTGTCTTGTCCAATGTGACACAGCTATTTCCTAGATTAAGCTCAGATCTTATGACTCCAAGCTTAATGCCTTTTTGCAATTGCACCAATATCACAATAATAGCTTCCATTTCTTGTTTGCCTACTATTTATCATGAACTTTATATATTGGTTAATAAGTTTTGGTTTGCAGAAACAAATAAAAATTACCTCATACTGGCTTAAGCTACAAAGATGATCACTGGCTATTATAACTGAAAATCAAGAGATGTGGTGGGCGTAAAAGTTGGAGATTTACTCTTTGTCTTATTATTATTATTTCTCATCATCTTTTTTCCTTTCTTTTCTCTTCTTTTCCATCTCCCAACAATGCAGTTCAAAAGTCAATGGGTGGAGTCTAGGCAAAGTAGGCATTTGTGCAGGGAGGGGAGCTGTGGATGCCAAGAGTAGAGAGCTGAAGCCTGAGCATCCTGAGAGGTGGTGGAATGACCTGGAGCGGGATGTGGAACCAGGGAGGAGGGCATCCGTGCAGACGCACACACCACCGAGGGGATGCAATGATAAGAATACAGCATCACTTCTGTAATATTCCTGCCAAACACGTATAAATGAATCTAATCATGAGTAAATACCAGACAAACTCAGATTGAGGGATATTCTGCAAAATAACTGGCACGTACTCTTCAAAAATGTCAAGAGCATAGAAGTAATGACCAAGGGACTGTTCCAGATTAAAAGTGGCAGAGAAACATGAAAACTAGATGCAATGCATAATTCTGGACTGGATTATTTAGTTATAAAAGTCATAATTGGAACAACTGACAAAACTCGAATGTGATTTGAGAATCAGGTGAAAGTAATGAATTAATGTTAATATGCTAATTTTGATAGTTCTATTTTGGTTATTCAGGAGAATATCCTTGTTTGTAGGACATAAATTCTAAAGTATTAAGGAGTGATGGAGCATCACATTGACAACTTAAATTGGTTGAAAAATAAGAAGTTATTTGTACTGAATTTGCCAACATCAAAAGTTAGGGTTTGATTTAGTGGCTCATTGGTGTCAATAGAGATCCAGTCCCTCTCGATCGACTGTGCGTTCCCGTATGTCAGCTTCTAGGGGTTTCCAGGGAAAGGCATTTTTTTTCCCCCCTAAGGCTGGCTCTCCTTCATAGTCATAAAATGGCTGCCAACAAAGAGAAGGGAGAGGAGGCTGGGGAGGGTTGGGGAAAGGGAGGGTTGGAGAATGAAAGCGTTGGGGGAATTGCTTCTAGAAGCTTTCTGGGAAAAATGAGAAAGGAAAAATAAGAAAGTTAGGAAACCTTTTTCTGGAAACCCCTAGAAAATGTCTTAAATCTCATTGGCCTAAATTGGGTCATGTTTGGCAAATGAGCTCATGTTCATCAGTATAAGCTTGACCTGCTTTGCTGCTTTTTCCAAAGCACATGAGCTTCACATGGGGGGAGATTTAAATAGCTGAATGAAAATGTGAGGTTAGGCAGGCAATTACAATATCCACACTGAGGGTCAGTATATCATTGTGGTTAAGAGCTTCGGTTCTGGAGCTAGACTATCAAGGAAGAACCTTGGTTCTGTTCATTTCTAGCTATGTGATTTTGCACAATTTCTTTCATCTGTCTTTGCCCAGATTTGTCCACATATGAACTGAAGAAGAAAATTTTGTCTACCTCACAGAATTATTGTGAGAATTCCATGAATTAGCAAACGGAAAGCACTCAGAATAGTGCCTGATGCATAATGAGTATTCAAAAAACACTATCATCTCAGTTTATATTTACACTATCCCATTTTACAGAAATATTGAAAATTTATGCTTGCTATATACCACACTGTTCTAGACATTAAAAATGTAATAATATTCCAGACAGCCTGAATCTATCTAAGATGAATTTAAATAAGGAGCTTGTTTAGGATCAGAGAGCTAGCAACGGCCAACTACTGTTTAAGTACAGAAGGTCACGTTGCATAATGAAACCAGGCAGAATGATACAGAAATGATAAGACTTGAGATGACATTTTTCTCCAAATTTCACAACACAACATACATTTCTAAACTTTACGAATTTTTAAAATTGTGGTTGACAATAGTTTAAGGAACTACACTGGAAGGAGGGTTTGGTTTTGTCTTCAGCTAACATTTATTGAGCATTTACTTCATGCCACATACTACACATCAACTTGATTAAATTTCAGCAGGACCCTGGAGAGTCAGTGTTACTACTGTCACCATGCTACAGATGAAGAAACCCAGGCTGATAGAAATGGAGTGAATCTCCCAAGATCACAGAGTAGTCATTAATGGAGCTACGATTCAAACCCACGTTAGTCTAAATACAACTTTTTTCTCCCTCAGTTACTGTTGTGCCTTAAGCTGCAGCAAATAGGTGATACCTAATTCATTAGCATTTATTGAACAGCTACTATTTGCCAGACACTATCTTAAATACTATGAGCGATGGAAAGCTGGACAACTCCAGCCTTCAAAGTAGTCTCCTGTTGGTCCAGATTATGAGATACACCTCATAGTCTTATTTAAAACTACTCATGTAGATTCAATCAGACTCGAGCATTCAATGCTTAAGAAAGTCTTCAAGGACTGACAGCAGGATCTAAGGGTAGTTTCAACTTATGTGGCAAATATAAGTTGAATGTTGATTTTTTACAATATAGCAAAATTCTGTATATGTATTTCAACTATACAATAGCAAGACAGGCAGTCATTCAAATAAAGGCAGCAGAAAAGCAAAATATACTTAATAGTAGAATTTTCTGGTTTGATCACACCTCCCCAGAATGCTTACTGGCAGAGGAGCAAAATGATCTTTAGGGAATATATCAAGTGTTTATGCAATCCCTCTTCTCCCACCCTATAAGGCTCCTTTGGCTTTTCCACCACTCCTTCTTTTTCACTTTTTCCTTTCTGATGCTCTTATATACTCTTTCCTTCCTTTTCTTTCTCCCTGTCTTTCTGTACCTTTAAATTTTTCTCTGCCTTTGCCTTTAGCCTGGTAGTGGCCCTCAAGGGCACTGTCTACCCTGCTGCTGACTTCTGGGGCTAAAGCATTTGCTAAACCTGTGTTCTGGGTGATAGGGCATCAAATTCAATCCCTCACTAGCTGAGTTATTAAGGATCCTATGGAATTTCTCACTATGGTGTTAACTGAGCCATCTGGCCCCTTGCCCTCAGAGCTGTTGCTTTGGCCTCCTGCAGACCCTTGTCTGCAGTTTCAATTGAAGAGCCATCTCTTACATCTTCAAAGACTCTTCCACTGATTTGCTACAGGCAAGCCCATCCCTAGGCAAGATTTTTCCATTGGCTGCTGAACTTGAGAGTCTCTCTCCCCAACCACAGCCATTCTCTACAAGTTCCCAGAGATCTCAGGTTATTTCTGGCCACCAAAGCCCTCCAATTAAAGAAGTGTGTCCAAGTCTCATCTTCTGGGTGGCATCACATGCTCTGAACTTTTTCTTTTTTCTTGTTTCTATTCTCCTACTCAAACATGCTTGCCCTACATCCTATTCTCCTGTGACTGCTCTGTCTGTTAGGAGACAGCTAGCTGGGCTGAGAAACTAACCTGTGTTAAAGGGATAACACTTGCAAATGATCAGTAGTTTTCCTTACATCCCCCAGTCACCGAATCCTCAATTCTCTCCACAGAGTTTCATTTCTAAATCGCAGCGAATACCTCTATTGAGCAATTGCCATGTGTCAAGCTCTTATATAGGTGTTTTACATTGACTTATGTAATCTTCATAACAACCCTATAAGCTAATCACTGTTATTGCTATTAGTATCACCCCCAGTTAACAGATGAATAAATTGAGGCTGAAGAGGTTAAATCATTCACTCAAAGTAAATCCACAGAGCCAGGATTTGCTTCCAGGCATTTCTGCCACAGTGCCTCTGCCCTTCCCTCCATGCCTGCTCTCTGTCAATTCTGCCTCTTCTTTCTGGTGGGAATCTGGGATCCCTCTGCTTAAACACCTTAAATGCTAGATGATGCTTACACCAACTAGAAAGCAAAAAAATTCTTCATAACCAGAACCCCAACTAGCTTTCAAGATTTAGCCTCCATTTCTCCACTCCACATGCCAGTATTTGGCATGTACATTCCCTTGATATAATGTATATTCTTGTTAGTCTTTCTTAAGGAGTCTAGGAAATGCTACCTCAAAATATGCTGCTTTGTAGACTGATTACTTCAAACTGAAGGCATTTGATAAAGCAGCAAATATAGGGAGAGGCTTTCTCTGGGCTTCCCTTATCTGCCTAAAGACAGATAGTCCAAAAGAAACTCAACTATCATGAATCCCCTCCCTGGGAGTCTCATCAACCAGGGAAGATTAACTCGTATCCCAGGAGAGGAGGCTGGAAATCAACACCACACTCAGACTTCATCACAGACTGTCGCCTGTTCTTTTAAGATCCCATTCATCTTTCCTCAAAATTATTTATTCTCCCCTAAGTTTTCTATAACCCCCTCCCCTATAAAGACAGTATATAAGCTAGTGAATCTCACTGTTTTGGGTATATTCGCTTTTCTTTTCTGTGATGTCCTGTGCACATTATAAATTTGTATACTTCTCCCATTGATCTGCCTGTTGTCGGTTTATATCATAGACTCAGTTATTGAACCCTCAGAGGGTAGCGAGGAAGTCGTCTCTCCCCTGAACTTTCATCATTATTACCACTCAATGAATGCATTTCCCACACTCTGTGACTGGAAAACCCTTGCTCATTCTTCAAAACTCGTCTCAAAATTCTTGTCCTCTTTGAAGATGTCTCCAGACAGATAATTAAGTATTTATCCTTCTTTGCTCTCTCATACATACTTTGTGTATATGACAGTATGCAAACTAGCTTAGGAAAAAAAAAAAAACAATGACCTTGGGTATTCTACAGCTCAAAATATGTAAATAGAGTTTCAGCTCCCTTGCTATCTCTCTTTTTATCTCTTTATCTTCATTTCTCAAAAAGGCTTTCTTCACATGGTGGACCTATGGTTATGGGCAGCCCAAGACTCACATCTTATTTGTTTAGCAATTCTAGTAAAAAGAAAGCTTTTTCTCCAATAGTGTTAACAGGAATGTCACAGAGAGGGCTTTAGTTGGCTTGCATGTCCAACCCTAAATCAGTCACTGTGACTAGGTAAAAGGATAAATTTAATATTGAACACCCTAGATTAGATGCCTAATCCTGTAGTAGGGGGAGGGGTACTAGGTGAGGGGGTGATAGTCAATCTTCACCAAACAAATGAATAGTTACCCCCCCAGGAATAGGGATAACCTTTATTTAAAAGAGGGCTGGGCATGGTGGTGCATACTAGTAGTTCCAGTGACTTGGGAGGCTGAGGTGGGGGGATCGCTTGAGCCCAGGAGTTTGAGGCTACAGTAAGCTATGATTGTGTCACTGCACTCTAGTCTAGGTGACAGAGCAAGTCCCTGTCTCAAAAAATAAATAAAATAAAATAAAATAAAAAATAAAAGAAAGAATAAGGGATGCTGAGCAGATCTCAGGTTTTCATTGCATTACACTCCTTCTCTGGCTCACATTCATACCATAGTCATACCTCAGCTATTGCTGGTTCCATTCCAGACCACAACAATAAAGTGAATAGCACAATAAAGTAAGTCACACAAACTTTTTGGTTTCCCAGTGCCTATGAAAGTTATACTGCAGTCCATTAAGTGTGCAATAGCATTATGTCTAAAAAATGAGCATACCTTAATTTGAAAAACACTTTACTGCTAAAAATGCTAACAATCATCTGTGTCTTTAGCAAGCTGTCATCTTTTTTGCTGGTGGAGAACCTTGCCTCATTGTTGATGGCTGCTGACTGATAAGGCTGGTGGTTGCTGAAGGCTGTGGTAGCTGCAGCAATTTCTTAAAATAAAACAACAATGAAGTTTACCTCTTTCATTGACTCTTTCTTTCATGAAAGATTTCTCTGTAGCATGCAATGCTGTTTGATAGCATTTGACCAACAGTAGAACTTTTTTCAAAATTGGAGGCAATCTTTTCAAACCCTATCACTGCTTTATCAATTAAGTGTATGAATATTCTAAATCCTTTGTTGTCATTTCAACATTGTTCACACGTCTTCATGAGGAATAGATTCCATCTCAAGAAACCACTTTCTTTGCTCATCCATAAGAAGCAACTTCTTATCCACTAAAATTTTATCATGAGATTGCACCAATTCAGCCACATCTTTGGGCCTCACTTCAATTCTAGTTCTTTTGCTATTTCTGCCACATCTGCAGTTACTTCCCCCCACTGAAGTCTTGAACCCTTCAAGGTCATCCATGAGGGTTGGGATCAACCTCTTCCAAACTCTTGCTAACATTGATATTTTGACCACCTCCCATGAATCACAAATGTTTTTAGTGGCATCTAGAATGGTGAATCCTTTCCAGAAGGCTTTTAATCAACTCTGTCCAGATTTATCAGAGGAATCTCTATCTATGGTGGCTATAGCCTTATGAAATGTATTTCTTAAATAATAAGACTGAAAGTCAAAATTACTCCTTGATCCATGGATATTGTGTTAACAGACATGAAGACATTAGTCTCCTGATACAGCCCCATCAGAGCTCTTAAGTGACCAGGTGTGTTGTCAATGAACAGTAATATTTTGAAAGCAGTGGGTTTTTTTGGTTTGTTTTCTTTTTTGTTTGTTTTTGTTTTTTTTTCTGAGCAGTAGGTCTCAATTGTGGGCTTAAAGTAATCAGGAAACCATGCTGTCAAGAGACATCTCCAGGCAGATGATGTTCCATTTGACAGAGCATAGGCAGAGTGGATTTAGCATAATTCTTAAGCATCCTACAGTTTTTGAAATGGCAAGTAAACATTTGCTTCAACTTAAATTCACTCACTACATTAGCCTAACAAGAGAGTCGGCCTGTCCTTTGAAGCTTAGAGGCCAGGCTTTGATTCCTCTTTAACTATGAAAGCCCTAGATGGCATCTTCTCCCAATAGAAGACTGTTTTGTTGACATTAAAAATCTGTTATTTAGTATAGGCACTTTCATTAATGATCTTACCTAGACCTTTTGGATAACTTGCTGATGCTTCTACATCAACATTTGCTGCTTCGCCTTGCACTTTTATGTTATAGAGATAGCTTCTTTCCTTAAATCTCATGACCCAATCTCTGCTGGCTTCCAGCTTTTCGTCTACAACTTCCTCACCTTTCTTAGCCTTCATAGAATTGAAGAGAGTTAGCGCCTTGCTCAGAGTTATGCTTTAGTTTAAAGGGATGTTGTGGCTGGTTTGATCTTCTATCCAGACCACTCAAAATTACTTCACCTTAGAAATAAGTTTCACTTTCTTGTCATTTGTGTATTGACTAGAGTAGCACTTTTAATTTTCTTTGAAAAGATTTCTTTGCATTCACAGCATGGCTAACTGGTGCAAGAGGCCTAGCTTTCAGCTTATTTTTGGGTTTTGCTGTGCCTTCCTCACTAAGCTTAATCATTTTTAGCTTTTGATTTAAAGTGAGAGACATGTGACTCTTTCACTTGAACACTTAGAGGCCACTGTAGGGTTATTAATTGGCCTGATTTCAATATCATTATATCTCAGAGAATAGGGAGGCCCTAGGAGAATAAGAAAGATAGGGGAGCAGCGGGTAGGTGGAGTAGTCAGAACACACAACATTCATTGCTTAAGTAAGTTCAGTGTCTTATATGGGCATGGTTTGTGGCACCCCAAAACAATTACAATAGTAACTTCAAAGATCACTGATTAGAGATCACCATAACAAATACATAATAATGAAAAAGTCTGAAATATTATGAGAATTACAAAAAGGTGATGCAGAGACATGAAATGAGCACGTTATTGGAAAAATGGCCCAGAATAATTTGCTTGACCCAATGTTGCCACAATCTTTTAATTTGTAAAAAACACAATATCTGCAAAGTGCAATAAAGTGAAGCACAATAAAATGAGGTATGCTTATACATACCATTTCAAAGATACCTTCATCATGAACTTTTCTACCAACAACCAAAAACACACTATTCAAAAGAGAGAATCCAAAAGTTTTCCCAATTGCTATGTCTAGCTCCATGTTCAGGACCTCTGGTCTCAGTCTAAGCAAATAAGGCTCTTAATGATATAGCAGCCTGTGAAATTAACCACATCAATACACCCAATATACGGTGGTGATGGTAAAACAAGAGAAATATACCAAGCACTACCATTTAGAAACCACCTACAATACCATGGTTACTGCTGCAAAACATATATCCTGCCAGACAGGGATTGTAATGATATCCTATCTAGGCAATAAAGTGGTTTGCTAGGTTGAGTGATATAACTGCCCTTTGTCCTGTCCTCTGGGAAGACCATTCTTGCTCACTGCTCTTCATGAGCACATATGAGAGAAGTATTGAAGAATATTCATTTTCTGGGAGTTTAATTGCCACAGCAGTGCAATTCGTGTTAGGGGAATAATTCTAGGGTATAGCAGATTATAGACATAGACCTTGGGGAAATAAGTACTTTAAAACTTCACTTGACCACCGCACAATTATCTTGCCAGAAAATCCACAGACTATTAATTGCGGTCAGAGAATTTGTCAAGTCATGGTCTCTAAACCTGGATTAGAGTTAGAGTTACTCTTTCTACTTCTATCTCCTAATGAGAGGCCTTTATGATGGTACATGCTCACTGCACTTAACTTAAAATGTTCTTACAGCAGAGCCCTCTCCTCATCTCTCTGCTTCCAGACAGTCCAGCTTAGACCTGAGCTGGTACCTTATGATATCTCATATTACAATATCTTATTGAAAAATTTAAAAAGCAATCAAGAGGGGGAGGTTGTGCTTGTGTGGAACAAGGGTATATAAGAATTCTTTATACTTTCTGCTCTATTTGGCTATGAACCTAAACTAGCTCTAAGATATAAAGTTTATTAATTTAAAACGAAAATAATTAACAAACTCCAAAATCCTCATGTTTCCTATAAAATTTTCCAAAATTAGTTTTTGTAGGTATATTTCTATATCAAGAAAAAATTAGCAAAGACATCATAAGAAACTGTTTCTGACAGTTAAGTAGAGACAACTTCTCAGAGATGGAATAGTGTTTTAGCTTTGCTTACTTGTTATACCATTCTTGATACCAATTTCTGTTCCAGGATTTGTTGATTATAAGCAATAAGAAGAGGCCAGGCATGGTGGCTCACGCCTGTAATCCCAGCACTTTGGGAGGCCAAGGCTAGTGGATCACCTGAGGTCAGGAGTTCAAGACCAGCCTGTCCAACAAGGTGAAACCCTGTCTCTACTAAAATTACAAAATTAGCCAGGCATGATTGTGTGCACCTGTAATCCCAGCTACTGGGAGGCTGAAGCAGGAGAATCACTTGAACCCGAGAAGCAGAGGTAGCAGTGAGCCGAGATCGCTCCACTGCACTCCAGCCTGGGTGACAAGAGTGAAACTCCACTCAAAAAAAAAAAGAAAAGAAAAAAAAGCAACAAAAAGAAGGAAAAAAGGAAGGAAGAAAGGAAGGAGGGAGGGAAGGAAGGAAAGAAGAGAGGGAAAGAAGGAAAGGAAAGAAAGGCACAATTACATAAAAGAATTCATTGATGAACTAAAAGTCTCTCATACTGGCAGGAGGAATTGGACTGTCAAGTCTCAGGAAGGTCAGAAACAGGGTAGTCCTAGGAATTTTGGTGCTGAAAAACAATAGGCATCTCTCCAGAGTGTTGTCATCAGAATGGAACAAACATTACTGTTTTCTACCCTTGTGCCATTTAGTATAAGATTTACATTCCTGAGAAAGAGAATGCAGTTGGTTTGGTTTCAGTCATGTGCCCATTTCTGAATAAATTTGGGATGAGCTGAGAGACGTGGGCATGGAGTACTTTCTGATGGCTATGTATCAATGTTGGACCCACACCTTTCTTTGATATAACTCAATGTCACAAGCAGAATAGATTCCTTTGAGAAAAAGCAAATTTTTTTGCCATTAGGAAAAGGGGAAGGGATGATGGCAGGGCCAGCTTAACAAATCCCTGCTTCAATATTAAGTATGGTACTTAATACTTTACATTTCATTTTATTGTTTTAATGTCTATCACCCTTGCTGAACTTGATATTGCTTAAAACAATGCCTGCAATGCCTAGTAAAAAATAGATACATAGAGCTGTTTCAATAAGTGTTTTTTAATTGCTAGCTTAAAGTATTATCCATTTAAGGCATATTAACAGGGATCTTCTAGGAATATTGCCCAATGTTTTTAAAGTGATGATGTAAATTACAAATAACACATTAGGATAAGTGGTTCATCTAAGCACATCAAACCACTCCAGTTGAAGACTCATAATCTTAGGGTTGGAAGGAAATTTACAGATCACATTCCAGTCTCTTTTCTCGTCTTCAGGACCACCCCATCATGCCCACACTACATGTGTCACATTAAGCAAAGGACTTTTCCATAACCTAAATGGTTTTATTTTAGTAAGACATAAATTGTATACCTTGAATAAAACCATTAATATGAGAAATAAATGTATACCAATTGGGTGTATTTTCTTAGTAATTGTGAAAAGGAATAACTGGATAAAATAGGCATTTAGGAGACAGGCTATGGAGTCATAATCCCCACTCTACTACATCTGACCACAGTTAGTATGTGAAATGGGAATAAGAATATTCATTTCATGGTCGATGTGAAGACTAAATCCAATAATGTTTATAAAGTCTTAGCACACTTTGTGGCATATTATAAAATTCAATAAACAGTAGAGCTTTTATTAAATCTGATCTGCCATTAGATTTGATATGCAAATATTTCCAGGGGATTGCTTACAATAGCCACACAAATTATAAACAACCTATTAGAATATTCATATTGGAATCTTTGCTTCTTTGCTAGCACTGATTCCACTAATGACGTATTATCAGTCTTATTAATGATCACTATGCTATCCCTTACACAAATATTAAGCTTTGCCTTTTAGCCCTAGGCTCTTTACTCCTATGCTCATTAACTTTGTAGTGTTCTAAAGTCATTCTCTGTCACTCTTTATTTTTGCGCCTCTAGGTGATTTTATACTAATAAGAGCACCTTCTATTTGGCAACCTTGCAACGAATGTTGCTTTATCCATTATCACAGGTTAGATGTACTACAGACCATTCAGCTTTGAAATTAAACTGTAAGAATAAAAACATACAGTTTAAAGAACTTCTACATTCACTACAAACCTCTGCATTTCCTTTTGACTTTTCTGTTTTCCTTTCCTATTCTGGACATCTGAGGGAGAATCTGGATGTCACACCCACACAAGTGCTACCTGAGTATCTAGCTTTCAGGACAGAAGAACAATAAGGATAGCCCCTGCTACAGCCCTCCCCAGATTATGTCAATGTGGTGCTAGTTTTGGGACCTTGTGTAGACATTTATAACTGTGCAGGGTCAACAAATTTATTTATCTTACCCTTTCCTTATGCCAAATCTCTCCAAACATGTTGTAAAATCTTCAAAATGAAGATTACATTTTGTATATGTATATATGTGTATATATATACACACATATATTTTTTTATTTTTGTTTTATTTATTTATTTCTTTTGAGACAGAATTTTGCTCTGTGGCTCAGACTGGAGTGCAGTGGTATGATCTTGGCTCGCTGCAACCTCCACCTCCTGGGTTCAAGCAATTTTTGTGCCTCAGGCTCCCGAGTAGCTGGGATTACAGGTGTGTATCACCATGCCTGGGTAAATTTTTGTATTTTTAGTAGAGATGGGGTTTCACCATGTTGACTAGGCTGGTCTCTAACTCCTGGCCTCAAGTGATCCACCCCCCTTAGCCTCCCTAAGTGCTGGGATTTTAAGCATGAGCCGCCACACCTGGCCAGGATGAAATTTAAAAATAACTTTCCTCAACTCCTTGGGCAGAAGGCATGTTGATATTTTTATCATTATTATTATCATTTAGTTGAATGGTGATACTATAAATAATATAATGCACATTCTTTCTCCAACTCTTATAAATGTTCACTGATCTATTTATTCAATAAATATTTACTAAGCCTCTCCTTTTTTTCTAGATGATAGAAACATAGTAGTGAACAATGCAGATATAATCTGCTCATAAAACCTAGTGTGAAAGACTGGTAATTAAACTAGCAATTATAAAAGAGAATAGCAAACCCTGCCATAGAGGAGACTCAAGGTGTCATGGAAGCATACAGCAAAAATGTGTAATATGAAAAATATCAGGAAAGACTTCCTGGGGGAAGCTTAGAAGAAGGAATGAGATTTAGCTATATTCAAAAGAGGATAAAGGAAATAAAGAGTAAAGGCAGAGGAAACAGTGAAGACAAATATAAAAGGTCTACAAGAGAATACCTTGCATAGTTCTTGACACATATTTAGACTCAGTAATCCCTTACTGATTGAAAGAGAGAGCAAAAGCATGGCATACTAGAGGAATTAAAAAGAAGTTCACCATGTGTCTTAGTCTGTGTCCTGCTGTTATAACAGAATACTGCAGTCTGAGTAACTTATAAAAGAAAGAGGTTCATTGGCCTATGGTTCTAGAGGCTGGGAAGTACAAGACTGAGGAGTTGCATCTTGTGAGGGCCTTCCTGCTGTGTGATAACATAGTAGAAGACATATTATGATGACAGAAATGGGGATTAAACTTACTCATTTATCAGGAGCCCCCTCCCATGATAACTAACCTATCTCTGTGATAATGGCATTGATCCACTTACGAGGGCAGAGCCCTCATGGCCTAATTACTGCCTAATGGCCTCATTTCTTAATACTGTTACAATGGCAATTAAATTTTAACATGATGTTTTGAGGAGGCATTCAAATTATGGCATTTTGCCCTGGCCCTCAAGGTACTTCTCACACATAAAATATATCCATTCCATCCCAATAGCCCCCAAAGTCTCAGCTTACTCCTCCAACTCAAAAATCTGAAGTCCAGAGTCTTATCTAAATCAGATATGGGTAAGACTCAAGGCATGATTCATCTGGAGACAAATTCTTTCTAGCTGTTAGCCTATGAAATCAAAACAAGTTATCTATGGTGGGACAAGCATAGGATAGATATTTCCATTCCAAAAGGGAGAAAGAGGCAGAAAAAAGAGGGTAACTGGTCCTAAGTCCAAAACCCTAAGAGGGAAAACAACATTAGGTCCTAAAGCTATTATAGCAACAATTCCATTCACAGTACTAATTTTCTGTTTTATTTTGTGTTTTGCTGCTATAACGGAATGCCATAGACTGGACACTTTAGAAAGAAAAGAGATTTATTTGGCTCACTGTCTGGAGGCAGGGAAGTTCAAGATCAAGGGCCACACCTGGTAAGGCTTTTCGTATTGCATCATAACATGGTGGAAGGCATCACATGGTGAGAGAGGACAACAGTGAGCAAGAGTACAGGACAGAGGAAGAATGGGGGCTAAATTTACCCTTTCATCAGGAACCCACTCCTGTGACAACTAACCCATTCCCTTGACAATGGCATTAATCATCTCTTAATGTTATAATGTCAATTAAGTTTCAATGAGTTTTGGAAAGAATATTCAAACTACAGCACCATGGCTAAACTGAAGAGAACAAGTAAAAAAATCTTGCCAATTAAAAGAGAATGAATACGTAGAAGCAGATCATGTAACCTGCAAAAAGGAGTCAAAGCATTGTCTTTTTTGAACAATGGAAAGCTATTGAGGAGCTTGAAATAAGACAATGACTTGTACAGACTTTTATTTTAAAAATATCACTCCATCTGTAGTGTGGAAAATAAATTGGGACCACTACAGGAGATAAAGAAATCATTTTAAAGTCTGTGGAATAATCCAAGCAAGAGAGAACAGTGACTGGAATTAAGGTATGTGGGGAAATTGTATGGATTTGATAAATACTTAGGGTTGCGTGAAAACGTCTTTAAGACATTGGATGAAATGCACTGGTGAGTGGAAGAGATCTAGGAGGAATCTCAGGTTATTGGCCTGAGCAGCTGAGATAAGTAACATGAGAGAAAGAACAGGTTTGAAATAAAAGATAAATTGTTCTGTACTGAGTTCCAAATACCTGTAGAAAACCAAGAAAACGTGTTCAGCAGGCAATAGCTTAACTGGGTCTGAAGTTCAGAAAAGACATATGTGTTGGAAATAAAAATTTCGAAAATGTCAGAATGTGGATGGAAAATTAAACCTACTGAAATAGATATGCTCTTACATTTAGAGGAGACTGTGACCAATACCAACACTGAAGACCTGGACAGATGAAGATGAGAACACAAGGAAAACTGAGAGGAAGGGGCCAGAGAGTTATGGAAGAAACCAGGAGTATATAACAACACATAAGCCAACGAGGAGATTGTCTTAAGTTAGAGGAAGTTATTTCCAGTGTCAAATGCTGTGAGGGGGTTAAATATGATTATGCCTGAAAAGCATCTATTTAATAAATTTTGCAACAAGCTTATTCCTTGTGACCTATAGGAGTAGGCTCAGAACAGTAGCAGGAGAATAACTCAGATTACTTTGGGTTAAAGAGTGATTGAGAGGTGAATAAATGAAAGTAACATATAGACTTCTTATTTCAGTAAGGTTTGCTGTAAAGAGAAAGAAAAATGAGGCAGTAGCTAAAGGAAGATCTGGGGTCCATGGGAGTGGCTTACATATAGACTGGAAAGAATAACCAAAGAGAGCAAAACTAAAGATAAGGAAGAAGGAGCACAATTAATAGAGTGAGGCCTCTGCAAAAGCACAAACAATGGGAATTAAGAACCCAGAAGAAAGAGGACATTTCTTTAGGAGAAAAGATACACATTCTACAGATATATGTAGGAGAAGAGGATAGATACAGATGCAAGTGTGTGCGTGCAGAGACAGGAGTTAGAAGGAGACCTTGGCTGATGGTGTCTATTTTCTCTGTAAATTAGAAAGTAAGGTCATCTAATGAGACAAGGAAGGTGGTAGGATACGAAGTGAAAGGACACTAGAGACTTGAGAAACAAGAGCACATTAAGAAAATAGAGAAGAATGATCAGTTGACACTGAGAGCTCAGTAGACTCCAAGATTTTAAAGTTTTGGTTGTACAATCTTCAGAACTGTGTAACTAGCTATTTTGAGTACTGCAGGCATAGGCTGCAGTGACAAACAGTTGGATGGAACCAATTGGATTATTCTCCAGCTTCAGAAGGCAAATAGCTGGCCCTCTGCTAGGCTTCTAAGGAGGAGTTAAATCTTTGAATTCAGAGAGATTCATGTAAAATTAACATAATTACCTCTCCCAGTGCCACAAGGATGGAAGGAATAGTGGAAGCAGCAGCAGGCTAACAGACAAGACCTGAATTGTAATCATAACTCTATCCCCAACAGCCATGCCTCCTTCTTCAAGTCAGTGGGTCTCAATTCTCTAATCTATAAAATAAAAATATTATAGAAGAAATCCCCCTCAAATTAGTGTTCTAAGTTTTTGTGAAAACATTGCTGCTCACCTATATCAGGTGAAGGGCACCTCCACATCACCATAAATTGAAGAAAACATTTTGCAAACAGGAAAACTGAGGGGTAAGCTTCTAGAAAACCTCCTATGCTAGACAACAGAGATCCCCTGATTACCTCCAAACCCACATCTTCCTCACATTCAGAAATACTCTCAGGTTAGGCTTGCAGTGTGAGAGGTCTGTAGAATCTATGGCATTATCAAGAAAAGCAGTTCACCTTGATAGCATATCCCAGAGAGAAGACAGCATCTTTTGAACTGTGCGAAGTGACTGGTCCAGAAAGTATCCATGAAAATTAACATCCTCCCCCAGAGAGAAAAAGACATGTTAGGAAGCAAGATTAACAAACCTTTGTGTCGTTCAAAAATTAATCAACACACAGTTTAAACTCACATCAAAATAAAAAAATTTTTAAGCACCTTTCCTAGAAACTCAGGCCAGAGGATAGGGAAGAGATTTTTCTTTCATTTTCTTTCTCTGAAATCAGTCATTTGAAATCAGATGACTGATTTCAGAACAACTACTGAGTGTTGAACAATAAGACATTCAAAGACCAAAACTAGAGAGTCATTTTTTTCAGCACAACACCCTCGGGTAGCTGTTCGCTGTCTCTGGCAGACAAAATTATTTTCCAGTGGCTCCTGGAGGACCATCTATAAACAAATTAGAAATTTCAAAGGGTTTGTTTTCTGCCTTCTGGCTGCCAGTAGGAGCCATTCCCTTTGTGTCCTTCATATGAAAAAGTAATTTAACAAAGAAAAAAAGAGAGAGAGCTCCTTGGCTCAAAACAGACAAGCAAGTACACCTCCTTCCCCGCCCTTCTGTGTTTCCCCTCTGTCCATTGTCACGTTTGGTCAGTTTTCTGTCAAAACAACTTTTATTGTACGCAGCTTTCAGTCCTGCAGAGCTCCAGGAGCTTGGGAGACAAGCCATTTTCCTACAGCAATTTCATCAATAAGAAAAAAATGGAAAATGAGTACTGATTTATGGCTGATTCTTCATAACAAATAGCAGCAGCCAGTAAACGCCCACCCAGCTATGTAGGAAGGAAAAGTTAAGTGCGTCCATCCCCACCCAGTTCAGATGCAGACCCAAGCAAGTACAGCCTCAAAACAAAAGAGAGCTTTCTAAGCATTTCACAACAGCTTGTCAAGTAATGCACAAGGACATATTTCAAAGGAAAGAAAAAAATCAATTCTGCCGCATACTAACTCAGAGCTGGAGTGAGGCTTAATATCTACTAAAAAAAAAAAACCGTTATTCCCCAAAATATCCACCAGTATATAGGTATAAGAAATGTGTTATGCTCCACATGAGGACATTAGCACAATTGCTCCCAGGTTCCTGATAAGGAAACTGAGACCTGAACAGTAGGGAGAATATGTCTATAGTGCCATGGCAAACTGTCTTGAAGACAGGACCAGCAGGCCAGGGGCACTGCTCTCTGTGTTATGTGCTCTAAAGTCAACATATGGAGAATAAGAGGCTTTCCTGAGTTTTTGGCATGAAAAGTCCATTTTCTCATTATTATCTTAGTTTTCATTCTCTGGGATTGATTTGGGGCTTGGCTGGCAGTCAAGAGCTGAAGAACAGGAGGTTCACAAACACAGCTATTTCTAGTATGCTGATACTCTCTACTAATCATGGTTTAAGTGGCATGCCAAATCTAGACTTTGCTTTCTTGGGCCCCATTCAGAGGTTTGCACTTTGAGGTGAAAAGGTCTTAAAAGCCTTCCTAGCACACTGCATTTCATTTAAGGACATTCTTGGCTCGGGAAATCCAATTTGAAGCTATTGGTAGTATGCCAATAAAAAAAAATTACTATGTGGCCTTAATTCAGTTCTGGACATTTTTTAGAAACATAGTTTGGCATGCCTTTATTTTCTAATTCTATGTCTGTAAAATCTCTGGATTCTGTGGGTAGATTTCTAGCAGCAATTCCAGGCTTGGGGTCAAGAAAAGAATGAAAAAATGACCTTTAGGAGTAAAGGCTTCAAGAGTCAGAGCCCACGTCCAGCGTGCACTGTGTGCATGCATGTGTGTATGCGTGTGCCTGTTGCTGCGGGAGGCGGAGGTGAGCATGGGGTAGAGCGCTAGTGAACGAAGTGCTGTAGCACAGAAATGTGATGCTCCAGTTTGGCTAAGGTTCAAATACAACTTCACTCTAGAGCCCTGATTAAGCAAATGTTTAGAACAATATTCAAGTCATAAGCATCAAAAAAAAAACAATCATTTTCCCACTGCCCAGTTGAAATACTTTAACTCACCCTCAAACATGTGCCCTCCATACATGCTCCCAAATGCATGTCTAGGAGCCAGCTAAGAAACAAATATTTAAAATTAACTTACTTTTTGAAATAGCATTCACAGAAAATGTATTCCTCATCTGTTTCCCATGAATGAGATGAATCCATCCTTTTCTGCATGTGTTAAAGTAAAGCATAATCTTGAAAGTAGAGAAAAGGAATCAGTTTTCAATGAAAGTATTTATAGTACTTGGGCTGAAATAATTGACCTAGGTTCAAATGACTAATAGAGAACAGACAAATATTTCTTCCCTTCCCCCAATAACGTAAAAGAATACAGTATTATGGTGAAGACAAGATTTAATAAGCCCAAACACATGTATTCTAAGGAAGATGAAATGTAAGTCACAGAGGGAGTCTTGGTAGTATATTCAATACCATACAGCCATTTTACAAATTGTTTATTTCCTTTACCAGATGGACCCTTTTAAATTTCCTCTCTGTGTACCTTAGTCCTAATGGAAAACCCACCTGAATTGCTTCAACGTCTGCACAGCCCTTTCTGGGACCCTGGCTGGCGCAGCGCATGCAGAGTTAACGCCAACCTTGAGCAGCTCTCTCTGCCCTGAGTAAGGTTATTAAACAGGAACATTTGACTCACAATTTGTTCTCCTCATGTTAAGTAGATTGCAATAACTCAGCTGTCCAGGATCTGTTTATCAATGCTCTGTGGCTTTCAGCAGCAAATATTTTATAACCACTAAGTAGATGTTCAGACCACTCATCAAATGAAAATCTCCTGTACTCAGAGCTGGTGTTATCATCACAACCCACCAACTGAAGAGCCCTGCCCCAGAGCCTGTCAGGCTTAGTCAGATCCTCATTCTGGGGAATTCTCTTCCACTAAATGATTTAAATAGAAACTAGTTCACCGTCAGAAGAGGCTATGACATCTCAGAGACTCCTCATTGTCCTATAGTGTCCTAATAAATTGTCATTTTATTTAGTTTTGCTGTCTTCTTTGTATGCCTTCTAATAAACATTTTATATGCATTCCAATTCAAGAAGGGAGAAACAAGAAAAAGAAAGGGCAGGTAAATAGATTCTCCGACAGTCTGCATTCTGTTGATGCTGTATCCCTAAGACTAGACCATTTGAAATTAGCAATTTATTATTGCCACAGATATGCTTCTTCATAACAATCAGATTTTTGTTAATGAACCACAGTGGTTCTGGCATTGTCCACTTAAGATTTAAGGTACCTTCCCCAAAATGAAGGGCATACAACAATTTAACTGCAGGATATTGGCCAATTGTTAAGGTACTGGTAATTAAATCAGATCCTAAGGAACCTATTAAGTAACCTAATGTCTAAAATAGTATAAGAATAGAACATTAATGTAGGGGCCCAGACACTTGGCCTCCTGGAGGTTCAAAAATCACTGACATGAGGCAGATTAATGAAAGAAAAGGCTTATAAATTACTTACTATGTATACAAAGGAGCCTTCAGAATGAAGACCCAACTCCCCAATGAGGTACAGAAATTTATATTCTATCTTGAGGTTACAGAAAGAATGGGGGCTTGGGTGGCCAAAGAGGCTATGGGAGGCAGGGAGAAGGAGAATTCTGGGGAGGAGCAATAAATGATTACCAGGCAGAATGGATGGGAACAGAGGTGAACCAGTAAATAGCTATCATTGAAGTATGAATAAGTCTAAGAGACAGCCATCATCTTGCCAAAGGATCTGTTCAGGTTTGGTTCACTTTATTGGTCTTCTTTTCTTCAATAGATAATGAGGCCAGAGGAATGGAAAGAAAAACCAATTGTTCTTCTTTGTGGGCCCAAACTTTAGGCAGATAAAGGAACTTCAGAGATCAACTTTATCCTATGCTTTGGGGGAGACCCAAATTAGAGGGACCTTGAGACTTCTTCAGTTCAGCATGTCAAAATGCCATATTTTGGGGCATTGGTTTCTAAGCCCCAACATTAACATTTATCATTTTTGTTATTAAATGAAAATTTCCACATGCTGAATAAAAATGCTTGTGGTTTGATTTTTGAAACAAAGTTCTTGTGCTTATCAGTTATATAAACAAAGGAATTACCTATTTTAATTAAGCTTCTTTAAGTTGGGATACTGTCACTTCCAACCAGATAGCACTGAATAGTATCTATACTAGTACTAGGTATAGGGTACTATGATTGGCACAGCCTAGATCACTTGCCTACCTAGAGTGAGAGAGAGATAGTGCTGAGGGACATCTTGGGTGCAGGAAAGGCATTACCCCAAAGAATAGGGCCATTCCTAGTAAAAGACAACAAAAGAAATGCAAGGAGACAAAAACACCCATTAACTAATCTAATGTCAACTACTATCCTGAAAATCTCTCTCCCTAATTGTCCCTGTTTTCTGTGGGTTACAATAGCCACATTAATCACAAAGTATTAGTCCCATCACTATGACAACTACTGAAAATCTCATGAACAGAATGATTTACAATTAGAAAAGAAATAAAAAGATTATTAGAGGAGGCTTCTCATGATGAAGTGATATTTAATCTGAATTTTGAGGAAAAAACACGTAATAAGACAAATTTAAGAGTTTAGGGTTAAAGTTATCCTAAATGTAAAGTCCCTTTAACTCTAAAGAATTTAGAAAATTCTGCTCTAATTCACATGTAGAAAGAAGCAAGAGACAGCTGCTCTCACCCTAACAATAAAAAGGCTGGAAAAGCTACAGAATAATAATTTTTTAGAGCCCATCAGAAAAGGAGACAAAGAAAGCCATGTGAATAAAATACCAGAGAGTAACATATCCTTTTCAAGAGAGAAGAGACACAACACTGCTCTCATACCTGGCAGAACTTCAGGAGGGAGAGGAATATACCTGAAACATAGTCACCAAAATTTGAATGACCTTTAAATAGCTTCATGTGGGAAGCATGATAGATCACAATCTGAAGGAGCTCCAGTCACAGAGCAGGACTCCAAGCACACAGTGTTGTTTACATGAGTCTTCCCTGAGTGCTCAGGAGCAGTATATCCGCCCAACATGGTAAAACCCCGTCTCTACTAAAAATACAAAAATTAGCTGAACATGGTGGTGCACGCCTGTAATCCCAGCTACTTGGGAGGCTGAGGCACAAGAATCGCTTGAACTCAGGAGGTGGAGGTTGCAGTGAGCCGAGATCATGCCACTGCACTCCAGCCTGGGGGCCGGAGTAAGACTCCATCTCAAAAACAAACAAACAAACAAACAAACAAACAAACAAACAAAAAGTAGGTGCAGAGAAGACCTAACAGAGATACCCCTTGAGATGGTGTGTTTGTGTGTGTGTGTATAAATATGGTTTATATAATAGGTATTGTGCATATATGCATATATATGATTTCTTTATATGACATTATATATTTTCTTTGTATTAGGTAGTACTATATAATATTTATATTTATTATAAAGTATAATATATGCACACGTAAGTACATAACACATATAAATATATAATTTATTTTCCCTTTTTTTTTTATTGCCCAGGCTGCAGTATAGTGGCATGATCTCAGCTCACTGCAACCTCTGCCTCCCAGGCTCAAGTGATCCTCCCACCTCAGCCTCCCAAGTAGCTGGGACTATAGCTGCGCACCACACACCCAGCTAATTTTTGTATTTTTGGTAGAGGTCAGGTTTTGCCATGTTGCTCAGGCTGGTCTCAAACTCCTGGGCTCAAGCAATCCTCCTGCCTCAGTCTCCCAAAGTACTGGAATTATAGGCATGAGCCACTGTGCCCAGCCAATATATAATTTATTTAAAAACCTTTTTGTCTGAAGCAAAAATACTAACAATGATTATGCTGTTTATGCCATATGTAATAGTAAAATATAAAATCACAAGAACACAAAGTATTGGAGGAGATAGAGCAAATTATTTTATTTTAAAGTTTCTTGTGTGTTTCATTCAAATAGGTGACAATGTAATAATTCACACTGTAAACTCTAAAGCAATTACTAAAAATAAATTTAACACAAAAATTATAAAGATAATACATAAAAGAAAATGGAATACTAAAACTAATGCAATTCACTCAAGAGAAGTTAGGAAAGGAGGAACAGTAGAGCAAAGAATACATGGATGAAATATAAAACAAACAGGAACATGGAAATCTTAAATACAACTATACCGATAATTGCACTAAATATAAATGAACTAAACATAGTCATTGAAAGATAGATATTATTAGATTGGATTAAAAAATTATGACCCAACTTTATGCTGCTTATAAGAAACATATTTTGGTTATGAAGCACAGGCAGGTTGAAAGTAAAAGGGTGGAAGAAGGTATAGCCTGCATGGTAGATGATGCCCAGAGAAGGAGCCATCAATTCCTACCTTGTCTGGACAAGCAGGCTACTTCTCACATCAAAAGGGGATAATTACATCGTAATTGAACTTAGGCTTAGGCTGACTTTAGTGATTTGTTTAACGAACATAATATAACGGACACAACATTCTGGGACCTCAGAGGCTACTTGATCATAAACCTTGCAGCTTCTGCCTGAGATTCTTAGAATGCTTGCTTTTTGGATGCTCTCTTTTAGAAACCAAGCACCAGGTAGCGAGAACCCAAGGTCCTTCCCTGTATAATAAGGAAAAGGAGAGGGAGGGGACAGAAATTATATGAAGAGATCCCTCCCCATGGACAGAAACATCTGGAATAGGAGAGACATATTTCTTCACAGAATTCCATAAGTTTGGTGTTTTTGTTTTTTGCTTAACACATTGAACTTACCTATGAAGTACAGGGTCAGTTTGGAGTGACAGAAAGGAAGTGGGTAGCAATCACAGTAGGGTGAAGATAGGGGAATATTGGACTAGCCCTGCATGAGGTTACTTCCACAATGCCACTCTCCTTTGGGTATTCTCCTGCCACCATTGGGGAGAAATATTTATTTCCCTCCCCCCAGAATGCTCTAAAGTGAATTTGATTAATAAAATAATTAAGAAAACTTCAATTTCTTTCCACACCCAAAGCTGAAAATCCATTCACTATTCTATTTCCCACCCTAAATAATATCTAGGCACATATTATTCTATTTCTCACCCTATTTCCCACTATTCCATTTCCCACTATTCTATTTCCCACCCTAAATAATATCTAGGCACCCTAAATAATATCTAGGCACATATTATGTCATGTCTGACATAATATATAAGAAGTTCATCAATGAGATTGAGTAACAAATATTCAATATTCAATAAAGCATTCAACAAAAATGCAATAAGAAACTTCAATAATAAAATGTCAGCAATGCAGAAATGACACAAATTTTAAAATAAACATCCTCTATTATTCTATTAAAATTGAAAGACATTACATTCCAAATGTATTGAAGTTCAAATTGAAGTTATTTTGCCCTGATGAATAAATCCTTTGTAAATTAAAGTCCAAAGGCATTAAAATTAAAAATCAATTCTCCTGACCTAGTGACTTAATAGTCCAAAGTCTGAAATTCAAAATTCATCATCCTTCCTAATTTAATTTCCTTCAGGTTAAGTTCTTAATGCCTCAGTAAAGCTGTGGTTCCTTCAGCAGCCTTCTTAGGTTGCTTCTTCTTAGAATGGATGTAGTTCCTTCTGAACATCAAAAGAGGTATGAGTTCAGTGTTAGCTCTCTGCATGAATCCATTTCCTAAGATCTTGAACATTTATTATGATACACAAGTTTATTATAGCCCTGGCTTCACAACCACCAATTTGATAAAACAAGATAATCCCCAGTCTCTAGAACAGTTACTACAGGCAAAAGTATATACTTAAAGCCCAGTTCTAAGAGTTGCTAAAGGCAATATGGCAAACATTCACTGATGTCTGAAGGAAACAAAGTAGACAAACTATTGGTTCAGCATCACCATGTGCAATCAGTTGATGCCTGTTGTTCAGAATCCACAAGTTGCAAACTTGAAATCAATGGCACTATTCATTCACCATTACTGTGGACAATCTTTCTAAGCTCACTGTGTCATTTCTCAGAGTGGTATTTGAGATACTGCTGCCTTCTTACAAAGCTTAGAAATTTGAAATGGTGGCAGCCCAGTCAGCAAGTATTATTTGAGGTGCTCATCTTTCCCAGCCAATGTATCTAACTACTTAGTCTTTCTTGTTCTTTTCTCTGGGATCCTGGAATTTCCATGCTGCCTGCAGGTGAGTGGTGCCTTGTAATATGGCCTCCACCGTGTCTGTGAGAAAGCTGCTACCTCTGCTTCTTGCATTATAATTGCTTAGGGAAGAATTTCACCTTCATATTGAATATATTTAGTCAGAAAAGAACACTTAACTGGATATCCACTTGCAGAAGAATGAAGTTGGACGCCCTACCTCACATCATATACAAAAGTTAACTCAAAATGGATCAAAGATTTCAATGTAAGAGTTGAAACTATATGCTAAATGAAAGAACCTAAACACAGAAAGCCACTTATCATATGATTCCATCAATGGAATCATTCTGTACATTTATATGAAATGTCCAGAATAGACAAATCCAAAAGGACAGAAAATAGAGTAGTGGTTACTAAGATATGTGGGAAGAAGGGAATGAGGAGTGAGTGCTAATGCATACGGGGTATCTTTTAGGAGTGATAAAAATGTTCTGGAACTCAATAGTGGTGATGGTTGCATAATCTTGTGGCTATATTAAAATCCACTGGATTCTCCACTTTAAAAGGTAAATTTTAATGTTTAGGAATTCTATCTCATTTTTACAAGAAACAAGGAAAACACACAGCATACTTTTGAACCAAAGCTGCGGTTGGTACTTCAGAATCTTGTGCCCCTAGGGCCCAATGAGGACCAATACCATTCCATATCCTCAAGATGCTGTCTTTCCTCCTCCCACAAATAATTCATGTTATCTGGCATGTTCTCTTAGAACCAGTTCTATCTGATTTTGCAATAATCATTTCAAACAGCAACTATTTAGGTAACAAGATTCTTCAGGTTGCCAAGTTGAACTAGGCTCAGCTGGGCCGTTTTCTGGTCTTGGGTGGGTATACGTGTCTGTATTCGGCTTCTGGTCAATGAGGGGTTACCTAGTCTAGGACAGCTTTAGCTGAGTGGATCATCTTTGCTCTACATAGTTGCTCATTTTCCAGCTGGGCTAGCATTGTTGTCATGGGGCAAAGCAGAGTTCCAAGAAAGAAAAAGGAAGTATTCTTAGAGGAAGGGACATGTCATTACTTGCATTACATTCTATCAGCCAAAGCAAGTCATGAAGCCAGGCAAGATTCAAGAGAAGCAACATATGTTTATTTGCTTGATAAGAGAAGCTGCGAAGTCACATTCTAAAGGGTATGAATTTAGGAAAGGGTATGAATTTAGGGTATTGGGCATTTTTGTAATATACCACTTCCTAGAGCAGAAGTTCCAAGACAACATCTAGGCAGTGGGTTTAGAGAACAACCAGCACACATCAGAGAGGTGGGATGGAAGGTTCCAGAAAGGAAATTTCTAAGAGAAAAAAAAAGGAACCAAACGAAATGAATAGACAACCAGATGTGTTAGACCAGACTGAAAGGTGTTTTAGCATTCTGTCAGAAACTACTAATATAGATTGCAGGATCACAGAAAACAATCTCCTTAGGTGTGATATGGTTTGGCCACCGAAATCTCATCTTAAATTGTAGTTTCTATAATCCCCATGAGTTGTGGGAGGGACCCCATGGGAGGTAATTGAATCATGGGGACAGTTACCTCCATGCTGTTCTCATGATAGTGAGTGAGTTCTCATGAGATCTGACGGTTTTATAAGGGGCTTTCCCCCTTTTGCTCAGCATTTCTCCTTCCAGCCATCATGTGAAGAAGGACATGTTTGCCTCCTCTTCTGCCATGATTGCAAGTTTCCTGAGGCCTTCCCAGCCATGCAGAACTGTGAGTCAATTAAACCTCTTTCCTTTATAAATTACCCAGTGCAGCTGGGTGCGGTGGCTCATGCCTGTAATCCCAGCATTTTGGGAGGCCAACGTGGGTGAATCACCTGAGGTAAGGAGTTTGGGACCAGCCTGGTCAATATGGCAAAACCCCATCTCTACTAAAAATATAAAAATTAGCCAGGTGTCGGGGGCACACACCTGTAATCCCAGCTACCTGGGAGGCTGAGGCAGGAGAATCACTTGAACCTGGGAGGTGGAGATTGCAGTGAGCCAGGATCACACCATTGCACTCCAGCCTGGGCAAGAAGAGTGAAACTCCATCTCAAAAAAATAAAAATAAATAAATAACCCAGCGTCAGGCAGTTCTTTATAGAAGGGTGAGGATGGACTAATACAAGGTGTCAAGTGGGTAATATAATTATGTGAAGTGGCCAAAGGTAAGTCATCAAGGAATGAACTGGAGAGTACATGCCCAACTTAAAACATTCAAATTATTAACTTCAGAAAAAATAAAAAGGATTTCAAATATGCTTAATATAGTATATTACAGACTTCATGGTATGTGTGGTTATATTTACATAATCACCTACTTATGTATTTACATGGTCATAATAAAGCAAATTCTGAATATTAATTTAACAACTAAAAATGTGATGTAACTACAGTGGGAAAATAAAGTAGGGAGAGGTGTATGTGTTTGAATCAGGAAAAACAGAGTAAGAGTGGAGAATAAAAACCCAAAGATCAATAGAAAACTTAAAACATCTCAAGTATGAGTATTGCTGGTACGAACTAAGACAAGTCTTTGATTTACTGAGAAAGTCCAAAGATGCAAGCCAAAACACAGAGATGTAAAGTTAGGCGATTATGTTAGGTTGTCCTATGTGTTATATTAGTATCTGTATTTGTCTAAAAATAAGTTTATTTGAAAAAATCTGGGCACAGTAGAGCAAAAGATAATTTAAACCATGTGCTAATTATACCTAAATACATGTAGAGGAAGCAGTTTTTAAATTTCCAATTGCAAGTTATCAACCTTCTTGGCTGTCCTTAAAAAAGTAGTTAATGTAGCTGCAGAATGATAATAAATGATTTTGAAACCTCAGTTTACTGGGAAGATTTCCAAAATTCATCAGTATTTACTCGAAATGACTCTACCCATGAGCAGGGTTAAAAGTCAATACCTTTAATGACTTTAAGACACCCTTCTCCTCCTTTAAGATAAATTTACTAATTTTGTCTTAAGTAAAGTCTGCTATTTTAAGGACAACCTTAAACTTCATATTGAGAAAATTAGTATATGGAAATTCATACAAAATCTACAATAGAAGAACATGAAGGCAAAAACATTCTGGAATGATGAAATAATCTTTTCATCCCCTGGTTTGGGTACAGGTACTTATTTTTAGCTCAGAGGCTTTATAATTTTTATAAAATAAGATTACCTATAAATCTTCCTTGTCAGAAAACCAACAGTAATTGACAGTGTTTTTTGGATTTTGGCTTCCTTGAAGCAATTCTCTTTCATTTTCTGTATTTTGAAAACCACATACCAAAGCCAATTAGATTGACGTATTGGCTAGTGGGCATGGGTAACTACAGAACGAGGAACTGGCCAGAGCCATTGCTCCCACAGGCACACTCATGAGGCATACCTGAATCTCATTCAAGCTTTCACTGTGTAATGCCCTCATTTTAAGCAGAGCCTGTGGGTAATAAACAAAATACATCTCAGTGGTAAAACCACTCTATCCGGTTGAGCAGACCACATCTTCAGAACCACAGGGAAACCAAGCATCATTTTGTGATATTTTTAAAGGCCAACGACAAGGAATCAGACCAATCTGTAATTTCTGGCCTTCGTGTCTTATCTCTTACTTCGAAATCATAGACGGACATGGGGTGGAGAGAAAAATAGGGGATTATGATCAGACATTTTAATAATTTTAAATTACTTTGTTATGGACATATTCCATAGAAACAGAATGACTATCCGTTTAAAGATTAAAGACAAGGTTTTACTTTTTTAATTGAATTGAGTAGATACCTATTGGGTATCTACTTTGTAAAGAATCCTGGGCTAGGCAGCATAGGGTTTGTTAAGATGAGTAGTTTACAGTTCCAGGCCTAAAGATTTTACAGTTTAGTCATGAAATCAGGTATTTAACCAGGGTGGGCAAACTCACAATCGCTAGGTAAATCTGGTCCACAGCCTTGTTTTAGTTGTTTGTTTTGCTGAGTTTCTAATTTGAACGTTCTAAGCTGTGCATGAACTCTCCAGCTCATTTTCTGCTGACTTACATTCAGCCACTCTACACAATTACATTATCCACTGGGCCCCTGACGGAACTGAATTTACGATGTTGATATAAACACCAAATGTACTCCATAAGCAAATGAAATAAATTGGGAGACAGTGTGTTAGAGGAGAACACATATTTTTGATCTGAAAGAGACTCACTTACGAATCCTGATTCTGCCACTTAATATCTATGTGATCTTAAGCAAGTTATACTTCTTTGAGCCTTAGTTTTCTTTTCTAAAAATGAAGCTAGTGGTGAACTGACTTCACATTATAGTGGTGAAGACTAGACAAGATAATATTTCTGATTAGCACAGGATCTGCCACGTTGCAACTTCACTATATAATTTGGCATCTTTCCCTCCCCTTGAGTAGATGAAAATGGAAGTTTAGAAGGATCCATTAATTCTCTCTGGGTGGTCAGGGAACACTTCACAAAAGCAAGTGGTCATTTGAACTGGATTATGAAGGAAGGAAAAGGTTGTAATTGACAAGGAAGAGATGTGGCACTTTCTAAGGTTTAGGGTCTCCTATTGTGAGTAGACGGGAAGCCAGGCCACTGATGAGGGTTCTGTGGGGTCAGGGATGGTAGAGAACATCCTCTTAGAGTAAGCAGGAGCAAGTCTGGAGCAGGTATTGCCGCTCATCACTTGCTTTCACTTGTGGCCTTCAAGTACCACTGGCTATATTTACAGGGTCTAGGACGGAGCAGACCCTGGTCCCTGGAGCTGAGATACGGAGTATGAGAAATTGGAAGTCCACTTATGTCAGAAAAACGTGAAAGGGAGCATTAGACCCTAAGGACAAATTCCACAATTCTAAGCACACACAGGTATTTATTGAGATAAACTCAGATGCCATGTCTTATTCAAATGGTTTCTCCCAGGGTTCAGTAAGAAGAAAATTATGTTTTATGTGGTTTTTAGGATTACCGGAATATGTCATTTAGGTCCTTCTGAATAGTCTATGACTTCTACAGGTAGCGGACAACTACCTAATATAAGGAAAGAGTTAGTGGTTGTGAATGGTTGTATTGTGGGCAGATGAGTAAGTGGGTTGTTCTGTGCAGATTCTGTAGTGTCTGCAGTCACAATTTATGTAGAATAAGTAGAAATAGAACATGCTTGTGGGACCAAATAAACTGCTCCATCAAGCCATCAGTCTGTAGCAGGTGATGGTAAACATGTTTGTAGACATGAAGGAATTTTAACAGTGCTTTTATAATCTAGACATCAACTTGGAACAAATATCTGAGATAAAATTGGTACTTTAAGGAAGAACATTTTCCTTTATAAGAAGAGTTGCCAAATTATCTTGAATGTGGAGAGAAAGGAGTAAGATGGTGAAATTCAGCAGATAAAGTATGCTGTTTAAGAAAGTGTATCTACTCTCATGACTGTAGTAGGAGAAAGGATGTGAGATCTAAACTAAAGTCTGACATGAAAGTGTCTAAAGGAGTACACGAGTTAGGAGCAGAACTCCTTGCAAGGGGCTTTTGTTTTTGTTTTGTTTTGTTTTGTTTTGTTTTTGAGACAGAGTCTCGCTTTGTTGCCCAGCTGGAGTGCAGTGGCGGGATCTCAGCTCCCTGCAAGCTCCGCCTCCCAGGTTCACGCCATTCTCCTGCCTCAGCCTCCCGAGTAGCTGGGACTACAGGCACCCGCCACCACACCGGACTAATTTTTTTTTGTATTTTTAGTAGAGACGGAGTCTCACTGTGTTAGCCAGTATGGTCTCAATCTCCTGAATTCATGATCCACCCACCTTGGCCTCCCAAAGTGCTGGGATTACAGGCGTGAGCCACCACACCCGGCCAGGCTTTTGTTATTTTTACAGACATGCTTCTATCACTCAGACTCGGGACCCAAGCACCAGGCACCTGGCCTTACCACACCACCAGTACTGTGGTCCCTACCTGGTGATGCATGCAGTTTTCAAATACACACAAGAGACTCATGTGTCTCTAGATGTGTGGGCACACTATGGCTTGCTATGATGTGAGTTTTGGCAAAATTCTAGCTCTGTAGAAATCTATAAAAGCCAAGAAATGGGAAGATTGTAATGTTCTGGAAGTCGTCAGGCACTTTCCTAAGCCTTTTTCTAGTTATCTAGTCAAGATATTGAACCATTCTACTCAGGCAATCAAGTGAGAATGCAGAATTCAGCGTATGAAAGCCCGCAAAATCTACCCCTTAAAAAATGAATTCACTGAGCTGGCCACATCCCTGCTGATAAACCTGTCAAACATGACAGTTCTGTGTTCAGAAATCTGGGGTGAGTCCCACATTTGAGGTTACCATGTTGAAGCTGCAAACCACTCATCACTTCACCTCCTCAGAAAAAGCCGTACTTCATTGCATTCTCTCTTGAGTGCAGAACTATGGGCCTCTATAGGTATCTGCTTTTACCATTATATGTTGGGAAATATGGATGGACTCCCCTAAAATCTCTCAGGAGTCATGAGTGTGAACAGATTTTAGTTTCTAACATTTGAGACTCATCAGAGGGCTGCCTTGATCCATGATTTTTTGTTTTTGTTCTTCCCCACAGTGCTATGTGGTATACTATAGCAGGGTGACACGTATATAGCAGGGCGTGGGATGTGGCCATTGACCCCAACTGGAGCAGCTGGATCTGATATCTTGTGTAGCACAAGAAATGTCCAAACTGCTCTCTTCAGGGAATGCCTGAAGTGGCTGTCAAGGGTTCTGTTGTACTGAACTGTCGGAAAGACTCTACTACAAGTAGATCCTAGACAAATGGTAAACTCACATGATTATTGGTGGCATAAAAATACACCCATGGGAGCTTCAGATAAAAATTTAAATTTTCAGGTTCTCTTTAAAAATAAAGATATAAAAACAAAGGCTCTACATTCCCACATGGCAGCAATCTACAGAATCTAAATAAAAACCATCCCCTTCACACTGGCATATTCTCTCTAATCACCACAATCTTCTTCACTTCCTCTTGTGTTATAGGGACTAGTTTCCTCATTTACTTGCATATCCTAATTTAAAGGAAGAAAGAGGCCAGAGGGTGTAGCATGATAAAAGGAAGGAAGGTGTGAAGTATGAGTTATTTTAAAAGACATACACTAAGCTACGGGGATGGAAGGAGAGATTAAAACAATGATGAGAAGGGCTATGAAAACCATCCTAAGCTCTTGAGCTTTATTCCTTAGTTAATGTTACAAAGGCCTTTATCTAAGAGTTGAACAAAATGTAAACTGTTTTAGAGAGATAACTTCAGAAGCAGTGTGGAGGACATAATGTAAAAGTTAAACAGTAGAAGCAAGGAGGTTATGATAGAAGAGTGTACATAAGAAAATGTGAGTATGACCTGTGGACTTGCCCATAATCATGGAAAGTAAGGAAGGAAAATTGGAGAGAATTCAGAGATGGAATCTAGTAATCAACTGACTGGGATAAAAAGAAGGAAATGCAGATGAGTATGATGACTCTAGTCTAAGTGTCTGGGAGAAAAACATTAACTCAGAAGATAAATTCAGGGGAATTTAATTGGGAGAAAAGTGAGTTCTGTTTGAATGTGTTAAAATGGAAGGAAGGACTAATTATTTAATATAAACACATCCTGCAAATGGAGCGCAGGAGAAAAGGAAGAACTAAACATAGGGACTTGGAAATCATCAACATAGAGGTGATATTTGAAGCTAAAGACTAGGTAAGATTGTCCAGGACAAGGAGAAGAGGGGCACATAGAGCCTTCAGGAACACTAGACTTGCAGAGATGGTGTTGGAAGAAGTACCAATAAGTGAGACTAAGAAGAAAACATAAGTGAGATGGAGATTTGGTGGCTATTTTCCATTTGCCCTTCTAAATCCACTTTCCACCCTGCTCTGTGCTCTGGGAGGCTGACCTGTCTGAGCTGCATCCATGGTTCTCTTCTCCTCTGGCACTGGGCCTAACTTGGCCAGTGGGAAGCCTTGGTCAAGATCAGAGGTTAGGAAGAGAGTAAAGTTAGATTATTTATTCTCCCTCGCTGCCTCCCTATCAGATTACCCCAAGTTAGCAATATCCCTCTCTGAAGTCCACAGCTTCTGTCAAGTGGCAGTTCTGATAGCTGCTCCCATCTTTTGCCCCTAGAGGTGGTCACAGACACTCCTATCTTTAGTCCAAGAGTACTGCCCAATCTGCTGTTCACTTCTTGTACCCCGTCACATCTTTATAAAGAGCCCCTTCATTACACTCACTTCAATTACTCAATGTAAATGTGCCATCTATTTCCTGCTAGGATACTCTCTGATTCAAGGGGTAAATCTAGGAAGGTGCAATATTCTGGAAGCCATTATGGAAGAGTTTGCATAAATGCTACAGAGCATGTAACAGGATGAAGACTAAAAAGAATCAGACTTTGACTTTTTCTTCTTTTTCAGAAGACTGGTGTGTGCAGGAGACAGGGTGCAAGGTTTTGTGGAAGAAAGGAAGAAATGAATGGTAAGAGAAAATAAAGGCAATGAGTAAAAGCTATTGCTTCAAAACAGCTGACGCTGTAGGGGTACAAAGGGGAGATAGGACATTAGTCTGAAACAGAACTAATCTATGTCTTTAAATTTAAGGAGAGATTGAAATAGCACCACAATACTGCCTTTATTTATTTATTTTTTTTGGAAGGGGGCAAAGGACATGAACAGACATTCTCAAAAGAAGACATTTATATGGCCAACAAACATGAAAAAAACTCAACATTACTGATCATCAGAGAAATGCAAATCAAAACCACAATGAGATACCGTCTCACACCAGTCAGAATGGCAATTATTAAAAAGTCAGGAAATAGTAGATGCTGGTGAGAAGGCTATGGAGAAATAGGAATGCTTTTACACTGTTGGTGGGAATGTAAATTAGTTCAACCATTGTAGAAGACAGCATGGTGATTCTTCAAAAATCTAGAACCAGAAATACCATTTGACCCAGCAATCCCGTTACTGGGTATATACCCAAAGGAATATAAATCATTCTACTATAAAGACACATGCACACATATGTTTATTGCAGCACTATTTACAATAGCAAAGACATGGAACCAACCCAAATGCCCATTAATGACAGACTGGATAAAGACAACGTGCACAGGGAGGTTCCAAGATGGCCAAATAGGAACAGCTCCAGTCTGCAGCTCCCAACGTGAGCGACGCAGAAGACAGGTGATTTCTGCATTTCCAACTGAGGTACCAGGTTCATGTCACTGGGGCTTGTCGGACAGTGGGTGAAGGACAGTGGGTACAGCCCACGGAGTGTGAACAGAAGCAGGGCGAGGCATCACCTCACCCGGGAAGCACAAGGGGTCGGGGAATTCCCTTTCCTAGACAAGGGAAGCTGTGATAGACGGCACCTGGAAAATCGGGTGACTCCCACCCTAATACTGTGCATTTCTAACAGTCTTAGCAAATGGCACACCAGGAGATTACATCCTGCACCTGGCTCGGAGGGTCCCACGCCTGCAGTCTCACTCACTGTTAGCACAGCAGTCTGAGATCCAACTGCAAGGTGGCAGTGAGGCTGGGGGAGGGGCGCCTGCCATTTCTGAGGCTTGAGTAGGTAAACAAAGCTGCTGGGAAGCTCGAACTGGGTGGAGCCCACCTCAGCTCTAGAAGGCCTGCTTGCCTCTGTAGACTCCACCTCTGGGGGCAGGGCATAGCTGAACAAAAGGCAGTAGAAACTTCTGCAGACTTAAATATCCCTGTCTGACAGCTTTGAAGAGAGTAGTGGTTCTCCCAGCACAGAGTTTGAGATCTGGGAATGGACAGACCGCCTCCTCAAGTGGGTCCCTGACCCCCAAGTAGCCTAAATGGGAGGCACCTCCCAGTAGGGGCCGACTGACACCTCATATGGCCAGGTGTCCCTCTGAGACAAAGCCTCCAGAGGAACGATCAGACAGCAACATTTGCTGTTCTGCAATATTTGCTGTTCTGCAGCCTCTGCTGGTGATACCCAAGCAAACAGGGTCTGGAGTGGACCTCCAGCAAACTCCAACAGACCTGCAGCTGAGGGTACTGACTGTTAGAAGGAAAACTAACAAACAGAAAGGACATCCACACCAAAACCCCAACTGTACATCACCATCATCAAAGACCAAAGGTAGATAAAACCACAAAGATGGGGAAAAACCAGAGCAGAAAAGCGGAAAATTCTAAAAATCAGAGCACCTCTTCTCCTCCAAAGGAATGCAGCTCCTTGCCAGCAATGGAACAAAGCTGGTTGGAGAATGACTTCGATGAGTTGAGAGAAGAAGGCTTCAGACGATCGGTAATAACAAACTTCTCCGAGCTAAAGGAGGATGTTCGAACCCATTGCAAAGAAGCTAAAAACCTTGAAAAAAAGATCAGATGAATGGCTAACTAGAATAAACAGTGTAGAGAAGACCTTAAATGACCTGACAGAGTTGAAAACCATGGAACAAGAGCTACAAGACACATGTACAAGCTTCAGTAGCCAATTCGATCAACTGGAAGAAAGGGTATCAGTGATTGAAGATCAAATGAATGAAATGAAGTGAGAAGAGAAGTTTACAGAAAAAAGAATAAAAGGAAATGAACAAAGCCTCCAAGAAATATGGGAATATGAGAAAAGACCAAATCTATGTCTGATTGGTGTACCTGAAAGTGAAGGGGAGAATGGAACCAAGTTGGAAACACTCTTCAGGATATTATCCAGGAGAACTTCCCCAACCTAGCAAGGCAGGCCAACATTCAAATTCAGGAAATACAGAGAATGCCACAAAGATACTCCTTGAGAAGAGCAACTCCAAGACACATAATTGTCAGATTCACCAAAGTTGAAATGAAGGAAAAAATGTTAAGGGTGGCCAGACAGAAAGGTCAGGTTACCCACAAAGGGAAGCCCATCACACTAACAGCGGATGTCTTGGCAGAAACTCTACAAGCCAAAAGTGAGTGGGGGCCAGTATTCAACATTCTTAAAGAAAAGAATTTTAAACCCAGAATTTCATATCCAGCCAAACTAAGCTTCATAAGTGAAGGAGACATAAAATCCTTTACAGACAAGCAAATGCTGAGAGATTTTGTCACCACCAGGCCTGCCTTACAAGAGCTCCTGAAGGAAGCACTAAACATGGAAAGGAAAAACTGGTACCAGCCACTGAAAAAACATGCCAAATTGTAAAGACCATCTATGCTGGGTAGAAACTGCATCAACTAATGAGCAAAATAACCAGCTAACACATAATGACAGAATCAAATTCACACACAACAATATTAACCTTAAATATAAATGGGCTAAATGCGCCAGTTAAAAGACACAGACTGGCAAATTGGATGAAGAGTCAAGACCCATCACTGTGCTGTATTCAGGAGACCCATCTCATGTGCAGAGACACACATAGGCTCAAAATAAAGGGATGGAGGAAGATCTACCAAGCAAATAGAAAACAAAAAAAAGCAGGGGTTGAAATCCTAGTCTCCGATAAAACAGACTTTAAATCAACAAAGTTCAGAAGAGACAAAGAAGGCCATTACATAATGGTAAAGGGATCAATTCAACAAGAAGAGTTAACTATCCTAAATATATAGGCACCCAATACAGGAGCACCCACATTCATAAAGCAAGTCCTTAGAGATCTACAAAGAGACTTAGACTATCACACAATAATAATGGGAGACTTTAACACCCCACTGTCAACATTAGACAGATCAACGAGACAGAAAATTAACAAGGATACCCAGGAATTGAACTCAGCTCTGTACCAAGCGGACCTAATAGACATCTACGGAACTCTCCACCCCAAATCAACAGAATATACATTCTTCTCAGCACCACATCACACTTATTCAAAAATTGACCACATTGTTGGAAGTAAAGCACTCCTCAGCAAATGTAAAAGAACAGAAATGATAACAAAGTGTCTCTCAGAACACAGTGCAATCAAACTAGAACTCAGCATTAAAAAACTCACTCAAAACCGCTCAACTACATGGAAACTGAACAACCAACTCCTGAATGACTACTGGGTACATAACGAAATGAAGGCAGAAATAAAGATGTTCTTTGAAACCAACGAGAACAAAGACACGACATACCAGAATCTCTGGGACACGTTTAAAGCAGTGTGTAGAGGGAAATTTATAACACTAAATGCCCACAAGAGAAAGCAGGAAAGATCTAAAATTGACACCCTAACATCACAATTAAAAGAACTACAGAAGCAAGAGCAAACACATTCAAAAGCTAGTAGAAGGCAAAAAATAACTAAGATCAGAGCAGAACTGAAGGAGATAGAGACACAAAAAACCCTTCAAAAAATCAATGAATCCAGGAGCTGGTTTTTTGAAAAGATCAACAAAATTGATAGACTGATAGCAACACTAATAAAGAAGAAAAGAGAGAAGAATCAAATAGACTCAATAAAAAATGATGAAGGTGATATGGCCACCGATCCCACAGAAATACAAATTACCATCAGAAAATACTATAAACACCTCTACGCAAACAAACTAGAAAATCTAGAAGAAATGGTTAAGTTCCTGGACACATACACCCTCCCAAGACTAAACCAGGAAGAAGTTGAATCCCTGAATAGATCAATAACAGGCTCTGAAATTGAGGCAATAATTAATAGCCTACCAACCAAAAAAAGTCCAGTACCAGATAGATTCACAGCCTAATTCTACCAGAGGTACAAAAAGGAGCTGGTACCATTCCTTCTGAAACCATTCCAATCAATAGAAAAAGAGAGAATCCTCCCTAACTCATTTTATGAGGCCAGCATCATCCTGATACCAAGGCCTGGCAGAGACACAACAAAGAAAGAGAATTTTAGACTAATATCCATGATGAACATCGATGCAAAAATCCTCAATAAAATACTGACAAACCGAATCCAGCAGCACATCAAAAAGCTTATCCACCACGATCAAGTGGCTTCATCCCTGGGATGCAAGGCTGGTTCAACATATGCAAATCAATAAATGTAATCCAGTATACAAACAGAACCAAAGACAAAAACTACATGATTATCTCAATAGGTGCAGAAAAGGCCTTTGACAAAATTCAACAGCACTTCATGTTAAAAACGCTCAGTACATTAGGTACTGATGGGACATATCTCAAAATAATAAGAGCTATTTAGGACAAATCCACAGCCAATATCACACTGAAGGGGCAAAAACTGGAAGCATTCCCTCTGAAAACTGGCACAAGACAGGGATACCCTCTCTCACCACTCCTTTTCAACATAGTGTTGGAAGTTCTGGCCAGGGCAATCAGGCAGGAGAAAGAAAAAAAGGGTATTCAGTTAGGAAAAGAGGAAGTCAAATTGTCCCTGTTTGCAGATGACATGATTGTATATTTAGAAAACCCCATAGTCTCAGCCCAAAATCTCCTTAAGCTGATAAGCAACTTCAGCAAAGTCTCAGGATACAAAATCAATGTGCAAAAATCACAAGCATTCCTATACACCAATAACAGACAAATAGAGAGCCAAATCATGAGTGAACTCCCATTTACAATTGCTTCAAAGAGAATAAAATACCTAGGAATCCAACTTACAAGGGATGTGAAGGACCTCTTCAAGGAAAACTACAAACCACTGTTCAATGAAATAAAAGAGCACACAAACAAATGGAAGAACATTCCATGCTCAGGGATAGGAAGAACCAATATTGTGAAAATGGCCATACTGCCCAAGGTAATTTATAGATTCAATGCCATCCCCATCAAGCTACCAATGACTTTCTTCACAGAATTGGAAAAAACTACTTTAAAGTTCATATGGAAACAATAAAGAGTCCTCATTGCCAAGACAATCCTAAGCAAAAAGAACAAAGGTAGAGGCATCATGCTATCTGACTTCAAACTATACTACCAGGCTACAGTAACCAAAACAGCATGGTACTGGTACCAAAACAGATATAGACCAATGGAAGAGAACAGAGCCCTCAGAAATAATACCACACATCTACAACCATCTTATCTTTGACAAACCTGACAAAAACAAGAAATGGGGAAAGGATTCCCTATTTAATAAATGGTGCTGGGAAAACTGGCTAGCCTTATGTAGAAAGCTGAAACTGGATGCCTGCCTTACACCTTATACAAAAATTAATTCAAGATGGATTAAAGACTTAAATGTTAGACCTAAAACCACAAAAACCCTAGAAGAAAACCAAGGCAATACCATTCAGGACATAGGCATGGGCAAGGACTTCATGACTAAAACACCAAAACAATGGCAACAGAAGCCAAAATTGACAAATGGGATCTAATTAAACTAAAGAGCTTCTGCACAGCAAAAGAAACTACCATCAGAGTGAACAGGCAACCTACAGAATGGGAGAAAATTTTTGCAATCTACCCATCTGACAAAGGGCTAATATCCAGAATCTACAAAGAACTGAAACAAATTTACAAGAAAAAACCAAACAACCCCATCAAAAAGTGGGCAAATAATATGAACAGACACTTCTCAAAAGAAGACATTTATGCAGCCAACAGACACGTGAAAAAATGCTCATCATCACTGGCCATCGGAGAAATGCAAATCAAAATCACAATGAGATACCATCTCACACCAGTTAGAATGGCAATCATTAAAAAGTCAGGAAACAACAGGTGCTGGAGAAGATGTGGAGAAATAGGAACACTTTTACACTGTTGGTGGGACTGTAAACTAGTTCAACCATTGTGGAAGTCAGTGTGGCGATTCCTCAAGGATCTAGAACTAGAAATACCATTTGACCCAGCCATCCCATTACTGGGTATATACCCAAAGGATTATAAATCATGCTGCTATAAAGACACATGCACATGTATGTTTATTGTGGCACTATTCACAATAGCAAAGACTTGGAACCAACCCAAATGTCCATCAATGATAGACTGGATTAAGAAAATGTAGCACATATACACCATGGAATACTATGCAGCTGTAAAAAAGGATGAGTTCATGTCCTTTGTAGGGACATGGATGAAGCTGGAAACCATCATCCTGAGCAAACTATCACAAGGACAGAAAACCAAACACCGCATGTTCTCGCTCATAGGTGGGAATTGAACAATGAGAACACTTGTACACAGAATGGGGAACATCACACACCAGGGCCTGTTGTGGGGTGAGGAGAGGGGGTAGGGATGGCATTAGGAGAATTACCTAATATAAATGATGAGTTAATGGGTGCAGCACACCAACATGGCACATGTATACATATGTAACAAACACAAACCTGCACGTTGTGCACATGTACCCTAGAACTTAAAGTATAATAATAAAAATTTAAAAAAAGAAAAAAAGAAAATGTGGCACATATACACCATGGAATACTATGCATCCATAAAAAGGAATGAGATCATGTCCTTTGCAGGGACATGGATGAAGCTGGAAGCCATCATCCTCAGCAAACTAACAGAAACAGAAAACCAAACACTGCATGTTCTCACTTATAAGTGTGAGTTAAACAGTGAGAACACATGGACACAGATAGGGAAACAATACACACCAGGGCCTGTTAGGGGGTGGGAGAACTGAAGATGGTGTTCATTGAAGGGAGGGAACTTAGAGGACAGGCTGATAGGTGCAGCAAACCATCATGGCACACGTATACCTATGTAACAAACATGCACATTCTATATGTGGATCTCATGTTTTTTCTTAGAAGAAATAAAGAAAAAAAAAGATTCACTCCCCCAACACTTAAGTTGGAGTGCCATTTATGTGCCAGATACGAGTTAGAGTAAACTTTAAAGAAATAAAAATACTATAATTTCTCTCAAGAAGTTAATAAAGGAGATAGCTGTGTAAAAAAATATTGTGCATCTGAAGCAGATATAACCAGTCTGAAAAATAAAAAAAACACAAAAATAATTGTGAAAAAAAACTGCTTTTGGGTGTGTGTGTGTGTGTGGTCAATTACCTCATTGTCACATGATTCAAATGGCCTTCTTAAGTTAGCAAATCACCTTCTCCCTGGAATTTTAATATGACAGAAAGATTTCAAATATGACCAAGAGACAATGAAAGATGCAATATCTAGTTTAGGCTTACCTCTCTGAGTCATTCCAATTATTAATCATGTATAAGACACCATAAGCCACCTCTAGGAAAATGATGATTCTTTATTGCTTGTTAAAAATATTTACATTTTCCTCTACCAGCTGTATATAAGGAATTGATATTTTCTGAATCGCTAAGTCAATAACATCTTCCTTGAGCCATCAAAGGATTTGATAAACCAGCAAAACACAAGAGCCTCTGCTGCAAATAAGTGGGAGGCACTCGGGCTGTCAGGCAATTAAGTGGACCTGAATAAGCTGATGTAATTAAGCCTCCTACTGCATAATTATCTTTATTTTAAATGTGTCTTTTGATGAAACATCTGTTCCCTGCTCCATATATGAAAAGAGGGACCCATGCTCATGAAGAAAACAGAGCTTGTGAGGCCTTCACACATGCTGCCTGGGCTGCACAGATCCAAGGCAACAAATGTTGTCATTTGTTTCATCTTTGCACGCAAGAGGCAGGTGTCCTCCTGTCCTCAGCCCGTGTTCGCCTGACCTCTGAGCTTACAGCAGCTGCCTGGAGTCCTGTTACACAAAGCAGCTCCTGGGTGCTGAGGGGACACTCAGAAGCAGGGGTTGCATCTAGCTATAAGGACCAGTGCTTTGGCCATCTGCAAAGAAGAACAATCACATGTGCTCAGCAAGAGAAGGTTGGGTACTGATGGTCAGCAGGACTTCCTTGGGTCCCTGTCTCCAGCCTCAGTGCATGACCTCATTCCTTTAATCAAAGGTAAATCTGATTAGTCAAACCAGAGCACATTAAGGGTGGGCCAGCATTACCTTGGTGAATTTCTGTATGGAATTTTTGTCTGTCCTCAGTTCTGGAGGCTCCAAACTCTGGCTTGCTGCATCACTATTTTTGTCTGAATCAGACATTTTGAATCACACCAATGGACATTTAAGTGGAAAAGTTATAGGCTTTGGTGGGAAAGAGATCTGATTTTATATTTAGGGGATGCCAATTGTGGGCTAGGTGATCAACCATTTGTTGTCTTTCAGCCTCGACTTATTCAACTCTAAATTAGAGATAAGGATACCTACCACATAGGATCATTGTGAGAATTAAAAGGTAGACAGAGGGCCTAATACAGCAGCTGATCTGAATAAACATTAGCTCCTTTCCCCTTTCTCTGACTCACCTTCTCCCACTGCCCATGCAGAGGTCTTAATGCCAGTCTATTAATTAATAGTGAGAAATCTTCTTTAAAGGACACTGACCAACACCACTTCTTTCTACAATGTCCCATAGTTGGGGATCAAGGAGTTGGACCATCAGGATGAGTGTTTAATAGAATCAATAACAGCCTAGTGCATCCAGAGAAATGAACACTATTTATCAGTGATCAGAGCTCATACCCCTGAGCCTGGGTCACAGCTTTCTCAGTTAATAATGGAGAAAAACCTCCAGTATTTTTTTTTTTTTTTTTTTTTAGGGACAGAGTCTCTCTGTCACCCAGGCTGCAGTACAGTGGCATGATCTTGGCTCACTGCAACCTCCACTTCCCAGGTTCAAGCGATTCTCCTGCCTCAGCCTCCCAAGTAGCTGGGATTACAGATGCATACCACCACATCCAGTTAATTTTTGTATTTTTTTAGTAGAGACAGGGTTTCACCATGTTGGCCAGGCTGGTCTCAAACTCCTGATCTCAGGTGATCCACCCACCTTGGCCTCCCAAGGTGCTAGGATTATAGGCATGAGCCACCACACCTGGCCCAAATCTCCAATATTTTTATCTTAAATTCCTATATTCTGTATTCTGGATAGATCATTACTGACTATTCCTCTCCTTCAACATATTAATATTATTCATACTAGATCAGCTATTGGCATGCTAGTATTGTGAGGCAATGCCTTAGTCTTTTTTTAATAGCTTTACTAAAATATAATTCATATATCATGCAATTCATTCATTTAAGTATACAATTCAAAGCCTTTTAGTATATTTAGAGTTGTGCTTCCATCACCATAGTCCATTTTAGAACATTTTCACCACCCCAAAAAGAACTCCAACACTGCTTACACATGATTTCTCAATTCCCCTATTCCCACATGGCCCTAGGCAACCAGTAATCTTCTTTCTGTCCCTATGGATTTGCCTATTAAAGGCATTTAATATAAATGGAAACATACAATATGTATTTTTGTGTCTTTTTTTTTCACTTAGCATGATATTTCCAAGGTCCATTCATGTTGTGGTATGTATTAGTACTTCATTCCTTTTTATTGCCAAATAATATTCCATTGTGTGGATATACTACATTTTATTCATCCTCAGTTGATGGACATTTGGGTTGTTTCCACTTTTTTGGCTATTGTGAACAATGTAGCTATGAATACTCACGGCAAGATTTTACATGAACATATATTTTTAATTCTCTTAGGTATTATACTTAGGGTTGGAATGGGTCATACGGTAGCTCTAGTTTTTTGAAGAGCTGCCAAATTGTTTTTCAAAGTTGTTGCACCATTATAAATTCCCACCAGCAGTGCAAAAGGATTTTAATTTCTCCACATCTTGCCAACACTTGTTATTACCTGTCCTTTTGATTACAGCCGTCATAAGAGATGTGAAGTGGTATCTCTTGCTGTTTTGATTTGTACTTCCCTAATGGCTGATTGTCTTAGTTTGTTGCAGAAAATATTTCAATGACCCCCACTACAAGCCACTGCCTCTGAGAGTATCTTGCTGTGACTTCTTTTTTCTTCCTAGATGACTAACAGCCAATATAGGCTTTACTTCAGCAAGACAGCTATCCAAGAAGGTACTTTTTGGCCCAGATATTTGTGATAGCCTGTTACACATCATTTTTGCAATGGGGAAGAAGATAAGTAAGATATTAGGAATAACTTCTTCATCTCAAAGCAAGGGCATTAGGGAGGGCACGGAGGGAGGGTCTCAGAGGAAAAGTTGAAATCAAATTTCATCATTAATTCGCTATTTAGAACCAAACTTTAATGTTCTGTCATCAGTGATGTCAGTGATGTTATATTTACATGCCACTTATGTGGAAGGAGAGAAATAGAAGCTAAAAATGGTATCGAGAAAGCAGCATACGAGCCCTGCTTCTAACTTCTGTTCTTGATGGTTTTAAAAAAGCACTAACTTTAGGTTAAAATTTTTTAAGACAGAGAAAATGATTTCCCCATGGGGTTATTGTGAGGGCTAATTAAGATAAATTTGTTGAGCCTACTTGATAAACTTTAAAACACTAAGTAAGATATTATCTGACACTTATTAATAGTAAGAATAGCTCATATTTACTGAAAATTTGTTTTATGCTGGGGCTGGACTTCAAATCCACCCAATATAGTGTCTTTATGGTACTTAAAAAAAGAAATTCCAACCTCATGTAACAATTTTTTTTTTTTTTTTTGAGACGGAATCTCGCAATGTCGTTCAGGCTGGAGTGCAGTGGCATGATATCTGCTCACTGCAACCTCCACCTCCCGGGTTCAAGTGATTCTCCTGCCTCAGCCTCCCAAGTAGCTGGGATTACAGGTGCCTGCCACCATGCCTGGCTAAATTTTTGTATTTTTAGTAGAGATGGGGTTTCACTATGTTGGCCAGGCTGGTCTTGAACTCCTGACCTCATGATCTGCCTGCCTCAGCCTCCCAAAATGCTGGGATTACAGGAGTGAGCCACCGTGCCCGGCCTTAAGTAACAATTTTTTAAATTTTTATATTATTACACAATCTGTATCACTGGCTGAAGTCATAAATGGGCTTAAATGCTCACACATACCCCTATGTCAATGCACAACACAGCTAGTAGCACTCATACTCAATGTTCCCAACTGTTTTAGTCCATTTTCACACTGCCATAAAAAACTACCTGAGACTGGGTAATTTATAAAGAAAAGAGGTTTAACTGACTCATAGTTCCACATGGCTGAGGAGGCCTCAGGAAGCTTTCAATCATGGCGGAAGGTGAAGGAGAAGCAAACATCAACTTACATGGCGGCAGGAGAGAAAGAGAGCTAGCAACGGGAAACTGTCAAACACTTTTAAACAATCAGTTATCGTGAGAACTCACTCATTATCATGAGAGCAGTATGGGGGAAACTGCCCCCATGATCCAATTACCTCCCATCAGGTCCCTCCCTCGACACATGGGGATTACAGTTCAACATGAGATTTGGGTGGGGACACAGAGCCAAACTGTATCACCAACCTTGTAGATGGGGGAAGGGGTAGACATAGGGCCTCTCAATACAGCAAGCTTCCAAAAGAAACAACCTCAGGACAAAGTTGGGCAGGGCACAACCTCACAAACATCTGCATGCCAAGTGAGTATGTGTATGTCCTACCAAGTATGGGCATGGGTACACTCACATGTTTGGATTTATCACCTGGGTTCTTGCATATGGCTGCATCCATCTAGAGTTTTGATTGGGCTGGAAGGTCTAAGACAACCTCACTTCTATGTCTGGAAGCTCACAATCTGTTCACTCAGGCAAATCATTTCACCTATATATGACCGCTCATCCTTCAATAGGCTAAATTGGCTTCCTGTCATGGTGGTCTCAGCACACTGTTTCAAAAAAGCAAAGGCAGAAACTACATAGTCTTTGTAGATCCCAGAACTCACGCAACGTCACTTCTGCTACATTCATAGTCAAAGCCAGCCCAGATGCAATGAAGTGGAGGAATAGACTCTACCTCTTGATGTTATAAAATATTATATGTCATATTTATTGCACCCCACTCATATGCAGGAGCCATGCTTTACTTACAACAATGCCATGAGCTTACTGCAACACCATGAGAGCAACTATAATTTTATTCACTTTTTAGATTAAAAAATTGAGATCCAAGCTTAAAAGCACAGTTCTTGTGACACATCTGGGTTTGAACCCAAGTCTGTCTGACATGACACCTACTATTGAATCTAGAGATTTGAATTTTGCTTGCTATGATCAAAGCTCCTATGGAAATTTCTCTCTCCTCCATACTTCAATATGTCAGGATTCAACAAACTGTTTCCTTCAAGTATATGTATCCAAGAGATTCAGCTTCCCCTTTGGAAGATTTTAATGCCCTATCTCTGATCTCTAATTTTGCCCTTCCCCTAAAGTCTACTTTTCATTTATAGAAATGGATTATAATTCCGGCCAAATTCAATCTCAGAATCATGTGTAAATTTTTGAGAAAATATGAATTTTTCCTATTTACCTGAAAAGTTTATTTAATTTTTTAGGCTAATAGAGCAGATGCAGAGGTTCTATAGACTGGGCAATAATTTAGCCCTGGTTTTAATTTTGAGTCTTTTATTTATATTCGGATATACTTTGGTCACTTCAGTTGAAGTAATTTATTCAAAGTAGACTTAAATGTGAGAAGAAGGACCACAGAGAAAACATATCACCACCTTTGTGGAAAGATAGAAACAAGAGTAGATGAAGATTACAAGATCAGATTTATTTGAGTTGTACAAATGAATGGCAATTTGATCTTGGCCAAGTCATTTCACTAGTTTGGGCCCAAGTTTTTTCATCTCTTACATGAGAGAATGACACTGGATACCCTCTTGGATCTTTCAGCTCTGACATTATTTGATTCTAGTGCCAGAGCATAATTTCACCATATATACCACACATTTTTATTCCAAAACACATTGACATCATGTTAAATTAGGTTGACTCAAGTTCCTCATGTAAACAATTGTGGCTATTGCCAAAATTTGCTAACAAACAGAAAATAAGTATGTTTCAAGTTCTTTCCTTTAGTGCTCTGAGCACATTTTTGATGTGTTGAAAAACTGCAAGGTATTTCTGTATGCTGCTCTTTGACTCACCAGATCACCCCAAAAATATTTCACGGAACCTCTTTCCTATTTTTTTCTGGAACATCATCCAAAGTTGAACAGAAATATTTGAACAAGATGTCTTGATTTAAAAAAAAAAAATACATCTGTGTCAGAGAAAAAAGCAAACATACAAACTAGATTTTAATCTTTCTGTTTGATAAACCAAAGCACATTGATAAGCTCCTGCCAAGTAGTTGAAATGTATTATAAACGAACATAACTTTTGTTGGACAGTGTGCTAACTGAGCTGAAGACTATAGCCTAAAGACGTTTATAACTAGACAGAGACACCATAGGATATGGGGTTCGCAGGAAAAACCATGACTGAAACTGTGAAATGTTTTGGAAAGCAAGAATTCTAAACTATCATCTTCCCAGCAGATCTGATTACTCTCATGTGTTCTGATTTCACAGCAAACACTGATCCAATTGACATTTGGGGAGAAAGTTCCCCAAACAAATGATTAGTGGCATTCTTGGAAATATTTCTGGATTATGTATTATGAGAAGGCCTAGTATCATCATAACTCAAGTTTATATCCACTGAGTTTCTTTGACTAAAAGGAATCTTGAGTAAGGACATGAGCTCAGACCTTAACACACACTGCTCTTTGGCACGCAGACTGGTAACCACATGACCTTCACTAAAAGTCTTAACACCAGGCAGCTTAATCTAATGTGCAGTTGGATCCAGCATCTTGGAACTGTTTCTGTTCTTCCTGAATGTCCCACAGGACTCATCTGAACACAGAGCTCCCATCCCCTTTGCAAGTGACTTGATGTTTGAGATCAGCCCGGGATGTCAAGGAAAAAGTCTTCACAGTCCTTACCTTTTCTCCACACAAAGGCCAAAGGCCACTATAGTGTGACTGAGGATAGCATGAAGAGAAGGAAATCAGTATTGTCTTCACTAGAAGTTTCTCTTTGCCTTGCCTTGGCAGCTGGAGAGGCTAGCCTCCACAAAGGCTTTCTCTAATGTCCACCACTGTCTTTTATGTCAAATGCACCTATCCTTTCCTATCCCTTGACACAGCCTTTGACTCAGCAAACCTGCCAGTTACACTCCCCTAGCTGTCTTTTGCTCCTTACTTTAAGTATCCTAATTTTCTCTGACTCAATTTTCAATTAAAACTAATTTGCTCTCCCATCTGAAGAAGTGGTATAGGCATACTAGTTAGTGTATGTCATTCTTGTATTTCCCTCTAAGTCTTTAAGAAAGCTCATCTAGGTAGTAAATAATACACTTGACAAGAATTGTTCTTTCTCATGAAAAAACTTTCACTTTTACTAGGATAGCACTGCAGCTAGGCCTTGGGACTGAAAAAGGGAGGGATTTCCTCTACTCACAGGGAAAGTATTTGGAAACCTGGAGATAGGAGTAGTCTAGGCACAGCATACAACTGAGAAAGGAAATCCTCTGGACCCTGTCACCAGCAACACGGTCAAGCTTTGAAGAATTTGGGGGACGGGGACACAGATTCCTCCTTCTACACCTATATGCAGACAAAAAATGACAGCCAGGATCACAGCTTGGAAAATGGACAACGTGTTTTTTTCAGGGACAGGCCCCCTGATTTACAATGGATACCTGGCCAGCCCCTAACTTCAAGCAGTGCACAAGGAGCTCAACCCCAGGGAAGTTGGGCCATCTGGATTTCATCAGTGTCACACTGGGCAGCAGTATCAACAACAGCCACAAACAAAGACTCCTCCGTAGGCTGAGACAGATCTCAGGCATTTTCTTCTCTGCTCAAAGACTGGTAATCAGAATTGAACCTTTGGTCTCAGGTATAATTACTGCTCTTCTTGGGAATCATCAAGCGAAACCCCAGGGTGGAAAAATATGGCATTCCCTTGGTTACAGGAGACAAGGGCTCAGAGTCATTGAATTTAAATATTTAAGTTCCCAAGACTGGGGAAATTAAAAAAAAATTAATTTCAGAATATTGTCCTAGTACTGTTGAGCTGCTATGATAAAATACCTTAAACTGGATAGCCTAAATGAGAGAAATTTATTTCTTACAGTTCTAGAGGCTGGGAAGTTCAAGATCTAGGCACCAACAGATTTGGTGTGGGATGAGGGCCTGCTTTCTGGTTCATAGATGGTGGATTTTCATTGTGTCCTCACATGGTGGAAGGAGCAATCCTCAGGCCTCTTTTATAAGGGCATTAATCCCACTCACAAGGGTCCTACCCTCATGACCTAATCACCTTACAAAGTCCGCATGTCCTAATACCATCCCTTGAGGGTAAGGGATTCAACATTTGAATTTAGGAGAAACATAAACATTCAGACCATAGCACAGGGTAAAAGGGCTCAGAATCACTGAGTCTATATACATTTTCTACCCTAAACTGAAGAAATAAGGAATATCAATTTCATGTCTGTGGATTTTTGGATTGTCCAGCATCCATCTTCTTTCTATTACCACTCTAATTCCTTTTGAGAAATTACTTTTTTCCTATAAGACACAGTCTGATGGGACAGTAACCAGGGCCCATACCCTTCCCTACCCATGAGACTAGCACAAGATTGCAACTGGGCCTACTACTCTACTACCGCCCTTTCACTAGTATTCAAATCTGAGCGTAGGATCAAAGGGACTGGAAATGAATAGCATACACTCCATCCTCATGGACAGTTCCTGCTGTGGCCTCTAGAATGTCCTGCTTCTTTGCCCTCTGAAAAGGCCTTATTTCTTGTCACATCCCTAGCATGATCTTCTAGGCTCCTGGCTATTCTGTGAGCCTCAATATACTTCCACTAAATTCTCTCTAGCTTCAGTTAGCCACAGTTCATTTCCAGGCTTATAATCAAAGGCATGGAACTAATACACACCAACCTGTATACAACAACTAATAGTTCACAGAGCATTTACTCATTTTGTACCCTATTCCCTCCCACAACGCTCTGACACTAGTAGACCAGATATTATTCTCATTTGACATGTCTGATTTTTAAAAAATCTCAAAGGGTTTAAACAACAAGAAAGTGTGCCCCAGCTCAAGACTTTTGGTTTCACATCTAGTAACTCTTCACTGCAGTGAGATGTGTCACTCATCTGTTCCCCATAAAACAGCAAAAGGAAGACAAGCTAATTGGAAACACTCTCGCTCCTTTGCTAGCATTCATGTGACTAATATATCATGGGCCTCTTTTAAAATTTCCCTTTTAATGCACAGGGCTGTAGATGTAAAAACATTCTTTAATATACTGTAGCAATGTTCATGGAGCCAGACCACAACAGAGTGACGTATTTACATTTGGAAACATTGAAGGTGATGGCAAATTGGCTCTGATGGCACCTAAACTGCTGCCTTTTAAAGAAAAGATACCTAAGTCTGACATCACCGTAGAAAGAAATGACTTCCTCGAAACAAAAATATACATGCCAATTCCCTAAAAGAGCATGGACACTAATAAAGAGGAAGCTGAAAATAGGCCATGCATAGGCAATAAGTACCTGGGAGTTATTCTAACTATGGAGGATTCTAGACTTTTTCCTTTACTCATAGAAGGACTAATTTTAAAGCATCATTGAAACTTAATTGATCATTACAAGATTTGTCTGAAGCCAGTAATATTCTTTTGATATTTAAAATCAGTGGATAATTTGCCCAAAGTCACATTTTGGATCCTCGGCAATATTTGGTGCAGCAGGCAAATAGTTTAGTCTAAAATTATCACACTGAAAAATCACCCCAAAGCCTAGGACTTCACCCAACACCAGAACTGAACTATAAAATCAAGAGCTTGTGGTCTCAGCATCACCATTTAGACTCCTCTCTCTCAGAATAAGTGTTTCTCATAGAAAAATGAGAAAAAAAAACTCAGTTCCTGATATTGCCTGCTTTTCTGTCTTACACTATGTCTCAATTTAGAAGAAAGAATACTTCATAAAAATGCTTGATATATAAGCACTAAAGAAAAAGATATGACAGAAACCAATATATAAACATGTTGAGTTCATGGAGGCTTTAAAATATTTTATTTACATATAAAATGTCCACTTGTCAACATCTATTCTGGCCCTTTTATAATAAAAGATACCAGCTAGATAAAATGTATTTTATAAATAACAGCCATTTCATGACCTTATATGAAAAATCTAGGGACAATACTTCTATTTCAAAGGCTCCAAATTCTAAAATCAGATGGTCTTTTATGCTTGGGAAAATGTGAAAAAAATTTCCTCCTTAATAAAATGCATCTACATATACAATTGAACTATTTGAACCTATTGGTATCACTCATGCTTTGGTAATATTAACATATTAACTGACTCCACAGTTTGTTCACAGTTGAGTTGATTTGATATGCTTCTTAATTTTTACAAAATGGATTTATTGAAACAAAACTAAAATTTCTACAGCTCTAAAATATGTCAAAGTTTAAAACTGACCAGCACACAAAAGAAAGACAGGAAGTAAAGCAGAAAAGAATAAAAGGACTTATATAACCTTCAATGGTCACATAATTATATGGCATTCCAATAAGAATGTATCAAAACAACCATGAAAAGAGATCTATGAAACTGTTCTTTTTATTCTTACCTAGATAAAAAGCAGATTGAAAATAGTTTCTAGAGTGATGGTTGCGGAGCATTAAGTTCAATGTTAGGGCCACAGGTCAAATTTTGATGCCACTTTCTATCCCTCTCTCTTTCTCAATCACTTTCTCTCTCTCTTTTAAGAGATGGGTCTCACTATATTGCCCAGGCTGGCCTGGAACTCCTGGGCTCAAGTGATCCTCCTGCCTCAGCCCCACAAGTAGTTGGGATTACAAGCATGTGCCACCACACCCAGTTCTTTGGTACCTCTCTTAATTCTGTCTTCCTTTAGTGAATTTTCTTCTTCTAGTTTGGTGATTTGTTAATATTTTCATTGTTGATTTCTGTATATATGTTACTCCCTGTTGTAGGGCAAGCACATGGTTATAGTTCTTATGGATAACAACTACTCTTAATATGTAAGTCAAGCATTGTCAAAGCAATTAAAGTGTTTACAAAATCAAGCGACTAATTGTATGATGTTATTAGTGTTGACATAATTTTTGTTGTAATTCTCCTCTCAAAGAAAATTTTTGACACTTTTAAAGAATAGGTACGTTCATTTGCAGCTTTCTTATTCTCTCTTTATTAGAAAAAAGTTTTACAAATAACAGAGTACATAAATGTTTTTGGAATGTAAGTGAACCTTGCTTTATATGGGGGTCAGTGGGGTGAGAAAGAGGTAGTATCCACAATTTCCTTGTTTTCTATGACCTTTCCGTAACTCTCTGTTGTCTGCACATCTGACAGGCTCTATCTGAGCATCTAAGATGGTGAAGTAGATCAAATTTCTTTTTTCCTTTCCCCAGGTTAATGACATTTGCTGTGAAGGCTGAGTGATTACTGGAAAATTGGGAACTGGAGACAAGCAACCAGAAGGCTAAATCTAAGGAATAATATCCTCCATTTATCTGAAGAGAGTATTGAGAAAAATTCCAAGTTATTCATCTATATAAATAACATTGCGACCCACCTGGCATTTTCTCAGAGGCAGGCTTCTGATAACCTCTCTCTGGTTTCTACAGAGAGCAAACTTACTAACTCATAGAAAGTTACCTTGTGGTGTTACATATTCTATTTATTACAAAATGCCCATTGCTTAAAAGAAAAACAAAAGTTTAGGATCCTTTGTTTTTTTTTTTTTTTTTTTTTGACCACTTCTCTAAACATTCTATTTCCTAGAATCATCACCCAGCATTTATTCACCATGCTTGGCTCCAAATACATTTTGACAGTCTTCCAAATCCAAGTATACCCTCCAAGGATGAAAAATCACTGTTAACATTCTTTTGAATGTGTCAGAGACTGAGGATAGCACCTGATAAAGCCTTCCTAACAATGAGGCCTGGATACTAGAGCCAGCTCGTGTTAGAATGTTGTTCATTATGCAAGAAAGGCACTTCAAAGCTAATCAAGACACCCTGCCCTCTAAACACACACACACACACACACACACACACACACACACACACACACGCAGAAATCAAGGTCTTCCAAACAAGGCAAATTAATTAATAGTGTACTAAGGTAGAAACAAGGAGAAAACAAATCCTTAAATTTAGTTATTTGGGGAGAGATTATCCAAGTCTCCCATTAACTTTACATTCCATGGTAGCTGCAACTCAGGTTCACTAATGTTAAAAAATGTGTGTCTTATATTTGTGTTACATTCCTGGATCTCTATACACACCAACCCTACGAATGATAAGAAATCTCCTAGTCCTGTCTAATTTTCTCTACGTGTGTGGTGTTATTTTAGGAACCAAAATATAAGGAGTTTTCACGCTTCTTAATAAGAATGCTTCATGCCATCTTTCTTACGGATACTGCAATAAATATATTAGTTCCAAATGGTTGGGTTTTCAGTCCCTTGTTACTAACTCCAAGGCAATGCTCTGTGTACTCTTCAGCATGTAGAATCATGGAAGTCCAGAGGGAAAATAAAGGGCAGGATATATGAACCTTAACTCCTGAATGAGCTGAGGTGCCTGGAGCCGCTGACATCCAGAAACATGGAGTTGAGGTATGGCATTCCTTAGGTAATTATGATCTCAGCCAGGTCTAATGGAGTGATAATAGTTTGGCAGATCCTGTGAGTGGTGTGCATTGCAGAGCCCTCACAAGTTCAGGGAAAGAAAGTTATTCTTTTACCTCAGGAAAAATAGAATAATTGACCTACTGGGACAAAGGAGAAAATTGCTACAGTTCCTTTGGCACTAGGGTCCCTTGTCATTTAGAAAATAGTGATTGGATTATAGAGTGGATTAGCATAATTTAGTGGCAAAAGCACTCGTAACCATTTCTCTCTGGACAAATGACTACTGAACCATGTTTCTTCAATTCCTTCCCTTCTACCTGTATCAGTCCGGTAGAATAAAAGGGGATGGGGTATCAAAAGAATATGATGTCACTCTGAAACACTAAACACACAAGACCACATAGTACAGTAAGTGCCTTAGTGTGAGTGAGGATGACAAGTGCTGGATATAATATTATCAGAAACACAGATGGAAAATGAAACTACTCATTGGATCTGCAGACTTCTTATAGCTAAGGGTGATCATTTGAAATAATTACATTTCTTTGCATTGAATTAATTTGCTAAATTACCTTAGGGTTTTAAGAGTCCTTTTAAAAAAAACATGGCAATACATACACAGTATTTTAAAAATCAAATATATAGAAATGGGTTTTTTGGTTTGTTTATTTGTTTTGTGGTTGTTGTTTCTTCCCTAGGATGTCACTCTGTTGCCCAGGATGGACTGCAGTAGTGCAATCATACTTCACTGTAACCTCAAACTCCTGGCCTTAAGCAATCTTCCCACCTCAGCCTCCGAATTAGCTAGGACTGTGGGTACACACCACTGCACCCAGCTAATTTTCCATGGTTTTTTTTTTTTGTAAAGATGGCATCCCACTATATTGCCCAGGCTGGTCTCAAACCCCTGGGTTCAAAAGATTCTTCCCTAGCACTGGGATTGCAGGACTGAGCCATTGCACCTGGCCCCCAGAAGTGGTTTTACATTTTGAAAAATTGCTTTATCTCATTCTTTTCCTCCCCCCAGGGTCCTGCTTTCCAGAAGCAGCCACCTTAATTTTATTGTTTTTAGTTATTAAGTTAACCCTAAATAATATGTTATGCTGAAATTATTGATGTTGAGGCGCATTCTATTTTAACTTGAAGTTGAGTACTTAGCTAGGTGAAGACTAAAAACCAATCAAAGTCTTTGGATTAATATGACATGTAAAATAGTGTTCACTACAGAGTTCACTACAAGCAGAGTACCAAGATTATATTTCCGTATTCACAGGTTTAAAGTCATGACATTTGTGCCATTCAAAGGAGAAGGATAAAGTGAGCTAAACACTCAGTCAAATGAATGATCATTTTTACAAATCATTAATTATAAGAAATCACACCATATTTGTGTTTGCTCCTGATTGGACTATTATTCTCTTATAATATTTTTGCTCTATTTGTTTCGCTTTATACTTTTCTGGGTCTTATAATTGCTTCACTGGGGGGAAGGAAAATTAAAAACTCATACCTACTTTGTCCATAAAAGTCACCTTTTCTGTGAAGCCTTCTTGGCTCCCCAAGATAAGATAACTCAAGATGAGATAAGTAACTTTTAAGTTCCCATAGCACACATTTTGTCTGTAGCTCTAGGTTAGTAAAAGCCTGGCTAGAAACAGAGTCCTTATTCTACTGCATTATAATAATACATTTAGGGCTATGTCTACTGAACCAGACTATAAATTCCTTAAAGGGAAAAAAATTATATTATCTTTTCATGCCCTGCCTCTAGCATACTGCCCAACACACAGTAAATGTTCATTACATTTGTTGTATGAATAAATGAACATGGTCTGTAAACACACACATCTCAAGTGAATATTAGTGTTCATTCATCTCTCACCCTGCCATCTTCAACCTTCTTTAATCTGGGTTCATTTGGGAACAGCTAAAGTTAAAGAACAATGTAAGTTTTAAACTATCTTCTTAAAAATTTCAGAAAAGTACATTATTCTCTGACCTTGAAAATAAGAACCATCACAAAAATGTTGGCACTGTCCTTCTTTTTACCCTCCGTTGATAAGCATCTCATCTTCTTCTTTATTTATTTATTTATTTTTATATACAATTCTATAAAGATATAGAATATATATAAAATGATACAGAATATATAAATTTAAAGACATAGACTATGTAAATATAGAGACATAACTGACTTCTATGTTAGGCAAATGGGATTGATTGCTGCTTTGCCATGATCAGATTTCTCTCAAATTAACTTGTGATTACAAGTTTCTGAGGGGCTTTTCAAAGTCTGTCTGATTTCATGTTATCACAACATTTCCTGTTATTGTAAAATATTTAGAATAATATTCACAAAACCCATATTGCATAGACTTGAAAATGTCATCACATTTATTGGAAGTGGTTTGGTTTTATTTAGTTCTAAGCTGTATGTCAGTTAGGAGATGAGATCTTTTGAGCTACTATCAATCATCTTGGCTGAAGTTTGTTTGACAACAGCAAAGTCATCATAACCCTGGCCACCCACATCTTTAAAAAAGGCATCCTTTTAGCTGAAACATCATCTTAACAATGAGGATTTTCCTGACTCCCTGGGATTCAACTCACCACACCCTTCCTATGCTCCCTCTGAAACTTCTCCAAACTGTCAGAGTATGTGCTGTGCTTTGTTACACTCGTTGTTTTGCTTGTTTGTTTGTATTTTATCATCCTCATATGCCCCTAGAAAGCATGACTGTGTGTGGTTATAGCCCAGCACCACAATACAGCAGGCATTCAATACATGTTTGCAGAATAAATAAAGGTATCTTTCATATGGAAATCTTCAGAAACAATTATAAAACATTTCTTATAAGAACAGTCCAAAATGATTGCTTTGGGCCCAAATCCTTTGCCTTAAATTGAACAATTGTTTTTATTAATATTTTTATTTTCTGACAACTCAAGGCATGGATTCCAGAAAGTTGGGGAGATGGTAAGACTTAAGAGGCCACCACTGCCTAGTGCTGGCATTCAGGCATGTCTGGAGTTATCTGATAAATGAGCAGAACAGCCCTGATGAAGGTTTATATGCATGAAACTGAGGTTACTCTAGGGGTAAGAAAAAACAATCTCAAGAGAAAACAAACCTAGACATTTAACTTTTTCTCCTGGAAATGTGTTTCTTTAAAAAAAAAATGAGTGTAACAAAGCATAGCACATACTCATGGCTTGGAGAAGGTTCAGTCAATCATTATTTGTTGTGTTCCAATGATGTTCCAGTTATTGTGCTGGGCATGGGTTGTTGTTGTTAAAGTGACTCCATCTACACTTCCAGACGGAATGGCCTGAAAACTCCTAGCTGATATGAAATTTAAAATGGCTGCTCACAACAGCAAAATATAAAAATAAAATTGAAGTCAGAAAATATGACTAATAAACATTAAAAGAAATACAAATTTAAACAATATATATCAAGTATTTTCATCTAATTGAAAAAGAATTTAAATAACAATTATACCAAGTGTTGACAGATGAAAAAAAAATGTACTCTCATACAATATATGTTTGAAGTGTAAATAAGTGCAACCTTTGAAAGCACCTTGGTCATGCATGCACACGCGCACACACACACACACACACCAAGCCAGAAATTCTATTTTTCTTCTCTGTTATTGAGAATACATGCATATAATATATATATGAAAACACCGGTGGAAAGCTTTGCTTTGCAGCAAATATTTACAAGAATAAACAAATAACAACCAGGAGGATTCTGGGAAGATGGTGGAATGGGAAGCACCAGCAATCTGTCTGTCTCCCCACCTAGACAACATTTGCTCTGGCAGAATCAGTCTGATGTAACTCTTTTGGAACTCTGGATTCTATTGCAGCCTTGCAATTTCTAGGAAAAGCCTTTAATGGTCAATTGCAGTTAATTTCAGTCTATTTCAGTTCTTATCAGGGTAGCAGCTACCCATATTCCATCCTCAGCCCTGTGGCAGGCAGCTGTGTGCATGTTTCTGGAGTGTCCTGGGTATACCCTGTGGAAGTCAGGGTAGGAAAAATGGACCCTGTCCTCCAAATGTCAGGTATCTGTACACTGATTGCTGCTACTTCTGATCACAAACATACCGACAAAGAGACATGCAGCCATTGTTGTTTCACCTCCTCCATTGTTACAGCCCCCACACTCTAGGGCTAAAATGACTTCCAGAGGATTTAAACGGCTGGCACTCTTTCTCCCCTCCTTCTTTTATTATTCTTTTTTTCCACTTTTTGGATCCAGACATTAAAGACTCAGTTATTCAAAAGCAACTACATATATGGGGAAAATTTGAAAGTGACCGTGCATGCCTAGGAAAAGGTGCAGCTTCAGAAAATACTTGAGAAGACATTATATCTCACACTGACCTATGACATAGAGACAGGTTAGAATAACCAAAAAAACAATAAGCAAAACCCAGCAAACCCTGGGGAAGATGGAGAATCTAATTTCAAGAGTTACCACATCATTAGATTCAAATGTTCAGTTTTCAACAGAAAATCATAAGGCATGAAAACAAACAAATAAACAAACAAACAAAAAACATAGGAAAATATGGCCCATTCAAAGGAAAAAAGTAAATCAACAGAAACTATCCCTGAGAAAGACCTAATGGCAGTTGCACTAAACAAAAACTTTAAGCCAATTGTTTTAAATATGCTCAAAGAACTAAAGGAAGGTGTGGAGAGAGAAAAGACAATGATGTACGAACAAAATAAAAAATCAGTAAAGAGTTAGAAAATGTAAAAAGAAGCCAAAATGAAATTCTGGACATGAAAAATAGAATAACTGAAATGAAAAATTCACTAGAGGGATTCCAAGGCAGATTCAAGCAGGCAGAAGAAAGAATCAATGAACTTAAAGAGAGGACAACTGAAATAATTGAGTCTGAGAAACAGAAGAAAAAAAGATTGAAGAAAACGAACAGAGCCTAAGGGACCTGTGGTGTTGTGGGAAGCCAGGGACCCCAAATGGAGGGACCGGCTGGAGCTGCGGTAGAGGAACACGAATTGTGAAGATTTCATGGAAATTTATCAGTTCCCAAATAATACTTTTATAATTTCTTACGCCTGTCTTACTTTAATCTTTTAATCCTGTTATCTTCGTAAGCAGAGGATGTACATCACCTCAGGACCACTGTGATAATTGTGTTAACTGTACAAATTGATTGTAAAACATGTATGTTTGAACAATATGAAATCAGTGCACCTTGAAAAAGAACAGAATAGCAGCAATTTTTAGGGAACAAGGGAAGACAACCATAAGTTCTGGGGTAGGGCAAAAAGAGCCATATTTTTCTTCTTGCAGAGAACCTATAAACGGACGTGCAAGTAGGAGAGATATCGCTAAATTCTTTTCCTAGCAAGGAATATTAACATTAATATTAATATTAATACCCTGGGAAAGGAATGCATTCCTGGGGGGAGGTCTATAAACGGCCGCTCTGGGAATGTCTGTCTTATGCGGTTGAGATAAGGACTGAGATACGCCCTGGTCTCCTGCAGTACCCTCAGGCTTACCTGGGTGGGGAAAAAACTCCACCCCGGTAAATTTGTGGTCAGACCAACTCTCTGCTCTCAACTTTGTTTTCTGTTGTTTAAGATGTTTATCAAGACAATATGTGCACCGCTGAACATAGACCCTTATCAGTAGTTCTGCTTTTGCCCTTTTGTCTTGTGATCTTTGTTGGACCCTTATCAGTAGTTCTCCTTTTTGCCCTTTGAAGCATGTGATCTACTCCCTATTCTTACACCCCCTCCCCTTTTGAAACCCTTAATAAAAAATCTTGCTAGTTTAAGGCCCAGGTGGGCATCACGGTCCTATCGATAGGTGATGTCACCCCTGGAGTCCCAGCTGTAAAATTCCTCCCTTTGTACTCTTTCTCTTTATTTCTCAGCCAGCCGACACTTACGGAAAACAGAAAGAACCTACGTTGAAATACTGGGGGCGGGTTCCCCCAATACTGTGGGACACCACCAAGTATACCAACTTACATACTCTGGGAGTCCCACACAGAGAAGACAAGGATAAAGGGACAAAGAGAATAGTTGATGAAATAATGAATGAAAACCTCCCAAGTTTGGTGAAATGCATGAATACAAACATCCAAAAAGCCCAGCAAACTCTAAGTAAGAAGAACTCAGGGGTCTACACCACAACACATTTCAATCAAACTTTCAAAAGCAAAGGCAAAGAGAAAAACTTGAAAGCAGCAAAAGAGATGTGACTTGTCACATAGAAGGAATCCTCTATAAGATTATCATCAGATTTCTCATCAGAAACATTGGAATCCAGAAGACAGTGGATACATACATTCAAAATGCTAAATTAAAACAACAACAACAACAACAAAAATTGTCAAACCAAAATCCTGTATTTGACAAAACTGTTCTTCAAAAGTGAAGGAGAAATTAAGACATTCCCAGATTAACAAAAGTTGAGAAAGTTTGTTCCCACTAAATTTGCCACACAAGAAATGCTTGGGAGTCCAGGAAGGTGAAATAAAATGACACCAGAGAGTAAAGCTATATAAAGAAATAAAGATCTCAATAAAGGTAAATACATGGGCAATTATAAAAGCTAGCATTACTGTAACAATGGTTTGTCACTGTACTTTTTGTTCTCTACATTATTTAAGATACTAAAACACTTTGAAAAATAACAATCTAAAAGCTAATATTATTGTAACATTGGTTTGTAACCCCACATTTTTCTATTTATTTAAAACACTAATGCATTTAAAAAAAATTATTAGTTTATATTTTGGGGCATACTATGTAAAAACATGTAATTTTGTGACTTTAGCAAGCTAAAGCGATGAGGATGAACCTGTTAAAGGAGCAGTTTTGTATGTTATTGGAATGAAGCTGGTATAAATTGAAGTTAGACTGTTATAACTTTAGAATGTTAAATGTAATCTCCATGGTAACCACAAAGAATATGCCTATAGGATATATAAAAAAGAAATGAGAAATGTTTTTCTACAAAAAAATCAACTAAACACAGAAGAAAATAGTAATTCAGGAAATGAGGAACAAAATAGCTATTAGACATTTAGAAAACAAATAGAAAAATGACAGAAGTAAAACCTTTTTTTAGTAATTACTTTAAATGTAAGTGAATTAAACTCTCCAGTCAAAAGACAGAGATTTGCAGGATAAATTTAAGAATATAATCTAACTGTATGTTGTCTACAAGAGATTTACTTTAGATCCAAAGACACAAATAGATTTAAAGTGAAAGGATGGAAACAGATATTCTATGGAAATAGTAACCAGAAAAGATCAGAGTTAGTGATACTAATATCAGACAAAATAGTCTTCCATTTTTCAAAATTTACAAAAAATGAAGAAGGGCATTATGCATTAATAAAAAGTTCAGTACAGCAAGAATATATAATTATAAACATTTATGCACCTAATGACAAACCATTAAAATATATACATGTGCAACAAAAACTGACAGAACCAATGGGAGAAATAGACTGTTCTACAATAATAGTTGGAGATTTCAGTACCCCATTCTCAATAATGGCTAAAACAACCAGACAAAAGATAAATAAGAAAGTAGAGTACTTAAACAACAGAATAAACCAACTAGATCTAATAGACACACATTGAACACCGTACCCAGCAATAACAGCATACACATCTTCTCAAGTGCACATGGGACATTTTCCAGGATAGACTATATGTTATCTATATATATTTCAGTATATATATATATACTGAAACATAGATTATGTTTCAGTAGATTTTCAAAGACAGATATCATAAAAAGCATCTTCTCCAATCACAATGAAACAAAATTAGAAATCAATAACGTAAGTAAAAATGGAAAATTTACAATATTGTAAAAATTAAACAACACACTCTTAAACAACCAACAGATCAAAGAAGAAAGCACAACAGAAATTAGAAAATACTTACAGATGAATGAAAATGAAAGCCCAACATACCAAAATATGGGATGCTGTGAAAACAGTGCTAAATAATTTTAGGGGAAATTTATAGCTATAAACACTTAAAAACAAGAAGGATCTCAAATCAACTACCTAAAGTTACAGCTTAAAAAAAATAGAAAAAGAAACTATCAAAACCCAAAGTTGGCAGGAAAAAAAAGAAAAACGATGGTACAGAAATAAACAAAATAGAGAAATACAATACAGGAAATCAATAAAACCAAAAGTTGGTTTGTTTTAAAATATCAACAAAATTGACAAAACTTAAATAGATAGGCTAAGAAAAAAAACCACAGACTTAAATTACTAAAGTCAGAAATGAAAGCAGGAATACTACTGATTCTATAGAAATAAAAAGGATTGTGGGAAAGTACTATAAATAATTGCACACTAACAACTTAGATAACCTAGATTAAATGGGGAAATTGCTAGAAACACAAACTCTACCAAGACACAATAATGAAAAAAATATAAAATCTGAATAGACCTGTAACTAGAAGGATATTGAGTCAGTAATTTAAAATCTTCCAACAAAGTAAAGCCCAGGACCTGACGGGTCCTGGGTAAATTCCAACGAACATTTAAAAAAGAACTAACACAAATCATTTTCGAATTTTTCAAAAAGAAGCATTGAAAAGATGAGAACACTTTCTTACTCACCTTATGAGGCCAGCATTACCTTGATACCAAAGCCAAAGGAAGACACTACAAGAAAAGAAAATAGCAAATCAATATCTCTTATGAACATTCATGCAAAAATGCTTAATAAAATACTAGCAAACTGAATTCAGAAGCATACTATAAGAGTTATATAGCATGACCAAATGGGATTTATTCCTGAAATACAAGGATAATTCAACATACAAAAATCAACATAACACATCACATTAACAGAATGAAGGGGGAAAAAAAACACATAATCATCTTAATCAATGCAGAAAAAGGATTTCACAAAATTCAACACTGTTTCCTAATAAAAACATTCAACAAACTAGGTATAGAAGGAAACGACCTCAACATAATAAAAGCCATATATGAAAAACCCACAGTGAACATCATACCCAATGGTGAAAGACTGAAAGAATATCTTTGACAAGAAAAAATAAACAGATAGAATAGAAATGGAAAAGGAAGAACTAAAATTATCTGTTTGCAGATGATATGATCATCTATGTAGAATACCCTGAAGATTCCACATAAAAATGTTAGACCTAATAAGTGAATTAGGCAATTTAACAAGATACAAAGCCAGCACAAAATAATCAGTTACATTTCTATACACTAACAATAAACAATAAGAAATGGAAATGATGAAAACAATTTTATTTACAGTATCATCAAAAATAATAAAATACTTAGCAATTAATTTAATCAAGGAGTTGAAAGACTTATACAACAAAACAACTATAAAACAATGCTAAAAGAAATTAAGGAAGACAATAAATGGAAACATATCCCATGTTCATAGATTAAAAGACATGCAATGGATCAAAGAAATAAGTGTAAGTTCTAAAACTAAAATTCTTAGAAGAAATCATAGAGGAAAAAGCCTAACAACATTTTTTTTCACAATGACTTCATTGGCTATCACACCAAAGGCACAGACAGCAAAAGAAAACCATGGACTTCTTTTTTCTGTTGTTTTAACTTTCTTTATTTCCGTAGGTTATTGGGGAGCAGTTGGTATTTGGTTACATGAGTAAGTTCTTTCGCAGTGATTTGTGAGATTTTGGTGCACCCATCACCTGAGCAGTATACACTGCATCCAATTTGTAGTCTTTTATCCCTCACCCCCTTCCCACCCTTTCCTACTGAGTTCCCAAAGTCCACTGTGTCATTCTTATGCCTTTGTATCCTCATAGCTTACATCCTGAGTTACTTCACTTAGAATAATCATCTCCAATCTCATCCAGGTGGCTGTGAATGCCATTAATTCATTCCTTTTTAATGGCTGGCTGAGTAGTGCTCTGTTGTATATCTATGCTACTGTTTCTTTATCCACTTAATGATTGATGGGCATTTGGGTTGCTTCCACATTTTTGCAATTGCAAATTGTGCTGCTATAAACATGTGTGTGCAAGTATCTTTTTCGTAAAATAACTTCTTTTCCTCTGGGTAGATACCCAGTAGTGAGATTGCTGGATCAAATGGTAGTTATACTTTTAGTTCTTTAAGGAATCGCCACACTGTTTTCCATAGTGGTTGTACTAGTTTACATTCCCACCAGCAGTGTAGAAGTTTTCCTTGTTCACCACATCCATGCCAACATCTACTATTTTTTTATTTTTTGATTATGGCCATTCTTGCATGGGTAAGGTGGTATGGCATTGTGGTTTTGATTTGCATTTCCCTGATCATTAGTGATGTTGAGTATTTTTTCATATGTTTGCTGGCCATTTGTATATCTTCTTTTGTGAATTATCTATTCATGTCCTTAGCCCACTTTTTGATGGGATTGTTTTTTCTTGTTGATTTGAGTTCATTGTAGATTCTGTATATTAGTCCTTTGTCAGATGTACAAATTGTGAAGATTTTTTCCACTCTGTGGGTTGCCTGTTTACTCTTCTGACTGTTCCTTTTGCCATGCAAAAGCTCTTCAGTTTAATTAAGTCCCAGACATTTATCTTTGCTTTTATTGCATTTGCTTTTGGGTTCTTGGTCATGAAATCCTTGCCTAAGTCAAAGTCCAAAAGGGTTTTTTTCAAGGTTATCTTCTTGAATTTTTAGAGTTTCAGATCTTAGATTTAAGTCCTTAATCCATCTTGAGTTGATTTTTGTACAAGGTGAGTGATGAGGATCCAGTTTCATTCTCCTACATGTGGCTAGCCAATTATCCCAGCATCATTTGTTGAAAAGGGTGTCCTTTCCCCACTTTATGTTTTTGTTTGCTTTGTCAAAGATCAGTTGGCTATAAGTATCTGGGTTTATTTCTGAGTTTTCTATTCTGTTCCACTGGTCTATGTGCCTATTTTTATACCAATACCATGCTGTTTTGGTGACTATGGGCTTATAGTATAGTTTGAAATCAGGTAATGTGATGCCTCCAGATTTGTTCTTTTTGATTAGTCTTGCTTTGGCTATGTGGGCTCTTTTTTGGTTCCACATGAATTTTAGAATTGAGAAAACCATGGACTTCCTAAAAAAAGTTTAAATATGCTTCAAAAGATACTACTAACAGAGTAAAAAAAGGCAGTCCAAAGAATGGGAGAAAATATTTGCAAAGAATGTATCTAATAAAAAAAATTAATAGCCAGAATACACAGAGAATGCCTAAAATTCAACAACAACAAAACAACCTAATTCAAAAATGGACAAAGGACTTGAATAGACATTTCTCCACAGGTGATACACAGATTACCAAGAGGCAGAGGAAAAGATTCTCAACCTCACTAGTTATTAGGAAAATGCAAATCAAGGCTACCATGAGATATCACCCATTAGAAAAAGGTTAATATTTAAAAATCAGAAAATAAGTGTGAGCAAGGATGTGGAGAAATGGAACCCTTGTGTACAGTTGGTGAGAATATAAGTGGTACAGTCACTGTGGAAAACAGTATGATAATCCTGCAAAAAGTTAAAAATAGAATTTAAATATCATCCAGCAAGTCCACTTCTGGGTACAGGCATACATCAGAGATACTGTGGATTTGGTTCCAGATCACTACAATAAAATGAATATCACAATAAAGCAAGTCATACAATTTTTTCATTTCCCATTGCATATAAAAGTTATGTTTATACTATACTATAGTCTATTAAGCATGCAATACTATCATGTCTTAAAAAAACAATGTACATACCTTAGTTAAAAAAATACTTTATTCTTAAAATATTCTAACAATCTTCTGAGCCTTGAGCAAGTTGTCATCTTTTTGCTGGTGGAGGGTCTTGCCTTGATGGTGATGGCTGCTGACTGATCAGGGTGGTGATTGCTGAAGGTTGGGGAGGCTGTGGCAATTTTTTACAGCAATACAACAATAAAGTTTGCACATTAATTGACTCTTTCATGAAAGATTTCTCTGTAGCATGCAATGCTGTTTGATAGCATTTAACCTACAGTAGAACTTCTTTCAAAATTGAAGTCAATCTTCTCAAACCCTCTTACTACTTTATCAATTAAGTGTATGAATACTCTAAATCCTCTGTTGTCATTTCAACATTGTTCCCAGCATCTTAACCATGAATAAATTCCATCTCAAGAAACGACTTTCTTTGTTCATCGATAAGAAGCAACTTCTCATCCATTCAATCCTTATCATGAGATTGCAGCAACTCAGTCACATCTTTAGGCTCCACTTCTAATTCTACTTCTCTTAGTATTTCCACCACATCTGTAGTTAATTCCCCACTGAATTTTGAACCCCTCAAAGTCATCTACAAGGGTTAAAATCAACTTCTTCCAAACTCCTGCTAATGTTGATATTTTGGCCTCCTCCCATGAATCATAAATGTTCTTAATGGCACCTAAAATGACAAATTTCTTCCAGAAGGTTTTCAATTTCTTTGCCCAGACCTATGAGGGGAATCATTATCTATGACAACTATAGCCTTATAAAATGTATTTCTTCAATAATAAGACTTGAAAGTCAAAATTACTCCTTGATACACATGGATATTGTGCTAGCAGGCAGGAAAACATTAATCTCTTTGTACATCTTCATCAGAGCCCTGGGGTGACTAGGTGCATTGTCAATCAATGGGCAGTAACATTTTGAAAGGAACAGTGTTTTTTTGTTTTGTTTTGTTTTTGTTTTTGTTTTTTCCTGAGCAGTAGGTCTCAACAGCAGACTTAAAATATTCAGTAAATCATGCTGTAAACAGATGTGTTTTCAACCAAGCTTTGTTGTTCCATTTACAGAGCACAGGCAGAGTAGACTTAGCATCATTCTTAAGGCCCTTAAAATTTTGAAATGGTAAATGAGCACCGACTTCAACTTAAAGTCACTCACTGCATTAGCCTCTAACAAGAGAATCAGGCTATCTTTTGAAGCTTTGAAGCTAGCCATTGACTTCTCCTCTTTAGCTATGAAAGTCCTAGATGACATCTTCTTCTAATAGAAGACCATTAAAAATATATTGTTTAGTGTAGACACTATCATAAATGATCTTGGCTAGATCTGGATAACTTGCTGCAGCTTCTACAACAGCACTTGCTGCTTCACCTTGCACTTTTATGTTACAGAAATGGCTACTTTCTTAAATCTCATGAACCAATGTCTGCTCACTTCCAGCTTTCCTTTGGCAGCTTCCTCACCTCTCTCAGCCTTCAAAGAATTGAAGAGTTAGGGTCTTGTTCTGGATTAGGCTTTGGCTTAACGGAATGTTGCGGCTGCTTTGATCTTCTATCCAGACAACTCAGACTTTCCCCATATCAACAATAAAGCTGTTTCACCTTCTTATCATTTGTGTATTGACTAGAGGAGCACTTTGAATTTTCTTCAAGAACTTTTCTTTGCATTCACCACCTGGCTAATAGCTTTTTGAAACAAGAGTCCTAGTTTTTGGGCTATGATGGCTTTTGACATGTCTTACAAACTAAGCTTAGTCTTTTCTAGCTTTTGCTTTAAAGTGACAGATATGTGACCCTTCCTTTCACTTGAACATGTAGGCCATTGTAGGGTTATTAATTGGCCTAATTTTAATATTGTTGTGTCTCAGAGAATAGGAAAGCCCAAAGAGAGAGAGAAAAATTGTGGAATGACCAGTCCATGGAGCAGTCAGAACACATATACTTATTTATTAAGTTCACCATCTTATATAGGTGTGAATTGTGCCACCCCCAAGCAATTACAATAACATCAAAGATCACTGATCAAAAATCACCATAACAGATATAATAATAATTTAAAAGTCTAAAATATTATGAGTACTGCCAAAATGTGACACAGAGACATGAATGAGCACATGCTATTTGAAAAAAATGGTGGCAATAGACTTGTTCCATGCAGGATTACCATAAAACTTCAATTTGTGAAACCACATTATCTGTGAAGCACAATAAAGTGAAGCATGACAAAATGAGGTATGCCTGTATATAACCAAAATAATTGAGAGTATGGCCTTGAAGAGATACACCCATGTTCACAGAAGCATTATTTTTAATAGTTAAAAATGGAAGCAACCAAGTGTTCATTGATCAATGAATGGATGAGCAAGATGTGGTATATACATACAATGGAATCTTATGCAGCTTTAAAAAGAAGGAAAATCAGGCCGGCAGGTGCCTCAAGGGCGGGTGTGGTGATTCACGCCTGTAATCCCAGCACTTTGGGAGGCCGAGGGTTGGGGGGCCAGATCACTTGAGGTCAGGAGTTCCTGACCAGCCTGGCCAACATGGTGAAACCCCATATCTACTAAAAATACAACAATTATCCAGGTGTGGTGGCACACGCCTGTAATCCCAGCTACTTGGGAGGCTGAGGCAGGAGAATTGCTTGAACTTAGGAGGCAGAGGTTGCAGTGTGCTGAGATCGTGCCACTGCACTCCAGCCAGGGCAACAGAGCAAGACTTCGTATTAGAAAAAAAAAAAAAAAAGAAGGAAAATTGGACTTATATTACAACATGAATGAAACCTGAGGACATAATGCTAAATAAAATAAGCCAGCCACAGAGAAATAAATACTATGTGACTCCACTTATATGGAGTATCTAAAGTAGTCAAACTTTTACAAACAGAAAGCAGAATGGTGGTTGCCAGGGATTGTGGGGGTAAGGAAATGAGAAGTTATTCTTTAATGGATATAAACTTTCAGTTTTACAAGATGAAGTGTTATGGAGTTGAATGGTAGTAATGGTTGTACATTAACAATGCAGTGAATACGACTGAATCATACAATTAAAAACAAATAAGATGGTTAATTTTATATAATGTATTTTTACTCTAATAAAAAAATTTGAAAAGAAAATGGAAGGAAAAATCAAGTACTAATAACCAAAAGTTGACTAATGGGGAATGGCTAAATAAAAATAGGGCCCATCCATGAAATGGAAAACTATCTAGCAATTTAGAAGCATAAATTAATCTAGAATGCATTAGTATTAAAAAAATCTCTGAAACACATTATTGCTTGTACAGAGTATATATATATCAGAGAGTATATCGAGACAATATATATACAGAGAGCATAATAGGGCATACTGGTTAGAAGTGTAAACCTGCATGTGAACCCTGGCTCTGCCACTTACTGACAGTGCAATCCCAGGAAAGTTACTTACCCTCCCTGGGTTTTTCATTTTCTCATTAGCAAAATGGGGATACAGAGAGCCTTATAGTGTTGTTGTCAGGATTAATTAGAACAGTACCTGTTGCATAGTAAGTACCCTAAAAATATTAGATATCATTATTATTGTTTTAAAAATTCACAAATACCTTCTTTGTGCATGTACACATCATACATGTACACACACATATACATTAAGAGAAAGTGGTCCTGAAAGACACATACCAGTGTTGAAATAAGAATTATGAGTACAGAGAGAATTCACCTAGAGATGAGCCAGGGAGATATTTGCTTTGATCAATAACCGTATAAGAAAACTTTTTTGTTTCATTATGAAGTTAAATATCAAAACATATCGATTGTTTAAAAACTATACAACAAGGAGGAAGAAAGGAAGAAAGATGAGAAAGAGAGAATCCTGAGCAGAAGGCAGCCTGTTGAATATATAGGATCTATGGCCAAAAACCTTAAGTGCTATTATCTGGACTCAATAAGACATTGAATAGTGTTACTCCTAGAGTAATGGAATTAATGATTTCTGAGTAATTAAAGAATTGATAATTAATGAATGAAAAACAAGAATATGCCCTAGAAATATTTCAATAATCACCTGAAAACTTCCATAAATTGTTTAGATAGAAGTTCTTATTCATATATGTATATATGACTATATATACACAAGAATGTATACATATCTACATATATATGACATTTAGGTTTTATATAACATCCTACCATTCTGTGCCCTTGTTCTAATAGGATTTTTTGTTTGTTTTGTTTTGCTTACTTTCCTTTTCTTCTTGTAGAATGCTTTGAGCTTTGAAAAGCTCTGTATAAATATCAAACATTAAACACTAATTACAAGCTTATAAACTTAGTTTCTGTTGAAAGAGTGTTAGTAACTCTGTGCTGTCAACTCAGAGCTTGACAACAAAATGCCTCAATGAAATAAGCCCAGCCTTTGTAAAGAAAAGCAGCTTTTAGTGCCAAGAAGTTAGCACCAACTGCCATCTCAGCCTCCAGGGGGGCTCAGACAAATTGCATAATAAGAACAGATAAATGGAATCTCGAAAACCCGGACTTAGGAAAATGTCTTTTTGAGAGTTGAAAGCAGAGTCAGCAATGGAGCCCTTTAACTTAATCCTGGTCAGAGGCGAGCAGAGGAAGCTATACTGGAAGAAATCACTAAGTTGACTTCTTACCCTGCATTCCCTCATGCCCCAGCACCTGGACTGCCCTCAGTTACTCGCTCTGTCCAGTGCTTGCCTCCTGGCTTAGCTCTACCCTTCCCAAAGCACCTCTCATCCTCTTGACCACTGTCAGGGAAATAAAACAATCCTGTCAACCAAAGACCTCTCCATACCAATAGGCAAGACAGAAAACACAATTGATTCATGAGTAGGCATTACAGACTTACATGCATGAGAATGTGGACAAAGTCTGGGTAGAATTTAGCACAAGTTTATACGGGAAAGTAGAAGAGCAAGTAATTTAAATGTCCTTTTCTGAGATTACCTCCTGTATGTCTATGAGAAACTTATAAATTAATCTTGGAGTTTTTTGTTGTGCTGTTGTTGTTTACAATTCTAAGCATCAGAATGCCCATAAACTTGCATTATAAAATCAGAGGCCTGAGCCCATATAAAAATAGGGCTGATTATATTTTTAGGAACCATCCTACAGAGGAGAGGATGGGGAGAGGCAGCTGCATCCTCCTCTTTACTAAACCAATATAGCTTGATCAATTTACCTTACAACTTGAACACTAACGTTACAACACAAAGGGGAAAAATCTTGATTCATGTATCAAAACCTTGGATAATTCACTATTTGAGCCCTCTCTTGTCAGATGCAATTTCACAGCTTTGTCTGTAACATAAAACAAAATCTTGCCTTTTGGGCTGATGAAATGAGAATTGTCTCTTTTCCTTCTCTGGATTTGACTGACGTGGCCAAAGAAATGAAGTTTCTGTCAGGCTACCTTGAAGAGTGGGTCAGTCGTCTGTCTTCAAGGTCAAACCTGTGGCTTCAGAGCGGCTTCCCAAAGCCCTGTCTGCCTGCTGCATTCTGGGCTTTGCAGGGGTGGCAGGATTGCGGCAGGCCGAGGCTCCTCAGCCAGGAGCAGTTTGGAAAGACGTTTCGGCTCTCATCTCCTCCTTCCACCACCAATCCTCCTCACTCACCCGCCACCAGCAAGCACTCCTTCACTCCTGTCACTATTTCCACTTCCTACCCTTATGAAGAGGAAGCAGAAGTTCCAGGTTTTAAATGAAACACTCTTAAGAACAATCCTTAAGAAAGCAGCTGATTCTTAGAGAAAGTGCTAATAACACAGTCAATTTAACCCTAGCATTTGTAGCCAATTTTTTCAAATTCCCATTTAGTAGGCAACAAAGCTTTGCAGCTGAGCTCTGAGGCCTCGAGAGAAAGCAGGTCCCAAATAGTGAAGGTTTAGAATGAGGCTCCAAAGCCATGCCCCCCGTACTTTGTCCGCCACATCCTCCCCGCCAACAGATGAAATATCCCTTTGGTCTGTTCTGTTGACAGCTGCATTTTAAAAAATCTGATTTTTCCCAATCCGGACAGCATTATCCTTTACGATTCAGCACAGACCCCTGACAACTGGACTTGTGACGAGCAGATTACAAAGCTGGTTTATCCAGGCATTGTGTTTCTGCGGCTCTTTCTGAAGCCACAGCCTCCGCGGCAGCAGGGAGCACTAATTGCTCATTTGCGGCAGTGACCTTTTCAACTGGACAGCGCCTGGGATCTGGTTCCACGTTGATGTCTCTCTTCTTTACAGTGTGCTGGCAGGGAAAGAAGCACCCAGTGGCACTGAGTATAGTAGTATCTAGTGTCTGGACCCAGCTCACTCTGCTTCTCAAAGCAAGACCCGAGGAGCAGAGGTATCTGTTCTATTCACTTTGTTTTTGCACTTGGATTCTGACAGGAATTTAAGCCACTGGGATCAGGAGTGCATTAGGGCACAGTTATGGCAAGACACTTGTCTGGGAGTCACTCATTTTCAAAAGAAAACTGGACACATTTCCATCAGGCAGCAAGTGAAAAATATTCAGAGAGATCTATTTTGATATTTAATCTCCAAATCTTATATTTGGGATTGAGGTCAATATCCTATTTGATAGTCTCCCAGCTAAGAATCTACTTTCATTTGCTCACTGCCTGTTGTGTATGCAAAACGAGTACAACATTAATCTAGTGCAAATGGCATCTACGAAATTTTCCAGGAACATTAGCAGATTGTTGGCACTTTACGAAGGACTTCGCAGGACCAGAATGAGCTTGACACAGGTAAGGAGAGAAAAATCTGAGTGAAACATTGAGTGAACTGATCTCAGAATCCTGTGATACTGTCTGCAGATTGGAAAAAAGGGACACAACGAGACAGCCACAGTGCAAGGCAAGGAAGGGGCAACAAAGTGAGCATTGTCACATTTAGGTATTCTAGTTCATCTATCTGCTACCAAGAGCTGCCAATCAAAAATATACTGTCTGAGAGTGTGGCAGATTGCAGAGGACAGGAGACACCATACGTGTTCATCATCCAACCAAACCCTGACGCAAAACCCACTGAACATTTATTGATGAAAAGCAAAAATAGGCCACAGGGAGAAACCCAATGGAGCAATTACACCTAGGCTACATTTCTCAATGGTTGTATACACCAATTTTATTTTTCTTTTTGTACTCCACAAATAACTTGATGCTAAAACCTGAAGCATCAAATAAATAGTTCCTATCCACCGCCTCTCATAGCCCACGCATCTTACCTGTACTTTATCAATCCCATTCTCTCATAAGATATAGAAAACCTATGGCATGATGGGGTTCAAATATATGTATCTGAAATTTATTAAGAAATATGTTAAGATTGCTGATGGGGTGGCAATTAAGCCCCTGCCATCACTTTAAAGAGCTACCAAAAAGAAACCCAACAGAAATGTAAAGAGAAATTGTACTTTAAAAAGAGTAAGTATATTTTGAAAACGATAAGTAATAATGTCAAGTAAGATTATGATTCTATCCACACAGCTGGCCCTGACACTATTTGAAGGATGCCTGTGTGTCAGGGGAAGGAAGGGGATCTGGATCTGCCTCTCCAGCTTCCCAACAATTGCTCCTGTGATTGTTTCTAGTTTTCTCTTTCTCCCTTGGGAATAACATTTGCGTTCCAACTACCACATTCATTGCAATATTAACTCTATGCTGGTGTAAGTGCTTAAGCAAAAATCCTCAGAGAATTAAGTAAAAGGTATTATATGTAAATCCCTCTTGGGCACTTCATGCTGATAGCAACTAGCCAGAACTCAGTGATAGAATGAGGTTCTTAACAGACTTTTCGCAAAGAAAAGAAAAGCAATATTCCCTGTGAAATTTTATGAATAAGCTAGTCAAATCCAACCTCAGAGACAAATTGGTGGCTACCATGATGCCTAGCAATATGACAATGCACTTTGAAGGGAAATAATGACATTTCCCTAATTTCTCAGACATGTCACTGAAAAGTGTTCTTGAATTGCTCAGCTAAACATTAATTCCATTGTCTTCATTTAAAAGGGCATATTCTATGGCCCAAACCCAGTCTAAAAACCCCCACTGACTTCACAGGGAGATTTTCCTGAGTAAAGGTGACAGGGTACAATTCCATGTAGGCTGAGTGACTGTCTGTCATTTTTATTACTTGGGACTGAAAATGTTTTCTAGCAGTACAAACCCCAAGGGACCACATGGTGCCTAAATTATCCATCTGTAATGCTGTTTGGATCCTTGTTCATCTGACTCCACAAGGGACCAGAGTTACTCACCTGCTATGACCACATAGGCATAATTTCTGTGCTTTATATTACCGACCAAGGAATGCATTTTTCCAGCTGCGGAAAGTATAAATACAAATGTAATATTCAGAAGTGGAAGAAACACTGGAGTCCAGGTAGAACTAACTGATCTTTACCAGGGCAGAGCATGTATCTCTACAACCAAAACTAAACTGAGAAACAATTCACTGTGTGGGGGACTCAAAGATCTTTTCTGTGTCAGTCTCAATTATTGGTTGAGGGATGGTGAGTCATTTAAAAGAGGAGGTGAGAAAGAAGAGGTGGAGAGGTGAACTTCAGTCATTTTGTGAAGATCCTGAGTCTTTTCGAAATAACGAAATATTTCATATTTAGATATGTATGACACCAAGTACCCAGAAGATTCTTGAATATTCCATATATAATCATTTTTATGTTATTTTGGTGTCCTGTTCTACCTATGCTATTTTATAGAGTCAGAGAAATTAAAAACGATACAAATTGCAGTAACTAGGATTTTTGACTTCTTTTTCTAGAGTTCCCTCAGTAAAGACTTTGAAAATTAGAAAAATAGAAATTATTTTGCCCCTAGTGAAATAGGCAAGACATAACCACCCATTTTGCTGTAGTCTTTTTTTAAGGGTGAATGGCTACAAAAAGTCAACCAGGGAGGAACTACAACATATTCTTTTTTCCTAACATTGATTCAGTTTTCCATCTTTATGTAGTAAAAGAAACATGACAGAGAAACAAATGCCCTTCTATTGTTTACATTTGAGGTTTACAGAGAGAGCAATCAGCAGATTTTCTGTAAGATCCATCTATCTGTCACTGTGTTTTATTGGATATGGCTGCAGCTGAATCGAAAACAGGAAAGAGGAAAGAAGTGAAAGTGACAAAGATGGTTATAAAAATAGAAAAAAAAGAGTGAAATCTCTGGAGTGTAAGAGTGGACCAAATACAGCTGTGGGCAATATTCCCTCTGTTTTTATAAAGTGTGTGCATGTGCCTTGCCACATAAGGAACGAATTATGAAGACTAAGCATGTTTCATGTTTTTGGCATTGTATTCAGATGGAATTCATGATGAAGTTTATCAGGCATGTTTCATCCACATTATGCACAATCAGAACTCTGCCACATGGTAATTAGGTCAGCACCACCATCCCCCACAACCACTTCATATATATACAAAATGCAGCATCAATCAGTTCTGCTTGTCCACAGATGAAAGCCTAACTCAGTATGCCACTTAATAACCCCTATAATCTGGTCCCAACTTTTTTCCATAACCTAATTTCCCTTGCTCCTACCTGCCCCACGGAGAATGATCACTGCACAAGTGATTGCCATTTTCTCTTTCACGACCCTGTTACCTTACATTGACAGTATCGCAACACCCCAATTTCACCATGCTTTGTTTTTCTAAGTCTTGCCTTTCTTTAAAGATTTTCCTTACCATTTGAACAATGTCGCCCCCACTGCAACAACATTAATTCTTTCTTAGATTTAGATATCACCACAGAAAACTGGCGTGAAGACATAAAATGGTGTTAAACAGGAACCAGTAACATAAGCGCAGCCAGTTACTTAGTGGCTTCAAAAAAGTGCAATTATTTTATCTTCTTCCCTGGTTTCTGTGGGTGAGGAATTAGATTGGACGGTTGTAACTCAAAGTCTACCTGTGGTGGATTTGGAACAGCTGGGGGCTGGACTACCTAGGGCCTGGCCCAGCATCCCTTCATCTCTCTCTCTCTCTCTCTGTGTGTAGTCTCAGGGTCTCTCCATTTTCTCTATCTGAGCTAGTTTGGACTTCTTCAGAGAATGACTTCTTAATTAGCAGCCTAAAGCTTAAAGGGTAAGCATTCCAGCAAGCAAGGCAGAATGGAAATTGCCTTTTGTGATTTAGCTTCAGAATTTACAGAGGACATTTCCACCATAGTCCGTTGTTTCAAACAGTCATCAAAGCCTGCCCGATGCCAAGGGGAAGCAACATAGATCCCAGCTTTTGTGAGAAAGGATGTCAAAGTCATATTTATAGAAAAGGTTTGTGAGATAGGAAATGTTTCTGTGATCATCTTTAAAAAACACAATCTGCCAAAGGAGCAGATTAATTTTTTTTAAGAGAAAAGAAGGAATTTTGGGATTCTGCCATTTCCCTGCCAAAGAACAATGTTCCAGATACCTATTCAACTATTGTGGTTTTGCTTAGTTTTTATAGGCATGCTTGTCCAAAGGCATGTTTTAATTATTTTTTATTTGCATGTTGTACATTATTTTTTCCAAAATGCTAAAGTACACTTAGTTATGAAGAGGGGCGAGTTTATTTCTACACTTTATACATATTCACTGTTATATATCTTATATATAACAAGTTTTTGTCCCAGAGATGCTAGGATAATGTAATGCAACCCAAAAGTGATTAAAGCCCAAAGCAGCCTTCTTTAAGCTCAAGTAAATATGAAAGCAAAGGTGATATGGTCATTGAAAACATGGTTCTAGACTCTACCATTTTTATCACTGTCTAGTTCATTGTCTGCAGATAAATGTGACCTAAAACATAATGTTCCCTAGTGGAATACTTCACAGATTTTTTTTTCTTTTTTCTTTGTAATAGAGAAAGAGTCTCACTGTGTTGCCAGTGTTGGTCTGAAACTCCTATCTTCAAGTGATCCTCCTGCCTCGGCCTCCCAAAGCTCTGGAATTACAGGCATGAGCCACCATACCCAGCCCTTGACAGAGTTTAACGAGTGACACTGTCTTGAATCTGATGTTGGTGTTCTGAAGTACAATCCTTCATAACCCTGCCAAAGATATGACAATGTAGCCAGACCCAGGCTAGGTGCTGCCATCAAAAAACATGGTCCTAAAATCAAAGTGTACTTTCCAAATAACTCATGTTAGAAACCTGGACATCTCTAACGCTATGAAGAGGATACGTAGTCCATAGCTGGATTTCTGAGCAATTCTTCTTCCCTTTTTTTCATTCCCTTTGTTTATACCCCAGAATTCTCTCCTCTAAACTTTGAAAAATCCTCCTGATTTGAAACGAATCTATTTTATCTGCCTACCACATCTTTTTTCCTCCAAATTGGGTAGCATAACACTCAAGTAATGGCATACTCCTGCCCCACAGGCTAAAAATACCCAAGTAGACAAAGAATGTTCTTCAGTATGAACATCTGATGTTAATATTTTTTTCCCAAATCATTCTTTCAAGGGCAAGTGTGAGTGAAAAGCACTCACATGGTGAGTGGTGCCATGTCACCATGGCATTTCCTTTATCAAGCAAGTCCATCATTCAAATCCTTAATGGGTAATTGTCAGGGGTGGGAGAAGAACTTCTCATACTTTAGTATGCATATGAATATTACCTGGGAATCTCGTTATATTCTGATCCCATGGGTGTGGGCTGGGCCCCAGAGTCAGCATTCCTAACCAGCCCCCAGTTGGTGTCGAGGCTGCTGGTCTGGGAACTATACTTGGGGTAGCACCAACCTATTTTTAAACTATTATTTTTAGTTATTTAAATTCTAAATTGCTTGTTTTGAACTTTTTCCAGTTTACTGAAGATTTTGGAAGGTATGAGATAAATAAGAAAAGATACAAAGGAAAATCCAGTGATCTCAGCCAGCAAAAGCAATAGGAGTGGAAAGGCCATAGGCCAGTGCTGGGTTGGTGAGTTGCAGGTGGATCTGAGAAGGCAGCAGACGCAATGTCTCACCCTGAAGTTCCAAACCCGCCACTGCCCTCCCCACCCTACTCTGTCCTCCTTCCCCATCTGATTCCTGAACTTCATGCCTCAGAGACCCTCTGGGTACCATTACGGGTAAGTTCAGAGGTGAATTGTTAGTTAATGACTGAGCAGGGTTGGGAGCAGGGAGCTGAGAACTAGAAACAAACAGAGGCTAAAAGTTTGAATGAGATATGTGCGAGTTTCTCTGGGAGGCAGGGTGCAAGGACAGAGGAAGGATTGTCAAGAAGGAAAGGAAAAGCACCCACAGTGAAACCTGAAAGAGGCCCAAAACAAAACTCCCCTGATTTCCTCATTGCCTCAGGGCTGGGCCCCAGGTACATTTATTTCTTTTCTAATTACCTACACCTGAGTGAACATAGACAGGTATTTATATCTCAGTGAGCTGTTTAGGTGTGTTTATTTAGGTTTTATTTATAATCCCAGATTAGGTAATTTCCTTTTAAAAATTATAGGTGGACTGTGATGAGAAAGAGCTTTTATCTGATTGTTAGTAAGATCATAGGCGTAAAGAGAATTTTGCTTTTGAAAACTTACAAGGGCTATTGAGTTTTTCAATTAAACAATGTGGCCCTTCTAAGGTTACTAAAGAGAAACCCACATATTCACAATCAACCTCTAAGGCTGTTGAGGTTTCTCAGTTCTTTGAACCTCGAACACTCTGTGTTCCTAAGCCACTAGAGGTGGAAACAAAATAGAGCCGCTTATCACATTTCTTCTATTCCACACCTCAGTATTGTCATCGTCTCCACTTGCCCTTCAGCGGAGGAGATTAATAGATTTCAACAGGACCTTTTGTGGGCTCAGAGGAGCTGGCTCTGCACTTATTTGCCCTCTTTGTGTGGTTGTAAAGTGTTCTGACCAGATGACTCGGCATTGCCAGTAAGAACCCAGCCCCATGCCACAGGGACTCTATGGCCAGAAGCACTGCTTCCTCTGCCTTGTTTCTTGAGATCAGTGAAACAGGAATATTTTCTTGCGAAACCCTGATTCAATAACTGGTGGCTCAGAGCCCACAATAAAATCATGGTAACAGTCTATAAACATCAAAACATTAATCCTTTCCAAGTAGGAGCTGACGAGAATAAGCCTAATTGCAGTAATGACCTGAAGTATAGATGCTGCTCTGCATAAACTCTCACTCCCTGGTGGGAATGTTCCCATGGAACTCTGGGACTGTGCCATGCACACACCTAACTCTAATAATACTAAATCTAAACATGGGCATTCCTGCTGGATGAGCGGACTGATAGTCATTAAAGGCCTAAAAGGTAAAAAATTATTACTACTTTAAATCACTTTCCAAAGACTAAGCATTTTTTAAATTGTTAATGATGGCCCCATTCTCTCATTTAATTTCATTTTTAATTTTTAACTTTAAAAAACACTCCAGTTAGATACAAATATTTTAATTTTTATTTATTAGGGACCATATATTTATGCAATATCCATGTTTGCTACCATAGGCACTTGAGCTGTGATGATTTCACTTTGGTAACTTGAAAATGTATATAATAGATTTTTAAAATTAATTTGTAACAGGAATAAAAATTACCACAGTGTGAGAATTCACAAAGCTCCCTCTCCTTCCCCTTTTTCTATCCTCACTCCACAACTGGCACTAGCTTTTAAAGGGGATGAATTTTTGCATCCTGGATCAGCGCCTGGACTTTTCTTTGGAAAAACAAACAAAGAGAATGGATAAAACTGAAAGAAAATGGAAAACATCCCTTCACTATTCTGGTGGGATTGACCCCATCCCCAACTCCAAAGATGGGCCCTAATTTGTTTATCCAAATAATACACATACACACACACACACACACACACACACACACACACACACACACACACACAGCCCACCTTCTGTGGAGGCCTCAGTCGCTATGACAAGATCCAGTGTTGTTTTCTCCATAGTAATGATGACTTTCCTTGTTTTTTGGTTTGTTTGTTTACTAGAAAAATTAATTCCCTGGAACTGAGGACTTTGGTGTCTTTTTCACTCCTATGCCCAGCACCTAGCACAATGGCACAGCATCTGACACATAGTAAATAATCAATATTGCTATTGCAGTAGCTTCCTAACTGGTCAAATTACTTCTGATCCCGCCCCGCCCTCTCAGTGCAGCCCCACCCTCTGCACCTCTGTACCTGTGCAGCAGCTTCCTCTGGCCAGCATGGTGTCCACAGCCCAGAACCTGGCACTAGGAGATTCCTGGAGAAAGTGAGCCTTCTTGTCTGACTGTCCAGAGAGTGAGAGAAAGTGTGGCAAGTATTTTTGTATATAAGCTTCCTAAAAATAACTTGTTATAGAGCCACATGAATACCTGCTTACGAAGCATTTTATCAGCCTCACGAAACATGTGAAAAGGAATTACATAAAATTAGTAAGACAGATCTGAAAAATGTTTTCATTTAAAGTAAAATTCAAGATTTGTTATCTGATAATATTTTGTGATGATTATATATATCTAAAGAAAGATAAATTTCTTTTTGAAACTTATTCTCCCTTTTCTTTCCTCAATAACGTTTAATTTTTTATGTAAGAAGTCCAACATACTTAGAAGTATACACAGAGAATGACTTAATAAAAACTTACATAGCTGCAACTTAGATTTGACAAATATCAATACATTTCTAAACATCTTTATTTAAAAATAAAATTGGATATTTTCACATAATTGAAGTTCATAAAAAGATTTGAGCCACAAAAAAAGAGTTTGAATATTACTGTAACATAAAAGTTTGAAAGATTTTTGTTGAATGATTTTAAATGTTACTGAATCAAATTGATGCAGGTTCTTTGGAAATAAAATAAATTTAGGCAAAATTACTTCATCACAAATACCTGAGTGTTTTAATTTTTGTGTGAATAATATTAAAATGTGACTGAGGTTAATATGCAGCTAGAAATCATACATCTAGGAGATGGATCTGAGGTTCACCTATCTTTTTATAGTGAATTTTGAAATATAGGCAAGCACAGCATAATGATGGTTCCATCAATGACAAAGGGCATATATAGTGGTAATCCTGTAAGACTAGAATACTGTATTTTTACTGTACCTTTTTAATGCTCAGATATGTTTAGATATGTAAATACTTACCATTGGGTTACAATTGTTTACAGTATCCAGTATAGTAACATGCTATACAGGTTTGTAGCCTAGGAGCAGTACCATATTGCTTAGGTGAATAGTGGGTTATACCACCTAGGTTTGTGTAAATACATTCTATTATGTTCACACAATGATGATACTGCCTAATCACACATTTCTCAGGACGTATCTCTGGCATTAAGCAATGCATGACTGTAAAAGGAAATTATGCCTTTTTTTCTCCAAATAGTAATTCTCTTCTAGAACACTATTCCTCCTACTTATGTGTTCTAGTATGTGGGTTGGTATGCCTTGTATGATGTACAACAGGTCTTTCCTAGTTAGGAGAGATATTTAAACAAAGGTAGAAAGAGAATTTTTAAAAAGAATGGAGAAAATTAAAGACCACTTCTTTCTTAATTGAAGGACTATGGTTGTAAAAACTTTTGATCATTTCCCTTCTCTACCCTTGTAAATACATGTGTAATCAAGTACTGACCTTTTGGTACTGGAAACAGGAAACACCTGATGTACAAGGTTATCTTTCCTGTAGAACATGTTGTCAGACGCACAGCTGAATTAAGGGTGGATCAGGCAGGCTGCTGCTTGGGAAACTGTTCTGTAAGAGGGGCTAAGAGAATCGTGGAAATGTCACAAGATGGAGGAACTTGTATATGCCACGTTTCTTCTTAGGGAAAAGGATGGGATACTAAGATGGGGCTAAGACCCGAGAAGGCGATATTTGCATCTGACTTCCAAGAAGAGCAAGCCAGAGGCACAGCCTCTGTGGGCACAGCCGTGCTGAGTGGAATATCCACACCTGGTAGAGCCAAATAGCCTAAGACATGAAAGGGGACACCGAGGGACCCAGAAGTTCCCACTGCACATTGCTCCCACACAGAGCTCAGACTCTCTTCGATATAAATGTACAAATATTGAAAGAATATGGTTTTAAAATAAAATTATCAACCTGCCAGGATGCCCCCAGTCCCCATCTAGGCCTGGTCACAAATCATTCTGACAGCAAAGCTGTGTTCCTCTGCCATCTATCCATGGAAATGGTTGAGTTCTTTAGGGAACTTCACTCTCATGGTCCTATTGTACTGGGACATTGGGCGAATGTTCCACTCTTTATAGATAAAAATTGTAACTGAATGCTTTTCAACGTGTGGACTGGCTGTTAGTAAAGAAGAAAACACTCTTAATTCAGCTACTTCCTTTCCTATATCAACATCTCATTCATTCTGTTTCTCTCTCACAGTGAGGTTGGTCTCAACAACCCTGATGGTGTTTATCAAATTCCTGGGTCTGAAGGGACTTGCCCCAACCCTTATAAACTTTCCCCACCAGGAAAGAAGGAAATACACACAGTTGACTTTGAGGGTTCTTTTTGAGAATTATTTTTTATTATCGCCTATTCAAAAAATTTACCATCAAACCATGTGTTTCAGATAAAGACTAATAATTACTAAACAAGATTATTGTCTGAGAAACCATGACTTATGTGAATTGCTTGTTGTCTTGTTACAATTCTACAACTATATGAGAGCCTCTCTCTGTCATTATTTGCATATGATAATTCCAGAGTTGGACCTAACCCAAGCACAGTGAAAAATCAGCTGTTTCTGACTCTGTTTCCTCATTTGTGATTTAGAATTAATGATAACAAATAGAATTATGTTAAAGGTTGAATAAGATACCATGAAGGTTCTTGTATGCTATAAATTGTTGGTTATGAGTTGGCCCATTGATGGTAAGATTTGTATGTTTTTTCCCATATTAAGTAAGTAATATTACTAATTCTGAAGAAGGTGCTTTGCAAAGTCCTGTTCACTGTAAGGATCTGATTTTGTTGCTACAAACCCTAGGTTGCTTGTTTGGGGTTAGGACCATTATAAAAGAAAATAGGTGTAGACTGTTGGAATCCAGAGTATGATGTATGACAGGGGTGCAAGATTAGAAGTTAGCCCTTGATATTATTTCTATTCCAGTGGCAGGTGGGGTGAGGATTTTTTACTGAAAATTGAAATTCAGCTGCAGCATTGGCTCATGTCATCTTTGCTGTCATTATGTCCCAGAATAGCATCACTTCAGTCAGCTTTACCAAATTAAATCAAGTATCACGGGGTTACAAGCTAAGAAACAACAATGGGTTAAATTTTTAGATTGTCTTTTTGGTTTTTAAGGAAAACATACAAGGTTCCACAATAAAATCATGTTATTAAAAGGATTGCTCTGATAGGATCAAACATATTAAAATCACATATTTCGTAATGTCATTATGTTTGGTCTTTAATCTATCCTAATGAGCTCACTGGGTCTAACAGTTCAGCTTGTTGAGATTTGTGAATTAGAGCTAAGCTTTTACTGACCCTAATTTTTTAGGTTAATAGTAGTTTTTATGAGAGGTGATCACCTGATACATTGTGGGGATAAACGAATCCACTCATTTGGGACTCTGCCATCTGACACCAGTAACTCTTTACAAGAGTTAATTTTTACTCAGATTTTTCTCCAAAATGATATATTAGCCATAGCTTTAACACTGTGTATATCTAATATGCAAGTACATACAATTTTAATGTATATATTAACTATGAAAATATATTTTCTTTCTGCCTTAGAAATAAGCACCTTTTTCTTTGCAATAGTCACCAAAATGCTCATTATCCCAATAGATTTCTTTTGATTAGGCTGAGTGTATGCATTAATTAACCTCACCTGGATTATTTTATTTAAAAAAAATTAAAAATACTAAAGCACATTTCATTCCAACATTCCCAATGTTGAAAGTCTTCTGACTTTCATGAAACCTCTTCAGAGTGAATGAAAAGAGGTGAAGATGCTCATTAGCCTGTAATTCCTGAATGTGACTGTGTCCTAAATTCTTCAAGATGCCATAAGCAGAATGTTTGTACATCAAATACATGTTTTTATCATTATTTCTCTTTTAATAAGCGCAACATTATACTCTATAGAATGGAAACTATTTATTTAAATACAGATTTTATAAAGGGTTTTCTATGATGTTCAACCTGTCAGTATTTTATCAGGCTACAAAACTTAATTTGGATTATTCAGCCTTAAAAAGGAAGGAAATTCTTACATATGCTACAATATGGAAGAAGTTGTCATAAAGGTTGACAACTTTATGCTAAGAAAAATGACCAGTCACAAAAAGACAAATATTGCATGATTCCACTTATAAAAGGTACTTAAAGTAGTCTAAACCATAGAGACAGAAAATAGAATTGTGGTTGTCAGGGTCTGGGGGGTGGGGTAAATAGGGAGTTATTGCTTAATGGGTATGGAATTTCAGATTTACAAAATGAAAAGCATTATGGAGATTGATGATGTTGATGGTTACATAACATGTGAACATATTTAATACCACCGAACTACACAATTAAAAATAGTGAAGATGGCAAATTTTATGTTATGTGTATTTTACCACAATCATAATAATAATAATTTTTAAATAAAACTTAATTTTGTCTTGCTTTACTAAATACTATCCTCCTTCTAATTATTTTTGCCTCTGGCACCATGATCCAATAAGCCAAACATGAGTATCAAACAACAAACTGTTAAGAATTTATTACCACCTACCATGCACAAGGTATTTAAGGAATATTAGGAAATATAAAGCAATTTCTTCATAAAAGCCTGCAGAATTCTTTATAAGTTTTCACCTATCAAAAAATAAACACTTATGGAGTTTAAAAAATGGTGAACTCAAAGAGACATGAAGATTTCAGATGCTTGCAGAGTTTCTAGGCTCTAAGTAATTAGGTTTATTTCCATGTCTTCTCTCGGAAAGATGGGTACCAAGTCCACAGGAAGAAGTAAGTTCTTGGATAGATCCAGTGCAAGGTCAGTTTGCCTTAGCAGAGCACCAGAGTTCAGCAAAAGAATGAACATGTTCTAATGTCAAGGTAAGTAGTCCTGGGGGTGAGACCAGGTGAGAAGATGGTGACAGGGCTGGCAAAACTTGATGGGAAATGGGCATCTAAAAATTATAAGGTACTACACTTTCACTGCAAACCTGACCTCAGATTGTTTCAATTTTATATCTCACGTTGCTGCCTCTAAAATGTATCCTTAATCATCTTAACAGTCATTGGCATGGCATTACTTTTCAACGTGGTATCATTAAATCAGGAATAGTAGTCTAAGGAGAGGAGCTAACACCTCCCAGGTGACCGGCCAGTGTCCTGCCCTCCATGCCATGAGGTGTAGGGAGGCAGAGTATAGAATCCTGACAGGAGCAGTGGGTTTACTTACTAAGGGTTTGGTGAAGCAGAAGAAGGGAGTGATAAAGATTAGGCCACGATGACCTACTTTTAACACCAGCCACTAAGGCGCCTCAGTTGATTGTGAGCACTACACAGTAGAATGCTTTAGAACAAAGAGTGCGTAACGTGAATCTTGCACACAGAGAGGCGTTTGAAGCTTAAAAAATACCCAAATATACAATGGCCTCTTGTTTAATTATAGTAATTATTCATCAGACTCCAGATGTTAGGAAAGAAAAAAACTTTATCTTTTTTGATTAGAAGCGTGAATCCTTTCAAATGTGTGTGTCACTGAAATGGAATGTATCTAATCATCAACTTGCAGCTGAAAGAGTGCCGAGTAAATAACTGAAGCCAATCCAGATACTTATTAAAAGAATTTGTTTCCAAAGGGAAAGAGAAATACCTTCCATTTGAAAGAAATCAACCCTACAAAAAAGTCAAAAGTACTTGGGGCATTCTGGCAGCATCAGGACTTATTTTAAAATGTTCAATCAAATTCTTGTCCAAAATCCATTCATCGCTATGCCCTTATTGTGAGGCTGCTGCATTCTTTCAAAAGTGATTGAGAGGCCCAGAAATCAAGGTCTCACTAGTTATGCATCACTGAATCAGGGGAGAATGTAAGGCAGCCTCCCAGAAGACCAGGCCTGGAAATTCGTATCTGACGTCCAGTTCCTTAGGCTCCACCAAACTCCATGAAATTAAAGAGAAGGCAACAAACTTCTCTTTCTGATGGGGTCCCAAACACATAATTGGACAATAATTACTGAGGAGTGGTAGCCAGCCTCTAAAGCAGCCCCCAGTGGTCTTCACCTCTTTATATTCATGCCCTTATGTAGTTTTTTTCCACTTTGAATATAGATGACCATGTGAGCAAGTGTATCACTTAGAAATGACAGTGTGTGTCTTCCTAGGCCAAGTCATAAAAGGCATTACCACTTCTAGCTTGCTCTCTGTCTCTCTTTCTCTTTCCCTCTCTTTCTTTCTGTCTCCTCCTCTCTCTCTCAGATCACTCACTTTGGGAGAAGCCAACCACCATGCCAGTAGATACTCGAGATGCCCAACAAAAGTGACCACATGGTGAGAAACTAAGGCCCCTTACCCATAACCAGCACTAATTCGCCATGTAAGTCACCTTGGAATTGGATCCTCCAGCCTTGGTCTAGTCCTCAGATGACTGCAACCACACACAGCTACCACGTTGACTGCAATCTCAAAAAAAGACCCTGAGCCAGAATCACCATCTAAGCCCCTCCCATATTCCAGCCCCACAGAGTTATGTGAGATAATAAATGTTTATTATTTTGAACCACTAAGATTTGGGTTAATTTGTTACATAGTCATAGATAAATATTGCTAAGGGTAATCTTAAACTGCCTGACTGGATCCTTTCACCTTGAGGCCTCTCCATAAATAAAGCCATGCATTTCATTTCAGGCCCAAATAATAATTACATGGTGTGTGTGTGTGTGTGTGTGTGTGTGTGTGTGTGTGTGTGTGTGTGTGTTGGGGGAATCCACCTCTTCTACCCTATGATGCAGAATACAGCTCAGGGATACCAAAACATACTATGCTTACTCATTTCATGGACACTCACATTAGGATATATGCTTCAAGAACTTTTTCTATCTGCATTTAAAAAAAGAGAAAATAGTAGCTTCACAAATTATTGAACTTAATTTATATATTTAAATCACCACCATATTCAAGGTAATATGCCAAATGCAGGAGATATTCATAGATCTAAGAGTGTGCATAGACCCTGCACTCAAAGAACCTACTCTAGGGGGAAATGCAAGTATACATGCATCTGTAAAATAAAAATTCCACTAAAATATACAGTAAATTTGTATAGTGATAATCAGGGATAAGCTAGAAGTTATTATTTGAAATTTGGTTCAGTAATAGGTAGGGCTTCAAATGGGCAAAAGAGGAAGTGAGAAGCCATTTCAGAAGGAGGGTGCAGCATGAACCCAGGCAGCCTCAGAACCAGTGGGGAAGAAACCTCAGAATGTACTAGAAATACACCAAGGTTTTGCATATTGCAGCCAGGGATTTACATTTAGTTAAGTAGCCAGCAAGAGATATTGAAGTGTTGTGCAAACTGGGATGACCATATCAAAACTGCACTTCAGGAAAAATAATTGAATATATAGAGAACATATTAGAAGAGGGAAAGGCTAAACGCTGTACCGTGAGAAGGCTGTGGTCATGGTCTAGACAGGAGGAACAGAAGTAGGAATTACAGAGCAGACAGCGAGAATAGAAAGAAGGAGTATATGTGAGAGGCAGAAATTATGGAGTCTGTAGGTTCTGCCACTAACAGGATGAAGCTAAAGTAGGGAAAAGTGGGAGAGGTTGGAGCAGACAAAGAAGACACAGGTGTTTCAGGCTAGGAGATGAACAGAATTAACAGAATTAGGGATGGACAGAAACAGTGTCTGTACTAAGACTGGAGAACAAGGAGGTGGAAATTCAAATATAAATACATATTAGAACTCTCCAGCCTTCTGCTATATCATCCTCAGACTGCAGGTGGGTGTCTTTTGCAAGTACAAATACTTTCATTTGCATTGGAAACTGGCAGCTGGACTTGCAAATAACATATAAAACCATTCTGTATACCAATGCAAATATTCTTTGCATCAGCAGATAGAAATATTGAAAAGCTCCAAATTAGACATCACAACAAAAAAGCCTTTGTGGTTTTTGGCAAATAAGCTTTTTAAACAAAATCTGACCCCATCCCATCTTGAAATATGTCTTTTAAAAAACTCTTTGTCTTGCCATACTTTTATAAAATGGCTGAAAAATACCATCACCTAACTCAGTTTTCTCAACTTCTCAAATTCTTCCTGGCAGTTCAACTACGGAAAAATCAAAACCTGTCTTGCTCACTGGCAATCAGCTAATTCTGTGAAGTAGCATTCTCCATCTGATTTAAACGCAGTTGCCCTTGTGTATTCTGAGCTTGTTCTATATACTTAGCTTGAAAAATTGTCCAGATCTCAAAGATAGAGCTCTTCTAATCTACCAATGCCAAGGCTTCTATGCAAAGCTAGGGTATAAATTCAGATCTTCAAATTAAGCTGTTGGATTTATTTTTTTTCTATGCATATACATGAAGCAAATATTTACTAAATACAAGTTTATTTGCAAATTAGAACTGCTCCTGGCTAAGGTGCCATAATCAGCAGAGGAATATAAAAATAATAATAACGGCAACAACTTACCAGGGCCTTAGTAGCACCATTTTAAGCACTTTAGATATATTAACTCACTTAATTCTCATAATACTACAAGGAATTTTCTTTAAAGAGACAAGGTCTCATTCTATTGCTTAGACTGGAGTGCAGTGGTGCGATTATATCTCACTGCAGCCTTGAACTCCTGAGCCCAAGTGATCCTCCTGCCTCAGCCTCCCAAGTAGCATGTGCCACCATGCCCAGCTAATTCTCACAATAACGCTACAAAGGGGTTCAGTCAACATCTCAAGAGCCAAAGATTGAACTCGGGCATCCTCAGAGCCTGGGCTCCTAACCATTGGGCCTAAAAAGAGGAATTTTCTGTGGGTGTTTTTGGTCACCCACTGTATTAGTTTTTTATTGCTGCTATAACAAACTACCACAAATTTAGCAGCTTAAAATGATACAAGGTTGTATTTTTCTAACTCTTCTTCCATAGGCATATATCCCTCTGACTCTGACTTCTTCTGCCTTGTTCTTCTACTTTTAAGAATGCCTGTGATTAAATTAGGCCCACCAGGAAAACCCAGGGTTAGCCGCCTTAATTCTTCTTTTCTCTGTAACCCAACATATTCACATTTTCTAGTAATTAGAATGTAGGAATCTTTGGGGGCCATTAGTCTCTCCACCACACCCACTGATTCTCTAGGTAAAAAGAATCTGAAAGTGCAAGCAGATTTAAAGTACTAGAAATCAGAATAATAAATAAGGAAAGAAAGGTGAGTAGGGGGCGGCAAGAACAAAATGTTTACAGGACAGTATCCTATGCAGGTGTATTAGTTCGTTTTCACGCTGCTGATAAAGACATACCTGAAACTGGCAAGAAAAAGAGGTTTAATTGGACTTACATTTCCACATGGCTGGGGAGGCCTCAGAATCATGGTGGGAGGCGAAAGGCACTTCTTACATGGCAGCAGCAAGAGAAAAATGAGAAAGAAGCAAAAGCGGAAACCCCTGATAAACCCATCAGATCTCGTGAGACTTATTCACTGGCCCCATGATTCAATTACCTTCCCCTGGGTCCCTCCCACAACAGTAGGTGAGTAGAAAATGAGAAACTGAGGTCTACTTCCTGATCCTTGACATTTGCCCATTGCCCCTCCAACTTCATTGTTCTTTCACTGACAGTCAATATAACAAAATTCTAGTATCTTCATATCATCTTCTAAGCAGCTCTACTAGGAAAAATCAAAACTTGTCTTAGTTTTATGACCTTACCGGTCTTCATAATCATTATTTTGCTAACTTGAATGTAGTTTACTTATACCCTTACAGTGCATGTTCTCTATCCCATCCCAGCCAGGGAGGCACTCACAGGCTCTCATTGCCTGGTGGTGAACCACTAGTACAGAAGTGTGAATAGGGCATGATGGCAGCATGTGGGTGTGCCCCACACTTAGCCGGGGAGACAGCTGTGGCATCTGGGGATAGAGAGTCAAGGTCTTCCAAACGAAGAGGGAAGGAAACAGTAGACCAGGAAGAGAAAGTAGTGACTCCAGGACCGAGAGGTGGAAATGAGCATGGGCTGGTTTCTCTAAACACTCTTGTCCAATAGGCTGGAGCATGGAGAAGAAGGCAGGGAGAGGTAAAAAGTCAGGCAGGAGAGGCCAGCAGCGTCAGATCCCACAAGGTCTCGGGGTCATGTAAGAAGCCTAGGATGTAACATGTAAGTAACAGGGAAGCACTGGGGGGTGCTAAGCAGGAGCCAGAATCCATCTACTGCTGACCAGCTGTGAACCTGCATGTCACCTTTCTGTATCGTCAAATGGAGATAGCAGCACTGACTCCATAGGGTAGTGGGGATGATTAAATAAGAGCTAACCACCTAGCATAGTGGGAAATGCATGGTCAGTTCTGGAAAAATGTTCAGATAGAAAAGATAAATGTAACCAAAATGTAAGCTGGAGGCTCCACCCTAGAGAGCTAAGGTGGAATTACCTTAATGCTCCAAAGTCTATTTTCTGGAGTCCAGAGTCCTCTGAGGCTTCTGCAAACTGCCAGGACAGATGGGTCTTGAGACCTCTCCTGACTGCAGGACGTCTGCCTCCTAGGGCTACTGTGTGTTCTGCACTGTCATCCAGCTGAGATCCTCAGGCTCCCTCTCACGAAAACTTAGTGAGCTTCTCAAAGGTGGGGTGGGTGCGAGGCACATGGAGGAGTGATAGATCTGAACAGCCGGAAGGACTCCAAGGGGAACCAGGGCATGCGAGTTTTTTTAGTACCCTCAGGCCACTACCACCGAGCTTTCCATTGACACTGCTCTCATTAGTGTTGGCCTCTCCTGCTCTATCTGAGAGCTCCTCTCCCCCTTTCTTTCTCATCTTCACTCATCAACCCTCCTCCCATTAAGATGTGAAAAAAATTAATTATTCCCTTTGTGTTATGCAGGTCATCTTCTCCTTTCCTCTAACATCTTAGTACAGGCTTATCGATGTGTTTCCTAAATGCTGTGAAGAAAAATTCTAGCACCCGCTGTGAAGGTAGTTAAATGTCTTTACCATCCAGGCACAGAAGTACAGGACAGGTTTGGCTGAACTTGAGAAATGAGACTGACTTTGTTGGCCAAGAAGTGACAGATCTCACTGATATTGGAGGATTTAACATTCCTCTCCTAACAACTCTGCCCAGGAAAGGAGCCAGAAGCCACCTGAGAGAAAAGGGACTGAAATGTGTCCCCTCTGCCATGTAAATAAAGAGGGACTCTACCTGGAATTAGCCCAACTGCAACAGTTAGATGATGCAGTCTCCATCCAAGATAGCTCTCCCTTATGGCACCACCTGCCAGTTCACTTTGCTTTCCCCAGATGACTCTCAGTTCCAACAATTCACTAGAAGGACACAAGAACTCACTGAAAACTGTTATGCTTATGGTTACACTTCATGACAGGGAAAGGATACAGGTCAAAATCAGCCCAGGAAAGAGACATAGAGGGCAGAGACTGGGAGGGTCACAAACACAAAGCTTCTGTTGTCCCCTCTTTGTGGAATTAGGACATCAATGTGTAGCAATGACCATAAAGTATTGCCAACGACAACAACAAAAGACCAAGAAAAGTTCACCCAAGCTGTGATACCCACACCAACCAATACCACATGACTCAAAGCCTCCACCATCAATCACATGGCTGGTCTTTCTGGAATGGCCAGCTCTATCCAGTGTTGACTGGGTGAGGCCGGCCCCACCTTGAGTTCTGGTATGGTCAGCTCTTACCCTAAACAAAGACACTTCTGTCAGGTGTGCCAGAAATTGCCTCCTAGAAACTGAGGGCAAAAGCAAAACCTCTTTTTGGACAAGGCCAAATTCTTACTACACAGACTTGATGAAAAGAATAGAAGCCAAAAATGTCTAGGAATGAATGAGCTCCCTCTCGCCTTCTGTCCTCACTCCCGGAGGGACGTGGGTAGGCAGGCTGTTGAGATCTACTCAGGACAAGACTTAAGGTTTCAGAGAGGAGGGCCGGGTCCTGACGCAGGGCTGGGCAGATCTCAGGCCAACCACCCTAGCAGCGAGTGTGTCAGAGAAGCAGCTTCCCAGGACGGTAAGATTTGTTTCCTAGAGGCTGAGAGTGTGAGAGAGTCGTTTCACAAAGGAACAAGTGGACAAAGGGGGAAAACGGGGGTTTATATATAAATTGGGAACAGTTATGGCATAAAACATGCCAACTAGTAAAGATATAAAAATATATAGAAGTTATCTCTTGTCCACAGGTTCCAAGACCCCCAGAGGATGTCTGCAACTGCAGATAGCACCAAACCCTCCATACATAGTTCCTATGTTTTTCCTACTCATACATGCCTATGATACAGTTTAATTGACAAATTAGGCACAGTAAGAAATGAGCAATGACTAATAATAAAATAAAACAATTATAACGATATACAGTAATAAAAGTTATGTGCATGTGGTCTCTCTTTCTCTCTCTTAAAATATCTTATCATACTCTACTCACCTATTTTCAGGCCACACTTGATCACAAGTAACTGAAGCCTTGGAAAGTGAAACCACAGATAAGGGGGACTACTGAATATCATAAAGGATACATGATTAGGGAGGGTACATGTGGCCTTGCATCTTGGATAGGGTGACATTTTTGAGAGTGAATGGAGACCCTGTTGATAATTATGCCAGGACAACAAGTACAAATAAGATTACCCAGACAACTCAGCAAGCCTATTCAAAGAGTTTTAGGTGGTGACTAGGGATTACAGTAATCAGAGTTTGGAGACAAATATTCCACATTTGGCACAATTCGTTCTGGTTCCTGAGCACTCCTGTTTTTTCCTGGGCCATATTTGGCCTGATGTCCATGAGAGCTGTTGTGAGCCTGGTTTGGAGGGCCCCAGTCCCAGGCAGCACCTGTCTGACGTGTGGATGTCACTGAGGCCTGGGGTCTCAGTACAGGCTATCCAGGATGTTCAGAGCAGAGGGAAATACCTTAGCCCAGAGTGGTGAACCCTCGCCTGTGTGCCCCAAAGACTGTAGGCCTGTGCTAAGGGCTGGTTCTCAGCTGTCTTTCTGCACATAGTCTTTAAGCATTCAGAAACTAAGGTTACTTTAAGGCCAACTGTACCCTGCAAGTGTTCAACTGGCCTAAGGCATCTCTGCAGTGCTGGCATAAATTGAACCGAAGAGAGAGATAGACAGAAATAGACTAGAGAGATAAACAAATAGATGGAAAATGCATGATACTTAATACATAGCCCTGATGTAGAAATAATGGGGTTAAAGCAAGGAAAAATGCTTTTCACCACTCCTATAGAATCTTACAGTAGATGGAGGAAAATTGGGTGGATTTGGGAAATGAGAGAGTTGTGGAAAGAATCTTGGAGAGCAGTTAGGAAACTTGAATTTTAGTCTTGGTTAATTTGCCATGCGGTGTAGAAAACAACAACCCAGTAAGAACAAAAATTACTGAACACTTACTATTAACTGTACTTAACTCTCCAAACAACGATAAGAAGTAGACACTCTTTTTATTCCCATTACCCAAAAGGAAGGAGATGCAGAGCGGTTAAGTAATCTTCCCAAGTTCACACAGCAATCTTATGCCAGATGAAAAACTCAGGTAGTCTGGCTTTTGAGTTTATTCATTTAACTTTAGCATGTTTGTTTGTAAAATCAAGCAATTAGATTAGATGATGCCTAGACCCCTTTCCTCTGTTACAGTCTATTACTTGGGATTTATATTTAGGTGAAATTTAGATATAAAAAAGAATCTAATTTTCATGGTCATATTTACATGTAATATCCAACACAAAAACTAAATTTTCCTTGCAGCACATTCATTGCCCAAAATTCATTTTACAAGAAGCTAAAGAAGGCAAAGAAGGTTAGCTATTGAAACAAAAATGTGATTTTTATTAGTCTCCAGTGGTGACTGCTCTAGAGTCAAGAGTAAACAAAGATGTCAACACTCTAGTGGTATTGGAGTCTTAAAACACACAGACACACACCCTTCCATAAATTATTTTAAATCAGGTTAACATAAGCCTCTAGTTCAGCCAAGAAACTATTTTTTCAAACCAAAAGTGCACTGATAGTAATGTCTTGATGTCAATTCTGTCTTATTTTTTCAAGTGAAAGAGAGATAAAGTGATAGAGACCTCAACATCTCTGCAGAATAGGCAAAGTCGGTCTTTAGCAAGCTTATTTCCTACCAGAGACCTTTCCTCTCAGCAAAACCCTGGCGCTTCTCTCATGTTTGCCAGTATTGGCATTCTTATGTACTCTGAACAGGAGAAAAATATTTGTCCTGGGTTCATGGCTGAGGATGTTATAACAAAAGACAGATTACAAGAGAAAAGCATACAAATTTATTTAATAAGCTTTATGTGACATAGAACCCTTCTTAAGCAAATGAAGACCCAAAGAAATGGTTAAACCTGTACGTTTTTATGCAAGGTTTGATAAAGAGCGGACAGTCATATGGAAACTACAATAGGGCAATAAGAGTATGATCTAATGGTAATAAGCTAGGGGAATCTTGGCAAGGCCATTTGTTCAGATTCTTCTCTGTGACCCTCCATCTTCAGATATAAGGATATAAGGATGTTCCTTTCCTTCATGTAAAGAAAGAGCACCTCTCAAATAAGAATCATGACCTGCTTCAGAGGAAGGTCAGAAAATTCTTCCTAGGTTTTATGACCTGCTTCAGGGGAGAAGGGCTGGGGAAGTTGAGGGCAACCTTCTTGTTTCTGCTGTTTTCTTCAATATTCCAAGTGCCATACTTTGGGGTAGTGTGTCCTGAGCCCCTTCAGCTCTCTCTTAACCTCTCTTTCTGACGCTGCCCTTTCCTCTCCTAGCTAAAAATTACTGAGAATGCTTGAAGCATTGCCTGTTCAGGTGGCATTCTGGCTAGGACCAAAACCCTAAACTAAGCTCTGGGCTGAATTTCATTTAGACAGCCAATGATAGAAAGATGCACAAAGTATTATGGGAAAACAGAGCAGGGGTACCTATGCCCCTCTGAGGAGTGAGGAAATAGAAAAGGAAATCAAGATGAGGTAATCCCTAAGCTGGGCATTAATGGATGAGTAGGAGCCAGTCTGGCAGGATTGCTGGAGAGAAGTGTTCCAGGCAGAAAGGAGAGCATCCACCCAGACCTGGAGGTTACAAATATCCCAATGTGGATACTAATTCGTGGAGCTTCATGATAGTCTTGTCAAAAGATGCAGCTGATGAGGTAGAGTGGAGCCTAAACCCAGGGCTTGTTCACCTTTATCCTGTGAAAAATTGGGAGTTACGGATGAATTTTGTAGGGAATTGACAATGCCTGACTTGTGTTTACAGGAGTCATCTGGCTGATATGATGGATGTGAGGATTACCAGACCAGAAGCTGGTTAAGAGATAGTAAATAAGAAGTCACATAATATAGGTAGAATTTGAGATGTGGAAAGTGGAAATGGCCCTAACAAAGTGCTATGATGCCCCCAGATTTTCATCTTAGGTGACTAGATGTTTGGATGTTTATGTAAACCTCTAGCCCCCTAAAATGTCCCTAGAGCCCCTGTTCATGATTTTTCAAGTCACCAGAGACTCATATGTGCTTAAAAAGGTCTGACCCTATGGTATCTGTATCTGTATCTATACATGTTTTGTATGTCTTTATTTATTATTATTCTACAATGCAATTTAAATCATATATAGATATATATATACACACACACAAACACATTGAAAATATAATTACAAAACCTGCCTGAGGAGAATTCAGATCTTGCACAACTAACACCATAACCATCTGTGATTTACAGAAAAGCAATACAAAAGAAAGAAGATATACAGCAGATATTTTAAAATAAGTAGGGTCTACATATTAAACTAAAAATTTGAGGCAATTTTTCTCATAGTTCGGAATATCTTGGATAGAAAAGCCAATTTGGGGATGTTAGAATTATCTGACAAATGTTTCTGCATCATTTTAGAAAAGTAGGCATATTCTTAGCACAAGGACAGAGCATTTGTCTTATGGCCATTGAGAGATAAATGGCTTACAATAAAATAAACTGTATTTGGTAATTAAGATGATGTGCATTGATTCCTACCACTTATCTCTTTTGAAATACCCTTGCAGAAAAGATCAGAAAATCACACAGCTGAGCTGTCAAAAAGGTGTAGAAGGACTGAGAGCGGGGACAGCAGGGAGCAAAGTGAGAGGTTTTTTGTTTTTGTTTCTTGAAGTGCTGCTAAAATTAATAGCACTTTTTTCACACTTGTAAAGTAGACAGTGTGATTATAGTCCAAGCAAGGTTTCTTCCTCTCCCCAGAGACTTGAGGGCTTTGAGAGCAACTGGTCAAATGCAAAGGTATAAATAATCACGATTTCCTCTTGTAGAAAAGTAAGTAAACAGCCTTTCTCCAGAATGACTGTGACCTGATGAATTAATGGGGGTATACTTTATTTGTGAGAAATTGTGAGATTTCTCAACTAGGCAAGAAAAAAAAAGGTGTTCCTTTGGAAAGAAAGAAGTAATATTGTCTGTTTGCAGATGACATGATCTTATTTATAGAAAACCATAGTAATCCCACCAAAAAAGCCCTAAAAACTAATAAACAAATCAGTAAATTTGCAGGCTATAAAATCAACATATAAAAATCAATAATGTTGCTAGTCTCCATACTCTGAAACAAACTTTTCAAAAAAGAAATTAAGAAAACAACCCCAGAACTAAACTCAGCATGATGGCACAGTAGAACTCTCCAGGATCATCCCCCCACAAAAACATCCATGTGTACAACTATCCATACATGAAAAAGCCTTCACAGGAGATCGGACAACAAGGTAAGAGATCGCCTTGTATACCAGTACTTGGTTTTAGCATAATAATAAGACAAGACACATTGAAGAGGATAGAAAGAACAGTTTAATATTACCTATGCTACCCCTCCCCTAACCCTACGCACCACAGTGCAGAGACATTGTCCATTTGGGGGAAGAGGAGAGAAATGAGCATAAAACTTTGCTTTGCAGAACAGTACTAGGCCAGCCAGAAGACTAGCACCAGACAGAACCTCTTGGCACCTGACATCAGGCTGGTACCCATGGACAGAACCTCCAGACCCACCCTAGCACTAGACAGGAAACTGCAGCCCCAGTGGAATGGACTTATGTTCCAGTCAATACGGACTAAACTCAGCATGATAGACTAAACTCACTGCAGGCCTACTGTAGTGGCCTTGGGCTCTAAACAAACCTCAGTGGCAGGCAGGGCAGGGCACACACAGGCCTTAGGCATGCCCCAGTGCTGCACTGCTATCGGTGGCACTGGGCCTGGGGAAGACCAATTTGCATTAGCCTCAGTGGCCATGGGATTGCCTATGTTGCCCTTTCCAGAACCCCAAGTAGCACAGCACAGAGAAAGACAACATTTACCTGGCCGAAAGAGAGGAAAGTAAGTATAAGACTTTGCCTTGCAACCCTATACTGGACTTGCAGTAAAATCCAGCACTGGTTAGAAACATGGAACCCCTGACACCAGGCAGGTATCTGTGAGTGGGGCCTCTCAATTCAATCTGGTACCAAACAGGAACCTGCAGGCCCAGTATGATGGACTCAAGACCTGGCCACCTTCACTACCTGCTGACTATATGGGCCTCAGGCCCTAAATAAACCTCAGCAGTAGGCAGGCCACATCAGCCACAGACCTCTGGCACACCTCAGTCTGTGCTGGTATTGGCAGCTGCGAGCTTTGAATGGGACCTAGCACTTGTGTCAACCTCAGGAGCCAAAGGATTTCAGCCACAGTGGTCCTGAGTTTAGGGTGCTCCCTAGCACTGCAACAGCTAAAGCAGTGGGACTGGGGCTTAGGGTCCTCACCAATTAACCCGCCCTAAGCAGAGAGCTTAGGGTCCTCACCAGTCAATCTGCCCTTAATCTCTGGACAGGCCCACTACTGAAAGAACCAAATCAGGCTGTGAGGACTGGATTAAATACCTATATCAATGTGCAGACATTTGTGCACAGCCACAAAAACCAAGGGAAACATGAAGATACCAGAAAGACAAAATAAAGTGCCAGTGAATGACACTACAGTGTGGAGATGAAAGAACTGCCTGATGAATTCTAAACAGCGTTTTTAAGGAAGTTCAGTATATTAGTTAATTCTAACATTGTTATAAAGAACTACCTGAGACTGGGTAATTTATAGAGAAAAGAGGTTAAACTGACTCACAGTTCTGCAGGCTGTATAGGAAGCATGGGTGGGGGGGCCTCGGGAAACTTACAATCATGGTAAAAGAGCAAAGTGGAAGCAAGCACAATATTCACATGATAGCAGGAGAGAGAGAGAAAAGGGGAAGTGCTACATGCTTTTAAACAACCAAATCTTATGAGAACTCACTATCATAAGAACAGCAAGGGAGAAATCTGTCCCCATGATTCAATCACCTCCCATTAGGCCCCTCCTCCAGCACTGAAGATCATAATTCAACATGATATTTGGATGAGGACACAGAGCCCTTATCACTCAACAAACTTCAAGAAAATACAGATAAATAATTCAGAAACTTATCAGAGAAATTTAACAGAGATTTAAGTAATAAAAAATAAATAAATAGAAATACTGGGGCTAAAATACACAATGAATAAAATAAGAAATGCAATAGAATGCCTCGACAAGAGAATTGATCAATAAGAGGAAAGAATATGTGAATGTGAAGACCAGTTACTTAAAAATAAACAGTGAAAGAGAGAAAAATAGAAAAAGAATGAAAAGGAATAAAGAAAGCTTATGGGATTTAGGGGATAACATCAAAAAAGCAAATGTATAGGTCATTGCTATTCCAGAGACAGTAGAAAAAGAGAAAATGAGAGAAAACTTATTTAAAGAAACAATACTAGAATTTTTCCAAACCTGGAAAAAGATATAAATATCCAGGTACAAGAAGGCCAAGGCTCCCCAGTCAGATTAAATTCAAATAACAATGCCCAATGATATATTATAATCAAACAGTCAAAGGCAAAGACAAAGAGAGGATCCTGCAAGCAGCAACAGAAAAGAAGCAAACAACATATAGAGAAGTCCCAATATATCTAACACCAGACCTCTCAGCAGAAATCTAATGACCAAGAGAGAGTGGGATGATGTATTCAAAGTGCTCAAATAAAAAAATCCTGCCAAACAGGAATACTGTATTCAGCAAATCTGTTTCTCAGAAATGAGGAAGAAAGAAGATTTTCCAGACAAACAAAAGCTGAGGGAATTCATCACCACCAAATCTGTCTTACGGAAAATTTTAAGGAGAGTTCTTTAAGGTGAAAGAAAAGAAGTCTAATGAGTAACACAAAAACAACTGAAAGTATATAACTCACTAATAAAATTAAGTACATAGTCAAATTCTGAATATTCTAATAATGTAATGGCAGTATGTAAATCACATTTTCTGTACGAAGGTTAAAAAGTGAAACTATGAAAATAATAACTAATGTTAAGAGATATTCAATGTAAAAATATATAAATTATGAAGTCAAAACTTTTAAATGGGAGAGTGAAATAAAAGTGTAGAGTATTGTGGAGTCTTTGTTTTTTCAATCAAGTTAAGTTGTCAACAGCTTAAAATAACCAGTTATGACTATAAGATGTTTTTTTGTAAGCCTCATGATAAATACAAAGCAAAAACCTATAGTGAGTATACAAAAAAAGCAAGGAGCTCTGCCCTCCAAGATGGCCAAATAGGAAGACCTCCAGTGTACAGCTCCCAACGTGAGTGACGCAGAAGACGGGTGATTTCTGCATTTCCAACTGAGGTACTGGGTTCATCTCACTGGGACTTGTGGACAGTGGGTGCAGCCCACGTGACTGTGAGCCAAACCAAGGTGGGGCACTGCCTCACCCAGGAAGCACAAGGAGTCAGGGAATTCCCTTTCCTAGCCAAGGGAAGCCATGACAGATGGTACCTGAAAAATCGGGACACTCCCACCCTAATACTGTGCTTTTCCAATGGTCTCAGCAAATGGCACACCAGGAGATTATATCCCATGCATGGCTCAGAGGGTCCCATACCCATGGAGCCTTGCTCACTGCTAGCAGAGCAGTCTGAGATCAAACTGCAAGGAGGCAGTGAGGCTGGGGGAGGGGGATCCGCCATTGCTGAGGCTTGACTAGGTAAACAAAGCAGCCAGGAAGCTAAAAGTGGGTGAAGCCCACCGCAGCTCAAGGAGGCCTGCCTGCCTCTGTAGACTCCAACTCTGGGGGCAGGGCATGGCTAAACAAAAGGCAGCAGAAACTTCTTCAGACTTAAACGTCCTGGTCTGACAGCCTTGAGGAGAGTAGTGGTTCTTCCAGCACAGAGTTTGAAATTTGAGAATGGATAGACTGCCTCCTCAAGTGGGTCCCTGACCCCCGAGTAGCCTACCTGGGAGACACCTCCTAGTAGGGGCCGACTGACACCTCACACAGCCAGGTGCCCCTCTGAGATGAAGCTTCCAGAGGAAGGATCAGGCAGCAACATTTGCTGTTCTGCAGCCCCTGCTGATGTCACCCAGGAAAACAGGGTCTGGAGTGGACCTCCAGCAAATTCGAACAGACCTGCAGCTGAGGGTCCTCACTGTTAGAAGGAAAACTAACAAAGAGAAAGGAACAGCATCAACATCAACAAAAAGGACATCCACACAAAAACCCCATCTGTAGGTCACCATCATCAAAGACCAAAGGTAGATAAAACCACAAAGATGGGGAGAAACCAGAGGAGAAAAACTTAAAATTCTAAAAATCAGAATGCTTCTTCTCCTCCAAAGGAACACAGCTCCTCACCAGCAACAGAACAAACCTAGACGGAGAATGACTTTGATGAGTTGACAGAAGTAGGCTTCAAAAGATGAGTAATAACAAACTTCTCCAAGTGAAAGGATGATGTTCGAACCCATCACAAAGAAGCTAAAAACCTTGAAAAAAGATTAGACGAATGGCTAACTAAAATCAACAGCATAGAGAAGACCTTAAATGACCTGATGGAGCTGAAAACCATGGCATAACAAATACGTGATGCATGCACAAGGTTCAGCAGCTGATTCGCTCAAGTGGAAGAAAGGGTATCAGCGAATGAAGATCAAATGAATGAAATGAAGAGAGAAGACAAGTTTACAGAAAAAAGAGTTAAAAGAAATGAACAAAGCCTCCAAGAAATATGGGACTATGTGAAAAGACCAAATCTATGTCTGACTGGTGTACCTGAAAGTGACGGGGAGAATGGAAACAAGTTGGAAAATACTCTTCATGATATTATCCAGGAGAACCTCCCCAACCTAGCAAGGCAGGCCAACATTCAAATTCAGGAAATACAGAGAATGCCACAAAGATACTCCTTCAGAAGGGCAACTCCAAGACACATAATTGTCAGATTCACCAAAGTTGAAATGAAGGAAAAAATGTTAAGGGCGGCCACAGAGAAAGGTCAGGTTACCCACAAAGGGAAGCCCATCACACTAACAGCGGATGTCTCAGCAGAAACTCTATAAGCCAAAAGAGAGTGGGGGCCAGTATTCAACATTCCTAAAGAAAGGAATTTTCAACACAGAATTTCATATCCAGCAAACTAAGCTTCATAAGTGAAGGAGACATAAAATCCTTTACAGACAAGCAAATGCTGAGAGATTTTGTCACCACCAGGCCTAACTTACAAGAGCACTGTAAAGGTAGCACTAAACATGGAAAGGAAGAACCGGTACCAGCCACTGCAAAAGCATGCCAAATTTTAAAGACCATCAAGGCTAGGAAGAAACTGCATCAACTAATGAGCAAAATAACCAGCTAACATCACAATGACAGGATCAAATTCACACATAACAATATTAACTTTAAATGTAAATGGGCTAAATGCTCCAATTAAAAGACACAGACTGGCAAATTGGATAAAAAGTCAAGACCCTTCAGTGTGTCATATTCAAGAGACCCACCTCAAGTGCAGAGACACACATAGGCTCAAAATAAAGGGATGGAGGAAGATCTACCAAGCAAATGGAAAACAAAAAAAAAGCAGGGTTGAAATCCTAGTCTCTGATTAAACAGACATTAAACCAACAAAGATCAAAAGAGACAAAGAAGGCCATTACATAATGGTAAAGGGATCAATTCAACAAGAAGAGCTAACTATCCTAAATATATATGCACCCAATACAGGAGCACCCAGATTCATAAAGCAAGTCCTTAGAGATCTACAAAGAGACTTAGACTCCCACACAATAAAAATGGGAGACTTTAACACCACACTGTCAACATTAGACAGATTGATGAGACAGAAAGTTAACAAGCATAACCAGGACTTGAACTCAGCTCTGCACCAAGCATATCTAATAGACTTCTATAGAACTCTCCACCCCAAATCAACAGAATATACCTTCTTCTCAGCATCACATCACACTTATTCCAAAATTGACCACATATTTGGAAGTAAAGCACTCCTCAGCAAATGTAAAAGAACAGAAATTATAACAAACTGTCTCTCAGATCACAGTGCAATCAAATTAGAACTCAGAATTAAGAAACTCACTCAAAACCACTCAACTACATGGAAACTGAACAACATGTTCCCGAATGACTGCTGGGCAAATAACGAAATGAAGGCAGAAATAAAGATGTTCTTTGAAACCAACGAGAACAAAGACACAACATACCAGAATCTCTGGGGCACATTTAAAGCAGTGGGCAGAGGGAAATTTATAGCACTAAATGCCCACAAGAGAAAGCAGGAAAGATCTAAAATTGACATGCTAACATCACAATTAAAAGAACTAGAGAAGCAAGAGCAAACGCATTCAAAAGCTAGCAGAAGGCAAGAAATAACTAAGATCAGAGCAGAACTGAAGGAGATAGAGACACAAAAAACCCTTCAAAAAATCAATGAATCCAGGAGCTGGTTTTTTGAAAAGATCAACAAAATTGATAGACTGCTAGCAACACTAATAAAGAAGAAAAGAGAGAAGAACTAAATAGACACAACAAAAATGATAAAGGGGATATGTGCACCGATCCCACAGAAATACAAACTACCATCAGAGAATACTATAAACACCTCTATGCAAATAAACCAGAAAATCTAGAAGAAATTGATAAATTCCTGGACACATACACCCTCCCAAGACTAAACCAGGAAGAAGTTGAATCCCTGAATAGACCAATAATAGGCTCTGAAATTGAGGCAATAATTAATAGCCTACCAACCAAAAAAAGTCCAGGACCAGATAGATTCACAGCCTAATTCTACCAGAGGTACAAAGAGGAGCTGGTAACGTTCCTTCTGAAACTATTCCAATCAATAGAAAAAGAGAGAATCCTCCCTAACTCATTGTATGAGGCCAGCATCATCCTGATACCAAAGCCCGGCAGAGACACAACAAAAAAAGAGAATTTTAGACTAATATCCCTGATGAACATCGATGCAAAAATCCTCAATAAAATACTGACAAACCGAATCCAGCAGCACATCAGAAAGCTTATCCACCATGATCAAGTGGGCTTCATCCCTGGGATGCAAGACTGGTTCAACATACGCAAATCAATAAACGTAATCCATCATATGAACAAAACCAAAGACAAAAACTACATGATTATCTCAATAGATGGAGAAAAAGCCTTTGACAAAATTCAACAATCCTTCATGCTAAAAACTCTCAATAAACTAGGTATTGATGGGACATATCTCAAAATAATAAGAGCTATTTATGACAAACTCACAGCCAATATTATACTGAATGGGCAAAAACTGGAAGCATTCCCTCTGAAAACTGGCACAAGACAGGGATGCCCTCTCTCACCACTCCTATTCAACATAGTGTTGGAAGTTCTAGCCAGGGCAATCAGGCAGGAGAAAGAAATAAATTGTATTCGATTAGGAAAAGAGGAAATCAAATTGTCCCTGTTTGCAGAGACATGATTGCATATTTAGAAAACCCCATCATCTCAGCCCAAAATCTCCTTAAGCTGATAAGCAACTTCAGCAAAGTCTCAGGATACAAAATCAATGTGCAAAAATCACAAGCATTCCTATACACCAATAATAGACAAACAGAGAGCCAAATCATGAGTGAACTCCCATTCACAATTGCTACAAAGAGAATAAAATACCTAGGAATCCAACTTAGAAGGGATGTGAAGGACCTCTTCAAGGAGAACAACAAACCACTGCTCAATGAAATAAAAGAGGACACAAACAAATGGAAGAACATTCCATGTTCATGGATAGGAAGAATCAATATTGTGAAAATGGCCATACTGCCCAAGATAATTTATAGATTCAATGCCATCCCCATCAAGCTACCAATGACTTTCTTCACAGAATTGGAAAAAACTACTTTAAAGTTCGTATGGAACCAAAAAAGAGTCCTCATTGCTGAGACAATCCTAAGCAAAAAGTACAAAGCTGGAGGCATCATGCTATCTGACTTCAAACTATACTACAAGGCTACAGTAACCAGAACAGCATGGTACTGGTACCAAAACAGAGATATAGACCAATGGAACAGAACAGAACCCTCAGAAATAATACCTCACATCTACAGCCATCTTATCTTTGACAAACCTGACAAAAACAAGCAATGGGGAAAGGATTCCCTATTTAATAAATGGTGCTGGGAAAACTGGCTAGCCTTATGTAGAAAGCTGAAACTGGATCCCTTCCTTACACATTATACAAAAATTAATTCAAGATGGATTAAAGACTTCAATGTTAGACCTAAGACCATAAAGACCCTAGAAGAAAACCTAGGCAATACCATTCAGGACATAGGCATGGGCAAGTACTTCATGACTAAAACACCTAAAGCAATGGCAACAGAAGCCAAAATTGACAAATGGGATCTAATTAAACTAAAGAGCTCCTGCACAGCAAAAGAAACCACCATCAGAGTGAACAGGCAACCTACAGAATGGGAGAACATTTTTGCAATCTACCCATCTGACAAAGGGCTAATATCCAGAATCGACAAAGAACTGAAACAAATTTACAAGAAAAAAATCAACCCCATCAAAAAGTGGGTGAAGGATATGAACAGACACTTCTCAGAAGAAGACATTTATGCAGCCAAAAGACACATGAAGAAATGCTCATCATCACTGGCCATCAGAGAAATGCAAATCAAAATCACAATGAGATACCATCTCACACCAGTTAGAATGGCGATCATTAAAAAGTCAGGAAGCAACCAGTGCTGGAGAGGATGTGGAGAAATAGGAACACTTTTACACTGTTGGTGGGACTGTAAACTAGTTCAATCATTGTGGAAGACAGTGTGGCGACTGCTCAAGGATCTAGAAATAGAAATACCATTTGACCCAGTAATCCCATTGCTGGGTATATACCCAAAGGATTATAAATCATGCTGCTATAAAGACACATGCACATGTATGTTTATTGTGGCACTATTCACAATAGCAAAGACTTGGATCCAACCCAAATGTCCATCAATGATAAACTGGATTAAGAAAATGTGGCACATATACACCATAGAATACTATGTAGCCATAACAAATGATGAGCTCATGTCCTCTGTAGGGACATGGATGAAGCTAGAAACCATCATTCTGAGCAAACTATTGCAAGGACAGAAAACCAATCACCGCATGTTCTTACTCATAAACAATGAGAACTTTTGAACACAGGGTGGGGAACATCACACACTGGGGCCTGACGTGGGGTTTGGGGCTGAGGGAGGGATAGCATTAGGAGAAATACCTAATGTAAATGACGAGTTAATGGGTGCAGCACACCAACATGGCACCTGTATACATATGTAACAAACCTGCACGTTGTACACATGTACCCTAGAACTTAAAGTATAATAATTTTTAAAAAGCAAGGAATCAAAATATACCACTAGAGAAAATTTATCAACCACAAAGGAAGACAGGAAAAGAGGAATAAAGGAACAAAAGATCTACAAAATAACTGGAAAACAATTAATGAAATGGCAGTAGTGAGTCTCTATCTATCAAAAATTATCTTGAATGTAAATGGACTCAGTTCTCCAATTAAAAGACATAGAGTAGTTGAATGAACAACACCAAAGTAAAAACAAGACTTAACAATATGCTGCCTTCAAGAGACTTACTTCACTTATAAGAACAGACATAGACTGAGTGAAAAACTGGAAAAGATATTTCAAGCAAACAGAAACCAAAAGGAAGCAGGAGTAGCTATACTTAAATAAAACAGATGTTAAATCAAAAACTGTAAAAATAAAGGTCATTATATAATTAGAAGGTCAATTCTGCAAGGGCAGATAACACCTGTAAATATATATGTACCCAACATTGGAGCACCTAAATATGTAAGCAAATATTAATAGATCTAAAGGGAGAGACAGACCACAATACAATAATAGTAGGGGTCTTCCTCACCCTAGTTTTAGCAATAAACAGATCACCCAGATTAAATATCAGCAAAGATCACCCAGATTAAAAATACAGCATTTAGTCTACTGTACTGTAGACCAAATGGACCTAATGAACATTTACAAAACATTCCTTCCAACAGCTATAAAATTTACTTTTTTCTCAACTGCACATGGAATATTCTCCAAATGTTAGGCTACAAAACAAGTCTCAACAAATTTAAGAACATCAAAATTATACAACATATCTTTTCTGCCTACTGGAATAAAGCTAGAGATCAACAACAGGAGAAACCTCAGAAACATTACACATACATGGAAATTAAACAGCGTGTTCCTGAACAACCAATGGGCCAATGAAAAAATTGAAGGAAAAATTTAAAAATTTGTTTAGACAAATGAAATGGAAACACAACATATCAAAACCTATGCAATACAGCAAAGCAGTTCTCCCAGGAAAGTTTGTAGCAACAAATATTTACATCAGAAAAGAGGAAAGAGCCAGGAGTAGTGGATCACACCTGTAATCCCACCACTTTGGGAGGCATAGGCAGGTGGATCGCTTGAGCGCAAGCCCAGGAGTTTGAGATCAGCCTGGGCAATATAGTGAAACCCTGACTCCACTAAAAATACAAAAAATTAGCCAGGCATAGTGGCATGCACCTGTGGTCCCAGCTACTTAGGAAACTGAAGTAGGAGGATCACCTGAGCCCACGAAGTCAAGGCTGCAGTGAGCCAAGATTGTGCCACTGCACTCTAGCCTGGGCAATGAGAGTGAGACCCTGCCAAAAAGAAAAAAAGAGAGAGAGAGAGAAAGAAGGAGAGAGAGAAAAGAAAAAAGGAAATATATCAAATAAACAACCTAACATTGCACCTTAAGGAATTAGAAAATCAAGAACAAACTAAATTCAAAATTAGTAAAGGGAAAGAAATAATATCGATGAGAGCAGACATAAACAAAATGGAGACTTTAAAAATACAAAAAATCAACTGAGTTAGTTTTTGGAAATGATAAACAAAATTGGCAAACTTTTAGCTACAATAACTAATAGAGAAAGAGAGCCCCTATAAATAAAATCATAAATGAAAAAGATATTACAACTAATACCACAGAAATAGAAAGGATCATAAGAGACTACTATGAACAACTAGACACCAACAAATTGGAAAGCCTAGAAGAAATGGATAAATTCTTGGATACATACAGCCTACCAAAGTTGAATCACGAATAAAGAGAACACATGAACAGACCAATAATGACTAACAAGATTGAATCAGTAATAAAAAGTATCCCATCAAAGCACAAGAATGGATGATTTCCCTGCTGAATTCTATCAGACATTTAAAGAATTTATCACTTTTTTTTTTCAAATTGTTCCAGAAAATTTAAGAGGAATTCTTCCAAACTCATTTTACAAGGCCAGCATTATCCTGATGCCAAAATCAGACAAGGGCATGCCATAAAAAGAAAAACTACAGGCCAGTATCCCTGATGAACACAGATGCAGAATCCTTAACAAAATACTAGCCAATTACACATTAAAAAGATCACTGTGATCAAGTGGAATTAATTCCAGGGATGCAAAAAAAAGTCCAACACATGCAAATCAATACATGTGACATGTCACATTAACAGAATCAAAGACAAAAACCGTATGTTCATTTTAGTAGATGCTAAAAAGGCATTTGATAAAATTCACCATGTCTCCATGATAAGAATTTTGAATATGTTAGGTATAAATAAAATATACCCCAACACAGTAAAGACCAGATATGTCAAAATCACATCTAACACCATACTGAATGGGGAAAAGTTGAATGCTTTTTCTCTAAGATCTAAAACAAGATGAGGATATCCACTTTCACAGCTTTTATTCAGCATAGTATTGCAAGACCTAGCCAGAGCAATTAGGCAAGAGAAGAAAATAAAGGACATCCAAATTGGAAAAAAGGAAGCCAAATTGTTCTATGTTTGTAGATGAAATGATCTTAAATGCAGAATATCCTAAAGACTCCACCAAAATAACTGTTAGGATCAATAAATAAATTTAGTAAAGTTGCAGAATACAAAATCAATATACAATAATCAGTAGCATTTCTATACACCAATAGCAAATTACCTGAAAAATAAATCAAGAAAGCAATCCCATTTACAATACTTACAAAAAATAAAATACCTAGAAATACATTTAACTCAGAAGGTAAAAGATTGTTACAGTGAAAACTATAAAACATTGATGAATGCTTTATTAATGAAAAGATATCCTATGTTCATGGGTTGGAAGAACTAATATTGTTTAAGATGTCCACACTATCCAAAGCAACTTGCAGATTCAATGCAATCTCTATCAAAATACCAATAACTTCTTCACAGAAATAGAAAAAACAATCTTAAAATGCATACAGAATCACAAAAGACTCCCAACTAGCCAATGCAATCCTGAGCAAAAAGAACAAAGCTGGAGGTATCACACTTTCTTACTTCAAAATATACTACACTACAAAGCCATATAGTAACCCAAACTGCATGATACTGGCATAAAAACAGACACATAGACCAAAAGGAGCAGAACAGAGAGCCCAGAAACAAATCCACGTATTTTCTGCCAACTCATTTTCAACAAAGATGCCAAGAACGCACATTAGAGAAAGCAAAGTCTCTTCAATAAATGGTGCTGGGAAAACTGGATATCCACATGGAGAAGAATGATGCTGGAACCCTATCTCTCACAACTGACAAAAATAAACTCAAAATAGATTAAAAACTTAAATGTTAAGACCCAAAACAATAAAACCACTAAAAGAAAACATAAGAGAAATGCTTCATGACATTGGTCTGGAGAAAGATTTTTTGGATAAAACCTCAAAAGCACGAACAACAAAAGCAAAAATAGACAAATGGAATTACACCAACCAAAAAACCTCTAAACAACAACAAACAAAACAATGTGAAGAGACAACCTACAAAATGGAGACTGGGAGAAAATATTTGCAAATTATGCGTCTGACAAGGGGTTAATATTGAGTATAAAAAGAACTCAACTCAGTAGAAAAAAAATTAACAATTTGATTTTTTGTTAATGGGCAAAAGACCTGAATAGACATTTCCCCAAAGAAGACATACAAATGGCCAACAGGTATATGAAAAAATGTTTGACATAATTAATCATCAGGGAAATGCAAGTGAAAACCATAATGAAATATCTCCTCACCACCATTAGAACAGCTATAAACAAAAAGACAAAAAAATAACAAATGTTGGCATGGATGTGGAGAAAGGGGAATACTGATATACTGTTGATGGGAACATGAATTAGTACAGGCATTAGGGAAAACAGTATTGCGGTTTCTCAAAATATTGAAAATTGAGCTACCATATCACCCATCAATCCCACTGCAGAGTATATATACAAAGGAATTGAAATCGATATGCCAAAGAGATAGCTGCACTCCATGTTTATTGCAGCAATATTCACAATAGCCAAGATATGAAAACAACCTAAGTGTTCATCAATGGATAAATGGATAAAGAAAATGAGGTATATGTGTTACATACCACATATATAGTATATATGTGGTATACTTGTTATATACCATATATACAGTATATATCCTAAACCTATATACCATATATAGTATATACCATATATATAACACATATACCACTATTTATACTATATATAGTATGTAACACATATACTATATTTCTTATATATAGTATTATATTATATATATAGTGTGTATATATATATATATAGTGTGTGTGCATATATATATATATATATATATACATATAATTCAATGGAATACTAAATCAGGCATAAAAAAAGAATAAAACCTTGATATTTTCTGGTAAAATGGATGAATCTGGAGGACATTATGCTAAGAAAAATGAGCCAGACACAAAAAGACAAACACCACATGATCTCATTCATATGTGGAGTCTAAAGAAGTTGATCTCACAGAAGTAGAGTGTAGAATAGTGACTATGAGAGGCTAAGGAGGGTAGGTAGGAGTAGGGATAGGGAGGTTGGTTAACAGGTACAAAGTTACAGTTAGGAGAAGTAAGTCCTACTATTCTATTGCAGAGTAGGGTGTTACAGTTAACAATATTGAATATTTCAAGATAACTAGAAGAGAGAATTTTAAAAGTTCTCACCACAAAGAAATGATAAATGCATGAAATGATGGATATGCTAAATATCCTGATTTGATAATTACACAATCTACACATGTATCAAAACCTCACACTTTACCCCAAAATGCATACAACTATGTGTTAATTTTAAATATTTTTAAATTTAAAACTAAAAAAATAGAAAAGAGTCCCATTTACAATAGCATCAAAAAGAATAAAGTACTTAGGAATAAATTTAACCAAGGAGGAGAAAGATCTGTAAACTAAAATCATAAAGCATTAACAAAAGAATTTGAAGAAGATAAAAATAAATGGAAAGATACCCTGTGCTCACTGATTGGGATAATTAATATTACTAAAATGTCCATGCTACCTAAAATGCTTTACAGATTCAATGTAACCTCTGTCAAAATTCCCATGGTGTTTTTCACAGAAATAGAAAAGAAATCCTAAAATATGTGTGAAATCACTAAAGACCCTGAATAAACAAAGCCATCTTGAATTAGAAGAACTAAGGTAGTAGCATCACATTTTCTGATATCAAATTATATTACAAAGCAATAATAATCAAAACAGTATGGTACTGGCATTAAAAACAGACAAGTAGACCAATGGAACAGAATAGAGAGCCCAGAAAAAAGCCCACATGTATACTACAGTCAACTAATTTTTGATAAAGGCATCAAGAATATACAATAGGGAAAGGATGATCTCTTCAATAAATGGCATTGGGAAAACTGGATATGCATATGCAAAAGAATAAAATTGGAATCTTACTTTATACCATACACAGAGGTTAACTCAAAATGAATTGAAGACCTATACACAAGATCTGAAACTACAAAACTAGAAGAAAACATATAGAAAACTATAAAAATAGAAGAAAACTTTTGTTCCTTGAAATTTTTCTTGGCAATTTTTTTTTACTTATCACTCAAAGCACAGGCAACAAAAGCAAAAACAAACACGTATAACTATATCAAATTAAAAATTTCTGCGCAGCAAAAGGAACAATCAACAAAATGAAAAGGCATCCTATGGAATGTGAGAAAATATGTGAACACTGTATGTCCAATGAAAGGTTAATATCAAAAATATATAAGAAACTCTTACAACTCAATACCATACAAATGAACAAACAAACCAACAAAATAACCCAAGTGAAAAATGGGTAAAAGGGCTGCATAGAAAATTTTCCAAAGAAGATATACAAATGACCAACAGGTACATGAAGAGATGCCCAACATCACTAATCATCAAGGAAATGCAAATCAAAACCACAGTGAGATATTGCCTCACACCTGTTAGGTTGGCTATTATCAAAAAGTCAAAGATAATGAGGGTTGGGAAAGATGTGAAGAAAAGGGAACACTTATCTACTGTTGGTGAGACTATAAATTGGTACAGCCCTATGAAAATAGTATGGAGTTTCCTCAAAAAATTAAAAATAGAACTACCATACGATCTAGCAATCCCTCTTCTGGGTATATATCCAAAGGAAATAAAATCACTATCTCAAAAAGATAGCTCTACTCCCACATTCCCCCTTGCAGCAATATTCATAATAACCAAAATAAGGAAATAATCTAAGTGTCCTACAACACACTGATAAGGTTTGACTGTGTGTCCCCACCCAAATCTCATCTCGAATTGTAATCCCCGTAATCTCCACCTCAAAGGAGGGACCTGGTGGAAGGTGACTGGATCGTGGGGGTGGTTTTCCCCATGCCGTTCTCATGATAGTGAGTGAGTTCTCATGAGAGCTGATGGTTTTATAAGTGTTTGACAGTTCCTCCTTCACACTTGCACACACTCCCTCCTGCAGCCTTGTGAAGAAGTTGCCTGTTTCCCCTTCAATTTCTGCCATGATTATAAGTTTTCTGAGGCCTCCTAGTCATGCTTCCCATTAAGCCAGTGGAACTGTGAGTCAATTAAACCTCTTTCCTTTATAATTCCTAGTCTCAGGTAGTATTCTTTATATCAGTGTGAGAATGGACGAATACACACAATTGAATATTATTATTGAGCCTTAAAAATGAAGGCTATCTGGCCGGACATGGTGGCTCATGACTATAATTCCAGCACTTTGGGAGGCCAAGGTAGTCAGATCCCTTGAGCCTGAGAACTCAAGACCAGCCTGGACAACATAGCAAAACCCTGTCTCTACAAAAAAAAAAAAAAAAGCAAGAAAATTACCTGCGTGCAGTGGCATGTGCCTGTAGTCCCAGCTACCACGGAGGCTGAGGCGGGAGGACTACTTCAGCCCAGGAGGTCAAGGATGCAGTGACCTGTGATCCCACCACTGCCCTCCAACCTGAGTGACAATGTGAGATCCTATCTTAAAAAAAAAAAAGGAGAAAGAAATCGAAATCTTGCCATTTGCAATAACATGGATGAAGTTAGAGGACATTACGCTAAATGAAATAAGCCAGATAAATAAACATAAATACTGCATAGTCTCATGTACATGTGGAATCTTTAAAAAAAAGTCAAATACATAGAAACAGAGAGTAAAATGGTGATGACCAGGGGCTGAGTCATGGAAAAAAAAGGGGAAATATTATTCAAAGGGTACAAACTTTCTTTTTTTTTTTTTTTAAAGAGCCAAGGTCTTGCTGTGTCACCCAGGCTGGAGTGCAGTGGGGTAATCATAGTTCACTTCAGCCTTGAACTCCTGGGGTCAAGAGATCTTCCTACCTCAGCCTCCTGAGTAGCTGAGACTACTGGTGCACACCACCATACCTGGATAGTTTTTTTAATTTTTGTAAGGATGGGATGTCATTGTTACCCACGCTGGTCTCAAACTCCTGGTCTCAAGTGACCCTCCCACCTCAGCCTCCCAAAGTGCCGGGATTACAGGCATGAGCCACCACACTCAGCCAAACTTTAAGTTCTCAAATAAATAAGTTCAGGTTTAATGTCCAGCTTGGTGACCATAATTAGTAATAATGTATTGTGTACTTGAAATTTGCTAAGAGAGTAGATCTTAAGTGTTCTCACCAGGGAAACAGAGGTAACCACGTGAGGTGATGGATGTTAGCTTGATTGTGGTAATAATTTCACAGTATATATCAAAATATCATGTTGTAAAAAATATATACAATTTTTATGTGTTAATCATACCTCAATAAAGGGTGCGGGGGAGGATATTGCCTCCAAATCAGGGTCTATTCACACATTTCCCCTGAGGAGATTCCCTCCAGCCTGGCCAGCTCACTGTTCAGCCCCGGGTGCTGCCCCTGAGGATGCAGCTTCTGGGGATGGCTGAGGATGGCTGGCTACACTGGAGGCAGGAGGCTGATGGTTCAGTGATGTCTTTGATCCCTACATCTATATTACTGCATTGTTCCACTCACTGGAATAAGAACTTTGATTCCTATTTAAACCAGGGCTTTAGAGGATATTTAAAAGAAATAATGGGAATTCCCAACATGGAAACATTACTTTTTACTGAAAGCACAGTTCACAGACAGGGGGATAAAAGGAAGTTAGATCTGATTCCTGAGTGTCCTACCTATTTACATTTTGGAATCCAGTAATGTAAGTACATTTATGCTTGTGTTTAAAATATGAGCATAGAAACAACACCTAGAAAACACATGTATTTAAATCTAAGTTGAAGATAAGATGGAATTTATTGGAGGGCAACAGCAGTGACCAAAAAAAAAAAAGCAAGAGACCAATTCAACACATTAGACCTGGTCAAATAACTACCTCACGCGCAGCTACAATTACCTGAACGCCAACAACAAAATGCTGTGACGATTCAGTCTTCATCATAATTACTCATCTTCTATAGACGATACAGTCTTAAAGCATAGGAAAGAATGTATGTACAAAGAAGCACGGAAAATGACACGGTGTAGAAGATGATGACTACTCCAGTGAATGCCATAGGTGGAGCCAATTTTCTAACTGGAGTAAAATGAACTAAATTCAGAATCAAATTGAAATGTAGAGGAATATTTATTTTTCTCACCTTAATGCTTTCCTTTAAGCAGGTTTAGTTTTCATTCATTTCACTGATCTAAGGTTAATAAATTCATTATTTCAGCACCCTATGAAGAAGAAACACATCTTTTTTTTTAATTATTCTTCCTCAATAAAAGCATATCTGGAATCCTATTTTCTGAGTGAGCTGGCACACGGGGTGGGGGAGGGGAAAACTGGGAGTGTGTTGGGGAAAGCGAGGGCAGGAGGGATGACAAATCTGACCCTACCCGACAGTGCTGCCTGTCCTGTAGCATCCCAACCCTTACAGTGGTCACCCATGTGTAGTTAATCAGATTAAAAGCCTCTGAGAAACCCCTTTGAATCTCTGTCAAACAAAGACATGGAATAAACAAGAAAAAGCAGGAAGGTTATAATGCTGCACGTGGGTTAGTAATAGAAGCAAATGCAAACGCCCAGGTACCTCAGAGACTTACCCGTACCTGTCAGGGGTCTGAAAGATTTCCTGTGGCCCTGGCAGTCTGGATTTAAGGCAGGCTTAGGGGAATTAGTAAACAAAACACAGCTGAGGGTCTTTTGCCATAAACTGAACAACCAAGGAAATGAAAGTAAGGCCACGGCAAAGTTGTCTCAGCGGTGTCACTGGCTGCCATGGGGCAGCCCTGCGGTGGAAGGGCCTGACCGGCCCGGGCCAGGGTGACATCTCGGGATGTGATCTGAGCCGTCCTTGTGTGCAGATCCATGTGTTTGGAGAACAGGGTCTGTCTGTTATGTGAACACAGAGGGCATTGAGCCCAAAGCCTCATATACATTAAAAATATAATGAGAGAGATTTTTATCTTCCATGAATATTTAATTCTTCTGAAAGCCAACCATCTGCATATCACAATGCCCCGATGCATGTGTGTGATTTTCTCTGTTGTCTTTCAAAATAAAGCAGACCATTTCACTCTTCCTGTGATGCCTTGAAAGTTGCTTAAATGTGCATTGATCACTTTGATCTAATGAGTGTGTGTATTTTAAAACAAAGTCAGCACTGTTGCTCTAATCTATTTGTGTGAAGGAAACAGAACAATGGGGGGAAACCAGGTCGGGTTTCATCGTTTTCCTGGTGGCCTGTATCACAATTCACTGCCGTTTTGAATGCTGTTTAATTTTTGCTGATGTCTTTTTATCTTAGGCTTCATGTGAATTTAAAAAGAGTTTCATTGATATGCAACCTACTGTGTATTATGATATCCTGCCTGCCCTGTTGCACTGTGGAAGCCTGCAGCTGCCTGAAGCCTAATTATGCATGCATGCATGCCAAGCCCAGATGCTCGGCCAAGAGTGCCTCAACCGACTACAGTTTCTCACTTGTTTTTGTTTGAATTATAATTGGGCAGATCTATATTTCTCAACCCATCTTGTAGCTTCAGCATGCTCCTCTTTGCCTCTGTTGCTACCTCTGCTTGAGTCAGCTTCTTCATGAAGGAGTCCCTTGCCAATCTGAAGTGCCTCTGAGATCTGAGAAGGGTCATTCATGGGTTTGACAAATCCTTTTACCTACACCGCATTTTAAAAGGTACAAAAATGACCCTAGCCCCAATCAGATTTCCTCCAGATGGTTGGTAGCTTAAAAAAAAAAAAAAAAGAATAGTTAACTAGAAGCTGGCATCTGGGTAGAAACAAAGAAGGCTTAGAGCCAGGCATCTACAATGGAGAGGAATATCAGAACTAAAGCTTTACACCTGCTGAAGGAAGGTAATGGAGACTAGCAAAAACAGATTTGTTAAGCATGTGCATTCACTATTCAGAGAGCCTTTTGTGAACTGTTTTCCAGGCTACCTACGGGACCTCAGTCTTCAAGAATAACAAAGCCTCATCTGAGAGTGTGAAACTGGGTATGGCATCGCACTAAATGTGGTGTTACTCTGAGTCACCCTTCATCTGGAGATGTACACATAGAGTAACCCTCTCATATAGGATGGCAGCTGCTAGTTATAGTACTTATTTCTTTTTTTTACAACTTTAAAAAATTTCTTGAGATGTGATTTCACTATGCTGCCCAGGCTGGCCTCAAACTCCTGGCCTCGGGAGCTCCCAAGTAACTGGAACTACAGGCACACACCACCATGCCAGGCCATACGGTATTTATTTCTGAGGTACTATCAGAGACACTGTATTGTTTTTTAAATGGAGCATCAAATTAAGCACACAGATTAATTTCATTGAAAATCGTGGGATATTTTTTGATCCTGAAGCTTAAAAAAAAGTGGTGAAATTATATTGAAGCTTCAAGAGTAAGCAGGAATTTATAATAAGATAATTCTCCATGACAATCTTAAGACATAAAATCATTGGGTGAGCATTTGTCATTCAATTAGACTACTTCTGTTTGAAGAGTAATTCTTAACAACTAACATTTTCATCCAACATGCTGGTAAAGAAACAATTTTTCTGACATTTGTTAAAATGGCTAGGTAGACTTTATTCAGGGCTATTGTGATAAAAGTAGATACTGCTGCAATACAGTTTTGTAGTAGGGGAGAGAGATTGGGCTCAACATTGAATATAAGGAAAAGTGAAGATTTATAGTGAGGTGGGACACTGAATGGAAAATTGCTAAGAAGAAATATCATGGGAAGAGGGGATTCTGCCTAAAATGATTCTGGCTAATCTGACCTAACAAGATTCTTGCTGATAGCAGGCCAAAGTGGTCAGACGTCAGCTGGCAGATGGTGGACAATGAGGAATTTGATCAGATAGTGTGTGTCATCCATTACCAAGGGGAGAGGTTCTCTCTAAACTAACTTTTCAAGATTCTTGCTAAAACCGGATTCTACAAGGCTAGAGACAGAAGCCTACGGTCAGGTCCGGTCTAGCAAAGGCATCAGTATAACCTGACTAGAGATTGGTCAAGGAGAAAATCTTTGTCAACACCTTACTACTCATGTTATAGTGCCATTATAATTACTTGAAGTTGATACTATTACTATTTCCATTTTACAGATAAGAACATTGAGACCTTGACACTTTCCCAAAACCAATCGCTTCTATGTTGGCAGAAATGAGATTTGAACGCACATTGTCTCAGTCCAAAATTCATGTGCCTAGCAGCGATTATATTTTGCCTACCTAAGAGGAACATTTGACTCAAATACTGTTTTCAGCACACAAACTCTGTTTCTCAGATGTAAATAATACTGACATTTATCTAGTGCCTACTCAGTGCCAAACACTGAGTGCTTTACAACTCCTGTATGAGGTAAATGTATGCATTAGCCAATTTTCTAAATGAGCTCTCCACTCTTAACCATTCTGCTAATAGTTTCCAACTTTAGCTAAAACATAGATGGCTGAGCTCTCTCCCTAGTGTTTTGGATTCAGTAGGTCTGGGTTCAAGCCCAAGAACTTGCTTTGTAATACATGATGTTGATCCTGCTGGTCTGGGGACCATACTTTAGAACCACTACTCTATGCTGTACTAATATTACCAATATATAATTGGTATAATTAATTATCCCAGGTCCTTCACCTGCATGCTATACATTTCTAATCCTATTAAGGGAGAGGAAAATTGAGTTCCAAAAAGTCAAGTAAATGGTGTGGCATCACACTGATGGTAGGCAGGAGAGCCAGGACCCAAATACAGAGCTGACTTCCAATACCCAAGCTCTTCCCAAGACCACCCGGGGTTCCAGGCTGGGTGGTCTTCCAAACTGACTAGTCATAGAGTAAACCCAGGATGTGTCTTACACTAAATGGTAACATAATACAGTGCACATTAATAATTAATATAATTCCCTGGAATATGAGGAGGAGTGTCATTGTCTTAATAAATTGCTTGGAAAACAAAATGTTTTGGGCATGTTGGCAATGTGTGAAATAACTAGTGCTGGGGCTTAGAAAAATGATACCTCAAAGCCTGGCACTTGGACATGCTGAGTACTTTCAACTAAAGAAGCAACCTCAGCACCAAGGTGACCTCCTGCCTTCCTGTCTATTGCCCCTCTGCTCCTCCAGAAGCACAGGGAAGGGTTTCCTTTGAAATTCTCCTATCTGACTAACAATGTTCCTCCAGAAGGAATGCAGTTGTCTTGGACCTCCTCCCTATAATCTCATCAAACCGGGAAGATTAACTAGAAGGAAAGAAGACTAGAATTGACATCACACCCAGAGCCCAGAGGAACTTTGTCCCAGATTATTGTCTTTTCTTCAGGTCCATTCATCCACCTAAAAATCCTTTACTCTTTCTCTAAAATTGCCTACATCTCTGTGTTAGTCTGTTTTCATGCTGCCGATAAAGACATACCCAAGATTGGGTAATTTATAAAGAAAAAGAGGTTTAATGGAATCACAGTTCCATGTAGCTAGGGGAAGCCTCACAATCATGGTGAAAGGTGAAAGGCACATCTTACATGAAGATGAAAGAGAACGAGAGCCAAGAGAAAGGAGAACCGCCTTATAAAACCATCAGATCTCATGAGACTTATCCACTACCAAGAGAACAGTAGGGGGGAAACTGCCCGCATCATCCAATTATCTCCCACTGGTTCCCTCCCACAACACATGGGAATTATGGGAGCTACAATTCAAGATGAGATTTGGGTGGGAACACAGCCAAACCATATCAATCTCCTGTTTCCCTGTCCCTCATGAAGAGGGCATTCAAGCTTCAGTCATCTTGCCCTTCATACTTTGTGTGACTCCTGTGCCCTTGCACGTTAACAAATTTGTATGCCTTTTCTCATGCTAATCTATCTATTGTCTGTTTATTTTATAGACTCAAATTCTTGAAGCTTTAGGGTTCAGAACGAAAGTTCCCTTCACCTGGGCACTAGATTCAGGCAAGGAGATAATTTTCATGACCAAAGATGCTTGTCAGTACTGTATTAAATTTTTCTTTAAGTTGAGACATTAGAAATATATTTTACTCCACGAATGAAATGTGACACAGAGCAAAAGAGAAACAGATAGGGATTAATAGGATATGGATATTTATAGGTATTTAGACCTGTGAGTTTAATTTTCTTTCTTCTATTTTTAGAGACAGGGTCTCACGCTGTCACGCAGGCTGGGGTGCAGTGTGTGGCACTATCATAGCTCACTGCTGCCTCAAACTCCTGGGCTCAAGTGATCCTCTGGCCTCAGTCTCCCAAATAGTTGGGACTACAGGCACAAGCCCCCACACCCAGATTTTGACTTGTAAGTTTAATTTTCTAAATTGGATAGATCTAATATTTAGAAGTAGTGGCTAAGAGGTCACATGCTTGTTCATTTCTCAACACTGAGTTAGCAACAAATCTGAATTCTTAATATTACTTCCCTCAAAGATGAGCCTGTGCCCTATAGGTCAAAGAGCACCAGAAAATGCATTTTCACTGAAGAGGAAAAAAGGCTAAACTGCCTGAGAAAGATTTTTATCTATCAAGTTAGCTAACATTCTTCCTTTTTTCCAAATTGGAAATTAAATATATTCATAAGCATCAATTTTTATTTGCCTCAACTGTGTCAGTGTAACATGAATGCTAACTCATGATCTACTAATGTTTGAAGCAATTATATCAAATGACATTTTTTAAATTGCAATTTAATGCAACTTTACAGAGAAGAATAACCAAATAAACATTAATATTGTAATGGAGAGAGTTTGGGTTCAGCATCAGAAAATCTCTGTGTTGAAATTCTCAGTTTGTCTCTTCCTCCTAGTGTTTTCTTGGATAGATACTCAACCTCTTTGAAGGTCAGTATCTTCATGTGTAAAACGGTGATACTAATGCTGATTGCCTACACTTGTTATGAGAACATTTGTGAAAGTCCTGGGAAATAACACTCACTAAATGATTGTTGCCCTTCCCCATTTCCAAAAAAATTGACTTCTGAAATATTTATTAATGCCTTTTTTAGCTGTAACCTATGTTTTTATGTTAGATTGTTTTACTTTTGCTTAGCACTTCTTCACTTACATATTTCCCTCTATTATTATTTGCCTTTTTAGTAGTCATCTAATATACAAATGATTAGTCATCTAATATACATCTAATATACAATTCAATTACATTGAAACATTTACATTTTCCCCAATTTTTTCCTGTAGTGAAGAATGCCCACTGGCTGTTTTTGAACAGCTTATTTTTCTCATGTCTTTGGACCACTTCCTTGACCAGGAAGTAGTGGAAGTACAATATCAGATCCAAGGGTGGGTATGGGAGGGGGAAATAAACTTTCAAAGACAAATATAAAATATTTAGAAGAAAATTAGAATTTCTGGACAGGTATGGCATTGAGAGTGATGTTTGGTTTTGCAAATGCATGATCCATTGCTCCAAATCTACCTCTGTCCTTCTCCAAGGAGGTTCTTACCGAGTAGTCTTATGCTTGGCTCATATCAAATGCTGTTCTTTTGGGAGGCAAATGGTCCTGCAGACCAGTGGAAAGGAAGTCAGTCAGAGTTAACCAGGTCAGAAACCAGCCTGAGTGAAAGATCCCACTCAGAAAGATCCAGTCACCATTCTATTCATTCTAAAGTACTTTGACTCCACTTTATCCCAGGCTGCCAGAGACTGTCTATTAATAGAGGTGTGGAACAGAACCTAGACTAAATATAAAGTGCTGGGCTCCCCAGTGGTATGTCAGCTCACTGTTGGATGCCCTTGAAATGCTGAAGGTCTACTTTTGTCAAAACCAAAGTTGCTGCTCTCATAATGAATATCTGCTAGCGGAAGTCTGAGGTTAAGAAGGATGGGAGGGTAAGGGTGCACCTGTGAGCAACTAGGGTGCCTAACACCCCTGTGATGAAACAAGCCGAGAGGGAGTAACAGCTATGGCTTGCTCATTTTGGTAATAATGTGTCATGAGCTTCTCTCTGCTGCGAATCCAATGCAAATAACAGTAAATATTTGTTGGGTGTTTTACTATGTTCTATTACTGTTCTAGAAGCTAGAGATACCACCATGAACAAAACACCAGGATACATACCTTCATGAATCTTAGATTCTGTTGAACTTTTGGTGAGTTTTGAAGGAACAAAAGAAAAACATTTTCAATTCATCAAAAAAGAAAACATTAAATGTTTGATATTTTTCTTTTCTAAATGTTAGACCTTATTTGCCTCATAAATCATGTTCTCCCAACTCTCGTTTGACACACATCACCCATCCTATTTCAACCACTTCAGAATGCTGGCCATTACACTTTTGTATACCCCAAATTAACCAGAATGTATTTTATTTAAATGGCTATAAATTTTCTTCAATCTGAGATCCCTTAGGTCCCCCTCTGTACCTATATATCACTATATGTGATGAAAGATGGAGGTGTCATGAGTTCCCAGTCAGTGGTAAGATGTAGCCTTAAAAGGAGAGTGTGACTTCATTTCTCTAGTGATGGAAGGGAAAAAGCTGTCTTTATACATTTAGGTAGACAGTAGAGGGGCCCCAGGGCTGCTACATTCTCTACCCGATACTCTTTCATTCATTCTTATCTTTTTGCCATAATTAATGGCTGCCAACAATAAATTTGCTTTAATAATCCTACCACGAAAAGCTTTTTATCTTCCATCAGTTTCAGAGATTTTAAAATACTGCGAAGAGCAGTAGGTAGGTGCCCTCCTTCTGTTTTCACAGTGTCTGTTTATGGCATCTAAGATAATCATTTTATTGCTTAATGTAGTTCATAACAGTCCCAAAATGCAACCATTCAGCACTTGTATTTTGAGAGAATGTATATTAGCAATAAAGAAACACACACACATGCGCACACACACACAGACACACACACTCCCCTTACAGACCCTCCCTCAAGATTGAATTTCCCCCATAGAATGAAAGGGAGATATTTGTGTGGACAACTAGCAGCTCCCTGCCCCTAACAACTCCACATTTGGAAGACTGAGCTTCATCTTTGCTTCAAAAGACTGCGATTTATTGCCATATCCATATCAGAGACCAATAAAAAAGCACCAGGGAGGGTGATTCTTGTGCTCCTCAAATATAAACAAATTTCTTTTCTACTAAGGATGAACACAAAGCTTTATAGCCACTAGATAAAGCACATTAACTATGACCCTTTCTCTGGGCCATGTTTAAGAATAGAAGAAAGAACAAGAGATTATATACACAACATATGTATTATACATATATATATAATTAATATTAGCCACCACACAGTAAGGTTAATTGTTGCTTCTCTGAACACTTAATATGTTAGCAGTTGATAAATCCCACCCTGAATAGAAGTGGCTTGTATTTAGGTCACACAAAGTCATTGCCGTTTTTTAATTTAAACTGTGCACTAGATTAAAACACAAGAGTGTTTCAGGAGGACAATTCAGAAGCAGCAGCAATAGGCTGTCTTTGGCGTAAAAAGTTTCCACAGCACACCCTAGGGACATGTTAATCAAAGCTTTTTAATGGATTCAGTCTGATCTGTGACAGGCTTTGTTCCAGAGATGGCGTTTGCTGGATAGAGCTGCAAGTTATCAATAAGACACAGTAATTGCGGGGAGTGATTGAGCTGCGTTTCTGGGGCTTCATACCATCCAGCTCTTTTTTTATTATCAGTCGAAGCAGAGATGTCTTGCAGTCAGAGTCAAAGGATGACTTATTTCTTTCTTTCATCTCCCAAAATATAATGATGGTAAATTAAGCAACGAGAAAAACTGACAATTTTTGTAAAAAACAACAACAACAACAAAAACCCTCATACTACCTTCTCCTGTTTCTCCTCCTTGTCAAGTCTTTGTCTTAGACTTTCAAGTCTGGTCTGGGTAGCAAATCCTTTAACCTGAGCAAATAAATCCATTTTAACCAGAGGCAGGCATTTGAAGCTCCTCTGTGAGCTTGTGCTGGTTCTGTGGTGGCTTCTTTACTAAGTTCTTTATTATCACTCTGAAATCAAAACAGCCAGAGGCTAAACTAATGACTGAGGATCACACTGATCACCTACAGGGATATTTAGCTTTTCAGCCACTTAAGAAGGTTAACGCTCATCATCAGATGGAAAATGTCTTGGTGTCTGTTCAAAACCAGTCATGTAATAGGAACCTAACAGCTGTTTTCTTTAATAAGTCACAATCCTCACTCTGGAAGATCTGAAGCATTCCCTTAGTAAGAGATGTCCAGGTAGATAAGCAAAGGCAAGTTGGGGAGGGAGTGTTCAAGGAGGAACCAGCCTTATTTAAGGCACTTTTTCACAGTCCCATGGTTTTCTCAGCTCCCATGTCTCTGAGCTAATATGTCACTGCTAAAGATGCTCACACCTGGATAGCCAGTGTCCACACCTTAGAAAACAAAGAAAGAACAACCAGATATCTGCAGCTCAGTCTCAGCGGATCTCTTACTGCTTCCTAGTATGCTAATGTGTAGGTAGCTGTTACCTCTGTTCCCCAGGCAGAGGGTCGGGTGGATTTATCAACCTTATTCAACTGAGCTCTGACTCTACCTACATATAAGTTGCTATCCATGTCTTTTGCTGGGAAATAAAATCACATAGAGGTACCTCTGAGGTACAAATATGGGATATAACACTTCTCACACGATGACTCTTACTTATCCATTACGCAGTTTCTCATATAGAGTCCAAACTCCCTTAGTGGACTCTTCAGGACTGATTTACAAACTACTTTTTCAGTCTCATGTCTTCTGTTCAGCCCATACCATTCTACTTTTGTTGGCTGCATAACATGTCTTGTAATTTCATCCCTCCTGTCTTTGTTTATAGCATTCTTTGAGCCTGAAATGATCTTCCCCTCATTCTCCACTTACCGAATTCTTTTTAACCCTCAAGCTTCACTCAAATGCCATCTACCCAGTGAGGTCAGAATTAACTGAGACAAGGGAGAGAGCTACAAAAGGTTGGGTCTCAAGGGTCATGGTACCAGGGACTTCTGCTCTCATAAAGCTTTAGGGAGATGATGCAGCTTCCAGCCAACAAAGGTCATTTGTTCTCAGGACTCCAAGTGATAGCCTGTTGATTCCCAGCATGAGTAAATCTCTAAAACTCATTGAAAAAAGCTAAGAAAGAAAAGAAAGTAACCTCAATTCTGCCCCTGGAACAGCCAAGCACTGGGCACCTTCAGGCATTCATTCAAGAAACCAGGAGCCTGGTTTGCACCTGGAGATGCAACACTTTAGAAATAAGGTCCTTTGGGAGCTTGCTGTAGCACAGAACCCAGTAGTAGACAAGATTGTGCTTTCCAGAATCTCTCTCCCGTCCTTTGGTTAATAGTACCTTGATTATCTTTGAGGACGGTGGTTCTCAAACCTTACCTCATCAGAATCACTCAGAGGACTCATTAAACAGAGACCGATGAGGCCCACTCCCCAGCATTTCTATCCAGTGGGTCTGGGGTGGGCCAGAGAATGTACCTTTCCAACAGGTTCCCAGGTGATGATGAAGCTCCTGGCCAGGAAAGCACACAATGAGGACCACTGCCTTAGGAAATGACCTCATCCCCTCTTCTCTCAGACAGATCTGCAGAGTACAAATTTAAGGGCAGAAGAGTCAAGAAGACTGGTTAAGAGGTTATTGCTATGATCCTAATTAGAGATGATGAGGGCCCAAATTAAGGAAGTGGCTGGAGGAATGGAGAGAGGAAACATAGAGTGAGCATTTGCTGATTAACTAGATCTGAGCATGAGAGAGAGAAAAGAATCTTGGATACCACTACATCTCAGGCCTGAGAGGCTAAGACTCGTCCCTAAGAGAGGGGCTGTTTTATAAAGAGAAAGAATTGGGTCTTGATAATTTGGTGACAGAAAGGAGACAATCAGGCTGAAAAGTTGACACAGGAACCAAGAGGATAAATGATGAAGCAAGATCTGTAAGGATATGTGAGCACGGGAGGGGATGAGGCCCAGCTCACTGGCTCAGAAGACGAGTCCGTTTGGGGACAGGAGCCCGTAAAGATCACTTGGTAGGCAGGAGGTTAGGAACTTGGGGGAGTTTATACTCAATGTTTTCCTTGCGAAATGGAAGTTTCTGAGATTAGACGTTTGAGGAGACATGCTGCTAAGGGAAGCAGAAGAGCAAACTGATTAGGACAAACTGACAAAGGACAAGTAATGAAGCTGAGAAGCACTGATGGACTCAGATGACATCCCACAATTTTATAGCCCATCTGCAAGGCTTGTTTAAGCTTTACAACAATTTGACAAGCTCCTAGTTGAATCTGAGCTCAAGGTTTCATGGCTATTATAGATAAAGTGGAGCCAGGTCCTGAATCTGGGTCCATTACTCTTCTCAAGGTTTAAGTCATTGCCTGTGTAAGACAGAGGCTATCTTGTTACCCAGGACAAGAGGACATGCTTTTCTGATAGGAAGGAGATGTCTAGACTCTCTCCTGCCCTTCTTTCCCCTGGGTGCTCAGAGCCCCAGTGAAGAAGCCTTCCTATGGGTGTTTCTAGCAAACGTTCATGTGCACAGCTTTATGTTTCAGTAGAAGCATTAGCCAAGGCCTCACAGTTGCAGCTGTGATTAACAACCCATCACCAAGATGCCCGTGGTCCTGTCAAGGGGGATTATAAAAGTCTCCAAACAATATTACTTTTCACTAATATTTAAAGTTTAAGCAACAGAGCCTCTCTATGAAACCTCCTTCCTTTCACAAAGTGGGATTCCCAAAAGGTGGAAATCATTGTTCTAGTCATTTTGAATTCATATGGATCCCGTTTCAAAGCTGCTTCCCATAATGACTGTTGTATCAAATAAGGCCACTCACAGCCATAGTCCCAGGAACATTTGCCCACGATAGTGGAAAAGAATATTAAAACAGGGTTACACAGCCCTTGGAAACCAGAAAAGCTTCCCAGACAGGTAACATGAGAAGATAAAATATTTAGAAACACTGGCCTATTCTCAGAACCAACCGGATCTATCTGTTTTTGTGCATATTGTGGAAAGAACTGATGTTGGAAGAAGATGCTTTGGTTTTGATGAAGTGAAAACAACCACTGCCCACCCAACACATACTTTCACACAGATGCATGCCTATGTGAAAACACCTCCACACACACATTTCCATAAAACAAATCCAACTGTAGTTAGGACATTTCAAGAAAATTAAAAGCAAGCTCTGTCGGTTTGCCACAGCTACAAGTGATTTTCCATTTGCAAAAAGACTGCTATGGAAATAACTGATTTGGGATATTTGTCCTCGACATCCTCAATATATGTAGCATCACCTTGGCCCCCTGTAGAACACTCGGGCCGTTTCCATGACTATGTCTGGAGGCACAACACCTCCTCAGCATGCTACTTTATAAGATGAAGTACTGCAGGCCTCCCCAACTGCTTGTTCAGAGCGTGTCACAAATAAACACTTTGTCACCAATCCCTGCTTAGTGTCTGTTTCATTTTGGAAGTGGCTATTACAGCTGTCTAACACAATGAAAAGACAATTCTTCCTCAAAATGTTAAGGGTCGCTTCCATTAATGCAACTACCACCATTAGATGAGTAGATTCTTAGTTTTAATTCAATCCTCCAGCTTAAAGTACACAGGACTATCTTTATATTTAACAGTTCAATGTCCCCAACAACTGAATACTACAGGAGAAAATCATGTAATCAAGTATAGCGGTCGTATGTTAAATTCAGGATCTCAAATCTCAATGGGGACTCCACACAGCCAGCAATTCTCCTCTTTTAAAGGAGTGGACTCTTTCCCACTTCCCAAGATGGCTGTTTCACAGCACTGCCTCAGACCTTCCACACCTCCCCCTCTGCCCTTATTCTCAGCTGACAACTTTACCTCGTACTTCATTAAGCAAATAGAAAGTGAACACCAATTGTTCATTTTACCACCCCAAACCCACAATCCCACTTTATCATTATTTCCTCCTGAACATGAATGGCCTCCTCTCAGCCTCCTATAGCTCGATGTCATAGCTTCCTAACTGATTTACTCTGCTACACTTTCTGCCTCTGATTCCCTCAATACAGATAGGCAAATGTATCTTAAAATGGAAATGCTATCATATCACTCTCCTCTTTAAAATCTATCAAAGGCATCCACCGCAGTTAGATTGAAGTCATACATCCTCACCATGGCCTGCAGAGTTATTGCAAGCCACTCTTCCCTAACTCAGGGCTCCTCACCCCTGGTGGCCTCTTCTCACTGCCACAAATATAGCATTTCCTCCTTCACTCAGGGACTTGGCCTTGTTCCCTTTGTCCAGAGTGCCCCCCTCCCACCTGCTTTTCCCATCTACCTTTTGATTACCCCTCAGAAAGGGCCCCCTTGATGGCTCTGCCTAAAGTGGGGCCCCTGGGGATGCTCTACCTTACACAGCTTATAATTCCTTTCTTTATTTTATATTTTCTTGGTTTTTAAAAAATCTTCCCCCAACTCACAAGAAGCTCCATAAGAAGTGAACCAAGTCTGTCTTGTTCTTCCTGGTGTTTTCAGGGCCCAGATAGCACCCAGCATGGTGGAGCCACTCAATACCTCTTAATTAATTCACACACTCACTAGAGTTTCTTTAAGTATCTTAAGTGGGGCAAGAATCCCCAGATTCAAAGATCAATTATTTCTAAAAGGGAAAATGTGATTTTTGTAAATCACCAAAAAAATCTACAAGTGTTAAGTAAAGGCGCTACTGAGGGAAGTGGAGATGGAAGGAGGGGGAGGATTTCCTTGACCAAACAGAAATGCAGCTTAGGAGAAGCTTAGCTTGGCAGAAAAAAATAGCATCATGGTCAGTCCATCTATCAGCTAATGGGGCATACTGGACCCCCTTGACCCATAAATTGAATAAGAAATTTAATTCAATAAACATATTTAAAATCCTAGTCAAAGGAATCAAGATCAAAAACTCTGATATATAGGAACAGTATGGAGAATTAAATCATATAGTATGAAAAAAATGTAAACGCATCACCTAAACTGATGGGCTTTCTCAAGAAAAGCATCAAATTGACTTTGTCCCTGATGTTTCCGAGATGCTCACGGAAAACAAGAGCATTTGCTGCCACTTATCAAGACTTCCAGTTTATGCTTTCTAACAGGCAGCAAGGACAGCACTGTTGAAATGCTGGGTTCAATAAGGACTTTGTTCAGTGTAATCCTGGGGCCAGTAAATTCAACAGCGACAGCATAAAGACATAATTTGATGCTCTTTGCTATAGAACTCCACATATCTCTGCCTGATGCCCTCGGCCACTTTATTTATTTGCTACATTCCAGAGTCTTAGTTATTAAGTTGTGCTTTACACTGTACACCCCAAACACTCCATTTGTTCATTCATTCACTCATTCGGCAATTCAACAAGCCTATCTCAAGAGCCTACAAAATGCCAGGCACTGTTCCAGGGGCTAAAGATAGAGCAGGGAACAAAGCAGACAAGGCCCAGATCTCCTGGAGTTTTCAAAAATACAGGGGATGATGAATGATAAGTATCTTCCCAAGCTAAGAAACTAGGGGCTGCACGAAGGAAACAAAACAAGGGAATCAAAGAAAAGGGTGAGTGGGGTCACATGTGGGTAAAAATGGAGAACTTAAGGGAGAGCAGAAACTCTGGTGGGGGAAAGGGGTCTCTGAAAAAGACGTGCTTGAGCTGAGGAAGAACAATGTCTCACAGAGAATCGCACAAATGACCCATGGCCCAGGGTCAGTGTGGCTGAGCAGAGTGAGTGGTGTGTGGTGAGCAGGAAGGCAGGGATAGGCCAGATCATAGAGTACTGAGGGGCCACAATGAAGGAGTCTGATACATTTGAACTGCCTGTCCAGGCAGATCCTCTCTCTATACTCTCGCGCGTGCGTGTGTGTGTGTGTACATGCATGTGCACGCACAGGAGGAGGTTTATATAGCTATCAGCACTCCCTTGTCCTTTGGCTTCTGCTTGTGTTGAGCCACTGCCCCACTTCCCCTGGTTTGCAGAGTGCAGAGGGTAGGAAGAGAATGAGGGTCGCTGTGGACAGGCTGTGACTCTCCACAGAAGGTCAAAGCTCCTGTCAGGAGCTCTTTCCACACAATTCTCTCTCTGGGCTCCTATAATTGCTCACCCGCACTGTCCTCTTCAGGCCTGGGATAATAATGGCCCTGCATTCTTAATGCCCCTTAGGGGTGCTACACCAGCCTTAGTCACTTTTTGAAAACCCTGTTCATGTTCTCCTAGAAATTTTCATCAAACACCCAGCCTGAAAGTACTCTTCCTGCCAGGACCTTGACTGATAGATTCTATTCTGAAATCACTGCACCAAGCCACTCTCTCACCTTCAGCAGTTACCTTTTGCTACCTCCTTAGTCTTGGTAAGCCACTTGCTGGAAGCTGGTTTCTGTAAGTGGCATGTAACTCCACATAACATCACCTTTGGAATTTTTAGAAGTTTCTGGGTCAATTAAATGTCATCCAGCTCCTATGGTTCCCTTTTTTTGCACAAAGCTTCCCTGAGATCAGAGCTCTCTTTAGGGTGATGCAAGTCATACCAATAAAATGATTCAGGACAGAATTTTGAAACTAAAAGGCAGTGTGGTATAGAAAGACCTCTGAATTTGTACTTTAACTGTGTGACTCTTGGCAAGTAAGTTTCCTCATCCTTAAGGTAGTAATGATAATAATGTGCAGCGATAAATTTATTTCTCAACACTGGCCTCATTGGGCCATTTTGAGGATGTAGCAGAGATTACTCCAGCATCAACTTCTTTGCTTCACTGATTCTGAGACACAGAGTATAAACAAAACCCAGGACGACTCATGTTTTTGTCACTCCTTAAAATTGTGAGGTCCCCACAAGTGTTATAATACATCGATTATTATATTAGTCATCACGAGCTGCCATAACAAAATACCAGACTGGGTGGCTTAGACCACAGAGGTTGATTTCTCACAGTGAAGGAGCCTGGGAAGTCCAGGTTTGGGGTTGCCAGCATGGTTTGTTTCCTGCTGAGGGCTCTCTGCTTGGCTTTCAGACAAGAGCCTTCTTGCTGTGTCCTCACATGGAGAGAGACAGCTCTGATCTCTCTTCCTCTTTTTATAAGGGCACCAGCCTTGTGAGATTAGGAACCCACTCTTTAACTTCATTTAGCCTTTATCATCTCATGGGTCCTATCTCCAAATATAGTCACATTGGGGGTTTCGGTTTCAACCTATGAATTTTGGGCAGATGCAAACACTCAGTTCACAACAGTCATCTAAACCAACTGCATGATAACCATTACCCAAACATTATCTATTTCTCTCAGGAACGGCAACACAGATGATTTGGAATTCCACTAGATTAAAAGCTCTTTTCCTCTACAACATATAATGATGCATGCTGAAGATTATGATTAAAAATACTGAGTTAGGTTTAGTAATTTATATAAATAACTTACTTAGAATACACGTACAAAACTAAATCAAAGAACCACTGTCCAATTTATGCAACTACTCAGTGTCTGAAAATCTAAATTCCTAAGATTGCCACGACTTTGCTAAGATTTTAACCAAAAATCTTGACCAGCATGAGAAATATTGCCTTGTATGACTGTCATACACATTCCTGCTTTAGTAAGGAATGAAATTTTTTAACTATTAAAAAAAAAGGCAAGAAACTTGAGAATTTGAGAATGGAATACTTCACAGCAGTTTTTTAATTAACCAGATTTACATGTTTCAACAGGAATAAACCTTAAAAGCGAGTATAACCCACATAAGCAAAATTGTTTCAAAAATTAAACAAAATACAGTTGGATACTGCAACTTCCTATAAAACTAACTCACCTCTGCCTTTCTGAATAAAAATGAAATGGAATAAAACAAATCAGTCTTCGACTGCTTCCTCTGTCTGTGACCACATACCGTCGTTTAGGCTAATCTTTTACATTTTTTTCCCCGTCCCTTTCATTTCAAAAATAAAGATAATAATATTCAATATTTAGAATGTCCATCATGGAGAACTGCTGGCAGCATAAAAAGAGAATCATGTGACTTTTACAATATAAAATTCTCCATTTGAAGGATATTTGTGTATAAGGCTCTATAGTTCAGTATCAACTAACATTTATTTAATACTATGTGCCAGATATTACAGTAGGCACTTTTGTTTTCAATTTATATTTACCTTTTACAACTCATCCGATTTTGGCACACTGGCAACTGAGAATGTTGAGGGGCACACATAAAAAAATACTTTTTAGGAGATCCACAGTTATGGAGCAATCACGTAAGACTTCACCTTGAAATATCTTTATTTTATTTTATTTTTTACTGCCCTGAAAGATGGGGTTAACAATATGGCACATGTATACCTATGTAACAAACCTGCACATTGTGCTCATGTACCCTAGAACTTAAAGTGTAATAAAAAGATAAATTAATTAAAAAAAAAGATGGGATTAAGACAGCAAATAATCCAGGTAGTCAGGAGAACTTAATGAAACAGCCGTTCTGCTCTGCCTAACTTTCCCACCTTCCCTTGCTGGGGCACCACTGCCCATGGGTGGAGCTGCCAATTAAGTCAGAGCCTCAGGGTGACACACAACTACTGAGCCAACAGACATCCAACAAGTACTCTCTGTATCCAGAAACACTAACTTATCTAAGAGCAGAGAATTCACAGGAACCCTATAATCGTCAGTTAGGTAAGAAAAATAAAACCAATTTTGAAAGTTTGCTGGGGAATAACATCGATGTTTAAAAGTCACTGAAGTGGAGAATGTTCCACTACATCATTAGAAGGAAGGGGGGTGCTCCTGAAACCTAGCAAACCAAAATCTTAAATCACTCCTTAGTTTACCGCATGTTATTTGCCTCATCAAAGGTCTTTGCAATCATAAAAATTTGTTTCTTAAAACTCGAACCCCATCTTGCAAGACAGAAGATCAAAGAGCTTCCCAGAGTGTTTGGGATTGGGAAATTCTTTTTTCCATTTGTAGGTTTTGCATCAAAACAGATGCAGCAAGAAAAGCCGCATCTCAATGCCGTTGTGACTTTATGAAGGTGGACAATCCTGGTTGAGCAGAGATATTGCAGATGTCTCCCCTGTCATGGAGGATAACCTGCCTTCCCAGGTAGGTGGAGCTCAACCACAGCAGAGGGTGATATGTGGAAAGCATTATTCTGAAGGAGGAAGAACTAATTCACCCTGTCACCTTTCTTCGTTAAGGAAAGATAACAATTTGAGAACTCGTGTCTGTATCCATTTTCTATGTGAAAAGGAAGACTTTTGCAATAAAACAGGTATTTTGTCATCTTTTAACAAGATTTCCATTTTATTTTTAGAAATACGCAAAAGATAAGTGAAGACAGGAGACTTTCTAGCAGGTCCTCTTCTGTTCAGTGAGGCCAGAAAATGAGACATAAAATTATATCAGTATACACTGGTCCCTTGTAGTTAAAAAAATATACATGGTTCTTCTTGGAGTTTTTGAAAAGCAACATTAAGCAGCTCTACTATGAATATTATTTAGTATAAGACTTAGGTATGTGGAGCTTTAGATTTTCCAGAAAAAATCTACACTATTTGGAGAAGCATTTATGGTGATTGCTATATGCAACAGCTTGTTTGAATTCATTCTTTCAATTTTAGAAGCCACAGGAATGTAACAGAAATGGCCAAATCATGAATATTATTTACTTTATTCTAAATGCAACTAGACCTAGGGAGACTTTGCTAATTACTGGTAGCGTAGCGGAGCAGAAATCTGTTCATGTCTCATTCGAGCCTTGGATTAGATAAAACATTAGTTCCATGGAGCTGATCACTCTGGAGGTTTACTCATTTGCCTTGATGCAGTAAATGTTGGCACATTAGGCCTCCTGGAATATCCTGAAGCCGGCCTAATAACACATCTGCTGTGTTTATTTTTGAATGTAAATGGCACTCAAAAGTATGCTTTGAAAATTGATTTCAGCTGAAACACACTAAACATTAATAAATACAGATTTTGTTTCTGCTAACAATTACTTCACAAAATTGTTAGATGTGGTGGAAAGAACTAGTTTACAAATACAGTTTGCAGCAATTAAATCCCTTCAAGCCAAACTACTCCAAACTGGATGGATTCCTCTTAGATGTTGTGAGGGATATTCATACAGACTTAAAGGATTTTTATGACTTTGTGTGTACATAAAGAGCAAAGGCACCCATTAGGTCAAGGATGTTGCTGTGAAAACAAAGGGAAATTAATTTCTAACAATTGGATCAAGACAAAAGAATGGTTACACAAATCTCTTAAGAAAATGTATTCTTGTTGACATGGACAAGGAAAACAACAAAGATGACACTTTCCTGCTATTTTCTAAATATCTTTTTTAAATTCTAGCAAAGGCAGAAGGGTGCTCTTTCTTTAAATCCTCCAAATTGAAAATGATCAAGCAGTAATTGTGGCACACTGGCCTGCAATATGAATTGAGATGGTCGGCTCACCCTAACGGCTGGAGTGGACAGATTGAAGCATTCAGCTGGTTCTTGGAACCACGGGCCATCTGTTTACATTGTGTGGTAAAATCACCATGCTGGAAGCTGCGTGGGTACCGGTAGCCTGGCCTGCAAACAATCACCCCTGGGATGCTTGGTTCTGCCTAATCTTTGAGGAGAAAGGAAATCATCCTGGTGTGAGCATCCAGAGGCCTCTGCTCATTTGTATCCAGCTATAGGTCTTGGACCTTTCATTCTGGGCTTTTGGTATTCAGCTTCCTCACCTGTGAAATAAGGCAACTGATCCTCTTATCCCCCTCCAAGGTGCTCATCATACCTCTTTCAAGCCTTTATCCCACCACAGGGTGATTGTAAATTGAAATGGTAATATATAAACAAACAGAATTTTCAAAGAGATGAGACCAAAGGTGACTCTCTTCTAACACAAACCAAGCCAAATAACTTTGTGATAATGGAATATGGAATTTTAAAAAACAGAAGACTGATCTAGAGAAAGCTAGGTAATTATATTTAGTTATACAGCTAAAGACTCCTGGACTGCAAGAAACCTGAAGGACTGGGGTAGATGTCAAGCATCTTTGTATTCTGTGGTAGCCAGAACAATAGCTTGCAAGTTATAGACACTCGTGTATATTTGTTGGTGGAAGAGTGGCTAACTTAAATTTTTAAACACCAGATTTAAAACATTTGCATTCATTAAAATTATATAATATTTGTGAGCTCAGAAAGTTTTAAAGGGCTCAGGGAACATCAACTAAATTGCGGGGTAAAACAGTTTGACCCTGTGGTCTGACCCTGCCTTCATCAAAGTTGAAGACACTACATGTGGACAGAATGTGTGGTATTGGCAGGATGCACTTCAGCTGTGCTGAATGGATCCTCTCTGTGAGTAACTGACAGGACCCAGCAACAAAGGACACTGGCTCAAGCTACCCTGTTTCTCTCAAATTTGCTACATTTATATGCATTTTATATGCATTTCAGATAAACTGAAGTATGAAATTGTGTAGTGAGTTTTCTGCCTTCTATCCATTCATTCCTAAGAAAAATGAAAAATAGATTTGGGGGTGGGGGTTTTGTCTGGTGAAAATAGTTAAGAGTGAAAGCAGGAAAACCAGAAAAGCCACATACTGCCTTCTCTAATTTTATTCATATCACATACTAAAGAGTTTAAAGAAAAAAAAAAGTTTCTCTCTTGCCTCAGTTGTTTATAGTTCTTTAGCAATCTTGTCTTGATTCCAGATCATATTGCTGGGTCAAACCCAAGATCAAAATGCCCAATGTGGTGTGAGTTTTTATTTCAGAAATTGGTCTGCTAATGACATCCTAATGTCTATCTTCATATAGCAGGAACTATATTAATATTTTTTTCTCTCAGGCACTGTTACACAGATGTCAGCTCTAATCCCTATAGAAGGCTGCTACAAGTCAATCTTCATGGAAATATATTAGTGATGCCTGTGAAGTTTCTAGAAATATAAGAGGTGTGAAAATTATAATTAAAAAAAAGAAACCTTAAAAAAAATTAAGCTTATCTAGAAATATGTAAAATTATTCCACTTGATGACAATAACTACCCACGATTTTTTCAAAACTACATTAGTCTAATGTAAACTAATAATACATATATTAAAATCCTTCAAATAATCTAAATACATCAACTGTTTTATGCAAATCAAACACAAGAAAGCTCTCTGTTTTGGCTGAAAGTGATGCCTGACATTAATATTTCACAATTATGAATTAAATGAATACAAAATCCATTTGTAAAATGTTATTGATGTTTCTTTTTCAACGTAACTTTTATGCTGTGTTCAGAGAGCAGGAATACAGATGTTTCTCAACCTGCAGGGCTGGGGCAAGCCTGTCTTTTAAGAGCACGATTGTAAACCGATGAAAGGTGTGTAAACAGATGACAGGGGCAATTACAATGTAGAATTGATTAGGCTCTCAATTACTAATGGCACGTCGCCGGCATTCTTCTTTTTATGCTGCTCTTTGATGACAAAAACAACATGAATAGCTCATCAGGACTACAACATGTTTGTATTTTGAATGTCTCTCAGTAAGGGAACATGTGTAACTGCAGTTGAGGCTATAGAATGAGAGTGAGCTGGCATAGATTCTTACAGAAAAATGAGTTATAATGATTTCACCCCCAGCAGGTATCAGTCACTTTTTAATTTTTTCTTAATGCCATCGAAGAGTAAGCAAGACCCTTGGACAAAGGGGAGAGTGTTAGAAGGGAGAAACTGGGAAAGAGAACATGGCCGGGACTTAGACATATTAAGTTAGGAATAGAAGTGTTAACTGGAGCAGAATCTGTAAATCTGTCAGTCAAACGATCATTAGTTATCAAGGATTGATTAATTGCATCTGCCTCCATACTGTATATCTCTGTAATACTTGTATCTTATAAAATTTCTCCTCCCTATTCATTTTCTGATTTTCTAGCTTGTCTTACAGATGCTGAAGAAGCTCCCAAAATATAGTTGGGATTTTAGTAACAAATATCCTATGAGTTGCTGAATTGAATTCAGTAATCTCAGAAAACCCAGCCTGGCCCTCCAAACTCAAGCCTCTCCACTGGGTCTCACACCTTGACAGTATGCTCCATCGCACCGCCATTTCTACACCCCACGCCTGGGCCTGGCTGAAACTTCAAGGCTCCCCTTGGAAGGCAGCCCATCTTTGAGGTCAGAAGAAAACACTGTCATTCTGAAAGTTGGCCACTCACCTTCGAAATATCCCATCCCTATGGTTTTTTTGTTGTTGTTTGTTTTGTTTAAAGGCAACAAAACGGCTAGTCTGTGACCCATACCAGAGGTGTTAAAACAGAAGGATTAACTCTAGACTTGGCCCCAAGTGCTGGCAGATGTTTTTGAGAACGGAGTTGGGGATGTTTGAGAACACTGAGAACTCACGCTTGTAACGTGCAGATGTGGCGAACCTGGAGTGAGTTCAGAGAAGTGACAAAGATGATGAAAGGGCTAAAGAATGGTTTCTGAGGGAAGGCTGAAGGGATTCTTTTTGCCTTTATCCCAAGAAATGAGAAAATAATGATTATTAACTTCAAAGCCAGTTTGCTCTTCATGTCTGCAACAAACCCAATGAATGGAAATAGGCTCGAATTAAAAGCAGGAGAGAATTGGGTGAGGTAAAAGGAAGACTTTCTTGTGCTTCAGAGGAAGAAATATGGCAATCTGAGGTCATGGAGTACAGATGTGTATACAGATTTTAATAGAGGGATAGACCACACATTTTTTATAATTAAACTTGACTTCTCATTTTTTAACTGGTTTTTTTTCTTGGTTGTTTAGACTCTGAGGAGCAAAAACTGGAAATATGTAATGGTTTCATTTCCCCACCCCATTCCTGTTCTTCAGGCACCCACAGCCTGGTCTTACAAATGTACCACAAAAGGACACTCATGGCTAGATCTCAGTTCTCAGTGGTCAATATTTTTCTTGATTTTTACTATTTTCAGCACTTTGCAAAGACATATGGGGAAAAGGAAATGGAGGATTATGGCTAGTCGGGGAGGCTTAAAGTCAAGAGAAATTGGCACAGATCTGGAAGAGAGCATATGTCATTGATCTTGTCCACAAGCTAATTGAGAACATTCCCAGGCTTCACAGGGCAATACTATTTCTAGACTCTCAGGGTTTAAGAAGCATTCGATAGTTCAACATAAGGCAGTGTGCTTGCTGGATACGGAGTCTGGTTAAGCAATAACTCAATCTGTCTTCTGAGGCCTCCAATGCAAAAAACTAAGGAGGCTTTGCTGCTGTTTAGTGACACCTCCACACCTACTATAAAAAATAATAGTATTAATTATGAAGAAAACACTGAGGGGATTTGTTCAAAATAGCCAAGTGCCAACTGACCCTTTTGTTTCCTTACCCAGCTGAAATATTCACCTTCACAATACTTTTTTAGCAACCAGTTTGTCCCTATGGCCCAAATGAGACTCCAACTACAAAGTAAAAAGAGCAAAAGCCTCTGTTGGTGACCTTCAAGCTGGCTAAAGACCTAGCCAAAATCTGTCACCATATAGTTTCCATTTCCCTGTGAGAAACCACAGGGGTACATGCATGGGTGACATGAATGGAGGTGCTCGGTTGTAAAATGTTATTCACATGCAAGACATCATTGTTATTGTTTCCTGTAATTATTCTGCCTAATAACAAAAGGAAAATGACTGATTTTGACACCCAAGTTTTGCTGTAAATAGGCAGAATGTTGTCATGAATATGCAAAATATTATGATCATTGCCATACCTAACTAATTGCATTTGAAACATGCTGGCCATAAAATAATTAATTAGCAGTGCAGAAAGGCATCATGATACTAGCTATAAATACTAAACATAACTAATTATTTCCGTCATAAAATGGTCCTGCCAAGTAATTTATAACAAAACCCCGCATAGAAGGCAAAGCCCAGAGTTCCTACAGCTTGGCGTGCAAGGGCTGTGTCACCCAAGGCTTTGTATTTTGTGATATTGTTGGGATGAGTGGATACCAATTTGAACATAAACTAAAATGAAACTAATCTAGGATTTCAATGTTCTTTGAGCTGTTGGGTGATTGTTGTGGAAAATTCAGGCAGATCCTTTTGTTGTTGACATCAAAAGTGGTAGGTCACTCTGGACCTGCAGAGTACATTCTGAGCTCAAGCAAAAATTGATTTCCTTTTTTAAAAAGCAGCTGGCATTACAATGAATAGCTTTCTTTCGATTTTTCTTCTCCAATGAAGCATTCACTGAATGCAGCAGGCATAATAGGCTGAAGTAAACAGTGTCAGGTTCTGTTATATCAGGAGCTCTTTTAAACCAAGCAGACAAGCTATCATCAGTGCCTGAAACCCTGCAAATCATGGCAGAGTCGGAAAATGAGTTTGTTTCCTGACCAGTGTGTTGATGACATTTTGAAGAATGGAAGGAGGCGCTTTGCTAATCACTGTGGCTGCTGCATGCTCCATTATGATGCCATCTCGTTAATGAGCAAAAATAATGTGCCTGGATGAGGCAGTAATAGAATTAGAGCCTCCACAAGCTGGACTCAGGACTGTCGTGAACATTCTCTGGTTTTGCATGAAACATGTGAGAGAGAGCCTTGGGATTCATCTCTTAGAATCATTTATCAGAACCCTCTGGCCTCATTTTTTTTTTCCAGTGGTTTGAAAATAGGAAATTGGCCTACATCACAACAAAGTATCTTGCCCTAGTTTTTAGTCCTTAGGGTGAAAGACTTCATGACCAACTCAAAGACAGCTAGTCTGGGTTGTGGCTTTTTTGTTTCTACTGTTGTTTTTCTTCCCCCCTCCCAAATGACTGTGAGAGAAATGATTGTAAGCAAGGATTTAGGTAGTGGAAATGTTAAAATGTATTCATTCGTGTCATAGTAGAATCAGGCTTGCAATGATTCAACTGCATGCTAACGAGCCTTAGAAGACCAGTGTTCATTTTGATCTAAAAAATATCTCTCTTCTAAGTACACAGCTCTCTCGCCTACATAACTACAACAGTGACACTATGGCCCATTTAACCCTCCTTCATACAATCCTAGGGACAGGGGGAGATGTAAGTGCCTTCAGAGACACCCTAGAATTCAAGGCAAGTGCCATTCACTTCCAGCCAAGGAAGCCTTCTCCTGAGAGTCTCTCTAAAGTGAATTCTGCCCACTGCTTTCAGGATGAGAGGCAGCCACTGGAATGGGAGGGACTCCCAAGGCACCCCACAGATAAGTGCCCCAGGGTGAAGCAGGGAAAGGAAATACTTGCCACGTGGTGCAGGGGACCCCTTCTTCATCCCTCACTAAAATCAAAAAAGCTTCTTCACCAGGAGGGTGTTTCTAAGCAATCGCACCTCTAAATAGAATGTAATTACGAAGGAAATTAACTTCACAGCTAAAGACTGTGTTGTCATGATAATTTAGAAAAGTGGGAAGGATGTTTTCTGAGCAATCCCTAATCTTTTTTTCTTCTCCCTTTTTGGTTATCACTTAATGCTATTCATTAAAACCGATAACAGAAATTGTTTCTCTTTAAATTTCCTACTGAGTCTCGATTTAGTTGAGTTAGACTTTTCTTGAAACAATACATTAGTGTCATGCCCAATTGACTTCTGTTGTAAAAGAAATAAATCTCCCATATGACTTTGTTGCATGCACCTGGAAATGGTTAAAAATAAGCACTCTGTCATCCATTGTTTAAAGAAAAACAGAGGTTCTTCTGTCCCCCAATCTCAGTATGCTGTCCCTACTCTGTCCTTTGCTGCAAATGAACTTATCAGAGTCCTTCCTTCACTGCAAGCAATATTTACCTTTGGAGATTATACATGCTTACAACACAGAAAAGGTTTACCTTCCATCACTAGCCCTCTTTTAGGCTCACTTACACTGTCCCTGCAGAGCGACACAGCAGCTCCTCAGTGAGGCCCTGGAGATGTTCAAACTAAAGATTCAAGAGGTGCTAACAAAAATCACAGCAACCATTGGTCTCATTTAAAATTGTGTTTCATCTTCAAGCAATTAACAGAGAAATCTCTCTCTTCCACACTTAGAACCCTAAGTGTCATCTTTAGGTTTGTTAAGTGGAGCCACTCAGACATGTGACATGGTACCCATCATTTACTCAAACTGGGAGGCTGTATTTAAAACAAAAGCTGCCTAAACTGAGTTAAAAATAGATAATAAATGCGACTGTTGGTCTTGGCCATATCTTTACCAATGTGACCAAATTGTATGAGATTGAATCACTGGGTCTCAGTCTGCGGTATTCAAGACTATAATCCAACAGAGAATCCTGGCCAAAAGAAAAGCAGCTGGTGACATTGTAAAGAGTGTGTCTGAGCCTCTACCATGTGCTAAACATTCCAAGCACTTGAAATTGACATTGTCTCATTTAATCTTCATAGCTCTTTAGGATGCTTTTACTGAAATTTGTTTTATTATAAGCCCTATTTTATAAAGGAGGAAATTAAGTCTCGGATAGGTTAAATTTCCCCAGCTAGTGATTGGGAGGATCCAGGTATAAGTCCTGGTCTTTTGGTCTCTTGGAGTCAAAATACTTGAAGATGCCTTATGTCCATTTGATTTGACCACTGGTATTAGCTTTGGAAAAGACAGGATGTGTATCTTTACTTTTTTACTGCTTAAAAATTTCAACAGATATCACTATAACTAGCTCCATCTCAGAGAAGTGAATGAACTAGAAAAAAAAAAATACCTTATCTTCTTTAAGAGCAAAAGAAAGTGGAAAAGGAATCAACATTTACTAGGTCTCTTATATACACACATACAGACAACAATTCTTCAAGGTGGGCATTTTTATCTGTATTTTGTAGATGAGCAAATGAATGCTCAGAGAGGATAATGATTTGTTAATTTCATCCACCTCGGTGCAGCAGAGCCAGACTCAAACTGAGATCTGGTTTGTCCCAAATTGCATACTGAAACCTGGGTTGAAATAGAACTTCAAATCTATGGGGTTTGACTACGTGGATGAATGACCAGAACTGTCCCAAATGCAGTCCCGACATTGTTGAATTTAGAGACATTGCTTTTTTTTTTTTTTAATTTTTTAGAGACAGGGTCTTACTCTGTTGTACAGGCTAAAGTGTAGTAGAACAATCATAGCTCACTGCAGCCTCCAACTCCTGGGCTCAAGGAATCCTCCTGCCTCAGTCTCCCAAGTAGCTGGGACTATAGACCCACACCACCTCATCCAGCTAATTCTACTTATTATTTTTTGTAGAAATTGGGTCTTGCTTTATTGTCCAGGCTGGTCTCAAATTCCTGGCTTCAATTGATCTTCCTGCCTTGGCCTCCCAAAGTGTTTGGATTACAGGTGTGAGCATACAGTGCCAGGCCTAGAGATATCACTATTTAAATCTTCTAATCCAAAGCCTTCCAAAGAAAAAAATACGGAAGTAATCTTAAAATCATTATTCTCAGTTTCTCATGGGGGAAAGCAGAATAAATATGTTGGTTTCCCCATGGTTGTTTGAGGTTTCATGTAAACCATGACATATATCTGTTAGATCATAAGGAACTTAAAGTGAAAATAACCAAGATAACTAGGAAGCATAGTAATAAGATTTGGCAATGAACTATGGTTTAACACGTTTTGCTGTGGGATTTCTCACTACTCAAGGTCAGTGTGCTCCTAAAATCTCCCTGCCTTTTCAGCAAGTTAAGCAAATTTGCAAGGGTTGGTAGCTCCTCATCGTAGCCTTTTCTTTTTCCCTTGCTATTAGAATATTTCCCTAGAAGAAAGTCAGTGTCAGATGCAAAAATGATATAATGTGCAGTTGTGCAGAAACAAAAGATGTGCTGTAGAATACATATTAAGCAAACACCACAGTAAGCCAACGAACATTGAATGAATACATGAGATGAATAAATAGTGAATAGCATTTTGCATTTATAAGTTCCTTTTTATTGAAACAGTAAACAGTCACATGACCTTGAATATAGCCCTTAGGATTGCAGTAGAGCCAGCTTTGACAGCAATCCAAAAATACTGCAGTTCTAGAGAGACAAAAAAGTGCTAAAATTGATCAATGCCCCAGGTAGGGTTGATGAAAGTTTTACATAAGAGGAAATAACTACTTCAATCTGAATATCATATGCAAAAGTTCAAATCCGCTGTCCAAACTAGCAGCCATATTATCAGAATGGAGAGTCATGTTAGCTATGAATTATATGTCTTTATCTTATAATTGATTGTAAGACGTAACATCAAGTATTATTCTCCATACTAAGCTGATGGTCACTATGGTCACTATTAAATGCTACCAAACTTCAAAAGCTAGAATGCCTAGGAGCAAGGAACAAGATTTTGACATATGTGTTTGTTATACTGTTCATAGAAAATGGTTTCAAATTCCCTAGCCAGAGTCGGGGGAAGCGTCTAAACACAGTAGCTTTCAGTTTGGAAAGAGTGCAGCATTTTAAATACAATATGCTGTTGTGATCGCAAGTGTATTTGTCATAGTGCCAAGAAGGCTGAAAGTTGAGTTTCTGAATTAACACAACATAAAATTCCTCTAGTATTAGCAATTTTTCATCTTGCTCAAATAAATTGTATAAGCATATTTGCCCTATAAAATGGCAGAAAACCTGATACCGTGACTGTACATTCTGTGTTGGATTATCAAGATTGAGTAGTTGATGTCTTCCCACCTTAAAAATAAACTCCGAAGGAGTAACATCAATGGGATGGAAGGCCAGAAGGTCCCAATGTTCTTCTCCCTCATAGAAAAAAGAAGGAACAACTACATGTCAACAAAAATACTGAAGGAAGAGTTCTAGAGTACAGCAAAGGAGCAGCAGAAACACTGTGGAGCACAGAAACCAAGGATGGCTGCTTAGAATAGGGTAGGAAACACATTATCTGTGCCACCCCATGCCCCAGTCAGGATCAGCTTCGAACCTGGAGGAATGTGCCCCTGAGGGGAAACAGTGAGCTGGAGGACTCTGGTTGTCCTCATCACCCCTGCAGACGCCTGAAGTCTTCACCACTGGGGATCCCTGCATTTTTCACCAGCACTGAGCTCAACTCAGGGAGCTTACTCACAACCAAGTGGGATTTAGCCCTGGGATGCAAAGTTGGTTTAACATAACCTAATCAATCAATGTGATATACGACAGTAACAGAAAAAAGACAAAAGCCCCAAAATCATCTCAATAGATGCAGAAAAAACATTTGGCCAAGTTCAGATCCTTTCTTGATAAAAGCTGTCAACAATTTAGGTACAGGAAAGGAAATTTCCACAACATAATTAAAGCTATATAAAATGCTGTCGGGTAACATCATAATCAATAGGGGAAAACTGAAAGACACGAAACTGTAAAACTTCCAGGAGAAAATGTAAAAGAAAGTTCTTTGACATCGGCCTTGGCAATAATTTCTTGGACATCACACAAAATACTCAGGCAAATGAAAAAAAAAAAGGAAAGATAAACAAGTGGAACTCATACATCAAACTAAAAATCTGCATAGCAAAGGAAACAATCAGCAAAATTAAAAGGCAGTCTACAGACTGAGAGAAAATATTTGCAAGCCACATATCTGACAAGGAGTTAATATCCAAAATATAAAGGAAACTCATATAAAAAAAACACACATTTTAAAGTCAGAAAAGGACTTGAATAGATATTTCACCAAAGAACACATATAAATGTCCAATAAGTTTATAAAGAGATGCTTAACATCCCTTATTATTAGAGAAATGCAAATAAAAACCATAAGATATTAGTTCTCACCTGTTAGGATGGCTATTACCAAAAAGACAAGCAATAACAATTGTTGGTGAGGGCATGGAGAAGAAGAAACCCTCATACACTGTTGGTGGAAATGTAAATTGGTATAGCCATTACAGAAAATAATACAGAGGATACTCAAAAAATTGAAAATAGAACTGAATGGTTAACCCAGCAATCACTTTTCTGGATATACTCAAATGAAGTGAAATCAGTATGTTGAAGAGGTATATGAACTCCCATATTCATTGAGCATTATCCACAATAAAAGATATAGAAACAACCTAAGTATCTGTCAATGGGTGAATGGATAAAGAAAAGTGTTGTACATATACAATGAAATATTATTCAGCCTTAACAAAGAAAGAGATCTTGGCATTTACCACAGCAGAGATGAACCTGGAGAATGTTATGCTAACTGAAATAATCCAGACACAGAAAGACAAACACTGCATGAACTCACTTATATGCGGAATATTTGTAAAAGTTGATATGCAAAAAAACAATGTAAAATGGTGGTTACCAAAGACAGGAGGGAGAGTTTGGGGGAGGCTGATGGGGGAGAAATGTAAAGTCATGGGGAAATGTAGGTCAAAGGTCATAAAGTTGCAGTTACATAGGATGAATAAGTCTAGTGATCTGGTGTACAGCATGAGGACTATAGTTAATCATATTGTGCTGTATACTGGAAATTTAGGTGGCTCACCACAAAAAAAAAAGAGAAGGTGGGTAACTCTGTGAGACGATGGATTTGTTAATTGGCTTGACTGTAGTAAGTATTTCACTATGTATATCAAAACATGATGTTGTACACCTTAAATATATACAATAAAAATAAAGACACATATAACAAAAAGAATAAACTACATTTTCTCTCCTATGCAATCTGCGTCTTTTGTTTCGTTTTTGGGGTTTTTTGTTTGTTTGTTTTGCCCATTTGTGCTAACGTAAGACAACACTGTGAAAAAATATATTCACAAAAGACTTGCATTAGCTCTTATTCAGAAAGCTGAATAGAGCCAATTTCTAGGGCAGAGCTGCTTCCTCTTATAGAAAACTCAACTCAATCTTATTTTAATTTTTAAAGAGTGGTCCTACTGGGCAGTAGCGTATTGAACCACCATTGTGTGTGTGAATTTCATGCCTTCAAAGTTGCACACTAGAGAGTCTTCTGGAGTGAAGTTTGTTTATTTGCAGCTCAAGTACTGCCAGGACAGCACTAACAACATCCCCACAGGGTCCTCCAAATACTTGCGCCCCATTTCCCCTATGCCCGACCCCCATAGAGAAGGAAGAGAGTAAACTCCTTGGGCATTGTCCTAATTCTCTAAATTCAACATCCCATTTGGAATGCAAAGCTACAAATTCCAATCCCTGGATGCCCACTCAAAAGCTTTTGAAATGCAACTTTGCTTCTCCGGATTGAGGCTTCCCTGCCTTTTATGATGGAGGTGATGGATAATGCTGACCTACAGAAATTAATTAGTATAATTCACTCGAAGGCTTATTGCTAACATCATTATAATTCATCCCCATAGGAGTCATTTGATTATTGCCTTTCTTGCCAATAAAAATTAAAATAGCTAGTTACTAGTTGCAGATCATTAACCCATTTCAGTCTTTGCCATTATACAGGAATGTAGTGTGGAGGACATCAGGACCCTGACCCCTATGACCCATCCTCTCTGTATAGAAAGGAATTCCGTCATATCCATGAGCCCAATACCAAGAATATACAGACCACAGAGGGAGGGCTAGCTAGATTTCCTAAAACTGCTCAGAGTTGTGGAACACTCAGGAGATACTTCCTTCACTATTTCTCTGAGTGTCTTAAGAAAAATATACAGGATTGAGCAGGAAGAATGAGTTAGCTGCCAAACCCAAAATATTCTCAGTGCCACTGCAGGTTGGTTATATGTAGCATCACATGCCCGAGCAGGTAGTTTATAAACAACTATGTTAATTAATTAGTTAATTAATTACTAATTAACTTGACTTCTAAACACACCACTGTCCAGTGGGAACAGCTTCTGATCCACCCTCGAGATCATTCTTTATACAAAGTGTATTTCACATTCTGTTGCGAATACCCTGCAGTTTTTTCAAAGTTATGTCATAATCGCAATTCACAAAGCTATGTTTCTGTAGGCTCCATATTATTTGTACATGTGTGAAAGATCTTTGTGCCTATTGTAAATGAGGAGTCAGAAGTGTGTTTTACTGGATTAAACTGGATTTATGGATTTTACACATGCATAAATAGTGAAGGAGAAAAGCTCACTTAAAGTAGTTTTGTAAGTTGGAAAAGCATAAACCATTAATAAGTGGTTACTAGTTAATTTTTATTTTTCCTGACTCTAAAAGACCTATTTAGATTATTGGTATTCACATTACTTTCTTCAGCCCAGTGTTTCTGGGGTCTAGACCTAATCTAGTTTCATGATAAGTTTTACCAAATCCCTTTACTTTGTTCTCCTCTAAAAGAGGTCTCTCATTGTATATACAGTCCATCTGAAGTGTATATGTCACAGCTGGATTTCATGAAGAAATTTTTACCTATGAAGTTAATTGCACTGGCCTTTGTCCTAAAAGAAATCTAGTACGGTCACCCTCAGGGTGACTCTTGAGTTTGTGTGCAATCATCACGTGTCAATAGTATTAAATTCAAATGAAATGATGTGAGATGAGTTGGAAAAAAATGACATTGAAGTCTGTGTCTGAGAAAACTAATCTAAGCTATTCTTCACTTCCATAAATATTTATATGTTTATTACCCCCAGAATTTAATAACTATAGACTCTGAAAGAATTACTTTATAAAAAAAAAAAAAATCAAGGACTGTCCTAGCAGAAACCGCAATAGATTGAGACTTCTGTGAGGTATACTTCTAAAATTGCTGTTAGATTCCAATATTTTTTAAAATGGTGAGCATGATATTAGGCATACACTGACTCAAAATCATTATGTGCCAGGTCTAAAATACTTTTAAAAGAAAGTATGTGCATGCTGCAAAAATCACCATCCTTGGCACCTGAACACTAACATTCCAGCCCTAAGTCGACCATTAAACAGATCTATGGCTATATATACTTCATCTGACAGAAAATTAGTTTTTACAAATAAAAAATAGACAGGTGAATAACAGCCTGATCTACATCTGGTGACTGGGGAAGTCTACATATTACAGTGTTCTTTCACTTTTTAAAGTAAAGTGGAAGAGCACCTTAAAACTTTTGGTATAACAGAACTGGTTCCATGTTGCTGGTTTTGCTGTGGCCAAGTATGTACATTTTTACACTCTAACATAGAAACCCTTCATCTCAACAATTATATCTGAATCCCAAAGCTATTTGTAATGGGTTTCTATTCTATTTGACCATTGGTTCTTGTATTTTTAATACTTTTTGTCAGTTCTTTCAGAGTAATACAGGAGCAGTGGTAGAAAAAAGCATAGGTTTTGGGCTTAGGCAGACCTGGGTTCAAATCCCAAGTCTGCCAGTTAGAAAGTGGGTGTCACTGGGCAAGGCCATTATTTCCTTGCCCATCATTTTTCTCATCATTTGTCGAATGAGGGTAGCATTAGTATTTATTTCATAGTGATTTATGAAGAATTTTTAAAAATTATGTACTGAAGGCACAGTGGTACAGCTCAGCTATGTTAGTGTTCAACAAAAGCATTTATTATTAATAAAATAAAGCAAAAATTATGGAGATTTAGTAACTAAAGAACAAATCACCTTGGCATGGTGGCTCATGCCTGTAACCCCAGCACTTTGAGAGGCTGAGGCAGGAGAATCCCTTGAGCCCAGGAGATCAAGACAGGCCTGGGAAACATGGCAAAACCTCATCTCTACAAAAAATACAAAAAGCTAGCCAGGTATGGTAGTGTGTGCCTGTAGTCCCAGCTACTTGGGAGCCTGAGGTTGGAGGATCGGCTGAGCCCAGGAGGTCAAGGCTATAGTCTCACTTGGTCACTCCAGCGTGGGTGACCAAGTGAGACCCTCTCTCAAAAAAACAGACAAACAAAAGAATAAATCAATTGCTGCATTTGTTTAAGACATGAAAAGAACTTCTTTCTGACTGTGTAATGAATTCTACTTTCTAGTGTCAAACTAAGGCTTTTTGACTGATATTCTAAAGTTTTTGAGAACATATTGAAATGATAATTTCTAGAAAACATCTTTCTACTTAGCATAAGTAAAGTTATTTTTAGGCAACTTAACTAAAAACCAGAAGAGAAGAAATATGTTTCCCCTCACCTGGTTTGTTTTACTCGGAAAATGGTTACATGTTTCACAGATACAATGCACTAAGAGCTCAGATTTCACAGAAATTTAGTCTGTTCTGTTGCTGGAATTGCAGACAATGGGGATGTGAAATAGCTGTGTTCCTGTAATTCACTTTGCATCTCATTTAGAGAAAAATGAAAACAAATTGAAATCTCACATAAAATAGAATACGAAATAACTAGAGTGAAAATAATGTCAGACAGTGAGGCTGTATTCCATTCAAGGTTAAGACTGTGGGCCTTGCAGTCAGTCAATCCTATCTGAGTGACCTTGGAATTTTCGGCACTACACTTTTTCCTCATCTGTAAAATGGGGTAATAAGGGATATGTACCTTATAACACTGTTATAGGAATTGAATGAGACAATACGTGAACTGTGCATGAAGCGTTGCCTGATGTTTCTGTAATCAGGGTAATCATGGCTCTATTCAGACTGAATGCTTTTATTTAGAAGGGAGTTGGTTGTCGGCTGGGTGTGGTGGCTAATGCCTGTAATCCCAGCACTTTGGGAGGCCAAGGCAGGAGGATCATTTGAGGCCAGGAGTTCAAGACCAGCCTGACCAACATGACAAAACCCTGTCTTTACCAAAAATTCAAAAATTAGCCAGATGTGGTGGCACACGCCTGTACTCCCAGCTACTCAGGAGGCTAAGGGAGGAGAATCGCTTGAATCTGGGAGATGGAGGTTGCAGTGAGTCAAGATTGTGCCACTGCACTGAAGCCTGGGCAATAGAGCAAGACTCCATCTCAAAAATAAAAAAGGGGGTTGGGGGGAGTCAGTTGCCAGAGAGTCCCCAAGGGTCCTCAGGACTCTAATTGTGTTCATTATCCATTGCCGAATGACAGACTACTCCAAAATTTAATGGCTTAAGTTAATAATCATTTATCACCGCACAGTTTCTGTGGGTCATGAATTCAGGAAAAATTCAGCGGGGTGGTTCTAACTTGGGATTTTTCACGAGGGTGTCATTAACATGGCAGCCAGGATGGCAGTTATCCTGATCCCCGAAGAGCTGGAAGATCTGTTTCCAAGACGACTTACCTGAGCTAGCAAGTTAGAGCCCATCCTTGGCAGGAGGCCTCAGTTCCTTGACACATAAACATTTCTATAGGATGCTTGTGTGTCAGCTTCCCTCACAGCAACTGATCCAAGAGAAATCAAACAAAAGTGGCCATGTTTTCTGTCACTTATTCTCCCAAATCACACATACATCATCATTTCTGCCATTTTCTATTGGTCGGTAGAACAACCTGGTTCTGTACAAAAGCCCTGTGGGAGCTCCACTCAGCAGCAGGAGCACCAGGAGGCAAGCCCAGTGGGGGCCATCATGGAGGCTGGCTCCCACACTCCTACCTTCCTGGAATTGAACCCAAATTTCTCTTTTTGAGAAGTTTGCAGCTCCTTCTGATAAAAGATAGAATAAATTACCTTGAATTTTCTAACATGGAAACATAGTGTTTCCTCAATATTATTGTACCAGGTATTATAAACACCAGGCTTGTGTTTAGGAAGACGTGTTGTATGAAAAACACATATCTTGAAAAGTATTACAATCTTTTAAAGTAGCGAGCTGCTCACTGCAGGAGGTCCTAGGTAACAGTTTTCATCACTCCCATCTCCGACTCTTCCCGAAAGAGTCATTCATAGAATGGAATGGCAGGAGTCATGGTTCACTGAATTTTAAATGTTTTCCTCACTCTGTTCATTCGTAATCCCCATCCCTATCTGTTTAAATCTGTATATGATGCTGAAGGGTCAGAAAGAATAAAGGTAGGACCCATGCTTAAAATGGAATTCATTCTTAAAGGCCAACCCATTAGCAGAATATAGACTTTTGCCCATATATTTCCATCACTCCTCTACTGATAAAATATAGGAAGAAAACAGCTAGGCATCAGCTTGATCATAACCTCTTTGAAGCTTCCAGATGCAAAAAGAGGAGCCAGGGAATTACTGGACAAAGGCAGCTGGGGGATTCAGACATCCAAGGCAACACAAAGAAAGTATTTAACATAACTTTTTTAAAAAATCAATTTTGTTGACTTTTTTTTTTTTTTGAGACAGAGTCTCATTGTATCTCACAGGCTGCAGTGCGGTGGTGCTCTAGCTCGGCTCACTGTAACCTCCATCTCTTGGGTTCAACTGATACTCATGCTTCAACCTCCCAAGTAGCTGGGATCACGGGCACCCGCCACCACACCCGGCTAATTTTTGTACTTTATTAGAGACAGGATTTTGCCATTTGGCCGGCCTGTTCTTGAGCTCCTGATCTCAGGTCATCTGCCCACCTTGGCCTCCCAAAGTGATGGGATTACAGGTGTGAGCCACTGCACCCAGCTTGATATAATAAGCCCAGATATAATAAGCCTCATTCATTTTAAGTATACAATTGGACAAATTTTATCAAATAATGTGTGTGTGTGTGTGTGTGTGTGTGTGTGTGTGTGTGTGTGTGTTTATATCCAGGTCTACCAGAACAGTCAAGGTCCAGAATATTTCCTTCACTCTCAGGAAGTTCCCTTGGCCTTGACCAGGTGTCGTGGGTCACGCCTGTAATTCCATCACTTGGGGAAGCCAAGGTGGGTGGATCACTTGAGCCCAGGAGACCAGCCTAGGCAACATGGTAAAATCCTGTCTCTACAAAAAATACAAAAAAAAAAAAATTACTTGAGTATGGTGGCGTGTGCCCGTGGTCCCAGCTACTTGGGAAGCTGAGGTGAGAGGATCACTTGAGCCCAGGAAGACAAGGCTGCAGTGAGCCAAGATCATGCCACTGCACTTCAGCTTAAGTGACACAGCAAGACTCTGTCTCAAAAAAAGACAAGAAAAGAAATTTCCCTCAAGCCCAGGGCAGTCCATACCCCCTCTGTTTCCACAACTAGACAACCACTGATCTGCTTTCTGTTGCTATCCATTACTCTGCATTTTCTAGAATTTCACATAAATGCAGTCATTAGTGTTTGGCTTCTTTTGCTTAGCATAATGCATTTATATTTCATTCGTGTGGTTTTATCAATGGTTCATTATGTTTCATTTCCTGAGTAGTATTCTATCATATGAGTGTACCAAAATCTTTTAATCTGTTTACCTGTTTTTTCCAGTTTTGGGGCAGTAAAGCCTCTATGAATATTTGTGTTGAGGGACATATGTTTCCATTTCTCTTAACTAAATACCCGTGAAAGGAATAGCTAGGTCATATGGTATGTGTTTGTTCACCACTTAAAACACTGCCAAGCAGATTTCGAAAATGGTTCTACTGTTTCACATTCTACCCAGAAGTCTATGAAGATTCCACATCCAATGTAACTTTTTAATTTAGGTTTCTGGTGAACTACAGTAGATTCTGTCAGTATTCAGCCAAGAAAGGGGACTGTGAGGTAAGAATAAAGCCACTATTAAAAATAATAAAAGTGACAAGAAACACGAACTTTATTTCTTGGGCTTTGTGGGCTGCTGAGCTCTCCCAAGGTGTCTGTACAGCTGCATGTGCTGCATGTAATGCAATAGCAGCAAAGATATGTCAAGCACCAAAGATGAAATCCACTGCATAGACAAGGTCTCTCTTCTCATGAACTTTCAGTAAAGGAAATTCCATTTGGAATGGAATGGCTGGTACAAATAGCTAAACTAAATTAAACTGAGCTAAACCAAATCCTGTCCCTCCTTTGTATGTTTGTGGAGTTTTGTTTTCCATTGAGCTTCTGCATTCCATGACTCTCTAGGATAGCCTTCTATGGGAAATTAATTAAACAGCATCGTTTACAATGCCTTGCCATCCTTGTCTGTACTTGAAATGCACTAAAGGAACACTAGGCATCCATTCATTCTAGCTCTTACTCATCTACAAGTTACACCCATGGCATTAGCTTTAGCAGAAGAAATGATAATGTCTCCAGAACATTGAAAGCAATATAAAATAGACTCTTGCCCTAGTCCTATCACAAGAGCTTGAAAACACTTCCAAACAAGTCCATTTGAGCCTGATAATTTTCCTAGGACAGTTGTAAGCAGGAAGAGCACTGGCCAGAGGACGTTGAGTAAATCACTTCATTTCTTTATTAAATGTGAGTAATCATAGTGTAAGCCCTGTCATGAAGTAAGAAGGGCACCAGGTTTGGACTGAGGCAAATCCATGTCAAAGTTTCAGCTCCACTCTACTGATGGCATCACCTTGGCCAAGTCACTTAACTTTTCTTGGCCTTTGTTTTCTCACTTACCAAAAAGCAACGGTGAGGTTTACCTTGCAAAGTAGCTGTGAAAATGAGGGAAAATATACATAAACCAGCCAATTGCAAGCACATAGCAACTCGATAAAATGTAAGTAGGTTTGCTCACAGGGTTTTTCTAAAAATGAAATGAGAGTTCAAAAATGCCATGGTACCCTATCTCCAAAGAGTGCATTTTTGTGAATAACTGGGAGTTGGGCTCTGAATATATCACCAAAAATTATTTGTAGATAAGTCTGCCAGAAGGTATATGTAATCTTGGGACAGTCATGTAAAGAAATGATATTTTCTTGTGGACTTTTAGAAAGTACCCCTGACTGTCTTACTTTTCTGTCCAAAGCCGTCACAGGCCTCCAGTTACATTTTGAATAAGATTCAAAGCCCAGAATTCAGTCTCCCAGATCTACCAGATTCAGCCCTGACATGTTCACTGTGCTCTGTCTAGTCCAATGGACTCTCTTGTTCCTAAAACATTCCGAGCCACCAGACCTCAGAGCCTTTGCATATTCTGTTTCCTCTTCAAGAGCAAACTCCACCCCCAGATATCCATGATTCTCTTCACTCCAACCCTGCTCGAATGCATCCCTCAACATTGGTCTTTCCTGACCCCTATCCAAGACAGCACCCTCACTCATTCCTCTCTGTCCTCTTATCTACTTCATTTTTCCTCATAGCTTTTCTCACTACCTAACTTTAAGTTATATATTAATTAATTAACATGTAACTTTTATGTAAGTCCCACGAGAGCAGTGACTTTATTCATTTATGAATCTCCAGAACAATGCCTAGGACATAGTAGGTCTGTGTGACATTTGTGATGATTTACTTTGAAATAATTTAGTGTGAGTAGCATGATATGATGAATGTGGGAATAAGATAATCCTCAAAAGGATTAATACCTGAGGGCTACTTTATTATCATAAGAAGTGTTAGAAATACATTGGGATTGGTATAACGTATGATGTTTGAGACATGCGACTGGCTGGGAGTGACGTGCAAGGACTCAGTGCTCTTAAATGACTTGGATAAATCAACTACCCCTCTCCATTGCTGCACTAGAGAGCCAAGCTTGCCTCTTCCCACCCTTTCCCATAGAGGATCCATTGGCTTGTCAGGAGAAAAGACTGCAAACACTGCTGGAAGAAGCTACTGTTTGCTTCCTACTGGGCCTTTTTCATGCAAGAGTCTGCTCAATGTGCCTAAAGTGGGGGAGAGAGAGAGAGAAAGAGAAAGAGAGGAGTTCAGAGCTGCACACTGGGCCTGCTGGCTCATAAATGTCTGTAAGATTGATGAACCCTGCTCAGGGATGCACCTTCATTGCAAGACACCACCTCATAAGCGAGCCTGCAGGCTGGTCATGTGCAAACCTTGTTGGCTTCCATCCTCTGGAGGCTAAGGAGTTTCCTCAGGAGAACCTGACATTCACAATGTTTATACACATCAAGCAAATCAAAATAAGTTCAGCTTTGATGGTAATAGCACTCAGTAGAGATATATGAAAAAAGAATAAATGAATCAATGACTATTTTTCCTCAATCTTCCAGGGTAAATTACAGTGTGGATTTGACACTAAAATCTTTAACAATGTTGTCTACTTGAAACCAGGCTTTTTTTTTTTTTATTTAAGGGAAAGCTCATTGACCTTGTTTTCCTTCTGTGTCTTCATTGTTGCTCTGTTCTTTCTTCTGTGAAATAAAACTCGGTCACATTTGCTGGCAGTCCTCCTAATCAAACCTCAGCTGGGAGAAGGCCTCAGCTTCTGCTGTGCTGTGGCTTACTGTCAGTTCTCTCTTTAACATTCTCATCATGACTTGGGGGAAGAAAAGGTATTTCGAATCTCTATGTCAGGAGGCAATAACTTTCTGCTCTGCTCTAACCCATCACAAAAGCCACAGCAAGTGACTCCCACAAGTTTTTCCCAATTTACCTGTGTCACTGATTCAGTGACACTGGGAAATGTTTCTTTAAAAAAAAATTTCACTAGTGGGATTACATAAGATGGTCTCTCTCCCCCAAATTTTTTCCATGTACCAAATAAGAAATTGTGGTTCCTTCATAAGAACACCTGGTTGTAATATAATCTACATTTTTCTTAGAAGTCTTTTGATTTGTTATACAGTTGTTCATTGAGGAAGAACTGTGTGAGCCAAAAAGAGACCACATTAACAGTTTTGATGTCAGGGACACACCTGGGGGTCACCGCTGCAGCCAGTGCTCAGAGGCCTCTTTGAAACCCTCAGCTGGAATAACCTGACTCCACCAGGTCAGGTACTCCTACCTAGGAGTAACCTGGCTCTCTCAGCAGCAACAGCCCAGTATCTAAATGTCTGAATCATTTAAACATTGTCATTGAGTCCCGTGGGCAAAAGTGTACTTACCCTCTAGCTTGGTGATATATACAGGCACCTACAGAAAAGACTTGTTATCAAGATTCTAGCTTTGCTCAAAAATGCTATCACAACCATGAATACAATACTGAATGAACAAAGTTCAGAAGCTGCCCTTATTTACTTTTTTTTTTTTTTTTTTTTTTTTGAGACAGAGCCTCACTCTGTCATGCAGGCTGGAGTGCAGTGGTGTGATCATAGTGCACTGCAGCCTCTATCTCCCAGGCTCAAGCAATTCTCCTGCCTCAGCCTCTCAAGTAGCTGGGACTACAGGTATGTGCCACCACACCCTGCTAATTTTTATATTTTTAGTAGAGATGGGGTTTTGTCATGTTGCCCAGGCTGGTCTTGAACTCCTGACCTCAAGTGATCCTCCCATTTCAGCCTCCCAAAGTGCTGGGATTACAGACATGAGCCGCCATACCTGGCCCCCTATTTCTTAACAAGTGAAAAAAGCCATATCCCCAGGTTTCCGTGATAAAGAAGTTCTTCTCTAGAAAAAATTAAACAGAGAGAGAATAGCCAGGAGTTGCTTCCAGAATTTATATACAGCGGATGATATGCACTAAGTTCATCTTTCCCACCAAGTGCCATTCAGATCCCTTCCACAATTAGACAATGAGGGCTAGTGACCACTACCAACATTCACACAAGCATCATATGATAATGAAGCAAAACTTTAATATTCAACAATCTGTATCGCACATTGAATTGTTTCTCAGAACCAGGTTTGACCATCTACATAGTCTTATTTAACAGAATTACTACCAATATGCTCAGCCAAAAAGGTGTGTTATATGGCCAAGCATCTCCTTTGTATCTGGACATAGGTAACACATAAAGGGGGACTAAAAAATTATCCTTGCCTCAAAAAGTTATTTTAACAATAATCTTCAAGTGGATTTAATAATGTCACCCAATATTAGCCAAACATTGTGGCACGCACCTGTAGTCCCAGCGACTCGGAAGGCTGCGGCGAGAGTATCACTTTAAGCCCAGGAGTCCAAGCTTGCAGTGAGCTATGATCCTACCACTGCACTGCAGCCTGGGTGACAGAGTGAGAACCCATCTCTAAAAATAATAATAATAATAATAATAATAATAATAATAAATAATAGTAATAGTAATGTCACCCAATAAACTCCTATTTCAACCACACAAATTATTTATGTTTCTTTTAATCTAATTTTTTTCAAAACTTTTGAGTACATACCTAAAATAGTTTGGGCCATTTCCCCCTGCCATGTGCTGTTATTTCTCGTAATCAAGAAGAATTAGAACATTTATTTTTAATCACCTTCTGTTCAACCTGGAGATTTCTTAAAAATCATGATTAGTTCTAGATTAGTTTAAAATAGATGTAAAATCCTGACATTGAATTTTTCTTCCCATTAGAGAGGTTTCTTTAAAGTCCATAAATTGTGTTATTTTAAGATGTATACAACAATTTGTCTACAGATCTTTTTATTGTCAGAAATAGCTCCAATTTGGGATGGACATAGTTCCTTAGAGACCCTTTGCTAAACACAGTGCCTTTTGAAGCCTTGAAAAATGCCCAAAAATTAATTATTTTTTCCCTTCTTACCAGTAATTGTTTATTACATAAAACATTTTTGACCAGTAACTAAGCTCAGTGAACTAGGTAGGCACATAGCCCAATTTTGTTTCAGCACTTACAATGAATTCAGCTGTATTCTAAGCACTTTAAATATGGTGACTTATTTAATCCTCTTAACAACCCTATAAATAGGTACTATTATCTCATTATCTCCACTTACTGACTAGGGACTTGAGGCCCAAAGAGGTTAAGTACCTTGCCACCAAGGCCCTGTGACTAAAATACGATGAAGCCAAGGGGTGGACCTAGATAGTCTGGCATGCAAACTGACCTCTTAACCACTTTTCCATACTGACTTCCTTCAATCTAGTGTATACAAATATTTACCAATAAAATAGCTACTTTAAATGTCTTATTAAAAAATGACTTTGGGATATCTATCAATAGTAGAATGAATAAATAAAGGTTTTGTGTACTCATTTACCGTACACTAAAATACACAGCAATAAATAAGAACTACTGATATATGCAGCAAGTTAGATGATTCTCACAAATGTAATATTGCATAAAAGAAGTCAGACACAAAAGAGTACATACTTTTTATGATTTTATCCATATGAGGGTTTCTCAACATCAGCTCTATTGACATTCTGAGTGACAAAATCCTCTGATGTGCGGCATTTTCCTGTACATTGTAGGATGTTAGTAGCATCCCTGGTCTCTACCTAACAGATGCCAATATTACCCCCACCCCAAGGCCCGTTATGAAAACCAAAAATGTTTCCAGACATTGCCAAATGTCCTCTTGGGGATAAAACCACTTTCAGATGAGAGCCACTGATATATGGAGATCAAAACCAGTCAAGGCTAGTCTATGGCATTAGAGGCTAGAATAGTGCTCAGGAAGCCTTCTGGAAATGTTCTAGATCTTGATTTGAGTGATGGTTATATTTAAAATTCATAAGATACAAACATTTTATTGTACGTAAATCATACAAGACTTTTTAAAAATATTCTTTAAATTAAAAAAAATTAATTATTTGCTGGGAGTGGGAGCATAAGAAGTACTTTGAGAACTCAGGAAGAAACAATTCCGTGAGAGATGAAAGATTCATGAAGGCTTCCAGGAGGGCAGGGGCCTGAGTAGGAAGGATCTGAAGAGTGGCATGAGTGGAAGAGGGCAGGGCGTTCCAATCACAGGAGACAGCAAGGCCAAAGGCAGAGAAGCAAGGTCATGCTCTATTAAGAGCATTTTGCCACGTACTATTTTTTTTATGAATATAACCAAGGGAAATTCAAAATGCATGCTTGCGTAATATCCTTCTAGGGGGTAGGATCTAGGTCAATGCTGTGTTCAGGAGGGGATGTAATAATCACCATTTGGTAATGGTGAAAATTAAACCTTTGAAATTAAATAGGATGAAAAACCATTGGGCATTTCAGCTCATTACCTCACTATCGCAGAATTCCCCACTGTCATCTATTCTTGCTATTTGTCCAGACTTTTTCCATCCCAGGTGAATGATGCTTCCGCTACATTTTTTTCATAAGGCTAGTCAATATAGAAATAAAACTCTACTGGGAAGTTCCCTACCGTTTTTTTAGCCATCATTTTCTTTCAAGCTACTAATTACTGTTGGTTGTGTTATTCGTCATCATCTTTAATTGAGCATGAACAATGGCTCCACACTGTAAAGAAAATGTTAGAAGAGACTTGTTTTATTGAAGCCAGAGGATTTGGAACTGACTTCAAGAGGAAAAATAATGAGAAATAGAAATCTAGCAAAAATAAGGTGGCCACTGCTTTAACTCTACAGAATGCAGATCTTCCCTGTGTGGATGATCTCACATAGGGCATTTCATGTCCTCAGTCCTGAGTATGAAGGGCTGCGAGGGAGACCCCAGCCAGGCACCAATCATGCTCATCATTACACAGGCACACCTCAGAGACATTGCGGGGTTGGTTCCAGACAGACTACTGCAATAAAATGAATATCAAAATTAAGCGGGTCACACTAATTTGTTTGTTTCTCGGTGCATATAAAAGTTATGTTTACACTACATTATAGTATATTAAGTGTACAATTGCATCATGTCTAAAAAAATGTACATACCTTAATTTAAAAATACCTTATGCTAAAATATGCTAATGATCACCTGAGCCTTCAGGGAATTGGCATCTTTTGCTGGTTGGTCTTTTTGCTGAGGATCTTGCCTCAGTGTCAATGGCTGCAGACTGATCAAGGTAGGGGTTGCTGAAGGTGGATGGCTGTGGCAATTCCTTAATATAAGGCAACAGTGAAGTTTGCTACATTGATTGACTCTTCCTTTCACAAAAGATTTCTCTACAGCTCACAATGCTGTTTGATAGCATTTCGCCCATAGTAGAACTTCTTTCAAAATTGGAGACAGTCTTCTCAAGCCCTCTTACTGCTTTATCAACTAAGTATATGGAATATTCTAAATCCTTTGTTGTCATTTTAACAGTGTCCACAGCATCTTCACCAGGAGTACATTCTATCTCAAGAAAACACTTTATTTGCTCACACATAAAAGGCAACTTCTCATACATTCAAGCTGGATCATGAGATTGTAGCAATTCAGTCATGTCTTTACGCTTCACTTCTAATTCTAGCTCTCTTGGTATTTCCATCACATATGTAGTTACTTCCCCCACTGAAGTCATGAACCCCTCAAAGTCATCCATGAGGGTTGAAATCAACCTCTTCCAAACTCCTGTTAGTGTTAAATGTTTACCCCCTCCTATAAATCAAGAATGTTCTTTTTTTTTTTTTTGAGATGCAGTCTCACTCTGTCGCCCAGGCTGGAGTGCAGTGGCACGATCTCAGCTCACTGCAACCTCTGCCTCCCAGGTTCAAAGGATTCTCCTCTCTCAGCCTCCCAAGTAGCAAGGGTTACAGGCTCCTGCCACGGCCCAGCTAATTTTTTGTATTTTTAGTAGAGATGGGAGTTGGCCAGGCTGGTCTTGAACTCCTGACCTCAAGTGATCTGCCCGCCTTGGCCTCCCAAAGTGCTGGGATTACAGGCGTGAGCCACAGTGCCTGGCTAAGAATGTTCTTAATAGAATCTACAATGGTGAATCCTTTCCACAAGGTTTTCAATTTACTTTGCCCAGATCTATCAGAAAAATCACTATCTGTGGCAGATAGCTATAGCCTTATGAATTTATTTCTTAAATAATAAGACTTGAAATTTGAAATTACTTCTTGATCCATGGGCTGCAGAATGGGTGTCATGTTACCAGACATGAAAACAACATTAATCTTCTTGTGTATCTCCATCAGAGCTCTTAAGTAACTAGGTTCATTGTCAATGAGCAGTAATATTTTAAAAGGATTTTTTTTCCTGAGCATTAAGTCTTAACAGTGAGCATAATATATTCAGCAAATCATACTGTGAACAGATGTGCTGTTACCCAGCTTTGTTTTTCTATTTCTAGAGTACTGGCAGAGTAAGTTTAGAATAAGTCATAAGGTCCTTAGGATTTTCAAAATGGTAGATTAGCACTGTGTTCTTAAAGTTACCAGCTGCATTAGCCCCTAGCAAAAGAGTCAGCCTGTCCTTTGAAGCTTTGAAGCCAGGCATTGACTTCTCTCTAACTACACAAGTCCTAGATGGCATGTTCATCCAATGGAAGGCTGTTTCATCTACATTGAACAGTTGTTGTTTAGTGTCGCCACCTTCAATTATCTTAACTAGATCTACTGGATAACTTGCTACATCTTCTACATCAGCACTTGCTGCTTCAGCTTGCACTTTATGCTATGAAGAAGGATTATTTCCTTAAGTCTCATGCACAGACCTCTACTAGTTTCCAACTTTTCTTCTGCAGCTCCTTCATCTCTCTCAGCCTTCATAGAATTGGAAAGTGTTAGGTCCATGCTCTGGATTAAGCTTTGGCTGAAAGGAATGTTGTGGCTGGGTTGATCTATCCAAACCACTCAAATGTTCTCCACATTAGCAATAAGGGTGTTTCATTCTCTTTAATTTCAACTTTTAGTTTAGATACAAGGGGTACATGTGCAGGTTTGTTACATGGGAATATTACATGATGCTGAGGTTTGGGGTATGGACCCCAACACTCAGGTAGTGAGCATAGTGGCCAATTGGTAGTTTTTCAACCCATAACCCCTCCCTTCCCCTCCTCCATCTAGTAGTACACAGAGTCTATTGTTCCCATATTTATGTCCATGTGTGCTTGATGTTTAGTTCCCATTTATAAGTGAGAACATGCAGTATTTGGTTTTCCATTCTTGCCTTAATTTGCTTAGGATGATGGCCTCCAGCTGCATCCATGTTGCTGCAAAGGACTGATGCTCAGCATCGCTTTATCATTTGTGTATTCACTGGAGTAGTGCTTTTAATTTCCTTCAATAACTTTTTCTTTGACTTCACAACTTGGCTATTTTGTGCAAGTGGGCTAGCTTTCTAAAGTGCCTTCCTCACTAAACTTAATCATTTCTAGCTTTTGATTTAAAGTGAGAAATATGTGTCCCTTCCTTTCACTTGAACACTTAGAGGCCATTGTAGGGTTATTAATTGGCCTAATTTCAATAACATTGTGTCTCAGGGAATAGGGAGGCCTGAGGAAAGGGAGAAAGGGGAACAGCTAGTCAGTGGAGCAGTCAGAACACACACATTTATCTGTCAAGTTTGCTGTCTTGTGTGGGCACAGTTTGTGATGCCCTAAAACAATGACAACAGTAACAACTAAGATCTCTAATCACAGATCACCACAACAGATATCATACTAATGAAAAAGTGTGAAATAATAGGAGAATCACCAAAATGTGACACAGAGACACAAAATGAGCACAGCATGTTGGTAAAATGGTGCCAATGGGCTCGCTCAATGCTGGGTTGCCACAAACCTTCAATTTTTTTTTTTTTTAAATGAAGTATCTGTGAAGCACAATAAAGCACAGAGCAATAAAACAAGTCATGCCTGTACTGGGGGAAGGAGGGCCCCAGAGCCTAGACTGCAGAGGAGAATGTAGCACTACTTTGTATTCTGCTTCATATTTTCTATTCTATGCAGAGATCCAAAAACACTGCCTAGAGGGCAGGATAGTCACTCCGCAGACTCCAAGAATTTATTTTTTTATTTATTTGTTATTGTTAATATTTTACAGTTTACCTCTAATTCTTTTTTTTTTTAAGTTCTGGGATACAAGTGCAGACTGTGTAGGTTTGTTACATGGGTATATGTGTGCCATGGTGGTTTGCTGCACCTATCAACCCATCATTTAGGTTTTAAGCCCCACGTGTGTTAGCTATTTGTCCTAATGCTCTCTCTCCCCCTTCCCCCAGCCCCCAACAGGCCCAGTGTGTGATGTTCCCCTTCCTGTGTCCATGTGTTCTCATTGTTCATCTCCCGTTTATGAGTGAGAACATGCGGTGTTTGGTTTTCCGATCCTGTGTTAGTTTGCTGAGGATGATGGCTTCCAGCTTCATCCATGTCCCTCCAAAGGACACGATATCATTCCATCTTATGGCTGCATAGTATTTCATGGTGTATATGTACCACATTTTCTTTATCCAGTCTATCATTGATGGGCATTTGGGTTGGTTCCATGTCCTTGCTATTGTAAATAATCTTGTAATAAACGTACATGTGTATATGTCTTTATAGTAGGATGATTTATATTCCTTTGGGTATTGACTCAGTAATGGGATTGCTGGGCCAAATGGTATTTCTAGTTCTAGATCCTTGAGGAATTGACACACTGTCTTCTAAAATGGTTGAACTAATTTACATTCCCACCAACAGTGTAAAAGCATTCTTATTTCTCCACAGCCTTGCCAGCATCTATTGTTTCTTGACTTTTTAATAATCACCATCTGACTGGTATGAGATGGTATCTCATTGTGATTTTGATTTGCATTTCTCTAATGATCCGTGATGTTGAGCTATTTTTCATGTTTGTTGGCCTCATAAATGTCTTTTTTTGAGAAGTATCTGTTCATATCTTTTGCCCACTTTTTGATAGGGTTGTTGGTTTTTTCTTGTAAATTTGTTTAAGTTTCTTGTAGATTCTGGATATTAGACCTTTATCATATGGGTAGATTGCAAATATTTTCTCCCATTCTCTAGGTTGCCTGTTCACTCCAATGGTAGTTTCTTTTGCTGTGCAGAAGCTCTTTACTTTAATTAGATCCCATTTGTCAATTTTGGCTTCTGTTGCAATTGCTTTTTGCATTTTTGTCATGAAGTCTTTGCCCACGCCTCCTATGTCCTGAATGGATTGCCTAAGTTTTCTTCTATAGTTTTTATGGTTTTGGGTTTTACATTTAAGTCTTTATTTATTTATTTATTTATTTATTTTGGACAAAGTCTCCCTCTGTCACCCAGGCTGAAGTGCAGTGGCATGATCTTGGCTCACTGCAACCTCAGCCTCCCAGGTTCAAGCAATTCTCCTGCCTCAGCCTCCCAAGTAGCTGGGATTACAGGCACCCACCACCATGCCCAACTAATTTTTGTATTTTTAGTACAGACAGGGTTTCACCATGTTGGCCAGGCTGGTCTCGAACTCCTGACCTCAGGTAATCTGCCCGCCTCCGCCTCCCCAAGTGCTAGGATTACAGGTGTGAGCCACCATGCGCAGCCTACATTTAAGTCTTTAATCCATCTTAAGTTAATTTTTGTATATGGTGTAAGGAAGGAGTCTAGTTTCAGTTTTCTGCATATGGCTAGCCAGTTTTCCCAGAACCATTTATAAAATAGGGAATGCTTTTCCCATTGCTTGTTTTTGTCAGGTTTGTTGAAGATCAGATGGTTGCAGATGTGTGGTATTATTTCTGAGGTCTCTGTTCTGTTACATTGGTCTATATATCTGTTTTGGTACTAGTACCATGCTATTTTGGTCACTGTAGCCTTGTAGCATAGTTTGAAGTCAGGTAGCGTGATGCCTCCAGCTTTATTCTTTTTGCTTAAGATTGCCTTGGTTATACAGGTTCTTTTTTGATTCCATGTGAAATTTAAAATAGTTTTTTTCTAATTCTGTGAAGAATGTCAATGGTAGTTTGATGGGAATTACATTGAATCTATAAATTGCTTTGTACAGTATGGCCATTTTCATGATATTGATTCTTCCTATCCATGAGGATGGAATGTGTTTCCATTTGTTTGTGTCCTCTCTTATTTCCTTGAGCAGTGGTTTGTAGTTCTCCCTGAAGAGGTCCTTCACATCCCTTGTTAGCTGTATTCCTAGGTATTTTATTCTCTGTGTAGCAATTGTGAATGGGAGTTCATTCATGATTTGGCTCTCTGTCTATTGTTGGTGTATAGAAATGCTTGTAATTTTTGCACATTGATTTTGTATTCTGAGACTTTGCTGAAGTTGCTTATCAGCTTAAGGAGTTTTTGGGCTGAGACAATGGGGTTTTCTAAATACAGAATCATGTTGTCTGCAAACAGAGACAATTTGACTTCCTCTCTTCCTATTTGAATACCCTTTATTTCTTTTTCTTGCCTCGTTGCCGTGGCCAGAACTTCCAATACTATGTTGAATACGAGTGGTGAGATGGGGCATCCTTGTCTTGTGCCAGCTTTCAAAGGGAATGCTTCCAGTTTTGCCCATTCAGTATGATATTGGCTGTGGGTTTGCCATAAATAGTTCTTAGTATTTTGAGATATACTCTATCAATACCTAGTTTATTGAGAGTTTTTGACATGAAAGAACTTTGAATTTTATCAAAGGCCTTTTCTGCATCTATTGAGACGATCATGTGGTTTTTGTCATTGCTTCTGTTTATGTGATGGATTATGTTTATTGATTTGCATATATTGAACAGGCCTTGCATCCCAGGGATAAAGTCAAGTTCTGTTGATGTCTATTAGGTCCACTTGATCCAGAGCTGAGTTCAAGTCCTGAATATTTTGTTAATTTTTCCATCTCATTGATCTGTCTAATATCGACAGTGAGGTGTTAATGTCTCCCACTATTATTGTGTGAAAGTCTAAGTCTCTTTGTAGGTCTCTAAGAACTTGTTTTAAGAACCTGAGTACTCCTGTATTGGGTACTCAGATTTATATATCCTAAATATATATGCACTTTTTTTTTTTTTTTTTTTGCTTTCTATTTGCTTGCTAAATTTTCCACAGTCACTTTATTTTGAGCCTCTGTGTGTTTGCACATGAGATGGGTGTATTAGTCTGTCTTTATGCTGCTGATAAAGACATACCTGAGACTGGGAAGAAAAAGAGGTTTAATTGGACTTAGAGTTTCATATAGCTGTGGAGGCCTCAGAATCATGGCGGGAAGTGAAAGGCACTTCTTACATGGCAGCAGGAAGAGAAAATGAGGAAGAAGCAAATGCAGAGACCCCTGATAAACCCATCAGATCTCATGAGACTTATTCACTATCACGAGAATAGCATGGGAAAAACCAGCCCCCATGATTCAATTACCTCCCTCTGGGTCCCTCCTACAACATGTGGGGATTCTGGGAGATATAATTCAAGTTGAGATTTGGATACGGACACAGCTAGACCACATTATTCTGCCCCTGGTCCCTCCAAATCTCATGTCCTCACATTTCAAAACCAATCGTGCTTTCCCAACAGTCCCCCAAAGTCTTAACTCATTTCAGCATTAACCCAAAAGTCCACAGTCCAAAGTCTCATCTGAGACAAGGCAAGTCCCTTCTGTCTAAGAGCCTGTAAAATCAAAACAAACTAGTTGCTTCCTAGATACAATGGTGGTACAGGTATTGGGTAAATACAGCCATTCCACATGGAAGAAATTGGCCAAAACAAAAGGGTTACAGGGCCCATAGAAGTCAGAAATCCAGCAGGGCCATCAAATTTTATAGTTCCAAAATAATCTCTTTTGACTCCAGGTCGCATATCCAGGTCACTCTGATGCAAGAGGTGGGTCCCCATGGTCTTGGGCAGCTCTGTCCCCATGGATTTGCAGGAGTCAGCCTCCCTCCTAGCTGCTTTCACAGGCTTGTGTTGAGTGTCTGTGGCTTTTCCAGGCACACTGCACAAGCTGTTGGTGGATCTACCATTCTGGAGTCTGGAGAACTGTGGCCCTCTTCTCACAGCTCCACTAGGCAGTGCCCCAGTAGGGACTCTGTGTGGGGGACTCCAATCCCACATTTCCCTTCTGCACTGCCCTAGAAGAGGTTTTCCATGAGGGCCCTGCCCCTGCAGCAAACTCTTGCTTGGGCATCCAGGCATTTCTGTACATCTTCTGAAATCCAGGTGCAGGTTCCCAAACCTCAATTCTTGACTTCTGTGCACCTGCAGGCTCAACCCCACATGGAAGCTACCAAGGATAGAGGCTTCCGCCTCTGAATCCACCACCCAAGCTGTACATTGGTCCCTTTCAGTCATGGCTGGAGCAGCTGGGACACAGGGCAAGAAGTCCCTAGGCTGCACACAGCATGGAGTCCCTGGGTCTGGCCCATGAAACCACTTTTTCTTCCTGGGCCTCCAGGGCCTATGATGGGAGGGCCTGCCATGAAGGTCTCTGACATGGCCTGGAGACATTTTCCCCATGGTCTTGGGGATTAACATTAGACTCCTTGCTACTTATGCAAATTTCTGCAACTGGCTTGAATTTCTCCCCAGAAAATGGGTTTTTCTTTTCTGCTGCATCATCAGGCTCTGCAAATTTTCCAAACTTTTATGCTCCATTTGCCTTTCAAAACAGAATGCTTTTAACAGCACACAAATCACATTTTGAATGCTTTGCTGTCTAGAAATTTCTTCCGCCATTTACCCCTCATCATCTCTCTGAAGTTCAAAGTTCCGCAAATCTCTAGGGCAGGGGCAAAATGCCACCAGTCTCTTTACTAAAATATAACAGGAGTCACTTTTGTGCCAGTTCCCAACAAGTTCCTCACCCCCATGTGAGACCACCTCAGCCTGGATTTTATTGTCCATATTGCTATCAGCATTTTGGGCAAAGCCATTCAACAAGTCTCTAGGAAGTTCCAAACTTTCCCACATTTTCCTGTCTTCTTCTGAGCCCATGAAACTGTTCCTATCTCTGCCTGTTACCCATTTCCAAAGTTGCTTCCACATTTTCAGGTATCTTTTCAGCAATGCCCCACTCTGCTGGTACCAATTTACTGTATTGGTCCTATTTTCATGCTGCTGATAAAGACATACCCGAGACCGGGAAGAAAAAGAGGTTTAATTGGACTTACAGTTCCATATGGCTGGGCAGGCCTCAGAATCATGGTGGGAGGCGAAAGGTACTTCTTACATGGCAGCAGCAAGAGAAAATGAGGAAGAAGCAAATGCAGAGACCCGTGATAAACCCATCAGATCTCGTGAGACTTATTCACTATCAAGAGAACAGCATAGGAAAGACTGGCCCCCATGATTCAATTACCTCCCCCTGGGTCCCTCCCACAACATGTGGGAATTCTGGGAGACACAATTCAAGTTCAGATTTGGATAGGGACATAGCCAGACCATATCAATGGGTCTCCTGAATACGCACACCAATACGTCTTGACTCTTTATCCCATTTGCCAGTCTGTGTCTTTTATTCAGGGCATTTAGCCCATTTACATTTAATGTTAATATTGTTATGTGTGAATATAATCCTGTCATCATGATGCTAGCTGGTTATTTTGCACAGTAGTTGGTGCAGTTTCTTGATAGTGTCAATGGTCCTTATATTTTGGTGTGTTTTTGAGGTGGCTGGTACTGGTTTTTCCTTTCAACATTTAGTGCTTCCTGCAGGAGCTCTTGCAAGGCAGGCCTAGTGGTGATGAAATCCCTCAGCATTTGCTTGTCTGAAAAGGATTTTATTTCTCCTTTGCTTATGAAGCTTAGTTTGGCTGGATATGAAATTCTGGGTTGGAAATTCTTTTCTTTAAGAATGTTGAATATTGGTCCCCATTCTCTTCTGGCTTGCAGGGTTTCTGCTGAGAGGTCCACTGTTAGTCTGATGGGCTTCCCTTTGTAGGTGACCTGGCCTTTCTGGCTGCTCTTAACATGTTTTCCTTTATTTCAACCCTGGAGAATCTGATGATTATGTGTCTTGGGGTTGATCTCCTCATGGAGGATCTCAGTGGTGTTCTCTGTATTTCCTGAATTTGAATGTCGGCCTGTCTTGCTAGGTTGAGGAAGTTCTCTTGGATAATATACTGAACTGTGTTTTCCAACTTGGTTCCATTCTCCCCATCTCTTTCCCATACTCCAATCAATTGAAGGCTTGGTCTTTCCACATAGTCTCATATTTCTTGGAGGCTTTGTATGTTCCTTTTCGTTCTTTGTTCTCTAATCTTGTCTGCATGCCTTATTTCAGCAACATGGTCTTCAAACTCTGATACCCTTTCTCCTGCTTGGTTGACTCAGTTATTGATACTTGTATATGTTTCACGAAGTTCTTGTGCTGTGTTTTTCAGCTCCATCAGGTCATTTATGTTCCTCTCTAAAGTGATTATTCTAGCTAGCAGCTCCTGTGACCTTTTATCAAGGTTCTTAGCTTCTTTGCGTTGGGTTAAAACATGTTCCTTTAGCTCAGTGGAGTTTATTATTGCCCACCTTCTGAAGCCTACTTCTGTCAATTCGTCCATCTCATCCTCCATCCAGTTCTGTGCCCTTGCTGGAGAGGATTTGTGATCATCTGGAGAAGAGGCACTCTCACCTTTTGGGTTTTCAGCGTTTTTGTCACTGATTCTTTTTCATCTTCATGAGTTTGTCTAGTGTCAATCTTTGAGGCTGCTGACCATTGAAGTTTTCTGGGGCCTTTTCTCTTGTAGATGCTATTGTTGTTGTTTTCTGTTTATTTGTTTTTCTTATAATGGTCAGGTCCCTCTTCTGTAGGGCTGCTGTGGTTTGCTGGGGGTTCACTTCAGGCCCTATTCATCTGGTTCACTCCCACACCTAGAGATGTCACTCGAGGAGACTGGATAACAGCAAAAATGGGTGCCTGCTCCTTCCTCTGGGATCTCTGACCTTGAGGAGCACTGACCTGATGCCAGTAGGAATGCTGCTTTATAGGGTGTCTGACAACCCCTGTTGGAGGGTCTTACCCAGTTGGGTGGCACAGGGAGCAGGACCCCTTTAACGAAGCACTTTGACTGTCCCTTGGTGGAGGGGGTATGCTTCCCTGGGGGAAACGCACTGGTCTGGGCTGCCCGGATTCCTCAGAACTAGCTGGAGGAAAGACTAAGTCTGCTGGTCCGCAGAGCTGCCACAGCTGGTGTGTTGGCTGTGGAGGATACCCCCTCTGACCAAGCTGTCCAGCCTCCCCAGCTGCATCAAGGGAAAAGTGCAGCCTGGAGCTAAAGAGATGGCTGCTGCCCTTCTCTCACCCTGGGAACTTATTGTGTTAGGCAGCTATCAGTCCCAGACTTTGTTGTCGCCCCTTCCCCAGGGAGCTCAAACAGCTTAGACAGCAGGTAGCCGCAACTGTGGTGCTGGTCGCCCCTCCCCGCTGGGAGCTCACAGGCTTAAGCAGATTCTAGCTGATTGGCTATTGAGAATCTGTGCAGCTCCATGGTTAGGACCCTAGGCCCTGGTGGTGGGCTCACAAGTGGGATCTTCCAATCCGTGGGTTGCACAGTTCCATGGACAAAGCACGGTTTCCCAGGCTGGGTGGCACGCTCACTGACAGCCTCCCTTGACTGGGGAGTGGGGGCTCCCCTGCCCTGTGTCATTGTGGCTCTCACGTGGGCTGCCGCACCACACTGCTCTTCCTGCCTCTCTGTGGGCCACACCAGCGGCCTAGTGAGTTGTGATAACAGAGCCTGGAGACCTCGGTTGCCAGTGCAGGATTCGCACTTTATGTTATGGTTCTTTTCCACGGGAGCCCCCAATCGCCACTGCTTCTAGTCAGCCATCTTGGCTCCACATGGCTCGACTCCAAGATTTTAAATGATTGCAGGATTTTTTCACCAGAACAGCTGTGTGTTTGTTTTCCCCGGTTACATTGTTACAATTGAGGTTTATTTGAATCAGTGCCATGTCCTCACTTTTTCAAGTCCTCTGTTTCAGTTAGGATAATTTTGCAACAGGTAAAAAATTACTCAGTAAAGAGTGATATAAGCCACACAAATATTTATTACCTTCCCTATCAAGAAATCTGCAAGCAGGCTGTAATGAGGTTGGCCAGTATCAACACTATCAGCAAGCATGTTAACTTTTTCCATGTTTCTGATCAGGCATCCTCAGTATGTTGGTGATGCTTCCTTCGTGGTTACAAGTTGGCTGTTCCAATTCCAAGCATTGCATCCCAAAAAGCAATATCCAAAGCAAGAAGCAAGGAATAAGGCAAATAGAGAGTTTTTCCTGTGTACTACTGCCTAATTTATGAGAGTAGAAAATTTTTCCCAGAGACTTTACATCACATTGACAAAGAACTGTCCTAGTTAGTTACTGGGCAAAGAAAAATGACATTTTCATGATTGGCTTAAATTTATCTTAATTCATTCCAGAGTTGGATGGAATTCACTATAACTGTCAGAAAATCAGAAGTCTTTCACTAGGAGAAAAAGGGGAAAGAGCTGCTAGATGAGCAATCAAATGCCTTGGCCAGATACTGATTTTGCATTTATTTTCCTTGAATAACTTCCAATCCACCTATATTGGTGGTATACTCTACTACATAAACCCTGGTCCCAAGTTTAGATTATTAATTCTGTAAGTCGCAAAGTTCAGATCTTACAATAGATTGTACATGTAGGTTAGATTCCTTAAATATTCAAAGTAGCCCTATTGGTACACTTAGTCATTTATTCAACAAATACTAATTAACCCTCTTCTATGTCAGGCACTTCTTTGGGGGCTGAGCAGTGAACAAAAATGGCAATACTTTCTTTCTTCATGGAACGTATGTTAGAATGGGAGGGGATGGGTATTAAGTGAAATAAAACATTGCACACCAGATTGTGATAACCGCCATGGAGAATGTTAAGAAAGGGATAGGGAGTATAGGGGGTGCAGGGGTGGAAATTGCCATTTACATTGGGTGATTAGAAAGACCTCACGGAGAAGATGACATTTAGTAAAGATGAATGTAGTCATGTAGGTGTCTGAAAGAAGAGTGGTCAGGACTCAGGGTGCAAAAGCTGTGAGTTGGGAGTGATCCTGACATGACAGCTAGGAGGCTGTGGCTGGAGAAGTGCATGGGAGGTAGGGCAAGCATTTAAAGGAACGAAATCGGAGAGGTCAAGTGGTCAGATCACACAGATCTTATAGGCTGATGCAAGGACTTGGTCTTTTGCTTTGAATGGCACAGGAAGTGATTGGAGGAGGTTGGGTAGAGAAGTGACTTAATCTTGCTTAGATTTTTTAAAAAATCACTCTGACTGCTTTGAGGGGAAAAAAACTGTATGTGGAAAAGAGAAGAAGCAGAAAGATGGCCTCGGAGATCATTGCAATAAAACAGGAAAGTTAGTGGCTTAGGTCAGGCTGATATTAGCAGAGGCAGGGCTTCACTAGTGCGTTAGATGTGGGGTATGAGAAAAAGATAGGCTTCAAGTATGACTTTGGGTTTGGAGCTTCAGTAAATGAAAGGATGGAGCTTTTATTTACTGAAATGAAACAATGTCAAGGAGCAAGTGGGGGAGGGAGAAAATTAAGCATTCAGTTTTGCACATATTTAAGCTCAAGACGCCTATTAGACATCCAAGAGGAGATGCTGCCTGTGTTGCATGGGTGAGTAGTCTGGAGCTCAAGGATGAAGAGAATGCAGTTCACATACACATGGCAAATAAAGTTGTAAAGTCCAATGAGATCATTAAGTATATGAGGTCAAATAGAGGATAAATGATCCAAGGATTAGGTCCTAAACATTTTAATGTTGACATACAACCAGAAAGAAGATGAAAAAAAAAGTCTCAGTGAGCCGTGAGGACTTCTAGCAGAGGGTAGTGTCTTAAGAGTGTTTCAAGTAAAAGGAATGATCAACTTCAAAAAAATGCTGTTGATAGATCAAAATATGAACTGAGACTCTAAAGAGTTTAGCTTGAGGAAGGGAGAAAAGTGAAGTGATTACCAGTTGTGCAAAGATTAAACACTCATAAAATCTTGTTTACATTGTATTGACTATGAAGTGAATCATTCATGATTTCCTATAATTATCTTTTCTTTTTGTCATTTTAGTATCCTTACAGACATTTAAATTGCTGTCAGCAATATTTTTATGCTTTACTCTAATAAAATCTGATTTAGAAAATCTAATCAATTAGATATTTTAGGCCTAATCATTGACATTACAAATGTACTACGGTTTTACAGAATGATGAGCCACAAATGACAAGCACATTCATTTAATTTACAAAAATTGTACTTGTCTGTTGCCTTTCAGAAGCCATGTACTGTATAAACTTAGGCACAGAGGCCTTCCTAATAGATGACATTGAATTTCTAATGGGAACTTCTGCAATAACAAATTCATCACATCCAAAGCATACCTCTGCAATATTTCACTTTGTCATTGGCTACACTTTTCTAAGCTCAGTGATGCTCACAAAAGCCATAGGATATCATTTGGCCTGAATCAAGAGCTTTACATTTCCAAAGAAGAAAGAGAATGTCAAATCCCTGCTAAAATTTAATAATCTATATTCCTCAAATTTTTTGTTCCAATGTGTACTATTTCATATTGTTTCTCATTACATTTTTCCTAAGATATTCATTTTTTTCTGGTAACTCTATATAGCATGTAACAAAACTAATATTATATCATGATCAAAATCTAAATATATATATATACACATTAAGGAGGCATGCTCTGGGAACTATTAGAAGTTGTCTTCTATTTTATGTCATCCTCTTTTTCAAGTCTGATCTCTGTTAGACAGCTATTTTTCTTCTGCAGCTAATATAACATTTATGTGGAGGGAGATTTCTAATTTTACTTTATTGGTGTATAAATGTGTCATTTCATACAACTAGCTGTTTTTCTTTGTTGTAACTTCTTTCTCTCTGTTTTAGCCTGAGGCTTTCCTCTTTATTTGATCAGTATAGTTTATATCATATTCTAGGCAGCACCCCTTCCCAGGAGAAAAACAGGGTTTCAAATTGCTACTCATGATTCCTAAGGCAAATGGAAAGGGTGCCTCCTGAATTAATGTTTTCTTTACTATTTTCATTGGTTATTGGTTTTATTTCCATCAGCTGATGGATACATTTATTTTCTACCTTTTAATATCATTCTCTCTCTATGACTGCCAATTGTTGTTTTGGCTTGATTATTTATGGTTGGCTGTATGAGTGGTTAGATGGAAAAATAATCAGTGTGAGGACTTGGTGACAAAATTTGAATTAATTTTTCAATAAATAACTAAAAGGTATTTGGGGTGTATTGAGTTCAATTTTTTTGATTGGCTTCTGAGATAAATGCTTCTTTTAAGGAAAGAGAGTTGGATTCTATGTTTTCTAACACTATTCACAGCTTATAGGGATTACATTTACCCTTAAAATATATTATAGGATCTATTTTTATGAGTATTTCTGCACATGGCTGTCTGACAAAACAATGTATTAGCCAGACCTAAAAAATTTTTTATGCATCCTCATCCCCAAATTTAAAAGAAAATATGTACCATTGTAGAACATGGAGGAAATATTCAACTACTTCTGATAGGACTTAGTTTCCTTTATTAGTCAAAAGCAAAAGAAGTATCCTGAAATATATTCCCACTATAATAATCACTCACAGAAAGAATTTTTTTTTTTTAAAAAGCTAAGTTCTCAATAAACTTGCATGAATGCTGAGAGAAAAAGAAGCAATATGGACACCCTGAGAGTCAGATGTGGTCAAGAGCAGAGATAAAAATGGGGGCCAGGACTGAACATCCTTTTCACAAGACATAAGCAAAGTCCATTGTATCCCTTCCCTGGAGGATGGTAAATCCATGTGGAATCATTTCCAAAATGAGTATGAAGCCCTAGGTCCTTTTCCATGCTGATCTTCTATACTACAGAAGTCTATATTATTAGAGGTAGTCATAACAAAAAAAATGCTTTTATATTACCTCATTATTTTACCTTTTTGTCACAAATCTATCATTAGATAAAAGAATGTCCAAACTTCCCTATGTTTCTATTATGTGTCAGGCCTCTGAGCCCAAGCCAAGCCATCATATCCCCTGTGACCTGCACGTACACATCCAGATGGTCAGTTCCTGCCTTAACTGATGACATTCCACCACAATAGAAGTGAAAATGTCCTGTTCCTGCCTTAACTGATGACATTGTCTTGTTAAATTCCTTCTCTTGGCTCATCCTGGCTCACTAGCTCCCCTACTGAGCACCTTGTGACCCCCACTCTGCCCGCCAGAGAACAACCCCCCTTTGACTGTAATTTTCCCTTACCTACCCAAATCTTATAAAACGGCCCCACCCCTATCTCCCTTCGCTGACTCTGTTTTCAGACTCACCCTGCCTGCACCCAGGTGATTAAAAGCTTTATTGCTCACACAAAGCCTGTTTAGTGTTCTCTTCATACGGATGTGCATGAAATTTGGTGCCATGACTCGGATCGGGGGACCTCCCTTGGGAGATCAATCCCCTGTCCTCCTGTTCTTTGCTCTGTGAGAAAGATCCACCTACGACCTCAGGTCCTCAGACCCACCAGCCCAAGAAACGTCTCACCAATTTCAAATCCGGTAAGCGGCCTCTTTATACTCTCTTCTCCAACCTCCCTCACTATCTCTCACCTTCTTTCTCCTTTCAATCTTGGCATCACACTTCAATCTCTCCCTTCTCTTAATTTCAGTTCCTTTCATTTTCTGGTAGAGACAAAGGAGACGTGTTTTATCTGCGGACCCAAAACTCCGGCGCCAGTCATGGACTAGGGAAGGCAGCCTTCCTTTGGTGTTTAATCATTGCAGGGACACCTCTCTAATTACTCACCCACGTTTCAGAGGTGTCAGACCACGCAGGGACGCCTGCCTTGGTCCTTCACCCTTAGTGGCAAGTCCTGCTTTTCTAGGGGAGGGGCCAGTACCCCAACCCCTTCTCTCTGTGTCTCTACCCCTTCTCTGCTTTTCTGGGGGAGAGACAAGAACCCCTCAACCCCTTCTCCTTCACCCTTAGCAGCAAGTCTCGTTTTTCTGGGGGAGGGACAAGTACCCCAACCTTGTATCTCTTCACCCCGATCCCTTATTTCTGTGCTCTGACATCTTGTATCTCTGTGCCCCGATCCCTTATTTCCATGCCCCAACCTCTTATCTCTGTGCCTCAACCCCTTATTTCTGCACCGCGACCCCTTTCCCACTTTTCTGGAAGATAAGAATCCCCGAACCCCTTCCCTCCATGTCTCTCTCTCTTTTCTCTAGGCTTGCCTCCTTCACTATAGGCAACCTTCCACCCTCCATTCCTCCATCTCCCTTAGCCTGTGCTCTCAAGAACTTAAAACCTCTTCAACTCACACCTGACCTAAAACCTAAATGCCTTATTTTCTTCTACGATGCCACTTGACCCCAATACAAACTCGACAGTGGTTCTAAATGGCCAGAAAACGGCACTTTCAATTTCTCCATCCTACAAGACCTAAATAATTTTTGTCGAAAAATAGGCAAATGGTCTGAGGTGCCTGACGTCCAGGCATTCTTTTACATCCGTGCCTCCCTAGTCTCTGTGCCCAATGCAACTTGTCCCAAATTTTCCTTCTTTCCCTCCCACCTGTCCCCTCAGTCCCAATCGCAAGCCTTGCTGAGTCTTTCTAATCTTCCTTTTCTACAGACCCATCTGACTTCTCCCCTTCTCCCCAGGCTGCTCCTCACCAGGCCGAGCTAGGTCCCAATTCTTCCTCAGCCTCCGCTCCTCCACCCTATAATCTTTTTATCACCTCCCCTCCTCACACCCGGTCCGGCTTACAGTTTCATTCCGTGAGTAGCCCTCCCCCACCTGCCCAGCAATTTCCTCTTAAAAAGGTGGCTGAAGATAAAGACATAGTCAAGGTTAATGCTCCTTTTTCTTTATCAGACCTCTCCCAAATCAGTGAGCATTTAGGCTCTTTCATCAAATATGAAAAACCCAGCCCAGTTCATGGCTCGTTCGGCAACGACCCTGAGACGCTTCACAGCCCTAAACCCTAAAAGGTCAAAAGGCCATCTTATTCTCAACATTTTATTACCCAATCTGCTCCCGACATTAAATAAAACTCCAAAAATTAAATTCTGGCCCTCAAACCCCACAACAGGACTTAATTAACCTCACCTTCAAGGTGTACAATAATAGAGTAGAGGCAACCAAATAGAAACATATTTCTGAGTTGCAATTCTTTGCCTCCACTGTGAGACAAACCCCAGCCACATCTCCAGCACACAAGAACTTCAAATGCCTGAACCGCAGCTGCCAGAGTTTCCTCCAGAACCTCCTCCCCCAGGAGCTTGCTACAAGTGCTGGAAATCTGGCCACTAGACCAAGGAATGGCCACAGCCCGGGATTCCTCCTAAGCCGTGTCCCATCTGTGCAGGACCCCACTGAAAATTAGACTGTTCAACTCACCTGGCAGCCACTTCCAGAGCCCCTGGAACTCTGGCCCAGGGCTCTCTGACTGACTCCTTCCCAGATCTTCTCAGCTTAGCAGCTGAAGACTGACACTGCCCCATCACCTCAGAAGCCTACAGGACCATCACAGACACTCTAGGTAACTCTCACAGTGGAGGGTAAGTCCGTCCCCTTCTTAATCAATACAGAGGCTACCCACTCTACATTACCTTCTTTTCAAGGGCCTGTTTCCCTTGCTTCCATAACTGTTGTGCGTATTGATGGCCAGGCTTCTAAACCTCTTAAAACTCCCCAACTCTGGTGCCAACTTAGACAATACTCTTTTAAGCACTCCTTTTTAGTTATCCCCACCTGCCCAGTTCCCTTATTAGGCCGAGACACTTTAACTAAATTATCTGCTTCCCTGACTATTCCTGGGCTACAGCCACACCTCATTGCTGCCTTTTCCCCCAGTTCAAAGCCTCCTTCACATCCTCCCCTTTTATCTCCCCACCTTAACCCACAAGTATAAGACACCTCTACTCCCTCCTTAGCGACCGATCATGCACCCCTTACCATCCCATTAAAACCTAATCAATCTTACCTGGCTCAATGCCAATATCCCATCCCACAGCACGCTTTGAAAGGATTAAAGCCTGTTATCACTCGCCTGTTACAGCATGGCCTTTTAAAGCCTATAAACTCTTCTTACCATTCCCCCATTTTACCTGTCCTAAAACCAGACAAGGCTTACAGGTTAGTTCAGAATCTGCGCCTTATCAACCAAATTGTTTTGCCTATCCACCCCATGGTGCCAAACCCATATACTCTCCTATCCTCAATACCTCCCTCCACAACCCATTATTCTGTTCTGGAACTCAAACATGCTTTCTTTACTATTCCTTTGCACCCTTCATCCCAGCCTCTTTGCTTTCACTTAGACTGACCCTGACACCCATTAGGCTCAGCAAATTACCTGGGCTATACTGCCGCAAGGCTTCACAGACAGCCCCCATTACTTCAGTCAAGCCCAAATTTCATCCTCATCTGTTACCTATCTCAGCATAATTCTCATAAAAACACACGTGCTCTCCCTGCTGATCGTGTCCGATTAATCTCCCAAACCTCAATCTTTTACAAAATAACAACTCCTTTCCTTCCTAGGCATGGTTAGTGCAGTCAGAATTCTTACACAAGAGCCAGGACCTCACCCTATAGCCCTTCTGTCCAAACAACTTGACCTTACTGTTTTAGCCTAGCTGTCATGTCTCTGTGCAGCAGCTGCTGCCGCCCTAATACTTTTAGAGGCCCTCAAAATCACAAACTATGCTCAACTCACTCTCTACAGCTCTCATAACTTCCAAAATCTATTTTCTTCCTCATACCTGACGCATATACTTTCTGCTCCTCGGCTCCTTCAGCTGTACTCACTCTTTGTTAAGTCCCACAATTACGATTGTTCCTGGCCCAAACTTCAATCCGGCCTCCCACATTATTCCTGATACCACACCTGACCTCCATGACTGTATCTCTCTGATCCACCTGACATTCACCCCATTTCCCCATATTTCCTTCTTTCCTGTTCCTTACCCTGATCACGCTTGATTTATTGATGGCAGTTCCACCAGGCCTAATCGCCACACACCAGCAAAGGCAGGATATGCTACAGTATAAGCCACTAGCCCGCCTCTTAGAACCTCTCATTTTCTTTCCATTGTGGAAATCTATCCTCAAGGAAATAACTTCTCAGTGTTCCATCTGCTATTCTACTACTCCTCAGGGATTATTCAGGACCCCTCCCTTCCCTACACATCAAGCTCGAGGATTTGCCCCCACCCAGGACTGGCAAATTAGCTTTACTCAACATGCCCCGAGTCAGATAACTAAAATACCTCTTAGTCTAGGTAGACACTTTCACTGGATAGGTAGAGGCCTTTCCTACAGGGTCTGAGAAGGCCACTGCAGGCATTTCTTCCCTTCTGTCAGACATAATTCCTCACTTTAGCCTTCCCACCTCTATATAGTCTGATAACAGACCAGCTTTTATTAGTCAAATCAGCCAAGCAGTTTTTCAGGCTCTTAGTATTCAGTGAAACCTTTATATCCCTTATGGTCCTCAGTCTTAAGGAAAAATAGAACGGACTAAAGGTCTTTTAAAAACACACCTCACCAAGCTCAGCCACCAACTTAAAAATGACCGGACAATACTTTTACCACTTTCCCTTCTCAGAAGTCAGGCCTGTCTTCAGAATGCTACAGGGTACAGCCCATTTGAGCTCCTGTATAGATGCTCCTTTTTATTAGGCCCCAGTCTCATCCCAGACACCAGACCAACTTAGACTGTGCCCCAAAAAACTTGTCATCCCTACTACTTTCTGTCTAGTCATACTCCTATTCACGGTTCTCAACTACTCATACATGCCCTGCTCTTGTTTACACTGTTTCTCCAAGCCATCACAGCTGATATCTCCTGGTGCTATCCTCAAACTGCCACTCTTAACTCTTGAAGTAAATAAATAATCTTTGCTGGCAGGACTATGCTGAATCTCCTTAGGCACTCTCTAATCAGATGTCCTGAGTCGTCCCAATTCTTAGACCTTTTATACCTGTTTTTCTCCTTCTCTTATTCCATTCAGTTTTTTAATTCATATAAAACTGTATCCAGGCCATAACCAATAATTCTAAATGACAAATGTTTCTTCTAACATCCCCACAATATCACCCCTTACCACAGAATCTTCCTTCAGCTTAATCTCTCCCACTCTAGGTTCCCACGCCGCCCCTAATCCCGCTTGAAGCAGCCCTGAGAAGCATCGCCCATTCTCTCTCCATACCACCCCCCAAAAATTTTCGCTGCCCCAAACTTCAACACTATTTTGTTTTATTTTTCTTATTAATATAAGAAGGCAGGAATGTCAGGCCTCTGAGCCCAAGCCAAGCCATCATATTGCCTGTGACCTGCATGTACACATCCAGATGGCTGGTTCCTGCCTTAACTGATGACATTCCACCACAAAAGAAGTGAAAATGGCCTGTTCATGCTTTAACTGATGACATTGTCTTGTGAAATTCCTTCTCCTGGCTCACCCTGGCTCAAAAGCTCCCCTACTGAGCACCTTGTGACCCCCACTCTGCCCGCCAGAGAACAACCCCCTTTTGACTGTAATTTTCCTGTATCTACCCAAATCCTATAAAATGGCCCCACCCTTATCTCCCTTCGATGACTCTTTTCGGACTCACCCCACCTGCACCCAGGTGATTAAAAGCTTTATTGCTCACACAAAGCCTGTTTAGTGGTCTCTTCACACAGACGTGCATGAAATTATGCATGAGTAATTTTTCCTAGAATATTAACTAAGCCATTAAAGTTCAACCAAGGCCTAGTTCTCATAGCCATTGGTTGCCACCAAAGTATAAATATACCTCATTCTGGCGTTGAAATGCTAAACTCAAGGAGCTAGGGTACTATCATGCCATTATAACACATTTTGGATTTGAATGTAACTCATCCCAAGACCAAGTACCACCCATCCACAGGTTAGAAAGCCAGATGGATACCTGTTTCAAGAGAATCCATTTAACCCAACCACCTACATCAATTTAAAGTTTAATTTGGATGATGGATGAATTGGTCTTAACCTTTTATCTTTAATATACCATAATTCATAACTACTTTGAGGATGTGAGTACATTTAGTCTTCCACAGTTACCTTAAAATGAAGTACACTGGTAGGGAAGTGCTATTGTTTCACTGATTATAAATTACAATAATAAAATTAATGTCAAATGTCATTTCAGTATATACTTTATTACCATGGTAACCCACAGGTAAGTGAGTTGGTAAAATTGCAAATTACATATTCCGCTATTTAAAGACGTCAATGAACTAAAGTCATTTAATCAAGCTTCTCATTGCCTGTGCTATGTAATCAAGACGACCCGATTAAAGTCAAAGCCAGAAAGCCACAAGCTCCCCACTCCTTGTCTGGCATTTCTGCCATCAAGTTCAGTCTGGCTCATGGCTGTATGCTATATTTTGTAAGCATGTTAATAGAGATTTGTTTTCTTGAGGGGATGGGGTCACAGTACAAAAGTGATTTAACTCCCAAATGGAAATCAGAGGAGGTCAATTTCCTCTTTTATCCCTCAAATGCACACACCATAAGAACCAGGGCATATCTGCTTCCCACAGAGAGAAACTGGTAGAGCCTTAGACTTTTTTCTCTGTTCTATCCAACCCTTGCCACTGGTCTCTCTTCCAGGCTACTCCATGGTCAGTTAGACCCAGATCAGAATTGACCCCTGTGGTTTGTTCCTTTCAGGTTAGGTATAGGGAACTGGGGTGGTCTCCAGCTTCCTCCATCACCTACTCCTCTATCCTGATTCAGGGACAACTTCATGATGTCAATCCCAGGAATTTCTTGGCACCTGTCAAAGAGTACATCCTTTAATTGCCCTAAATATCAGTCCATATACAATCAGGCACACAATATGTGCTCCACCACTGAATTCTTAAAGGATCCACACTTCTCCAGACTGTCTTCAATGGCCACTTAAACAAAACTGGGTTGTAACTTTCAGAGGACATGGAGCAAGTAAAGTGAATTAACCTATTTGTCTTTTTAGAGTTGAGCTGTAGTGATGCATGGGCATAGAAACGGAGAATTCTCTCTGGAAACACAGAAGCATAAGCCCAAGAATTACTACTCGCCTGTGAGATTTGCATGAGTGATGCTTATTAATGTAATCTTAATAGGAAACAAATTGACATAAGACCTCTTTCTTATCCCCAAGTAGCTTCACCAGCAGATGAAGAGAGCTCTTCAGTCACTCCTGAAATTCCTTGAAAAGCCACAGGCATTGTTACCCCGGCAACATTCTATAAGAACAAATCTTGACCCACATGAGAGGTCAAGGCAGGGAATGTGGAATTTACAAAACAGAATAAAGCCTATTCGGAAAAGGACAGTTTAACTATGCTCAATTGTTAGACCCCTCATTTTTCACTCTGAGCAATACTTAAAGTAATTTCTAAATCCCAGACTGACTTGCAGTACTATTTTCATACAGTTGCACTTCCTCCACCCACCCGCCTTGGGTGTAGAGATACAACCCAGCTCAGCAAGATTTCTGGTGTGGCAGGGGAGCAGACCTCCTGGCTCCCCAAGGTTTATGCACCAAGTACAAAAGAGCTAGAGTTGGTGATGATGGGACTTAGGGGATGAGACCTCTCTAAAGGACCCCAGGGCTGCAATCTGGATGAAGAAACTTCCATGCACTGTGAACAAATAGGCCCAGAGGAGATGGTCATACCTGACCTGAAACTGCCACCTAGGACCTATAGCACTTCAAAGATCACTGACATAAGGAGCAAGTCCTTCTAGAAGGACCCAGAAACCCCTTCCTCCCACTGCCCTGAGGTCACATGCATCACCTAGACACATTTTGGAGAAAAGTGAGAGGAAGGGCACAGAACTCTGGAAGCCTGAATTTTACCTGAAGCAAACAGGAAAAAGCTGGGTTATCCAAAGAAACTTTGCAAGTCTTTGCCTCAGCTCAGACAGAGTTTATGGACTAAACTAAATTTTTTGGTTTTGTTCCCACAGACAGTATGTGACGATTCACAGAGAAGATCATATCAGTTATAGAAGAATAAAGGAGAATAAAGGTTCATTTGTCTGGGTAATCTGAGTCCATGTAATTTTGTGACCTTGCTCTGCATGTTTGTGTGTGTGTATACTTATCACACACACACACACATACACACAAGCACACACACACAATTACATAAAGAAAGAGAAATAGACAGGGAGAGTGACTGGAAACATAACAAACTCAGAAGTGATTCTTTCTGGATAATAGGTTTATGGAAAAGTTTTATTTTTTTCTTCCTGCAGATTCATTCATTTTTTCTAAATTTAGAATAATGAACCTACTTTTAATGATATGTAATTCATCTGTAAAGAGAGTTATTTTTCAAAAATAATGAGAATTTGCTGCTTCTCAGGAGGTGTCCCTTTTTATATTCTAGATAGCCACCCAGACTTCTTCCAGGTGCATTCTGTAAAGAACCTAGGACAAAAGCTTAATTCCCCAGGTTTTCCTGGACCCCTGACCAGTGACTGGCCACAGATGACCTTGAGTATGAAAATAGAAGGCTTAAAACCAATGCTAAGTCAGTTCTCACAAGGAGCAGATCCTTGCAGAAGGACCCAGAAACCCCTTCTTTCAACTGGAGATACATGGCAATGGCATATATATCCATTTATCTTGCCAAAGATTATTATTTTCAAAATTATCAAACTCTGACTAGGTCCAGACTCCTACTTGGCACTACTTGGCCATGCATCTTCTAGAAATTCTCTTTTCTAAATGACGTATCTAGGGAGAGATGACCGCATTCTGAGCATTCTCAAAAGATTCCACCGGACACCACAGGCCTGAATGAGAATGGTCTTAAACAAGCTATACCACTGTCAGTGCCATCTCAGAGCTCAAAAGTAAAATCAGCCAAGACCATTTTTCACTGTTTCTGCCTCATTGCATAGTCTTGTGCTCTACCAAGTTCTCAAACTTTCCCACACACAGTCTTAAAGTCTGACTAGCTGAGAGATTAAAGGTGCAGTGTTTCTAACATCCACAACTACCTGTGCATGACATAATCAAGATTGTTATAGTGTGTGCGAAGAGATTTCACCCCAACAGAGAGGGCTAGGCAGAGCATTCAGAAAAAATCATGTTTTTGTCTTATATTATAGTCTTACTTTTACTATTCTATTAATAGTGACACAACTCAACAGATTCCAGAAAACATATATCTAAGACCAAATTTAACCCAAGTGTTATCAATCCCTGAACCAACAAACACTCTCAAAGATAACATGCAGCACCTCATTTCAAGTAATTAAGCATATTGGAATCTGTCTTGATTCTAGCAGTGAAGAATCCAAAGCTCCTATCTGACAGGTTAATGAGGATTTGAAATGAACAGTATTACTAATGAGAGTCTTTGGAAATTAATCATATCATATTATTATTAACAACTGCAAAAGCTAAACTTCCAGAGATTAGATTACATGGCATAATTTTGAAATGTGAATAAGCCAATATTAAAGTGACAGAAGGCTATTTCCAAGTGGGATTAATAAAACATAAAGCATAGAATAAAAATTAAGAATGGGTAAGGCAATTAAGATGTTCCTTCATTTAAATATATACATTAAAATGCAGTATTTTGTTTGATAAGTCATTTGTGCTATTGTTTTTGCCACTTACCTTAAGTTCTACAAGAGAGAAGAAATAAATGCTGGAAGAATATTTTGATATTATGAAAATTGAGGTATAAAATAGCACAATTCTATTTACCCAGGAAGTTCTACTCCAACATAAGGCATCATATATCATTCCCAATTCTTTAATTGGCTCCTTTTTAGGAAATTCATAAGTGTGTCTGATTGAGAATGCCATTCTAGAAGTTTTCAAAGTAGGGCATCTTTACAGCCACCACTCCTATCCTTCAAGTGTATGGTAGGCGTGTCCAGTAATGATGGACTAGTAGCCAAACACATATTATCAATGCCTCACACAGTTTTGAGATTTGCTGTCCCTCCTGGTAGGGAAGAAAGAGGCAGATTTTACTAAATAGGCATTGTCATTCATTCCGGAACACTGGATGAGCACCTCGTATTTATCTGGCACTGTGCTGGATGCTGGAGATCCAGTCGTGAGCAAAATAGACATAGACCCTGAGCTCATGAAGCTAAACCTCTAATGATGGAAACAGACATTAACCCAGCACCAAAATGAATTTCAAGGAAGTGATAAAAGGCCAAGAGTTGTGAAAAATAATGTTTAAGCAGAGGCAAGTTCAGGCCATGTTTTATCATTTTCCTAGGTTCAGTGCGAAGCCATTTAAGGGGAGTGTGTGTGTGTCTCTGTGTGTTGGGGAGGTGTGTGTAACATGACAGATGTGCATATGAAAGAGATCTGCTGTCTGCTATGTGAGCGGTCTGGAAGCAAGCAAGGGGGTAAGTATGGAAAGACCATTTAAAAGGTTATAGCAGTAGTTCAGGCAGAAGGACTTGGATCTTGGTATCTTAGACTATAGAAGAGGTGATAATGATAGAAAAAAAGTAGACAGATTCAGAAGATCTTAACAAGGTCCACATACAGGGCATGAAAATGAATTGAATATGCAGGAATGAGATCTTTAAAATGCACTCTGTAGGAGAGTTTCCAGAACTGCCTTGTGAGGTTGATAAGATTATTGTCATTTTATGTATAAGAAAGTAAATGTTTAGAAAGCAAAAAAGGACAGAAGTTAGACTTCCAACCCAAGTCTATCTGAGTTAGAAGCCCATGTCTTCTTCCATGAGACAAGTTTCATGTGAAGCAGAACGTGACCTTCAACACTGTCACCCACATATTTGTGAACATTCTCTCGCTGTATTAGTCCTTCTTATTTCTCTGTTCTTAACTTTTGCTCACAGAACTAACCTTTATTATTATACTTCCTGCTCCATTAGGCATCATAACCCTTATGACATTTATGTTCTCCTACCACTACTGTTTTTTTAACCAAGGTTCCCCTGTTGGCTTTGAAAAGGATGATGAGGATTTTTTTTTTCTGTTATAGTTTATGCAGTTGTCTTCCTCTTCCTCCTAAGTTGGCTAGACAAAATTCCTTTCTGTAGCATCTGTCCATTGGTTTGCTTTTTATATACCAGTGAAAATAAATTTCCCCTGGACTCTACTCTCTTGCGTTAGCTTCTTAAGCTTCCTCCCCTATTCTGTTAATAACTGTCTCAACAGTGTCAAAGTTCTTTGGGAGGTCTCAAAACCATACACAAAGTCAAGACAGCAAATTATGTAATATGACTTTTCTCACCCCCTTTATTTCTCCTTCTTTTATTAACTGCTCCCACATACCAAAGATTTACTGACCTTATTTCTTGATCAGTAATGTCACATATAATGCTTTCTTGTCTTTTAAACATTTATGACCTAGTCAAATTTCTTCAGGGATTGGAATAATTTTTTTTTTTTGAATCAATGAATACACTTCCTACTGGATAGAAAGTATGGCAGCTATTCTCAGATCACCAGATGCAGCCAAATGGCCATGTGAATGTCCATCCATCTTCCTGGTCCAAGCTGACATATTATGTGTGCCAGAATTAGTGAGGTGGAGTATTGCAGGGGTTTAGGGCAGGGGTCTCCAACCCCTAGGCTGTGGACCGGTACTACTTTTTGGCCTGTTAAGAACTGGGCCACACAGCAGGAGGCGAGCATCTAGTAAGCAAGCATTACCACCTGAGCTCTGCCTCCTGTCAGGTCAGTGAGAGCATTAAATTCTTACAGGGGCACAAACACCACTGTGAACTGCACATATGAGGGATTTAGGTTGCGTGCTCCTTGTGAGAATCTAATGCTTGATGATCTGAGGTGGAACAGTTTCATCCCAAAACCATACCCCCACCATCTGTGGGAAAATTGTCTTCCACAAACCAGTTCCTGGTGCCAAAAAGGTTGGGGACCACTGTTTTCAGAATGTATGGTAATACTGCATAGTAGTTATCTACTTAATACCACGCTTGCTAGCTGTATGATCTTGGGTAAGTTACATAATCTCTATTCCTGAATTTTTTGATGCATATACTCACAATAGTATTATGTACTTGATAGATTGTTATGAGGATTAAGTGAATAAATGCATGTAACATACTTATCTTAGTGCCTGGCACATAGATACACAATAAATACTGGTTATTATCATCATTGTCATCAATCATCTCTCCAACTAGATTCTAAATTTATTAAGGACAGAGGTTGTGTTTTATACCTCACTGCATCCTCAGAACTTGCCATCTAACCTCACTTTATAGTAATGATAGAGTTTGAAAGGGTTGTTGTTAATTTTGCTGAGCAGTTTTAGTACTTCTCTTAAACTAGACAATATATTTCTATGAGTCATTCAATAGGAAATTTTCTATTTATGACACCACTCATTTCACCCATTTAAGGAAATGTGAAATGTTGCTGAGTATATATTATTATATATAAAATATAAATGATTAATTTCTTTATATTACCCAGAAAATCCATTTATAGCACAAATTCACCTTTGTTAACTATATACAATAATGGGTGGCAATTAAACAGATTAAGGATAAATTGAAGTCAGAGATTGCACTCAGGGGAGAATTATTTGTAATGTTAAGAAATAAATAACTATGGAGACCAGGTGCTCAGAGTACAAAGAAGACAGGTGGGGAGAGCCCAGAGCAAGAGTAAGGGCCCTCACCCTGGATAGAGGGCCCAAAAGAAACAGTCCAGTCTTCAGGTCACCATTTCATTCTTCACAGCCACAACCAAGTGAGGAGACTAAGACAACACCAAGTCACCCCTCCTTTATGGATCACTTCAGCTCCCATGGACCCATCCACCTGTTTGCTTATAAGCCCTGTTTCAGTTCTCTATTGCTACACAACAAACCACCCCAATACTCAGTGGCTTTAAATGACAATTTATTATTATCTTATGTAGTTCTTGACTTGGCCAGGCTCAGCTGGGCACTTTTCTCGCATTGTTTTCTCAAGCAGTTACAATCAGATGGCAGATGGGGCTGGGGTCACCTGAATTCTTGACTTGGGCTGGCCAACTAAGATGGCTTCATCTCTCACATGTCTGATGACTCAGATGGTTGGCATAGCTGGGCAATGCTCAGACACCTCTGTCTCCATGCAGTCTCTCCACATGGCTAGCTTAGACATCCTCAGGATGTATAGTCTCAGGGAAATCTGACTTTTTTTTTTTTTTTTTTTTTTTTTTTGAGACAGAGTCTGGCTCTGGCACCCATGCTAGACTGCAGCAGCGTGATCTTGGCTCACTGCAGCCTCTGCCTCCTGGGTGCTAGCAATTCTCCCGCTTCAGCCTCCCGAGTAGCTAGGACCACAGGCATGCGCCACCACACCTGGCTAGCAGGCTGACTTCTTACGTGGTGGCTGGCTCCCCCAAAAGAAAGCATCCCAAGAAACCCAGGCAATATCTACAAGGCTTCAAAATGCACTTTAAGAGTCTGGCAGCAGCACTTCTGTCTCATTTTATTAGCCAACCCGGGTTCAATGGGCAGAGACCACACAAGGGCTCAATTTCCAGTTATGTTTCATTAGGGAGGGAGCTATCTTTGGAGAGTAACTACCATAGCTTCAAAGCTTCTCAGGCAAGTCCTGGCTCATGTGTATGGGGAAGCCGGGGAAAGACATCTCATCTTTTGCCAACAGTTTCCTGCCAATTTCAGGTGGGAAAGGGGGCAAACAAAAAATACTTTTTGTAAAGCTTCTGTCTTTGTTAAATCCTCAAAATCTTTGGATAAAATTTCCTATCAAGGAAGGAATTTAAGAAATTTCTATTAAGATTTGGAAATTCACAATCAAAACAAGCCATTTGAAGGGCAGAGAAGTTATTAAGCAAAAATGACAAGTAAGAATTAAAAAAAAAAGGCAACACTTCATCTGCTTCCCCTGGTCTGAGATGGAGTTTGGACGCCAGAATGTTCATTTCTGTCTAAATGTTTTCCCTAAAAGAAATGTTTAGGTAGCAAATATTGTGTAGAAATATATTATCTGTTTCTCGAATAATGAAGTAAAATCAGAAATAAGCCCAATGCCTCCTGATTTCGTCCTGCCGAAAGCTTTATTAAGCTTTTTTGTCAAATAAGTCTCAAGAAAAAGGAAAAAAGGGACCCTTCCTCTCTTTTAGTTCTAGACTCCTCTTCATTTCTCATAGGAATAAACCAGGAGCCATGGATTTTCATGAACATGCTCAAGGGTCCACAAACCAGTGCCTGAACGAGATGTGGGCTCTAAGTCATGTTGCCAAGCCAGATGTTTTCTTTTTCAGAAATGATTTTGCATCTCTTATCTTTCCCTCCCATTCATAAGTGGGATAATTAAAATGGATTGAGCATCCACTGGACATAAGGTAATATATTCAGTGCTCTTTCCAAAAATCTCTTATCTTCATTTTCCCATAAAGCAGAGACTAGATATACAAGGTTGCTTTCACTGGTATTTATCTTCAAACAACAGGCAGGTGTTAAAAAGTAGTTAGGAAGGTCACAAATGTGTGTAGTAAAGACTGCTCACAGGTTTCTTCAGTGTCATATACACATGGCTCTCGTGTGTCATTTCTGCACACAGTGACAGAATATTTCTGAGAACCATTTAGAACATATAACGTGTGCATGTATTACTTCATATTACCTCATTCTGCCCAGTCCTATTTATCCTTGGAGAAAGTTCCACTTTTGGATTTAGTGGAAATATCTCCAATTCATCCAACTCAGGGATAAGCATATGACCCAGGAAAATCATTTGAACCTTTGGATCTAAGGCTTCTGTGCCACTAGACTTTTCAGTTATGTGAGTCAATAAGATCCTCTCCCCTCTCCTTCATAGGCTATTTGGGGTTGGGTTTCTGCAGTTGTAGCTATAAAGTTCTAACTAATACACAATTGCTTTAGGTCAAACCAAACAAAAGCATTCCAGCTACATGGTAGCACAGTCACTGAACAACTAGGAAGATGCATCATTTTGGCAGCTACAAGGCTGAGCTTGCCAAAGCCTTACAGTCAACAGAGCTATTAGAGTATTTCAGCCCCCATGTGAATTAACTGGTTTGAGCATTTTGGGGTCTCTTTCTCCTGCCTACATACCCAGTGTATCAGTCAGGGTCCCAACAAGTATATTTAATCAAGTGCTAACTTACAGAGAGGTGAGCAGGATTCACAACGGATGGGTACCCAGAGACAAGCAACAATGAGAAGGCTTTACCAACCTGTGTTACAATCCTCAGAAAAAGCAGGAACCCTGGTGGGGCCCCTCAGCAGAAGCTGCCATCATGGAGGAATGCATGCCAGAGATATAGCACCAAGGCAGGGAAGCAGCAAGGAAGACATGACCCAACCCCTCTCTCCTTCTGTCTTCTGATCTGCCTGTGTGTGCCGTTGGCCAAACCCAGTGGAAGCCAGCTGGCAGGGAGTCCGGTGATGCAGACCTCAAACAGTCAGTTCCCTTGAACAGACAGCAGTGCAGAAAAAGAATCAGCAAATGAAACCAAGAATGAATGGGACACCTACCCACCCCCTGTTTTGGTAAAAATTATATAACACCATTAAAGAATCATTGGGATAAAACGTGGGGGGAGCACATTGTTTTTGACTCCGCATGCTTGGTGCAAGAATTTTCACTGTCCAGAATTTCCTTCCTGTCTTTGCGCATATGAATCTGCACCATCTCTTCAGAGATGATTTTAAAACTTAAAGTATATCATTTTCGGTTTTAACATTATCACGTAAACCTTTTCACTCAGCATTTTCTCACTTGTTCCCTAGATAGCCTTATATATTGAGGATATAGAAGAAAATAGAAAAGGAGCATGGAAGCTCTAAAGCCAGGCTCAGGGATGACAAAGAACCCTAAGTGTTTGATGTTCCTCACATTCTCTGAAGAACAAATGCACCCAAGTGTATGGTCTTTAACAAGATGAATGCACACACTAGGATGTTTTGCTTTGTTTTCGTGCTTTCTCAGCATCATTTTCAGGCAGACATTTCTCCTTAATACATACAGTATACACGAAATTGTCTTTGGCTATAAAAATGCATTAACGGCTCCAAAGGAGCAATTACACCATACACTGTAAATGCACATTAAGACTAATACAGCATACTTATCTAAACCTCAATGAATTCAGAGCTATGGTATCACAAGTCCAAAGGTGACTCAGATTAGTTCAAGATATAAGACCCCAGGGGGAGAGGGCTTTCCTCTGCTGTGTCAATTACAATGATACAGGTATAAAGTAAGGACCTGATCTCATTTTGTTGCTTTTTAAAGAAGCTTCAGCACCTAGGATGAGGTTGTATGCACAAAAGAGTGTTTATGCCAGTACATTCCCATGGTGAACTTCTGCAAGCCCTCTGACTCAGGTTAGCCCTTCACATTTGGAAATCACTGTGTCTCATGCAGACGGCGAGTCAATTACTGAGGCTATATGCCTGGTTTTAGAGTAGACTTTATTTATTATCCTTGTTATGGCTGGGATATGGAGGACCCTAACCATAATGTGTGAAATCAGATTCTTCTGCTGTTGCATTACAAATCTCACTGGATGCAGTGAATTTGCTTTATTCAGGTCTATTCTGGATTAACAGGAAGGAAAATATGGATTTTTTTAATCCATATAAAAAATGAAGACTTGTTAGAGACTTGTTTCTGATGTTTATGGATTTCTCTTTAGTGCATACAGCCTATGGAAAATTGTTTTTAAGCAATAAACAATAATTGTATTTGGGGACACAGAGGTACTGCTGCCGTATTGCATTCAGCTTGTGGATAAATTTCTCTGGCCTATTTTTTTTCTTATACAGACATAAAAATACAAAGACAAACAATAAATTTTCCTCCCTCTACTGCAGCCTTTTCCTCTTCCACTTTATTTTCCACTACATTTCTCATTTGATATTACCTTTTTAAATTGCTAAATATAAATATTCCACAATGAATGTCTGTAATTAGGTTGTCTGCTTCCCTTCAAGCACTTGTTAGAAAGAGAAAGGGCTTTAATCTAAAGCAAACTAACAGAGCTAGAAGTTAATTAGAAATTAACCATATATCCTGGGTAAATTATTTATGCTAAGCCATGTGTTACTGTAAAAATAATATACATTTACACTGACTATTGTAAACATAAAATAATTAACAATAAAAGGGAAGATATTATCCCTTAATAGAATCCTTTTGCCAAGACCAATTTAATTTTCTCTCTCATAATACTGAATGATAACTCGAGGTATCTGCTTCATAAATGAAACACAAGTGTTCTTTTATAGTCGTTCTTCAGTTCCCCTCTTTTCCCTTTTTCTTCTCTCCTCTCTACCCCTTTCTCCCTCTTCTTCATGAAGACTTGTTTTCTGATTTATGTGACCTTTTATCATACTTTTTCCTTCTCTTTTCATTTTTCTTCTTGCTTTGTCTTTTTCTTTCTTTCTTCCAATTGTTTTCTTTTGATTAAAAATGGAATAGATATCTAAAATCTCACTACACATGCTTCTCTTTCCCTTCTCACCCTATTTTTTGTTGTTTCTCTCTCCTCCTTTTTTCCCTTCCCTCTCTTAGGTATCCAGCCTTCTTATAAAATGTTTATTGTTTGAGCTGCTCAGGAAAAAATGTGCTAAGGTGCAAACATAAAATACAGTATATTTTAATTCTCTCTCCTTTTTCTTCCTTGTTCTATTAGCGAGGACATAAAGGTCATTCAAAATGGACCAACCCTGGAATGTGCTCTCAACCCACTTAGGGGCCTTTGGATTCACCCCAAATGCTGAAATATGTTTGGTTTCTGGGGTGTGCACAAATATGTAATAGAATTTCACAACAGCCCTTTTGGGAATAGGGCATTTGTATTCATATACTTCTATATGCATAATCAGTATTAAATACAATCTAATGAAGTGTCTTTGTGTCTAAAATGCAGTTACCTGAGGACTCTCCTTACAAAACATTCATTGAATTTTTTTCCCATTCATGTCTGGCAGCAACAAATACTGTACAGCTTTTACATGGTTAGTGTAGGTGTTGTTAATGTACGTTCCACATCCATTTAAATGCAAATCTTCATGCAAATAATTTGGAGGAGGAAAAAAAGAGAATGTGTTTAGCTGAAGACAAAGCTGGAGGGATAATAGAAAGCTTGAATAGGGTGTCAGCGGACGGCTGCACAATAAAAACCTCCCCTGTATGAAAATGAAAACACATTAACAACAGCACAGAGGATTTCTCACTAGGTTCTTACAGTATTGTTGTATGTAAACATGATTCCCAGCAGCTGAAACAAAATGAATGAATTTGGGAGAAATTTACATGTCTCTAGGAGAAGTAAGAGGTCAAAATGGTTGTACAGGACACTTGATCAAGGCCCAAAATACCAACCATGGGCAAATATTTAGGCTTCCTTCAGAAATCCAAATTTTAGAAACAAACAGCTAATTGTCCAAATGACTCAATTGTTAAATAGTGCTGTAGGAAGAGTGTTTCAACAAAAAAAATGTAGGAAATGAGCTGAGACTGAATAAATATCACCATACTTGAGAACAGCAACTTTGAGACTGAATTTGGCTCTGGGGAAGGCTGGATTGTGATCCTAGGGAAATTTCCAATTTGCACTATTTGCAGAGAAAACATTACATCAACAAAGGTTAAGTGTTGGCATTAAGAAAAGCAGAACATCCTAGAGTTTCCCAGTTATTTCTATTTTAGGTACCTCTCCAAGTTTCCGTTGGATGCAACCAAAAAAGTTGACAAGAAATGAAGGAGGTTGCAAAATAACAAGGCCAAAGGGCTGGTAATGATATATGAACAGAAAAAAAAAAAAAAGATCTGTTGGTGTCAAATACTTCCAAATGGATAAATTGTGACACAGGTTGTTATATTTGAAAAAAAATGCTTCAGTTTTCTTGTAGGTTTCATTATTTGCGGTTGCTTCATTTGACAGCACCAACAGAGCCATGGAACTTGGAAGACTTAATTTGGACATATTTTGGAAAGATTTCAATAGACTTTAGGCAGTATTATATGCTCTTTAACTTGGAGTGATTTCACATTTCTTGGAGAGTGCAACTGGCTAGAAAGATCATTTTATTTCCTTGGCTGCATATAGTCCAACAACCCTCCCACCCAACCCCCACCATCGCCTTGCCAAAAGGAAAAAAGAGTAAAAGAAAATAAAACCTTTGCAAAAATTAACTCAATGAATTATGTTTATTCTCCCCACAATGAAAATCTTTTCTTATTTAAATAAATATTTCTTTTCAACACCAGTTCTCCCATTCTTCTATTTATTGCTCTTTGAGATAGCATTAGGAATCTTAAGACTATTTGTCTGCTTCTCCTACTCATCCAGTTCAAACATTCCATATCTGCATGCTTTCTGCCATTGATTTCAAACCCTTAGATTATAACCAGAGTTGGATACATTCTGTAAAAGATTTGACTCTATGCCAGGACATCCGGTGGTATTAGAAAGTGAAAAAGTAAAAAATTTTTTCCCCTGAATAGCAGAAAGAGTTAAGGTTAAGAACAAGGAGAGAAATGGAGACAGCTTGGACTTTGAACAGACTCGTTGGTTTCCAAGCATTAAATTGTCCATTGGAATTAATAAATACATGGCCTGCAGTTTATTTATACTGATGTACATATTTAAGTTATTAGCTTATATTTTAGCTATTAAATATATTTGTCATTTCAAATATTTATATATTTATTAAATATTTAAATTATCAAATATATTTGTTAATAAATATATATTTATATTTATATTTATATATTCACTTTTCCATAAGGAATAGGCCAGGAGGAAGATATCTTCATCAGGATAAGCTAGATAATGCCATGACAAAAATGCCCAAAATTTTCACTTATGTAATCCAACGAAAATTTACTCTTGGTCAGTCAATATCCACTGTGTGAGTTCAGGAGAGTTTTCAGGGCAACTGATCTCCATTCAGTGACTCAAGTCATCCAGGCTCATGAGGGGTCCACTTTCTTGTAACTGCACCATCCTGAGGCTGGGGGCATCTCTGTTGCCACAGAGGGAGAAGAGGGCTGCAACTGCAATCAAATACTTGGGCTTGGTAGTACACATCATTTTTTCTTGTAGCCCATTAGCCAAAACTAGTCACATGACAGTGAGAGCAATATGTGACCCGCCCATATTCTCAGAGGGCCTAGAGAAGTAGATATGAGTAAGAAAGTCTCTAGCACAGAGGAATATGGTGGTAATCAATGTGATTTTTCTCCTTTAAAAATCTATAGTATACTTAGTCCTTTGCCTATCATATTCAACATTCATTTTTGGAATCTCTTTGTAGGCTTATCTATTTCACTCTTGATGGCTTGGGAGATCTTTGAGATTAGAAAACACATTTTGCTCAATTTTTAATACCCCACTGACCTTGCATATAGCGGGTACTCTATAAATATTAATCTAACTAAATGAAACTATTCTTCCTAAGATAATCATGAAGGTTTCTCTGTCTTTTCTTGGTATAAATATCAGCTCACAATCCTTGGAAAATTTTTCAGTGCCTGGACACACAGAAGTTATAGGTAAGTGCAGAATTCAGTGGCCCAGCTGGACTGCATCAGTAAATAATACTGAGCATATTTTCTTGTCCTGCCAGAAAAAAAAATAAAAAGGCAGTTTCACAAAAGAGATGCTATGGGGTGCTATGAAAATAACACTGGACTAGAGTCTGGAAAATTGAGTTCTTGTTCCAGCTCTGGCCTTAACTCACTGTGGGACCTGTGTATTCACATCAACTCACCCAGCCTCAGTTTCTTTAGACATAAAGGGATGGAGTCGAACCTCTGAAGTCCTTTCCAGATGACACATGCAATACTGCATGAATTGTGCAACCGAAAGGAATTTTTAGATAATTTTTTCAAAAACTTTGCAGTGTTTGTACATGAGATCTAGAGTAAGAAAATTTGGGGAGAAAGTAATCTTTAGCATCCTCTTACCTCTCCTTGTTAAGGCCCTTTTTTATTTCCGTGCCCTGCTCACTGTGTCCCTTGGTCATCCGGCATCCCCTCCTCCCCCATTAGTGTTTAGTTGAAAATTCACTATCCTGAATTCACATCAAAGCTTATTTATTTTTCCCATTTTCCTTTGATATAGGAATCAGCTAAGTTCTAAATAATAAATGTCAGCTAAACATTTGTAACTCCCCAGTGTGTATAGACTTGATGGTAGCAGTTCCCTGAATCCTTTGGGGGAAGCTGAAGGCACCAGATCCTCCCTCCCCAGAAACAGGGGTAGTCACCTTATGCATATATGACCCAGAGCTGGCCTAGAAGATGCTCTTGTCTAGGGCTTTGAATCCTAGCATTGTAATGCCAAAGCACGAGAACTGCTTGGATTCACCTACAGCAGGAGATGTGATAGGAAGGAATATCCTCATTAATTGAGGAGGAGGCTGCAGATGGAGAGGTTGTCCCTTCAGTAGCAGAAGTCCTGTCCTATAGTACTGGTGGTAGTGACATTCTGGTCAGGCTGCTTCTGCTAAAACATGACGGCACTACTCCCTGATTGTTGACTCTCCTGGCTTCTGTCCACTTTCCCAATTCTAGTTCTTCAATCTCCTATCAATTCTGAAGCCCCCAAGAACTTTGTGAAATTTCACCTATTTGCTTAACGACACTGGAGACCATTTGTGTCCCTCACAACTAAAAGATTCCTAATGAACTTAGAGATTGTGGCTGATAATTAGATAGTTTGCTACTGTAAGCAGAATATATTTCTTCTTAACAGAGCTTGCCTGGTTTGACCATTGAGCTGCCTAAAGCATGTTATTGTTTCTATAGTGTCAACAAATATGCTATCCCATTTCATCCTCTCATTGATCCCAGAAGGGCACAAGATATAAAAATATAAATATTTCCAGCTGGGCATGGAAGCTCACATCTGTAACTCCATATTTCCAGCTAGGCATGGCAGCTCACATCTGTAATCCCAACACTTTGGGAGGCCGAGGCAGGAGGATCACTTGAGGCCAGGAGTTTGAGACCAGCTTGATCACATAGAGAGATCTTGTTTCTACAAAAAATTCAAAAATTAAACAGGCATGGTGGCTTGCGCCTGTAGTTCTAGCTACTTGGGAGGCTGAGGGGAGTGGATCACTTGAGCCCAGGAGTTTGAGATTGCAGTGGGCTAGGATTGCACCACTGTACTCCAGCCTGGGTAAAAGAGTGAAACCCTGTCTCCAAAATAAAAAAAAAAAGAAAAGAAAAATAAATAAATATTTCTAACTCAGTGGTGGTAAATTTAAGGTTCCCAGATAGTAATTGACTTGACCAAGGTCAATGCAGTATTAAGGAATAAATCAAGATTCATAACCAGAACTGATCTATGTTCAGTCCTTTTTTACTATACCACTTTGTCTTCTCCAAAGGAGTTGCTTTAACTGCAATAGCCCAACATAGAAAAGGCTTTTTTATCAGCAGATGGAAGGGAATGCTCCTGAAATTTTGCCCAAAGGACTGGCCCCTTGCTTGTACAGGCATAAGTAATCACCAGCTTGCTTAATTCTAGCTCTGCACATTGCCATGACTCAGTGCCACTGGCTCTCCAACAGGATATAAATAGACCCTCAGAGGAAAAGCAGATTCATGACAATTAACAGTCTATGTGGTATAGCACAGCCACAGAAACTAAATGGCTATACCGATTGTGCCCCCTTAAAAGGTGTAAAACTTCCTCTTTCATATTTCATTTCAGCCTGTAACTTTTTTGACATTGTCATATCACCTCCCCGTCCCTGCTATTTTGACTTCTTCCGGATCTGGATGCAGTATGAATTCTAGAAGTACAAATTCTTTAAAATGCCACCCAAGAGGCTTAATCTATTTTCTAAATTTCCACCTGTCTGAAGTCTGTCCTGTACACCTTCTTCTAATCTAAACACTTGTTTTTTAGTGTTGCTTCTTAAAAGAACGAGCAGGCCTTAAAAGCTGATGTTTTGGCAAAGACAGAGTACAGGAAAAGTTACCTGAACTAAGCAACTTGGAGAAACAAGTTTGAAAGATAGTTCCCCAGCTGCAAGTGGTGTGTGAGGGGTAGACCACACCTGGGTCTGAGGGTTGGTTAAGCTAGTGAGTGAGTATCAGAGATGGATTAAAATGACTGTGGCTATAAGGAAGATGAATAGAGCAAGAGCATGAATAATGACACCAGAATAACAGGCATATTTCCATTCCTCTTTATACACAATTGAGCCACTAGAATTTGAAAGCAGACTTGTAATTGCTAGAGAACCTCACTCATTAGAAGGAGTAATTTTGAAGGGGAACATTCCTAGGGATTGAAGATGGTATAACAACTGTGTGAGACTCCCCTAAGAAGTGTGTGAAAGAGGAGACTAGCAGTGAGCAACTCTACTTCCTGCTACAATTCACTGTGGACAGGGAACAACTCCTATGGAACTTCATGAAGGAGGCCTAAACCTCTGTCATCCACTGGGTTTTGTGAGCAGCCCCATTCTGCTTTCTATCATGGAGAGTAACAAGAAATTGAAAATGAATATGAGTTTTGTGGCTTACAGATATGTAAACATTCATATCCTTCACAGAGGCCGGGCACGGTGGCTCACGCCTGTAATCCCAGCACTTTGGGGGGCCGAGGCGGACGGATCACCAGGTCAGGAGATCAAGACCATCCTGGCTAACACTGTGAAACCCCGTCTCTACTAAAAATACAAAACATTAGCCGGGCTCGGTGGCGGGCGCCTGTAGTTCCAGCAACTAGGGAGGCTGAGGCAGGAGAATGGCGTGAACTTGGGTAGCGGAGCTTGCAGTCAGCCGAGATAGCACCACTGCACTCTGGCCTAGGCGAAAGAGCGACACTCCGCCTCAAAAAAAAAAAAAAGAGTTAGATCGCAGAAAATTAAAAAAAGATAACAGCCAGAAAAAAAATGGTATATAGCCCACATCCCTGGGGTAGGGCCAGCAGTAAAAATGGAAGAGAGAGAGCAGGGAAGCCTACTTGTGACCCTTTAACATGACTGAAACGATTCTGCCATCCAGACTACCCAAAGAGATTCACTTTATCAGTCAGTGTTTTTTACTGCAGACAACAGAATCTATTATTGATAATATAAAGAGAAAGGGAATTATTATAGAAAGTAACCGAGCTCACAAAGCCATTGGGTGATTTGAAAGAACAGGCTCTAAACAGAAATTTCAGAAACAACTTCCTTAGCTCCTCCAGAGAAGTGCCACATTAAAAGATTTGGTTGCAACACAGGCCTCGGTTGCAATTACCAAGTGCCGAAACAAGGAGCTGCCTCTGCAGCCACCAGCCCCAGAACTACACTGCCTCTGACCTACACTGGCCAGAAGGTTAGATCTCTATGCATATAGCCACAGCCACTTGCTCTTTTACTCCTTCCAAATCTCACCTGATGTGAGAGGTGACAGCGTGTTGGCAGCCCTCACAGCCCTTGCTCGCTCTAGGCACCTCCTCTGCCTGGGCTCCCACTTCGGCGGCAGTTGGGGAGCACTTCAGCCCCCCCGCTGCACTGTGGGAGCCCCTTCCTGGGCTGGCCGAGGCCAGAGCCGGCTCCCACAGCTTGCGGGGAGGTGTGGAGGGAGAGGCGCCGGTGGGAACCAGGGCTGTGCACTGTGCTTGCGGGCCAGCACAAGTTCCCGGTGGATGTGGGCTCCGCGGCCCACACTCAGAGCGGCCGGCCGCCGCTGCCGGCCCTGGGCAATGAGGGGCTTAGCACCCAGGCCAGCAGCTGCAGAGGGTGTGCTGGGTTACCCCGGCAGTGCTGGCCCACCAGCACTGCGCTCGATTTCTCGCAGGGCCTTAGCTGCCTGCCCGCCGGGCAGGGCTCGGGACCTGCAGCCCCCCTATGCCTGAGCCTCCCCCCCCCCTCCATGGGCTCCTGTGCCCCCAAGCCTCCCCGATGAACGCCACCCCTGCTCCACCAGCACCTAGTCCCATCGACCACCCAAGGGCTGAGGAGTACGGGCACACGGCAAGGGACTCTCAGGCAGCTCCACCTGCGCCCCCGTGCGGGATCCACTGGGTGAAGCCAGCTGGGCTCCTGAGTGGTGGGGGCTTGGAGAACCTTTATGTCTAGCTAAGGGATTGTAAATACACCAATCGGCACTCTGTATCTATCTCAAGGTTTGTCAACACACCAACAGCACCCTGTGTCTAGCTCAGGGTTTGTGAATGCACCAATGGACACTCTGTATCTAGCTACTCTGGTGGGGACTTGGAGAACCTTTGTGTCCACACTCTGTACCTAGCTAATCTAGTGGGGAGGTGGAGAACCTTTGTGTCTACCTCAGGGATTGTAAACGCACCAATCAGAACTCTGTCAAAACAGACCACTCGGCTCTCTGTAAAATGGACCAATCAGCAGGATGTGAGCGGGGCCAGATAAGAGAATTAAAGCAGGCTGCCCAAGCCAGCAGTGGCAACCCGTTCGGGTCCCCTTCCACACTGTGGAAGCTTTGTTTTTTCGCTCTTTGCAATAAATCTTGCTGCTGCTCACTCTTTGGGTCCACACTGCCTTTATGAGCTGTAACACTCACCACGAAGGTCTGCATCTTCACTCCTGAGCCAGCAAGACCACGAACCCACCAGAAGGAAGAAACTCCCAACACACCCGAAGATCAGAAGGAACAAACTCCAGACACGCCGCCTTTAAGAACTGTAACACTCACCGCGAGGGTCCGTGGCTTCATTCTTGAAGTCAGTGAGACCACGAACTCACCAATTCCGGACACAGATGTGTCCACTTGAAGAATGAAGGTCAGAGGTACCTCTAACTGCAAAGGAATCTGTGAGATACAGTTTCCAGCTTACCAGGCTACCATGTCTAGGAGGACATGCTAGAAAGAAGAGGTCTTAAGCAGGAAGATCTGCAGCATCTGCCACATTGACCCTCTGCTACCCATGCTTGTTGGTCTCTAAACTAAAGGCAAGGTTGCAAGGGTATTTGCTTGTTATAAAGTAATATGTTTGTTCTTGGGAAATTACAATCCAGATTTCATCTTAAACACATAAATCAGGTTCCCACTGGAACTCCCTTCCTCTTCAGCCAAAGACCATCAGGAAAATTGGCAAGAAAAATTGTCTCTGAGTAAAAGCAAGAAGGCTTGCCCAGGGACTGCCCTCTCCTCAATTTTCTGGAGATGTGGATTGGCATGAAGAGAAGAACAGGAATATTTCTCAAGCTCATAAAACAAAAGCTCTGTAAAATACCCAGGCATAGCCAAAGCCTTGATCTCAGGGGCTGGACATTTAATTAGGGATTCTGAGAGTTTAGTAACAAACGATCTGATTGGCAAGACTCCTTTTAGACCACTTAAAATGTGCATGGACTGTCTCAGGAGTGCAAACTGGAGGAAAGCTTGGGGTCAGGAGCAATAAGACTGTGATAAAAAGAAGCAGAGCTTAAGTGTTTTGTTACTAATCTAGACCTGGGTTTTGTCTGTCTGTTTGTTTGTTAGAAATGAAGTCTTGCTCTGTTGCCCAGGCTAGAGTGCAATGACATAATGGTAGCCCATTGCAGACTCGAACTCCTGGGCTCAAGCAATCCTCCTGCCTCAGTATTCTAAGTAGCTAGGACTACAGGTGCATGCCACCACACCCAGCTAATTTTTTTTATTTTTTGTAGAGATGGGGTCTGAATATGTTGCTCAGCCTGATCTTGAACTCCTGGGCTCAAACAATCCTCCTACCTCAGGCACCCAAAGTGTTGGGATTACAGGGGTGAGCCACTGCACCCAGCTTGGACTCAGTTATTTGGCTTCCACTCTGACTAAGGTTATCTTCAAGGTGCAAAACCACCACAACACTGTACATACTCAAAGTTAACTGGTCCCATTTCCCTTGCTCCAGTTTTTCTATGATTAACAAGACATTAGTAATAAATTAAGGGCTTTTTCCACATGAAGCTCGAAGAGCTATTTGCTTGCTTGTTTTAGTTCCATCATCAAAGACCTTCAGCAGAGACGCGAATCCAAGTATTAATTCTCATGAAAATTCATAACAACATTGGATATTGTCATCTCTAAGGAAAGAAGTACGTGTGACTCTGAGGGTTGCCCTGCCTTTCTGAATACAGTTGACCTTCTGTTAATCATTCTTGTTAGTCATTAAACCAGAGTTATCATAAAATAATGTGTTTGTTAATTGGAAATTAGAATCCCAAAGCAAAGCTGACTTCATCTCTAAAATCACAAGGATCCGGATATAAATCAAGCCTCCACTGGAAGCTGCCATGGGTAACCATGAAATTCAAAATGACATTGCTGTCCTAGAAAAACCTTTGGCCTACTTTCTATTAGGAAAGATCAGAAAAGAGCTTATTTCCCATTTGAAAGAGTGAGTTCTCCTGTTGACAAGAAGATTCTAGGACCACAACCGCAATTTGGAAATGAGAGAAGTCTATTGCTGTAGTACTCTCTTTCTGGAATCTCTTCCATGTAAAACTTCAAGGAACATAGGCCAAACAGTTGGTATGGTTGGGTTTCCAAAGGGCTGTGAAGGCTCCCTTTGTATTTTCTCTGCTTTTAACCTCAGTGTGACTACTCCGTTTGGAAAAGTCACCAGGACTTTGACATGGGCTAAGACTGAAGCCCATCAAGCCCCGAAAGCAGTATGCCATTACAACTGTACCTTCTGAGGCGGTGCACGACTTTTCTCCACTACAAGAACAATGAGATGACTCTCTTTCTGGCCACCAGGAGGTCTCTGAGTTTCACTTCTGCTATGACTCCCTCCACCAGAGCTGATAAAGGCAGCAGAGATGAAGCAGCAGGTAGCTCCCTTTGCAGGTCTGGCACTGCCCTAAATGAATATGAGAAAGCCTCTGGCTAACGTCAGCTTGGCATCCCTGTCAAAATCTCCCCTTTATGTTTTCATTGTGCATCCATTTTGCCTTCTTTGTCTTGCCTTTCCAGTTTCCGTGGATCTCCAGGTTGCTGACCACCTGCTCAGGCTTTGTAGCCACCTGCATTAATATCCCTTTGACATCTACTTCCTCCTAACACCAAACTGCTAGACTCTTTCCAGAAACCTTTGTTCTGAGCCCTGCTGTCAATTTATACTCTTATCTGCTCACCTGTCCCCAGGCCCTCCAGTTCTGCTTTGAATATAAGCCTTCTCCCTCATGTTTCCACCCCATACCCAAGGATTCCACCACCATGCCAAGCCTCCATCCCCTACCAGGCCAGCACACCCTGGCCTTGGTCTCTCAATGTGAATTAAATCTCCATCTGCCTTCAATATTTCTCTAAATGGCTCTTTATCCAGCTTAACCCCTACATTTTTCACTGACTTAAGGATATGATCACACCTTACGAAGAGTTTATGCTATTCTGAACTGAACACCTGGAGAGGAATATGAGTACAATCAAATATAGTTATGAGCTGGATGCTCACCACATCCACACATGCTGTTAGCTTTTGATAGGTAAGATGCATTCCTAAGAATATTATGCTTCACCATAAAAACCCTAGGAGAAAACCTAGGCATTACCATTCAGGACATAGGCATGGGCAAGGACTTCATGTCTAAAACACCAAAAGCAATGGCAACAAAAGCCAAAATTGACAAATGGGATCTAATTAAACTAAAGAGCTTCTGCACAGCAAAAGAAACTACCATCAGAGTGAACAGGCAACCCACAAAATGGGAGAAAATTTTCACAACCTACTCATCTCACAAAGGGCTAATATCCAGAATCTACAATGAACTGAAACAAATTTACAAGAAAAAAACAAACAACCCCATCAAAAAGTGGGCAAAGGACATGAACAGACACTTTTCAAAAGAAGACATTTATGCAGCCAAAAAACACATGAAAAAATGCTCACCATCACTGGCCATCAGAGAAATGCAAATCAAAACCGCAATGAGATATCATCTCACACCAGTGAGAATGGCAATCATTAAAAAGTCAGGAAACAACAGGTGCTAGAGAGGATGTGGAGAAATAGGAACACTTTTACACTGTTGGTGGGACTGTAAACTAGTTCAACCCTTGTGGAAGTCACTGTGGCGATTCCTCAGGGATCTAGAACTAGAAATACCATTTGACCCAGCCATCCCATTACTGGGTATATACCCAAAGGACTATAAATCATGCTGCTATAAAGACACATGCACACATATGTTTATTGCGGCACTGTTCACAATAGCAAAGACTTGGAACCAACCCAAATGTCAAACAATCATAGACTGGATTAAGAAAATGTGGCACATATACACTACGGAATACTATGCAGCCATAAAAAATGATGAGTTCATGTCCTTTGCAGGGACATGGATGAAATTGGAAATCATCATTCTCAGTAAACTATCGCAAGAACAAAAAACCAAACACTGCATATTCTCACTCATAGGTGGGAATTGAACAATGAGAACACACGGACACAGGAAGGGGAACATCACACTCTGGGGACTGGTGTGGGGTGGGGGGAGGGGGGAGGGATAGCACTGGGAGATATACCTAATGCTAGATGACGAGTTAGTGGGTGCAGCGCACCAGCATGTCACATGTATACATATGTAACTAACCTGCACATTGTGCACATGTACCCTAAAACTTAAAGTATAATAAAAAAAAAAGATTAAAAAAAAAGAATACTATGCTTTAAAGATTTTGCTATTCAAGGAAATAATGACTTCTGATTGCTTTTCCTGCAATCCAAAATCATATCATTACTGCCAAAAAAAAAAATTCTGAAGTCCAGACATGAGACTACAAACTACTATATTCTCCTTTTATGCCTCCTGGCCTCACTGAACTGCAAAGGCAATTGGGAAGTGTAAGGTGTCTAGGCAGTCATTGTACAGCTTCCGTTACCATGAAGGAAATAGAAAAGTGGTTTTGGTGGACAGCTAGCAGTCTCCACAACTTGTTTACTAATTAATACCAAATATGTCAGTAATTCTGATTTTCCTATATGCCGTTCACAGACTTACAAACCAGAAGTCTCCTTATGGAAATCACCTTACTTCTTGTGCAAATGCGATTTTAAAATTTTTTATATCAGTCTTTTTTTTTCTTTTTTCACTGTATTTACTAATGGAATATGGAGATTCTACATGGCCCCATATTTTCTGCTCCATTGAAAAATGGCTTTTGAGACCAGTGTAATTTAAGGGTGGCCAAGAGGCAGTAAGATTTTTTTAAGCCTTCCATTCCATTTTTACACATAAGAAGGCAGCTTACAAAATGGCAACGCAAACCTATTGCAAGCAATGATGATTGCGTTCCCCATCTAGAGCGCTGCTGAGTCTCAGCAGCCTGGACTTCAAAGTTCATCGTTTGCTTATGGACTTTAGCCTGTTTTATCTCTGACTCCAGAAATAAAGCCTTTTGAAAGAATTTTGAGAATGAGGAAGGCTTTTTTGTCTCTCTCTATCTCAGACCAGCCCTAGTGTTTTATTGCACCCAATGTGCTAACTCAGCCATACCAGTATTGGAACAAGCTAAGGATTAAGAAATCCGGTTGGAGGCAGTCTGCAGTAGTGTGCAGTATTTACTGCCAGGCAGCTTCTATCAAGAGTGCCAGTGAAAAAATAGCCAGCACATCTATTATAGCAAAAAACTCCTGGAAGAGAGACCGGGGGTGTGGGGGTGCAGGGAAGGAACCAAGACATTGCCAATGTTTTAAATAGCTCAGAGTGCACACACACTACTTGTGTAGCGATAGAAAAATGAGTAATATTGATAGTTAGGTAAAAGCAGCAGCATTCAGAACTGAGTCAGAAATGAGGAAAGAGCTGGGGCAAAATAGTTTCATGATCCTTTGGTAAAGAGTCAAATCACCTGTTATAAAAGATTTCATCATTGAGTAGAGAATACCTACAGCCATCCTGGGAGAGTATTAGTGTGGTCTGTTCATAAATTCCCTGGCAAACTATCCTAGGATGAGTCAACCTTGGGGATGTACAGCATTCTTGCCCCCAGAAAGATTCGGAAGCAATGGTACAAATTCAAGAACATTTGGTTTTTAACATGAAGTTCCTAGGAAATTAGCAATTTGCCTGTGACCAAGAAGGACAACTATGCCAAATGATCTGCCACCTCAAGATCTCTGGGACTTTCCTACAACCCTGGGACAGAGTCAGATTGAAGCCCAAACAATGGATGATACTAAATTTCCTGCAGTCGCAATGGAATAAGAACTCAGAGACAGATTTCATTTAATTTAGGAAAACGAGGCAGCGTGACATCTCTCACACATTCACATCTAGGAATAAGATGCATACCTACTATGATAGAAACGAAACAATGGAATGTCATTGATATCTCTATGAGCACCCTTTGCCTTGCATTTATGTAGCATGTTTACATTTTCAAAATGATCAAAGCAACTTCTCCACGTGACTATAGAAAAGAGAATTTGCCTGAATGCACCAGCCTAGACAGAGGAAGAGCTATGGCCAGCCCTGAAAACATACCATCCTCTAAAGCGAACAAAGGTAATTTTTAAAAGACACACACAAGTATTGCCAAGAGAATTGCCATTTCCAGTTTGAAATGTGCATCCTCTTTTTTTTTTTTTTTTTTTTTTTTTGAGACAGAGTCTTGCTCTGTCACCCAGGCTGGAGTGCAGTGGTGCGATTTCGGCTCACTACAACCACCGTCTTCTGGGTTCAAGCGATTCTCCTGCCTCAGGAGAGCAACTGGGATTACAGGCGCGTGCCATCGCACTTGGCTAATTTTTTGTATTTTTAGTAGAATTGGGGTTTCACCATGTTAACCAGGATGGTCTTGATCTCCTGACCTCATGATCCACCCGCCTCGGCCTCCCAAAGTGCTGGGATTACAGGCGTGAGTCACCACACCTGGCCGAAATGTGTATCTTCTAAGATGTGGGAGATCATGGCCATCTCTGCTTTTCCTTATGAGTGGTTTTCAAAGTGTTCTCTGAGTTGCCTTAGACATTCCACTACTTGCCTTGGAGAGGATGCTGGGGGAGTTAGATGGGGATCCAGAGCTTGACTCTCCCTTTCCATCCAGGCTATGAGTCACAACTTTACTCTTCTCAGTTGGGTTCTGAATATATGGTGTGGTTCCTGTGGTTTCACTTGAAGAAGAGTTCTGCTGCTTAAATAGAAGTGAAAACCACCTTTAGAGACTGTTATCAAAAAAAAAAAAATTGTTAAGTTTCTTCCAAACACCCTTCATTATTGGTTGCCCAAAGAATGCTAAATCAAGTCACTAGACAATCATTTCTGAGCCCCGCCAAGCAAGTGTGTTCACGCTAAATGACATTAACACTTTTAGCTTGACTCATTTTATTTTTGCATGTCTTTATATTCAGATTTTCATTCCAGTTTCATATCCAATTGTCAAATAATAATAAAGATTTCATCTAAAATGAAATATTGTTTGTTTAAAAATCCATAAGATGCTTTAACAGCAGGAGAGTGGGGCTTATACCAATTTAGTGAGAATCTAGTGTATTATATAAATTTATCTCTACTGTGTACATGAGCTTTGAAAAGAGGAGAATCCCATCTGCCTGTCGAACAGAGATTAGGGAAGATAGATTAAAATGCTGGTTTTCATCATTCTTATTTAATAAGCAGGAAAAAGTAACTGGAAGCATCTATGACACTTTCTACATTACATAGAGGTTAAATGTGCTCTCTGTTATAGCCACATTGCACTCTGCTTTCAACATATCACGAAACAAATCTGCTAAAATAGTTGTCTTCCTTTAAATCTAGTGTTTATTTATTCATTTTTTTTCATTTTTTATTTATTATTATTTTTTTTTTTGAGACCAAGTCTCTCTCTGTCACCCAGGCTGGAGTAGAATGGCAAGATCTCGGCTCAGTGCAACCTCTGCCTCCCAGGTTCAAGCAATTCTCCTGCTTCAGCCTCCCGAGTAGCTGGGACTACAGATGCGTGCCACCATGCCCAGCTAATTTTTTGTATTTTTAGTAGAGATCGGGTTTCACCATGTTAGCCAGGATGGTCTTGATCTCTTGACCTCATGATCCTCCCATCTTGGCCTCCCAAAGTGCTGGGATTACAGGTGTGAGCCACCGCGCCCAGTTTGTTTGTTTATTTTTGCCAGTAACGCCAGGCTATTCTGCAAGGCCTCATCCAAGGACAAAATGGAGAAATAAATCCTCCAAAGTTAGGTTTATAGAACACTGGGCTTTCTGATTTTTTCAAAATAAAAAAGTACAAAATGAAAAGAAACTAAGCTGTTTACACTCCAGCTCTAGCTGAGAGCTGGAACAGTGCGTTGGACACTGGCAACTCCTTTCTGGAAACATTGCTGTCAGGCGCCATGGGAAGGCATCATCCCCAAGTCTGCAGACTTTTTCAGAGCCCTCTATGAGTTCATACAGCTCCAAGTCGGCTTCCTCATTTAGCCTCTGACCTGAGAAATGGCTCCACCAAATCCCTAATTTCTCAAGCTACAAAACTCAATGTGCCTCATACTCCTACTCCTCTGTCACCAACACCCCTCTATTCAATTAATCACCATGTCCTGTTTTGTTCTCCTGTCTAAATGCTCTTCAAATTATTTCACATTCCAATCATGCATCACTCCCAGGCCACTGCCATTTTTGAGGCTTTTGTTGTGTATTAAATGGACCATTGGGTCAGCTCCTAATTCGTCTTCCTACTCCTCATCTCCTTTAATCCATGCTCCATGCTTACCATACGCAAATCCAATCAGGCCTCTGTTTATCATCTTTCCCTAGCTTCCCACTGCCTTCATGCTAAAGTGAAAAGTCCTTAACACAGCATATAAAGTGGTCTAATCCTTGCCTACCTTTCTGATCTCATGCCCCATGACCCTCGCAAGTGTGTTTCCCATGTCCAGCCAGGCTGTCAGCTCCATGACCATGTCTCACCTTTCACATCTTTGGACATACTCACTCATCTCTCATGGGGAAGACCTCTGCTTTGTCTACTTGGCAGGCTTTCGCTCATCCTCCAAGATTCACTTCAATTGCCACCTTCCCTATGAAATCCCTTCACATCCTAGTATGATACCTCTTTTTAACACTTATTCCAATACACTGAAACTGTTTGTTGATGTGCCTGTCTTCCTACTACTTCATGACTCCCTTCCAGGACAGGGACTATGATGTCATTCATATATGCTGCACAGTGCCTGGCATAAAACCATACCCCAATAAATGTTAACATATTAATGGCTTAATTGTCTGCAGAGATTTTCATAGACTAGGAGACAAGAATCCAGGCTTCTTTTCTCAGTGGTACAACATTCTATTCAACCTCCTTAGGGCTTAGAATCTTTAAGTGTAAAATTATGACAATAAATTGTTAAAAGGGATCTGACTTTCTGTCCAGTTTCCAAATAAAATTCTACAAATCTGTGATGTCTAGGATTGCAGTGATGGCCTTTCTTTTTTCAAGAAGGACACTTAAGGTTGTGAACACCAGAACATAAGTCTGCTAGTACCAGCTGTGGCCTCTGGTTCTTTATATGTCAAGTTACCTAGGCCATTCCATGCTCATGAAGATGGGAGCATTCAATGAATGAATGAATAAATGAATGAATACAATCACCTTATTTGTTATATCCTCCACTTTGAATAACAAATGTAAATCTTGGCATTGTGCCCCTGTTTCTAAAGCCTTTTTTTAAAATCAAGGTAGATAGATTTAATAGCTAAAGTCATTGTTAATTACATATACATAAGCATATTGATAGGATCAGAACAGCAATTACATAGCAACACTGGAATCAATCCATAGAATTCTTAGTTTGATAATCGGAAAAAAATACTTTCAAAAGACTAAAAAGTCAATGAACTAAAAGTTCATTTTAGTTTCCATTTTACTGACATGAGAAAAACATGTCATTGGCATCATATTTTCAGTGCTTAATCTTGCACAATAAGTGACACGGAGAAGCTCAAAGGGATCCCAGAGAGCCACTTTCAAAGTCAAATGTCTAATGGGAGAGTAGGGTCATAGAAGGAAAATTAACATTCATTAGTCAGTTTTAGAGGAAATATCTGGAAGCATAATTAAATAATATACATACAAGCATCACGCTTTTTGTGATAGCTTTAAAATGTGCACTCACACATTTTTAGTTGTTTGTTTTTGCCACAGATGAAAAGATGAGCATGACAGTAATGAAGTTGTAGAGACACTTGATTCACTTTTTTCCCAGGCAGACCAATTAGTAATTGTAGCCTCTAAAAGAATCACTTTGTAGCTCTCTGTCAAGGGAAATACTGCCAAACTTCGCAGGAAAAAAAAAAAAAGATAGCATTTGATTTGCTCTGCTGTGACAGCCTTCCTTTTCTCTGAGAAAGATGCTGGCCTCCCTCACACTATGGCCCTGAAAGCTTGGTTTGATGTTCCTCTCTTCAATGCATAGTCCAGAGCGTGCTGATGTCCGGCATAGTGCCACTGAAGAAATCCACTCCAGGTGCCAGCAGCTAGCAGAAAGCAATATATTACTGATGCGCTAATCGGCAGCCTTTTTAGTTGTAAAAGAAATAAATGCAACCTCACACTGACTTAAGGCAAAAGGGGATCTGGTGACTCAAAGCCATCAAGAACCTGCCTGCTCATCTCTCCTCTCTGCTTTCCTCTCCATCAGCTCCTATCTCCAGCAGGATCTCCTGTGTCATGGCCCGATGCCCACCTGCAGCTCCAGGTTTACACACTTTCAGCCTAGCAACTTATCCATGACATAAATCTTCTCTTTCATGATAACTTCGAACAAAGGTGCCAGGCAGGGCTGCCACTGTCCATTCTAGGTCACATGACTATCACAAAATAACCAATCCCTGGTCACTGTAGCCAGAGACATAGTGCTCTGATTGCCAGGCCTAGGTCAGCTGGGGGCTCCTGGAGCTGGGAAGGGGGTTACTGAGAATGAAACAGGTAATCCTCTAAAAAAAATCAGGGTACTGCATCCAGAAGGGAAGGGATGCTGAGAAGGCAAAAATAAATGTTGACTACAACACTGAGTCACTCTTTTTCTTCTAAGATGTAAACATGTTTTCTACATAATTAAAAGAAAAAACAAAAAGAAAAAGCAGCACGTGTTCCTTCTCAACAGATGCACACTCCTGGGCTATCTCAACCGTCTCACGATTTCACCTTACAGCTGTCCCTCTTAGAGTTCTCCAAATCGTCCATGTAAGATAGAAAGAAACAAACAGCTTGCTGGTCATCCTCACCTGTATGATCAGCAGTCACTTCAAGCTGAACTCGCCCACAACAGACCTCGCCATATTTGCACTGAGCCTACTACTTCTCCTGGAGTCTCTATTTCAGCAAGTGCAACCGCCACTGCCATCATCATAGTGACCTCAAAATAACCAATCCCTGCCCTCATCTCATCTCCCACCTTCAGTGCCACCCATCCCATAGCAATCACCAAATCCTGCCAATTCTTCCTCCTAAATGTAGTGCTCCTCGAAGTTGTCCCTTCAGCTCCATCTTTAGTCCCACAGGTCAGGGTCCTCATCATGTCTCGTGTGGAGCCCGAAGGGATTCTAAGAGGCTCTTCTGGGCTGTGCCTTCTTCCCTCCTGAGTGGCTGCCAGAAGGATCCTCCCCTCACTCAAATCTGACCAGGCCATTCACCACTCTTCAACCTTGCAGGAGTTCTCCTTCATCTACCCCTGCGATTTCCTAATGAAACTTACATAGAAGCCCAGTGTATTAATTTCCAAGGGCTCCTGTAACAAATTACCACAAACTTCATGGCTTGAAGCAACACAAGTTAACTCTCTCAGCTTTCTGGAGGCCAGAAGTCCCAAATCAAAGTGTGGTCAGGGTTGGCTCCTTCTGGAGTCTCTGAAGGAGAGTCCGTTGCACCCCTCTCTCCTAGCTGCTGCTAGCTGTGGCAATCCTTGGTGTCCGTGGCTTGTAGGCACATCCCTTCACTCTGCCTACATCTTCACATGGCCTTCTCCACTGTGTTTCTCCTCAGGGTCTATATGTCTCAAATCTGCCTTATAAAAACACTAGTCATTGGATTTAGGATCCAATTAATCCACCCAGTTAATCCAAAATTATGTCTTGAGATCTTTAATTTAATTACATCTGCAAAGACCCTGTTTCCAAGTAAGGTCACATTGACAAGTACCAGGGATTAGAATTTGGGTGTATATTTTGGGGGAACACAATTTAACTAACGACACCCAATATATGCAATGATGGTTACAAGATAAATCCCAAGCCCTTGTAAATGTTTATTTTTGGAGATGGAGTGTCACTCTGTTGCCTAGGTTGGAGTGCAATGGTGGTCAGCTCACTGCAACCTCCACCTCCTGGATTCAAATGATTCTCCTGCCTCAGCCTCCCAAGTAGCTGGGATTACAGGTTCACACCACCACACCTGGTTAATTTTTTGTATTTTTAGTAGAGACGGGGTTTCACTATGTAGGCCAGACTGGTCTCGAACTCCTGACCTCAGGTGATCCACCCGTCTCGGCCTCCCAAGGTGCTGGGATTACAAGCGTCAGCCACCGCGCCCACCCCCTTGTAAATCTTGATCCCATGATTACTGTAACTTGGGCCCATCCTCCTTCAATCTAGCTCCCCTCCTTTGGCTGTCTCCATCATCACTGGCTCACATCCTGGCTTTGTGCCCCAGTCCTACCCAAGGCTATTTTCTACCCCTGTGTCTTTTCCCCTTCTGATACTTCTACCTGGGATGTGTTCCTGCCTTGCTCCCGTATCACCTGACTGTGAGCATTTTGGGACTAAGACACCAAAACAGAGGTCTTACTGGCAATCAAAAGCAAAACTTAACACTACAGCTTGAATCAGCTTTTGCAATGTTTAAGAAAAAATCTAACCAATTGCCATTTTTTTTAAACCTGCAGATTCATATAAAAAAATCGGTATTCCCAGCTTCTCTTTGGCAGCATTAGCCTGCTTTCTGGTGTTGTAGCATGAGTCCAGAGCTGCAAGTAGCAGGGCTGCTCACTTTGGCCTTCATGTATTCTGCAATTCACATCCAGTTTACCTCCAGGCCTCTGGCACTTACCCCCATTAGCATTGGGTCCTATAGGCCCTTGAGTTCATCCTCTGCCTTAAGATTTCTCTTCTAGACTGAGCTGCCTTCTCTACAGGGAAACCTTAGCTCACCCTGCCTCTCCACCCTCCCATTTGTTCTGGTCTTGCTTCACCACCTGCCTCAAGGGAGGCCACTTCAAACACACACAAAAATCTCCCTCATGACCTGGCACACTTTCGTGTTCTCTCCCTACCACTCGTTTTCACAATATACTAAATAGCCTATACATTATGTATTATACGTTAATTACAAAATTAATCCATAAACCACAGCATCAAGGCCAAAGCAGGGCACCACTGTCCATGCCCAAATGCCTGCATACCTTTCCCATTTCCAGGCTGTTGTAGCTCATCATTTTACCCTGGTGTTACCAATACTAAAATGGCATGGAGGTTGGGAAAAAAAATGGTAGGATTTATCTTACTCCATATATCCATCTAGCAATCCACCCATTCCTCACTTTCTACCTAAATTGCTGAAAAAACAGAAACTGGCAGCCAGCTACCCAGATAAATTTTCTTTTTTTTTTTTTTGAGACAGAATCTCTCTCTGTCGCCCAGGCTGGAGTGCAGTGGCGCTATCTTGGCTCACTGCAAGCTCCACCTCCCCGGTTCAAGCCATTCTCCTGCCTCAGCCTCCCGAGTAGTGGGGACTACAGGTGCCTGCCACCGCACCCAGCTAATTTTTTGTATTTTTAGCAGAGACGCGGTTTCACCGTGTTAGCCAGGATGGTTTCGATCTCCTGACCTCGTGATCTGCCCACCTCAGCCTCCCGAAGTGCTGGGATTACAGGCATGAGCCACCACCACACCCAGCCAATAAATTTTAATGGCAAGAGTAAATTAGGCCAGGCATGGTGGCTCACACCTGTAATCCCAGCACTTTGGGAGGTAGATCACCTGAGATCAGGAGGTTGAGACCAGCCTGGTCAACACGGCAAAACCCCATCTCTACTAAAATACAAAAAAATTAGCCAGCCGGGCATGGTGGTGTGTGCCTGTGATCCCAGCTACTCGGGAGGCTGAGGCAAGAGAATCACTTGAACCCAAGGGGCAGAGGTTGCAGTGAGCTGAGATCATACCACTGCACTCCAGCCTGGGCGACACAGCCAGACTCCATCTCACATAAATAAATAAATAGTACCTTCTTTATAAACCTGCTCTCTGGAGGCAGCTCAAGAGATAGCCAAACTCTCTCCAGGATTTTCACCAAAGCACATTGCCGAGCCCCTTGCTGAAGAAAGCCTACCCACACCTCCAGGATTTTCACCAAAGCACGTTGCCGAGCCCCTTGCTGAAGAAAGCCTACCTATACCCACAACACTCCTGGGTCTGTCCTTTGTTTTGACACAGCCAAGATAGGTTGTACATAGCAAGATAAAATGCCAGGATGGCGACATTTGTTCTGCCCAGCTTCCAAGCTTGCCCTCATGTGTCAGATGTCAGATTTCTAAGAATAACTGCTCGTTTTTCCAAAAATGAACCTCACACATTCATTGGAACTTCCTGTCCCCACCAAAGCATTCTTCATAACCAAGCAGACAAAAGAGAGTTGTTGGGAAATGATCTCGTGCTCAGAATCCATGTCAGCAAATGCCTTATGATCAGGAAGTTAGTGTTATTTAAGTGGGAGATGGTTCCTCTCTAAAACAATGGTGCCCAGAAAATAACTATAATCATGTTATTTTATTACTTTGCCGTTGTGCTTGTATATTTTTAACCACTGCATTGTGCTTTTTGCACCTATATTGTACTTTATTATACCCTGAAGGTATCACTTAAGTGTATATTTTCATTTTAGGGCATATGGTTTTCAGTTTTTCAACAATTGAAACAAGTTGGAGTTGTAGTAAAGTAATTTGAGAAGAGGCCAGTCTTGGAAGTCTGTATTTTTAAAGACTTTGAGTTTGGGAAAAAACATTTGTTTTACTTATTTACTGTGGTTAAAAAGACCATTACATTTGCTTGTTAATCAGTCATAATTTGAGAAAGGATAGTTTCTTTAGAGCCTCAGAAAATGGCCCTCTGGCCACCAACATATTTTCCATTTTGGCTCTGTAATAAAACAGTATTCAGTAAATGAAAGACATTGGCATTTGTTTGGATTTCTTTTTTGAACTTTTTATATAAAACACTTCTGTTCCATTAGGATAATCCTATTTGACTTGCTTCTCTCAGTCAAAGAAAAGGAAAAAACTATTATGAGAGAGCCAGGAACAAAGGATTTCCCACCCCTAGTCGGGCTTTTGATCCTCACATGGTCATAACAGGCCTCCGGCAGTAGCCAATAACTTCCGGCTTCAAAGGAGGGGAAGCAGGCTTAAAATGAACGCACCGTCCAGTGCTGCCATGAGGTTTGGGCTGGCAGATTGCTCTCCTGACCCCTGTGTACAATCACTTTCTGCCCTCTGTGATGGATACAATTACCACTGTTTTTACCTACAGAGAAACCCCCACTACTATTTTATGGCCAGTGAATTTGCCTGCCCGTGTCTAATACAGTCATGGTGTTGAACTCGACCATGTCGCACTAGGCTTATGTTAAGATAATCAAAGAATGTGGAGCACTGAGTCACTTTTGTTCTTTATAGAAAACACCAGAGCAGAAACCAACAGTTTGTCAAACAATTCACCATAGCAAGATTTTAATAAATGAGTCTTTTTGCTGATATGGCAATTATTTTACACAGAAAAAAGATATAAATTCCATGCTGTCCTGGATCTACACAAACAAGAAAAAACATTCATAATTCTGGAAATTTTCTAGTTCAGCAACTCCATCAACTTTCAATTAACCTCAGAAGCCAGGCCATTACTGCTGCCAGATTAGCTCGAGAACTCTCCAGGACCCTTTAATTCTTTACACCAGACCTTTTCCACATTTATTTATCTATTTCTTCTTTCCCTTCCACACCCCTGTTCTCTTCTCTGCCTCCTTCACTTTCTATTCCATTATACCCTTCTTAATCTACCACACCTCAGTGGTGATGGTGGGCAAAAATGGCTGCCATTATGTTATCAGCACGAACTAAGCTTACTTGGGAAGTCAGAAAACGGGATGCAATCCCCATAAACATGGAAAAGGCATATTGATTCTATGTCATCAAGCTCCACCTTTCCCATAGGTTGCACATGGCAAGATAAAATGCCAGGATGGGGACAATTTTTCTGCCCAGCTTCCAAGCTTGCCTTCATGTGCCATATGTCAGATTTCTAAGAATACTGTTCAGTTTTCCAAAAATGAACCTCACACATTCATAGGGCCACTCAAACTTCCTGCCCCCACCAAAGCATTCTTCATAACCAAACAGACAAAAGAGAGTTGTTGGGAAATGACCTCGTGCTCAGAATCCATGTCAGCAAATGCCTTATGATCAGGAAGTTAGTGTTATTTAAGAGTGAGATGGTTCCTCTCTAAAACAATGGTGCCCAGAAAATAACTATAATCATGTTATTTTATTGCTTTGCCGTTGTGCTTGTATTTTTAACCACTGCATTGTCCAAAGGAAATCCTTGCTCTTCTCTTTCGTGAGTTTTCTTTCTTTCTACCCACTTTCCCCCATCTTTGCTACCCTCCTTTCAAATATTTGCTCATACCATTTTCCCTTTATGGAATGCCCTCCCTGAATCTATTTATGTAAATCTACTCTTCACTTCAAAATACAACCTAATTGCTTCTCTTTTTCCGAGCATTCTATGATCAAAAGAGCAGGTCATGGACTTTTCTGCCTTGAATTCATGTGGCACTCACTGTCCAGAGCAAGATTTGTATTCATGCAACAGAGCTTCTTTAAGCACCTACTATATCCTTAACATAATGATAAGCCCTGCACTGTATGACATTTTCGAAATGAAAAAAATTTACTTTATCAAAGAAGAAAAGATGTCACATGACACAAATATCTATATGACAATGTAGAATATGATGAGTGTCATGAAAGATATATAATTTTAAAGCTCAAAAGAAGGAGACAGATGACTTCTCTCCAGGGAAACTGCTTCAAGGATTTGCTTGTTGTGCCAGTCTAGAAGGAATGCTGATCTCTATCACATTAGTATTTGTGGCCCTGGAGTCATCCCTCTTGCCTTTCATTGTTCGTTGCCTGGCATTGTTCACTTGCATTTTTAGATGCTTCTGTCTTGTCACTATAACTAGATATGAGCTTGAAATGAACTGAAATCTTGCCTTATATTTTATATGGTTCCCTCACTACCCTTTACCTAATAGTTACACAGTAAACATTTTTTAACCCAACAAACCCTTATTTAACCCCTACTGATTTCCTGACTCTGAGCACGGTAGTTAGGGATGGCAGCCAACTTCCACAGAGAGAGACCTGGCCAGGAACCATTCCACTATGGAGGTGAAGAATAAACAGGACTTTATAGATGAGTGATGGTTTACCAGATGGACAAGGAGAGAAGTATTCCCAATGCAAGAAGAGATTGTCCAAAGGCCTGAAAAACAAAGAAATAAGAAACAGAAGTTGAGGCAGGAGAGGTCTTTATTGGCCACACTAATATCTTACCCTAGAGCCTCTGACATCCACAAAAAATGCAGTATTATTGCAGTGAGATGAGATCGGGCCACTGCACTCCAGCCTGGGCAATAGAGTAAGACTCAGTCTCAAAGAAAAAAAAGAAAACAAAAAAGAAAAAGAAAAGCAGAATTAACTCAACCACTGTTCTTATTTTTATGTTAAATGTGGAATTTGTAACATTGTATTATAAATTATAAAACAGAACAAAAATTCTATTTTCAGGTTGTAGAATCCAGATGATTGTAGAATCGAACTGATGAGCTCGTCTAAATCTCTGTCTCCCTTAAATAAACAATTTGGTCAGTTAGCCCATCCTAGGGTCACCACTTCTCCAGATCATTAAAGAGAAATTAATTTAACAAACAGATGTCTTCTTATCAGGGACAATACAGTCGCTTCCTAAAGAAGCATTCCAAGTAAGATTCCTTTAGAGCAACCATACAAATTAGCACTGGCACTTGAAATTGTAAGTCAAGAAGCTTTTTTTGGTAAAAGTTCTATCCAATGGCTGCTTCCATGTGGCTTCTCTGAGATTTACCAGGATTTCCAGCAGGAAAGAAGCAACCGTAAGAAATTTGATCTTCATAGTTGGACTTCGTCATCACTTCGTCGCTGGCTACCCTTCCCCACTGCTATCCTTTCTTGAAAGTCAAAAGTTACTTTCTCATCCCAAAACCTTCTAGAGACTCTTGTCTTATGAATTATGAAAATTTATGTTACTGGGCAAGTACATATTTCATTTAAAATCCCCATCTCTATTTTAATAAATGCATTATTCCTAATATAATACCACATATTCTGGACATGTTTGTCTGGATCAGACTTATTTTTTTGCCAAAGGCTATAGGACAAGACACATTTAAAATTTAAGTAGGCCAGGTTTCAGAAGATGAAAGGGATTTGGTTTTAAAAGGTTACTAAGAAAGCTATTAGTAGGATAATTTCAAAGGCAGCTACTCCATGGGCATTTCTATATTTTTATTGGGTACAAATTGGACAAAGGAAAGCATTTAATTGACAAATTGGGGGGACTACAAATAAGTGTGAATTTTATGCTCAGCTAATAAGCATACAAAACAAATTATGTGAAAATTTAGTCAAAGAGAAGAATGGAATATAATTTCAAGAAACTCTCTAAGTGACTCAACGGATATTAATGACCACACCGAAAAGTGGGAAGTAAATGTAACATGTGGCAGAGCAGGGTTGGAGTCAGACACTCATACCATGGATAACTATTTGTCATTTTCCCAGTGACTCCATAGCTCTCCAAGCTCCTACATAGAAGAGATTTTCTGTGTGGAGTAGCAATGGCCATGTTTTCATCAACTCTAAAACAATCCAATTTGCATCTACCCTTCATGAAGAGGGTTGCCTATTCTCTAATAACAGAAGTTTCCCCCTTCTCTCCTTTTCTAAGTCCTGTGCCCAGGCTTAAAGCCACAGGAAAGAATCAACTGACACCACCACTCAGGCAATAGTTTCTAGAAAAATCTGACTCCTCCCTATGCCACGTGTCCTTTAAGGCAATCAGTGTGTCATGGAGATCTACAAAGGTCCTGGTTACTCATCACTCCTGCTCTTCCCTGAGCAGCCCCTTGCTCCTCTCACTTCACTTCCAAGACCTGTTAGCATCAGCCTGCTTGAGACTACTCCTGACAGCTGTGTATGGCACAGCTTCCTTCTCCACTACACCTGCCTTCCCGCATTACACCTCTCCAAGGCATTAGCTCACATCAACAATCACCAAGCAGATCTGCTCTGCTGCCAGCTATGCAGGGACAGGACTGAGTAGGAATCAATATATCCCACGACCAGCTAGAAGACAAAGCGAGATCAACATTTCTGCCCTTTGAGAGAGTCAGGACACTGGGAAAGAGAGACAAAGGGGCTGAGGGAGGGGGGTTGAATCAGTCTAGGCTCAGTAGGGTGCCCTTGTGGAGTGCCAGCCCTGAAGTTATTGCTCTTTCAAAGTCAGAGAAAAAAATAAAATGAGACAATTTGTTCAATTTAGTCCATCTTCTCCATAGGGAAGAGAAAAGTGGAACCAGCTTTGCCAACATGGCAAGTTTGGCCAGTAAACTGGGTTCTCCATGGCTTTGATCTGAAAGAACCTGTCTAGCCATGGTGTTGGCAGTTTTGTCACACTTAGAGCTAGAGAGCAATCACTGGGGCTGTCCTCAGGGCAGTGGCCTGGGCTACCATATTGGAAGCAACAGGATGGTCCATTGATTGTTTTAGCTGAGGTTTTATGCTGGGAACTTAATTACTAAGTACAAAAAGGAAGACTTCCTCAGCTCTCATGATCCACCATATGAGGGTGATTTGTTAGAAAAAAAAAAAAAAGACATTTAAGGACCTCTCTTTAGGGTCTCTTAGACCCACACCATCCTCCTCATCTAGGTGAGAGGCTCCATTCAGATGAATGGACTAAAGCCTAGGATTATAACCAATCATGTCCCTCAACTCTCCCTCCTCCTGTTCCTCACAACTTAATTAATGCCACAACCAACACCCCTGTTGCCTAATCCAGGAAACTCAAATCCTACTTTGTCTCTACAACTAGCACCTCCTGTTCAATCTATCACAAAATCCTATTGAGTCTTCCTTCTAAATGTCACTTGACTCTGTCCCTTTCTCCCTTTCCTTGTTTCAACCCTAGCTTGGGCCACCATCATCTCCAGTCCATTCTGCACAAGCCCAGAGAGGTATACTCTCAAAATGTAAACAGAATTATGTCATCCTCTTCCAGATTAAAATCTATCAATGCCTTTTCACTGGTTGTCATTAGGATAGTCTAAACTCCTAACTCTTGCCAACAAGGCTCTTCATGGTCCAACTTTTGCTAGTGTTTCTGATCACATCTCCTTGTATTTATATTTCATCCCTCCACACACCAGCCCACCTCACCCATACAAACACACAGGCAAACACATAATATGCTCCATAATTTAGCCATATTAAATATTCAGCTCTTTGAATGAACCACACTTTTTCCCTTAAGTTGCTGAATACTTTACCCTTACCTTGTAGAATACTCTTCCTCCTACTCATTCATTAGTACTCACCTTACAAGTCAGTTCCTCTGGGAAGCTTTCCCTGAACAACCGACTTCTATCTTCATAGTTGTTAGAGAAGTTTGGTGCAACATATAATTATGATGGCTGATTGCATTCAGATGCATTTAATTTTAGTAGCATCTGCTATTTGCATATTTACCTGGTAAGTAACCATGGAACACAAATGACCTTTTATTCTTGTCCCTTCTGTCCTCAGCATAATAACCCTCTTAAATAATTCTGCCTTCCTGGGAAGTGTGGTGTCCTATAAACTTTCGCTGTGCAAACTTAGGCACTTTACAGAGATGTGCAGCGACTGATTGAGAATTCTTTGTATAAAACATTTAATTGACTCGAATTGCAGAACAGAAGAGATGTGTATTTGATGGCAACTATCTACAAAAGGAGTAATACATTTACTACCAGATGATCATAATTGCACTTCACAAAAACTGGAAGATTTCACCATTATGTAGTTTTGTTGTTTTCAAAAGCCTCTTTGGTAAACACAGCCTCTGGCCTTGCGGTCTTCACTAGCTAGCTCCATTTGATTGCAATTGTTCATCTTCATTAGGAGCTTCACCTGTAATTGAGTGTATTCAAGAGAAAGCTTGGTAGGTATTTTAACACAACCTGCAGTTGCTTTTGTGCTCCAAATCAGAGATTCTATCCTGTTGATTTTGCTCATTCCTAAGTTATTTCTTTGACTTGGCCACTTGAATAAATTGTTATATTTGGATCCATCCTAAATGGAAGCCTGGTATTCAAGATATTATTTGATCAATATCTTAAGAGTTTAATGGCCTGCATTTATTCTCCTCCATTTCGGTTTTACAGGTGTGTTTTAAACTTCAAAGGCCTTCCAAGTAACTCAGATGTACTATAACTTATCCTATTATCTGAAAAAGATGGCCCACTCGCTGAGGTTTGGAAATATTTTGCGCTATAGAGACTCAAAGATACATGTTAGGCTCCTTCAAGATGCACAAAAGAGACTTGCTCGGGTTACTTGTAAAAGGTCATGGGATTTGTTGTACATGTTTATTAACCAGAGTTCTTTTTATCCTCTCTTCATTATGGTAGAGGCTCCCCTACCAACCTCACTCCCTGGACTCTCTTTCCCTCATTCAAATAGCAAGGCTCGTGGCATTCACTGCCTCGAGGGAGGGTTACTGCACTAAAAAGTAAAGAAAAATAAAGTCTGACTGGGTAGGGTTTCAAGGTTCTAGTATCCTGAGAGGAAGAGCCAGAAATTAAAGTACATGAAAAAGCAAAAGGAATAAGAACTACTGCCCCTTCCCCTGCATATACACCAAGATCACCTTGGCTTCCCAAGGGTGGGGAAAGAAGGGTGCTGAGGGAAGGAACCAAAGGAGAGGGACATGTACAGGTCTGCCATGAGAAGGGGCTTGGAGTGACCATGAGGCAGTAGTGACATCAGGTCCCTTGGGTTGCCTGGCCTCTCCTCCTTCAATATCCCCCGTATTGTCAGCAGCAAGCAGCTTCTAGGAACTGCTCACCTCTTCAGACTGTCTAGTCCTTACCCACAAGCAATGCAACCCCCTTCTCTAAAGAGCTGTGCTGCGTCTCCTTCCCACATTGCACCCCACAAAAACCTTGCTGTGAGAGCAGGCAGTACATCCTCAGTGAACCTCTGGGAGTACAGTGCCAATCTGGCCCAAGATATTGTCAGTCTCAACAACATACCCAGTTTCAATAAGCTTCAAAGAAGGACAGGGACTTGGATACCCCATGGGGAGCAAGTAGGATGGAAAGAAACATCCTTGCACTTGTACGCAGATACAAATGGGCTTAAACTTCCTCAAACCCCACCTCCTACTCACCCTCAGCCCCTCAGCCAGGAAATGGTAAAACACACTATTAGATAAGAATTCACAGGAAAGCCAGGAAGTCAGCAGATCAACCCAATTAAGCCCAGCCAAGCCTTACAGAGGCCAGAATTTCATTCAAGACACAATGCCACCAAAAGCAGCTACCAAACCATCTTATCCCCTCAGCAGCTAACTTCTGCTGTTGCCCTCTCAGGTGCTGCACGAGAGTGGGTGATGCAGCTACTCTCCCTGTGGCTGAGTCTCTAATTGGTCTCCCCCTGCTGTAACCAACTAATGCCAAGAGTCTGAAGTTCAAAGCCACTCAGGTGACAATGTGACAGGGTTGGCTGGTTAGCTCATCAAGAGCTGAACTGAACTCTCAGGCAACACTCCTTTTAGACCACAAGTCAGCCTATGAGTCAGCTGCCATTGGAGAGAACACCAGTTACTTGTCAAGTCCAGTGAAGCCAAACCCAGAAGAAGGACTGTGGTGTGGTGACTATTCTGAGACTTCACAGAAAGAAACAGAGTAACTGTCAGGTGCTTTACATGCCAGGCCAGGAAAGGATGTTAGGATTAAAATGCTGTCTACATTTCAGTTCCTAGGACCCAAAACCCAGGGCTGAAGTAATCCAGCGAATGTCATACAATTCACCCGGAAAAAAAAACAGATTCTATTGTAGAACTCAAAGTACACAATACACGTATAAATTGAGGGGCATACATAACACTTGCCAAGTTTGCCAAAATTCCAATGCTTTTTTTTCCTGATGTGTCCAGATAGAGATGTGGCAGCATTGACCACGCAGAAGGCACAACACCTGAAAAGCAGATGACTTGGTTCTCAAATGCAACCAAGAATGCATTAAGGAGGCCAAGGCAGGAAGATTGCTCGAACCCGGGAGTTCAAGATCAGCCTAAGCAACATAGTGAGTCCCTGTCTCTACAAAAGAAAAAAAAAAAAAAGCTGTGCATGGTAGTGTGCACATATGTAGTCCTAGCTACTTAAGAAAATGAGGTGGGAGGATTGCTTGAGCCCAGGAGTCCAGGAGGTTGGGGCTGCAGTGAGCCATGATGGCAATGCTGCACTCTAGCCTGAGCAACAGAGCAAGACCCTGTCTCAAAAAAAAAAAATGTATTAAGGAACAAGGGCTAACTCTCCTGGGCTAGAAGGTTTGTAAGTCCTTGAGCTTAACCAACAGTATCTCTTTCCCACAGGGTAGGAAGGAGAATACAAAGGCTGCAGCTGGTCCATGAGCCAAAATAACTAGTGTCTAGGCCCATATGCATTTGTGGCATGGGCTGAATACTGGAGGCCCCTGGACTTTGCAAAGTGCCTCATGTCTATGCAGTGCTGTCTTCAGTTGCCTTTTCTGTACTGGCAAAAGACTGGTTACATTCGTGCCCAAGAATATGAACTTGAACTATTCAAGATGTTTTACAACCATTTCTGTGATAACTCCATGAACACACACACAAAAGCCATAGATTCTGTAAAACTGCAGGCTGTACATAATAGGGCTTTGGGGGAAAATAGTGTTGGGACAAAATCTATGGAACTTTGTCATTAAAGCCCTAAGAAAAACAATAACAACTCTCACAAATATACAGGCACAGTTAACTTTCTATTGGCATTAGCACCCAACACCACAATCAGTTTATCATTTGCAATCTTAATCTGAAACTCCTGTTTCCTCCTCCTTACTGAAATAAGCTCTTGAAGGCATGATATGCTTCTAATAGAGACCAGTTTCATCAAAACCAAAAAATATATCCTTTGTTTTAATACAGAAAGAAATTTTTTTAGCTTTCTTATCTACACCCTCAGCTTCCTCAGATAGCTTAACACATTGAAAAATATAGTTCTTAAAGCCACCAAATCAGCCATGGTGTTAAAAATAGACCAAAGGAGTAGAATGGATTCATCTCTTTGCACTTTCTATTAAGATATGCATTAGGTCTCTCAAATTAAAACCAGAGCAGAAATTCTCCAAAGCTAGGAGCCAGAAATGCAGGTAAAATCCAGATAAAGGAATAAGCATCCGCAGAGCTTTTATCTCATTAAAATAAATAAAGAAAAAAGACAAGGATGAGGGAGGTGAAAGGAGATGGGATCATCTGGGTTCTAACAGTCACATAAACACTGATGGTGAGGAGGTGAAGATGAGGACTTTATTAAAGGAATAATGTTCTCACCATAAACTCAAACTCATTTCATGCTGTTTCTTGTCCTTGTTCCTTGTCAAACCACCTCCTATGCCTCTTTGGTACACAACCCCCTGTGAAAATGACTGATCTAGTCTAACCCATCAGGCACACATAGGTCAGCACCATGTGAGAAACTCCCTCGGGTGCTATCTCAGCACCAAGGAGAGCTCCAGGCCAATTGCGATGGTAGGCCATTTGTGCTTTTCCTTCTGAGCAACTAAGGAAAATCCAGTCCATCTCACTCCTTCACTTAGCTTTTGGTGTGGATGTACTCCAGGAGGATTTCAATTTTATATTTCAATAACTTATGTCATTCCTCTCCCAGATTAGGCATGCCCAGTCCCACTGCATTTCACCAGAATGCTGTTCCAAAATGTGGTCCGGGTCCAGGCTAGGGTAAAACATAAAAGAATTCAATTTAGAGGAACAATGAAAGTGTAATGTCTAACTGAGAATGGAAGTGATGGTGACCCATGTGTGCCCTGTGTATGTTTGTGTTAGTGTGTATGCATGTGTGAGTGTGAAGTCAATCCTCCACTCACAAAAGCCATTTTATGGGAATAAAACTGTTCATCTTTCATCCAACAATTTGAAATTGAGATATTATTAATTATACACTAGGCAGGTTTTCTCTCGGTTGAAAACCTGAGCAATTGAAATTATAATACAAGCACACCCACGTTAGCCTTCCATCTTACTCGTATTGACTCCTATTTATTTCTTCATGAGACTTGTTTTTTTCTTCCCTTCAAAAAAATAGAACTTGAAAATAAAATAATGGCATAACAGAAAGTAAGCTGTGATTTAGGTTGCCTTTTTATCTTCTTTTATTTCAAAAGAATGATCTGGAACAAAGAATACTTTTGTGAGGTAAAACAGATGATCCTCTAAGAGGACTGCACAGTCTGTGAGTATTATTGATTTTTCTTCCTAAGTCATTTCAGCGATACAATCTTGAGCTGAGTGACCATCGATAGTAAATGATTTCCAGCCAGACACTCAATTGTCAGACCTGCTTCTCTCAAAGGTTTAGCACTTCTGGTGAAAATACATACATGGATTTTGAAGCAGTAATAGTGTATGATAGAAGATGTCAACTTGAGAGAATTTTTACTTATTATAACAAGCCCTATGACTGGAATTACAAACAAGAAAGTGAAAAGGAAACCACAGTTTCTGCTAGTTTTTTAAAAAATTTTTTTCTTCAAGGCTTGGGAAATTACAATAAGTAACTAGATCTATTGCTTCCTAAACCTTAAAGCCAAAAAGGAACAATATTAAATCTCCCAAGATCAAGATCTCTTGTATCAAAGAATGTGTAATGAGACTACATGTCAACATCATGAGTGGCAGCACCACCACCTTGAGAGATCTGTGATGTAATGATGCATGGGCAATAGGGTTCAAGGGGCATTTTCTCCAATCCCTGGCAAGCTCCTGCTGAAGCTCCAACCTAAACCTTATTCAAGCTAAAATCTTTGAAGAATTCAACACCAATCTTTTTCTTGAGTCCTATAAAATGCTAAGAGTTTGACCATGAAATTCAAGTCTCAACACAGCTCTTGGAAACCCAGTAACAATAGTCCAAACCTTCATCCTTCAGGTTGAATGTATAATTTCCCAACCATACTTGTATTGACTCCTATTTATTTCTTCATAAGACTTGTTTTTTTCTCCCCGCTCAAAGAAAAAGAGACTTGAAAATAAAATAATGGCATAACAGAAAATAAGCTGTGATTTAGGTTGCCTTTTTATCTTCTTTTATTTCAAAAGAATGATCTGAAACAAGGAATACTTTTGTGAGGGAAAACAGATGATCTTCTAAGAGGACTTTCATTGGGGTTTCTCTATCTATCTATCTCTCTCTCTCCCTCCTTCCCACTTCCACCACTACCCCGTCATTACCTCAATCCTTCGGGCCAAGATAATTCTGCCCAAGCTTATGTAAGTCCTTGGAAAATCAGAGTGCCTGTGAGCTACACTGGATCCACCTAATGAAAAAATAACACTCAACTAGATAAAAATGGAGACACTTTAAGAACACAACTTGAGGTTCTAGTAGGTTCTCCCAAGATCTTCTGCAGAAAGAGTAGCATTTAAATGCTTAATCAAAGTCATTTAGCAGGGGGTAAGAAAACTCAACAGGATGCCCTGCCAATGTCATTTTCTCTGAAAACCCTACAGTGCTAAGCTCTGTCACCTGCATAAGTAGCATTTCCACTGGTTCATGGGCTTATAAATTTGGCCAACTAGGTGGTCAGGTTTTATCTTTGTTTACTGAAACCCACATCCACTCACCAAGTAGATATGCATTAAATTTGCCAGTTTCAAACCATTCATTATCTGCTATCTAGCTGATCAATTTGAATTACCACTAACTTCACTATAATTCTGTCTCTAATTATAATGATGCTGAAAGGCTTTGAAAATTGTCTTGACTTCTTTAGCACTAACAGCTTTAACTTCCCAAATCCCCATTGTGAAAGTCTGTCTCCCAGAAAAGGCCTATGGAAAATAAAGGAAAGATAGAAGCAATGAAATTGGACTTATTTTCAAAACTCAAGGACTGGTTTTGTTTGGAAAGTCTGTTTCTCTCTTTTCTGAAACAGAGAAGAGCCAAAAGACAAACAAACAAACAATCCGGCTGGTCAATTTATTGTAAACTGGAGGTAGTGTATAGAGATTGACAGAGGTGCTTGGCTGGAATGATGGACAACATGGAGGGGTGCTCAGGGATGCAATCAATATATTACCTCCAATATATTACCTCCTATTCCCATTTGTGGTAATTGTCATATAATAGCTTGTTTAAGTCTTCTCGCAGGCCTTAATTGCAGACTGGGTTCTCACCTTTGAACTATAATCCCCTAGTTTTAATTGTAAACAATAAATTGTCTTTCAAATGCTTTCGCTTCTCTTTGCCTCCATCCTCTCAAAACTGAATCTGCCTCAGCTTGACATCTAACAGAAGGTGTAGTGGTGAGAAGGAGAGAAGCCAGCGCAGACCTTGGAAGTCACCTCTGAGCTGAACTTCAGTGACTAAGAAACACCGATAGAAGGACCTAGAAAACGTGGCATCGACAAGCAGCAGCTAGTTCACCAAACCCTAGTGGCCAGTTTCACTCTGACCTAACTTTCTCTCCACCCTCATCCTCTCCTATATAAAGGCCTCTGGGGGAAGGCACTATTGGCCATTTAAACAATAAGTTTCTCAGAGCTTGTGCCAGATATTTCTTTTCAATTGCTTAAAGGCCTCGAGAAATAAACGTTACACCACTGAGGTCCCTCAACCTGTTCTCGTATGAGTCAAGAGCAGATCTCTCCCTCTGCTGGGTACCCTTCCTATTTATTCCTTTGTATATCATTCAGAGCCATTAATCAATCCAGCAGCAGCTCCTTCTCATAGGAGATGTGGGAAATGATAATGTTTTATGTGAACAATTAATCCTGTGGCAGATGTGGAGTTTCCAAGACTACTACCATTAGCACATTGACAGGCTTCCGAACACATCTTCCAGCACTGGTTAGTAATGATTTTAATATGCTAATACTATGTTACTCATAAACAAGAAACATTCAGGCCTTAAGTTTTACATAAGTGCTATTATTTGCAGAGGCTTTCTTTCCAGAGAAGACTGGTGATGAGGTTTTTATATTCTTAATGCTGCTGTTGAATAAACAGTGTCCAATTAACATACCAGCTGGAAGCACCCCATTCCTCAGTTCTGTTTCTTCCTATAATATTCAACATTTATTTGTAAAGCGAATAAAATAATTCAGAGTGAAACTAAGCCATTTGGGGAAGAGAAAACAGGAGTTCTGGGGTGGATTACTTTTCTAGCAATGTGGCTTTTGGTCTTGGATATTACAAAAATGACTAACAGAGCTACAAAAGAAAATGCAGGAAAAAATACTGGCTATATTTAATAATTTAAAAACATTTCTTAAAAATGCAAAGCTGGTGTATGCCCCGTACTCACTTTGTCTGGTGGCTGCTATGTATTTTGTCACAGGGTAAGCTTGTGGTCTTAGATTCGCTATTTATCCAGAGCTGACAAAGTCCACAGTCTGAAGCCTGCTTTATTATTTCTCCCTAGTTTAGGTAAGGTAATAATCCCCAGATAGTCACAGTACCTTCTGTCTACCTTTCTTCTTGTCACATTTTCTCCTTAAAGATGTTTTAGTATAATAATGAATTGCTATCCACAGTAAAGGTGCTTCATCATAATTTTGCTTCATGCTGAATTTGTAAACTGGCCACAGTCATTGACGGGCAGTCTGTAACAGCAATAAAACAGAGTTGCTACGGAACTGACTCAAGGTCAAACCCTCAGTGTTGGGAAGTACAAAAACACTGCCTCTCAGAGAATGCTGTTTCTTACTGTTTCATGTTTAACACGATAAAAGGAAAGGACACCAGGCATAAGAGAGACTTTTTGTAACCAAGAGTTTTTTTTTTAAATAAACATCTTAATCAAACAAATTGGGAAACAATTTTCCTGTGGCTTTAGACAGAGCCCCAAAAATGGAGGGCAGAGGGTACCTCAAGAAACTAAAGGAATGGATTCCAGCATGGTCAGCTCGTGACAGTCATTCCTGTTAGACTAGCACCTGCAGATGAGAGTTTTATTGGAAACTTCTCTTCAGCCCAATGTCCCACACAAACAAGAGGGTTTTGTTTGTTTGATTTGTTTAGGCTGCTATGTTATGTTCCATGAACAAAATGATCTTTTAGAAATATCATGGAGGCCAATCTTTTTTTTTTTTTTTGAGACAGTCTCTCTCTGTCGCCCAGGCTGGAGTGCAGTGGCGTGATGTTGGCTCACTGCAACCCTCTGCCTCCCAGGTTCAAGCAATTCTCCTGCCTCAGCCTGCTGAGTAGCTGGGATTATAGGCGCACACGACTATGCCTAGCTAATTTTTGTATTTTTAGTAAAGATGAGGTTTTGCCGTGTTGGCCAGGCTGGTCTCCAACTCCTGATCTCAAGTGATCTGCCTGCCTTAGCCTCCCAAAGTGCTGGGATTACAGGCGTGAGCCACCGCGCCTGGCCGAATCATTTAGATAAACTACAGAACAATGCTGCAGGCACAACACAAAGAAGAGCCCTACTCCTTCCCAGGGAAGCATCTAGGAGATAGTGTCACACAGGCAAGGTATTCCTTTCTGCTGACTGCAGATCATGGAAGATCCTCCTTTCTCTTAATACCTATTTCCTTTGTCTTTTAGTTCAAGGAAAGAGCACTAACATTTGATGAGTGTCTATGAGTATATTCCAAGGCCCAAGCACTCTCCATCCTGATTTAATCCTCAGAACAACCTATGAGACAGGAATCATTTGCTTCATTTCACATGAGCCACAGCAAGGAAAATTAAATTGTTCCAGGCCCAGAGATTCAAATCCAGTTTTGTCTGGCTCCAGACTCTGCTTTCATTATTTCCTCTTCTCATCTTCCCAGCACCAACTGTATTTCCTGGAAACTATTCTTGAGACTACAGTATGATAACATTACTCCTGCCTTGGAGGCAGTCAAAATTTAGCAACAATTTAGAAGTTTATTCTTGATATTATCAAAGAACATTTTCACCATGCAGAGTATTTGTAAAAGAGTCCATTTAAATCGAAGCCTTCATTGGTATAATCAAAATTTCAAAACTACAGTCAACTTAAAAGTTTGGATTTTTTTCACTCCTGTTTTTAATAATTCTTCTCCTGAACAAAGTGCATGCCTGTGTAATGAGATAATAGGAGCATTCCCTCAAAACAGGTGGAAATCTTCTGATCAAATTCATCAGTTTTAGTGACTTAACTATAAGTGTATCTCAAAGATTGAACTATTGCTACATGTTATACACCTAAAAGGAAGTAAGATGCCTGACTAATGATGAATTAGAATTACATTAGACCCTCTACACAGTTAGTTCATGCCTTTAAAAATTCTTTTCATTTCATTGGTCTCATGTGGATCCTGTGGGCTTATGTGAGACCTACAATCCTCTTCCTCTATCGGTCTATAAAAGGCAGGCGGCATCGTTTTTCAGTGCCATGGGCTTTAGAAAATGTACAGTCATGATCCCAAGATGATCTTTTTGAATTCTTTCAATCATCCTCTTCTTAGCACACTCAAATCTCCTTAGTATGCTGCTTCCTTAACTTAGCAAATGATGATTGTGAACCCACAATGTGCTAGCCAATGTGCTAAGAAACCGTGATAAATAAAGCTGACAAGGTACTTACCCTGGTAGAGTTTATATTCTGTTTTTTGTTTGTTTGTTTGTTTGTTTGTTTTTTAAGATAGGGTCTTGCCCTGTTGCCCAGGTTGGAGTACAGTAGTGTGATAATGACTCACTGTAGCCTCATCCTCTTGGACTCAAGTGATCCTCCTGCCTCAGCTTCCCAAGTAGCTGGGACTACAGGCACACACCACAATGCTCAGCTAATTTGTTTATTTTTTAAAGAGACAGGGTCTCCCTAGTTTGTCCAAGCTGGCCTTAAACTTCTGAACTCTAGCAATCCACCCACCTCAGCCTCCCAAAATGCTATAATTACAGGCGTGAGCCACTCGGCCCAGCCTAGTTTATGTTCTATATCGGCAAATATTTTTTAGTAAAGAGTAAGATAGTAAATATTTTAGGCTTTGTCGATCATACAGTCTCCAATGCAATGACTTTATTTTGCTATTGCAGCACAACAGCATCCATAGACAACAGATAATTTAGGAAGACAGTAGTGTTCCAATGAAAGGCTATTTATAAAAACAAGCAGTGGGCCAGACTTGGCCTGTGGACCATAACTTACTGATCCCTGTTCTATTAGATTCCATGTTGTTACTGGTCTCGCTTTTTATTATATGTATTATTAAAGTAAATCTGATATTATTTTCCATTAAACTTTTTATTTTGATATAATTATAGATTCATATTAAGTTGTAAAAAATAATATAGAGGAATTCTGTACACCTTTCCCCCAAGTGGTAATATCCTCAGAAATGATAGCATGGTATCACAACCAAAATATTGACATTGATGCAGGCAAGATACAAAATATTTCCAATACTACAAAAATCCCTCATGTTGACTTTCTATAGCCACACCCACTGCCCTCTCTACCTGCCCCTCCTTAACCCATGGCAACCACTAATCTCTATTTCTGTAATTCTATTTTTATAATTTCCTTCTCATCTCTATAACTTTAAAGGGTAAGAACACATTTTTTCTTACGATTTCTGTTAACATAGAACACAAAGTCACATCTTACTCTGTGTTAGATTCTAAAACTGATAAATGAGTTAAAACTTAATTGTATATAAGAAAACTTAACCTTAACAATTCTTAGAAAGGCACCACTTGGTAGATATACACACCAACTCACTCGAAACAGAGTAAAGCCAGCACTTTCTTCAGTGGTAGACCAGATGGCTTTGTCTCTGTTGTGGCACCTACTCATACTCAGATTATGTATCTTTAGTCACTGGAATTGCATTCAGCACATCAAGAAAAGAAACATGTGGGAACTGAGGCTACCAAAAAAACACAACAGTTTCAGGTTCCTATCTGAAGTACCTTATGCCTTATATGGTGCCCATTGAGTAGAATATCTTCTCCATCCTTCACTGTCTCCTTCTGTTCTTTAATGCAAAGCACATAATGCCTAGTATTAAATATATTGATCTCTTTGAATATCACCGGAGTTTTTACAATATTGTTCAGTGTCTTGGTAGAGCTCATCTAACTCAGTAGAAATAGCAAAACTGCTGTCTGCTTCTATGTAAGTTCCATCTATTGGGTTATACTACTTTAGCCAGCTGGTGTCTTACAACTGCATCTGTTACTTAAAAAAAAAATAAAAAATGCTCTTCCCTTTAGTAGACATTATATAGCTTTGTTATTGTAATTTTGGGCACACTGCATGAAGACTCTTATCTAAAATTGGATATTTGTTTTGTACATTAAGAAGACAAATAGGTTTGATTCTTGTTTTATTTATTTTTTATCTTCCATGCAGTACAGAATGCAAACATCCATAGAAAGAATCAATTCCCTCCAATACTAAGAGCTTTGTTGTCTCTTTTTTGACTTTCAAAGACCTTGGCTACTGTAAAACAAATCAGTTAAAAAAAAAACAAAGCATTATTCAAAGGGAGCACTCTGGTATGCTAAGTTTTCACCCAGAGGGAATTTTTACAGTGAAGTTACAACCCTCTTAAAATAGGGTTATAATAGAAAACATCAGTAGACAAACAGTAGTCACTTTAGAAGTTCTCTTTAATAGCAGTATAAGCATTGACTATTTCTTCCTGGGAAATATTTGAAATACCTAAATGTGTTCCATCTTTACTCAGCCATGCACCTTCTAAATAATTTCCTAGTACAAGTGGAGGTTTGTGACTAGGAGAACAGCATGGGCTGTCTGGAATGTTTCCTCAGATTTCTGCAGTAAGCTTATGCCCTTCACATCAGTCACTCTTAACATGAAAGAGACTTGATTTAACTTCTGCCCAGCAGTACACCCCTGGACTGTTATGAAATGGAAGCTTATATTCAATGCACGAGCTTGCGCCTTACAATCTCAGCTTTCCCCAGGGACAGCAAAGTCCTCCCTCCTTAGCCTTTGCCATGTTTGGTAGTTGTGGCTGTTTCAGCATACATCTCAGGCTGCCTTACAGAATCATTACTGGTGCACATGTCCATTTTTCCCATCAGATTCCAAGCTCTCAAGAACAAAAACATTATTCTCTACAGCATCCAGTACAGAGCTTGGCACATGGTAAGTGCTGAAACAGCATATGTGAGAAGAAAGCCCCTGAGAGATGTTTACTGCTCTAAGTGAAAAAGGTCTGGGATATCAGATTTGGGTAATACACAAGACTAGGGACACACTGATCCTGGGTAAACTACAACAACAACAACAATTTTTTAATGTAGTGTGGGGAATTAAGAAAAAAAAATTTTAAGAGATTGAAAGGAATAGAACAGGAGTAGCAAGCTGAAACTGAAGCCAGATAGGTGAACAATATCACCAAATCTGGAGTTAACCTAGAGTAAATTTCAACAGTAGTGGAGAACTTGGGTGGCTAAATGTTGTCACTGCTGCAAGCTGAGGGAGCTGAATCTGGGAAATATGCATTAGTATGGATCCTCCAAAACAGCTAAAGAGATCCCACGTTAGAAGCACCCCACTCCCGGCCGGGCGCGGTGGCTCACGCCTGTAATCCCAGCACTTTGGGAGGCCGAGGCGGGCGGATCACGAGGTCAGGAGATCGAGACCATCCCGGCTAAAACGGTGAAACCCCGTCTCTACTAAAAATACAAAAAAACTTAGCCGGGCGTAGTGGCGGGCGCCTGTAGTCCCAGCTACTTGGGAGGCTGAGGCAGGAGAATGGCGTGAACCCGGGAGGCGGAGCTTGCAGTGAGCCGAGATCCCGCCACTGCACTCCAGCCTGGGCGACAGAGCGAGACTCCGTCTCAAAAAAAAAAAAAAAAAAAAGAAGCACCCCACTCCCAGCTCCAAGAAGCAAACACAAATTCTCTCTGAAAGAAAGTATTGCCAATTCAGTCTCACATGATTCCTAGAGATTACGTTGAACAAAATAGGAGCTCACAACAGCAACAACAAACATTACCAACCACACAAGGAAATAAGCAGCTATAAGTGAATTCAGCGAAAACAAAAATCCATGAAGTTAGTGCCTTGATGATTTTACTACTGGAATAATTCTAAGATACAGAATATAAAATAGGTGTGACATATTTCTTAAAAATATATAATTTTGCAAAAACAACTTTTTATTTATCAAGCAAAAGACTTTACAAAATTATCAGAAAGAGTTAAATAAGAATCAAACCAACTTTCAAAAATAAAAGTTATAAGCATTTAAATTTAAACCTCAATTGAAGTATGAGACAGTCGATTATATACTGCTGAAGAAAAAATTAGATAATGGGGTAATAGATATTTAAAAGTTACTCACAATGCAGTGCAGAGAATAGAAAGTATGGAGAAGGCTTAGTGAGAAGACTAAAAATCAGTTAATGGAATTTTTAGAAGGAAAGAAGAGAAAGAATGGAGGAGAAGCAATATTTAAAAGGTAATGGTATGCTGGTCGTGGTGGCTCACGCCTGTAATCCCAGCACTTTGGGAGGCCAAGGCAGGTGGATCACCTGAGGTCAGGAGTTCGAGACCAGCCTGACCAACATAGTGAAACCCCATCTCTACTAAAAATACAAAAATTAGCCAGGCGTGGTGGTGGGCACCTGTAATCCCAGCAATTTAGGAGGCTGAGGCAGGAGAATCACTTGAACCCAGGAGGCGGAGGTTGCAGTGCAAGATTGCGCCATTGCACTCCAGCCTGGGCAACAACAGTGAAACTCTGTCTCAAAAAAAAAAATAGTGTTATAAAAGGTAATGGTTGATGATATTCCATGACTGATGAAACACAAGACTTTTCACACAGAGGATGCAAAACCCATATCAAACAGCACAGATAAAACCAAATCCACACTTAGTCACATTGTAGTCAAAGAGCAGAATATCAATGACGAAATAAAGAATTATAAGGCATGAAGAGGAAAATTGCAAATCACAGAGAAACAATTAAATGGGAAGCAAGATTCTCAAAAGCTGTAGTGAAAGCTGGAAGATAGTGAAAGAATGCCATCCGAATGCTAACGTATACAACCATCAACCTAAAACAGGATATTCAGCAAAATATCCTTTAAGAATGAGGATGAAATAAGGACGTGTTTAAATAAGCAAATACTGATATAGTCTACTCAGCAGACTTTCACCATTGAAACTTTTAAAAGATGTATTTCAGAAAATAAGAAAGCTGCCCAATACAGGAGAAGAAAATGAGAAAAACGAAAGTGGAAAACATGTATGTAAATTTAAGCAAACATTCTATACAATAATAATGATGCTAATGTCTGATGTTATTGGATTAAAAACTAAAATAATGAACAAAAATAAAAGGTATTTTGGAGAATGGTTCTCAGAATAACAAATGTTTTAAGTTTGTGTATGGTTTGGAAAGTCATTTAGATAAGACTAACTTTGGACTTCGGTTAAGTCTAAATAGTAGTGGTAGTCCAAATACACAGTAAAATTTAAAGTGTAGCCACTACAAAAATAGACAGTCATATTGTGTCTGGGGTTGGTTTTTTCTGGTGAGTTCTTGGTCTCTCTGACTTCCAGAATGAAGCCGTGTACCTTTGCAGTGAGTGTTGCAGCTCTTAAACGTGGCACGGACCCAAAGAATGACCGGCAGCAAGATTTACTGTGAAAAGCAAAAGAACAAAGCTTCCACAAAGTGGAAGGTGACCCAAGCCGGTTGCCGCTGCTGGCTGTGGTGGCCAGCTTTTATTGCCTTATTTGTCCCCGCTCACATCCTGCTGATTGGTCCATTTTACAGAGCGCTGATTGGTCCATTTTACAGAGTGTTGATTGGTCCATTTTACAAACCTCTAGCCAGCCATCAAGTGCTGATTGGTGCGTTTTTACAGAGCACTGATTGGCACATTTTATAAACCTCTAGCTAGCCACAGAGTGCTGGTTGGTGCGTTTTACAATCCTAGCTACAGAGTGTTGATTGGTGCATTTTGCAATCCTCCTACAAGACAGAAAAGTTCTCCAAGTCCCCACCTGACCCAAAAGTCCAGCTGGCTTCACCTCTTAATATTATCCAAATAACTAGAAGGAAAAATAGAATAAGAAAATAAACAAACTCAAATTTATACACACAGAAAAGTCATGATATAGAAAACTACAAAGTAACACAGAAAACACAAATTTAAACGTATTACTAATAAAAATAAATGTAAATGATTTCAGTTGTCCAGCCAAGGAATAGAGATAATCAGATTGGGTGGGAAAGCATCTGGCTATATGCTAGTTACAAAATAAAGTTTAAAAATGAGTACATGGCAAGATTGAAAGTAAAACGATGAAAATTGATCAAGTTGAAAGTAAAAGGAGAAAAAAATATAAGATTAAAATGAACCAATGAAAACAGGGTTAAATATATTAATTCAGAAAAAAATGACCTTAAGAGGCACACATGTTTTTCAAACAAAATGTGTCACCGTGGTAAAGGTTCTTCTCAACAGAAACATGTAAAAATTTAAAATGTTTATGCACCAAATAGGGACTCAAAAAGTACAAAACAATAAAGTGATAAAATTACAGATAAAAAGTAACAAATCCATCATTATAGTGGAACATTTCAGTATGTATCTCTCCATAATTGATGGCTCAAGCTTTCAAAAGAGTGGTAAATATGTGAAATTTTAAATCACAGTCAACATGCTTGACTTAAAAGATGTAAATAGGGGCTGGGCGCGGTGGCTCACGCCTGTAATCCCAGCACTTTGGGAGGCCGACACAGGTGGATCACCAGGTTAGGAGTTCGAGACCATCCTGGCCAACATGGTGAAACCCCGTCTCTACTAAAAATACAAAAAAAAAAAAAAAATTAGCTGGGTGTGGTGGCAGGCGCCTGTAATCCCAGCTACTCAGGAGGCTGAGGCAGGAGTATCACTTGAACCAGGGAGTTGGAGGTTGCAGTGAGCCAAGATCGCACCACTGCGCTGCAGCCTGGCAACAGAGTGAGACTCCCTCTCAAAAAAAAAAAAAAAAAGATGTAAATAAGATGCTGTGCCCAACAATTAGAGAATATATAGTCCTCTCAAGCACACATGGAACATTTACAAAAACATCGTCCACACAGAAGCCATAAAGCAAGTACCAACAAATTTCAGATTTTAACCATAATGTAATAAAGTTAGAAATGAATAAATAGAAATAAGTTATGTGAGTTTTAAAAAAACTCATATAGCCATTTTTAAAAGACTTCTAAGTAACGCATAAGTCAAAAACATTATAATTGATATTTTAAAATACAAGTAGACGATAACTTGAGAGAGGTAAGCACCAATGAAAAGCACAAACACAAACTAGAAACCTGAAGAAGGTATTTGCCACATACATAGCCAAATACTGAATGGTATTCAGAATATATAAAGAAGTGCTGTTAATCACTAAGGCAAGCAACCAAATGGGAAAAGATATGAACAGGTATTTTAGAGAGGAGGAAACAAGACTGGCAAATGAACCTATGGAAAGAGCTCAACATCATTCACAGTCAGGGAAACACTAATTAAAACACAATGAGATACCATTTTTCATCCATTAGAACAGCAAAAATTAAGAAACCTGACAACACTAAACGTTGGCAAGAGTGTGGAAGAATAATCTGCCTCTCAACTAATGAGAATATGAATTATTATAACTACTTTGCAATGAAATTTTGCATTGTTTGGAAAAGTTGAACTTTCAGCCAAAAATTATAGTGCCAATTTATGCTAGAGGAACTTTTGCATATGTATACCAGGAGACATGTACACAATTATTCAGAACAGAATTATTGTAGCAAAAAAAACTAAAAACAAACCAAACAAATTAAGGATATGCACAAATTGTGGGTTTATTCAAACAGTAAAAATATACTGTTATGAAAATGAATTAACTATAGCTATGTACAAGAGCATGGATGAATTTTAGAAATGTGTTGAATGAAAAAAAGTAAAGTATGAAAAAATTGTATTGTATTTGAAATCAAAGCTAAATACATAGTGATAAAGGCATACATGTTGTGCATCTGTGGTTAAAAGTTATATTTAAAAATGGGGAGGAGGAGTTGAGAGTTGCGGATGAAAGTAACTGTTAATGGGTACAGTGCTTCCTTTTTTAGTGATAAAATATGCTAAAATGATTGTGATGATGGTTGCAGAACTCTGTAAATATCAATTAAAAAAACTTTGAACTTTACACTTTAAATGAGTGTATGGTATGGGTGTGGATTATATCTCAATAAAGCTGTTTAAGGGAAAAAGCAAGGGAATGAACACAAACACAAAAGGAGAGTGGTTGCCTTTGATAACAGAATGATGGAGATCAGTTAATTTGGTGGACTTTTGTTGTAGTTTTATTCATGCTTATAAGTGTACGTGTGTGTGTGTGTATTTTTCCATTTGTGTCAAATATCATGTAAGTTTAAAGGCTGCGAGTAAAACAAACAAATTTACATATTTCCCCTAGAGAAACCTTATTTTGAGCTTCCAGAAATTCACATGCAGCAAAGCCCCAACTCTGTAAAAGTGACTCACACCAGAATTCTTATTTCTGGAATAATTGAGTTTGTATGAACAAAGTGAAATAAATTTCAAACACTAAAATCCTCTGGTATATAGATTTGCCCATTATAATTCAAAAGTCTAAATACACTGCAGAAGTAAAACAGAACATAAGGACAATTTACATCAACAACTTGCCCTTGGAAGTGTTTTTAAAGTGAAGCTGACTTGTATAAAACGTCTTTAATATGAATATTTCCATTGGATTTGAAAAAATAGGTAAATGCCTTTAACTTTTATTTAAGATATTTGCAGGCGGCCTTGAGGCATGGAAAAGAAGATTGTGCTAATCTGTCCGAAGTTCAGCTACGAATTCTACAGTGTTTCACTCTTCTCTTTTACCAAAAAAAAAAAAAAAAAAAAAAATTATTTCACAGAGGGAACAAAATTGTAAATACTGAGAACAATCATATCTAAATTATATTAGACCAAAATTATTGTTAAATTATGTCACCATTTGTGTCTTTGATTTGTATGTTCAGAAACAATAAGACATGGTACTTCTAGGCCAGGCATGATGCCTCACACCTGTAAATTTGGCGCTTTGGGAGGCCAAAGTGAGAGGCTTGCCTGAGCCCAGGAGCTTGAGACCAGCTTGGGCAACATAGAAAGACCCCTGTCTCTACAAAAAATACAAAAATTAGCTAGGTGTTGTGGCGTGGGCCTGTATCTCAGCTAATTGGAAGGCTTAGGTAGGAAAATCAACGGAGCCCAGGAGGTAGAGGCTGCAGTGAGCCATCATGGCATCACTGCATTCCAGGCTGGGTGACACAACAAGACCCTGTTGATTCACATTAGTAAATCTTATGTTATCATTTCAGCACCTTTGGACTTTATACAGCTGTGGCTTTTCTTGTCATTACTAGAATTTTACCTTAAAGATCTGGAAATAAACATACACTATGTGAAATATTGTCTTAACAAGACTTGACTAACATATTATTTTCATGTACACTTTTTTTTTTTTTTTTTGAGACGGAGTCTTGCTCTGTCACCCAGGCTGGAGTGCGGTGGTGCGATCTCGACTCACTGCAACCTTTGAGGCCTCCCCAGTTCAAGTGATTCTCCTGCCTCAGCCTCCCAAGTAGCTGGGACTACAGGCGCCCACCACCACGCCCGGCTAATTTCTTATATTTTTTAGTAGACATGGAGTTACACCGTGTTAGCCAGGATGGTCTCGATCTCCTGACCTCATGATCTGCCCACCTCGGCCTCCCAAAGTGCTGAGATTACAGGCATGAGCCACCACGCCCGGCCATGTACACATATTTTTTAAGTGCTGGGCCAATCTCAAGTTGATTCACATTTGTAAATCTTATGTTATCATTGGAGCACCTTCAACGAAGTCTCTAAGCTCCAAACCTTTACCTCTTGCACTAATCAAGTATCTTAAATTCTATTCAAAGAGATCTAGTCCTTTCTCGAAGGCTTAGAAGTTCTTCTCGAAGACAGAAGTCTTCGAGGCTTCTGTCTTTCGGAGTCCCCTATTAAAGTGCAAATGCTGGATGGGCACCGTAGCTCACGCCTGTAGTCCCAGCATTTTGGGAGGCCGGAGCGGGTGGATTGTTTGAGACCAGGAGTTCAAGACCAGACTGAGCAATATGGCAAAATCCTGTCTCTACAAAAATTCAAAAACAGCCAGGTTTGATGGCATGCGCCTGTAGAGCCAGCTCCTAGGGACGCTAAGGTGGAAGAATCACCTGAGCCCAGGAGGTTGAAGCTGTAGTGAGCTGTGATTATGCCACTGCCCTCCAGCCTGAGCGACAGAGTGAGACAGTCTCAAAAATAAAATAAAGTACAAAAGGCCTTCAGAAAGCAATGACCTCAAGAGAGCAATTTTGCATGATGAACTGTCAGTTGGGCTCAGGTCCCTGGTCTATAGAAATCTGAATCAAGATAGCGCCGTCAGTGAGGGAGGAAAAAGTGAAGGTGAGTAAGATGGAGATGACTGTGGAAGTAGAAGGAAGGCACATATTCACCAAGAGGAGAGAATCACAGAAGACACTGCCGGGGAGAAGGGGGATCAAGCAAAACCATGCTTCTCCATTTCACAGCATTTTGGAAGGGTAGATAATACAAAGGAGCTAAGAGACTTGCTTACAATGGCAGCAGAACAAGACAATTTTGTAGCAAGGAATCCAGAAACACCAAGTCACAGGTCACCAATTCAGCTGGCTTCAGCACTATGATTTTGAAACTCTCATAAAAAGTGTGTTAAGCAGAACAAAAGTTTATTGTCCTGTATTACTGTACACAGCGTTTCTAGAATAATAGATTAGATGCCTCTAGGAGCTTAGAGAGAGAACCATATGGATGAGAAAGATTCCCCACTGATACCTGATACATGTCTAGACTCCCTGAAGCAACTTAATGTACATCTTGAGATTCAAGCCGGGAGAGGTTTTAATATTTATCTTTCTTAATTATAAAGGTGATACATTTTCATCATGAAAAACAGAGAAATTGAAAATGACTGTAAAACACCATTTCATATTCATCAGACAGGCAAAAATTGAAAAGCCCAATAATATCAAATATTATTCAGGATGAAGAGAAATAGAAACTCTTTAACATTGCCGGAAAGAGTAGATTTTTAGAACAACCACTTTGGCAAGACCTAGTAAAATTTAAAAATGTATGTACTCTTTTCTTTTTTTTTTTTTTCTTTCTTTTTTGTCTTGAGACAGAGTTTCACTCTTGTTGCCCGTTGCTGGATGCAGTGGCACAATCTCAGGTCACAGCAACCTCCGCCTCTCAGGTTCAAGAGACTCTCCTGCCTCAGCCTCCTAAATAGCTCGGATTACAGGCATTCGCCACCACGCCAGGCTAATTTTGTATTTTTAGTAGAGATGGGATTTCACCATATTGGTCAGGATGGTCTTGAACTCTTGACCTTATGTGTTCCACCCGCCTCGGCCTCCCAAAGTGCTGAGATTACAGGCATGAGCCACCAAGCCTGGCCATGTGTACTCTTTAACCCAGAAATTCCACCACTAGGTATCCACCTTTGAGAAACTCACCATTTACACAACAAACCATGTACAAAGATGTTTGTTATAGCACTTTTTATAATAATAAAAAAGTGAAACCAATCTATATATTCCTCAAGGGGGATAGACATAAACTGTAGAATAATATATAACAGCCAAAATTAGTGAACTGCATCTACAGATATCAACATGAATGATTATGAAAAACAACTTGTTATATTTTTTGAAAAGCAAATTACAAAAGGATATGTACAGTATAATATTTAGTTATAATATTAACTCATACTACATATAGTTTAGGATACATACATATGTGTTAAAAATTACAAGACGTATTTCAGAATGATGCACAGTGTATGGGTTAATTTAGGTTACCATTGACAAGAAATTTAGTGATAGTGGCATAAATACATTAGAATTAGATTTGTCAAATAGAAGTCTACATAAGTTGCTTTAGTTGAGATGGCAACTCTGCAGGCATGAAGAAAACGAATTTTTCTGTCTCGTAGCGCCACCGTCCATAGCCCATAGCTTCTACGTAGTGGTCCAAGAGAGCTCCTACCATGATAGCCCCACTCTAGCCAGTATGAAGGAGGAAGAGGAAAGAGAAGGGGCCCTTCCTTCTTTAGCGAATCCTCCAGGATGTTGTACATATAACTTCTACTTTAATTCCACTTCCACTGGCCGGAATTCACTCAAATGGCAATATCTGGGAGATGCAATGTTTATTCTAGGCAAACATGTACCTAAAGAAAAAGCAGTGATTACTTCTACAAAGCGGGTGGGAGAATAGGAGAGAGGAGTGACACTAAAGTTGTTACCTGTAATGTCAAATTTCTTGTATGTTTTAAAGAGAGATCGGAAGCAAATATGGCCTATTATTAGCATCTGTTTAATCTTTGTGATGGGTGCATAAGTATCATTTCTGTGATTGCCAATCTTGTCTATTTCTTTGAAATTTTCATAATTTAAAAGAATTTTTTTTTTCTTTGAGACAGTCTCACTCTGTCACCCAGGCTGGAATGCAGTGGCACGATCTGGGCTCACTGCAACATCTGCCTCCCGGGTTCAAGCAATTCTCCTGCCTCAGCCTCCCAAGTAGCTCGGACTACAGTTGTGCACCACCATACCTGGCTAATTTTTGTATTTTTAATAGAGACAGGTTTCACCATGTTGGCCAGGCTGGTCTTGAACTCCTAACTTTGTAATCCACCTGCCTTGGCCTCCCAAGGTGCTGGGATTACAGGCGTGAGCCACCATGCCCAGCCTAAAAGAAAATTTTTTAAATGCATGGAAAATATAGGAAAATAGCTATGTAGAAAAACCATTGACCTTCATTCCCCCATACACATTACACATACATACACCTGAAAATAGCAGTTAACATTCTGGCAGCCAGGTCTTTGATCTTTCTCCTATACATATTTTTACACAATTGTGTTTTTAATATTTATATATTTTTGTAACCTACTTTTTAGTTTATTGCATAAGTGTTTTTCATAGCTTTTAAATTTAAAAAATATATATTTAATGGCTATCAGGTAATCTATCATAAGGATGTATCATAATTTAATTAACCTCTTATTGTTGAACATGATGATTTTATAAATGTTAAATAAACTTTATATTATGGATTTCCAATGTACATATTTCATCTTCTATCACTTTGTCTCCAGATACTATTAATTTCAAGATAGGAATAATTATTGGTGTTTCCCATTCATTTAGTTACAATTCATCTCAGAAGCGATTTTTGTTTTGCTAAGAGATTTTCACTGGTCTTTTGTCCAAATTTCTTAGAATCAGTTAAAATCCCCTGAAACCAGAAGTTATCCTCACATATTTTCCTGACTCTCCTGGAACTTCTATTGATTTTATGTGAGCCCACAAATATGACAGAGAAGCATATCAGGGAGCTCTGGCCCTTGGGAATAGTTAAGAGCCCACGGTACTCTGTGTTCCCATCTCTGCAAGGCCTGAGCAATATCTTGGTACAATTGATGAATGTGACCAAGGTGCTCATTTTTTTTCCAAATGCTAAGTTCAATTCACTCTCACTTGTGCTCTCATTCTCTTTCTCATGCATTTTTAGTAGCCTTCCATTTAGACAATGCATAAAAGATACCTTCCGAAGCCCTTTTAATGGATCACACTTGTCATGCATGCATCCAAATGTACTTTAGAACTCTGTCTAGATACTATTGTGTGCCACAATTTAGTGATGCATTTTTAATCTAATTCAAAAATATATTGGCCAGGCATAGTGGCACATGCCTGTAGTCCCAGCTACTTAAGGAGGCTGAGACAGGAGGATGGCTTGAGCTCAGGAGTTTGAGGCTGTAGTGCACTGTGATTACACCTATGAATGGCCACTGCACTCCTACCTGGACAATATAGTGAAAGCCAGTGTCTTAAAAAATATAAAATAATGCACATATATATATATATATATATATAATTACTACAAAGTCTGAAACAACCTACACAAAGAAAAGCTTTCCAAGAAATTCCAAATTGATTCATTCATTCATTCGACAAATGTTTATCAACCATTCAGTGGGCTCCACTTCTGGCACTACAGAAATGCACAGACTAAACGTGGGAAGTGGATATGTAAGTAAACAATTAAGACAATTTGACAGAGGGCAGTGGCTTATCCCTGTAATCCCAGCACTTTGGGAGGCCAAGGCGGGCGGATCACTTGAGGTCAGGAGTTTGAGACTAGCCTGGCCAACATGGTGAAACCCCGTCTCTACTAAAAATACAAAAATTAGCCAGGTGTGGTTGTGCGCACCTGTAATTCCAGCTACTCAGGAGGCTGATGCAGGAGAATCGCTTGAACCCAAGAGGAGGAGGTTGCAGTGAGCCAAGATCGTGCCACTACACTGCAGCCTGGGCGACAGTGAGACTCCATCTCAAAAAAAAAAGACCATGTGACACCTGAGTAGAGTAAGAGCAAGTAGTTTGGGAGTATCAGTTTGAATATGTTCATGTGAGTGTCTTTGTAAAACAAGACCTGGCCATTTTCTTTGATTCTTTGATACATACTTATTAATCAAGTCTACTAAGAGAAACATGCAGACTCACAGGTTCTGCCCAGAAATTCCATGGGAGCCAGGAAACCTTCTCTGAGTAATGTGATATCCCAGACCTTTCTGGTCTTATCTCTACTATGCCCCCAGCACAGTGGTTTGTAGAGGGATTTTACAATAAAAAGCACATCGAACAAATTGGATAAACTCAGATCATGCCTGCATTTGTACTTACTCTACTCAGGTGTCACATTGTTTTAATTGTTTTGTTTGTTTGTTTGTTTTTGAGATGGGGTCTTGCTCTGCTGCCCAGGCTGGAGTGCAGTGGCAACCTCCGCCTCCCGGGTTCAAGTGATTCTCCTGCCTCAGCCTCCAGAGTAGCTGGAACTACAGGTGCGTGCCACCATTCTTGGCTAATTTTTGTAGTTTTAGTAGAAATGGGGTTTCACCATGTTGGCCCAGCTGGTCTCGAACTCCTGACCTTGTGATCGGACCACCTTGGCCCCCCAAAGTGCTGGGATTACAGGCATGAGCCAACGAGTCTGGCCCATTTTAATTGTCTACTTAAATATCCACCTCCCACAGTTAGTGAAATCAGATCATGCTTGAATTATCTTTAGCCAGGTTTTCTAAAATGGACATGGTAGATAAAACCTACAGTAAAGACTCAATAAATATTTGTTGAGTGAAAGAAAGAATAAATCAATTTGTGTGTTTCTAGTTCCCCCTTAGCAGAGCACTGACCACATAGTTTTCAATCAATTGTCAATTGATTTCCTTTTATGGTACAAAATTATGAATGTATCAACAAAAATTTTTAAAGTAGGTGTTCTTTTTCTAATGATTTGGCTTGATAATTTTAATATATATTCAATTAGATAGAGAATGTTCAGCAGCACCTTTTCAGAATTGGTAGTCACATCAACTTCCCATTTTGAATAATAGATGTAAAACATTGTCAAAAAAAAAAATCTGCAGTCCAGTCCAAGGTTCCCAGGAGGCTGACCCATGACAGGACCCACCCACTGATGCCCAGTGTACTTGAAGAATGCAAAATGGTCCTTGAATGTGTTATCTGATGGTCATTTTTCTTAGACACAAGGTGCAGCACATTACAAGATACCCAGAGGATAAGATAATGTTCCCAAACTGCATCCCTACAAAAATCTACAACCATTCTCAGAAAGGTAGACATTCTTCTTTTCCTCTCCTGAAGGGCTCAGTTTTCTTCCTTCAAAAGTCATAGTTGAGGTCCTCACCCCCAGTACCTCAAAATGTAGCTGTATTTGCAGATAATAAGGTCTTCAAAGAGGTAATTAAGTTAAAATAGGATCGCTAATTTAGGCCCTAACCCAGTATGACCATTGCCCTTATAAGAAAAGGAAATCTGGACACAGACTTGTGCATGCACAAATGGTGACATATAAAGATCCAGGGAGAAGACGGCCATCTACAGCCACGAAGAGAAGCCTCACCAAAAACTAGCCCTGTCAACACCTCGATATCAGGCTTCTCAGCCTCCAGAACTATGACAAAAAAAATTTCTGTTGCTGAAGCCATCCAGTCTATGGTACCTTGTTATGGTAGCTCTAGCAAACCAGTAGATCTCCAGTGGGAACTCTCCATGTGACCCTCCTGCAACCTGCCTCATTGTCCGTGTTACAATGATGAGCTACTCGAGACCTGCCAAAGGAGTTTATAAATGGCCTAGCAGGGATCTGAAAATTAACATCTCTGCCTCAACCAGCTTAATTGCCTCCTCCTTCTGCAGACGATCACTGGACAGCAGCCCCTTCCTCTGCCTGGCCCTGATTATCTATCAGACAGTTACTGTTTTTCAGTCATAGCATTCAGTTGCAATCTATAATTATCTTGCTTTTTGCCTAACAAGAATGTAAGCTCCATGAGTTCAGAGTCCTGTCTAACTCCTCATGTCTGTATCCCGAATGCCTAGCACAATGTCCCCCAGAGAGTCACAGATACTTTTGAATGAGTCTATTATTTTTGTATTTTGAATCTCCTAGGTAAGCACAAGCTCTTTTTTAAATAGAGCACAAGCTGTATTTTAATGCAAAAATAGAATATTTTTTCTTCGTTTTCAATTCATGAAGCCTTTGGAATACGCAGTTGAGAGATCTAGACTTGACTTCTTTTTAAAAAAGCAAAAATGAAACCAGATATCCCTGGCTCCATGTGCACTAGCCTGCCTGACAGCAACAGTTCACAGTATTTTAAATGATGGAGGTTGGGCAAGGGAGGGGTTCAGGATGGGAGACCCATCCGAAGAGTGATGAAGAGTGATATTGCATTCAGAGGAGTGTTAAAAATGAAGCATGTGTTATAAATAATAAAATACACCCAACTGTGCATATTAAGTTGTAATTCAATCCCTGGCTCCTTCTGACATTGATAAACCACTCATAGCTTCCCTTTCATGGTTCCAATGCCATGAGTGACTAACTTCTCTTAGTGGAACTTCTACCTCCTTATTATTAGATGGAATCAGTTCTACATTATTCTGCATGTGTGAGAAAGAGGCAGTGAGAGCCACGCCACATCAACTGGACAACCAAGATTCTGCTTAAAACTACATTTAGCCAGTTATGAAGAGGTGAAAACGTACTATGTAAACGAGTCACAAGGCAGCAGTTGGAGCAAGAAAAGTTTCTGGATTTTAGGTTACTTTTATCAGTTCAGTCAAATGTAAAAGAGAAGTGAAGGCCGGGCATGGTGGCTCACACTTGTAATGCCAGCACTTTGGGAGGCCGAGGCCAGCAGATCACCTGAGGTCGGGAGTTCGAGACCAGCCTGACCAACATGGAGAAACCCTGTCTCTACTAAAAATACAAAATTAGCCAGGCATGGTAGCACATGCCTATAATCCCAGCTACTTGAGAGACTGAGGAAGGAGAATTGCTTGAACCTGGGAGGCAGAGGTTGCGGTGAGCCGAGATCACGCCATTGCACTCCAGCCTGGGCAATGAGAGCGAAACTCCATCTCAAAAAAAAAAAAAAAAAAAGAAGTGAGGAGCAGAAGATGTATACATCAAGTATGCAGGTCCTGTCACTACAATTTCCTCTATTCAGTATTGACTTAAACATTTATTCTGAAAAAGAAACTGTGTTTTCCAGGTAGATAGAGGACGCCTGGACCACGGTGGAGGCAGTGCTGCTCTGGGTGTCCAGGCAAGCCCACTGGGCTGCTCTGAATTCCATGGGAATGGGAATGCCTTACAATCTTCAGCATAAAATGGCCCTAACAGCAGAAATATCTGCTACTGGTTCTCCCCATCTGACCAAGTAAATTCACTGGAATTATCTTCTGAAAATCAATCTTGCTGCCACTAGCTCCACTGTCACTCAGGGCTTTTCAGCCACGGGAGAAGCCCAGGGTGAGCTCTATGCCTGGGATCTGAGCTTGGGCAGGGGTTTCACCAGGCACTTGGAGAATAAACATGAGCTCACTCTTCCACCTATTCACCAATTCCTATAAAGCTCCAAGGTCTCCCCTTCCTTCCAGGTATCTGGTTTATTCCCTTGGGAGCAATAGGACATCTGCTGAAGCTACCAAGTGTGGTGGCTGGTTCTGCCCCAAAGCACTTAGCTAAATCAGGGGAAGGGAGTCTCAGCAGCTAAAAATAGCAATAGAACATTGATTTTTTTTCCTCATCCCCTTCTCCCCTTCCCACCAGTCACTTTCACTTCAGAATGTTTTCTGCTGACATCAAGATAGGGGACAATGTAAAAGAAGAGGGTCAGCAGGCAAGGAAGAGAGACAGAAGAAGAAAGAAAGAGGCAAACAGACACAATCTGGGACAAAAAATCCTAGACAGGTCAGAGCACGTTCCCCAGCACGTGGGCCAGCTGGGGGCCGTCAGTCCCTCGACACACGCAGATGGTCTTGCAGAAGCGTCACACAGCTCAAGCCAGCCAGAGCATCCTGAAATTGACACGCTGGATGGTCAAGGGCAGCCTGTGACCTTCATGCCGCAGCAGCAGGAAATCAGGCTCACACTTGGATTTTGGAGTGTGCTACTCTTCAATGAACTTTCGTCAGAAAAAGTATCTGGAAGTGCACACAAAACAGCTATTAACTAGAGTTTATCTCTGAGGGATGGGGTGGGAGGTGTAGGAAGGGATTTGGACTTTTGACTTTACATCTTCTTATAAAAATCAATAGAGTTATAAGTGGTTTTTACTTCTTTTGTGATTTCAAAGTTTTTCATAAGAAATGGTTTGCTAATACAATTTTTTAAATTTATTTTTATTTTTAATTTTGAGACAGACTCTCCCCTCTGCCACCCAGGCTGGAGTGCAGTGATATGATCTCGCTCACTGCAGCCTCCATCTCCTTGGTTCAAGAGATTCTCATGCCTTAGCCACCCGAGTAGCTGGGATTACAGGTGTGCACCACCACACTCGTGTAATTTTCGTATTTTTGGTAGAGACGAGATTTCGCCATGTTGGCCAGTTGGGTTCGAACTGCTGACCTCAAGTGATCTGCCTGCCTCAGCCTCCTGAAGTGCTGGGATTACAGGTGTGAGCCACCACACCCAGCCACTAGTACAATTCTAAAATAAATAAATAAATATTTTAAAAAATGATTTCACAGGCTTGATCACATTTAATATTCTCCACAGACCTATGAGGTGAGCAAGGTGGATGTAGCTCAGGATTCAGTCCCCCAGCCTTGGGTTTGAGCCCTCTTTTCAAATCTACCAGATATGGAAACTGAGGGAGGAATTTGAACTGGTACCACAGATGTGATAATAGTACCCACTATCTCAGCTTCCTAGGAGAATTCTATTAATAATTTTTTTTTTTTTTTGAGACGGAGTCTCACTCTGTCCCAGGCTAGAGTGCAGTGGCTCAATCTCAGCTCACTGCAACCTCTGCCTCCTGGGTTCAAGCAATTCTCCTGCCTCAGCCTTCCAAGTAGCTGGGATTACAGGCACGCACCACCACACCCTGCTAATTTTTGTATTTTTAGTAGAGACAGGGTTTCACCATGTTGGCCAGGCTGGTCTCGAACTCCTGACTTTGTGATCCGCCAGTTTTGGCCTCCCAAAGTTCTGGGATTACAGGAGTGAGCCACCATGCCCGGCCTTAGATACAACACATTAACCCTTTTAAAAATGCTTGGCACTTGAGAAGCACTCAGTAATTAGAAGTCATCATCATTGTTCTTGCTATTATCCTAGTTAGTAGCATTATTATTATTATGAGAGAATTTTAAGAGCTAAGTCCAGAGCAACACAGCTAGCAGTGGCTAAGCAAAAACCAGAACCAAATTCATTTTATGGCCACCACATGGCAGGGGTTAAGCAGGACTGTTCGTACTACCCCCACCTCGAGTTTCAGACTGGAACAGGACAGCCGGAGCCCTCTCCAGAATCAGCCTCAGAGAGAAAGCCTCGTGAGAGCCATAGTAATATGGGCATGGGTCAGCTCAGCCCCAAATTCTTCCTGATCCAAATCACAGGTGTTTTGGAACAAATAATGCTATCAAAACAGCTTTTGGGGGGAAAAAATGTCTGTGCCTAATGGGCAAAGCCCAAGAGAAAGGTTTGAAGGAAAATTAGTATTTATGTGGATAGACCTAAAATAACTATTTTTTTTAAGACTTGATCTTGCTCTGTCACCCAGGCTAGAGTGCAGTGGTGTAATCACAGCTCGCTGTAGCCTCAATCTCCTAGGCTCAAGCAATCCTCCTGCCCCAGCCTCCCAGTAGCTAGCACTACAGGCACACACCACCAGGCCCAGCTACTGGCTAATTTTTAAAATCTTTTGTAGAAATGAGGCCTTGCTGTTTTGTCAGGCTGGTCTTGAATTCCTGGCCTCAAGTGATCCTCCTGTCTTGGCCTTCCACAGTACTGGTATTACAGGTATGAGCCATTGGCCAGCCTTAAATTAACTTTTCACTAAAGATTTTATTTTTATTTTTGTTGCTCATAAAGAGAAAGAGCAACAAAAAAGTAGTTTGACTATTCCTCAAGTCTTGTCACCAATTTAGTTTCAAAGCAATTCCAAAATTTACCAGTGTTTCATTGCACTTTAGGGTCCCTTTATTATTTTTATTCTAGACAGTGTGATTGATTGCTAATCTTAACATACATTCATTACATCGTTCAGATTGAGGTCTAAACTATGTTTCAGATCTTCTCCGTGTTTCTGTTAGGGCCTTGAACAGTCTGCAACGGAGATTCACGGTGATTCTGCCTGACATCAGGCAGGAGAACTAGGGCACAGCAGGGAGGCCAATGGCGGGGGGGAACCACTGCCCCTCAGGGGGAGTGTCCTCCACTTGGAGCAAACTCCTGGTGCTCTAGTTCATTGTGGTTAGTGATGACCCCTGATGTTTGTATGGTGTTGAATTGTTTACAAAGCACATCCTTGTACATTATTCCCCACCATCCTCTCCACAATCCAATAAAAAACAAACATTATTAGCTCCATTTTTCAGCTCAAGAAACTGGACACTCAGCAAATTGAAGTGATTTTCTCGAAGCCATAAGACTAGTAAGGAAACACATGGCATGAACTCCACATTGGCACCCTATCCTCTACACTTCGAATGTTGTTTACACCTCTAATTCCTAAAAAAAAAAAAAAAAAAAAAAAAAAAAAAAAAAAAAAAAGTTTTCCATTTAACCTCTCCACGCTTCAGTTCCACCACCAACACACTCTCATGCCCCTATACAATCCCCTCTCCAAAACTATGAAAGCTCAGGTAACAACAGGCAACAGCAAAATCACCCGATGCTTGTTGGAGTCCTGACAACGTTGACAAAGTCCTTGGCAGGCCCTTCTATTTTCATGATCAATGGTACTACAGCCAGAAACAAGCCTCGCTGGCTGTGAGCTGATCTCTACTGTGAAAATGCACGCACGGTGTACACATTTGTTTATATTCTAAGCACTGAGGATGAAATAATTCTGCACCGTGTCCATTTTTGTGCTGTTAAGGCATACGGTTGCTTTGCAAGCAAAACAGTAGATCTTTCATTTGCCAGTGACATTCCACAAAGTGCTTATAATTCAGTGTTAGCTTATCAGCCGTCCAATCTCCCACTCCAGGGAATGTGTCAACCATCAAAAGGAGCAGAGGAGGTGTGCTGCATCTTAATGGCTTTCATTTCATCAGACTTACTTTCTTAAGGGCATTTAATCAATGAGGACAAGTAGTAGGCAGATTTTTAAATAAATGTGTCACTTTAGGTTAATCCACAGCACCGCTGAATATATTTGTTTATGCGACTCCCAAATATGTCCCTCTGTTGCTCAGCAGAATTGATAATCTGTAAATCAAAACATGTTACAAGTAGTTTTAAACTATCCCCCAAGGAACAGCTTTATTTGACCTGCCTGAATGGGAGATGTCCAGGAGTTTCAGGTACAAGGGTGTTGAATGTCAGAGCTGCTCAGAATGCCTGAGTGAAATGCCAGTTCCATTTACAACAAAGCTTTCTATTCATTCTTCCTTCCTTTCTTTCATTAGCCAGGTGAATGATGGGCTTAAAAAAATGTATTTGAAATGACAAAGAGCCTAGCAAAAAGATGGCAAGCTGGGAAACAAGGAGGACTGCAGGAATCTTAATTTATTCTTTGGGCTACTATTAAATGCAGAAGGAAATAAAATTGAAAGTAGACTGGAATGATACTGATGGGGCTCATATCACTTTGCCTTGATTATACCAAGACACTGGCTTCTGTTTGTTCTCTCCACTTTTTGCGTCCTTAATGTGCCCCAGACAAACAGAAGGGCTGTAATTGTGTAAACTCAGGTCCCCTGTCAAATAGAAATTTCTTTTGCCATCCGTTATCAGCTATCTGAACTGTCAAAATATGATTGTCACATCTGCTGGAAGTGTATTGGCCAGGTTGGGATGTGAATGTGGTGTTGTTATTTTAGATTGATTTTCTTAATGCTGGCCATAAGCGTGTCCGTGTGCAGGCTTGCGGATCCTTTCAGTCCTTTTAACAAAGCTTGAACTGTGTTGACATTTGTCCCCAGGCAGCAGTGTCCATTCAGAGTAGGACCTCTGCTGAGGCTTTTGTTGGAACCACTTAAATAATCTCTTTCTTCTTTCTTTTTTTTTTTAAACAGTGAGTGTTTACCAAATAAGATTGAGACTGTATGATCCTTTTGACACTGCAGCTAACAAAAGTTATTAATATTCTGTGGGCTTCAGAGCAAGAATCTATTTAATGGTTTCAAGAATCATTCAAATCCCAGGCACAGCCTTAACTACAGCTTTTTATAGATAGAAAAGGATATCCAGATCTGTATGTGTCTGTGACATTGCAGAGGACACTGGGGGTTGATGAAAGCTCACTGTATTATGTCTCTTTCCCCATTTCTTCACAGACAGCCGGGGAGAAGATGGCTTTCCTGGACTTGGGAAGAGTCATTAAACTGCCAGTGCTTGTGAGTGAATATCACAAGAAAAGATGATGCGCTTCATTTTATTTTATTTTACTGAAAATAGTGACATTTACATAATGATGTCTAATCTCTCTTTAGGCCTAGTAAAGACTCTGCAGATTTTCAGAATGTTGCCTCTGCTTCCTTAGGGTGCCAGGACCTCAGAGTTTCTAAGACATTCAGGGAGAGGACCCCAGCCCTAGGTGCACCTATAAACATACATAATAGCCAATTTACAAGAGAGTCAGTCAGAATGGATATTCATGTGCCAGCTTGTAGTACAATTCAACTTTCAATTCTGAGACAAATTAAATTCATTCTTGTGCATCCTAGTGGTAATGTACAATTAGCTTTCAGAAACTGTAATATATTTTCCTATCATATAGGAGTCTTTAGAAATTTCAAGGGTAACCTCTCCAGTCGCCTTAACAGTAATCTTAAGTGTGTATCTCCAAAGTTACATAAATCAAACCATTTGGTAAACCGTGTTGTAACCTTTTTAAACGTATCTCCCTGTTAGCTTTAACATCATTATATCCCATTGTGATGAAAATGGACTTTCGGTATCCAGCGATAATGAAAATAGCCACTTTATGCGGTTTCTGCATGCAATTATCCAGGCTTTTCTCAGACTCTAGAGAAATCTAAGCTAATTGCTTTGGGACTTTTCCTACATTTCCATAAATTCTTTGTTAATTTTTTATGAGAAACTGTTATTGCAGTCGCCCTTAAAGTTCCCATTGTATTCAATAATGTAAAGAAGTCATTATGGAAACAGCTATTTGCTAGTGTCCCTGCCAGAGCTGGACGCCTTCTCATCCCTCTGTATTCTCAGGTGAGGTGGGAGGTGTTTTTTGTTTTTTTTTTCTCACTCTTTTTTTTCTAATACAAATTTTTCTTCATCTGAGTTTACTCAAAGCCAATCTAAAAGCAGTTCTATGTGGTGCATGACCTTGTCATTATAGGACAAGAATTGAGTTTGCTTTATCTGACAGTTTGCTCTGGATTTGCTTTTATACCTACTCATCAACCCCAAAGACAAAGAACTCTGTTTTAAGTGATAGAGGAGCAACTGAATGAGCCATGTTTCCCCGGGAATGCTCTAAAATTACCTTAGATGTTACATTTGATTTATTGATTGCTTCAAACCCAGAATCACAATTCCTCTAGCTTCCAATAAGCACTACCAAAGAGCACCTCAAACACATTGCCAAGATTTTCAGAGATGTTTTTCAGCCTGATTTTCTCTTTTGAGCTCCTGTGGGTACAAGAGCACGCCGTCTGGAACCACCAAGGGAAGAAAATCTTCCCTCTCTTGCTCTTAGGCAAGGCTATATTAAACAGAGTCAGACCAGCCTGGTGCTTAAGACACTAAAAGCAAATACACAGAGAGGAAGAGAGATAAGCTTAGCTTTAATTAATTTATCTAGAATTAGCAATCAGAAAATATAAAAAGAAATCCTTCTAATTTCAAAATACTTGCAAAGCTTGTGTTTTACAGCTTGCACTTAAGTTTTATTTCAAATCACATGAGAGACAGATATCAATTCATCCATCTAAACTCAAGATTTGTGCAGGTTACTGTATGCATGCTACGCCTCGATAAAAATGACATGGAGAGAAGGCCAAAAATGTCACCTGAATTTGTCATTACTTTGGGCTTCTGAAGGCCTTCCTCTTTATGGGAAGGCAATGAGCATTGGGGAAGTTACTCTGCCACTTTCAGCCCACCTTGAGCTCTAGGTTGGAGGCTTTGGGTGACTGACTTCTAAGAAAAGTGCTTGCATTCCCTGCAGGTTATTGTCTCTTAAACATCACAGGAACTTGGCTATATTTAGGGCAAACCACACAGTGGTTACACTACACTCTTGGTTAGGGCACACAAGTGGTAAGTATAGCATAGACCTGCCCACATGTGCCTCAGAACTGACCGTTCAGAGTGTGAAAGCAACAAACTCTTCTTGACATGGGCTCTTTGTTATCCACGGGTAGTTTTGGCAGCCTGCATGTAAAAACTGCCCATTTGCAAACATGTTATACATCAGCAAATGACCAAGTGGATTTTCTCAAGTATCAAAACCCACTGGGAGCCATTCAAAGTGTATAAATCCATTCATGCTCTCTTAAGGAAAATAGAATACACAAATATTTTCACAAATGATACTTATTTATTTTAATGAATGATATTTGTTTAAAATGATTAAACCTGCTGCTTTCCAGTCGTAAAGGCAAAGTTCTTGGACCCCAATGTCTCCCAGAAGCCTTCCCAAAGAGTAACTGTTCATTTTGGTAAGCAGTTCAGTAAACCTGTGTTAAATTAAAATGGAAACTAAAAGAGTAATGTCATTTGGAAGACTCTTGGTCTGCTGTCAGCATTTCTGAACACTTCACTTGGTACTGGGAAATCCTAAATGGTTCCCAATCTTTGATGGAGATCATCAAGGCACTGCTGGTACTGAAGATGTTCTAGCTTCTCACAAGTGCACAGACATGGCTTCAACCACACTTCTCTGCAAATCACAACTTGAAATTCGGTCTCCTCTTATCTTCCAATTGGCACTAAGCATTCTTTCAACAGTCTCATAAGCCATTTCTATCAAGAAGGAATTATTGTCTTTAACTATGGAAACGTAAGTCAGCTGCATTACATAATAATAACAGCAGTTGGCCTGGCACAATGGTTCATGCCTGTAATCCCAGCATTTTGGGAGGCCGAGGCGGGCAGATCACTTGAGGTCAGTAGTTCGAGATCAGCCTGGCCAACATAGTGAAACACTGTCTCCACTAAAAATACAAAAATTAGCCAGGTACGGTGGCACATGCCTGTAATCTCAGCTACTCGGGAGGCTGAGGAAGGAGAATTGCTTGAACCCGGGAGGCAGAGGTTGCAGTGAGCCAAGATCGTGCCATTGCACTCCAGCCCGGGTGACAGAATGAGATTCCATCTAAAAAAAAAACAAAAAACAAAAACCAAAAAAAAAACAATAACAGCAGTTATGTTATTTAAGGACATTACCACATAGGAGCAAGGGTATGCTCTGAAGTCCCTAGACTCACCAATTCGTATTTGAAAATTCAAAATTGGATGAGGGTGGAAGTACTACCACTTGGATATAAGAAAAGCTGGTTATTGAACAAGAAGATTTTTTTCTTAACAATAAAATTCACATGGAGCAGTTACTGGCACATCAGCATTCCCTCATGTAATCCCCCTAACAATGTGATTTAGGAAGCATAATCCCCATTTTACAGGTGAAGAAACTGAAGGTCAGGGAGGTCACAGAAATTCCCCAAGATAACACAATAAGTAACACAGTCAGGACTTCAGCCTCCCCATCTCTAAAACTCATTTTTTTCCCACCGTGTCACATTCAAGGCTCAGCTCCTCCATGCCCTTTGACCTATAGCCTTGACCTATTGTAGGAGAATTGCCCACATGGTTGTTTGGACTCTCTCAGTATTCTACATGAACTTCTTCTGTGGTACCTATAATACTTCACTGCAGTTTTTGTTTATGTGTCTGATAGACCATGAGTTCCCTAAAGACAGGTGTCTTGTCTTGTACATCTTTGTATTCCTGGCACTTACCACAATATCTGGCACAGGCAGGAATTTATTGAAAGATAACACTGATGTCAAATAAACATATATAAAGACACTCAAGTGCTCACGTAAATAAATGCAAAGTAAAGCAACAATGAAATTTGAGGGTTTTTTTAGCTACCATACTGGCTACTATGTTAGAACATTTTCTAACATTTAGTGTTTTCCAGGATGAGAAAAAAACAAGGACTCTCCTACTTCGTTGTTTAGCATAAAAATTAATACAAGTTTGAATAAATTGTTGGCAATACCTAGCAAAATTTTAAATGTACGCACCTCTTCTAGACATTTGTCTTTCAGATATACCCAAAAAATAGCACAAATATGTGTACAAGAATATTTATCATAGAATAGTTTGTAATACAAAAAAAAAAATGAAAACTTCCTCAATATCCTTAATAGGAAGCTGCTTAAATTGAATGATACATTCCTGTGTCAGAATACGACTATCTGATTGAGGGGCAGCCCAGTTGCTAAAAAAAAAAAAAGTTCTTTGTGTACTATGTACTGACATGGAGATAATATTTATATGTGTGGAAGTCTCCATAAAGTTATACAAGAAACTGATAGCTGTGGTTGCCTCCAGGGACTGGGATGCTGAGAGAGATTGAGTAGGAAAACGTTTTTCTTTCATTTTATATTCATAGTTATATTAATGATTTTACAACACTCATGTATTAATTTGATCATAATTATGCAAAATGTGGAATTTGATGAATGACATTATTGTTTTAAAGTCTGTAAAATGTTTGGCTCAATAAATGTCTATTCCTTACACCAATCACCAATAATGCTTTAAGACACAATGTGATGTTCTGAGGAGCACCACAGGACTTGGGGGTGGAGAATCAAGAGTTTTGTTTCAAATCCACTACTTGTATAAACTTATGAAAATCATACTAAACCTATCAGCTCCTCGTTTCATCACCTGCACAACAGGCAAAGTATCACCTACTTCATATGATCACTGACAATGGTCAGTGAATGAATAAACAGAAAAGCTATAACTTAACACCCAGCATATAGTAGATCACTAATAATGATAATGAATGCTCTACGTGCTTTGTTTCCCACAGACAGTCACTTTATTTCTTAGCCTTCTTCCCATGGGAGGAGCTCAGAGACTTAAAAAATAGAAAGAAAATCTAACTAGTTAATTTTGATACTTACAGTAGATGTGTTTAAGATCTGGAAATCAATGAAGGAGGACAAAGAAATAGCAGATTATAAAGAGATTCTTTTTTTTCTTTTTGGAGACAGGGTCTTGCTCTGTTGCCCAGGCTCAAGTGCAGTGACTCGATCTCGGCTCACTGCAACCTCCACCTCCTGGGTTCAAGCAATTCTCCTGCCTCAGCCTCCCAGTTAGCTGGGATTACAGGTGTGTGCCACCACACCTGGCTAATTTTTGCATTTTTTAGTAGAGATGGGGTTTCGTCCTGTTGGCCAGGCTGGTCTTGAACTCCTGACCTCAGGTGATCCACCCACCTCAGCCTCCCAAAGTGCTAGGATTAGGATTACAGGCATGAGCCACCCACACCCGGCTTTTTTTTTTTTCTTTTTTTTTTTTTTTTGAGACAGGGTCTTACTTTGTCATCCATGCTGGAGTGCAATGGCACAAACACAGCTCACTGCAGCCTTGACCTCCTGGGCTCAAGCAATCCTCCCACCTCAATCTCCCGAGTAACTGGGACTACAGATGTGTACCACCACACCCAGCTAATCTTAAAATTTTTGTAGAGACAGGGTCTTGCTATGTTGCCCAGTCTGGTCTCGAACTCCTGGCCTTAAGTGATCCTTCTGCCTCGGCCTCCCAAAGGGCTGGGATTACAGGCGTGAGCAACCATGTCCAGCTTTTAACAAGATTCACGGTGGATTTTATCGTTTCCACAATGGACAATGATTCCTGTTTGCCTTCTAGCTGAGAAAGTTAGGGGTAGCAAATCATTCTTAACTAGGGTGACCAACTTGTCCCAGTTTGAGAAATCCTGGATCCCAAATCTCCCCTCAGTCTTCAGGACAGTTGGTCACCCTTTAACTGCAATGACTTGCCTGATACTCAATCTCCTCCCCTCCCCTTCCCCAAAGCTCAGCTTCACCTGGGCTCATCCTGGCCCTTCCCCTTGAGGTGCTTTTCCAGCTTGAGAGAACCTCAGAAGAAGGCATAGCGAGCCCCTGTCCCATCAGGCAGCCTTTCCCAGCGGGGCAGGCAGGGCTTTTCTGAAGCCAAGCAGGGTGCCCCGGGCCTCATTTGCATGGCAATGCCCTTTCAGCAGTGCAGTGATTTCGTTGCTGGGCTGGTCTCTGAGCTCTGGGAACAAACGGAAAGGTTTGTGTGCGCTTGTGAATGCATGCCATTCTCTTTGCTTTGCTTTGCTATCTGTCACCTCAAATGGTGAGGGTTAGACAAACAGTTCCTTGAACTGTTTAAAGGAAAACTACCCCTGCCTAAACAAGGCAGACTTGGATTTTCTCATCCCAGGGATAATGATAAAGAGATTGGACTTTGGCCTGTGAATCCACATTCAGTGCCTATAGAGGGATTGAAAGTGAATTCACTTTTTCTTAAAAGTGGCCACCAAATTAAATAGAGAAAAGGCTTTGTTTAGGTTTGGGTTTGTGTTTCAGCTCCTCACAAGCCAGGCTTTCATGCATTCTGACTGTCCAGGTCAGCAACCAGAATGTGCCTGGCTCCACAGCTGGGCCTCTGCACGGCTTGTCTGGCTAAGTCCAGGCGCGCATATTATCCTATCCAAGCATCAGTAGGTATTCAGAGCAGACAATTAGTTCTTTGAAATCAACTGGAAAGCCAGCATTCCTGTGCTCCAGTGGGGAGGAGGGGGAGAAGAGGGCAACTTTTAGACTATTAAAACATCCATCATACAGCCCTTTGCTATCAGGGGCACCTCACAGGAAAGCAAAGGCGACAAAGCAAAGAGTATTAAACAGCTGCTTGTTCGTGATTCTGCTATGTCTCTAAAACCTCTCTGGCTCCTGCACTCCAAGCCCCAGTTGAATGGAAGAGAAGTGTCCTGTGCATCAACGTGTTCTTCAGGACACTTGTTCTTCTCTGCACTGACCAGGAATTTTCAATGCCGCCATGCAAGAATGGCGCTTTACTTAAAGACACTGCATTATGTTAAGCAGACAGTCTGTCATTACTTAGCAGCCACACTATACTGTGGATGCAGTCCTGTTGTTTTTATTAAAGGGGTTGTCAGGATCTATAATTCACACATCATTAACCGCTTCATTAAGAAGACAGCAGCCCTGTGGGCCCTAAACTTGTAGCAGTTTGAAGACAAAGCAAGTAAACACTCTCCTTAACTGAGCCAGAGAGGCGACCCCCACAACCCCCCACTGGTGGGAGTGTCTGAAGAAGTGCTGTTTTCTAGGAAGAAAGTTTTTTCAAACTCTGGAGCATAAATGTGCAAAACATATTCACTTAAAACTGATTTGATTTAAGTTAAAAGCATTACTTTGCAATGAGCTGCGCAATCCCACATCATTCATCAAAACCAAGCCATCACGGGCCGCAATGTGTGGTTACTTAAGCATTTTCATATGCCCTAGACTTTTTTTAATGGAACAAAAAGCAAGACCATGAAATACACAGAAGGGAAAACATCAAAAAATTTGTACATGGCCCATGACATTGGTATTCCTCTAACATGGATTTTACTAAGCATCACTTATATAAACAATGGCGCCAAATCCTGTTTTCTTTCATAATGCATGTTTTCTCAGCAGTAGTACTGCAGATCTTGAAATACAATATGGGGGCTCTAGTTTCCCAGTGAAATCATATGGTTGGTGTATTTCCTCAAAATAAGCTTGCCATATGGAACCAGCCCTGGAACAGGCCCAGATCAAACAGAAGTAGCTAAAGATCCTGCACCTCTTGAACCAGCCAACACAGCCAGTGAGAAGACCAGTCAGCCTTAATGATTTCTTTAGAGTCTATGCACTTAGGTCTCTGTATTGGACTTTCTCTAAAGTTTTTGTTTGAAGAAAGAATTCTGTGACTAAAATGAGTTGGAAATATACCGTGATGGGACTTTCTTGATTTTTTTTACCCTATCAAAACCTTCCTGTTCTTAATTGCCTTTTTTCTCGGAGCTCTACTAGGTAATTGGCTAAGTAAACCATACTATGCTAAAGCCAATGTAAGGGATAAAACATAATATGTTTGTGCTTTTCTGGATAACATTTGCATTTATACTTTAGTCTTCAACCTCCTAACCAAAGAGAGTTAAGCATGAATTTTAGGTTCCATGGCAGGGCTACTTGGCAAAATAGTTTTGCCGTAGGCATGAAGTACAGAAGAGACTTCTCAGTGCTTGAAATCATACCACCCAGCAATCACCAAGACAATGATTCTCCAAATGTGGTACCCATACCAGCAACATCAGCATTACCTGGGAATTTGCACATTCTTTGGCCACACCCCAGACCTACTCAATCAGAAATTCTGAGATCTGTGTTTTTAACCAGCCTTCCAAATGATTGTGATGCACGCAAAAGTTTGAGAACCACAGACATAGATTCATGTTCTAAGTTGTGTTACCTAGAAGCAGAGCCTGAGATGGGGATCCTTATGAAAGTGATTTATTAAGGACCGCCTCTCAGTAGAAATCTGTAAGAAAGGAAGTGGAGCAAAGAAAGGGACAGAGACAAGCAAGCACGTGATGTAAATTCAGGTGAAGCCTCTCCTTGGCCTGATTCACAGGAAGAGGATTCTAGAGCGCAAACCATGCAGCAGAGTTATCTCCCTTTGAAGCAAAGGGCTAACCTTTGTCATAAGCCCTTCTTAGTCACTAACTATAGGAAGGACAGAGGCTTCCCCAGTTGATGCCAGTTCTCTGGAGAAGGGAAAGTGGTTGTCATTAGCAGCCAAAAGTCACATAGCTGTGGGACAGGGGGGCCTGGGTGAGTGCTACTACTACCACCAATATAAAAAGTCAGCTTCAGCAATATACAAGCTCCACTACTTTCACTATGAATCAACTAGAGAATGACTCATCTACGCACTCTCAGTACCCAAGACAGTATTGGTTATGCAAATATGAAGCAGGAAACGCCTTAAACTCCAATCTGCACTGAACAGCCACCAGAAACCTAATCCACTTCAGTCATCTTTGAGTACTATCAACACTGGAATAAAGCTGATTTCAGAACCTGAAACCACAAGCCTCATAGTGCAGTGAGAGAACGTTTGAATTACTAGTTCCACACAACATGAGTTTTGGATGCTTGCATATCTAGTCCTCCTTTTGTAAATAAGAGCACCCTGATTTCCCTTGGGGTACTTAGCCCTTCCCCATTGTGTGCTGATCTTGGTGAAGCTGCAAATCACTGTGCCTGTCTTCTGCTAGACAAGGTGCAGGCGTGTGGCTCAGTCTGGGTTGACTGATTGCTTTCCTTGTAATTAAAATCTTAATTAGAGTGACACAACTGACTACGGTCAGAGCACATTCATAGCAGTGCTTGAGACTTGAAGAAATTCTTCATCAGTTCCTTCTGCCCAGGCCCTCAGAGGGCCTTTTTAAGTGGAATTGTTCTTAATTCCTCTAGATCCTTCCAGCCCCATATCCTGCCAGTAAATTCTCTTTTGCTTAAGTGAGTGGGTTTTGGTTGCTTGCAACCAAAGAATCCTGGCTGACCCTAGTTTCCAAATTCCTTGAGTTTGATGGTCTATTTTGTTTTAGTGTTATGGTTTTTATTCAGGTAAGAAGAATCCTGTTTCCATTATTTTCACTATGTAACAAACTACCTCAAAGCTTCATGGTATAAAATAGCTATTTTAATATGCTTATAGAGTCTGTGGGTCAGGACATAGCAAGGATGGTTTGTGTCTTCTCCAGAATTTTTTTTTAATTAGCCAGGCATGGTGGCACTCACCTGTATTCCCAGCTACTTGGGAAGCTGAGGAGGGAGGATCTCTTGAGCTGGTAAGTTTGAGGCTGCAGTGAGCTATAATCACACCACTGTACTCCAGCCTGGGCAACAAGGCAAGACCCCATCTCTTAAAAAAACATAAAAGAAAGTACATAAAGCTAAAAGGCAACTTTATGAACCCAATCACAATTTTAAAGGAATTTCTTCTAATTTCTCTTAATAGGATACACATACATTTAACATAGTATATATGTATGTGACATTTCTTTTTACTGGTAATGAAACAGGAGAGTTCCCTGATCCCCCTCATAGGACATGTAACAGATCTGTGACTCATCTGTTCCATCACTGCTGCTGCTCAAACTCCTGACTGGAGGGGGAGTACACAGACAGGCAGGTATAGTAATCAGGGTGAGTGCTGTGGGCTCCAGCCCCGTGTTTGGGGGTGTGCCTGCAGCCCCAGTGTTATAATGCTCCTTTAGCCTTGCTGTCTACAGAGAGCTTAAGTGTTAACCAGCTCAATGGACCCTCTGCCTTTTCACAAGGGCAGAAGGCCAGTGTGACAGCTTTCTGTATCCTGAGCTCTTGCCCAGCATCCTGGAAGAATCAGGTCACACACAGGCTTGAAGGATGAATGAGAGGTTTTATTGAGTGGTGGAGGTGGCTCTCAGTGGGAAGGATGGGGAGCTGGAAGGGGGAATGGAGTGGGAAGATGATCTTCCCCTGGAGTTTGGCCATCCAGCAGCTAAACTCCCCTCTGACCGCCCCCAGCCAAACTCCTCTCAGCATTCAGACATGCCTTCCCTTCTCTCTTTCTCTGCCACACCGTTCTGCTGTTCGTCTGCTTGTCTCCTGGTCTCCTTGTCTGCTCATCTCCTCATCAGCTTCTGGAGCCTGGGGTTTGCAGTTTACATGGGTACAGGATAGGGGGGTGTGGTGGGCCAAAAGGCAACTTTTTGGGCAGAAAACAGAAATGCCTGTTCCAAGTCAGGGCCATGGGTCTCCAGGCTTGAGGGTGGGGCCTTTGCTGGGGAACTGCCCTCTTCTACCCAGTATTTCCCTGTCTCCTGTCCATATCTCCATATCAGTAACACTCAGAGACCACACGGATTCATGCTCCCCTTTTGCAATAATACCCTGTGCTCCCCACTTTCAACCCTAAGAGTACTTGACTTTTCAGAGTATGAATAGCAGCTATAGAAGATTCACCTTTGGGATCTTTTAAATACAAAATGTGCTAACATTTAACATAGTTAAGGGAAACATTACATCGTCCCGAGTCACAAGCTACAATAATCGTGTCAGAAAGCAGAGTTTGCAGTCACTATTCTCCTGTTATTCTTTCTTGTTTCCTCTGAAGCAGAAGTTTTTATCCTACTGCGGCAGGTAAGCCCAGGGTAGTTCTCTGCCACATAGAAACTGAACATGGCAAGAATGGCTATTCTGTAATTTCAAGAATAAGATTGACTTTGCTTCTGAATGAAATTTGAATTTAATACATTTGCTTGAAGTAAACCGAATCCAGGCTAAATAAGAATCCATGTTGGAATTTTTTCAGAATGGCCTTCCAGTTTTCAGAAATGGTCTCAGCATCACCCTCGCAGCATTTCTCTCTGCTCCTTTTTCATTGAGGTGGATTGCAACTGAGTCAAATGAACTGAAGCGGAGCTTTCTGGGATGTTTACTTCATCTCTCTGACATTTTCACACTCATCCATTTCTTCCTGCTTTTTGGACTTTTATCCTTGAATTTGGTTATTTTGAACTTTAATTTTTGTCTTTTTTTTCTTTATCCGAACCACCAAGGGTCAATATTGGTTATTGTGGAGACATGCACCTTGTCCCAGAGACAAAGAAGCCTGTGGGAACAATCCCTGGTCACATCTCCTCAGCTTCTGCTTCGTCACTGTCAGAGTCACTCTAGTCTAGAAGGGAGAGATCAGGAAACCTCTGTAGCATGTTTTATGGGACTGCACACAAAGAATGCTAAGTAAAATGGATGATGTTGTATTGTATACTTTGATATTAACCTAAGAGTGCCAGGGAGAACGTAATTGATTGATGATATGCCGAAGATCCATTTGAATTGTGCTAAGCTCATTCATTTCAGCTTTGCTGACAATCTGAACAGAATATTTGTTAGCATAAAGTCAGTCTCTGCGTAAATGTAGTGTCAGCAGTGATATCGTACAGCCTTTTTGAGGCGAAATGTAAAAATTCTATCAACAATTTTTTTTTTTTTTTTTTGAGACCAAGTCTCACTCTTGTCCCCCAGGCTGGAGTGCAATGGCGTGATCTCAGCTCACTGCAACCTCTGCCTCCTGGGTTCAATCAATTATCCTGCCTCGGCCTCCCGAGTAGCTGGGATTACAGGCACCTGCCACCACTCCTGGCTAATTTTTGTATTTTTAGTAGAGACAGGGTTTCACCATGTTGGCCAGGCTGGTCTCAAACTCTTGACCTCAGGTGATCCACCCACCTCGGCCTCCCAAAGTGCTGGGATTATAGGCATGAGCCACCGCGCCTGGCCTCCATCAACAGTTTTCAAAGTAAATAAATCTAAATTTAAAAAATTTAAATCCATCCCTGTGAGCCCCTGTTGACATGGGTAGGTGACTCATACAACTATTTCTTTCTCTTTAATCATGTTGTGGCTGGTCAGTGTTATAGTCTCCAGGGGGAACTAATAGTCTGAAAAAATATATACACCCATATAGAGAGTTTAGTGATATGGGGAAGGGGGATTCTGATCAGAAAAAAAAAATTACAATAAAACGTGGATAACTACTTCACTTTGAGTCTTTTGTATATAGGTCACAAATTATGATACATCCTTGGTATAATTCATCAAAATATGCATGCTACAAAATTGCAGCTGGTGCAAAGGTATCATTAACCTTCATTTACAAACAATGTGTTCTCTTCTCCCTGAATCACCTCAAGTCATTCTATTTTATTTTCATGAATTGGCCTTTAATCTTCCACTGATACATTTATGTTATGCGAAGTCTGACAAGAGGAGATTACTGAAGATTTCCTATTTTTCTTTTACACAGCCTACTGAATGATGACTGTATTTGCTCATCAGAAAATCAAGTATGAGAACATTCTAATATTTGCCACTTTGAGGGACGCGTAAAGAGAGATTGGACTACCCCCCATCTTCCCCCAGCATGCACACACACACACACACACACACTCTTGCCATTGGCTTCAGTCTTAACCTAGAAACATTATTCCTAGAAAGAAGAGAAATAAACCTAGTGACATTAGTTATGTGGCTTTTCGTCTGAGAGAAGTAGCCAGAGAGTGTGTTGTTTCCTGATATAACACTGATTCACCCATTTTTATGTTGTAAACCAAAGTTGAGACAATTTCTCATAGTGCAGAAAATGTGACTTGATACTCCTAAATATCAGCTAGCAGCTCTGGGCTTAATTGCTGCTGCTTTGGTACTTCTACCGAATATATAGTTATGTTGATTTTGAAGTGTTTTCAAGATGCTCAGCAATTGCACAAAGATACTTGATTACAAAAATCAAGGAAGCTATTTCAAACTATAAGTAATAGCAAAATGTAACATCTCCGCCTTATACCAATAAGGTAAAGAGTACCTGAAACATGTTTGCACTTTTCAAAGATTTTCAGACCTTGATACTTCCAAGGCTTATTCTATAGGGTTTTTGTACTTAATATAATACAATTTTACAAGGCTTAGAGGCAAACCGTTAGAAACATATATTAAGCAGAAAATAGGAATACTTGTATCTTTTTTCTATGTGTTAGTTTTACCCTCTAACTAGATAGCTCCTTGGCATCTTGAAGTTTAATCTTCATATATATTTTGATGCAACACAAACTACTTATCACAATGTTATACTCAAAATTGCTTCTCTGTATTAAGTCCTTGATTGAGTGGATGCTGGTTCTGGCACTTCTGAGAGTAGATGGCATCTAGATCTTTTCCTGCTTCTTTGCTTTCCTTCCTTACTTTATCTAGTTATTTTCATATATATATATAATTTTATATATATAATTATATATATAATTTTATATATATAATTATATATATAATTATATATATATGTATAATTTCAACTTTTATTTTAGATTCAGTGGGCACATGCACGGGTTTGTTACATGGGTATATCATACGATGCTGAGGCATGGAGTATGATTGATCCCATCACCCAGCTACTGAGCATAGTACTCAATTGTTACTTTTTCAGCCTTGCTCCCCTCCCTCGCACCTCTAGTAGTCCCTAGTGTCCATTATTGTCATCTTTGTGTTTATGAGCACCCAATGTTTAGCTCTTACTTATAAGTGAGAACACATAGTATTTGACTTTCTGTTCTTGCCTTAATTCACTTAGGACAATGACCTCCAGCTGCATCTATGTTGCTGCAAAGACAGACATGATTTCGTCTTTTTTATAGCTACATAGTATTCCATGGTATATACGTACCACATTTTCTTTATTCAATCCACTATTGATGGGCAGCTAGGTTGATTCCATATCTTTGCTATTGTGAATAGTACTATGATTAACATATGACTACATGTGTCTTTTTGGTAGAACAATTTATTTTCTTTCGGATGTACACCCAGTAATGGGATTGCTGGGTCAAATAGTAGCTCTGTTTTAAGTTCCTTGAGAAATCGCCAAACTGCTTTCCACAATGTCTGAATTAATTTACATTCCCACCAACAGTATATAAGCATTCCCTTTCCTCCACAGCCTCGTCCACATCTATTGTTTTTTGACTTTATAGTAGCCTCTCTGACTAGAATGAGATAGTATCTCATTGTGGTTTTGATTTGCATATCTCTGATAATTAGTTATCAAGTGACTTTCAAATTCTTCTTTGAAACTTGGCAGATACATTTATAGGTAGAATGGGTCACTAGAAACATTTTCAATAGATGCATACAAGATAATTTTAAAGATGTGGGAAAAAGCTTATAAAATAACCTTAATCAATGGTGCCACAGTGTACAACTGGACAAGTCTCTTCATTTGCCAACCCACGGTTACTGAACCACTCAAAACCTGGAGAAACAGCTCAGAGCTCTGCTGAGGAATCATCCATCATTGGACCAACATTGTAATCTGACCTGAGAAGTGTCAATTATATTTTCTGTCTTACTGGAATTGTTTTTCGACTTCCTTTTTAACATTTTTCAAAATTTTAAAAATATACATACAATAAAATCATTCTTTTTAATGTAAAATGCTATGACTTTTGACAAATGCATAGAGCCATGTCGCTACCATCACAATGAGGTGACAGAACATTTTCCTGATCTTCTTCACTCTAAAAACCTCCCTTATGCTTCTCCTTTTCAGACAATGTCCTCATCCACCCCTAACTCCTGGCAACCACTGACCTATTCTCCATTTCTATAGTTTTACCTTTTGGGGAGTGCCATATAAATGGAATCATATAACATGTCACCTTTTAAATCTGGCTTATTTTACTAGCATAGTGCATTTGAGACTCATTTATCTTGTTGCATATATCAGTAGTTTACTCCTTTTCACTACTAAGTAGTATGCCATTGTATTGGATGTACTAAAACTTGATTATGCACTTCCCAGTTAAAGAACATTTGTTTTGTTTTGTTTTCTAGTTTGGAGAAATTATAAATAAAACTGCTATAAGCATTCATGTAGACTTTTTATTTGTTTTTATTTTGTTTTGTTTTTTTTGAGACAGAGTTTCACTCCCGTTGCACAGGCTGGAGTGCAATGCTACGATCCTGGCTCACCACAATCTCCGCCTCCTGGGTTCAAGCGATTCTCCTGCCTCAGCCTCCAAGTAGCTGGGATTAGAGGCATGCACCACCAAGCCTGGCTAATTTTGTATTTTTAGTGGAGATGGGTTTCTTCATGTTGGTCAGGCTGATCTTGAACTCCCGACCTCAGGTGATCCACCTGCTGTGGACTCCCAAAGTGCTGAGATTATAGGTGTGAGCCACTGTACCCAGCCTTCATGTAGACTTTTTAAAAAATCATTTCACTTGGTAAGTATGTAGAAGTGGAATTTCTGCATCATACAGGAAGTGTATGTTTAACTTGATAGGAAATTTACAAACTGTTTTCCAGAGATAAAAAAATTTCCAAGATAAAAAAATATTTATCTTGCATTTCCACCAACACTGTGAGAGTTCTAGTTGCTCTGCATTTTTGCCAGTGTTTTTTTTTAATAAATGTGTAATGTTAGCTTATTGTGGTTTTAATGAACATTTCCCTAATAACTACTGATGCTAAGCATCTTTTTGTGTGTTTACTTGCCATCAGTATATATTGTACCAAGAACAAGCTTAATAAGGGGGAAGCAGAAATGAGAGCGATCCTGTGATCACTGAGGTTGTGAGTATAAACGTGGGTCTTTAATTTCCCATTCTACTTCTCCTGAAACCTGTCTTCTCTTCTTCTCATCTGTAGATATCCATGAAATTGCCTTTTGGGATTCTTAAATTATCCCTTACTCTGTTACCTGAGTGAACCTTAGGGAGTTTCTGATCTTTGCCAACAAAACAACTTTAACAGGAATAACTCTGTACCCAGTATGATGGTCTTACTGAATGTGCGTGTGCATGCACAATTTTAAGTAACACAATGCAGGTAGATGGAGAAAACATGTAATTTCTTTCATCTATGGATGATCTGTTCCTCCCTTCCAGTACTCAGCTATCATTATTTGGGAAAACATTAACTAAGTGTCCTGTCAGGTATAACATTTAATCTGATTTTATAAATTAGACTGCTGCTTTAAGTAGTATGGAATAGAAATGCTAATATCTCAAGGTAAGAGGGGAGAGGTGAAGCTTACTCACCTCAGGGCAGAAAAGCCAAGTCAATTTCTTTCAGTTCTTCGGCCTCCCTTGCGCTTGGAGCAACGACCTCACCCCCTAGACACTACAGCCCCAAATGCCATTCATAGCATGTATCTGGTGGAGCTGGCAACCTGGTCTCTCAGCTTGGTTGGATAAGCTTGACATTCTAGACTTCTCTCAGGTCTTACATTTCCCACTGAGCCCCAGCTTGAGCTGTCAGCTCTACATCTTTTGTGACAGAGACACCCCGCCTCCACTCTGGTAACCCCATTTGACAGTCTCCACAGTCACGCTGGGTCCTTCTTTGCTCCACAGGGACCAAGGACTGCTCCAAAAAGATAAACTTGAAGACCTCTCTCTGCCTGAGCTTGCTGTACCACCATTTATTTTGCTGTGGCTTCACGTCTGATTGATACACAGTAGCCGGTGTGGCAACCTCCCCCATTCCCAAATGGGCATCAGGTGGAGAAGGTGGGAAAGACTCCTGTTATTCACCTCACTTTTCTAACTCACAGCGCATATCTGATGTTTTCTCTCTCCCAATTCTCTTTCCTTCTTTTTCCCCCAAACTCCCTGGACTGGAAGAGTGTTGTAATCTTCCTGACAGGCCCTCTATTAAGAAATTACCTATGGTCTAGTTCACTAAGTGTGGATTTTGACATGCTAAAAAATAAGGAAACAAAGTAATTTTGAATTATTTTTCTCCAAGAAATATCCTGATTTTCAAGACTATTGACTTGCTGTAAAATCATATCTTTGAATATCAAAAACTGAATATCACTGTGTTCCCTGTCTGCATTCCTGATAGATGGATAGGTGGGTACATTAGGCAGAATAAGGCCAAGGTCAAGTGCTTAGAAAAATAAAAGAAGCCACATCAAACAATTTTAAACTATTATGACCACCACACCCCTCTTACAGGCCCACTTGCATACATGCCCATACACACACACACACACACACACACACACACACACACACACACAGAGAGAGAGAGAGAAGTAAATACACATATTGAAAATTCCAAAAGACAACACATCAAATTGTCAATTGTGGCCGCCTCTGGGTGGTATGATAATAGCTGATTGTTTTTTCTTCTTTGTACTTTACAGAATTTTCATGAAATTCAATGATGTGCATTTATTCTTTCTGTAATTAAAAAAATTAAGATTTCCAAAACTCGACTGAAGTCTTGCTTCATTCAAGAAGCCTGGTCTATTAACTTCCCCATCCTAAATCCTAGTAATTACATTACGTGTTAAACATCCACCTAATATTTATTGTGCACTACTTAAATGGCAGTCTCTGTGCTGGGTGCAGCAGATTCAATGCCCAACAAGTCCAGTACACAGGGAGGATATTCAAACCATCAAGCAATCTTTATGGCCCAGATGACAACTAAACAGAATGGCCCCAGGCCAAAATGCTGGAGCCATGCCTGCAGGGCCTCAGTCTGTCCTTAGTTGCTGAGTCTGTGGGAAATAGCTGGGGCTCCTGGGGTAGAAGGGACACTGAAGTCATCACCTACTGGTACAGGAGTATTTCAATGTTTTAACAACTGGAACAGTCATACCAGTGTGTGCTAGCCCTACTCTCACACTCTGCTCTTACAGTGACGTAAACACTTTGCGGTGCTCAATGTGGCAAAAGGGCCAGTAAGGGAGCTAGAAGAACCCAGAGCATCTGATTGAGATGTCTCTCCTCCTCATTCGCACAACTGCATACCAGTAGATCTAGCATAGTTTTGGGGTTTTTTTGTTTGTTTGTTTGTTTGTTTGTTTGTTTGAGATGGAGTTTCGCTCCTGTTGCCCAGGCTGAAGTGCAATGGTGCGGTCTCGGCTCACTGCAACCTCTGCCTCCCCATTTGAAGTGCTTTTCCTGCCTCAGCCTCCGGAGTAGCTGGATTATAGGCATGCGCCACCACGTCTGGCTAATTTTTTGTATTTTTAGTAGAGACAGGGTTTCTCCGTGTTGGTCAGGCTGATCTCCAACTCCCAACCTCAATTGATCTGCCCGCCTCAGCCTCCCAAAGTGCTGGGATTACAGGCGTGAGCCACCCTGCCCGGCACCCTGACATAGTTTTTATTATGACTAATATATTACTTATAATTATCGTTGATTTACTTGCCTGTCTCCTCCCACCGGATTCTAAAATTCTTAAAAGTGCTGAAAATGTATTATTTATTTAAGTGTCTATCTGGCACAGTACCTGTCACAGGGTAGGCCTTTGAGAAACATTTGTTGAATAAATGAATTAAGTTTTAAGATTATGATTCCCCAAATCTGAAAGGAGAAACAGTTTTCCAAATGGAGTCCTCTGAGAAATAACCAAAGGATTCTGGATTAGCAATATTTGCTAAGATGCAACAGTTTGTTGGACAGTTGCTTGGGAAGTAGAAATGGTGCTGAGAGATAGGGCACCAGAAGATGGCAAGAACAGTAGAGAGATAATCAGGGAAGAAGGCAGGGGGAGCAAGTGTGGGGAAACAAGGGAAAAGAATTGTTCATTGTTGTGTGTGGAGCCACCATTCCACTTCAAAGCTGTACTGGGGATCCAGGGACAGACCCTACTGGAACACACACATGCATATGAGCACACACCTGTCCCAAAGGACAGCCTAAGGTGAGTTTTAAATTCTCAGTATGATATCGAAGTCTGGGTGTACTAAACCAAATGCAGTAAAAGCATATCTGAATACAAGCAAGAAGCCCGTTGCTTGATTAGCCAAGTGACCTTTCCACTTCATTTAGGGCATGGTGAGGAGAAAACTGCACCTAGGAGCTGTCTGCTGTCCCACACCCCCAGGGTTGGTGCAAGATTTATGTCCTGAGAGTCCTGCATAGCCCACAACAGCCTTATGTCCAGGACCTTTGAAATGCATGGATATGTGTCCTGCTTCTGGAACCTGGAAGGAGAGCGTCCTCACTAAGATAGATAAAAGCTGCCAGATTCCATGATTAAAGTCCTTCTCACTAAAGAACTGTATCAAAGAACTGTTCTTGCAGGGCGCAGTGGCTCATGCCTGTAATCCCAGCACTTTGGGAGGCAGAGGCGGGTTGATCACAAGATCAGGAGTTCGAGACCAGCCTGATCGACATGGTGAAACCCCGTCTCTACTAAAAATACAAAAATTACGCGGGCATGGTGGTGTGCACTTGTAATCCCAGCTACTCAGGAGGCTGAGGCAGGAGAATTGCTTGAACCTGGGAGGCAGAGGTTGCATTGAGCCAAGATCACGCCATTGCACTCCATCCTGGGCAACAGGGCGAGATTCCATCTCAAAAAAAAAAAAAAAGAACTGTTCTTTAGAGAGTCCCCCTGTTCTGATTTCCTATTTGGTGTCTGTATTTCATTCAGAAGGCTAACACTGTGGCCAAGCGTGGCCAGCAACTTCTCTGAAACGAGTTGAAGGCACAGTCAATGGGGCACTCTTGAGCTGTGAGCCACTGGGCACCCCTTCACTCACGTGGATTTCACTTAGAGCACTTTAAATTTCCAAATGAAATGCAACATTTTTGTTTTTTATGAAATGCTAGACTTAAAAGCTGGGAAAAACAAGACACCAGTCATGTCACCAAATCTAGTATTATTTTACTCTCAAAGATTATCAAGCCCAAAGCACACGGCACTGCCTCATTATTTAATCAATATAATATTCAATCCTCAAAGGATTTGTGGTGAAAAAATATTAAGATTATGTATTTTTTAAGAATGGTAAACACCAGGAGGAGGAAAGTACATCCTTGAAATACTCAATATATAAACATACACACACACACACACACACACACACACACACACACACACATATATATAATACATATTATTTATGTCTTCTAACCCCAGTTCAAGTTAATCTGCTTTCTTTGTATTCCCCGTAATGCCTTGCACAAATGATACACATGATAGGCATTCGATAAATCCATGTTGAATCTACTGCCACCTACTATCTGGTCCAGACAGTAGTTAAAAACATTTCTCATTGTGTGAGACAAATGCTATTGAAGGTGTGTGAAATGAAGTAGATCACAAACACAGCATTACATAACGCTAACTTACACAGTGAGCAAGTTATTCTATTTTCAGTTTTCTCTCAATCCTTCTGAATACATCAAGGAGAAAGTTGTTTTTCTTTTTTCCTTTTTTTTTTTTTTTTTTTGAGACAGAGTCTCACTCTGTTGCCTAGGCTGGAGTACAGTGGTGTGATCTCGGCTCACTGCAACCTCCGCCTACTGGGTTCAAGCAATTCTCCTGCCTCAGCCTCCCAAGTAGCAGGGACTACAGGTGCATGCCACCACTCCCAGCTAATTTTTTGTATTTTTAGTAGAGGCAGGGTTTCACCGTATTAGCCAAGATGGTCTTGATCTCCTGACCTTGTGATCCACCCACCTTGGCCTCCCAAAGTGCTCGGATTACAGGTGTGAGCCACTGCGCCTGGCCTTTTTTTTTTTTTTTTTTTTTTTTTGAGATGGTATCTCACTCTGTTGCCCAGGCTTGAGTGCAGTGGCGCAATCTTGGCTTACTGCAACCTCTGCCTCCTGGGTTCAAGCAGTTCTCCTGCCTCAGCCTCCCCAGTAGCTGGGACTACAGGCGCCCACCCACCATGCCCTGCTAATTTTTATATTTTTAGTAGAGACAGGGTTTCACCATGTTGGCCAGGCTGGTCTCGAACTCCTGACCTCAGGTGATCCACCTGTCTCGGCTTCCCAAAGTGCTGCGATTACAGGCGTGAGCCACCACACCCAGCCAAGGAGAAAGTTTTAGTTTGGCACTGGTATGCGGTTGCCACCTCTCTAACCCTGACATCTCTTTCAGAAAAAGAGAACAGGCCTCAAACTCAGATCCTTTTTAGCATTTAAAGTCTAAACTCCATTGTTTTGTCTCCACAGTTTTGAATGGAGTCTCCTATTTATAGCATGGGATATCTTGTTTCCTTCTATAATACATTTATTTAAATTAAAATGTAGGTCAACTTTTTTTAAGATTTGGTAAATTTTAGAAAAGTGGGTTCACAGATAACCCAAGTGGGTGAAGCACTGCTTGAAAGATATATTTTTTAAATTGTTTATCTCTAAACCCTGGTGAACATCTTTGGCCTGGAGCTTTGCATGCACAATCCATGGATCAACAGTAGTCAAGCTAGCACTAGTTCTGGAAAAGGGGTGAGGAGCAGGAAGAAGGAAGCAGTCTAGACAGTGATGCCAAAAACCAAAAAACCCAAAAACCCACGAGTTTCATAAACACACAAGTCCCCCATAAATCAACTCAAATACCCAGGCATGCCTCACTCACCCCTACCTCACAGACTGCTCTGTGGCCTGTCTCAGATCATTGCTTTACCTGATTTCACCGGAGTAAATGCTCAGCTGTGGAAGGGGCAGACCACATGACTCATCCTAGACAAACAGCCTCTGAAGATTTGGACCTCACTTTTCCTAACCATGACTCAACATATTGAAGCTCATTATTTGTATTTATCTTTGAGCTATGTTTGAAATGGAGATCACAGCCTCAATTTGGTGATCTTAAATGTTAGCAGAAACTAATCTAAATTCCTAGCGTTAGGAATTCCTGGGGAAATCAAACCAGGGAAATTACATGACACATGGCCAAGAATGTATGTAAGAAGTAATTACGCTGAAATTCCTTTGTTATCTATTAATATCAACTGCATGGCACTGTGTCAGCATGGGGATAAACAAGTGGCCCTGCTGGTTCAATTGTTCAATTCTTTCATTCGAAAGGAGATAAGACAAAACAATAGATTCCTCTTTGGGGAGAAATGGCCTCTTATTTTTGTGGTAAACAAAATAGCTTTTTGGATAAGTCCTTTCATCATTTGATCCATTGACGGCTGAGGTTAGAATTTCAAGATATTTATCCTGAACAGAAGTGGTAGGAGAGAAAAATAGCAGATGTAGAGTAAAAGGTGGTTCCAAATGTTAGGAATGAGATTTACAAGGGAGCAGGGTTAGAGCCAAAAGAAGTAAAAGTAAGGCAAGAGGACTAGAAATGAAGCTACCCAGGCTGACTGTCTTCAGGTAAAGATTAAAGGAGCTTAGACACTACCATAAGTCATTTAAATAATTGCACAAGAAGTAATTATTAAATACATTTTATTTGATTAATAAATATGTACAGATATATAAAATTGGTGCATGCTTAATTCTTCAAACCAGTCTTTTAGACTTTGCATTAATGGGATGCTCTAGCTAGTCTCTAAGAATAAAGCCGGTAGAATCCATGGTCATAATCCTGTCTGGTCTGCCAAAGACCTGGGTAACCCCAGTAACACTGACAACACAGCCAGGGAAGAAGTGGACTGCCACTTGCTACTTTGACATTTCAAATTTTATATTTTCAATAAAAACTGTGCTGTTGGCCGGGCACGGTGGCTCACGGCTGTAATCCCAGAATTTTGGGGGCTGACGTGGGTGAACTGCTTGAGCTCACAAGTTTGAGAACAGCCTGGGCAATGTAGCAAAACCCCACATGTCTACAAAAGATACAAAAATTAGCCGGGCATGCTGGTGCACACCTGTAGTCCCAGCTACTCAGGAGGCTGAGGTGGGAGGATGGTTTGAGCCCGGGAGGTGGAGGTTGAAGTGAGCCAAGATTGTGCCACTACACTCCAGCCTGGGTGATAGAGCCAGACCTTGTCTCAAAAACAAAACAAAACAACAACAACAAAACTGTGCTGTCATGGTTTTTGGAAAATATATTCACATACCACATGAGAATATATTTGAGATAAGTCAAAAGATCTTACTTATTTAAAGTAAGCCAATGGAAACCTTTCTTTCTTTGTTACCAATAAAGCTGCAGTAGAATAACTTCTAAATACAGACTAAATATACTTAAATATCATCCATATTATTATAAAGTTAAAATGAAGTTATATAAATAGTAATAAATACAACAAAGACAGTGACCAAGAAATTGATCATTTCTTATATGAGCTAGCAAGCATATCTCAAAGTCCTACACTGTACACTATAATTTGAATTTATTCCTCTGTAAAAAGTCATAATCCCACATTCCAGAGGTTTAAACTCCCCAAATCTGAGTGAGCAAATACCATGTAGTGAGGCTATTCTATACTTTCATAAATTTGATTTAAAAATTATATGTTAATATTTATGGTAAACTGTGCAATGAGGCAATGTAGATATCTATGCATAACCACAACTATAAAAGGGTAAGTCTGAGTCTTTTTTATTTGTTGACATATTTAAAGTGATTTTCATATGTTCAGATTTCACAAATATTGAATTTTACAAATGGAAATTACCTTGGAGATCCTCCTTGAAAAGACAGAAATCCAATAAAGTATAATTGTTAGACCTGGGAAACACCCTAGCTGGTATGCTACGCATTAGATATCTGACTTTGAGCAAAGTTCTTAGTTTGCTGAGATTCCATAGGAAACAGCAAAGCTAACTGTATTTACCTTTCAGGGCTTTTTTGAGGGTATGATGGAGTATTGCGTGTCAAGCTTGTAACACTGCCTGGCACAGAATACGGGCTTAATAAACACAAGCTGTTGTCATCAGTATCATCAACAATAGCTTCGTTAACCTAGAAAGGTTAAGTGAGGACTTGACCATGATCAAACAGCTGTAATAGTAAATGGCAGAGTTAGGGCTTGCATTAAGGTTTCCTGAATTTTCATACAGTGCTATTCCCACTAAACCACAACTGCCACTGATGTTTCATCCAGTTTTTAAGATCACATTTTTAAAAGACTGATTAATGTGGTGTACCCTGCAGCTTCTGTTCAGCTTCATTTCAACTTTTCAGTGAAGCCACGGGAACCGTGTGTGATGTGAGATGAAACTGCAGTTGAACGGGGTCTTTAAGCCCGTTAGAGAAATTTCTCTTGTGTTCCATTAGTTTAATTATGACATAGTTAAACAGACGCTGAGAAATTTCAAACCTGGGAACATTTGCCCACAGAGGCACGCAGGCCCTGGCAGTAGCTCTTAATCACATTCCTCAGTCAGGTGTCAAGCAGAACAGAGGCACAAGCACACAAGCAAGTTTTGTTTAGTATACCTCAAAAAGCCAGCCAAGTGGCAAATGTGGACATCTGTTCTAGACTGTGGCTGTCCTGTTTTTTCAGTCTAATCTGTCAAGATAACCATTTCCCCATTCTCTTAAACAAACACAGACTTCCTTGTTTAAACACTATAACAGTTCTAACAGAACACACAGCTTTTAATCATTCTGTGTTAAGTACACTGGCAAGAGTCTGAGAAAAGAATCAAAACATCTTAAATGTAAACTGGCTGATTTTGCTACTTTGCAAATCCCAGGAAACAGAAAAAAGAAACCTGAAATTCCAGATAAAAGGAGTACAACATTGTAGGAGAGACTGCAGTGAATTTTACATTTTTAATTGAATTGGAAATGCAATTGTGAACCCAGTTCAGCTTCTAATGAAAAGAGCGATCTGATCATGTTTTATTTTTTCTTCGAAGTTTTGCAAATTTAAGTTCATTTGTTCCAATGGTTTTGTATATATTTATAAAGGCAACACTAACGCTTGAGCAGAGTGATATTTTCAGGAAAGCTATTTAAACACAGAGCAAAGTTACTTCTCTACTAACTCTCTTGAAAGCCCTTTAGCATAAAGCTCTGTCATAGTGCAGAGCACATTTTTTTCCATATAATATTTGAGAATAAAAATGTGAAGGGTGGGGAGAAAACCTGTCACGGTGGAATAAGCAGGAATATTGACAACACTGAAGTTCGGGTGTGCTTCCTGAGCCTCGATACTTACTCTTCATTTCACTTGCAAAATATCCAGGCTCACCCTGAGATATGAAAAAGTTAAAATTTACATAAAACCTGTTATGTTTTCTACTTGGAGAAAAATGAGGGTTAAATAATCCAAACTCCGCTCGTGGCTCACGCCTGTAATCCCAGCACTTTGGGAGGCTGAGGCGGGAGGATCACTTGAGCCCAGGAGTTCAAGACCAGCCCTGGCAGTATAACGAGACCCCTGTCTCTACAGAAAATTTTAAAAATTAGCTGGGCACAGTGGTGAGCACCTGTAATTCCAGCTACTCAGGAAGCTGAGGTGGGAGGGTGGCTTGAGCCTGGGAGTTTGAGGCTGCGGTGAACTATGATTGCACTACTGCACTTCAGCCTGGGTGACAGGGAGACACTCTGTCTCTAAAAACATAAAAATAAAAATAAAATAATAATTCAAATTCTACATTGTCCATGCTTGAGTGTGGTTCATGGACAGGTTTTCATCCCAACCAACTTAAGGTCATATCCCGGTTCTATGACTTAATTGTGACTGTACACAAGTTAATAAACTTCTCTGAGCCTTTTCTATGAAATGAGGATAAAAAAGTATCTTACAGAGTTCTTGAGAAGATGAAAGAAGACACATTTGCAATGGTAAGTGCTTGATAAAGTTAGTACTTTTTTTTTTGAGATGGAGTCTCGCTCTGTCACCCAGGCTGGAGTGCAATGGTGCGATCTTGGCTCACTGCAACCTCCACTTCCCGGGTTCAAGCAATTCTCCTGCTTCAGCCTCCCGAGTAGTTGGGATTACAGGCACCCACCACCACACTCAGCTAATTTGTGTATTTTTAGAAGAGATGGGGTTTCGCCATGTTGGTCAGGCTGGTCTCGAACTCCCAACCTCAGGTGATCCACCAACTTCAGCCTCCCAAAGTGCTGGGATTACAGGTGTGAGCCACCGTGCCTGGCAAAGTTAGCACTTTATTTTATTTTATTTTATTTTATTTTTGAGATGGAGTCTCACTCTGTCGCCCAGGCTGGAGTGCAGTGGCACAATCTCGGCTCACTGCAAGCTCTGCCTCCTGGGTTCACGCCATTCTCCTGCCTCAGCCTCCTGAATCACCGGGACTACCGGCGCCCACCACCACGCCCAGCTAATTTTTGTATTTTTAGTAGAGACGGGGTTTCACCGTGTTAGCCAGGATGGTCTCGATCTCCTGACCTCGTGATCCACCCACCTCAGCCTCCCAAGGTGCTGGGACTACAGGCGTGAGCCACTGTGCCTGGCCAGTACTTATTATTAAGCAGAATATCCATTAACACCTGTCAAAATTGGACAAAGTCCCAACTGACATAAAATTCAGGTTTAATAAAGATTATATACAACATATGAATTACCAACTTCATAAAATTAGAAAATAATTTAACAGTCAAAAACTAAACCTGTTTAAGAGATTTAATGCCAGGAGTGTAAGTCTCATGTCCAATTCCTTAGGTGAATAAGTGGCCAGAATTTGCACAATTTTCACAGTCATCCTAACACCGCTAGCTGGGCCACAGTGGGACACAAGTGGGACCCCAGTCTAAAAACTCTGGCGTTTGGCTGCCTTGTAGACTGTGGTCCAACCACAGATGGCTTGACGGCACTAGTAGATTGGGACTGGCTGGCCAGTCAAATCTTCCACTTGAATGACAAAGTCAATCTTGACAGCAGTGGTAGCAAAGACCAACGGAAGCTTAGTTTCCATAATGGCAAAGTTCAGGAGTTGGGAGCAACAGGGTCCTGTGCTGAGGAGCCAAGGAGAAACTAGAAAAGAGGTAAAAATTCTGGTCCTCCAGGAGCTGGGGCAGTGTGGGAAATGGATTGTTTTTAATCATTCTTCATTTCCTTTTGAATCCTTACAATATATAGCCTAATTGAAGTAGCCTGGATATATATTAGTTGTTTTGCAACCTGAAAGAGTCTACCAGATCATTTTATCTTTGATGATTCGGAACACACTTGAAGATCTCAAAACACTTGAGGGTCAGAATTGTTTGCATCAGTTATCACGTAAGTATAGATGTCTAATTACTTCCTCTTGAGATTTTATGTCTATATTCTGATAGCTGCTACTAAGCGGTAGATCAGGACACTAATTGGGGTCTCTTGGGTCCAACCTATATACTTGATTTAAACAAATATTTATTAAGAAACTGCTATATGTAAGGCACACTGATAAATATTGTGAGCAGTTAACAAATAAATAAGAAGTTTCTCTGCCATCAAGAATATTACAACTTAATGGTATTTGACAAGTTCACAAGTACTATGAGATAGAATGTGATAAATGCTTTAAGAGAGAAGCAAAACTTTCACCATGATCCAGAGGAGGAAGAAATTACAGGCACTTGGGAGGAGAAACATGTCAGGAATCAGGAAAAGCTGTGGGAGGGCATGACTCTAAACACCTTGAAATCCAAGTGAAATTTTGACAGGAAAGGTGAAACCCATGATAGGGAGCAGGAAGAAGTATTGTTTGAGGAATAGCAAGAATCACTGATTGGCTGCTGTGTAGAGAACTTCTAGTAAGAGATAAAGATGGAAGGAAGCTTAAGGCCAGAAAATGAAGGACTTCAAGTGTCAGAATAAGGAATTCAGAATTTATTTAGTAAGTAATGGAGTCTGGTGAGGGTTTTGAGCAGGAAATGATACAATCAGCTGAGTTGGAGGCTGACACATGCTTCCACACTTGAATAACTTTTCTATAAAAGTATGACTTTATCAAAATCTTTATGAATAAAATAACACATACCTATAAAATATGAAGAGGCAATAGAAACACAATAGAGACTAAGACTGTAAATAGTATAACATCTAGGCATAATGTGTTATCCAATTTGCCTTATCAGAGAAAGATGTCAATTTTCTCTCCTAATAATCACTTGAAGCTGATTTCGCAACCATTATTCTCTTCTTCACAGAGCATGGAAAAAACTGGTCCTTCATCAGCTTCTCTCCCTAAGTTGCAGGATAAAGTAGTTATAAAGATTAGGAGCTAGATTGCCTTGAAACTGGAATTTTCATTCATAATTGGCTCAGCCCTTTTGGAGAGCAATCTGGCATGTGTATTAAAAGCTATGGATTAGCCATACCCATTAACCCAGTGTATCCACTTGCAGGTCTCTAGCCTCAGGACATTTTTAAAACAAGGAGAAAGTAATGTGAATTAATATAATCCAATATTATATAGTATAGGAACATATATGGCAATATGATTCACATAATATATAGTAATAAGATAGTATAGTTTACTTATATATATGTAAAAATCAATAAAAACTTAAATTTAAAAAAATAGGAAGACCTCTGTATATAAATGATGAACCATCTATTTCATGAACTGTTATACAGCTGTTTTAAATAATAATTATGAAAACTGGATTTAAAAAATCCAGCAATATGTCTAAGTATTAAAAAAAAGCATGATTACAAATCTATGTAAAAACAGATTTATACAAAAGAGACTTGATGACAACATATATTTTTTAAAAATACCAATTGTGTTGGAATAATTTTATTAAGGGGATGGGTTTTTTCCCTCATTTTGTTTTCCAAAATGCTATTATGTTGTCATAACTATCAAAGAGTTTTTTTTTTTTTAAAAAAAAAGGGATTAAGAACTGGGTGCAGTGGCTCACACCTCTAATCCCAGCACTTTGGGAGGCTGAGGCGGGCAGATCACCTGAGGTCAGGAGTTCAGGACCAGCCTGGCCAACATGGTGAAACCCCACCTCTACTAAAAATACAAAAATTAGCTGGGTGTGGTGGTGGGCACCTGTAGTCCCAGCTACTCGGAAGATTGAGACAGGAGAATCGCTTGAACCTGAGAGACAGAGGTTAGAGTGAGCTGAGATCATGCCATTGCACTCCAGCCTGGGTAACAGAGCAAGACTCTGTCTCAAAAAAAAAAAAAGGATTAAAAATAGATCTCTAAAAAGAAGCTAGTTAGTCCCTTTAAGGCATGTGAAGAAAGAATCAAGTGGCTGTGAGGGGTTTCTTTCCTGACAGATCCCATGGGAACTTAAGTTCCAAGAAAACCTGAAGCTGCCAAAGCCACATAGCACAGGATGAAAAATGAGCTCCACGATGATTTTGTCCTCTTTGATTCTTGCATGACAGTGCAATCAGAAGGGGACATGAAAGGAAAGGAGGACATGTGTGTGACATTTCATTGAGCTGTAGCTCTAGTGTGCACGAATCATCAGACTCCACTCTCCAAGGTCTACTCTCAAACGCTAGGCAGATTCTTGCTTCCTCCTTTCCTTTTCTTCCCTTAGGAATGAGAAATAGGAGATGAGTAACAGAATACTAGGAATAAAATCGATTTACTGGCTGATATTAGCAACATACATTTAGAAACAGAGCTATTTCATTCTCTTTTTAAGTAAACCAGTAAAAGTAAAATGTTTTCTGATCAATTAGGTCATCAGTTGAGACCATGATAAAGGCCTGCTTAAGTATTTTGTGAGTAGCAGGATGCAATATATATTTAATTGCTGGCTACAAATAGTCAAAGTATTATCTCTACGTTTCTTAGAATAATCTTATCTATAGAATAATTCATAATTCTACAATATGTACAGCAACTAAAAGAATTTTAAAAAGCATTACCATATAAAACACAGCAAATTAAATTACTATTTCACAAGGATTTAAATATTACTCCATAATTAATGTTCCCCATGTACTAAAACAGTTTTAAAGCAAAGATCTGACTCAAAGGCAATTAGTACTATTAAATGAAAGTTTTTGCTTTTGGGACTTTTCTTATTTACAAGATATTTTATCATTAATTTAAATTAGGCAACACTTAACTAGGTTGCTGACATGTATATTGTATAAGACAGAAACAAATATTCTTTTCTGAATTCACTTCTATGTGCAGCCACTTTCCACTGGTAGTTGGCTGTTCAGACCTGGTCCTGTGTGCTGGAGTTATTTTCTGGGTGTGCAAACATCTTTAACCCTGCTCCTTCTGACTATTGTGAGGAAGATATACAGAAAGAATGTAGAGTCTCGGCAGTATTTCGCACTTCATTCCGAGGAGGAGGCAAAGGTTAAGAATGAGGAAAATTAGGCAGACAACCATGTGTGGCCGAAAGAAAGGCTTACTATTCTGCAGAGGCCGATTTCCCTGACACAAAGAGAAGAAAGGCCCATGAATGAGATCATGTCAACTTCCTCTGCTTACATAGTAATGCTGGCCTTCTTTCCTTTCGGAAAAACAAGTCATCCATGCACCAGAGTTCAGGGCTGCATTGTAAAATGTTTCCGAACTCCCAGTGACAGCACACTGACACAGGTCCAAGGGACAGGTCCAAGCAAGCTTTTCCAGGCCTGGCCTAAGAGCCCTAGAGAATTCTCAGAGCCTATTTTCTGCATGTTGATGAAATCTAAACCTCTGATTATCCAACAGTCAATGAACTTCTGGAAACATGCTAAATGAATGGACTTGATTTTTCAAGGAGAGTCTTTCAAGAATCTCAAGATGGTGTTGGGCTGGCTTTGGGCTCAGTGATAAATTTTTACATGTTAAAGGGAGGTGATTCCGGTTTTTGGCAGTGTCCCTACTCACGGGGGACGAGACTCAGTAAAATCATTTCACAGATGAACTCTAAGTCAGAAAGAGTTTTTAAAATTATATTTTAATCCATGGATTAGTACACTCAATTTCTTTTATGATTATTTTTCTCGATAAATTATTTTTGCTCTCCAAGAGTGATTCTAGTTAGGGAATATGACATCAATTCCCAGAGTAGGCATTAACTCATGGTAGATTGGAAGGCTGAAGATCATAATATTTCATATAAAGAACGAGGTTCCTATAATCTAATGCTGAACAGCATTACACAATTGTTTTATGGGCAAATGGGCCTCTAAGTTACTGAACATTAAACAATAAGTAATATGTTGCTATGGAAATTCTACATTAAAATCAGATGTGTATAAATGTATTCATTTCAATATTTTTGTATGAAATTTTTTTTTTTTTGCTAAGTCTCTCTTTAAAAAAAATTGAAAAGGCACTGTAGCATTTTCATTGCTTTATGTCAGACTAATGCCCATCTCTGCTAAGGCAGAAATTACTGATAAGGGAATAGGGCATTATTCTAACAATACTTCCCACATTCCCTCCTCAAAGTAAGCTTCCCATGAGGTCAGGTATCCCTACAGACTGAGAGTGGTATTCTTTAGGGTTTCAGAAACAAAGCTATCTCACTCCAGGTAATTTGACAATACAGTAGATGCTCTGTTAACTCACCCCTAAATAGCCAAATTCCCAGACTAGCTGATATGTTCCCAGCCCTGATTCTTGGCCACGGCACACACATGTCTTGTCTCATCACAAACAGGCTCCTCTCTCCAGACAAAGTATCTGAACACCTTTGCTCTCATCATTTGTGTTATATACTTAGCAAGATAGGTTGTGTTTGTGCCCAAATCTGTTTATACGGGTTGTCTTTGTTATTATAAGTAGATGACTTATTTACTATTTAAAATAAACTGATAAAATTAAAGTGGTGGAAGAAAGAGATTTGTATTTTCTGTGAAAGAGGTGGGTTTTTTGGGTGTTTTTTTTTTTTAACATCATCAAATTAGGTGTGGAGGGCCGGGCGTCGTGGCTCACGCCTGTAATCCCAGCACTTTGGGAGGCTGAGGCGGGCAGATCACCTGAGGTCAGGAGTTTGAGACCAGCCTGGCCAACATGGCAAAACCCCATCTCTACTAAAAATATCAAAAAATTAGCCAGGTGTGGTGGTGGACACCTGTAGTCCCAACTACTCGGGAGGCTGAGGCAGGAGAATTGCTTGAACCTGGGAGGTTGCAGTGAGCCGAGATCGTGCCACTGTACTCCAGCCTGGGTGACTAAGCAAGACTCCATCTCAAAAAAAAAAAAAAAAAAAATTTGGTGTGGAGGAGAAAGCTATAAATGGCTGCTGGGATAGTATTAAAATTTAGGAAAATTTTGTTCTCATATTGCTTCAAAAGTTTCTTTAAGTTCTTGCTCCACTTAAAGGAAACCAAACCAAAGAAATCATGCAGTTGAGATGTGAATGCAAAAAAAGATGACGCAGAATATGAGTCAATGGGCCAGAAAGTGTTAGATTAAGGCATATTTATATGTTTTAAGGTAAAAGAAAACATGTAAGATATGCATGTACCATCTGATTCTGTTTTAATTGACTTTGTTTTTATTAACCCACATACTACCTACCAATTCTGATATCTTGAAACAGGAGGATTTCTACTGTAGTGTGTATCACACCCTAGAGTTTAAGAGCTAGAAAGCAGACATGGAATTCAGGAAGCGATTTCACTCAAAGCAAGAAAGGAGAACCTGAGCCTCAGTGATGACAGGAAAGTAGGAGGTGTACATAAGAGAAATTACAGAGTAGAAGTAACCCATTTGTGACCGTTTATGAGAAGGCATTAAGACTCCAAGGTTTGAGTGTGAGTGGGAGGTGGCACCTTGGAAAGACGTGGGGAGACCAGGAGAAGCATCTGGTTTAGTGCAGGAAAGGGGACTCAGGTTTTTGATTGATCGAGTTTGAGATGGACAAAGACCTTCAGGTAGAGATACGTGGATGCTGTTAGGAGGGAGTTAGAAACATAGTTCTATGGAAACATAGTTCTAGAAACATAGTTCTTAGGAAAGAGGTCAATAGTAGAAATACAGGTTTGGAAGTGGCAACATAGACAACAGCAACTGAAGTCCCAAGGATGAAAGAAACCTGAAGGAAAACCAACAAGAGAAGTGGCCTAAGGAAAAAAACAAAACAAAACTATGTTTGAGGGCAAACAGTTTAAGAAAAGCTGTAATACTAAGGAGATAAAAGAGCTGAAAAAACAAAGATGGGAATTACCATTGGACCAGGTCTCAGCATCCAAGGGAGGGGAGAGTTGGGGAAGGGGAAGATGGTCAGGGACATATGCTTCAGGGAAGTGTCACTTAGCCTGTCACCAGGCTCCAGTCATGGAAGCACTCTCAATAGAACATTAAGGGAATACACCAGATTTCAAAAGGTGAAGGATTGAGTATCTGGTGAGGAAGAAGAGTCAAGGGCCATTGTAAGCTCAAGAAGCTCAGAGTGAAGAGAAGGCAGATGGCATTATGCCTTTGTGGGGAAAGTTTGAGTGGTAGTGTTTAAGATAATGAAGGCTTTGGCTGACCATGTTTATGGGAGAAGGGAAGAAAGCATTAAACATACAGTTGGTGAGACAGTAAAAGAGAGGGACCCCGTGGGGGTAGACGAGGGAGAAGCAAGAGAGCCAGAAGGGGCAAACTTGGCAAAAAGGAAAGGGTCTTCTTTCTCCAAGATAGGAGCCAGGAAAGAGAAAGGGTAAAGAGAGGAGGAAAGTTAAAGTGTTCACATCCGCTAGCCTCCATTTTATTACTAAAGTCTCCTCACACAGTGGCCAAATCAATGTTTACTGAATAAACGTGTCTAAAGTCATCTGCTAAGTGAGATTATCAAGGATAGGACTGGGGATTGGAATTGATGCATAACATGTAAGAAGCATACTTACCAAATGGACAACTGATTGATTAGTACATTCAGTGAGATAACCTTTCAATGCCACATAAAGAATAAATTCCTGGACACGTACACCCTCCCAAGACTAATCCAGGAAGAAGTTGAATCTCTGAATACACCAATAAAAGGCTCTGAAATTGAGGCAATAATTAATAGCCTACCAACCAAAAAAAGTCCAGGACCAGATGGATTTGCAGCCGAATTCTACCGACGTACAAAGAGGAGCTGGTACCATTCCTTCTGAAACTATTCCAATCAACAGAAAAAGAGGGAATCCTCCCTAACTCATTTTATGAGGCCAGCATCATCCTGATACCAAAGCCTGGCAGAGACACAACAAAAAAGAGATTTTTAGACCAATATCCCTGATGAACATCGATGCAAAAATCCTCAATAAAATACTGGCAAACCGAATCCAGCAGCACATCAAAAAGCTTATCCACCACGATCAAGTTGGCTTCATCCCCGGGATTCGAGGCTGGTTTAACATATGCAAATCAATAAACTTAATCCATCACATAAACAGAACCAACAACAAAAACCACATGATTATCTCAAAAGATGCAGAAAAGGCCTTTGACAAAATTCAACAACGCTTCATGCTAAAAACTCTCAATAAACTAGGTATTGATGGAATGTATCTGAAAATAATAAGAGCTATTTATGACAAACCCACAGCCAATATCATGCTGAATGGGCAAAAACTGGAAGCATTTTGAAAACTGGCATAAGACAGGGATGCCCTCTCTCACCACTCCTATTCAACACAGTGTTGGAAGTTCTGGCCAGGGCAATCAGGCAAGATAAAGAAATAAATGGTATGCAATTAGGAAAAGAGGAAGTCAAATTGTCCCTGTTTGCAGATGATATGACTGTATATTTAGAAAACTTCATTGTCGCAGCCCACAATCTCCTTAAGCTGATAAGCAACTTCAACAAAGTCTCAGGATACAAAATCAATGTGCAAAAATCACAAGCATTCCTATACACCAATAACAGACAGACAGAGATCCAAATCATGAGTGAACTCCCATTCACAATTGCTACAAAGAGAATAAAATAACTAGGAATCCAACTTACAAGGAACGTGAAGGACCTCATCAAGGAGAACTGCAAACCACTGCTCAACAAAATAAAAGAGGACACAAACAAATGGAGGAACATTCCATGCTCATGGATAGGAAGAATCAATAACGTGAAAATGGCCATACTGCCCAAGGTAATTTATAGATTCAATGCCATCCCCATCAAGCTACCAACGACTTTCTTCACAGAATTGGAAAAAACTACTTTAAAGTTCATATGGAACCAAAAAAGAGCCCACATCGCCAAGTCAATCCTAAGCCAAAAGAACAAAGCTGGAGGCATCACACTACCTGACTTCAAACTATACTATGTGGCTACAGTAACCAAAACAGCATGTTACTGGTACCAAAACAGAGATATAGACCAATGGAACAGAACAGAGGCCTCAGAAATAACACTACCCATCTACAACCATCTGATCTTTGACAAACCTGACAAAAACAAGAAATGGGGAAAGGATTCCCTATTTAATAAATGGTGCTAGGAAAACTGGCTAGCCTTATTTAGAAAGTTGAAACTGGATCCCTTCCTTACACCTTATACAAAAATTAATTCAAGATGGATTAAAGACTTAAATGTTAGACCTAAAACCATGAAAACCCTGGAAGAAAACCTAGGCAATACCATTCAGGACATAGGCATGGGCAAGGACTTCATGACTAAAACACCAAAAGCAATGGCAACAAAAGCCAAAATTGACAAGTGGGATCTAATCAAACTAAAGAGCTCCTGCACAGCAAAAGAAACTACCATCAGAGTGAACAGACAACCTACAGAATGGGAGAAAATTTTTGCAATCTACCCATCTGACAAAGGGCTAATATCCAGAATCTACAAAGAACTCCAACAAATTTACAAGAAAAAGACAAACAACCCCATCAAAAAGTGGACAAAAGATATGAACAGACACTTCTCAAAAGAAGACATTTATGCAGCCAACAGACACATGAAAAAATGCTCATCATCACTGGTCAGAGAAATGCAAATCAAAAACCACAATGAGATATCATCTCACGCCAGTTAGAATGATGATCGTCAAAGTCAGGAAACAACAGATGCTGGAGAGGATGTGGAGAAATAGGAACACTTTTACACGGTTGGTGGGACTGTAAAATTAGTTCAACCATTGTGGAAGACAGTGTGGCAATTCCTCAAGGATCTAGAACTAGAAATACCATTTGACCCAGCCATCCCATTACTGGGTATATACCCAAAGGATTATAAATCATGCTACTATAAAGACACATGCCCACATATGTTTATTGTGGCACTATTCACAATAGCAAAGACTTGGAACCAACCCAAATGTCCATCAATGATAGACTAGATTAAGAAAATGTGGCACATATACACCATTGAATACTATGCAGCCATAAAAAAGGATGAGTTCATGTCCTCTGCAGGGACATGGATGAAGCTGGAAACCATCTTTCTCAGCAAACTATCACAAGGACAGAAAACCAAACATCACATGTTCTCACTCATAGGTGGGAATTGAACAATGAAAACACTTGGACACAGGGCAGGGAACATCACACACCGGGGCCTGTCAGGGGGTTGGGGGCTGAGGGAGGGATAGCATTAGGAGAAATACCTAATGTAAATGATGAGTTGATGGGTGCAGCAAACCAACATGGCACATGTATACCTATGTTACAAACCTGCACTTTATGCACATCATATACCCTAGAACTTAAAGTATAATAAAATAAATAAGTAAATAAAACACTACAAAAATAATTGTTATTGATTTTTTTTCAACCTGGGTAAATATTACATAAATGATCACAAGTACTGTTAGGACCAGAAAAGACTGAATTAAAAATTGCTGGTTTTCTCTCCAGGCTCTCTAGTCTGGTTGGGAAGAATGGATACCTAGAGACTCACTTTTCACAGTGACAAAAATGTTGGGACATTGGCCTAGGTAATAATAGCACAGTGGCTTAGGGAATCCATTTTAATGAATAAATTGCCCTTCTAATTCACACAGCATCGGCCCTAGCTCTTCTGCAAAAGGATTTTCTATAGTTATAGTTGGTGTTTTTAATGAGGCCTCATCAAGCTGTGTGAGATTTGCTTCTTGAAAAGCAGAGCCTTTTCTTGATAAGAATGACAATGTCCAGCTCCGCCTGTCAGAGAGGCCATCCAGCAGACCTTCCCTACTTATTCTCAGCCACTTAAAAAGGTGTCCAATTTAAACATGAAGCGGTTGGATTTGATTTTCCTTTTTAGAAACGTTGAACAGCCGAGACATTTAGAAGGTAATGTGATAGGACTCAGCCTTTACTAGGTTATTTCAATCTTATGCGGAAGCATTTCAACTGCATCGAGTAATCATGTAAGTTGAAAGAGACATTCTGTTTCTGGTGTACATGAACACCGCCCACACTGATCTTAAACGGATAGAAGGAAAATATGTTGTATGATTTGAAGAAATGGGAGGCCTTCCGATGCCCACCTCTCCCAAGATATCTCCCTCATAAGGCTGCCCAAGTCCCAGATAACCTTATTTCATTCCTGCTGAGGAGGTCACTGTAGTTTTATGAGTCACCATTAAAATGAGAATAACCCCAAGGGAGAAGATCATCGTTAACACTTTATATATTGGTATATCAAATTAATCAGCCTGTGAGCTGAGGAAATTAGACCCAGAACAATTAAGTACAGAAAGGCAAAGGAAGCAAGTAGTCTGACCCTAGATATACCAAGCAGGGGAGTAGTTCTGAGTGGCAAACTACCAGGGTGGAGGATCCTGAGCAGCCAGCCTGGTCCCCCAGAGCAGGTCTAGAAATAATTACATCAGCTGAACAGAGGAGTGCTTCCTTAACTTCCCACCCTAAACGCTGGTAGATCAGGTCCATTCCAGAAGAAACATATTTCATAAGGTCAGTTACCTTGTACCCCATAGTTAGCTTCACAGATGAAATTCAAGTCAATGACTCCCCTAATCTGTTTTCTCCTTTGGTTCAGATAAGACCAAAGCATAAGAAAGAGGGGATTAGGACAACAGGTGGACCATTAGACCAGATGATCCTTAGAATCTCTTCTAACATCAAGATCCTAGGATTGTGTAAAATATTGCTGAAAGTGTATGGGCCAAAGCTTAGAATTTCAAAGGTGTTTGGTTAGATAAGACAATCTTGCAATTGAGATTTTGATATTTTGTAACAAAGAAATTATCCTGCTTAATTTTCTATTATTTCTTGACTGATTTTGAGTAAAGAAATCAGCAGTTTGTAACTATATTCTATTTAGCAGTTGAGAGATTCCAACTCCTTCATATACCTTTTGTTTGTTTGTTTGTTTGTTTGTTTGAGACAGGGTCTTGCTCTGTTGGCCAGGCTGGAGCAAAGTGGCGTGATCATAACTCACTGTAGCTTCAATCTCCTGGGCTCAAGTGGTCATCCCACCTTAGCCTCACAGGTGGATGGGGCCACAGTCACATGTCACTACACCCAGATAATTTAAAAATTTTTTCGTAGAGGTGGGGTCTTGCTTGTTGCCCAGGCTGGTCTCAAACTCCTGGCCTCAGGTAATCCTCCTGCCTCAGCCTGCCCAAGGGCTAGGAAAGACATGAGCCATAGCACTGGGACCCTCGTGTACCTCTTCATGTTATTTTGAGATAGAAAAAGGAATAGGAAGGAGAAAATAATGTTTATTAAGCAACTATTAGGCACTTTAAATTAATTATTTTATCTAATTCTCTTTAATACACATTTTCTTTTGTTATCTCCATTTTATAGGAGAGATCATTGGTCTTATGGAGGTTAAATAACTTGCCTATGAACATAGAATCAGAGGGCACAGATTTAGAGTCTAACCAAATTTTTTATACCAAATCTCATGCTTCTTTAATATGCATTGTGTTCTATCTCATACTTTGAGTTGTAATATAGTTTTTTTTATTGATTCCACCAAATCACTCCACTTTCAAGGATGGAAGTCATGTGAGTTTTAAATGTAGCTGAAACCCAAGGACATTTCTGACCCGTATACTGGCCTTGCTAAGTACCCTTTATCAAATAAGGAAGTTTTATGGCTGTTCTATTCATATAAATAATTTCAATTCATTGAAATATAAACTATTAAAGAATTTTAAGTGCTAAATATTGAAATACAATCCTGTTTGTTTTAAAACATATGTTAAAACAAAGCAAAAATGCCATGGGGTCCTTTAGAAAAGAATGTAGTACTCTAAAATATTTCCAGTATGACTAATGTTGCATATCTAAATAGGATGCTTAAAAAAATGACTCTAGAAAGGTTAAGAATTCCTATTCATGTCACCATTGCAGATCTTTATTTACTTTGGTATTTAATTTAAATTTTTACTAATGTAATAAATAGATTACCCACAAATACGGTGACAGGCTTGCTAGCAATTATAAGATCATTTTTATTTTGTATTTCTTTTTAGAGACAAGGTCTCACTCTTGCTGGAGTGCAGTGGCGTGATCATAGCTCACTGCAGCCTCCATCTCCTGGGCTCAAGCTATCCTCCTGTCTCGACCTCCAGAGTACCTGGGATTATAGACTTGAGCCACCACACCCAGCTATAAGTCATATTCTCTGATACAGAGCAAACTAACAAAGTAAGCCATGCCTTTCCTTAAATTAAAGAAGAAGTATATTGTACCCCCCACACAATTTGAAATCATTTTTAAGAAACCTGTAGAAAGAAAATGATGTTCATTAAACTGGTTGACTCCATGAGGTCTGAGTCCTATAACCATGCTTCTCCAAATGTATGATTTTTCCTACAAGAAGAAACAAATAGAAATTGAGTAGTAATTACTTGAGGTTTTAACCTCTCTTCTGTAAGACTTGCTAAGAATAATAAGGCTCTGATCTTGCTTTAGTTCTTAGATTACATCCAGCTCTAGAATGTAACAGCCCCTTGAACTGCAGTTACCACATTCAGACTGTACCACCTAATGTGGTCCACCTCTATCCAGCCTTCCATTAATAAGCCCAATATGCTGAGTTTTTAGATTAAGAAGTGATAAAGCACAGAATTCATCTACTTTCTACGGATTTAAAGTGCTTAAACCAAAGGAGAAGGGGAGCTTAATTCCAAGAGCTGCTGATCTTTCTTGGGCCTTAACCAACCTTTTCTGAAAAAGATAGGTTCCAGATGAATCCCAGAGGTGGGATACTCATGCCAAATATTTCAAAATTCTGAACACACTTCTAAGTATCTACTGCTGTCCTATAACGATTTTTGACTTATTATCTTGGAGAAATTCTTATCCATGGATATATATCTGATTTCATAATAGACATCAATAGAGAAGTGGGATTTGCTTTGCAGAAATTCACTTTATAGCCAAATTTGCTAGCTGCACATATTTGATAAAGTGAGAGATAAGTTTATTTATGTTCATATTTATCATCTCTATATCTGCTTACCTCTCTGGGGTTCCTTCAGACAGAATCTGACAAAAGAAAATTGATATAGAGGAGAATGTGGTTAGTTCAAGAAATATGATAGACCTTATTTGGGAGAGCCCAGCATAACATTTATAACCATCTAGTAGAAGCCTTTCAAAGAGAGTGTATCATTTCACTGCCTCCCCACTTCCAATCTTCTCCACCTAAAAAATAAAGCTAACTAATAAAGAAAGTACTATTCTCATTGTGTTATTCTCGCCCCTATTTTACAGACTAGGAGATAAACGTTTAGTAATGTTATTTGATTTCCTCAAGATCACAAATTTAACAGTGCAGCAATAATCTTTTTATTTTTATTTTTATTTTTTTAAGTTCAGGGTTACAACTGTGGGTTTGTCATATAGGTAAACTTGTGTCACCAGAGTTGGTTGTACAGATTATTTCATCACTGAGGTATTAAGCCCAGTACCCATTAGTTATTTTTCCTGATCCCTCCTTCCAACCTCCTCCCTCCAAAAGGCCCCAGTGTGTGTTGTTCCCCTCTATATGCCCATATGGGTTCTCATTATTTAGCTCCCACTTATATCTTAAGGGAAAGATTCTTTCAGGCCTTTTAACCCCAAATTTTACCTTTCTTTCTCATTCATGAAACCACATTGTCTTGTTGGTTTCATCTAACAACTTAGTGACCATTTTTCTTCTCTTTCTTACATACAGTTCTACTTTCCTTTCCTTCTATTGAATTTCTCTTCTTCCTTCTTTACCCAACTGAGATAAAATAGTTTCTTGAACTCCAAACACTCTTTGTCTCTAAATTCTCTGATTAGAAATAAGATGCTAGCCAAGCTTTATTTCAGGTCAGAGCAGTCTTTATTCTGATTTGGAAAACTAAAACTGTGTGTAGTGGGGAGGGGCGGGAAAAGTAGGGGTAGAACAGTCCAGACATGCAGGTGGGATCTTTAAGTAGGACTCATAACAACAGCCCTTAAGAAACAGGAAGGAGACCTGAAGCTGCAGAGTCATTCATTTGAGCTTCAGATTATTCGCTTTCCTAACTAATCAATAATTGTTATAATTAAAATTGATAGCTGCAAATAACATGACAGAGGGCTTCTGCCAGAATACTGATTGTGTCTTTGGCTTGGAAAGATAGGCAGCAGCGTGGAACACTTATTTTCCAATTTGCTTTTAGCTGTGTGCAAATTGCTTTAGCTGTATCCAGCTGATTTAGACCTTGCCTGGAGGTGCACTAGATTAATTGGGAGCCACACATTCATTGTTTACAGAATGGACTCTGTAATTGGCGAAATTTGTTAGTGCCAGTTATAAAATAACTATATAGTTCTGTTTTTAGCTGTCATTTCATTACTCTTTCTGTTAGAGGGGAGGGGGGACAATTAGAACCCATCTGATGATTAAGATGGGCGCTTTTACATAAGGATTCAAAGGAACATGTCTACAGTCAATATTTTATCCAAGCAAACGTTAGTGTGAATATGGTATTGATTTTTTTCAAAAACTGAAAAAGTACTTGAGCACATAAAAGAATTTTTTCATCTTTGTTGTGACTGAGCCTTAGATAAGAGAGCCTATTTTGTTAGAACTATCAGCAGATTTTTCAAAATGATTCTTTGTTCTCTCTTCTAACTTCATTGGGTTAAATAGAACGAGCACTCTTTCTTGCTTACTGCAAATGAAAGAAATAAGAAAAATCCTGAAGTCACACTCAGGTGCCCTCCAGTTTGTCTTGTTTCTCCCACTTTCTTCTTTGGGTCACAGGGTACCATGGGGACATCCACACTGCCGACTTAAAATACCAGATGAATATGAATGAATATGAAAGTCATTTTTGGCAGAAGGGCATTTTTTAAGAGAAAAACCAGGTAGGCCAAGGACAAAACATAAGTTATAATTACAGATTAGGAAAACAAAAGTTTTTTTTTAGTCCCTTAAAAAGTGTCTTATGTCAATAGACTTAAATATGCGAAATGGTAAATTACATCTCCCACACAACTCGTAGATGTTGCAACGCATGCCAAATTGTACATGCTATTCTCACACATATTCAAAAACCATATATATACACAGAGATGTCACTCAGGACTCTGTCACCTGAGTGACAAAATCCCAACTCAAACTCATTTAAGTAAACAAACAAAGGAGTGGAAGAAGAGTGTGTTTATTAGTTTAGGTAACTAAAAAGTACAGAAGGAGACTGTTAGACACTACCGGATTTATGGGTTCAAAAAGGTATCATGACTCTCTTCTTCCATTTCTTGGCTCAATCTTATTGCCTGCTAGCTTCACTTTCAGAAAAGCTCTTACCCCATGGAGGTCCCTGTCAGACCCAGATTTATATTATATCTGTTCAGCAACTGCAATAAAAAGAAGATGATTCTTTCCTAATAGTTTCAGCAAAATCTCAGACCTATAGTGAGTTACTTGCCCACTTCCTGAACCACACATTATGGCCAGAAGGGTAGAGTATGCTTATCAACCACACCTGAGCCATGTGCTCGCCTGGGCTTAGAGTGAAGGAGGGCAGTCCCCCAAAGGAACACTGAGGTACTGTTACCAAAGAAAGTAGAAATGGACACCAGGCAGGGACAACAAAAAATGGCCACAACCCTACCCACACAAAAGTTACAGTAAACTATTAGGATCCTTAGTAGTACTGCTTAAACTTTTCATTCATTGGTGTCTTTGGGATCTCATTAAAACTAAACATCTTTTCCTGCAGAAAAATGCCTATGTGACCATGTCATGCAAGATGTTGCTTGCTATTTCAGATGGGTTCATGAATCCCTAGAGCCCAACCAGTAACACAGAAACTAGAAATCTTTCTGAAGGAAAAGATGCTTTTTAAAGTATCCCGTATTGTATCTAAGTCCCACAATTTTAGGTTTTTCTTTTCCTTCCAATGGCCTTTTTTCCCCCGAAGTAATTTTGTTTGTGAAGAATTCCTCCTATGCAGGTATTTGTTATCCTTATTATAGAAGGACGAAGGAGGGAGCAGGCCTTCAGTTCTTGCTTTCAGATTTTAGAAAAGAGAGGGGTTTGAAAGAAAACTCAGAAAAAAAAAAGAAAGAGAAAATTACCACAGTCCTAATGTTCAACTTTTATTGAACACTTTGCCCTTGAAGATAGAAGGAATTGTCATATTTCAAGACTAATAATTCTTATAAAAATGTATCATGTTCTGTAGCTATAGAATAAGATCAAAGTTAATGATAGGATGAGATAGTATCCTAAAAGTGAGTATTAACAAAAGACAAGATTAAAGATATGAATTTAAAAATATATAATATCAATTTCATACATGTACATAGAGAAATATCTAGAAAGTTGTATACTAACCAGTTGTATACTTACCAGGATACTAAAAGTGATCCTTTTTAAAGAGTTTAGGAGGAAGAATCAAAGAGACTTCTATTTCCTTCATTCTCACTTAGTTATATATGCCTTGTGCAATGAAAAAACTGTTTAATAAAAGTGAAAATGTTTAAAGTATGAGAGTAAAGATTTCTGATACAAACAAAATGACAATTTGGCCCAGAATTTCTCTTCTCCTGGAAACTGTATTGAGTAACAAGGACTATGGAAACAACTTTTTGGTAAAACTTGGGTACCAAGAACACTATATCAACTTATTGTTATTATTGCTGTCCCAAATAGCAGAGATTAGGCAGAGCCCCAAAGGAAGATGTTCTGGAAGCATCAGGGAACAGCCCAGCAAGGGATGAAGGAGCCCAAACTCACAGCACATCCCAAAAAGCATAAACATACATGAGCTGAAAATGAGAGGGATCCACTAAGAAGTGAAAAACGAAACAGAAGACTGCTGTGAGATGAAACAGAGCTACGATCATGCTATCAGGTTCAGAGAAGAAAAGAGAGCCTGCCGAGCACAGAGATATCATATTGAAGCAAAACGTCTCTAAGACAGCAAAAAAAAAAAAAAAAAAAAGAAGAAGAACCATTACAAAGCCTGGAATTTTATCTTGCCCTATTTCCTACTCCTAACAAAAACATCCTTTAAATAAGTGGTCTAGGAAAATGTAACCCAATCAATTACGTATAACATAATTAGTACAATGTGGTTTTAAAAACATTTTTACAGAACTAAAACTTAGAAATAGGTTTAAAAAAACACTCGTTAAAAAGATATTGCCATAGAGTAGATAAAATTCATAATCACAAAAGTATCGTGACTTTTTAAAGTAATAAAAAATTACCTCCATAAAGCAAGACTACAAAATAAAAATATAAGAACACAGAGAAGACTAAGCACCCAAGGGAGTATAAAATATCACTGATAGAACTTAGGAAATAAATACAAGAAAAAAATTAAAGAAATGAATTTTTCTAAATGGAAGGAGCAAAGGGGGAAATGGAAAAAACGCAAAAAGAAATATTAAAGATAGAAATGCAATAAGCTAACAAGATAGAAATTTTTTAAAAAATTAAAGACTTGTACAGAAAATAATGGTTATAAAAGACAAAATGTATCTAATTCATCTAGAAATCAAGGATATTCAATGTACACATAATTGGAATCTCCAAAGGTGGGAATGTAAAACAGAGCAAGTATTCTGAAACCATCAGCAAATAAACTTTCCTGAAATAAACAAAGATTTGTATCTACACATTCAAAAGGCACATTTTGTATTAGGGAAACCAAAATAGAACAATCAACACTGAGACATAACCTTTTCTTTTTTTTTTTTTTTTTTTTGAGACAGAGTTTTGCTCTTGTTGCGCAGGCTGGAGTGCAATGGCATGATCTCAGCTCACCACAACCTCTGCCTCCCAGGTTCAAGTGATTCTCCTGCCTCGGCCTCCCAAGTAGCTGGGATTACAGGCATGTGCCACCACACCCGGCTAGTTTTGTAATTTTAGTACAGACAGGGTTTCTCCATGTTGGTCAGGCTGGTTTCGAACTCCCAACCCCAGGTGATCTGCCTGCGTCGGCCTCCGAAACTGCTGGGATTACAGGCGTGAGCCACCATGCCCGGCAACATAATCTTTTTAACTCTGACATATGAAGTACCATAAGAGGGTACTTAGCCTATTATTAATAAAGATATCTATTCGTTTGCTACTCCATCTGAGCACTTTTCTAATAAAGTTATGGGAATTTTAAGATAAAGAAGTAATATTCTGCACAGCTAGGCAAAAAGATCACATCATTTACAGTAAGAATTTGGTTTCATTTTGTTTTAGGTGTGAACATGTTTTTATAACCTCTTAAAAATAATAAAAATTGAGAGGAGAAGGTAGAAGATAGAAAACAGGTGAGGACAAGGGAATGTTATTTAATATTGACCAAGTGGTGGAAGGGTTAGCACTACAAAGGCGACAACAAAAATGATAAGACTAAATTTGGAGGAAGGAGAGTACACAGAGAAGGAAAAGAACATCAACTAATCGTATCATGGATGATGGTAAGGAACAAAGAGGATGGGTGTTACTAAATAAAGGGAGCCTTGTACAAGGGAGGCTTTGGATGAAGAAGCCTTTGTATGGGGTAATTACACTTTTATATAACACAAGCAAGTTGTGCAAAATATTTGCACAAAAATATAAACCTTCTCAAATATCACAAGAATTACAATGTCAAAATTAGCAAAAAGATAACATAGTACAAAATAATATGACAGAACAGAGACAAACATATATTTTAGAGCCATAAATAAAATGAGCTAAATTTGAGTATTCAAAAAAAGTTTCTAAGAAACTTATCTCTACCCTTCCTAAAAGAGACACACCCAAAACAAATGATTCAGAAAGCTTGGGATGAAAAGGTTGGGCAAAGGTATTCAGGCAAATACAAAATACTTGCATATATATACAAAAGATCTAGGCTTGCCTCCATTGACATAGAAATATATGAGTATACGAGATGGCAATACAAGGCAATTGTTTTACATCAAGAGCTATCTTAAGCCTGCTTACCGTTCCTGGTCCCATCAGTGACTCCCAGTCCCTAGAGACTAAGCAGGAGAAAAGCAGGGAAGGTGGAAGGAAGCCTTTCTGTTACTCTGGGCATTAACTAATCACAAGTCCCTCACCAAACTCATTTCTCGCTAAACACGTAAGGAATATAAACTGCTCTTTTCAAAGCAGCAGCTCACAGTGCAGAGGAGTCCACTACTTGCTCCTAACTGCCCATCACAACGCATTCTTAAAATGATAAGACTTTCTCCATTACTTCAAAATAAGACATCTGCTAAAAGAACGTTAGATAGACAGCTTCACAATTGATATATTTAACTCCAAGATGTCTATTTTTAACTCTGAGATATTAAGTACCATAAGAGGGTACTTAGCCTATTATTAATAAAGATATCTATTTATTTTCTACTCCATTTGGGCACTTTTCTCATTAAGCCTGTAAGAATATGCATATAATGTTATGCTAGAATAAAATATTAATCGCTAATAGCCAAAGACAAATTTTGTATAAATCAAAGCCATTACCATCACGGTAAAAGATTATATAACTAATAAACATTCTCCCTTTATTTAATATATATTAAATTAATTGAATAGAAATAAATTAAATAGAGGTAGCAATACCAAAAGAGATAGAGATAATTTGGAGACACATCATGCCATATATTGTTGGTGAAAAAAAAGTCAGTTTATTTTTAAAGCGATTCATGTCTTTCATTTTAAAAAACCATAGTTCATAATTATATTAATTAACAATATTTCCTCCCCCCCAGACTACTTTTTTCCACTTCCCATTCATCATAAATCTCTGCTGCTAACAGTTTGAAATACTTTGCTTTCCAGGTTTTTCTCTCCAAATATAAATATACTGCACAAACACACGTACACATCTACACACAAACATACACATATATAAACATGTATTCATTGTTTTTTGTCTCTACAGAAATAAGATTGTACTCTTATAACCCTATACATAGTATCTAGCGAATTCACTTGTTAACAATATGTGATGGCCACTGTATCGTGTAAATACATGAAGACTTATTTCATCCTTTTCAAGGCAGTATACTGTGGCCCTGCTGTTACTAGAACACACTGATGGACATTTAGGTAGTTTTCAGTGATTTAAAATGATGCAATGAGCATTTTTGTACAGTGTCTTTGTGCAATTGAGGGTGAAGGGCTATAGACTATTTCCGAAAAGGAAATTATTATGTGCATTTACATTTTTGACAAATAGTGCCAAATTTGTCTCTAGTAAATTTCTCACCAACGGTGCAGGAATTTGCACCCACACACTCACCAACATTTAACCTTTGTCATACTGATAGATGAAAAAATAATCTGTTGTCCTTTTAATTCACTAAATGACCATCTTTTCATATTTTTCTCAGTCATCACAGTTTCTTTTCTGTTAACAGTTGTCTATACCCTTTGCTCATCTTTTCTGTGAGGTTGCTGGCTCAATGCTTTTTACAAATAATTTGAGTATAAAAATTGGCCGTTTGCCTGAGGTATATTTTGCAAATATTTTCCCGTTTCCTGTTTGCTATTTGACTTTATTTATGATGTTATTCCCCAAGTGCAACTTAAAATTTTTAAAATGTAATCAAATTATCCATCGTTTCCTATGTGGCTTCTGAATTTCATGCTATGCACAGAAGCACTGCTCCAATTCCAAGAATAGAAATAAATTCATCCACATTTTCTTCTAGTAGTGTGATACTTGCACTAAAAGTTTGATCCATCTGGAATTTATTTTGTTGTAAGGCATTATATAGGATTCCAGGCTAATTTTTTTCCATATGGCTAACCAATGTGTCAAGGTATATTTAGGGCACTAACATCTCACATTTGCTGGTCAAGTAATGTTTTATTACAAATACAGATAAAATTACCTTTATGTTTTCATGTATTAATTTTACTTATTAGTTTTATTTGCTTGTTCGTTTGTTCATTTGTTTTCTTAGACAGGGTCTCTCACTCTATTGCCCAGGCTGGAACGCAGTGGTGTGAACACGACTCACTGCAGCCAGCCTCCACCTCTTGGGCTAAAGTGATCCTCCCACCTCAGCTTCCTGAGTAGCTGGGACGACAAGCGTGTGCCACCATGCCTGGCAGAAACATTAACAGTACACTCTTGTTGTTTCATAAGTTTTATGATTTTTTTAAGAAACATATTCTGCAACTTACAAATAAATAAAATGCAATTGCTAGTTCTGTGTTACAGGAACATGAAAAAGGAATATTCCCTTAATTTCTTTTCAACAACAGACTCCAAAAAAAAGAAAAAAATGAAAACAATTATACTGCACAAAAACATTTTTAATTGACTCTTTTAGTAGATCTTAAATTGGCTTTCAGGGTTTTATATCAGATGAGATTGTTATGCCCTTTTGCTTCATAAACAAACACTGCAACACTGCTTTCTTTTTTTTTTTGAGACGGAGTTTTGCTCTTGTCACCCCAGGCTGGAGTGCAATGGCACAATCTCAGCTCACTGCAACCTCTGCTTCCCAGGTTCAAGAGATTCTCCTGCCTCAGCCTCCTGAGTAGCTGGGATTACAGGCACCTGCCACCATGCCAGATAATTTTATTTATTTATTTATTTATTTATTTTTGAGATGGAGTCTCACTCTGTCACCCAGGCTGGAATGCAATGGCACAGTCTCAGCTCACTGCAACTTCCGCCTCCCGTGTTCAAGTGATTCTCCCACCTCAGCCTCCCAAGTAGCTGGGACTACAGGCGTGTGCCACCACACCCTGCTAATTTTTGTATTTTTAGTAGAGATGAAGTGTCACCATGTTGGCCAGGGTGGTCTCGAACTCCTGACCTCAGATGATCCACCTGCCTTGGTCTCCCAAAGTGCTGAGATTACAGGCGTGAGCCACCGCACCTGGCTCAACATTTCTATTAGTAGGAAATATGTTGGTGTTCTGTCCCAGCTAACTCAAATCATGAAACTAGTGCAAAGTATAAAATATCATATTATTCAAAATATATTCAAATGGGCAGAAGGAAATAGATAAGGACTAACTGAAACAGGACATCCTGGGGGAAAAGCCAATTTTATTGTAAAAATTGAACAATCAGTTAAAAAGCAACCGTGTCCCTTGATCTTAAAGGTGCTAATTTATCTCCTCCTGTCTTGCAAACTTCTGCCATTAAACTTCCTTCCAGAGCTGGCTGGATCTGTTCTCTAGGCTGACCCATGGCTGCTCTTGCCCAGTCCCTTCTTTCACCCTGGGGTGGCTGCCTTATCCCACACTGTCTTCTCACCTTGGTATCATTGCAAAATCGAAATGACTGGTAGGCAAACAAGTGAAATTAATACCCATTATCCTTTCCCCCGCCAACCACCCATAACTCACATTCTCAGCAGCTTTTATAAAATACCACTCTACAAAGAAGCAGCTGGCACCATCTTCTATAATTTTTCTTACCTCCTGCCTTTCCTAAAATCTTCCATGCATGTGATAACGAATCATCTAAACAAGCAGCTCCTTCATTCTCTTTAAAGTAAAAATGAAGTTCTTACAAGAGTTTACAAGATCGTAATGAATGTGTCACCTTCCCCACCCAAGCACACACACAACTCTTGGGCTTCATGCAATGACCATTTGCTGAATTGAGAATATTCAATTCTGTTAGAGAAGGCAAAGAAATAAATGAAATTGATGCAAATCGTTAGATGTGTTAAGCATAATTAAATTATTTACCTGGGAGATACCTTAGAGGGATAAAGTAAGTAGAGCATATATGTGTGAACCTAGTTAGGAAGGAAAGGAAGAACCAAGTAAATACTAAATATTCATGATACCCCAAATATACATGAGAAACATGAAGCACTAAATATTTATTGTATCCTAAATATTAAATGAGGTCACGAAGCACTCACTATCCGTGAAGTCTTATCTCAGCCACTCAGTGACAACCATGCAGGGCCTCAGCTGCCCCCTACCCTGGAGATGCAAATAAAGCCCTTAACTGCTCATCAGGCTAATGCTACAGCCCTTGGCCAGGCTCTCCAATAGAGCAGACATGTGCTCACTCCAGGCACCTTCCGTCTTCTTCGTCCTCTACTTGGGCCCTCATAACCACATTACCAGAAGGAAAGCCTGAGGCAGCACAAAGACCGACAAGATATACAATCATTGTGTAACCCTATCAGGTCCTGTGGCCCTTCCATTTGCTTGTACTCCCCAGCCTAGGTGCATTAACTTACCGCATTGTTTTTTTTTTTTTGAGGCAGGGCCTGACTCTGTCGCCAAGGCTGGAGTATAGTGGTGCAATCATAGCTCACTGCAGCCTCAAACTCCTGGCCTCAAACAATCCTCCTGCCTCAGCCTCCCAAGTAGCTAGGACTACAAGTATGCACCACCATGCTCAGCTAATTTTTTAGTTTTGTTTGTTTGTTTGTTTGTTTGTAGAGACAAGGTCTCACTACATTGCCCAGGCTGGTCTTGAACTCCTGGCCTCAGGTGATCCTTCCACCTCGGCCTCTTGTGTTACTGGGATTACACATAAGAGCCACCATGGCTGGCCTCCACTCCATTTTATTCAACTTGCTTCTCACTATATGCTTTAGTTTAAATGCTTCAGCAAACTCTGATCTGTGCATTTTAAATCTGTGAGCTGCCTGTCCCACAATTACAGGATAGCATGCCTGGCTGTGTAGCTGAAGGTTACTGTTGCCTCAAGGTTGTGTCCACACGACACCTCATCTGCCATTCTGCCCCTCACCTGTATTCCAACCACAATGTTTCCCATGCTTTCCCTTAAACACTTCAGACACATTCTCACCTCAGGACCTTTGCACCTGCTCTTCCCTCTGCCTGAAACATTTCCTGAGACATCTGCATGACTTGCTCCTTTAGTGCCTTCAGATGTCTCTTCCCTGAACCTCCTACAGAAAATTATGTCATTTTCCCAACAACAATTTCCAATTCTCTAACACCAACTGGGTGTCCTACAACCCAGTTCAATTCGGACATTACTTGGAGTGAGTGCAGATCCACAGAGTTAAGGATTCAGTCCCACAAGACTTCCTTCACTTCAGGTGCCAGCCACAAACGGGGTCCCCAGACTACCTGCATTTCTGCCCAGCCAACTGCAAATTTGAGGCTTCTCATGATCCCCTTGTGGTTCAATAATTTGCAAAAGTGACTCACAGAACTCAGGAAAGAGTTATAATCTCAGTTTTATTATGAAGAATACAACACAGAACAGCCAAATAGAAGAGATGTGTAAGACAAGGTATGGAGACAGGGGTGGCACAGAGCCTCCATGCCCTCCCCAGGCATGCCACCACCCAGCACATGGGTTCAGCAGCCCCGTTCACCAGCTCCCTAAACCTTGTTTTTGAAGAGTTTTTATTGAAGGGTCATTATATAGCCATGGCTGATTAAATCACCAGCCATTGGTGACAGGACTCAATCTCCAGTCCTTCTTCCCTGCAAAAGTTCCAACCCTCTAATCACGAGGTTGGTTCCTCTGATGACCGGCCCCTTCCTGAAACTACCTAAGGGCCCGCCAAAAGTAACCTCATTAGCGTAAAGTCAGGTAAGGTACAAAAGGGTTCATTATGAAAAATAAAACCTTCTAGAGGTTGTGGGTGAGGCAAATTCTCAAAGAAAGGAGGCAGATCAATGGCATCTCTACTGTATCCTGACATGACATTTGCTCACTCATTCATCTGACAATACTTAAGTGCCTGTTTTAGGCGAAACACTGTTCTGGATGCTGGAGACAGAATAGTAGGAAAAAATGATTAGGTCCCTGCTCTTATGGAGTTTATATTCTAATGGCAGGAGAGGCCATAATCAGATACACGAACAAATATTTAACATGTCATTTGATGGTAAACAAAATGGAAAAAGTAAAGTACGACAAAAGAGGAAGCACTCAGGGAAAAGGGGGACATTTCTATTTTGTGGTATAAAAAATAAGTGTATATATATATATACTTGTATACACTATATATACACTATATAGTATATACATACATATATACACTATATAGTGTATATACATACATATATACACTATACATATATACATATATGTATATATGTGTGTATATATACATATATGTATATATGTGTGTGTATATATACATATATGTATATATGTGTGTATATATACATATATGTATATATGTGTGTATATATACATACATATGTATATATATACACATATATGTATATGTAGACTATATATACATATATATGCACATATATATGTATATGTAGTCCCTCTAGCTGACCCGAAAAGACCACTTGTTCACATGTATATATGTATATGGTCTTTGCCACCCCACAATTGCTGGCACAGAGCTCCTAAAACCCTTGGAATCACAGGAGTGTTGACAGTCCTATATAATTCCATACGCCTCTCCCAAATCCGGCCCAGCCACATTTGGTTATTCCTTGGATGGAAATCCACTGCACTTGGCACAGGAATTTGGAGTGCAAACTGAAAGGCTAGGTCAGTTAAATGATGGTGAGAAACGAGCCCTCGTGAGCTCCATAGCAATTTCAGGCCACGTTCAATTACAAGAATAGGGAAGTCACAAAGAGGTAGAAACGGTCTGTCTGCAGAAGCGGGAGAACGGGACAGAGACACCAAGAGAAGAAGGGGTAAGAGATTATGTGATATTTGAGCGAGATTTAGGGATTTTCTAGACACCAACAACCACTATGACCTGCCAATTCCCTTCCTATCCTTGGATAGTGAGACGGATTCTTATACGCTTTCAATAAACCTTCTTTGTAACTAAGCTGGTTTGCGTGAACTTCTGCTCCTAGTCATAAATATTCCTTCGACAAAGGGCTTAGATGAAAGTGGTGTGGGGAGTCAAAAGAAGCCAAAAATAGGAGCCAGCTTAGCAACTGTTCCCGCCCCACACTGCCCAGCCTCCACTCCCTCAGCAAGTTCATTCTATCCTGTGGCCCCTGGGCCTGGCCACTTCCATCCTTTCTCTTGAGAATCTGCAATTAGAACTGGAAGATGACAGAGAGTATTGCCAGTCAGGCGAGGTCATGTGTTTGGAGAATCAGAGAGAGCCAGTGTGCAGAGAGAGGAATGAGGCAGAGGAGGAGTAACAGCGACAAAACAAACCACGATGTGTGTGAGAGAGAAGCTTCCATGGTGCCTAGACCTCCCAGGTCCCACCAGTGCCAGCCCCTAGGAAGCTTGGACACACTTGCCACCCTTGCTCCTGTAAGAACCCCTCTGTTCTTACATCTGTCTACTTTGCTTACATTTGCTTGAATAGATTTCTGTGATTTACGCCTTAAACATCCTTGACCAAGGCACAGTGGCCCTGGAAAGCAGGAGGTACACAGGGGAGCCCTGCTAAGCATTCAGAGGGAGGCTTCCAGGCCTGCGGAGTTGCTGACATCGAGTGGGACAAGATTAGAGATTCTCAGCCTCCCAGGAGGATATCGCATTCATGTTAGGTGCCAATTCATCAATTTCCACCACTGGACGATGACAAGGGAGTCCCTCTAGCTGACCCGGGAAGGCCACTTGCTCACCCACCACACCCTGAGCACACCTCATCCACTGGAGTCAGTCAGAGGAATGTCCCTGGGCCCCATAGGCTTCCAGAAGCTACATTGCCACAGTGTGAGGACTGTCAAGCTGGAAGCCATTTAGAGGCTGGCTGCTCACAGGCACCGGGCGAGCTCGGCGCTGGCTCTCTCTGCTTCTGACTCCTCAGCTCCCTGCCAGTGCCTGACAGGGGTGGAGTGACTCACCGCATATCCCTACCTCTGAGCACATCTGTGGCTCCCCAGTGTCCCGTGATGGCCCAGCCCACAGCACCGCAGGGTCAGAGGCTTCCTCGGCTGTCTGCTGGGGCCTCTCCATGAGTCATCCCTGCTTCAGCCCTCAGCAGCCCTCAGCAGAGGGAACGGTCTGGTCACCAAGCTGTTGTCACAAAATCCACCTTTTATGGTCTGCCTCCCAGTATCTTATCACTGAGGGGATGGTGGGGGCTGGGGATGGCAGACACACGGGCACCTGGGGGTTTCTGAGGCTGAGCACAGCAGGCTCCCAGGTTTATGAGCTTTCGAGGCAGAGTCTCACAGTGAGTGCTTGTCTTCATGGCAGACCTTCTTGGCCAGCACTAGGTCTGCAGAGTTCAGCTTTGCTCAGCTTTACGGAGACATCTATGTGCTCATCCAGAGGTGGGAGGGGGTGCCCCACTCTGTCTATAAGTGGGAGAGGGCAGGGCCTGGGCACCCTATCCCCAGGACACAGGACCTGGGCACCCAGTACCTAGGCCCCTCACAGGTACTCAGGAAATACTTCCTGAATGAATTCTGTCTCATGACCTGCTCACCCACTTTCAAAATTCCTTCTTTTGAAGGAATTAACCCTACCCCAAGGGTTTGCAGTCACTAGATCTGCTGGGTGGGTCACTCGCCCACCACTCACCCAATCAGGGACAAATTCAGGTTGGTAGAGGGGCAGGAAAATGAGGCCAGTCCTTTTTCTTCTTCCCTACCAGACACATTCTGCTCTGCTGAGAGTGGAGAGAGGGCCAAAGGCAGAGAGGATTATGCCCCCACCCAGCTGGAAGTTCTAGGGGTTGCCCACCCATTCTTTCCCTTCCAGCAAGAGTGAGATGGCTTTCTGAGACTTGGTCAACGCCCTTTCCTAACGTTGATAACTCTAAGTCAGAGACCCCAAGCTAAAGCCTGGTTTCTCTTTCTCCTGAAGGAATCTCCCTTGTTCCTGATATGGTGAGATTCTCCCTCTGCCAGTGGGCTAATTTGTTCTTTCTCTTTCCAATTTTGGTATACCAGGGCTCAACGCTTGCCCTTCCTAACATTCCAGTCCCTTCACCCCTCCACCCACCCCTCCTAATTATGTCTAAATTCTAGTAAAAATGGTCCTGAGTTCCTCTTTTCTGTCCAGAGTGCAGAACTTGCTTTGGGGGAGAAGGTAGGTCCCTGTTCTTTCTTATAGGCTGTAAGTTCTGGGGAACCTCTGAAGAGCAGAGTGTGTGTGTGTGTGTGTGTGTGTGTGTGTGTGTGTGTGTGTGTATGCATGTGTGCGTGTGTGCTAGGGAATGGTGGAAGAGAGTGGCACCTTTCCTCCTACCCATAGAGTCTTACTCAGCTGTGTCATGGAAGAGAGAGAAAAGAAAGACGGTAGGTTTCTGAATCTCTTCATGTTCCTTCGGAACAGTGCGTTCAGTGCAGCCCTGTGCCCGCTATCCTAATTCTACCCAATCACCAGATTCTCTAAGGAAAAATCAGTTACAGCGGAGGGTCTCTGTGAGTTCTGCTGGAGTGTAAACAACTGTCTGCCTCCCACCAGCACCCATCCCAGACTCACACCTCAGGAGAACCCAGAGGACACTAAGAGATTCTACCACGTTTCACTGGCCTCAAAGAAAGTTTCATGCCTCAGACAAAACATTCATCCCCCCCTTCGTTCTCCCCAACAGAATCCTAGTTCTAAGCCATGAGCCACTCCTCCCATGCATGACTCAGGGGCAGATTCTCATCCTTCTTAGCCTGAGGAACTCATGGCAATCCCATTCTCTTCCTGTAATGTTTCAGGAGTCACCATGTGGCCTGGTTCTGGCCAAGGATATGGGAGAGATGCCTGCCAGAGGCATCTGAGGAAGGTTTCTTCCCTCCTAAGAGACACAGGAAGACACAGTTCTCTCCCCTGGACACTGATGTCTCCAGAGAGAGATCTGGAACTCATGTGGCCATAACACAGGGGACAAGCCCAAGGAAGACTGAGCAAAGAGTATCACAGAGAAGCAGAGTCAGCAGCATGCGGGATGATGTCTGGAGATTACCCTGCTCTTGGCTCAGCATTGGGGAGAGAACACATTTCCTTGCAGTTGATGGCAGTTTCAGTCATGGTTTCTGTTACAGGCAGCTGAAAACATCCAGCTGTACAGCAGCCTTGCTAGAAACAGTCTCCCTCTCCATGGTTATTACGCTGAAAGGTCATCCCTACTAGGCTAGGGATTCCACCCCACTTCCCCCACCCTGGAAAATTCCGATCTGGTCTAGGTTGGGTGGCTGGACTACCTTCTCTGGAGAGTGGTGAGGAAGATGGAACTACTTTCTCTTTCAGACCTATAGTTCAGTGACCTCCAGTGATTAAATGGGGCCAGGATGTCTTGATTCAGTGGCCCCTGCCACCCTTATTAGGAAGAATTTTTCAATCAATTTCTGTATTTTGCCCCAACACATACTATTTAGAGCAAAGTCCTCTGAGAAGCCAAGAAAAATCTAGGCATTCATTTTTTGAGGCTCTCACCATATCGAAATAAAGAAGCAATTTCAATATAACATTGCAGAAATTATAATTTAAATGTTTACATCTTGCAAGTAAGTATGTTTCACATATTCCCTTGTCCCTCAGTACACACAAAATACACTGGAGAAGGATCTGGTTAGGGGAGGGTATTTAAAGAGTTAAAGCTGAGGTTTGAGCATCCTTCTTTCTAATATTTTCAAAAATCCCCTGAGACAGTGAGAATGACATCATTTGTAGATAATTGAAAGTACAAATTTGGGGCCCTTTGTCAGAACGTTGGAATGACCCTTTGTAGGAGCCCATGATAGTCTCTGCCAGAATCACAAAAGCATCAGCCTTCCCACCAGCCTCTGACACCCAAGCACCAGTTCCCGTGAAGCCCAACTCTTGTATTCTGAGCTTCTAGTCATCAGATACATATGGTAGAGTATTGAAAGAGGCAAGGGCTGCCATGACAATGAGAAAACAAAAAAAAAGGTAACCTTTTCAGCAACCTCTGCCAGCAATGCACTGAAGAGCCGCTAGGCTCTCAGGATCCTGGGCCTGGAATGTGGAGTTTAACAAGGGCTTGATGCCTGGCTCCAGCACAGGCTGCACAGAGGCTTTGTCTCATAGCAGCCTGGAGAGACACACCATTATTTTCCCCTCTGAAATAATAAGCACTTTAGCAAAGGAAAATCTTGTCAATTCCCTAGGGAGTGTATTATCCCTTCTCTGAAGCAGTATAACATAGGGGTTATGGTCCTGTCACTTACACAGTGGTGTGAACTTGGGCAAATTACTTTAGCTTGATGCCTCAGTTTTTCCAGCTCTAAAATGCGAATAGTAATTGGGTGATTATGAGAACTAAATGAGTTCTTACATGTGAAGTGCAAAGTAAATATACTATAATTTTGATGATGGTCATTATACCAGTTGTAATATTGTATATTATACAGTAGAACTATTATACTATTGTTATTGTGTTAATACTGCCCAGGCAGAAAGGGATTTGTGTTGGGTGGTGTGGCAGGTAGAGTGGTAGCCCCCAAAGATGTCCATGTCCTAATCCCCAGAATCTGTGAAACGGTTGTTACGTGGCAAAGGGGAATTAAGATTGCAGATGGAACTAAAATTGTTAATCAGGTGACATTGAGAGAAGGAGATGATACTGGATTATTTGGATGGATTCTATCTAATCAAAGATCATTATAAGAGGGTGGCAGGAGAGCCAAAGATGTGATGATAGCATGAAAGTAAAAGAGAAAAAGATAACACCTCCATAAATCAGTAGAAAGTTGGGTCAATAAGTAACGATTCTGGTTCCCCAACTTTTCTGACTGAAGAAATCAGTGCTTTAAAACACTGAAGGTAAATAAATAACTTCCAAAGTTTCCAATAGTTGAAAGGAGGAATAGTGCCATGTTAAGTCTCCTTGCCTGAAATTGGGGGGTTGTGAGGGTGACACCCTTGAAAGTTATAGGGGTCATGATTTAGTCCCATAAGAGTTTAGTTTCTTGCAGAGGTGGCAAACAGCCTTCATGTTGCGTGTCAACTTTGGTCTGTTTTTTAGGGACTACTGGGAAAGCTGCACTGAGAAACTTGTTATGAGGTCTCACACACATTCAGGTGGAGAGAATGCGGCAATGATTAGCCACGTCCGTTATGGACACAGGAAAGAAGCTTTGTTCCATCGTACTACTTGCCATTCCAGGTAGACAGGAACATGACAACAGCTGGCCAAGGGTCAGGCTAGTCTGATCAGACCTAAACCTAGACTTGTCCATGGGTGTTATCATGCCTTGTGTTCATGATAGCCCTGGATACTTTAACTTTCTCCATATTGCAGATTTTGATGTTTCCTTTCATTTTATTTTCAAATGTCTAAGTGAAAAAAAAAAACTTCACTGAAATGTATAGTGTATGTGAGAATCTCTCAAAGTTTGTTCCTGTGTATGAAAGAAATGCCTCTCCCTGTGTGAAGAAAATCTGAATTCAATCCCAGCAACTCAATTAAGATTTATCCATTTTTTTCCAGGTTTTCCACTGACAGCCTTCATTCCAGAAGAAATAATATGTATTTTTAGTGGGCTAGCACTGCTAATTGACGTGCTGTGAAATGAATCCAGCCCTCAGATGTGGTTTTAAAATTGAATTCATCTTCAACCTAAAAGAACTACTAATTATTATGTTAAAATCTGGGTCATCCAATTCTTTTTAAAGAGCTAGAGGTCTGGTCCAACTTTATCCACATTGGTCAAATGAGCATCCCCATTCTGTTTACATCGAGTTACAAGGAAACATCGATGGCTTTCCTATCTCCAAAAGCAACAAAGAACGATAGAACTCAGCACTCTACCTGTGGGGCAGGGGCTAGGCATGAGTTCTAAATTTCATACGACCTGTTGGTTGTCACAATTTGTTGGGGAGGTTGCTACTGGTATCTCCAGAGTAGAGGTCAGGAGTACTGCTAAATATACTACAATGCACAGAACAGTTCCCCCACAGCAAAGAATTATCTGGTCCCATATGTCAATAGTGCCAAGGTTGAGAACTCACCCCTTGCTTTAAAGAGTGATTTTGTTAAGAAAAATGAAAAGTCAGACTGGGGGCCTTGCTTTGTTTTCTCTTCTAAAGTTAACTGAAAGTAAACAACATTTATGACTCAGGCTACTGCAAAAAGCAGGGAATGGATGACTGTGGTTAGTGACAAAAACAATAATAAATGGCTTTGCCTGTCTTGTCTCTTTCAGAGTCAGGGAAGGAATGAAATGACCAGTAATTATCATTTAAACTGCTGTTTTTATCCTGCATCAATCAGAGCTATTCATTCTGGTTACTCACAGACCCTTGGGCTGAAACCACACTAAATCAGGGTCACAGCCAGTGTGAATGTATAAGGCCACACGTTTTACTCTGCAAGTGTTAATGACCTGGGCTGAACAGCAATGGCAAGTTTCCATGAAAAAGTCATCTGAGATTGTAATCTAGGAATAAATGGTTCTGTATGGAGCCTATTACCTGGTTTTTAATATTCTGTATTCAAGGGGACCACAGCTGTAAACAACTCTTCACTCCCATTTCTCCATGAAGTTAATTTGCACTGTGTCAGCACTGCAGGCTTTTTGCATATGTTCAGGACAAGCTGATATGAGCAGGCCTGGAATGAGTAATGTTTAGTAAAATCAATAAACCCTATTATTAGTCACTAAGGGGACTGATTTTATGTCTATAAAAGTAAAACAATTAGAATGTATTAATGGCAGATTCATCATAGTAATATAATGGAGCCAAGTACACTTGTCTTTTGGGAATCTTTAATTTACCACTCGGTACTGACTATATACTCAGCCAGAGAAATGGCACACGTAATATAAATAAGCCCTGGCCTTTGGCAATTCATGTTGTCATCAGCAAAGACAACACTGTAACAGTAAGAGGAAGAAACAAAACTTCATTTAGTGATTAATGTAAACCAGTCACGAATAATGTTCCAGTAAAAGCCTAGGGGAAGAGCCTATTCAAATTGCAATGTGCTTTTGGTCATATATCTCTTTGTATTTATCAGCATTCCTGTTTATTACAGGAGCAGAGTTAAACATGGTCCAATGCAGCTATTTATAACCTGTTTACTTAACCACCTAATTAGAAGTGATTTTAAAAAGCCTGCTATGTAATAAACATACATCTAGTCATTTTGCAGCTGAAAGGTAAGATTGGCTTCCATATATATTATTAAGAGCAAGAAAATCATCAGGAATCCACAGTATCACCCAGCTACCAACAAGAACATGAAAATTCAGCTAGTGAAGATGTAAGTTGACCTTAGTTCTGCTTCTGTGCTTTGACAGTTAAGGGGTTGGTTAAGAACTGGATCAGCATGTAGGCAACCAACAGATACCCTGCCAACTATAGTCTGAACAGAGAAAACATACTTGCTTAACTGGTATAAGACAAATTACCTCAAGTCTTCAAGGATAATCAAGATGTCGTATAAAAACGAAAAAGCGTTGATAGCTTAAAAATGATGAAAAATATGTGAAATACTCTTATGTATAGGATTAAACACCACAAACGATATTTTTATAAATAACAGCTTGGATGAAATTCAAAAGAAAAACTGAAAACTAACAGAAAAATATCTTCTTACTGAAATCTATTAAGAACATAGACTAGATGTGTAAGCCAAGCAGCAAAGGCAATACTCTAAGGTGGTCTTTCAAAATCAAGGGAAACATTTCTTTTTGATTGCAAAATTCTATTCATTTCTGATGCAAAGGCCTCTAGGTAGAACTAACCAAATTATACCAAGACAAATTCCGTCAGCTTAAAGAACTTTTTAGTAAACCACGTGGTAGCACTGTCATTAGCAATTATAGTAAAATAATAAAAACTTACAGCTGGAATGGAGCACTGAAATCAACCAGTCCAAACATACAAAGCACACTCCCACCTTGGGGCTTCGGTACTTGCTCTTCCATGTCACTGCAGTGGTGTTCCCCCAGATGTCTGCATGGATCCCCCCCATCTCTTTAGTGGCCACTCTGTTTACAGTTACAAACTCCAGCACATATTCACTATGCCCCACTCCCATGCTTCATTTCTCTTCATTGCATTTATCAACCATCTAACATGCTCTATATATTATTCAGATATTTTATGATATGTTTATCCCACCCACCAAAAAATGAAAGCTCCATGAAGACAGGAATTTGTGTCTGCTTTGTTTACTGCAATATGCCAGAACCCAGTGCAGTGCTTGGGATAAAGCAGGCACTCAGTAAGTGTTTGTTCCAAGCAAAGAAGGGAGAGAAGAGGCAGTTAAAATTTGGCATAAAATATTCTAGTAAATCAATGTAATGACAGCTAACTGACTAAATGACTTTTTACATATTTTTCCTGTTATCCACATGTCATAACATTTGCATCTTTGAAGTATCATTCCATACCATAGAAACCTGTATCTACTAATTTCTAGTGATATCGTGCTCCATGTTTAGGGTAAATACCCTGTAAATGGGAATACATTCACCGAATTAAACACACTATTTGGTTGTTATACCTATGTATCCTATAAGAAAAGTTAATATCTGTTTACTGTATCTTATGCATTGGATATTAATAATATTAAGAAACCCTTCTTTGAAAATTAGAATGACTATCAGCCAGGTAGAAAATAACATGAGACAGACAAGAAGCCATTATTTAAAAAAAAAAAAACTTTTTAATTCTGATTGCCAAATTATTTAAGGCAGGTATAAAAAAGGAAAGCATTCAATATACATTTTACATAAAATAAACTAGATTACAGCATAAAACAAGTAACCAGGCAATGGCGTTAAAGTCTCTCTCTTCTAAAACTGGATAATTGTAAACATTAAAAAAAAAAAAAGACTGTAGAACTATTCAAGTAATAGAACAATCACAGATGTCTCTGGTACGCAGGCTATTGGGTTATTTGCCATTCAAGATTATCAAAAAATGACACCTCATTATTCACAGATGCTCATTATTTCCCCATTTTAATCTTTACATTATATACAACACAGTTTTTGTGGTACTGGCAACCCCATGCCTTCCAAAAGTACTTTTTCCACAATACACAAGTACAAACAGTGACTACAGGAACATTTTACACTGGTGCGTCTTTAACAGGAGCCACCAAATAGACATCTAAATTGTACCAAAGTGTCATCATCACAGTTAGCCTTTCTGAGGGGCTTATGGGAAATATGTGAAGGATATGCAAGGTTCAGGCACACTGATACATAACATTATTTATTTACAATTTTAAAGGAAAAGGAAAAGAAAGTAAGTAGCCTTTTGTGGCTAACACTTTTTAACATGACAAATACATTTTTAATTTCCTTTACTGAGTGGTTTGCGACGTGGCAGCAGACCCTGTGTGTGCGAGCCTGGTTACTGATACAAAAAGTAAAGAATATATTTATATTTATATATATATATATGTATATATACAGATATGTATACGTATATATATATAAAACAGAAGTTTAATTACAGCAACATTTGTTACTCTGTGATAAAATCTGTAATTTACAAAAATGAAATGACTGGTTTTTGCCTGCCATTAAGGCATTTCAAATTAACACCATGGAACTGATGTCTGTATAAAGCGCTTCCCCATGTGATCCAGTCACATGACAATGTACATGTCCAATCTTGTTATTCTCTGCAAAAGAAAAGCAAACCTTAGCACACGGTTCTATCAACATTTTGTTTGTTTGTTTTTTGAGTCGGAGTTTTGCTCTTGTTGCCCAGGCTAGAGTGCCATGGCTCAATCTCGGCTCACCGCAACCTCTGCCTCCTGGGTTCAAGTGATTCTCCTGCCTCAGCCTCCCGAGTAGCTGGGATTATAGGCATGTGCCACCATGCCTGGCTAATTTTATGTTTTTAGTAGAGAGGGGGTTTCTCCATGTTGGTCAGACTGGTCTCAAGCTCCTGACCTCAGGTGATCTGCCCACCTCGGCCTCCCAAAGTGCTGGGATTACAGGCATAAGCCACCACACCCGGCCAACAGTTTTTTTTTTTTTTAGTTTTGAGACAGAGTCTCACTCCATCACCTAGGCTGGAATGCAATGGTGCAATCTCAGCTTACTGCAACCTCCACCTCCTGGGTTCCAGCAATTCTCATGCCTCAGCCTCCCTAGTAGCTGGAATTACAGACGCACACCACCACGCCCAGCTAATTTTTGTATTTTTATTAGAGATGGGGTTTCACCATGTTGGCCAGGCTAGTCTGGAACTCCCGACCTCAGGTGATCCACCTGCATGAGCCTCCCAAAGTGGTGGGACTACAGGCATGGGCCATCATGCCCAGCCTCTATCAACATTTGGCACTGTAAACCAGAAAACCATAAGACCGATAGTCTTATTTTAATTCCATTCAAATGTGGAATTCAATTCCAGAGAAAGTGAATAAACATAAAGTAATGATATACATTGTGAAAAATATTAATTTTATAATATTAATAATTTAATTCCTTTAAATCATTTTCCTTCATAAAACTTAGGGAATAATTTAAAATATCAAAGAACAAACATTACCTTTAGCATTATGAAAATAAATGTCTCCATTTGCGACTTTATCTTTAAACATAATAAAACAAAGGGAGTCATGGTGAATTATTTTAGAAATGCCGTAAGGATAACCCAAGAAAATTTCAACTGTCTAAAAAACTAATCAGTTAATTACTAATCTATGTAACCCTTACAGAATGAGGTTCATGGAATTTAAGTTGCATGTGAAGCAACTTATATTGGCATAATAAACACATTCATTACAATGATATAAAACCCAAGGAGTTAAGTTTTTGGTCTAAAAATCCTGTACTTGCTTCCTCCCAACCATTAAGATATTTCTATCTACAACTAATTAAAAATGTAGAGGATATTTACCTTCTTTGTCCAGGAAACATTCCAGATGCAGATGCCTGGGCAGCCACCTGCTGAGAGGCAACAAGGGCAGCAGAGGTCAAGCCTAATGGGGAAAAAATGTAGAGTGTCTGTGATCTTTAGAAGGATAAGAGTAGATACAGGCCCAGTGGAGAAGGGCCGCAGACCTAGTAGCAGCATGGTGTCCTCTCCTAAACACACACATGAACTGTTTCATGCAGCAAGGACACAGTACAAACCATTTGGTCTATCTGCTATCTATCCTTTCTTGAATACTCTGCAGTTTTCTTAATAGCTATTCGAAGGAGATACAGCATTCCATCTCTCCGGCTCTGCATGGTGCTAAATGGTTTGCATGCATTCCCTGAATAGGAAGCTCAGGAGAAATAACAGATACCAGGTAACAACAGGAATCAAAAGTCACAGTGAATTACAGAAGCGGCATGCTATTTGCCTAGAATACAATACTTTCATAATAATTGTTATCACTTTAACATTTTCCCCAGTGACTGAACACAATGCATCCCATAAGATACACAGAATCAGTAAATCAAACTTAGAAATGCTCTTAACTTTCACCCTGCAAGACAAAGGTAGCAGTCAGAGACTGTAATAGCTCCAAATGGCATGATGTTGCCTAACAGAGAATTCTTTTAAATTCTATAGAAGACAGTCCTGGGGAAAAATAGAGTAAACAAATGCAAACCTAGGGAAGATTACTGTCTCCTTCTAGGTCTTTTATTTGGATATATTTTCTTTTCCCAGAGGTAACTTAAGACAGTACAATAACAATAATATTATCTTAAAAGAGACAATTGTTTTCTTCTCATATATACTTTATTTATATATAGATATAATGTGTTAGACTAGAAATAAAACCTCTTTCTCTTCCAAGTTCTTATTACACTCAATACAAATTGTTTAAGAAATAGGAAAGCTCTCTTTTAACACTACTAGATGACATCAACTAAAAAGACCTGAATAAATAAAAATGACCCCTTCACATTTGTATATCACTTCCCAGTTTTGGAAACACCTTCAAACATATTATCTTACTTTCTATTCACACAGTAGCATAAGAGGCAACTTGGCAAGTGCAATAGACTAAATTATGTCTCCTCAAAATATGTTGAAGCTCTAATCCACAATGTGATTAGATTTGGAGATGGGGCTTATAAGGAGGTAATTAAGGTTAAATCAGGTCATATGGGTGGGACCCTAATAGGGCATGATTAGTGTCCTTATAAGAAAGCACACGAGGGCTCCCCCCTGCCCCTTCCCCACCCACCAGCTCATGCACAAAGAAGAGGTCATATGAGCGCACAGCAAGACAGCAGCTGCACACAAGCCAGGAAGAGAGGCCTGAGCAGACGCTGGCTGTACTGGCACCCTGATCTTGAACTTCCAGCCTCCAGAACTGTGAGAAAATAAATTCCTGTTGTTTAAAGCCATGCAATCTGTGGTATTCTAGCAAGTTGTAAAGATGGTGCCACCACCCACCTACTATGAGATGACAAAGATGGGACAAATAATACATGCTCAACTAATGAACTACAAGGTGAAGATTCCCTCATATCAATCCTATGGCTTAAAACATGTTTCTCTTTCTCAATTCTCCCATTTAGTGAAGTCGCAGCAGTGAAGGGCTGTGAAGAACCCTCGAATGAGGTTATAAAAGTGTTAAACCTGATCACATTACTCCCATGATTTCCATGGGAAAAGAGCAACTTAAAAGGCATGCAGAAATCAGAACAAGTAATTTCACCAAAGCTTCCCACCATCCCTCCCTTTTTCTACAATTTTCCTGAAGTAGATATCTGATCTTCTGATTGTTATATTCAGTGCCCCAGACACTGGCCACCGCCCTCAGTCTGTGAGATAACAGTAAGCTGCCGATAACATCAACTGGTGACAATTATTAAGTGGTAGCCATTTCATGTCTCAATAGAATACAAAGATGTGGGAATAGCCTTAGCTGTGTCACTAGAAAATAAGTGTTAAAAACCCTCCTGAGAGCTAATGTGAACTCAAAGCTCAATATTTTTAAGATGTGAAATGCAATTTTAGCAACTGTTTTCCAAAGCAGAATGGACAAAGACACAGTAATGATAGAGCTGCTGACCTTGAAAAGGGTCATATTGACCCGGGATTAGCGGGTAACCCATGCCAACGTGGGTGTGGTGGTGCGTGTGCAGGTGCCGCTGGCCGAAGGGGGAGTGGCGATCCCTTTCCCTTTCTGCCTCCCGTTCCCGCTCAGCTGTAGCCTTTTCCACAGGCTGCAACAGAAAAGAGAAATTTTCCCCCTTCATGCTCTGAAAATCAACTTTTAAGAGTACTAAACCACCTTTGTCCCTTCGACAATATTGTGTTAATGATTAAAAAGTAAATATAAAGATACAATTCTTTAGTAACTAAAGAGAATTTCAAAAAACATGCATTAGTTTCAGTTGGAATTAAGCCAACACAAAAGAACTACTCCACCCAAAGTAAACCAAGTGACACCAATGTTTTCCTGAAATGACGGAAATAAGAGGATTTCTCTCTATATTCATTCATAATTGCAGGTTAAGAATTTACCCAATTGCTTCCCATAAACAACTTTTACAAAATAAGTAGTTTTGGAGATATCTTTAAGGTCAAGTTTTCTAATTACACTTGTATTTTGTGGAGAGAACATATCTCACAGTTTTAAACGTGTCTGTATACATTTTGTTCTACTGAAAAAACATGCTCTAAAGTTATATGCCAATATAAAGCACAAGAAATCACTGTCCTACACCCACATTTTGAATCTCTCAATTTTTGAACTCTCAAAGAGAAGGCCCCATCCTCCCAAACCATAGTTTGGGGTAAGGATGGTTCATTTCCTATGACTTTCTACCTTTACAGCCTAACCACCCTTTAACTAAAGTTATACTTCTCACTTAAAAGAAATCCTTGTACTAAGAAGGAGGACTCAGAAAAAGATTCAGAAATCCCCTTTTCTGGTTTCTCTATAGAGTTTCTGGTAGACTCACACACATTGCAGATACTATTATTTTAATTTACTTTAAACTCTTTCCTAGCCAAGCACCATCCTATTTTTGTTTAGTCTCTCTTCACAACAGTCTCTAGGACTAGAGCAGTCACCTTTTTTGGGGAAGAGCCATCTTTCACAGACATTGTATTACTTCAGCAGAGTTAAAGGGACATGACAAAGAGTCAAGGCCAGAAAACAGCAGACACAGCTCTCACTCCTAAGCCACATGACTTACTCTTGCAAATGAGCCTCACACTGTACAAGGCTCAAATTTGTGCCTTATTACATGTCACGGGCACTCAGCTTTGCTCGTGATGAACCCCCAACCATGAACACTGATGATGTGAATATGAAGGGTCAATACAAGTAGCAGAAACCTCAAATCTCTCCAGAAGTCAAGTTAACAACAAAGATAAGTGATGCAGATTAGGGAGCTTCTATTTATATCCATGCACATTGATGGGGAGCAGCACATCTGCCTAGATGGGGCTACTAGTTCCCATCAGTTACTGCCATGTCATTTTGAACCAGATTTTCTATTGTCTTTTTTTTTTTTTTTTTTTTTTTTGAGACAGAGCCTTGCTCTGTCGCCCACGCTAGAGTGCAGTGGCACAATCTCTGCTCACTGCAACCTCTGCCTCTCGGGCTCAAGCAAATCTCCTGCCTCAGCCTTCTGAGTAACTTGGATTACAGGTGCCCACTACCACTAGGCTACTTTTTGTATTTTTAGTAGAGACGGAGTTTCACCATATTGGCCAGGCTGGTCTCGAATTCCTGACCTCAGGTGATCTGCCCGCCTCGGCCTCCCAAAGTGCTGGGATTACAGGCAGTGGCTCACTCCCGGCCCAGATTTTCTATTGTCTTAAGAGAAAGAGGTGATCTGAACTTGCATGTAAAATGTCTGATTTTTAAAAGGTATCCTGCAAGAAAACATTTTTTGAAAAGCTTGATTTGCCCAAAAAGTCAACAGTTTGTAGCCTCTGAACTACTTACTTACCAAAATTATATAAAATATACTCCTCTGTTACCTAATTCCTCAATGTCTTATCAAACATATTTTGCACCAAAAGTTGGTTCCTATGAATTTAAATTTCCACCTAACAACCATCCTCCTGGGTAAGCAAGGTATACTAGATTTTGCAACAGAAAAGCTTGCTACTGCCATACGTGCTTTAACAATTTTCTCTCATGTGTGAAAGCGTCTTACTTTTGAACGCTCCATTCTTTACGTATTAGGATAAAACAGCATCCTGAAATCACAGCTGGGTTCCGAAACCATTTATATTTCAAGACTGTTCTCTAGCTTGTTCCCCTTTCTCCCCAAATCACAGTACTTTTAAATAACAACAAAAGGAGGCTTACAGCAGGAGACTTGCTGCGGTATTGGTTAGCATGCTGCTGGAGCAAATCCAGTGCTTTAGATTCAGTGGTTGTTTTCGTGTTGACGCTAGGGCTGGTATTGACTTTCTCTGTCTCTTCTCTCCCTGACATCTTCCCATAAACAGGATAATGAAATCCTGGAGAGAGATATGCCCCTGCAGATAAACAACAAATGCCACATCAAGTTACAGGCTATATCTTTAAAAAAAATCATTTGGGTTACATGAATTTGGGATAAGAGTCAAAGAGATCTTAAAATAGGGGGTTACATTAAGAATGGGCTACATCATCATTAAACTGTGTCTAGCTTCTCCAATTTTCTTCTCCCAGTTAATTCATCCTGATGAAGGGAGGTTATAAACAGAATTGAGCTTATAGCCATTTCATACATTTACGTGTCCGCTTAAGTGAAAGGAATAGTAACTATAATGATTATGACAGTAAGTGCTTAGAATATTTTTATAGGCAATAAAGTATCTGTCAGCCTAACAGCTATAGCAGACCATCAGAGACTATGGAAACTATGGCTGAGGATTCTTGACATTTCATTAAAAAAACTTATATTAAATCAGTTTTATCTTTGGGACTTTAAACAGCATAAAAACAAGGAAAACAAATGTCACTCTTGAAGCTTCTAATTTATCTTGAGTTTTTAACAGCTAATATTTGAACATCGCCTCTTTCCTCCAATATAGTCAGAACCGACAACACGTACCAGGATAACTGTGCATTAGGACGGGAGAAACAGCCCGGTATGCAGGATGGCTGGGGTCGTACATCTGTGGGTAAGGATAAGCATGCAAGTACTGTATGTATGACTGATGCTGACTCATGGGTGAGGAGACAGCCACTCTTGTTCCCCGAGAGTCCTTCCAGTTCACAGGAGTCTTTCGATCATCATTTTTCAGCTTGCTCTCCTCCATTGATTGAGAATCAGGATGCTTGGCCTCTTTGGGCTCCTCTTTAATGCTTGTTAACGATACAGGAAGGCTGGGCACACCACTCTCTTTATTAGGAGTTTTCCTCGGACTATCCTCTTTTAATTTCTTCTCTCTATCAAGTTCTTCTGACTTTTGCTGATCCAGATATTTGGGCTGGTATACATAATGATGCCATGTTCTTGAATCTGGGTCCTGATTTTTTTGTTTTAAAGAAAAAAAACCCAACAGATTTGTTTTAAAATTTCAATTTTAAAGAAAACTTGTTAATAATCATGACAGCACTAGCACTCTTAATTTTAATGCTAAGTTGACATTTATTTCTGTGCTAGACACTGTGCTAATTGCTTTACCTCCTTCTCTTACAAAGTAATAATGTCCCAGGTAGGCATTATTACTGATCCCCTGTACAGAAGATAAAACCAAAGTGTTTAAAGTTCAGGCAACATCAAGGTCATGCTGCTGCCCAGTCGTGGAGCTGGGCTTCAAACTCAGGTCTGCTGAAATTCAGAGCTGGGCCCTTAATGTCATTTCTCAACACTAAATAACATCCTCAGACATATTTAATTCTGTCTTCGTTTGCCTTTTAATATCTCACACAGGTGAAAAGAATGTTAAAAACTCCAACTCAAGCTAATAATAGTAAATTTAAGTAATTGCTATAGCTATTAACATCACTTAGGAGGAAAAACTCTTGGTTTCCTAATACATTTTCCTCATCTACTGCAGCTGAGGCTTAATATATTGGCTCACTTCTCATTACGTGTTAACATCTTAATCAAAACAAAATTTCAAATTAATAGCACACGTTATGGCTTCTCTATTGGAAAACAAAGCCATCTATCTATAAACCCCCAAAATTATATAAATCTTCTGCAGCCCTGTGAATTGACAGCCTGATTTATGCCTCTGTAAGTGGGGAAACTGAGAATCCTAAATGGCCTTTGTGATCCCCATCCCATTCATGATATAAACCCACTGGGGATTCAGGTTCTCAGAGAACATGCAAAGTTGTGCCTAAGTAAATGTGTGTGTGTGGGTGGCGGTGGTGGGGGCTGGTGGTTCTTGCTCTAATGCACCAGGGATTATCTAAGCATGGGGGTGAGGGTGGGAGTGGGGATGTGCAGTGCTGGGAAATAACCAGGATTAATGCTCACGGGGTTGCAGTGGGTCAGGATGTCTGAACCATGACAGAAGGTGCTAGTACATTTGTGGTTTCGTGGTGACCAATTTTCAGGTGTTCTCAAGCTGACTGACCCATGGGGCTCTGGGACAGCTGTTGAGGCCTGCCACCCAAACCTCCTCACCCTCCTCACAAACATTCAGCACTGAGCTCTGAGTTTTGGGGTACTTAATATAGGGAGTAAGACTGAAATCTAGGCATCTCTGACCCCATGTGAAAGAAATTTGGGCCCCAAATTCTATTAAAAAGATTAATGGGAAATGTGAATTCAGGGACCCAGTTTTTATTATCTTCAAAGAAGATGCTAGTAGAAATTTGAAAATGGAAAATAAATATTTCAGAGATAAGACTCAGAATCTCAGAGTTAGAAGAGAATTCAGCAGCCCCATTGTGGAAAGCCCTCGCCTTGGACTAAGAAATTAAGGGATCCTGGCCAGGCGCGGTGGCTCACGCCTGTAATCCCAGCACTTTGGGAGGCCAGGGTGGGCGGATCATGAGGTCAGGAGATCGAGACCATCTCGCTAACACGGTGAAACCCCATCTCTACTAAAAATACAAAAAATTAGCCGGGCATGGTGGCACGTGCCTGTAGTCCCAGCTACTCAGGAGGCTGACGCAGGAGAATCGCTTGAACGGAGGCGGAGGTTGCAGAGAGCCAAGATTGCACCACTGCACTCCAGCCTGGGTGACAGAGAGAGATTCCGTCTCAAAAAATTTAAAAAATTTAAAAAAAGAAATTAATGGACCTCATCAGAGTCACAGAGCAAGTTAGTGGCATGAAACACAAATCTGCAAAGCACCCATCCACAGTTCCTTTTACTATACACCATGACAAGAAAATACTGATAATGTACATTTTAGAGCTACATAGTAACTCCTGAGAATCTTAAGATATTTTTCAAGAGCAGAGGAAAAAACTAATATGGGTTTCTTTCCTGTGTCAGAAGTCTAACCAGATCAAGCCCAGACATGTATAATACAAGTCTCAGACTGCTCTCTCCCTGTTGGGGCCACGCTCCACAATCTTACTTGTTTAAATCTCGAGGTTGGGTCTACACCTGTCTGCTTCATAGAGTCCATGACAGACTTCATTTCTACAGCCTCCTTAATAAGCTGGTGGTTTTCCATCTGCTTAGCTTTGAAGCTGTCGGCCTGAAGCTGCTGCTGGTGATTGGAGAGAAGCTGCGATTTACCTGTCTCCTCAGTTTTATTAGGCACTGATGGCCCTAGTTTAGAATGGTTTTTGTTAGGCTCCGGAGTAGAGGGAGCTTTTGAGATTGTGGCCGATGGCATATTTTTCTGTTTAGTTTCCTCCTTGCCCAGCTCTTTCAAGGGGAGCTCACTTTTCCTTTCACAGTCTCCTCTCCCAGTCTGGGCCATTTTCTGCTCTGCCAGCCTCTGGTCCTCATAGTACTTCTCATACTGCTGTCTATAGGCAGGGCTGGTGGCCATCAGAGACTTCTGGTCCATATAGAGCCCATATGCATACTGGCCATAATAAAGTGACTGAGCCAGGGCAGGATGTCTTTGTGTGATCACCGACTGGTGCTGAGGCTGTAAGGATGCAGAATTGTGGTCCACTTTCTTAGAATCTAACTGCTCTGCCTTGTCTTTCTTTTCAGCATCTTCCTCAGACTCCTTCTTGATCTTCATTCCCTGCGTGCTCCCACTATTTCCAGCTGCAGGGGCACCGACCTGCCCAGGGTGCATGTAACTTGGAGAATAATAAGGATCATAGCTGTGGTAATAGGGAGAATGGGACTCTTTCAGTTGAGATGATTGTGCTGTAGTTGAAGAATGCCCTTTTACAACACTGTCCTTACTAGAAATAATATCTGATGGGGAACTGGCCTTTGATCTCATACCCTCCGACCTGCTGTCAGAACCACCATCGTCAGCAGCATCAGATATGTCTGAATAGGCCGGGCTGCTTGTCTTTGCAGCTGAACTCTCTGCCCCATTCTGGGTCAACACATGCAGAGGTGCCATTGGTGCCTGCCCGTTCACCAAAGTGCTGCATTCCAGCCTCGAGGCGCTCCCTATGGAAGGGCTGGGAGCGTTGTCTGTGAAAGTGTAAACCTTATCGGCCTCAGCTTTGATACTGGCCATGCGGCTCTCCTGAGACTCCGACAGTCCATTTGCCAGCCCTTCATTCTTGTTGAGATGATCCTTTAAAAAATGCCCAGGTAAATCTTTGCTGGCCCCCTTGGAGTCCTCTAGTTTCCCCAGCTTGGCATCCATTTTTGGGCTTCCCGTCTCTTTCCCTTCTTTGTCCTTTAGCTTTCGCTTCTCCTTTTTCTTTTTGTCTTTGAGTGACACCAGAGCTGGGTTCACGGTGATGGGCTCTCCCATAATTGTGGGCTTTGGTTGAATGGGTTTTAACGGAGGACTCTTTGGTGTAGCCTGAACAACAGTTGTTGTGAGGGAGGGCAGTCCGGGTATTGTCCCAGTGGTGGTCGTTGTAAAGGTTGCAGTGGGTATAGCGATTAGCTGCGGGGGAGTGGGGGCTGGGGCAGGGGCAATGGGCCGGGCACTTTTCAGTTTAGAGAGGTTTTTGTCCGTTTTGCAGTTGGTAGCTTTTTTGCCCTTTTCTTTATCTCCTAAATTTTTCTTGTCAATTAATCCTTCTGCTTCCAGTTTAGGCATCTCAGCAGCCAAACTGCCGTCTGCTGCCGAGCAACTGTCTAACGCAGCCGTCATGTTGGAGATTACTGGAAGGTTGTTCAGTTCATTGTTAAGGCCCTTCTTTTTGCCAGAATTCTTCCCAGCTTTAGCACCAATAATGGAACCTGGGCCATTGCTCATCAGCTCTCTCTTTCCCTTTGGGGTCCCAGGTGGGTTTCCAGCACCAGGGGATGCCGGTGCCTTCAACTGGTCATAAGCAGATACACTTGTGCTTGGCTCACTGCATTCAAGTGCCACATTACTCAATCCTTCCTCACAGTCCGAGATCTTGTCCTCACTGTCAGGCTCGAACTCCAGCTTGTTTTCTGGGTCTAAGTGTGCATGAGCCTGGTGGTACCTCAGGCCGTTAATGTGCTTGTACTTTTTGTTGCAGTTTGGGTGGGGACAGTCGATTAACACTGGAGAAGAGCAGCCTTGGTCCAAAAAAGTAGTCTCTGGTTTCCCTTGAGGGGTAGTGGGAGTGCTTCTGGAATTTGTGCGGACACGCTTTCCAGGCTTATTGTCCTCAGAGCTGGAGTTCAGGTCCAGCTCCATTGGAGGCTTGTTTTTCCTTTTGTTGGTGGAGGAAGGGCTGGCTTTGATATCCTCAGCAGCACAATTTGGGGGTGTCCTTCGTCCGCTGGCATTGAGGCTGCCCCGCCTCCCTTTCCCATTGGCCCCCCCTCTGTTCTTATTCTGCAGCCCTCTGGACTCTGTGAAGCTGGCCTCGGAGCCCGGGGCAGCAGCAGCAGACCTCGCTCTCTTCCCTCTGCCCCGGCCCCCTCTCATCTCCAGGTCACTTGTCGGTGACTCACAAAACCTATGGAAGCAAGTAACAGATGTGAAAATGAGCATCCCCAAAAGAGCCAGGTGAAATCACAAAGTACACAATGCAGTAAAGAGGAGTCAACACTCCAGTAGCTTCAGGGCTGGGCCCAGTCAAGGAAAAGACTGACAATTTCCAACACCTGCAAAAGAACAGGCGACCAAGGGCTTATATTCTTCCTCAGAAAAACCAAAGAAAAACAGCTCAAGTAGCTAGCTTCCAAACCAGTTCAAATTCCCACTTTGAGAAAAAATGAAAACAAAGACAGGAGAGAAGGGGTGGGGAGCAGAGATCTTCTGATAGAAAAGAAATTTAGCATCTGCATTTTACTGCGTTCAATCCTAAATTGCTCATTTCTCCTTTGCCTGGTTTCAATTACAGGCACACTTTTATGTATTATGAATCTCTCTCTACAGTTTCCCTGCAAAGAGAGGATGGGGAAGGAGAGAAATAAAAGGCCCTGTTCATACCTGGGAGGGGCCCAGTCGTGCTTGGTGCAGTCCAGTAGGGTTCCCACGTACGTTTTGTTCCTCCACGTGACATTGACCACTAGGACACCTGCAGGAGGCAGGGGATGAAAAAGGATCATAGTTACCACTGATTACTGTTATTTCCAGTTCACTTATTATTTTTTTCTCTTTTTTTTGCCAGCAAGTTCTATTCTCATTTGCTTTTAAAAGCTGTGGTTTGCATTCTTCCTCTTTCTGGTTTCAGTGACCTCAAGTTAAAACCCACAGGAAATAATGTGTGTTGTGCATTCGTGCGCGTGCGCATGTGGTACAAAGGAGTGAGACTGTGTGTGAGAGTGTAATCAAGATACTGCTGACAGAAGGAAATGGTTTTTGCCATGTCCTGCTGTAAAACAGCAACACTCACCTCTTAATTTTTCTATTATTACACATAATTGCTTTCGTTTGGCAAGCAGCCAATATAAACTAGCGCCAGTTACCAGTGCTTAAACCAGAGGGTGACTGAAAGGAATCGGTTTTGTTTCCAATTCAACAATATAAAATGATGGTGATTTTTATTAAGAAAAAATAATTATGCAGGTGCATAAAAATAGGCATAGACAGGAGAGTGGGGACTCAAGAGTCCAGATAGCAGACAATCAACTACGATTTCACTTCCCTAATCCTCCCCTCTTTGACTTTGTGAGACAGTAATCAGCCTGGGTACCGTATCTGTTTCAGTGTTTGGTTTTGTTTCATATTAAGGACTCCTAAAATAGCCCTCTTAAGAAAACAAATGTGCACAATAGATTTACTCTTGGGGTTATCTTTGGAGTCAACTTTGGTACGCATTTGCCTCAGAGGATTAGAAAAGAAATCTCAAAACTAACACACTCGTTTCCTGCAAGCCATTCTGCTTTTTCCAACTGCTTTTCAGACAGACAATTTAATTTAGCACTGCATCTGTGAATTACTAAACTTAAGTGTGCTTAGTATACCAAATGTCACAGAGAAAATATAATATCCTCTTTATTTCTGAGAGGACAAATGCCAAATTACAAAAATCACTTCTTTAAAGCATATTTTAATAGAACCTTGATTTTGAGACATACATAAATTATTAGGGTAAAGAAATAAAATATTTAACTGAGCCTTTGTTTTCTTTTCTGCATCTACCCCTACTCTTTCTTGGAAGCACCAGAAGACATTAGTCAAAATCTGTTTCTAGCTAGTTTGCTCACTTGCATTACCATTGCCATTGTGAATTTTACAGAAAACCTGTAGTGGGCTCCTTTACAGTAAGGGAAACCTGACAAGGTAAGACTCATTTCCTTGGGAACCTTTTAACAGCAGGTAAAATATTTCAATGGTTGGGACTCAAGTAATGGAGAACGATTTCTTTCCAAAGTCTCAAAAGGAGATTTTAAAATTGTTTCCCATATGGTCTATGTTGCTATTACTTAGGCAACAGCTGAATTATTTACTCTGTGTTAATTCAGTGTACTGTAGCAATAGGCTAGCAGGGGAAAGGCTAGGATGGAGCAAAGCAAGTATTTCCTCAAATCATAGCTGATTCCAATGAAATTCCCTCAGGAAATTTTTTTAAAACCATTGTGTATAAAATTTCCTATTGCGATGAGAATCCATGGTAATTAGGCATTTGGTCAAAATCTGCACAAGACAGAACAATTGGAGGAAAGGATTCTTTATGAACACATCCCTTCAGGAAAGGGGAGGGGGTGGGAGAGGAGGCAAAGGGGAAGACTGAGCTGGTTTTCTCATCATCTTCTCTCTGGGGCACTGTGTGTGGTGTCAAAGACCTTTGCAGCTGCTTAAAATTCTTTAGCATGTCAGCTATATTTACAGTGCAGGAATATATCTGTACTGCCAGAAGGTTACTGCATTTTAGCTTTAGATCCAATAGGCTGAATCACTGCGTTCCAGAGTCCCTGATGTAGCACAAATATATAATTAAAATTGCTTGAAAGGAAACATGAAAGAAACAACAAACCTTCCATTCTTGCAGTAATAAAATTAAAAACAGGAAAAGTCTGCACAGACACTTAACATTTGTCTGCAGTGAAAGGCTTTTGTTATTGCTTTTCCCCTAAGGGTTTCGCGTTTCCAGAGAACGCTGGCCGCGGATTGGCCGGCGCCCGCTGCGAGCACTCGCGTCTGATTGGCTGGGCCGAGGCGGCCGCCCGGAGCACAGAGGCAGCGGTCGGGTAGAGGTGAGCGTGGCGGAGGCAAAGGGACGCATCCCCCACGGCGCGCTGGCCGTGCGGGGCTAGAGGGCCGCCTGCGCTGCTCGGCTCCCTCGGTGCACGCGGGACACAGGCTCATTCGCACTAACGAGTCCGGCCGTGCAGTGAAAGCTTCGGTCTGCGTGACCGTGCTGCGCTCCCCGCGCCACGCGGCTCCACACAACACGCCGGCCCACGCAGAACCCTCAGAACGAAATTCACCGTCTCAATACAGGCTCAAGGGAAACCTGGAGTCTGAAAAAAGGAAGGGACCCAGGGCAGGCAATTAATCACTGGTTATCTGGGGCCACAGGTTGAAGCTGTCACAAAGGCTAATCTGCAGTTGCAACTTCCTCACTGTAAAATTATTCACATCTCCTGCTGCTCTTTCTGGAAGCCACACAAGCAGACCTCTTATCGAAGTACAAGTGATGCCGTTGTTATTTGCACTCGGAAGGAATCAAGTCCTGGAAAGAAAAATCCATTTTCAACCTCAAAGGGCCTAAATAAGTAACCCTTATTTTTCCAGAAGCACTCCGTATTTAAAATGCTCAAAACAAATGCTTTACACCCAAGGAGATTTTGAACAGTCTCCATCAAGCAGTGCTAATTAAATATGTGTGCTTGTGTCTATCTTTCTTTATATGTACGAGCCGCTTCACAATGCCACAGAGTGTTTAAATCTGCCCACAATTCACATCCGAATATATACAGGCACATGTTTACACAGCCAAATCTGCCACTCTATATTGGAATGAAGGCTTAAGGAATGTTTCTCATATAAACTACACAGTGTACTGTTTCTTTGTAAGAAGGTCTATGTTTAGACAACACCCCATTGTGAAGGGCCAAGTATAAAGGCGGTGTTTAGGTTCTAAAACTTGTAAATGATTTATCATTTTGCTGAAATCTCAAAATCTTGAACATTTTATAACCCACAGTCACATAAAGCAGACTACACTTACTGAAGGCATAAATGCCCATGATGAAAATTAGTTCTTTAAAAGTGCAAATTTGTATTTTATAAATCTGGGCATAAAGTTCTATTTCTCACATGTGAATTGGAAATAAGTGTACACTTATTCCAGAAAGATTAGTTTCTTTTCACGCACATTTATTCAAACATCTAGCCAGTGAGCTAGGTGTTGGGGACGTTCTATACAGGTACTTTTCATCTTTATATTCAAGTATTCTACCAGGTTTATTATTCTTCCCTTTCCACCCATGGACTGGGCCTGGCCTTTGTCAGAGAGCTAATGCCCTGTAACATTTCATCTGAGGCTTATTACTAATAAAGTAAGAATACAGCTGAAGAGTACAATGGATGGTTTGAGAGTGTGCTGACCACACACAGCTTTCTTCTTTGTACTGTTAACACTTTGTCTAAGATGCTGCCCCCAAAGGCCTATTACCTACAGAACATTTAATAAGAACAAGGTCTTTATTATATAACCTGAGCCTGTTACTTCCTCAAGCCAAAAAAGCCTGAGACCTCATAAGGATTTCAGTCAGTGTTCTGTTATGTCCTTTGTAAAGGGTTTCCAGGAAGATGTCAAGCCCAACAAACACTTATTGTGTGTGTCTACAGGGTACACATTAGGTGCCTATTTAGTGCTATGGAATCAACCATGTTTTACTTGGAGCTCCATCCAAACTCTGTACTTCAAGAGTCTGTGCATGAAAAGAACAGAAGAGACACAGGCATACACTGTGATGCACAAGTGGAAGTATAGTTTTGTCTATTACCTGCATTTTTACAGTAGGCCCCTTATGCTATCACGTCAGGCTAGACCCTGGATTTCATGTTCATGGTGCCCCCACCTAGACCAGTGATCCTAACCCTGCCCCCATCTGACTGGACCAGTGATGGGCACCTGGAGCAAAGGCAGCCAGCCCAACAGGGACTTATGTTGGGAATCTGAATGAGAAATATGGAAGTTCCAAAGAACTGGCAATAGGAGTAGAAGCCTAAAGCTTGCAAGATAGTAAGAGGCGTAAAGAACCATGATGGGCCAAAGTTCCAAGGGCGCAATAGCTATAAGACCAGGAAGCCAACTGCACTGTTGGTGCAACACCCTCAGGACTTTGTGTGCGTGTGTGTGTGTCCTTTTTCTCTCCAGCTTCATCACTGATAGAAGATTTCACCAGCACTCCCCCAGGATTGCCTATTTTCCAGCCATCTTGTTAAAAAGTTGTTCCTTGTGTTAAACTAAATTTGTCTTTGAATACCTTGGTCCTGGCTGAGCCTCCTGATACCCTGCAGATGCAGTCCACCCATCATCCACTCAACAGCCTTTCATCCAGGCAAGGATAATGACCATGTTGGCATTCTCCCCACCTCCTGCTCACTGTCTTTTTCCTATTTTTTTTTAATGAGATGGGCTCTCAGTATGTTGCCCAGGGTGGTCTTGAACTCCTGGCCTCAAGCAATCCTCCCCCGTCAGCCTCCCAAAATGCTGGGATTACAGTGTGACCCACCACACCCAGCCTCTATGTCTTCTTTACTCTCCAGCCTAGACAAGTTTCTTCAACCGTTCTTCATGTCACATTTTTAATTCCCCTAAAAGAAACCTTGAAGATGCCTTAGTCCAAATCCCTAGGGAAAGTTAAAGTTCCTAATGAATTAGAAGCAAATGGAGACAAATGCAAAGGTTCTCACTTCTGTGAATCCTTGCCCTAGACACACGCATACCAGGCACACTGCCAAAAGACAGCCATTCTCTCCTGGATCCCCACAGCACTGCATACACAGTTCTTGCCCTGATGGAAACGTACGAGCCATGTTTCCCTCCCCTTTCTGAGCTCACAACTAGACTCCTTCTCAGCCTCCCTATCAGTCCGATGCAGCCATGTGACTGAGTCCTACAGAAAGCAAGTGAGAGAACTGATGAATGTGGGCCACTTCCAGGCCTGGCCCATAAGAACCTCTCATCCCTTTCTGTCTGGCTGCAATGGAAATGGCTATTGTGATCTCGAAGTCCTCAGGATAAAGGTGGCAGAGTCTCCTTCATCTGGGACCCTGAATGACAAGGAGAACTTCCCAGGTCTGAACTTAAGGCTATTTGTCCTACCGTAATACATGGCCCCCATAATATTTTACTCTGCTTGTATACACAGTATGCCTAACTCTTCCAACTAGATGACACTCCTTGAAAATAGGAGCAGTGTCTGCACCCACAACCCCTGGCGGCACAGTGGCTACCTAATAGTGAGAATTCATTAAACACCTAGGAACTAACTACACGAGGACTGACGAGAGAGAGAGTCTAGACTGAATCCTACTCAGTGACTTCCTTTTATTACTACCATACTTTTTCAATAAGCATAATCTCCCACTAGTTTTATAGATGATAGACATTCTCTGTGGAGAGGCTTTGCTCCCAAGATGTTATAAATGTGGTTTATGAATTATTATTTCTGGTATTTGTGAAGCTGTTTCCTCAAGAACGGGGCAAATGCCTGATTTCCCAGTGGATTGACATAATTCTGTTTGTATTGAGTTTAAAGACTGCTTCAGAGTCTTTAAAGTGCCTCATCCCCGGGACAGAAGTCTTTGCCAAGCATCGCAAATGCTGAGTTTGGAATCAGACAGAAGTTTTTTTGAACTCTCTCAGACTACCACATCTGGATGCATTTGATGTGCATCCAGGCAGAAAACAGAAACCTCATTCGAATAACACCAAATGGTAACCCATTCATGCCATATGCCTTTAAAAAAGAAAGTTTACACATTTCTTTCCTTTTATATATTTTTTTCTAGTGAAACATTGGTGACAAAATGTCACAATATGCTGATTTCATGAGTACAGGATAAAATTCATATATTTCAGATATCATATTACCCTCCATTTTTACACAACGTGACTATTGTGCAAGGTATGATTTATCACCATTTCTTTGTTCAGGACTCCCTCCCCCCATTATTATGTTGTCGTCACTCTGTGGTATTCAATACTGGTACTTTGTAAAGGCTGAATCTTGTATAGCACAAGCTTCGCTGTTCCAGCCTCGGAGCTTATAACCTTCAGACAGATCCTTCTTCAAATATAATTATTTGGGAAAATTTAAAATGTACAACTAAGGTTGCTCATAAAATACCTGCCAGCCAAAAATCAGAGGGACTTTCCCATTACCTGTGCCAAGTATATATAGAGCACTAGGACAGGAAAAGTAAGTGTTGTCACATGACCATAAAATGCAGTATGTTTTTTTTTTAAAGAGCCCTACCGCTGGGCTGAATGTTTGAAGAGTCACTTTAAACACATCCTGTAATCAAACCATCTGGAACACAGTGCTGCGATTAGTCACCCTGAACATAGGGCTTTATCTGAACAAATAGTGTATGGCAATGGAGCTTGGGAGATAGGGCAGTACTAACAAAAGGAAGTGTAATGAAACACTTTATGCCCTAGTGTGCCGCCACCCCAGTCATAAACCCCAGAGACACACTGCTCTGGTGTTAATGTACTACTTTATGAAAGCACAGTGAGCTTAAAGATTAAAGGACTGAAGGGCTAAAAATTGCTGGTTTGGATAGATCTTCTCTGTCAGCGGCTGGAATATGTTGGCATCACTCTATCTGCGTTAATTATAACCTCTCAGATGACAGTTGAGCATTCCTATTAGGGTTTGGTGTTATTTTCAGGGCATTAGGAACAGGGTTTGTTTATGGGAGGGTAGTTACGATTCTTGGTTTGCCAGAGGTTAATCTGAACACAGACTTGTTTTTGGTTCATCTAAACCCAATCCACATACAACGACAACAAAAAATGAAACCTTAAGCAATAACAAAAGCAATGGAAAAATGCTGTTCTACTCTGCATTTTAAAACATGATAATCTTTCTTACTTGACTGTACTTATCTCTTTCAAAAGTACATTTGGTCATTGGTATACAATCTATGGAAATCCTTTTTTAAAAAAAAAATCTGAAAGGATTTTCCCCCTAAATACACAGAATAAGCCCTAAACACACACACACACACACACACACACACACACACACACACACACACACACACAGCTAAAGAAACCTTGTTTCCCCATGGGCCTTATGGTTTAATACACAAAAGAACACAGAGCCACTTCCATCACTGTCACCTCCCCTGCAGCCTTTGTTCTGAGGCCTGATGAGCTGTATTGATTTGGGAAAATCATTGAGCTTCTTTGGAAAACTAGACTCTCGCTTATTCACTGCCATCTATTTCTTTCCCATGAAGACAGGTGGTCAATATCCAGCTGACTGGTCAGCTAAAAGAAGCCCAAGCTGCTTTTTTCTTGCTTCCCTAGTAACATTATCATTTCCCACTTCTAGAAGATACAATGGCCTGTTAAGGAGTCTTGTGAGTAAGAAGAGGGAGCAGAAATAAGACTTTTATAAGGCACCACCGGTAACACTAAGATGCTGTCCCATATGTTCACGTGGGAGGCTGCACCGCACATATAGATGGTGACGATATTTTCACTGACCAAGTTTAAGCATCAGTGAAAACTTACAGGGCCCAAGATATAACATGAAAAGAAATACTAAATCAAAACAGATCATTAGAGACCAGGTGCAGTGGCTCACGCCTGTAATCCCTGCACTTTGGGAGGCCGAGGCGGGTGGCTCACGAGGTCAGGAGATCGAGACCATCCTGCCCAACACAGTGAAACCCAGTCTCTACTAAAAAATAAAAAAATAAAAAAATAAAAAATAGCCGGGCCTGGTGGTGGGCACCTGTAGTCCCAGCTACTCGGGAGGCGGAGGCAGGTGAATGGCGTGAACCCGGGAGGCAGAGCTTATAGTGACCTGAGATCGCACCACTGCACTCCAGCCTGGGCGACAGAGCGAGACTCCATCTCAAAAAAACAAACAAACAAACAAACAAAAACAGATCATTAGAGATCAATTAATGTTTACTGTGGAAAGACATGCTTTACTTCTTTTAAATAATCAAAACATATGTTCTACCAAGCAAGTGTCCTAGTTACAAAATGTCTTAGGTGTAATTTAGACATTTTAAGTAACAAAGAGCATCATAAAAAAAAATCACATGGAGATCTTTAGAAAGTAATTTTTAATCAGGAATTTTGATCAGTAACAAAAATATTTGCTTTTAAGTTAGGCAAACATACATATCCTAAAGCAACATTGCCCTTGATGACTTGAGGCCAGCTTTAAAATAAAATAAAATATATGTACTGCACCATTCATATACAATATGTACCCCTTATTGTGTAGACCGTTCCTCTAGTAGTTCCTGCTAAGGTTCCTGGAGTCCCTACTTTGGGGACAGGCAGGCAGAACAGGTTTCAGGTGATAGTGTTGGGGGAGGAGGGAAGAAGACAAGTCCCCTGAGCTTGCTTCAGCAAGGTCAGCAAGTCAGACATTTAACTGGGATGCATCAAAAGCCACCCCCTGTACCCCAAAAGGGATGGCCTTCATGCTGTGGTCCCTCAGCGCTCAGTCAACACACAGCAGGATGCAAGGGACAAAGGAGGACAGGAAGATAGAATCAAATAAAAAAATACAGTCTTCTGAGACAGACATTTGGAGCAATTCAAATGCATAAACTGAATATGTACATGTATAGAGTGTGTGTCTGTATACATTTGTACCAAGGGGTTTTATTTCTTGTCTTTGATTAAACTTCCTAGTAAGTAGCTGCCTCCTTTGAGGCTTAGTGCCACCAAACTAAGCAACAGCATCACTCTGATTTCTAATGCCAAGTTTGAAACTTAATTTTTCTCCTGCTCCTTGTCAGGCACCACTGGTTGGTCTGAAATCTGATGAGTTTGGATGACGATTTCTAGTGTGGGGCAGGTTTCTCAAACCCTCTCCTTTTTTAAAGCCAAATTTCCTCATTAGAGTAGCAGAATGCTTTCTCCTTCTCTTCCTCCTCCCTCTCTTTGTGGGAAGACAAAGGTTCAATGCCCACTGTAACAGAATTGACTCCCCTCCCCAATCCAGTCTCACAAGCTTGTATCATTAGCTTGTTAGGACACATTTTTCTTCTTTTAAATAAAAGTGTTAAAAAGTTTGGGAAAGGTATTTTGTAATTATTGAACTAGGCCTACTATGAGCCATAATAATGACACAGATCTTGTGGTATTACCTCCTAATGGTCATTCCTTTCCTAAGAGTGTTATTTTAGAAGACGGCTATTACAAGTGGCCCTGGGCACATAGCACAGGGCCAGGGTCTGTCAAAATGAGAGGGAAACAGCTTTCACTTACTCCCACTGTCAGACTCAGGAGGTCACTGAAGATAAGCAACTGAAAGAGTGCAGCCATTCAAATCATTGGTCCCAGTCCTTTCCTGCACTTAATATTAATTACAGGATTTTTTTTTTTTTAAGTTAACAACTCAGATACCCAAGCTCTCCACGATGCCATTACTTCGACTAGAAAAAAACAGGTAAAGAGAACAGCAAGCCAGACAAAAATAAATCATCCTTCAGGCAAAAACTCCCCCTCCATGCCACTCACCAAAAGACGAGTACTCTAGGACTAAAAGGGCGTAGAAGGGTGTAAAATGCTCTGAATTTGAGAAGTCATTAACAGCTATCTGCCACTTCCGTATTTTCTGTATCTGGCAGCATAGTCTGTTTCTTGCCCAATTCTTCCCCAGTGGCAGGAGCAAAGGAAGGAGGAGCAGGCAGGAAGGCAAAGTAATTACCAAGATGAATGAAACTGAAAGATGCAAAGGAAATAAAATGTAAGAATGAAAAATCTCATGCCTTGTGGGGAGGGATAGGCAAGGAAAAGGAAATAGGAGCTATTGTCTTCCTAACTCCTCTCATCACCTAGTTTTCCTCACAAACCCACCACCTCTTGTAGATCAGTAGGTCATGGGTGATTAGCAGAGTTCCAGGTTTAAATGCCATTGAATTGCTTGTCAAAATATGTGTAATACAACTACAGATTATAGGACTGTATCTTAAAGTAATTTCTTACCATCCCCAGTCCTTGAGCTGTAAGGAGACAGTGGGAACCAATTGACAATTATGCTCCACATCAAAAAGCTGCTACTGATCCATGTGTCTCACTGGGATTGAAGAGCCAGGCTTCCTATAAATTATGATGCTTTATTTAAAGTCAGAGCGCTTATTTGCTTTTGTGCCAGCTCTGGGCCCTTTTCATCTCTAGCTATACCGGGCCCAGGAGAGCATACATTCCTACCGCTCTGCTGGCCACCAGCTGTGTCCTCTGTAAATCATAAAACCTCTGAACAAGCTATTCTTTACAAAGGCCAACAACATTTACTGGAAATGATCACTCTGCTATTATTCCATTCACTGAAATTTAAAATAGCAATTTACAACAGCAGCCGAAAACAGAAGAACTGCCTCTCTTAACTCTGTGTGTGTGTGTGTGTGTGTGAGAGAGAGAATGGGAGAGATCTGCATGTATATGGCACACAAAGGGGTACATTTTGTGTGTCACCAAAAAGCCACCATCTTTGCAAATCTAGAAAGGAAACAAGGAATATGAATGTCAGAGAAACCAGACTCAGTTTCACCTTTGGCGGCAGGGTGAATGAGGCTTAAGTTGTTGGTGAACCTCCCTGTTCTTCCTGGAGGTGGCCATGCCCTGCAGGCAGTGTGGGAAGTAGTTCCCACATTCTGGTAGAGAAGCCACAGCATGTGGCTCAGGTTCAGAATGCAATAGGGAAAGCTGAAAGGATGAACTCTGCAGTCATTTCTGAGGAGTAGGAAGGAAGAAAGAATAAACAGTGGCCATCAAATGGAGCACCCTAAGCACCTGAAAGCATGTCTCTGGAGACAGAGGCAGACTCACCTGTTCACAACCAGCTTTGTAGCCGCTTCATCTTGAGCTAACCTAAACCTACCTGAGCCTCAGTTTCCTCATCTATAAAATGGGAGTAATATGGATATTAAATAAGATGTGATTTATGTAAAGTATTTAACATGAGCACTGGCATAAAGAAGCCACTCAGCATATGTACTACGGCGTCCTCATCTTTTAAACTCTCCTGTAACTCACCCAGGTCATAAGCTGAAGAATGGAAGGAGATGCCAAAATGCTATGAATTCCACACTCAGAAATGCAGCTGGCAGCAAGCCCTCCCGCATTCCTCCCAGGTGAAGCAAACTCAGTTATGCGCATCTACACTAATTATCCCACATTGCTGGTGACCAGGCTTACTATAAATGTGGCCTATCTTTCTTTTAGAATCTTAAGGGCTGCAAATTCCAACCTGAGGGACTTCTTTTATTATTTCTATACCCACCACCAATTTCAAATGATATAAAATTTATCTTTCCTAACCCATCCATTGTTTAAAGCAAACATTTCCTCTGACTACTCAATAGTAAAGGCAACTGAGAAATGCAGTTCTAAATCACTGAAGCCTCATCTCTGGACTATTTCAGGGTAAGAAAACCTCATTTCATGTTTTCAGGAACAGCTAACTGAATGCCTGACATTTGTCTAAATTACAAAAGCCAAAATTAAAGCTCCCCAGTACCGTGACAACAGAAATGAGACTCTGCAGCAAGGCTCTGGGGATGCAGATGGACAGAGCAGGTTAAACATGAACTCATCTTTCCAATTCCCATCTGGACCCACCAGTTTTCTTGACAGCACTCAGAGGCTGCCTTCCCACCCTCCCCCATTCCACATTCCAAAGTTCTTATCTTTCAGGGAAGAAAAAAAAAAAAAAGCCCCACAGAGTTACAAGTATTTCAATAACGTGCTTAGAGACCAGCTCTTTTCTGTAAACAAGCCTAATGAAGTGTGACTAATAGTGCTCTCCTCCAGCACAGGGAAGGTAAAAGGGCCTTTGTTAGCACTTACTGGAGCAAAGTCGTCATTTTGCTGGAGCAGAACAAAACTTAGCTGGTTATTGATTGACCAGCCTGCTCGGTGTCACTGCTTTACTGTCTATTTCTATATACTCTGTGTGTAAATACGTGTGTTTACACAGACACTGAGATCGTCTGTATACACACAGTCACACACAGCCAGCTAACCTTTCTCTGCAAACAGGATGAAGTGTTCAAGGCATCTAACTGAAATCTAATTCCTCTCCGATATTTGTATCTCTTCTAGTCCTTGATATCACCTAACATTTCTCTCCATGTTGTTAGTATCATAGTATCATGAACCTCAATTTCAGGGCCTGTAAACCAACCCTCCCCATGGACACTTAATAGTTTCCGAAGTCACTCTGATTTAACCTGACCTGGTTATTACATTCTAGAGGTGATTTTGTTTTTTCATGAATTCAAAATTGCTGCTGTTTCCTTTCCCCATTTCACTGATCAATTCTGAAACTCCTGAAATTTGGCTCCAAATGTTAACTGCTAAATAAATACTTCATGATGACTTAAATTGTCTTCTTCAATTGACGTTTGTCTTAAGTATTAATATACACAGCAGCGATGTTAGCAGGAAGATCTGAAGTTGGCTCTGACTTCTTTCTTGGATGACTGAGGAATTCAAGTCAAAACCTGCTTTCCTTGCGAATCTGAGCACAAATTTCCGTATAAATTATTGACTGCACTTTGGCCTCATCTGAAACATTAGCCCCACAGGCTGATAAGTTCTGACCCCAGGTGGCACATCAGCCCTCTCAGAAGAGGCAGGAACATTAGTGCTTCGCACTGGGGACTAAGGCGTGTGAGCCAATCAATCACACTCTCTGACAGCTTTTACTGCCTCTGTGCATTAGGCCCAAGTCAACCTCCAAGACTCCTATTGTTCGCATTATTCTCTTATTCTCTGGTCTCATGAAGTTAGGGTTAAGTCCAAGGCTTTAGCAAGAGAAAGGCTATTGTTAGTAACTCAGTCTTTATTGACTCTGACCTGCAGGGCAGCCGACTTCAAGCCTTTTCCAGAAAGTAATGCACTGTTAATTGCTGCTCATCATCAGCGTGTGTTTTATACACCTCTCTTCACTGAAAGAAAACCTGACCAAATATTTCAGCATCCTCCCAGGTTGCCTTGTAATTCTCTCAAGAGTTACAGACACACAGACACACACACACACACAGACACACACACTTCTGGACAAAAATCTGATTTGTACTCGCCACAGTCCCTGAACCAGTAAATCTAATACCAATGCAAACAGAATGTTTGGCTGGACAATGCTAACACTTGGGGGTTGCCACCTGGAACAATAAATAAATTTTTTCATGGCAAATATCTGTGGGGATTAGTATATAGGGCAGGAAAATGCCTGATGGAAGAATGAGGTAGAAACCTATTATTTCCTTCTGATGTCCTTTGCTTAAAATAACTAAAGATCTTTTTCAGTGGAAACTAGTAGCTCTATTTGTGAGCAGCCAGCAACAGACTGGATAGCCTCAGGGTGAAGAGTACAGCATTCCATTCAGGCTTCCTTTGAAGAAATTCAGCACTCTAAAGGGGTGGCAGAATTATTGGTCCAAAGGCTTTCCGGTTTTCTTTGAAAGAGAAAACAGGCAGCCCATTATCTCTTCTTACCCAAACAGGCCTCTCAGGGGAGACAGGAGGGAAAGGCGAGTGGTGTGGCCGTAGAAGGTACACACCAGAGCGTCCAGGTCTGTTGCTCACTGCAGTGGGGACCCAGACCTGGCCTACCACACAGCATGCACAAAACCTGCCCCACCCCACAAAACCTTGCTGTTCAAAGTGGTAAACGACAGGCTACAATGTGAATGCTTCAAGTGAGAAAGCACATGTTGACATTTCGGAAATCAAATTTCTTGGGTTCAGGGAAAAAGCACAAAAACCAAATGGTTTGGTTTTATACACAGCTTTTGATTGAGAAATTTTCAGCCACAAAAGACTTTGACATTTAGCCAAAGTATTATGCTATTAATACTTTATTTAGTACATCTCAGCATATGAATTAGTATATATGAATTAGTGCACACTTTCCCAAACCGGTGAGCAGAAAGCCATTTTAAATTCTGTTCCATTTGTGTGCTAGATAATGGATTGACTCCAAGATATGTGAAAGTAATACTAAATTTGATAAGCTTTCCAAAAAGGTACTGGTTAGGAGAACAATGCTTTCTGTCTTGATAAAGTCTCCTGGTGCGGCCGATTACATTTTCTGGTGCCATTCAGTTCTACTTAATTTTAATATTAGAGAGAATTAGATCAAGGAAACCTAAAATTTGCAATTAACCTTTTCCCTTTAAATTGTAGTCCTGTATCTGTAGCTTAAATTTTTAACAAATCCTTAATTTTTAACAAACAAGAATGCAACATCATAGCACATTAAGCTCATAACTACGATGGGCTAACAGGACCAAAACATATTTTGTAAAGCATTCAAAACAAAATAATAGCCTGTTCTTATATAATGAACTTTCTTGAGTCGTCCTATTTCTTATAGCCTAGAAATAAGTTAGGAAACAATTCAGAGGAAAAAAAACAAAATATACAAATAGCTGCTGAAAAAAGACACACTACAAATTTTAAGTCTTGAGTTAATAAAGATGGAAACTGCAGGAGGTCAAAATTGAAATCACTAAAAATGTAAGCCTATGGACAAACTGAACTCAGGATTTGCTCACTGAATCTTGGTGAAGTTGAAGTTGGGGCTTCCTCTGAAGCTTAAAAGAAGGCAATTCAAAACTAATAAAATAAGCATTATTTTACACACTAGGCAGTTAACATTTTTGTTATTGTCCCCAGGGGATAAAGACAGAAAATAAATATTAGGAACATTGATTGAGTGCTTTGCTATGCTATGTGTAGGTCGCAAGAATAAGTGTTTTTTATACAGCTTATCTCATTCATTCCTCAGAGCCTGTGTGTCAGGTCCTTTTATTATTGCTATTTTACTGATGAGCAAAGTAACTCTTGGAAAGCTTAACTGGCTGACTTGCCCCAGGTCAGAAAGTCAGAGATTTGGAGCACAGGCAGTCTGACTTCTGATACCATACTTCTAAATGCACTTTATAAGTTTACATAAACTTATTTATAAATAACACAGTGTCATGAAGGAATGGTGCATGTATGGATGGGGACCCACAAGGCTAAGGTCATCTTGATGATGATAGTGGTATGTTGGAGGCATGTGCTGCAGGTGGCAAGCATCTCTTCTCAATACCATGTTCAAGGCTGGGCGCAGTGGCTCACACCTGTAATCCCAGCACTTTGGGAGGCTGAGGTGGATGGATCACGAGGTCAGGAGTTTGAGACCAGCCTGGTCAACATAGTGAAACCCCGTCTCTACTAAAAATACAAAAAGTTAGCTGGGCTTGGTGGTGGGTGCCTGTAATCCCAGCTACTCAGGAGGCTGAGGTAGGGAGAATGGCTTAAACCCAGGAGGCGGAGGTTGCAGTGAGATGAGATTGTGCCATTGCACTCCAGCCTGGGCAACAGAGGGAGACTCCACCTCCCCCCAAAAAAAAAAAAAAATACCATGTTCAGTGACATCACACTGGAAACTTGAAACTGACCACGGTGGTGATATAATCACCAAAGAAAACAGCAAATGTTACAAATCAGGGCTCTCTCCCTGCAACTCCCACCACAGAGCCAGGTGTTAAATACTTACTGGCACACCAATGGTTATAAATTTAATTTGCTGAACTGCCATGCTTCAATCACATGAAATATTAAAATAAAGTACAACAGAGCCAAAAGAGCTCCTGCATTATAATTATGTTCCCCAGTCAAATATAAAAGTAAAAACTGGAAAGGTGAAAATTGTTCATCAGCTGCTTCTGATATCTTGTAAGTGAAGGAGCCTGTCTCAGTTGGTTCTTTCCTTTTTTAAAATAATCTGACGATATAGCTGTAAACAATTTGGTTTTATGTATTTCTATTTTTTTATTAGAAACTTTTGTGGAATAAGTAATCTCACAAGTCAAAGAAATCAGGAATCTTCCTGAGATTTCAGTAGCCATCCAGTTTTACTGGACTATTACAAAAGCAATTGATGAGGTACATTTGTCTCTCACCTGATGTAGAAGCTCTAAACACAGCCCATAACATGCCCAGCCATGGCAGATCCAGACTGTTGGCCTCTCCCACTACTCCTTGCAGTTTAATGAACAGTCATATCCAACAAATCTCCTCCCAATAGCCTGCCAGTGGTTATTCTCCCAGACTCTGGGCCCCAAAGAGGGATTTGTCATTGCTTAAAATAAATTTTACAGATGTAATAGATAAAGGCAATAAAGAAAACAGAGCTTTTATAAAACAAAGTTGACAGAGCAGAAAGCTATCTCTCCATAATGGGCATGTACGTTTGTGCGTACTAGGTTGCTTGTGTGTACCAAAGGGAAATAGACAATGAAGGTTAGGAGGCATGAAATGACAGCCTTCTTTGCCTTTCAGGGAACGTAAATTTTATTCACTGAACGTAAATCTTAAAGCCATAGTTTTCAATCTGCATGTGTGATCACCAGAAATTGATTTCAAAGAGATACAAAATTATTTAACGTGTTGCTTGGCAATGCAAATCCCAGGCTAGATAGTCAAGATTGTCAATAGTGGAAAATTCAGATGATGTTTCCTGTTGTGATCCTTGTTGGTACAGATTATTTTCATCTGCCTTTTGGTGAATGCGCCACTACTGGATGCAATCCATGTCCTCAAGCGGCCCATTGCTTCTAATAGGCACTTCCCTTGTACTAGCTGAAATACTAAAAGATAATTTTCTTTCCCAGTGTGCTTTTGGGTACCTCATGCTCTCCAAATAATACAAATAGAGTAGTTTCTTTTAAAATGTCAGGTCTTTAGGCTACTAGCAATCATGTACCTGGCTCCTAATACAAGGGAAAGAAATGGAAAGAAAAAAACTTCAATTTTCTTGCCTTCATAATATAGCAAAGGCACATTCCGCTCCCCCAGCCCTGGAAGATTAGTAACTCAATGTGACTACTTTTATCACAACTCAAATATCAAAATACAAACTGGGTTTGCTCTGTGTGTGTGTGTGTGTGTGTGTGTGTGTGTGTGTGTGTGTGTGTGTGTTTCATCTGTTTAACAATTTATGGCCTTTAATGCTTAACCCTAGTTAATTAAATTAGCCTAATTTTATGTAAAGACATATTTCAAAATAGAAACTTGGCAAATATGTAGAAATCCCAGTATGCAAGCATATATTCTATAAAATAGAACACAAAATAATGAAAAAATTTAATAAAAATTGTCATTCCAAAAACACATGGTCACAGTAACCAACAATGTAGGTGCGTGGAATCAATATATGAGTAAATATGGCCAGTACAGATGCAGAAGGTATCCTCTGGAGCAGCAGATTACAGAGACATAAATTTTCATCTACTTAATATAAATTAGCAATTCAATTCAAAGTAAAAATGAACTGCCTGATCCCTGAGTGCATGAAGTATTTAAGATCAACTCTTCAAGATAACATCTACTTAGACCGTATTCACAACCCCAGTCATTACATTAAAGAAATAAAGTTATTGGTATGGGTTTGGAAGTTAGGATGGCAGGAGGAATGGTGGGGGGCAAGAAATATCTTTTACAAAGCATTTATACATAAAGCACTGATCCCAACTACATGTGTTCCTATAGTTTAATTCCACCTGACCCCAGAGGAAAGCTGCTTCTGATAATCAGTGAAACTGGGCTCCTGGGGACAGAGTGTTCATTCTGTGCAAGTCCTGCACTGCATTCATCCCCTGAACACAGCTTCCTCCCACCCCCACCGTGGCTGGAAGAAAACAAGTGGCAACATCAACACCATTGTTGATAACTGTAAGAAGATCTACAAGTAGCAGGGTCTTCGATGTTGAAATTCCAAATTATAGACAGCATGCTGGCATGCTAATGACAGACACCCCTGTCTCTGCCTAGAACAAATATTATAACACTGGGAATTGCCCTTTTGTTTGTTTAATTTAACAAGTGCATATCATGCTGACTATGTTAGGCACTATTCAAAATGTCTTCCAAATATTAACTCTTTTAATCCTCCTAACCACCCAAACAAGAGGTACTATATTATGGTATCTCTATCGTACAACCGAGGTACAAGGAAGGCAATAAGTAACTGCCCAACATCACATAGGCAGTAATCTGTGGAACTAGGAAATGGAACCCAGTTTGTGACAATTACCCAGTATTCCCATGTAGAAGACACCGGTGCAAAGAGAGTGAACAGAAGACTCCTGGCCCTCAACTCAAGGGCTTTGCCCCTTGCTCTAGTTGGTCACGTGCTAAATATACATGACAAGGTACGTGAATCACACAATAAGCTTCACCATATCACATCTAGAACTCATATAAAATAAACACCAACAAACAAGCAACAAAGGCCAGGCATGGTGGCTCATGCCTGTAATACCAGAACTTTGGGAGGCCGAGGCAGGAGGATTCACTTGAGCTCAGGGGTTTGAGACCAGCCTGAGCAACATATGGAGACCTTCTCTATGCTTAAAAATATATATATATATATATATATTATATATATATATATTTTATATATATCTATATATACCGCAGGATGTAGTGGCTTGCACCTATAGTTCCAGCTACTTACAAGGCTGAGACCAGAGGATCATTTGAGCCTTGAGGTGACTGAGGTTGCAGTGAGGTATGATAATGAGACCCTGTCTCAAAACAAAACAAAACACCACACAGAAAAAAAAAAATCACGTAATTTTCAAGCACAAAAGAATCTTGGAGATCACTTATTCCATATTTGTCCTCCTTATCAAGAAGGAAACTAGGGCCCAGAGAGGTTAAATGGCTAGTCCTGGGCCCTAAAACTAATTGGAACAGAGCCAAAAACAGAGCCCAAACCACACTTGGATCTCTAACTTTCTTCTCTTCCAGTGATCCTTTGCCCCCACACAGCAGCCTCTGGGGTAGGTGGCCATCAGGACACCAGTTGCCTGGCTCTCAGCACTTCTCCAGTGAGCATAATGTTCCTTTAACGCCCATCACACAGCTGGGAGGCCTGACCCACGCCCAGGAGCCTTTCGGGAATTTTGCCCCAGTAAGACTAACACAAAGCTAAGTGATTAGAAATTGCTTTGGAGAATAGGGGGTTTAAGACAAGACTTCCTTGAGGTCTGGGTAAAGAAGGGGCCAATACACTAGGCAATAACCAAAGTCCTTCAGTTGGTGACACAGGAAGCAATTCATTTAATCAATCATTCAACCAATTCATTTAATCCTAAACTTCCTCATTAGCAAGACAGCCAAACCCAAATGTCTCAGATTTATGGCACATAAAGTAATTGAAGAGAAGGAACCAGAAGACTACCTATTGCAAAGGGCATACTGCTAAAATATAACCCATTTAGCACCATATTTAGTGCACTGAGAAGAAAAAAAAAATCGGATGGAGCAGTAGTGACTTTACTGCCTCTGGTAAATATGACCATAGACTTCCTGGGATAGCACCTTCATAAGACAGGGACACGTGGCAGACAAGAATGAACCTACTGACTCAGCATCCCCCACCGAAATCACATTACAAAATAGAGTTTATCTAAACTTGCATTGCAAGCCTCTTGCTCTACTTGCTTCATTTTATCACAAGGCTTACATAGCCACTCTGGCTGAAAGGTGGGGGGCTGCATCCTCAGATGCACACTGTCTGTGCTTTCCACAATGGAAGAAGAGGTGTTCTCAGCATGGCATCAGCCACCACACGGCCTGCTCTCATGGAGATGGTTCAGCACCCAGGGACCTGACGGGAACAGTGGACAGCATACAATACAATACTCAAAACAAATGGGCTGTCCCTGCCAAGTGAACGCTATAGGCTGCAAGGCACTAGCTTATTCCAAATGTTAAGAATCAGCTTCCATTTTTGGAGGAACTATAGCGTAGGTTTCAGAACCTGGGTCCCTGGTTCAAAAAATCCATGAATCCCTTCTCCCAAACACACACAAACACACACACACACACACACACACACACTCCTGGAGGATGGTATAGATGGGTTTCATACCTAGGCTTATCAGACTCCTGTGTTTTCCCAAAACTCGCCAGATGATAAAAATACACCTGAGTCCTTATTACAGATACTAATCCCTAGCTCTCCCCTAAGGATCCAAGGTGATTCTTATCAGAGCCACTAGGCTAACAGACTTTAAAGAAAAATGTACATTATACAAACTAAGATATACATAAACTGTGTTGAGTTTTCCCAGGAAAGAAATGGGGAATGATAATTTTGATTAATTACTTTCCAGTATTTTGGGGACTGGGTTGCAGGTGGGAGTAGGATATATTTGACTATTCCTTTAGAAGTCACTAAGGAGCCTGGAACAAGGCTGAGAGCTTTTTATCTGCCTGAGTCCTATGACAGGAGTATTAATACAACAGCTTTACTTGGTTTAAAGAAAGAATTATTTTACCACCCACACTAATCTCTTCTGGCAAGAGGCAGAATTCTGCTGTGGCTACTCACAAAAGATGACGGAGCCCAGCAATCCTTTCTTCACAGAGATAGAGGGGAATTTGGGACTTTTCAAAATATTAATATAATCTCACTTATTAAGATAAAATGATGTGCTAAATAAAGCACTGGAAATTTTCACAAGTGCAGCTATCCTTTTTCTTTCTTTCTTTTTTTTTTTAATGGAAAGGCTCTATAAGACTGCCCATTTTCACATCATAGCCTAAAATATGAACGTCTTGATATGCTATGTAAATGTGTGCTATTTTACCAGAAGTCAAATAACTGGACGAGTCACCACGCAAGATAAAATAAATTGTAGCTAAGAGAAAAAACTAATAGCAAGGCTCGCTTCTTCCTTGTCATAGGCGTGGATCCTCTGCCAGGGATGCCTATGTATGACGGTGAGTGTGCCTGAGGGTAACTCCTAACTCCACCTAATCACCCTACTTTAGAATCAGTTAACCAGTACACTTTTCATTAAGTTTATCAAAGGCCCTTTCTTTTCTTTTAAAACTATAAGAGACAGAGACAGAGAAAGGAAGGAAGAGAAGCAAACAAGCTTGCCTTTTCTATACCGTTCCATCACACAAAACCCTTCTTGTGAGGTCTTCAGAAATAACAATTCAGCAAAAAGTGACAGCAGAGCAACCACTGGGTCAGCCCTTATAAGTCGTTTTCAAAAAGCTGCTTTCAGTGAATCAATTTTCAATGTTGTTTCAGTTATTCTTAGATAGAAAACTTTCTACCCCCTCCCCTTCTCCTTTGGAAATTTGGTAACCATAGTTTCTGTATCCTGCTGAGACTTGATATGTAGAGCTGTATTCTACCTGCTATTAAGCTGCTGATAGCAGTGTTTCTGTTGCAATTTATGAGCAATGTCAGCTGAAGGCAGAGAGTATTGTACACACTATATTTTCCCAGCTGGAGATCTCCGTGAATGGAAAGCAAAAACATGAATACACATGCACTGTGGGCTTGAGGGAATAAAAAGGCAGAAAAGAGTCAGCAGGCTAAAATCAGGTGGGTGGTCCTGATTATAAACTAAGTAGATAATAAAATATTCAAAGGAAGCTCTAACTAAATAGTCAGAAATAGAGACACACAATATAAAGAGAAGCCCAGAAAGGTCTTTTTCTGCCTGTGTATCTCCTGCCCAATTCCTAGATCAGTAATGTGCCAAGACTCACCTTGCCACCTGGGGTTTTAAATAACTCACCATATCCGAAAGGTCATTTGAAACCACAAAAACAAATCCCATTCCACATTAAGTTTCTAATAACTACTACAGCACATGGTGAGAACACCAGATTTAATTTCTCAACCTTCTCTTCTAAATGTGTCTACCCACACAATACCTCAAGAGTCAAATTTGTCTCTTTTCCCTTAAACAAAAATATTTTATATGGAGAAAGAAACTAGGCTCATCTTTGGGGCTAAGAAACAGGCACATCATACTGTCCTGGGGCTTCTCTTTTTTTTTTTTTTTTTTTGAGACAGGGTCTCACCCCAGAGTGCAGTGGCAGGATGACATCACAACTCACTGCAGCCTCAACCTCCTGGGCTCAAGCCATCCTTCTAGCTCAGCCTCCCGAGTACCTGGGACTACAGGCATGAGCCACCACACCTGGCTAATTTTTTAAATTTTTTGTAGAGATGGGGGTCTCCCTATGTTGCCCAGGCTGGTATCGAACTCCTGGGCTCATGTGATCCACCTGCGTCAGCTTCCCAAACTGCTGGGATTACAGGCATGAGCCATTGTGTCCAGCCCCCTTGGGCTTCTTTATCATCAAGTACACAGAAAAGGTAACAGGCCTCAGAGAAGCCCAATTCTACAGAGAAAAAAAGAATCAAATAATGAATTAAGAAAGTATCCAGGAAAAACATTTTTAAAAAGTCATTCTTTCCCTAAGAATTCTACCGAGTAATACAACATAAAATATTAATAGGCACCTAGTTAAATAAACTTGATTTAACTCTCTCTCAGCCAAATATAATACAGAACTGGTTTGTCTGTGTCAGTGATTTCCAATCCTAGTGCTCATTAATTATAAGGGAGGTTTTGTTTCATTTTGTTTTTAAATAACCACAGCATGGCTGACTCCTAAATATTGTGATTTGGTTGATCTGGATCCCAAAGGCCACTTATTAAAAAAAAGGAATTCTTATGTTTAACCAGAGTTGAAAACCACTGGCCTATGCTCTTCCTCCATGGAAATAATGAATCTCTAAAGAACTAATAAACTAATCTAACTATGCCCTCAATTACCTCAGTAAGGCTAAGTTGACTGGGAAACAGGAAAACTGTCTCCTGATACTAAATGAAAAATGCATGCAAAATGAATAATTACAAAAAGCAAAAGGACCTTCACTTATTTTCACTGTAACATAGTTTAAGATGTTTCTCAAGTAACACTGGAACAGATCTTCAGTATAGTTGTTCAACTGTCTTCCTAATCAGAATTTAGTGTTTTGATTCAGACACTCATCTCATAGTACCAATAAAATAAAAATACTGAGCCTATTAAATTTACCAAGCCCAGAGCTAAACCAGGGGAAAAGTGATTACCAATTAAATAGCAACATGACATTCTTTGAAGGAACAGCCTTTTGATGTTACCTTCTCAAATGCTAAAAGGCAAAACTCTCAGATCTTAACCTTGTTCAGAGGAAGTCCAGAGAAAACAACTATGTCTCCTAAAAATTATTTCATCGGAAAAAAGTATGAGCCCAAGTCATTTATCATAGGCTTGTAGTGAGTATGAGGTGACAACAGTAAGTTCCTACTAAGTTAAGGTGACTCTCAAAGAAACAGGAAAAAAGGGTAACTGCAGTGGACTGGCTATTCTCAAACTGCAGAAAAAACATAACCCGAAAGACTGGGTACATGCAATTAATACATTTCTGGAGCCTCCAATAGCCAATGAGGGGGCCTAACTTAACTATCAGGTCCCAATACCCACCCCGCATCCCCACCATCAGTATGAGCATAGTTTGTGCATCCTTTCAAATGGATTCAGCACAAAGCTGCAAATGCTTGTTATTATTAAACTCAGTGTACTTAACTCACACCAGGAGAACTTTCTCCTACAAGAGATTGGAAATCTCTTACAAATGATTAGAAACACCAGACAATATGATGGTTATAGATAGAAATACAGATACGTAGATATCTCTCCCACTCTTAATTATTATGCAATTGGTTAACTAGTTGGTGGATTAAGCAGTTTGTACATTTTTTGGACACTGTAAAACATTTATATTTATCCTCCAACCACAAGAGATGGTCTTAAACTTTTAATTTATTTCCTAGTAAAAAAAATGTATAAACATTCTTACACAATGCTAGGCACATAATAGAATTCGATAGATTCTATTGAATGAGCTCAGCTTTTCATCTTTTTTTTTGTTGTTCATTTCTCTTTTTTAATATAATACTATATCTGAGTATGTCCTTAAAACAAAAATCATGAAAACAAAATAGAGTTAAACACAAACCAGACAACAGCTCAAAATTCAAAAAAGCCTAAATAGAAAATGGAGTAGGGGAGAGGAAACCTCAGGTATAATAAGACTTCTCATCAGTTTTGATGCATATTCCTATTATCAAATGCTTATCTCTAAATCGGCTGTTTATTTCAAGGATATATACAGCATGTAGTTTATGATCATTTAACTACAGAAAGAAAGCAATTATAATTGTTTCCTCACATGGCATAATTTGATGCCTTTTGCTGCTTATATACGTTTTCACTAAATATGAAATTTTTTTTTAATTATTCAAAAGATAGTATGTACTTGCAAAGCAAGTTTCTCTGCTCAGAGGCAAACCAGGTAAATTATGAGAAAATTCACTCATAAAGATAATAATTCTAGAAGTGGAATATTTACTGGGCCATGTTCCCCAAACTTGCATTATCATAAAAATCATCGTGGAGCTTGGCATTCCTCTAAACATTCTCCTGTAGATTCTGGTGTGGTATCCAGGAATCTGCATTTTAGCAAGCACTACACATTATAGGTAAATTGAATCATCAGGTAAAGTCAGACAAGGGCTAACCTATCTGTGTCTGGTACTATGTTCAAAGAGCCCATAATTGAGTGCAGTGGTTCAAAAACCGCTGCACATTGGAATCAACTGGGTGGTCTTTTAAGCTTTGATGCTCATACCCATTTAAATCAAATTCTGTGGAAATGGGGCCCAAATATCAGTAGGTTTTAACTTGCCTAGGTGATTCCAGTGGGCAGCCACATTGGTGAACTAATGTTCCAGCCTAGTTTAGTGGTTCTCAGTTCTCACTGCTCATCAGAATAACTTGTAGGAAGTTACAAACTAACTCATTAAAAAAATGCATAGACTGCATATTAAATCAATTAATTCAGAATATTTGACCATTAGGGCTGAGCCAATGCATTTTTTTTCTAAGTTCCTAAAATGATTTTGTGTGTTTGTTTTGCTTTGAGACAGAGTCTCCCTCTATCACCCAGTGTGGAGTGCAATGGTATAATCATAGCTCACGGCAGCCTCAAACTCCTAGGCTCAAGCAATCCTCCTACCTCAGCCTCCTGAGTAGCTTGGACTACATATATGCACCACCACACCTGGCTAATTTTTTTATTCTATTATTGTAGAGATAGGATCTTACTTTGTTGACAAGGTTGGTCTTGAACTCCTGGACTTAAGTGATCTTCTGCCTCACCTCCCCAAATGCTAGGATTACAGGGGTGAGCCGCCACACCCAGCCCTAAAATGACTTTAATATGCAGTCTAGATTGAGAAGAATGGGCCTAATCGATTCTAAGGTTAATCAAAAGTATTTAAACAACTTAATAAGCTTTTATCCAAACACGCTTTCTCTGCAAAGCACATGACTATGTTTGCCAAATACAACAACTAATTAAAAACAAATAAATTAAAAACAAAACAGTCTCTCCTTTGAAGGAGACTGCAACTCAGCTAGTCAGATAAAAATACACCCTGATGAAAAAACAAGAGGATATTAAAGAGTATCAGCAAGGGTGAAATTTACAGAAGGCTGAACACCTAAGTGCTAAGAAGAAAACTAAAAATGTTATTAGTAAGTTTCCAGTACATGTTAGCTAAGTGACAAATCATTCAAACGTGTGCAAATTCTTGACAAAAATTACTCAAGCTGACTTGGAGATCATGGATTTGAAATATAAAGTCTTCTGGAGCCTTCCAACCTAACTGATCCTTTTCTATTTGAAGACTGCTTTCTTCCTGCAGGAAAATTTACAAAAAACACTTTCAATCCACATTCCCTTCACAAACATTTAGGCTAGTATGGCCAGTGGCAGTTTAGGTATCTGTAACACATTCTCATAATAATGTTTCCATTTTTTATAGCAATATTGTATCCGTTAATATTTTATGTTTACTAAATCCTTAATCCCATTTTATAGACAGAAAAATAAGGCCTAAAGAGTTTAATGACTTGTTTAAATGACTCTTGTCCCTGTCAGGATTCATTCCATGAGACTACGGCCATCATTTTTTTAGAAATACCCTTAATCTATCTGTTATTTAAGGGAAATTCACTTTCTCCATCCATTTTTATGCTCTGCCCCCTCACGGCGTTAGGCACTTCTAGGTGCTTGGAATACAGTAGCGGACAAGACAGACTCCATGCCCACATGGGGCAAGAGAGATAATAACCAAGCAAGCAGCTATAATTTTAAGTACTAAATTCTTGATGAAAATAAGGCAAAGGTTTAGGAAGTAATAGGAGAGAGACTATTTTGGAAAAGGGAGTCAAGAAATGCCTTTCTGGGAGGTAGTATCTCTGCCAAGAGCTAAAAGACATGAGACAGCTGGCCACACAAAGGCCTGCTGGCAGCAAGGAGATGGGCTGCAGAAGTAGAGATGTAGCATTCTACTTGTTCAACAAAGCCTGTCTCAGAAGTCATACTTGAAAAATGGTACATATTTATTGAGAACTTAGTGTGTTCTCAACATTAAATGAAGTCAAAGAGATGTCATCAAAGGCCTTTGGTGAATGCTACTGGAGAGAAGTAACCAGAGAAGCCTAGAGCCATCTGAGGGGCGAGTGCAAACAATAAACGCTCTGTGAACCCAAGAAGGAGAGGTGAATGCAGCATATGGAAATGAAGTAGGCACTTCTTGGAGGTTTTCTTTTCCTTCTGTTTATCTTTCTGATCTTAAAATTCCATTTGACTCTTCAAGCTGTAGTTTTAACAAATATTAATGAAATGCATTTTGCAGAAGCAATGACTTATCTAGACCGCTATTAAGAGCAGACAAACAAAGCTCCTGTTCCTTTACACTATTGTGTAAATATGGAACTTTCTTTGAAGTGTGTAACAAAGTCATTTTATAATCTATAATACCTAAAATATTTTGTGACGTACCGTGTTAGCAAAACAAATCTTTAAAAAAAAATAGCCGCACACTATTTAAAGTAGATTGGTTTGTTTAACAACTGGCTTAGATACCAGGAGAAAGTGTGTGAAATAGTAAAGAACTGGCCACAACCCAAAAGTCCATGGGCACAAGAATGGATAAATAATAATGGTATATTCAAACAACATGATGCAGCATTAACAGTGAACTCATGCTTCATGTTGAGTGAAAAAAGCAAGTTGGAAAAATATACCATATGTGATTCCATTTATGCAAAGTGCAAAGCCATGCAAAACTAAGCAATGCATTATTTAGGAATTTAGAGGTATATGATAAAACATGGGAATAAAAACCACAAAATTCAGGATAGCGGCTATGTAGGGAGGGCAACAACCACAATAGGGTTAAGGAAGGATCACTGAGGGGTTAAAAAAGTCCTGAAAGTGAAATTTTCTATTACTTAATCTAGTGATAGGAAATATACGTTTGCTTTCATGTTGTTTCTTATATCTTATGCATATGTTTTAAAATATTATTTTGCATATATATTTAATGTTTAATAAGACAAGATTTTAACTGATTTAGGAAGAACTCAGATCTTCACCCAGATACATTCATGCTTGTTTCACATTTGTCTATAAATTCCTTTTCTTAAGCTTAAATTTAACATCCTTTCTTGCATTTATTCAATATTTTGGTGAACACAGCCTGAAGGAAAAGAAAAATAATCCCCCCCTTTGAAAGGGAAAACATCTTAAAACACAAAGTAAATTGTGAATGAAAACAGTTTTTCCCTGAGGAGCCATGGGAAACTGGAGCGAGAACTCTCCTCTTCTCCTCTTCAACTGAACACACAGTCTATGGTGTCCTGATCTGTTTGACATAGGACACAGCACAGGGTCTGTAAGGAACACTGCAGCAACATTCGCGTACAAGGGTATACTTTACAGGAAACCAAGGATTAATTTTCCCAAGGCTCACAGGCAAGTACTTCCAAAAAAGGGAAAAATACAACTATTACATATCCGTGCAAATCAAAATTCATAGAACAGTGGCAGGCAGCCAACCCAACTATTTCAGGTCTGCTCTCCCATCTGCTTGGCCTGTTAACTGTCGGAAAATACAAGCAAATCGCTTCTTCTGCAACTAATTCTCAATAGGGCTCCTAAAAACCAGACTCCATGATGCAACTTTAATAAGACAGAACAGCTTATTATGATCAATAGAGCAAAGCCTTCCAGCAGTTGCAAAGCCAAAAGCTAGCTCAAATGCCTCTTTGGTGGACACAGAGCACGAACACCACCCTTGCCCAGCACTGCAGAAGGCCCCGAGCCAGAAACACTCAGACACCAGGAAGCAGCTCTCAGTCCTTATTCCTCTCTGCAGATGAACCCAAAGGCGTTCTCATCCTGCTAGATTTTATTAGCCCCAATATATGGTAATTAATTTACTGCAGGCTCTTAATTCATAAATGGATCAAATAAAGCCTTACATGGCTTTTGGCAGCCAACCCTTACTAAATTATGGTGACTAGAAGTTTGTTCAAATGCTGCCCGTAAGTCAGCCCCTTCAGCTTGTAAAGTTCAATTAGAGAGTTCTTAGCTTATTGTGTGCCTTAAAGCTTCAAAGAAGGCATTATTCATGCCTTTTCCACCACCAAAAAAGGAAAGCTGGCAATGAAGCAATTCCTAGAATGTTGATCCAGGCATTACCAAGAAATCTTAAAACTTCAACTCTCAGTACCCAAAGGCCTCCACTTTGGGACAAAAATCCCATCAAATTGTAATAGACTAAAATTAATCTAATTAACTATGGAAATCCACATAATAATGAAATGGCTGACCAAGAATGCACAAATAGAACCACCTGGCAGAGTTTCTTTTTCTACATTCCCCTTCTAAGTGCCACTGATAGGTTCCTGTAAATGTAGTCTAAACAGACGGGGGACTTAACCGGAGGCCAGAAAAGGACAACTTGGAACTGCCATTCCCACCACAATGGGCTGCCATTCCGTTCCCATGCTCACATCTAGACTGGCAGGCAAAGCCAGGGGTGTCACTTGCCAAAGGTTTGAGTCTGGCTAGCATTTTCTGAGGGTGCGTGTTAGTTGATGTGTGTTTCCTTTGTATGCTGTCTACTTCTGCCAGGGCTGATGACAGCTCTGCCCAGGGCCCATGAGCCAAAAGCTTTCCCTCTGATTCTTCCTTTCCCAACAGGTAAGTGACTGGACTCTAGTGCTCCTTCCTGTGGGCTGTTCTGTGGTTGCCCTCAGATATGAAAAAAGATTGGTGTATTTTCCCAAGAGTACACCATTAAGTCAGAAAAGTCCTGGGCAACAAATCTCCAGGTCTGTCTGCAAAAAGAAGAATTTGGTCCTGCCAGTTCAGTAAACACCCCGGCCTTTCTTATTGCCGTGCAGCAGACTTACATGAAGGAGCAAGAAAACAATTCCACTGTGAGCTACTGCCGGGGAAGCCAAGGCTCTAAATCTCCTTGAAGTTGAAAACAAATTAGCAGCTTTGCCTGCATCAAGCTGGCCATCTGAAAGGAGGCTTCTTTTCACTCCAGCATTACAAACTGTGCTCCTCGAAGATAACACTTTTAAGGATATAAAAACGTTTCCTTCAGTTTACTGCCTGTCACCTATTTACTCAACTGGCAGAACAGCACGGACTCCATGCAACAAGCTCCCTCTGGGTGCCTGTGTAGGACTTGAGCAACATGGGAGGGAGCGGGGACAGAAGTGGGAAGATTGTTTTCAGTCAGGTTGAAGTCAAGTCATGAGTTCACTTGACTTCTCCTTCCTTCCCTTCCCTTCCTTCCTTCCTTCCCTCCCTCCTTCCTTCTTTCCTTTCTTCCTTCCTTCTTTTCCTCCCTCCCTCCCTCCTTCCTTCCTTCCTTCCTTCCTTCTGTCCTTCCTTCCTTCAGACAACACATATTTATTGGTAACAGCCAATGTGCTGGGCACCGGGGCTACATACATGGACAAGAGAGAGAAAAATCCCTGCCTCAGAGTAAGATATCAATGTGATATTTAAAATCACCTTTTACAGTCTCCACTCAAGGAAGGCAAGCAAGTACCTGTTATTATTCTGAAGTAGGTAGACTAAAGGAAAAAGCACCTTTCTAGGCTGAGAAGAAAAACTTGAAAATACAGGTGACTGAATGTGCTTTGGTTAAGATAGCAGAGTGCTTTGGAGCTCTGGGGAATACACCCTGCCCCGTGGCTTGGTGTTACCACAGAACATAGCAGTGTACCTTGGTTTTAAGGAGGTGTCTTCCATGCATCTGTCCCTTGTAGAAGGAAAGTGCTTATGAGATCTGTCTTTTCCTAGGACTTTGATTCTTAGAAGTGCAGATATTAAAGGGCTGGTCAACATTGAAAGAATTTGTGAAAAACCAGCTTGGCGAACAGCTCATGTTGATAAGTAAAGATAAAAACAGAGCTCAAGCCCAACATAATGATCTGGCAAGGACCTATAAGGGAGGGAGGTAGGGCTGGGTTAGGGGGACTCTGGCCATTCATATGCTGCTGTTTTAAGTCCCAAGCTTATAGTCTTCTGAAAACCAAGCATCGCTGAAGCCACATTTGAAAAAAAAATAGGCCAAGCAAACCACAATAATGATAAATTAAATGACTAGATCTCCGTAGAAGGATAATTATGATGGCACATTCCATATTGACTGAAATTATCTCTATTTCAGGTCATGGAATAAATAACAGCTATGAAGAAATTACAACAAAGAAATGTAAAGCTCTAAAAATTTTCTTATTTGTAAAATGGGGATATTATGGCCACAAAAAAAAAAAAGGAAGATTTAAGTCATAGTTTATAAAGTTTATATAATGAAGAGTGAATCCTTCACTCTCTTTTTTTCCAAAATTGGCACCAAGAAAGTTGGCTGCCAGCTGATCAGTGAAGCCTTTTCGGGGAAAACTGATAAAAGCAAGAGAAAAGGAATATGGGAATTGCAACTCTACAGAAATAATTGATCCAGGTCTGCCTATACCATCAACCAGTTCTACTGAAGCATGTAGAATTTCAAACTAGCTTCTCAGCGCACCACTCATAGAAGCAGACAGCCAACAGTCATAGGCATTTGAGGAAAGTCTCCAACAAAAAATACACATGACAAATCACACACATAAACAAAAAAGAAACTTAGACGAATTAAAAGCAATGCTGACAATAAAAAGAAGAAATTAGAAAAGCTAATTAAATATCTTCAGAGAAATGAGGAGATGCTTCATTCATGAAACTAGAATAGAAGGCTTTTTAAGAGAGCAATGCCAATAACCAAAATAGAAAATAAAAAGCGCTTAGAAATTAAAAACTACATGAGGGAAATGAAAAAGCAAAGATAAATTTGAAAAACTCTCCAGGCAGAAAATACAAAACGCATATAAACCAGAGTTTTGAAAAAGAAGGAGAAAGATCAGAAAAGAAGATTGGTAGAGGAGGTTCAACTTCTACATAAAATGAGTTCCAGAAAGAGAGAGCATGGAAATGGAAATTAATCCTTTCTAAAGAAATACATCTATAAAATTTCCAAAACTGCAGGACTTGAGTTTTCAACAAGAGGACCAAGCTCAGAACAACAGATTAAAAAAAGAATCCCAGGCCAGGTGCGGTGGCTCACGCCTGTAATCCCAACACTTTGGGAGGCCAAGGCGGGCACATCACTTGAGGTCAGGAGTTTGAGACCAGCCTGGTCAACATGGTGAAACCCCGTCTCTAATAAAAATACAAAAAAAAGTTAGCTGGGCGTGATGGTGGGAGCCTGTAATCCCAGCTACTCAAGAGGCTGAGGCAGGAGAATCACTTGAACTAAGGAGGCGAAGGTTTCAGTGAGCTGAGATTGTGCCACTGCACTCCAGCCTGGGTGACAGAGCGAGACTCCATCTCAAAAAATAGAAAAGAAAAGAAAAAAAGAATCCTAGCAACTCCGGAGGCTGAGCTGGGAGCATCACTTGAGGCCAGGAGTTCAAGACTACCTTTAAACTCCTAGGAAGATCCCATCTCTACAAAAAATAGAAAGAAAAAAAATTGGCCTAGCATGTTGGCACATGACTGTTAAGTCCCACCTATTTGAAAGCCTGAGGCAGGACGATCCCTTGAGCCTGGGAATTTGTGGCTGTAGTGTACTAGGACCATGCTACTCACTCTAGCCTAGGTGAAGGAACAAGTCCCTGACTCTAAAAAAGGACTCATGCTAAAGGATGGCATTGACATATGTCAGAATACTGGAAACAAAGAAAAGATGAAAGTTTCTGGGGTGGAGCAATAGGTATCAAATACAAGATCTGAAATCAGGAAGGACATTGGACTCCTCGGAGACAACACTGGGGAGCTCAAAGCAAAGGAGCATAATCTCCAGAAGTCTGAAGAAAAATGATTTTCAACCAAGTCTTCATGTGACCCCATTATCAATCAAGCATGAGGGTAGACAGAAGACATTTTTACGCGTTACATTTTTTAAGCATCTGAGCTTTCAAAATGTTGACTTCCCATGAATGCTTTTCTTTTCTTTTCTTTTTTGAGATGGAGTTTCGCTCTTGTTTCCCAGGCTAGAGTGCAATGGTGCAATCTCCTCTCACTGCAACCTCCGCCTCCCAGGTTCAAGCGATTCTCCTACCGCAGCCTCCCCAGTAGCTGGGCTTACAAGCGCCTGCTACCATGCCTGGCTAATTTTTCTACTTTTAGTAGAGACAGGGTTTCGCCATGTTGGCCAGCCTGGTCTCAAACTCCTGACCTCAGGTGATCCTTCCGCCTTGGCCTCCCAAAGTGCTGGGATTACAGGCGTGAGCCACTGTGCCCGGCCTACCATGAATCCTTTTTTAGGAAGCTATTGGAAAATGTGCACCACGAAAATGAAGGGATGGACCAAGAGAAATGAGTCAGGAAATAGTGTATCCAACATAAGAGGCAATGGCATCTTCAGAATGGTATACAAGAGATATTTCAGATTTTTATAGCTATGAATAATGCCTAAGCAATCAGTCCAGATTGGAGAAGGTCAGAAAACTCTGGGAGAGACTATCCCAAAAGATAAAACATATAGAACTTATACTTGGTGTATTTCAATACACCCAGAAGCAATTTATAATTCTGGCATGACAGTTGATGGTGAATCAGTGTGGATGCACAGAACACTAAGCAAACAAAAAAATAAGTTATTAACTTGTGGAAAAGAGTTGGATTAGAAAAGGTAATCATAGAACATGACTGTGCTGTAGTCATAATGTAAAAACTGAATATTGGCCTAACCATAATTACTTGTGGTGGGCAGCCTCATAATTACTTGTGATGGCCCCTAATGACCACTGCCTCTTGGCATTCACACTCTTGTGTGATGCCCTCCCCTGAGTGTGGGCTGAACTTACTTATAACGAACAGAAGTAATGAGCTATCATTTCTAACATTAAGTTATTCCAAGACTATGAATTCCATTTTGGGTGCTCTGTCTCTCTCTCTCTCTCTCTCTCTCCCCCTCTCTATCTGATCTTGCTGGGAAGCAAGCTGCCATGTTGTGAGCAGTCCTATGGAGAGGCCCACATGGCATAGCAAGTCAAATTGCCCCGTGAGGAATTAAAGCCTGCCAAAAACCATGTAAGGAAGCTTAGAAGTGGCTCCTTCATCTCCACTGGATGGGGTCTTCAGCTGACAGTAGCACCTGCCTACAGCCTGATTGAAACCTTCTGAGACAACCTGAGCCAGAGGCACCAGCTAAGTTGCTCCCAGATTCCTGACCCATGGAAACTGTGGGATATGTTTGTTGTTTTTAAGGTACTATCATCTAGAATAATGTGCTACATAGCAATGAAGAGCTCATAACTCATAATTATATTGGAAGTATGGGTGGTGGTAAAATATATTTGTGTTGGGGGAAAGGGTGAGTAAGGGAGCTAAATCATCACCTTCCATAATAAAAAGTTACTATAAAATACCTAAAACTGAAAAATAAATCAAGAAATATCCACATAAACATGTGTTTTCAAAATATAGAGGAAAATGCCAGTTCAAAGAGTTTAGTGAGTTGCTTCCGGAAAGTAGAAATTGGGTGAAGGGAAAGGTGAAATATGAAACTACTGTTCTTTGTTATGGGCCTTGTAGAGCTATGTGGCTGTTTAAACTATATAAACATATAACCTGAATAAAAGTTAAAAAGAAAATTCAACTACATTTATGTGTTAACTCTCGTGCATCCAATAAATTCTGTATTTCACAGTGGTCTTTTGAGCATTCTAAGGAATCTTAATACAAGGTATATATAAGTAGCACTAGAAGTCACTGGATCTGGTACAGGCACGTTAGACCAGGGGTTCCAAAACCTGCTAATGAAACTGGTAAGACTCTACCACTTAGGAATCTTATCAGATAATGTCTTTAATGGGTTCATTCTTCTTTGGAGTGTATCAGAGCATAAAATAAATGTCAGTCTACTCAAACCAGACCCTGCTTTACCTACAGAAGTGCTACTAGTTTAATAAATGATGTGAGTAAACAGAGTCCTAGAAACAGATCTATTTTTGGAGACTCAAGTCATGGCTACTCATTCAACAGGACTTTGCACTATGGCTAATGCCATCAGGGCTGACTATTTGCTAATAATTTTGTTTAGAATTCTTTAAGTCTGAAACGATGCTGGCATGAAGAGCACCTTAAGATCTTTACCACTCCTTTGCTACCTGATTCTGCCATGAAGAACACTCTAATATCTTAACACTCCTTTGCTACCTGAATTTCAGGTATCTTCAAGAGATTATTATGTACTCCAACCTCCACCCCTTCACTGTACACATGAGGAAAGTGAAGCCAGAGCCAAGAAAACACAGCCAGAGGGTACGAAAAGGGAGGTTGCAGCCCTGTTCTCTTGACACCTGATCCAGTGCTTTCTTCCAGGGTTCTTCTTTTCCCTTATAACTTATCAATCTTACCCATAAGTCCTAAGGCATTTCTGAACTACATCATATTTAGGTTATATAAAATGCATTAGTTTTCACAGTGGATGGGGGATAATGTCACCAAAAGGAGAGGACGCAACAGCAGGAATACTCTGAAAGAACTTCGTTAGGTCATCATATGTACATATATTTTTATAACAAATGGGCGTAGTGGGAAGTGAGAGTTCCCAACAGAAGCTCACCACTTAGTTTTCCTTTTCCTTTTAACTGGTCTCCCTTTTCCCTTCTTTTAAAACCAGTACACTATAGTAACCTCAAAGTTACAGCAATCACGCCATTTTGTTTTAATTCGGTTTTTCTCATGGTTTAGCTACAGGTCTTTTCTCAAAAACAGTTTGTCCAATAGTAGTCATAACTGAAATACCAAGAACTGTTGAGGATTCTGCAACAATACATTTTTTAAATCTGCTAAGTGGATAGCTGCTAGACTATTGCAGCCAAAGAATAAAGAATTTTTAAGCAAAATATTACAGATGCTTCTTGATTTATACAATCATGCCCTTTCAGAGGATCTTAATAAACACAGTATTTTGTATGAAATATAAATGCACTTTTTGCTTAGTTGTCATGAGGTATTATAAAGGCAAGTAACTTCTCACATGCTTTTGAAGTCACACACTATCAACTCCAAATACTTTTCACTATTCATGTATCCAAAAAAGAAGTTCATACGTAATAGAATTAAGGCTTTGGCTGCCTTCAAGTGAGTTTAATGTTTTCATTTTGGGCTCTAATCAATCTTATTATGCCTACCAACTGGCCTGGCACTCTTGCTACACTTTTGTTGCTTTTCATTAATGATCGGAATGAAATAAACGGGGGAATGACATAAAACACTGAACCATAGCAAGTTGTAGTGCCAGAATTCACAGAGCGAAAGAACAACACAAAATTAGGCTCCCTGACAATCCCCTAATATTCTTCTGTAAACACCAGACTATTCTTTTTACTTTCCAAAATACACAAACAATTTACCCCAAGGAATGCATGAAGTGACAGTTGCATACCCACTGGTAGAGTATCTGCATCTCCCTTGGGTAAAGTGTAGTGTAAAGCCTGACTCTCCTGATCAGGCGTAGTCAGGGTAGAGTCAAATCTAGAGGAAAAAAAAAAAAAACAACAACAGCAACTTATCAACAGACCCCAGGGGATCTGACTTAGCTGCCAGCCTGATTCTCCAGAGGAGGAACTCAGTACGCGGCCAGCCCACCTGATCCTGAAACCTTGAGGTGGGTATATGTGGTTAGAACAACTAGATCCCTCCCAAGCCATCACTAGAGCCACAGACCTCTGTGCTGTTAATTCTCCTTTGGACTCTGCCTTGATTTCTATGCAAGTCATAGATTCCCCCATACTTCATTTTCCTCACTGTGAGAAAATATAGATGGTGATGCTAAATCACAGCCTCAAATACTTAACAGTCACACTCAACATATGATGTGCTTTGTTGAAATTCCATACTTGGAAATGTGCTACTTGCAAGAAACTGCAAGCTAAGGAGGACTGGTATGGCTGATGATATTTATTTTAAGAAGACTTTTAATTCAAATGCCAAATATAAAGGGAGATTTCCTAGAGGGTGTATACTTCAGGGATTCTCTAGTAACTGGGAAATTTAAGGTAATGCTCTCCTTCTGAATCGTGGAAGATTAATGTGCAACCAATATAATTTTAAGTAGCTCACTCTATTCTGCTTCTTTAAAGCTGACCCTCCATTTCCTTAATCCCATTAGATTCTCTGTCCCTGTGAATGGGATAATGCCCTTCGGTCACCCTATCAGGCAGGAGTCTACGAAGAGACAAGTTCAACATGGTGCTACTGCTTTGCCATGAAGATTGTCCTGGTTCCTGGTCTATGGCCTCCTAATGTGTCTGCCCTTGAGTATTCAGACTTTTTGAACTGAAAGTGACTCTCACACACTTGCTTACTGCAGCCAGCTTCAAGAGGGAGCCAAGCCAATGCCCCAGTCCCAGTTGTGGCTCTTCTGTGTTTCTGGTACCCAGCCACACATGTTTGTCTGGACAATAAATAATTTTATATGTGCACTGTGTGCACTGTCTGGAACTGGCTGGCTTTTTGTATTCTGAAAAGTGACTAGGTCTTCTCATGAAGCTGAGGAAAACAGTGGAAAGCAGCTTTTGCAGGTTCTCTTTAAACAAGTTGGCCTCTGCTGCTGCTCAAGTGAAATAAGACACATTAAATGTTCTCAGTCAGCTCTGTCAACTTGAGTTACTTCAAAAGTTGTCTGTCAACATGGATATGAGGAAGACATCCACAAGACAGTATACAAACTGTGCAAAGGTACAAGTAAGTCCTCGAAGAGCTGGCAGGATCAAAACTGCCCACTGGGCCAGGAGAATACAAGGCATTGACTCTCTGAGGCACAGGAAGTGGTGGGCAATTTTTTTTCCTTGTTATGAAATATATAGTTGGAAACTACACTTGGGGTGTTTTTGTAAAAATATTTGGTGAATATCAAATTTTAAAAACATTTCACTTAATAAGCTGAATTAAGTTTCCACATTTCAGTCAAAACCTCAAACGGACAAGCAAATGTGTATTTATTTCCCTCACAGCATATTTTTTAAATAGCTAGTTATATTCATACACACGTAAACAGACTCAAAACTAGGAAAGACTAATAATATTAGATAAAACTAGAAATCCAGAAAGAACATACTTCCCACAGTCATTTTCTTTGGATGGTCTGTATCTCAGTTTTTCCATAAGAATAATGGGCCTAATTATGGGACTCATCTCCGTAAATGAGAAAATGCTAACTAGATGGTGTTGACAGAGCAACAGAAGGTTCTCCAGGCAAAAGTGTTTAATTGTTCAGATGCACCAAATGTGTCTTGTGTCACATAAAGGAAACAGCCACATTTCTGACACCCAAGGACTCAAATACTGTGAAAGAGTCTCAAATATATATATTGAAGACTTAAATATGAATGAATATCTATGGGTATAATGTGTATGTATATAATAAATGCTCAATTTACTATTCAATTCCAAGAAATTATCAAATGAGCAGTAAGCACCTTGCCTGCCTCACAGCACTTTTTTAACCTTCTTAGGTCTCCTGACTGGGTTATGTCAGACTTCGCTAGATACCCTGCAATTGTGCCCACGAGCCGAATTCCCCTTACTTTCTTTGTTGAGGACAGCTTTTGAAAATCCATGATATGACTTCTGTCATATTATAGTTCATTTTTCTTTTGCCAGGAAAATACCAGCCAAACTTATTTGAGATCAGAAAGGCCCCAGAAGGGCATATAGGAATGCTTTCGTAGATACTACTTTTAAAAACTACCTTGATGGTTCTTCCTCCTGCTGTAGTTATATACAGAAGAAGACAAGGGAAAAGAGACTACAAGAGGAAATAAAAGTAGCAGGGGGCAGGACAGCACTTGGGCATGCCAGGGAAAACTGCACACTGCATGCATCAAGTGACACATTATATATTATAAACAAATCATGAGACGCAAAATGCTTTCTAGAAAATCCTGTCCTTCATCCTTCTTTATTCTGAAAAAGCAGAATCCCAAAGAAAAATGTTTGCAGAGACAGCAACAAAAGTAAATCAGATTCCTTCCAGTTCAGAATGGATGTTTGACAGACTAATTTTCTCCCTTGAGTGTTTGAATTCTTCATATTTAAAAGTATCTTTTAACTTCCTTCACTTGGGAGAAAAAGAGCTGTAAGAGTCATTCTAGACACAAGCAGAAGTTAAGTCCCAACCTTTCTGTCATCCAGAGCAAAGCCCTCCATTGAGGCAGAGCCCAGCCGTGTGGTCTCTTGGGAGCATCACTTGCCCGCTTGCTTCCTCCTGCTGAACAATTTTGATTTTTACTATAAGGAGAAAGTCTCATTCCCTTTCTACCTAGGGTAGGACCCTGGATATGAACATTGAGAGCTATACATTTGACTTACAACTTCATCCCTTTGTCATCAAAATGTCAGCAAGTCCAAAGTTGGAAAGAATAACTGAGATGGGCAGTCTCATCCAGGAAATATAAACTGGTACAACTCTTAGGGGAAGCAGTTAGGCAATATGTGTTTCTACTACATTAGAAATGTTTGTATACTTCAACTCAGCAATTCAGTTTCCTGAAAATTGATCCCAGCATACAAATTCCAAATTCATAAAACAAAACAAAAAAACTTCATACACAAAGATATACTATGTAATCCTATTTATATTTATCTAAGAAGTTGAAAGCAATGTAAATATCCATTGTTAATGGAATTTAAATTAAATTAATCTTTGGTGTGTCCATTCCATGGAATATTTGATATTTTAAAAAATGCTTCCTAGAAAGTGTTTTCATAACATCAGAAATGCTTGTGTTTTAATGTTAAGATTAAAAGAAGGCAATATTTAAAAGTGTATCTACCTAGAACTACTAAGAAATTATAGCAAGGATGCAGGATATAAGGTTAATATACAAAAAGTCAATCAATTTCCTATACACCAATAATAAGTAGAATTTGAAATTAAAAACACAATAATATTTACATTAGCAATGAAAAAGGTGAAATACTTAGGTAGTATAAATGTAAAAGAAATACGTATAAGATGTATATGAGAAAAGCTAAAGACCAGGCATACTGGGTCATGCCCAAAATCCAGTGCTTTGAGAGGCCAAGATGGGAGGATCACTTGAGCCCAAGAGTTCAAGGTTACAGTGATACGCTTGTGATGTGCTTGATATGATTGTACTACTGCACTCCAGTTTGGGCAACTGAGCAAGACCCTGTCTCTAAAATAAATTTTTTTTAATTAGCCAGGTGTGGTGGTACACACCACCTGTAGTCCCAGCTACTCAGGAGGCTGAGAAGGGAGTATAGCTTCAGTCAAAAAGTTCAAACCTGCAATGTGCTATGATCACACCACTGCAATCCAGCATAGGTGACAGAGTTTAAGACCAGAGTAAGACCCTGTCCCTCAAAAAAAAAAAAAGAGAGAGACAGAGAGAGAAAGAACTGAAGAACTAGTTTCCAAAATATTCAAAGACCTTTTCAAATTCAATAATAAGAAAACAACTCTGTAAGAAAAATGGGCCAAAAACCTTAACAGTCAGCTCATCAAAAAAGATATACAGATGGCTGGTAAGTACCAGCAAAGAGGCTCCACATCATAAATTGTCAAGAAAGTTCACATTAAAACAATGAGATACCACTACACACCTATTAGAATGGTCAAAATCCACAACACTGACAACACCAAATGAACTCTCATTCATTTCTGGTGGGAATGCCAAACAGTATTGCCACTTTTCCAAAAAACAGTCTGGCAGGTTCTTACAAAACTAAACATACTCTTACCAGATGATCCTGCAATTGCACTCCCTGGTATTTACCCAAAGCAGTTAAAAACTTTATGTCCACACAAAAACCTACAAATGGATGTTTATAGCAGCTTTATTAATAATTGCCAACCTTGGAAGTTACCAAGATGTCTTTCAGGAGTGAATGGACAAATAAACCATGATACATCCAGACTCAATGAAATAATATTCAGTACTCCCAAGCATTGAGTTATTGAGCCACAAGAAGACATGGAAGAAACTTAAATGCATATTGCTAAGTAAAAGAAGCCAATCTGAAAAAGGCTACAGACAGTATGATTCCAACAATATGTCATCTTTAGAAAGAGCAAAACAATGGAGACAATAAAAAGATCAGTAGTTGCTAGGGATGGGGGAAGGAGAGATGAGTAAGTGGAGCACAGAAGATTTTTAGGGCAGTGCAAATACTCTGTATGAAACTACATAGTGAATACAGCTTATTATACATTTATCTAAACTCACTGATTGTATCACACCATGGGCAAACCCTAATATAAACTAGGAGCTTTGGGTGATGGTGTGTCAATTAGATTCACCAATTGTAACACATGTACCACTCTGGTGGGGAATGTTGATAATGGATACGCTATGCATGTGTAGGGGCAAGGGATATATGGGAAATTTTTGTACCTTCTTCTCGATTTTTCTGTGAACCTAAAACTGCTCTTACAAAACAGCCTTTTAAAAAAGTGTATCCAGGTCGGACACAGTGGTTCATGCCTGTAATTGCAGCACTTTGGGAGGCCAAGGCAGGAAGATCGCTTGAACCCAGGAGTTGAAGACCAGCCTGGGCAACATGGTGAGACCCCATCTCTACAAAAACACAAACAAAAAAAACCTTATCCACTGAATGATCTGAACTAAAGACACTAAGACAAAGGCAACAAAAGCAAAAATCGCCAAGTAACTAACAAGTAACATGTAACTAAAAAGATTCCACAGAGTAAAGGAAACAATGAACAGAGTAAAAGGAAAAAGAATGAAAAAATATTTATAAACTCTGTTTCTGACAAAAGGTTAATATCCAAAACAGGGACTCCTTCAAAGCAACAGAAAAACACACACACACACACACACACACACACACATAATGGAAAAGTGTGCAAAATTTTTTACACAACTTTTTTTACACAATTTTTCATTGGGTTATTTGTTATTTGCTATAATCCCAGGAACTCAAGAGGCCAAGATGGTAGGATCACTCGAGGCCAGGAGTTCAACACCAACCCGCACAACATAGTGAGACCCCCGTCTCAGCCAGGTATGGTGGCACACATCTGTAGGCCCATCCCAGCTACCTGGGAGACTGAGGCAGAAGGATCACTTGAGCCCAGGAGTTTGAGGCTGCACTCCAGGCTGGGTGACATAGCAAGACCCTGTCTCTTTTATTTAAAAAACAAAAACAAAACAAAAAAAAAAGGTGAGGGCTGGGGGAACCCTTGAATAGACTTTTCTCCAGAGGAGATACACAAATGGCCAACAAGTATGTGTGAAGATGCTCAGTGCTCAGCATCACTATCCACAAAGGAAATGCAATCAAAACCATGAGACACCATCTCATACCTGTTAGGATAGCCATTATTTAAAAAATCAAAAGATAACAATTCCACTTCTGAGTTATTTATCCAAACTGAAATCAGGATCTTGAAGAGATGTCTGTATTCCCATGTTCATCACAGCATTATTCACAATAGCCAACATATGAAAGCAACCTACGTGTCCATCAATGGGTGAATAAAGAAAATGCGGAATATACACACACTGGAATATTATTCAGCATGTCAAAAGGACATCCTATCATATGTGACACCATGCATGAGCCTTAAGGATATTACATCAAGTGAAATGAGCCAGTCACATAATTATTACACATATATGATGTATCTAAAGTAGTTGGCCAAGGCAGAAGCAGAGTGGAATGGTGGTTACCAGCAACTGTCGGTGGGTAAAAGGGGAAATTGCTGCTCAATAGGTATAAAGTTTTAGTTGTTCAAGATAACTAAGTTCTAGAGATCTGCAGTACAACACGGTACCTATGGTTAAGAATAAAAAAAAAAATCAAGAAAATGAACTAACATATGAAGTGGTCACCTAAATTGTGAGATTATAGAGTTTTTTCCCATCTACATTTTTACTTTTCTTCCCAAATCTCCTAAAATGGCATGTATTCCTTTTATAATTGAAAAATAAAAACCGTATTGAGGATATGAATGATTTGAGGGAAAAAGTATGTCAAATATTTTGTTCCTCCTTCCTTGTGCAGATTAATCTTACAATAACAAGGTTGGAAGCTGAAATATAATAAAATGTAATGAGATTTTATAATGGATTTTTAAAAATCAGTGACAAAGTAGATTTCTCTATTTTCAATTGTCTAGACCAAACTTAATTTAAAAGTAGCATATTCCTGACTAGAAAGCTACACTACTCAAACAGGTATCAAGACCATATCACTTTGTTCCACGAATTTATTCAACATTCAACAAATATGTATGGCGCACTGACTCTGTGCCAGGCGCTGGGGATCCAACAGTGAACAAAACAGATGGAATTTGTGCACTTAAGAAGCTCACAGCATAGTGGGGCTGAAAATGATGGTTTGTATACATCAACCCAGCTGAAGCTGATTCAAATACTACTGCCAAAATCAGATGCTAGAATTATAAAGAAATTCCTATCATTCCATGTTTAAAAATAAACTCCAGTTATTACATCACATTTGACTCCCTTTCCAAAGAGCACTTTGTAAAATAGACAGGAACTTTTGTGAAGGGGTAGACAGAAATCCAGAACACCCAGGAATTGTATGAAGAGCAAGGGCTCTGAAAGTCCAACCACAGTGTGTTCAAATTCAGACTCTCCCCCACTTGCCAGGTGTGCTGCCTGGCACAGATGAATCCCTTTCTAAGTCTCCTTTATTAAAATATAGATAATGACAGTGGGCTTATTTTGGCTTTTTTTCTGAGGATTAAAGGAAATCATGACCTGACAAGCATGCCTAGCACAATGCCTGGCACAAAGTAAGTACTCAACAAGCTAGTCCCTTCTATTGTCTACAAAACATACATGTTTACACATAAAAACAACAAAGAATCAAGGACAATGATGTAAAAGTCAACAAAATGGGGGGATTGGAGTAAGTGGTAATGACTGTTGAGGGTTACAGGGTTTCCTCTAGGGTGATAAAAAATGTTCTGAAATGAATTGCGGTGATGGTGGTACACCTCTGAATACACACAGAAAAAAACACTGAATTATACACCTTAAGTGCGTAGATTTTAAGTTATGTGAATTATATCTCAATAAAGCTGCTGTGAGAACTTATTTTTTAAATGTCAGTGGAATACTTTAATCAAATGCCTACCTATGATTACAAGCTATTCTTTGCAGCCAATGAGACCATCTCCATTTTGTAATTAGAAAATACATCTTCAGCTCAGTCACTATAATATTAAGACACTCAAGATTTTCTTACTAATTCCTTCTTTACAGGAAGAAGATTAAAAAGCAGAACAATACCACATATACACACAAATATTACAAGATAGCGCTTACATCTTTTACTATAACTAAGTCCTAAGAAAAAAAGTTTTAAAGTTTTCCATTATATATTCACATATAATAATAAACCTGGCTACAATATCAACCAACACAAAAAAAGAGGTAACAATGTCTTTACACAGTGAGTTTTAAACCTATTGGTTCATTACTTAGCACCTAATGTCACCACGAAAATATATACACAAATGACACCAAAAAACAAATATTTGATCTAAAAACATTAAACTGAATCCTACTCAACAGCAGCTTATTTTTCACATTGACAAGAGTTAAAGTGACGGTCTATGTTGTTGCTTTCCAACAAAATACACAATCACTCATCATATCCAAATTTGGCTGCATTCCCTCATCGGGAAAGCATAAAACAAGTAGGTCCAAGAGTAAAGCAAATCCAGGAAAATGGCACAAAACCCCGGACAATTCCTTCCTTTCTCTCCATTCAGTACGCCTTTGTTGACTGTCTATTGTACGCCTATGTGAAGACCTGTCTTCCATTTTTTTTTACCTTCTGTATTTTTCTGTGAAGCTGGTAACATTTCATTAATCTTTTTTTTTTTTTTTTTTTGAGAGAGAGTCTCGCTCTGTTGCCCAGGCTAGAGTGCAGTGGCGCGATCTCGGCTCACTGCAAGCTCTGCCTCCCGGTTTCACGCCATTCTCCTGCCTCAGCCTCCTGAGTAGCTGGGACTACAGGCGCCCGCCACCACGCTCGGCTAATTTTTTTTTTTTTTTTTTTTTTTTTGTATTTTTAGTAGAGACGGGGTTTCACCGTGTTAGCCAGATGGTCTCGATCTCCTGACCTCCTGATCCGCCCGCCTCGGCCTCCCAAATTGCTGGTATTACAGGCTTGAGCCACTGCGCCCGGCCCTCATTAATCTTAAAATGAAAATACCCTGATGAGTTTTGTTGTTTATTATGTATCCTTAATTCAATTTTATTTTTACTAAAAAAATTTTTTTTCATCAATGTACTCAGAATAGAGGTAACTAAGATGGTATATGGTCCAGTAAATATACAGATTTGATTCACTATTTGGGTTGCCTTTTCCATGTGAAAGTGGGTAGCACTTGTGTACTTCAGAAGTCCACTGCTACCCTGTGCTGCTCTGTTGACAACGGTGACGAACCTCAAGGAACCATCCACACCTTCTTTTTTTATTATTATACTTTAAGTTCTAGGGTACATGTGCACAACCTGCCAGTTTGTTACATATGTATACATGTGCCATGTTGGCGTGCTGCACCCATTAACTCGTCATTTACATTAGGTATATCTCCTAATGCTATCCCTCCCCCCTCCCCCACCCCATGACAGGCCTGGGTGTGTGATGTTCCCCATCCTGTGTCCAAGTGTCCTCATTGTTCAATTCCCACCTATGAGTGAGAACATGCGGTGTTTGGTTTTCTGTCCTTGCGACAGTTTGCTCAGAATGACGGGAACCATCCACACTTTCACTGACAACTTCCATGGCAAGATGGCCCAGGAAGCCGAGGGGAAAGTTCACAGCCAATACAGAGTGGCACTAACTAGTAGTTCTTCCAGCCCCTCAGAACTTCTGTAGAGTTCATGTTGAGGCTCACCACTTGACCCTTTTTCTCATTAGCATGGTAATTAAACAACCATGCTCACCTGCCCAACTCACACATTGGGGGCTGATTTATCTCCATTTAGCGCAGGAGTCATAAGAAGCATGCCCACTAGACATCTCAAGTTCCCCATTACTGCACTGTTATAATCGCCACTGACTTGGATAGGGGTAACGAAATACAGACATCTTATTCCTCTTGAGAGTCAAAGTTGAATTGATAAAGTCACTATGATATACCTCAATAAATAATATTTCACTCTGTAAAGTACTGTACCAACTCCATGCTGTTACTGAAAATACAAAGTAAGCCTGGATTAATGTTTAATCTCACCTCAAATTAATCAGAATTTCAAAAGAAAAGTTCTATTTTCAGTAGTAAGATTGGCAAGTAATACTGCAGAATGAGAATAACAATACCACAGATTCATTTTCCATTACATAGGATCATTTGCCTTTTAAATAATTAGCTTGAGGCTGAGTGAGATACCTCACTATAATCCCAGCACTTTGGGAGGCCAAGGCAGGTGGATTGCTTGAGCCCAGGGGTTCGAGACTAGCATGGGCAACATGGCAAAACCTCGTGTCTACAAAAAATACAAAAAAAAATGAGCTGGTGTGGTGGTATGCACCTGTGGTCCCAGCTATTTGGGAGGCTGAGGTGGGAGGACCACCTGAGCCCAGGAGATCAAGGCTATAGTGAGCCATGATCACAACAACTGCACTCCAGCCTGAGCGATGAACTGAGACCCTGTCTCAAAAAAAAAAAGAATTAGCTTGAACCTCCTCCTACATTGCACATTTAAATACTATCATCTTTATGACTTTGGAGATATAGGAGAAGCAGAAGAATTTTAGAACATCTCTGGTGATTTAAAAGAGAATCATTTCGGCCGGGCGGGGTGGCTCACGCCTGTAATCCCAGCACTTTGGGAGGCCAAGGCGGGTGGATCACCTGAGGTCAGGAGTTCGAGACCAGCCTGACCAACATGGAGAAACCCCGTCTCTACTAAAAATACAAAAATTATCGAGGTGTGGTGGCGCATGCCTGTAATCCCAGCTACTCAGGAGGCTGAGGCAGGAGAATTGCTTGAACCCGGGAGGTGGAGGTTGCAGTGGGCAAAGATCATGCCACTGCACTCCAGCCTGGGCAACAAGAGTGAAACTCCGTCTCAAGAAAAAAAAAAAAGGAAAAAAAGAGAGAGAGAGAATCATTTCTTTCTCCAATTAACTACCCTGAAAACACGGATTCCCAAAATCAGTTTCCTTCCTTGAAAAATGCATCAGGTGAAGAAGGTCCTCATACAAACAAGCATTCATCCTCTCACACCAGGTGCTGAGTCTTCTCATTAAAATGGTAGTCACTATCATAAGTTGCCCTTTGTATTTTCATTGCCCGCCAAAAACTCTGATTCTCTCAGCACATTCTATATTTGCTACATTAACAACTTTCCTTAATACTATGGGGTTCTGAGTCATCTAAAAAATAATTCAGCAGAGGCCACACAGAAATAGAAGTATTGCATTGGACTCACTTGAGAAATCAACAGTAGGGTCCACTCTTCCCATATCAATAAATTAGGAAGAGTGGTACTACCAGTTGTTTGTTAAGCCTCTTAAATCCTCTGTGGAGTTCATGTTGAGGAGCAAAGCCAGACCCTCTTCCTCATCAGCACAGTGATTAAACAACCCTGCTCACCTGCCATAGCATCTTGATAGACACTATCTGCTCTGTGAGGTAAGTAGGACGGGTGTCCCTATGTCCATTTTATACCTGGGAAAGTGAAGCAATAATACATGTGTCTTCCTTACAGAGAAAAAGTCAAGGAACTTGCAAAGGGCTAAGACATCAACTCTTTGCCATGAGACAGTGGTTCTCAACCTTGTTTGCACATTAGAATCACCTAGGGAGCTTTGACAAAACACCAATACCAAACCAGACCAAAATGCCAACCCAGACTAAACAAATGCCTGGGGTGGTGCCTGGGCATTAGTGGGTTTTAAAAGCTCCCAAGGTGATTCAAAGGCACAGCACCGAGAACCCTCTTTGGCAAGTACCACTTTTCTTTCTCTCACTTTCTTTTCTTCATGGCTTTACTTAACCAGTAAGAAAGTAAAAGCGTCGTGAATGATAGAGTGGCAGAGCAGTAGTAAATAACGGTCGGAATAACGGCGACAGATGCAGCTAAACCAAGTATGTTCTCAGGTAAGGCCAAAAAAAAAAAAAAAAGCCAATAAGAAACATGATTCAATAAAAATCAAAAGGAAACACATTCATAAAGGCTAAAAAGCCAAGTTCAGCACATATGTATTTACACATATTGCTATATACACCATGTTTTTTCTGGTTTGTTTTGTTATTTTTTTTTTAAAGAGCAAATTTTCAAACAAATGACTATACAGAGGCATGTGTGTCCCAAATGGCAGGAATAAATGCTAAGGAAATTCTTTCCAACATCTGTGAGTAATTTTGTACCATACATCATTGGTCCTATGCATTTACCTTAAAGAAAAAAGATCAGAGTAGAATTACCAAACATCCAAATGCAGTAATAGTTTTTCTCTCCTATTAGGCATGATCTGAAACCCACTAATTTTTTCCAGAGGGAACTTCACTAGTAACACTTTATTCCTGAGCACAACTTGGTTCTTAGACAACCAGTACTTCATGTACTGGCAGTAACACTAGGGGAAAGACTGACTAAAAGAATCCTCCTCTAATGAGAAACTCCAAACACAAGAAACAATTAAGTATTGAATGGGGATCCTCCTAGTCCAGTCTTGCGATTCCCAACCATCCAAATAAATCACAGTAATATTCAATATTCCCCCCAAAGAGTGCAGGCATGAACTCTTAAAATTCTAGGATCTTAAAACACACACACATATATGACCTTCACAGACATATGAACGCACGTAACAAATTAGGTTTGTGGAAAACACTACCAGTTACACAATACTCTCTCTCCAAGTGAAAATACCAGGGACGGGGTTTTATTCAACTCCATCTACAGGACATTAGTCAAAGGCACCTGACAGTTTTATAAATGCTCAACTTGAAGCTCTTTGTTAGTGAAACCTCACACTACAAAACTATTGTAGCTTACTCTCCCCTCCCCTTCTCCTGGAATCCCTCTCTTTCAGCTCTGCCAAATAACTGGCTCCCAATGTGTTTGTTCTGTGTCTCTCTTTGTTTCTCCCAAAAGGAAAAAATTAATGGTCAAGTGGGTTTAATTTTTAAATTGGTACAAGAGCTTTAAACACACTATAGTGAGAAAAATGCAAATGGAACGCTCTTGCAAATGGTTGCACATTAAACATACATCTTATGACCCAGGCCTTTACTAAGATGAGTTCTTAAATTCTTTGGAGGTCAGAAGTTTAGTTTATTCAGCAAGAATAACTCTATTAACAGCTCCAGCTCCTTCTTGTCACCACAGTAAACATCCACACATTCCAAATCCTGGAAAATGTGAGGCAGTAAAGAGAAGGCTGGGGCTGCCAACAGCCTGAAAACCTTCTAAAGCTATCAGTCCGCTGTACGAATGTACAAAGATATTCACAGAAATGGATGGAACAGAGCACGTATAAAGGCAGTTGGACTCAGGAGACCAGTTTTTCAGAGGACAGAGTGGAACTGGTGAGGCTTTATGTATATCACTATCAAATAATAACAACAGTAATAATACCTTACAGCTCTTTAAGCATATGCCCAGAATTCCACACCAACTTATGTACTGCTATAGTTTTTAAACCCAGATTTTTTTCCTAAATAATCTTATCTTTGAGAAGAGGCTAAGGTTAAAAGTCAAAACTAAGCAGACTTCTAAGCAAAGTGAAAAATAACCCAAGCTTTACAGCTGTTCCAGAAAGTTTGTGGCTAATTTTATAACATCTACCACCCAGTGAGGTCACACTGCAGGGACTTAGTCCTACTCCACACTTGAATAAATAAAATCATGACAAGCAATAAACTGATGGGAGTGCTAAGTCATAGCTAAGAAATGGGAAGACAGCATTTCACGCTAATGAGTAAATTATCCAAGTACAAAAAAATCTGATGTTCAAGTTTAGGGAAATTACCCTTACACTTTCCAAATATTTTTCTGTTCCTGAAAATGTGCACCTAAACAAATTCACTGTGACCTTATTAAGATCTTCAATACTTTTTTATACTTTTCACACTGAGTGTCAGTCTGAACGCCTTATCCACCATTTCCCTTAGAGAAAATCTAAGGGAAGGCAAACTGCACAACCCAAGAGAATAACATGATAGAAGCTTGCTCCCCACATGGGACCCCTTGTACTGGAGGGTGGCTGAACAGACAAGCAAGATGAGACAAATTCTGGCTCCTCCTACATCAGTTCCTCCCAATGTGGTTCCACAGTATAGTTTCAAATGGCTTCCCAGAATATCTGAAAAACCCAAATTAAAAGTACAAAATGAAAGAAGAGACCCAAAACTCAAAAATTTCTAAAGCCAAAAAAGTAAATTTTAATCACTTCCCTCTGAGCAAACAAAAGCTGACCATAGCTACTTTCAGTCCTTTTCTCTGATTCTTTCTTGTGTATTGTCTTTATTTATACTTACCAGTGCTATCTACAAATATTTTTATTTAACTACGAAACATATCGCACAAGAGTATATTTAATGTAATATGTAGAATTCAGAGTTCTCTAACAACCTTTGTTTTCTACCTTGAAACAGCTTGAGCTGTTTTCTATCTTTTAAGAATTATACTCAACACTTGTCATCTGATTTTCATTTATTTTTATCTTCTTCTTTCATTTCCCAGTTTGTCACTATCCTTAACTATTTTTTCTCAACTACTTCTTGCCCAGCAATTACCCTCAATATTCCCCATCCACTCAGCCACTTTTGAATACATTTCACCTTCTCCCTTTGAGTTTCGGCCCTCAGTTTTTCTCCCTTGATTCAGAGGAATCTGATGAATAATTGTGAGTCTCAGACCCTTCTTGTTACCCTCATCCTGCCCTTACTCCTCTGGCAAATGACCATGATATCAACAACTGTCATCTCCCTTATCTTTGACCGATCTAACTTACAGAGAAAAAAAAGTTCCCCCACCCCTTCATTTTTCTTTGTTCTCTGGTCCACTCTGAAGCACCCTGGAGCATGCTTCTTCCTTATCTCTTCTACTCTACTCACTCCCCAATGGAGCACTACAGATCTTCTTGGTAGTTAGTTTTCAATTATTGGTTGGCTTGTTAGTGACACTGGCCATATGAAACACTTCATACCTGGTGGTCATGTGCTATGAGACATGGTCAACCATGATTTGGATCCACTATCAGCATGGCATATGCTCTGATTTATATTCCAATAGCAATGATAGATTAATCCTGATCCATTTCCTTTGAACCTTGTTTCTCTTGTGGCTAATGGATTGCATTTGCCAAATGGCTTGCCGAGTTAAGGAACAGAAAAGGTTTTACGTCTCTGGCCATAGAAGAGAAGTGACCGGCTTACTAGGGCTTAAGTCTTTGGCCCTGGCCTCATTACTTCTGAGCACCAGCTGGCCACAGCCACATCATGACAATGATCCTCACTATGTGCAAGAACCTTGGCTCAATTCAGAAAGTAAATATAAGCCTCTACAACACAAAAACAACCATGTCAAGACAGACACATTTGTTGGCACCCTAAGAATTAAATAAACTTGAGATCTATCTCCCTTCCTAATTTCCACAATACCTTTTAGGGGAAGAGTAAACCCTCACCTGCTTCTCACAGTCCTTCCATGTTAGCACTTAAAGAGGAGAATCACTTTTAGAAACACCCAACTCATCTGCAATTTAAAAGCAGCCATGCACAAGAAGACAAACACGGCTCTTACTTCCAACACAAATCCAGAGAGCGGAAATAAAAAACACTTTCCATTCCTCTCTGAATACCGCAAAACAAATTCTCCTCACAGGTGGACATAAATACATCATGGGGAAGAGGGCATCGGGAAATATATAAAAATAAATTGTATTTACCTTCTTCTGTTTCATGCCACACGATCCCTTCCAAATTCACACTGGTCCCAGGTTCACAGGGCCCAAGACACTCTGGCTCTGTCACTACTCCAACTTCACATGTATTGACACCCACAGAACGAGTCCGAACCAAAAGCTGTTCAACCGGTGCTGCAATATTGGATGAAGATGGGGAAAAGTAGGAGGGTAGAATCTGAGGCGTGAGACTGCTGGAAATCGGCGGTGGTGGCGCTGGCACTGTAAACAGGGGGTCAACCTGAAAGACAGACAGGCTTACTGCAGTAGTGCTGCATTCCGTGAATTCCTTTTAATGCAATTTGCTTATATCACTTCTAGAATATATCACCATTCCAAATTCCATTTGCAATTATAATATGCTTTGAGTGTTTTAATGGTGCCAAAATATAAAGGAGAATAGAAATGAGCATTTTGTTTTTTCATGCCAAATAAGCTAAACATGAGAGCGCTAGCTCCCTGAATCATAAGCAGGTTTTCAGTGTCCTTCTCCTTCTAAATTCATCATTGGACAACCGTTAGCCTCAGCAGACGTGAATGAAACATGTTTTGCAAAATTAAGGCTACTTCTCACATGTAATGAAATCTCACTTTAAAAATTATAACAGTTTCTAAAGGAGAAACTCCAGTAAACACTAAAAATTTAAGTATAAGAGATGAAATAAAATTGTTTTCAAAGAACTTTATAAACCATAATGAATTAAATCACTACTAAAATATATTAGCTTTGCTGAATATATAAATACATAAACTTTACAATCTACACCGAAACACAAAAACTGGATATTGTTAGCATGTATTAAGCATCAACTCCTAATTAAGCATTCTATTGCAAAGTTTAGCAGAATTCATATAAGGGGGGAGATAAATGCATGTGCCCAACATCAACATAACTTGAGTTTTTCCAATGCACAAATTCTTCCGTGGTTAAACTGGTAAAGATCCCTAATGAGTTTGATTAAGGCTCAGTCACCACCTCTCTAAATACAGGAAATGTAAATCGCAGCCAACTACAAGATCTTGTGGTGCAATGGCATCCCCTTTGCACCGCTATCCCCAGGAGAGCAGCAAAAGAGTTCTTCATCACAAAAAGTTTAAAAGTCTGGCCATAATGAAACCAAAGGCTATGCCATGTACTAAACAGTACATTCATTTGGCCCATTGTAACAACTGCTAGGACTGCTACAGATAGCTTTGACCCTGATTATTGGTTGTGAAAATGCCACACACAAAGCCCATTTGTACCAAGACTCCAGATTACCTATGTCTTTGTGTTGCACATAGAAACGGCCTACATTTAAGGGATGACACCTTGCATGTATTATCAGTTGGGCTAACAAATCCTATATGTAAAAAGGGCGCATCGAAGATCATTCTGGTAAAATATTATCTTATTCTGCTGTTCACTGTAAGTTATCTTTTGTAGCCACTTGGCTGCAGGCGTAATAGTATATAGTCTTTGTTGGGTTTTGGTTTTTTTTTTTGAAAAGAAACAAAACAAAAAGAGTGTATTTCAAGAGTCATATGAGGAAGTGTGCTCCTAGTTAAACAGCTGAAGCAGTCATCTGTGTGGGCTCCTTGTTCATATGACTGTAGGAACTATTTCTACAGTTTGCATTTCACTAAAATGATAAACTGACGTTCACTTGCCTGAGTGATCCAAGATGCAACAGAACAGCCTTTCACCCATCTGCATGTTAAAAAAACTTAATTTCCTGCTCTCAAAGCTGCCATAAAACTTCTTTTGCTCCACGCTTTTTATTGTTCTGCATTCTTGATCACAGAGCCCAGGAAAGAAAAGCATTTAACAGCCCCAAACCCCAGATACTGTGATTTATGCTTTTGTGTAAATGTAGCTTAATGTGGATCAAAGTTCACACTGATAGTTCTTATTTTAAAACTGAGCTGACAAATGAACAAAGGGGTTCTGAGAGAGGAAATTTAAGGGGGGAAAAAAAACAATGCTACCTAGTAGTCTTTATTACAACTAAAAGACTGTCTGAGATTAGAATCACTTTCCAGAATTAAAAGTAAAGACCAAAGAAAATTATAAACCAGTGGTTTTTTTTTTGCATGCTTTCCAGCTTCTTAATTTGTATAGTTAGTTGTAAACTGACTGCAATTCGATGTCACATGTATAAATTGAAAAGAAAAAATAGAACATTATTCTGAAAATATTCTTCACATCACCTGATCAACAGCCTACATTAATACCAAGAGAACAAACGTAGCTTGAATAGGATGCATAGGAAAATGAAATAAAATTAGAGATGAGTCTTATAGCGTATCAGTTCTCTGATTTGGAGGTGAGAACACAATGGGGCAATGACAGTTATGGTGGCAAGACATACTAACACTAGGATTGGCGCCAACTCTGATATTAACTAGCTTATGACCCTGGAGAGTCATTCAACCTCTCTGAGGCCCATTTTCCTCAACTAGAAAACACATTCCTGGCCAGGTGTAGTGGCTCACACTTGTAATCCCAACATTGTGGGAGCTCCAAGAAGGAGTATCACTTCAGGCTGGGAGTTGGAGACCAGCCTGAGCAACACAGCAAGACCCCCATCCCTATAAAAAAGTATTTAAAAATTAGCCAGGCATGGTGGCATGCGAGTAGTCCCAGATACTCGAGAGGCTGAGGTGGGAGGAACAACTGAGCCCAAGAATTCAAGGCAGCAGTGAGCTATGATCATGCCATGGCGCTACAGCCTGGGCAACAAAGCAAGCCCCTGTCCCTTAAAAACAACAACAACAGCAACAACAAATGCACTTTTCAGCCGCCTAATATTGATGACATATCCTATCACAACAGCTTCTAGACTAAATCCTTATTTCAACATAACTCCATCTATAGATATATTTGCATGCAGAAACACACACACACCCCTCTCTCTCTCTCTCATATTTATGTAATTTCCAAGTTCAAATTTCTATGGAATCTGGATGCCTTGAGGGGAGAAGCCAGAGTACTCTGGGCCTACTTGTAAGTTAATTGTGTTTGTTACCATTAACACAATTCAAATGTAACATGAAAGTTGAACTGATATTTATAGCAAGAACTTTTGAGTCCAGTTCAACATGTTTTAAAATGAGAAAGCTAAGGTTCAGAGAGTTTGACTATAAATATACACTTAATCATAAATAGCACTCCGATGTGATAATAGTCTTTAGACTATTTAAGGCTTTTAAGGCTTAAACCTGACAGTTACTATTGTTTTGAGGTTCACATCTTTGACTTGCACAAGTGAATTTCTTCGTTTCTTCACTGTAGTATCGGCTTCTCATGGTGGCTCAGAACTGCCACTCCCATAGGTACCAGACCAGCACTACCAGTGAGAGGAGAACCAAATGAGAGGAGAATCGCAGTTTCTCCCCATTCACTGTGAGATGTCGGGATTGGGGAGGAGGTGGAGCACAAAGTCTCCCCGTGTGGTCTACCATAGGCCCCTCTTCCTTAGAGGTCGCCAGCAAGAACAGGATTTGCAGGTGGGGATTACAGCCACTCCCAGAGGTGTTTTTATTTGGCAGGTATGTTACTTTTTAAAACATTCCAGTTTTTTTTAGCAACACTTTAATAAATTAGGAAAGAATTTAAATTTCTCCTATTTCGTAAAATAATTATTGGATTATGTGCTCTCCTGGGCCCACATTCCTCATGGCATCAACTGACAGAACTGAGCTTCACTGCAGCCTTGCCACGTGACTTGCCCAACCAGAGAATGCTGGAGTTTGTGCTTCCACCCTCTGCCTGAAACAATCACAGAATGTCGCCTAGCCCAACCTACTCAGTCGAGAGAAAACTGTGGCCCATATTTGTACAAGTGTAATAAGCTGTCTCTAGTGGCAGCCTAGGTACACATAAAACGATGGCATCCCACAAGCAGAAAATTGACAGGAGTTCAACATACACTGGGAAACAGAAGAAGGGTGGAAGGGAAGTAATTCAAAGAGTGTGGCCAATTCTTTCTGCTAGGTAAGAATTTCCCCCCAAAAGGTTTCAGTTCTCTTGTGTATCTCAGTGTCAAACGTGAAGTCACATGTATCATATGTAAAGGAGGATTTTAAAGCATTTTCAGTAGTTATTTTTGCCTTATACAAAAGATCAACTCCACTGCACCCTGGTTTCTCAGGTCAGTGATCCATACACTGAACCATAATTTCTTCAGCCAATGAAGGTCATTAAGGCAGAGGGTGGCAACAGTTTCCACAAGGACTCCCTCCAGTGAGGAGGCAGCATACCAGGACTTGAACCTCTGGTTCTGTTAGCAGACAGAATTGGGTTCAAATGCTGACCCTGTCAGTACTTGCTGTGTGGAACCCTGAGCAAGTTACCGCGCTTCTCTTCTCTAAGACTCAGTGTCTAGTTCTAAGAAATGGGAGTAATAATAACAATTACCCCCACAAGCGTTGCAGTGAAGACTCAGTGAGATAATCCGTGCAAAGTGAATGCTCAGCATAGTGCTTAGGTCAGTAAACACTGGCTTAAAAGTCCCTGGTCTGATATTATAGTTCCCTAACCCTGCACCCAACCTTCCAAAGCTCCTTTTTATATCCTACTATATTTAACATAAATCTATAATCCCCTCCAAATGCATGGTTAAGTGCAATTAAAGTATGTTAAAAATACAAGAAAGGGGGCTTAACCTTGAGAAGCTCAGCCTGGGGAAATACTGCTTCTTTCATACACTGACATCTGGCAGCAGTCAACTGGCTTAACCCACCTCCATTTTACAATTTTATGGCAATGATGGGATCACCATGAAGGCCCTGATGAGTCCCGTACTACTACAGAATCTCCTCCTCCTAATCTCTAGTTGCAGCTTTTTCTCATGCACTGCTGCCCTAACAGTCAGCTCACCTCAACTCTTATCACACATCCACCCAATAATTACTACACACCTGCCATTTGCCAGGCACCGTGCAACCTGCTAGAACAAGAGTGGCCCAAACAGACCAGGTCCCTGCCCTTCTGGACTGACTGTGTAGTGGGCAAGACTGTGACACTGGTCAGATAATCATACAAATATAGCAAAATTACAAGGATAATTGTAGAACTACAACCAAAGGAACTTTCATGGTGGCCTGAGAGCAAAAAGTAGCGTGTTAATGGAAGACAGGGTGGGGCAGGGATCTGTCTTCACTGGGGGTTGGAATCCAGCTCTACTGTTAGCTACAAAACCTTAAGCAAGTAGTTTGATCGCTCTGGGGAATCAGTGCCTTCATCTGTAAAACGGAAATAACATCTGGCTCATGTGACTACTACAGAAGATCATACAAATAACTTTAGCTCAGGGCCTGGTAGAAGGTAGCACTCAATAAACAGGGGCTATTGCTATTGTCAATATTAGTATCATTATTACAAATATATCTGAGACCTGAAATCGATAGGTGGTTTGGCCCTATGGGACCAAATGCTAGTATTTGCTACATTCAAAGGCAATTCACAAGAGGCAACAACAAATCCCTTTCTGAGGGGAGAAACACTAATATAGTTCTAATCAGATATTCCTCATTTAAAAATCAGTGGGGGATTATTAGTCTAATAATACTAACAACTGGAATAAAATATCAGAATAGAGAACTGGCCTGTTTTAGCAATGGTTTCTTTGTCAAAGCTCTTTTCTGTCATCTTGATAGGACACTGATGTAACCTATTAGAACCCAAAAAAAGAGGAAAGCAGGAAAGCAGCCATCTCCACTGGAAAAAAAAGACCCATAAGTCTAACAGCTGGTGGTGGCAGCCTGTCAAACCGAGGAAAGTTAATGTCAAGAACAGACGCGCGGCAGTCTCTCACTGTTATTTTTGCATGATTATTCCCAGGTGTTAGTGCATGCTGAGCAGTAGCCTGGCTATTTATCACGCGAGAGAGCCTAAGAGCATGGGAGGGGGAGCAGGGAGGCTGAAGGGAGGCAGGGAAGAAAAGGTTATTTACACAGAGAGCGGCACTTAGTGTGTGTAATCAGAGGGCTGGGTTGGGGGCGGGCAATCTGCAGGGAAACCCTGGCAATATTTTCTCCGTTCACCTTCTTTCAAGGGCTTCCTGAGTGCTGATGGGCAAGGAAGGATCCAAAGCTGGAGTGTTGGTGGGGACAGCTTTTCATCACTGGGGCATTTCACTGTGTTGGTCAGTGATGCTTTCAGTACCAGGAAACCGACAGCCAGTGAGGATAGGTGGCCAGGGTAGGGCTGGAGAGTGCTCCCTCGAGCACTCCTGCTCCACCCAGACCCAACAAAGAGACATTCAGGTGGCTCTGCTGCCAGGTAGAAGGAGAAGGCGAAACCCAGGACTGCCGAGAAGCAAGCCTCCAGAAGGCAGAGAGATTCCCTCCTTTACCTGGGATCAGGTCTAAACCCTGACAGGGAAGCTTGCCACAGCTTTCTCACGTCTATTGCCAAAAATATCCACACCGATCCTGCTATTAACCCCTCAATCCCGGGATCACCAACAACCAGAGGGGGAATGGTGTTTTACTTTGCTCAGAGCCAATATTGTTATAGTCTATGAGAATGCTGGGGCACGATTACTTAATGTTCACGTTTTCTCCATATCCTGGTATTGGGCTGTTTTATGAGATTGCCCATAGTCACCTCTTCATTTAAAAAGCATTAGAAAGAGACTCCACTACTACGTAGGGGAAATCACAGCTCTTTAGAGGCGACCACTGCTGCAGTCTCTTACTTTGCATTTTAACCACCCTTTTTCTGCCTGACGTCACTGCTTCTTTAGCAAAGCAGGGGAAGCTTTAAAAACCATTTCCTTAAATTAGGCACTGATCTTTTCTCCAGAACTAATCATTGAGGCTGAATTTCCATCCCTAAAGGACAAACCTGTAACAACTGAATTTTGGTCACTTCTAATTCTGCCTTTTCGTAAATGTGATGGAGACAACTCTTCCTTTCAGAACCATGATCAAAGCAATTTACGCTTTGCAGCTTGCTGAGAAAACAACATGGGCAAATTCTCACAAAGGGTCTAAGGTACCAGACTTTTTCCGCCTCCTTTAATTCTCACAACATTCCTGTTTTATAGAAGCAGAAACTGAAGATCTCAGAGGATGGGCCACTTTATCTAAGGAGCTGAAATTCAAGACCAAAGCTCTCTGATCTTAAAGTCCATGGGCTTTCTCATAAAAATAGTAACATCAGCAGCTACTTTTTAACACATACAACATAGAGGAATTATAACTGTCTTACCACATATAGTGTAGGAGGGATTATACTGTGCATTCTCTCTTTTGATCTTTACAAAATTGTTAAGGGAAGTATTTTACAGATGAGGAAAAGGAAACGTGGGAAAAGTTAAGTAACTTAAAAGGTCACTCAGGGTCGGTGGCTGAGCCAGAATTTGACCCCACATTGGTCTAACATCAAACGCAAACCCTTCTAAATGTAAAATAGAAGATGAGATGGAAAGAAATCTTTCTCCATGGGTAATTTCTGGCCCTTTTCTGTATGTTGGAAGCAATATACCTGAATCACCCTTTATTACCCATAGTTCAGAATAGTGAATCTCAGGCTTGCAAGCAAATAATACAATCCCTTCAGAAACCTCACTTTAAAACCTTACTGAAACCAAAGCTCAGCTTTTGTTTTATTGTTGTTGTTTTAAATCATCCAATTCTAAAACTACCGTTATGCACAGACTGGGAATTATATTGCCATTTCCACTTTCTCATTATCAGGTATGAAGACCAACCCTGCCCTCAAGTGCTGTTCAGGCTTAGCAGCTGATCTGGTAGGACTTGGCCTGGGGATGGACCAGGGCTCTGGCCCCAAGGCCAGTGGGGCCAAGACGGATGCTTCCACCTCCAGCCAGAACCCCCACCATGCCAAAATTCCAGAATGCCAAAAATCCAAGGCCCGGTGCAGTGGCTCACGCCTGTAATCCCAGCACTTTGGGAGGCCAAGGCGGGTAGATCACCTGTGGTCAGGAGTTCAAGACCAGCCTGACCAACATGGAAAAACCCAGTCTCTACTAAAAATACAAAAATTAGCTGGGCGTGGTAGCGGCTCCTGTAATCCCAGCTACTCGGGAGGCTGAGGCAGGAGAATTGCTTGAACCCAGGAGGCGGAGATTGCAGTGGGCCGAGACTGCACCATTGCCCTCCAGCCTGGGCAACAGAGAGAGACTCTGTCTCAAAAAAAAAAAAAAAAAAAAAAAAAAAATCTGGGTTCTGCATGGTACTGCTTTGGGGTGGAGAGGAAAGGGGGTCACTGACTCTTCGTGTCTGACTGCCAGAAGGATCCCTATATGCAGGTCACAAAGCAAGAGAATGTACACAGCTACATGTGTAAAATACGCTTTAAACAGCAGTGACTATTTTTAACTTCATTCTCTAGCCATGACAGTTTTCAAAGCAAAACAGAAGGTACTGAGTATGTAAAGATGGAATATAATTAAACTACTCTACTCAATGTCTTAAATTTCTTTTGTTATGAAGCCAAATTAAATTCCTCCCTCAAAGGCCTTGAACTGTGTAGAGTTCCATAGCTAAGCGATATTGGTGGAGGCGGAGCAGACACAGGGACTCTTTTCTACCACACCACATCAGTTGTCACATACTTAGCCTCAGTTGTGTTCTTTGAAAACCTGTCCTACTGCTGAGCCACAGATACTTAATCTGTTTCAAAAGTGCCGCTGACATCTTTCACTGCTCAGAGAGCTGTGTGTGCTTTAAATAGTGGCAGTAAATGATCAGTGTTTTCATATCTTGTTCATAAGAGTTCTCTGATTTCCTCTCATCCCATTTCCAAAGACACTTAAAGCACAAAAATAAGCCACAAAGAAAGGAGACCATCGTAAAGGCACTAAAAAAGCCTGTGTTCTTGGATTAATCCTTTGCACAAGGCCCTTTGTACAAAGCTGAATTCCTGAAAAGTTCCATGCAAATTCCATTTCTATCAATTAGATCTTGTTCCCAATCCCTTAAAAGTGAAAGTTTTTAAAAAGAAAGTTCAGTGGTAAATTCTGGATGTTGCTAAACATGGTTGCGCCTACATTAGCCAATAAATCAATTTCAAAACACATGAATAATGCATGTATCTTAGTTGATATTGGTCATTGATAAATACATTGTCCTTGTGTGACCCTTATTTCTCCTTGAAATTAGGTTGAAATCAGGGAAAGGTTAGAAGTCTCTCATCCTTATGCTTCTGGATGCAGACATGATTTTAAGAAGAAAGAAAGGCAGGAAGAAAGGAAAGAAAAGCCCATTTTGGAAACCACCGTATTCCGATTTCTCTCAGCTTAACATCAGTCATTTTTCTTACCTTCTTTTAGGGAATCTCACTTGCAACCACCTAAAAGGAGTATTTTCAACTAAAATTTTACACATTTGAATTACAAACTCAAAACATGCTGGTCATAACAAATTAAATGACAAGGAAGTGCCTGAGTCACACTGTATGGGAGCTATGTGGTGTATAAAGCTATGCGGTGAGCTGAGATCCATGTAAAGGGAAGGCCACAGAAGCACCCAAAGCATCGTGGGTCGGCTACAGAAGAAGACAATTTTGACTCCCTGTACAGGACACTATCTTGGTACCACTCACTTTCCTCCCTGCAAAATCTGAATATTGCTCACATATATTCAACATATGTCCAAGAAGCTTCTTATGTATGTCTCCTGCCTCTTCTTTCCATACCTCCCAAATGTTGATCCAAAACACTGATCAATTTTAATAAATTAAGCAAAGTTTTGAAAATGTGATTTCATTCTGAATCACAGTTAAGCAACTGGGTAAAGCTCTCCATACTTTATCACAGAGATGGAATGGTTAGAGAGAACATGACAAAGCTTCCCCATACACCATCTCTATACATGCATGTATATGGTATTTCCATCCATATGTAATACTTAGCTACATATCTATTGTCAAGGACTCTTTAAAGAAACATTCATTTTTACTACAGCTCTAGAGAAAGGCAAGGGTGGGTTTTCTCATCTGATTGTGTAAACTGAAGAAACTTAGTCTTAAGAGATAAGTTACTTCTCAGGGTCAGGAGCAAAAACAAGAGGCCACAGCCTGTCCCAATGAGGTCTATCATGCCCCCTACCAAGTTCTAAACCATAAACCACTTTTAAAAGTTTCTTCTCACAGAGGCCTACACAAAAAAAAGCTGCTTGCTCACAGGTCCAGAATTCGGTTTCCCCACCTTGAGAACACAGCAGATTTTATTAATAAAAGTCAACAGATCACTCTCCAGAGAGAACCTCTCTTCTAACAGTTTCTTGTGTGTTCTTTCAGAAATTTTATACATATAGAAACATACAGAGGAAGAAGGAATAACTTTTCATTTTATAGCCTTCTATGCTGCTTAAATTTTGACATGACCATATACTATTTTACCATTTTTTAAACTAACTTTTTAATGAAAAGATGCTAAGGCATTCCACTTTAGAGTAAAAGTAAAGCAGAGAGGAGAGGGTAGATGCTTGAAGACTATTATTTCAACTCCTCATGCAGAGGTCCTGAAATCCACAAGTGAGTCCAAGGTGGCATAAGGACCTAGTTTGTGTGACAGGAATCATGTATTAACCCCAGGCCCTCCCCTTTAGATGGGTTGCCGTTTAAGCCGCCTCACTGTTGGGGAAGTCATTCCTTCATCCAACAAGTTTTTGCCAGGTGCCACAATGTGCCAAAGGTGGGGAGATGAGCAGTGGCCGCAGAGCCAAATGTGGTCAGAGCTGAAGGTGGTCAGTTAAGCCCAGGGCATTGTGGGAGCACCAAGGGGGTGGGGCAGGGACAGGGAGAGCTGAGGCTGGAATATCAGAGAATTCACAAGAGCCCAGGCCAGGCTAAGAATCTGGGGGGTTATTATGAAGTTGGAAGTGGGCACTGAGGATTTTAAAGTAGGGGCACGGAAGGATTCGATTGTTAATGTGGTAAAAAGCACACTGGAAGCCATGGGAAAACAGATGAGACAGGGCAAGACTGGAGGAAGGAAGACAAGAAACCATTACCAATTAGCCGGGTGTAGGTGTGTGCCTATAATCCCAGGTACTCGGGAGGCTGAGGCAGGAGAATCACTTGAACCCAGGAGGCAGAGGTTGCAGTGAGCTGAGATCGCACCATTGCACTCCAGCCCGGGCAACAAAGCCAGACTCCATCACAAAACATAAAAAAAGAAGCCATTGCAGTACTCCAAGAAGACCTGGCACCCGTGGTGGGGTGGGGGGATAGGGAGGAGAGATCAGACTCGGGAAGGTGGCAGAAGAGGACAAACTCAAGATGTGCCCCAGCGGTCTGTTTCAGTTGGTGACAGTGTCATGGCCTGGGATGGGGAGGATGGGCAGAGGATCGCCTGTTGGGCAACGTCTATCAGGCGAATGGACAGAATTAGATCATTCTAGATCATCTCTGTGACCCCTGGCAGAAAGAAAGTAATGAAGCCAGTGGAGTGGCTGAGTTGGCTCAGGGAAAATGCAAAGAATGTAAAGAGAAGGGCCAAAACCCTGTAGACCCCAATAGTGATGGGGCACAAAGAGTGAGAAGGAGCAGAGTGGCTGGAGAGGGACTGGCAAACCTGGAAAGTGGGGTGACTAATCTATGGAGTGGGGCTCTAAGAGTACCAAGGTCTGGGCAGTCTGGTGTCCAATGACACCAATGGAGAAGCCACGAGGAGACAGTGCCCACCCACCCTGTGGAGTTGGCCCAGGGTCCCTGCTTTCCCTCCAGCTACCAGAAGAACAAAGCGGCTGGCTTTTTAAAACCTGTAGATTCCTAATAATTCCCTTAATTTTACCCTAACAGCCACTGGCAGCCTCACAGTGTTGCCCCTACACCAACCTGGAACCTTTTGTTTCAATTTAGGTGAAAAAATGACTCCACACCATGCTGCAAGTCACCTATTTTTCCATTAGATGACTCATGATCTTTGAGAAACCAGATCCCATCCCAAATGCCATGTCCCTTAATCTTTGTATGTCACTGATGGCCAAGATAATGAGCCCTTCATTTCAGGAAGCTAAATAACAAAAGTAATGGGGATCCTAAATAAGCTTTTTCAAACCTCTATCCCCACCCACCACCTGATTCGGGCCTTCCCAGCATGACGTCCAAGGCACATGCCCCTTAATCACCACTGGTCCCTGAACAGAGAGAAACTCTCTCTCCTTCCCTTCTCTCTTACTACTCTTCTATCTTTATGTTCACTAGTTCCCTAAGGTGGTTCCACCCTACAAATCCCATTTGAACATCTTCCCTTTCCAGTCTTAGAGCAATGAGCCTTTATGAGAAGGAATATCCAGGGCAAGTAACCCTGCTTAGGGATTTCTCAGTCCACAGTCTAGTTAAAAGGTCACCAAATGATGGCCCACGGTCCAAATCTGGCCCACTGTCTGTTTTCCTAAGGCCTGAAAGCTAAGAATGTTTTCTACAGATGAATTTTTGCAGTCAATGTAATGACAGCAAACATTAACTTTGAACACTTATTAAGTGGAATGTTATTCTCTCCCACAAAAAGAATTTCATACTTCTCATCAGTAGATCTGTATTACCAAAAATTGTGCTCAATAATTGTCATTGGATTTTAAATTTTGTCAATTAAAAAATTCTGTGGAAATTTGTTTTCTCTCTTGTTATCCAAGTGCCTACATAATATCCGTGATGTTGCCTCTTGGCCTGCAAAGCCTAAAGTATTTACTATCAGCCATTTACAGAAAAAATTTGCCAATCCTTGCTCTACTGAATTCAAGAGCTCATTTAGGTTCACTCTTGGACGTTAATATCTGTTGGTGGAGAGGGGGAGGGGAAGTTAACAGTATGTTGGAACAGGGCAGGAAGGAAGTGAAAAAGGAAGTAGGGAGTGGACAGAAGTGTAGGAGATTTTAAAAGTAAACATATAGATCCATCTCTGAATGAAAAATAATAATAAATGTACCTACTACTACCTAACTCTCTTAAAAAAACCTAGGAGTCATAAACCAAAAGAGATATGAGGAGCCACATTCCAGTTCTAACTTAAGCAGTCATAACATAAAACATTAAATATTTATTGAACATCTTTTTATTATACCAGCCATTGTGCTGGGTGCTAATGACAACCAAGACAGACAAGATCCCTCCCTTCACGGAGCTGACAAAGAAGTAAACTTTTTTAAAAAAAACAACATTGTCAATCTATGATACGTCTCTATTCCCAAAAGAAGAAACAACCATCCTATGTAATTGCAATGTGTTTTTGGTAACATTTTCAGTTTGAAAACCAGGATATTTTATCTTAATTGCCCCATAAGTGAATGAATTACATGAAAAAATCAAGTTCTCAAACACATTCTGTTGAGGACTAGAAATGAAACAAGCCCTCCTAGAAACTTGGAGTTCTTTCATCCAGAAGTCTAGTCATGGATGCACAACTAAGACCATCAGTCCCAGAAGCTACTTCTCACAGAGGATGACAGGTCAATGTCACACATCACATGTCTCACTAATGCTTTTGAACTGGGTAATATAGTGTAATAAATAGGAGTGTGGTCTCTGTGCTTCAATCTCAGATCATTTACTTACTAGTATAATCTTGAAAATTTACTTAACCTTTCTAAGCCTCAATTTCCTCACCTATAAAGTGGAGATTATAGTATTACCTAATTGTATTTAATGTAATAGACATATCAAACAAGAGATCCTACATAAAGCCCGTCGTAGTATCTCTATCATATAAGTGCTCAACAAATGTTAGTTATTATTGTCCTTGCCAATACCAATCTCAGTAACACATGTTCATAGGGCTTGCTTAATTTGTCACATGGCTAAACCAACACATTAAAAACATACTGCTGTAGTCTCTGAAAACCAGATGACAGTTTTCAAATTAAATGAAACACTTCAAAATACCTGGGGATGAATTTATAATTGAATATTTAAGGTTCTTTAGAACCAACTACATAGTAAGATTTTATTTGGAGGTAACAGTGATTTTTCTTCTTCTAAAAGCTGACATCCTAGGAGAAATCCCAGCCTAAGAATGAGATCAGGATCTTCTGCTTCTAGTGTTAACATCCATAAGAATTAAGAATGCTTGCTTCAGCTATTTCATAGGGGTACTTCAAGAATCAAATGAAATGGACTCTATGAAAATGCTTCCTCAGCTATTTTATAGGGGTACTTCAAGAATTAAATGAAACAACCTCTATGAAAATGGTCTCAAAAGAATGCCCAAATGTAAATAAAAATAAATGTTATTAACCATTTATTCTTGCACAGTTACCAAGTCAGCTCATTTACTCTTTAACACACAAAAAAAAATGATGCCACAAAGAAATGAAGGATAGCAGGGGTGGTAAACAGGATCACGCTCTCTTGGCATCACGTTTCCAGAATATTTATTATTTATTTTTACAAATGTGTCTAATATCCAAGTACAAGCACCCCACGGGTGACAGAGCTTGCCATATCTGCAGCAAAATAATTATTTCTATTATGCACTCCCTTAACCATTAAAATAATTTCTAGCTAGTTGACAAACACCTGCAATATAGTTTTAGCATTATCTAGACTACATTTAAATCAAGTTGATTTGAATCATGATTTAAATCAGTCAAGAAAAACTATTATCTTCTAAAATTAAAAAATGCATGCTTATTTTTTGCCATAATGGTAATATACACACTTCATAAAGCTCATAGATACATGTACGTATACTGCTTTTAAACAGAAAATATTATTTTTAAGTGGTGTAAAAAATCTTTTCAAATGTTATCATTATTTTTATTTTTAATATTACCAACCAGCCCTTACTTATGCATACATATCTTACGTAATGAAAACCATACTCCATAACTTTTAATGCATTTTTCTCATATTTTATAGCTGCATTACTCTAATATAGGCCGGGCGCGGTGGCTCACGCCTGTAATCCCAGCACCTTGGGAGGCCGAGGCGGGCGGATCACGAGGTCAGGAGATGGAGACCATCCTGGCTAACACGGTGAAACCCTGTCTCTACTAAAAATACAAAAAATTAGCCGGGCGTGGTGGCGGGCACCTGTAGTCCCAGCTACTGGGGAGGCTGAGGCAGGAGAATGGCCTGAACCCGGGAGGCGGAGCTGGCAGTGAGCCGAGATCGCGCCACTGCACTCCAGCCTGGGCGACAGAGCGAGAATCCGTCTCAAAAAAAAAAAAAAAAAAAAAGAAAAGAAAGAAACTCTAATATAGTTGCTTTACGTATCAAAACTAAATGAAGCATCTATTTAAATCACTGAATGGCTATCTTCTCTAAGTTAATCATGGGTATTTTTCCATAGCACATTAAAATCTAATAACCATAACCAAAACAACTTAAATTTAAATTGTTTCATTTAATAAAAAAAAAAAGAGGGGATTTCCTTCAACCACAAGTCATTTAAATAAGCAGCTTAGTTAAGCACCTTTGTTCATCAATGTTAATACTTATCAATAAACATTTATTCCCTGACTATAGTGCTTATTTTAATTACAGCCCTAAAATATACTAGGAAAAAGTAGTGCTCATGTCAAAGCCACTCTTAGGAAGTTGGGAAATAAACTTGCCACCTAGATTTAAGGTCTAAAAGTACTGGATATAAAAGGAAGTACTCAGTTAAATCTTACATGACTTTTGTTTTGGTGGAGTGGGGTAGGGTAGGATAGGTGAAATTTTTTCAGGTAGCTTTAGTGTTAAGTGCATTCTCCTGCATTCTTGCATTCTAGAGCTCTAATAACTCTTTAAACTTTAATAAGTTATTATTAGCCCCACTCCCAATCTTGGTCACAGAACATAATTTTATTCTGAGTAAAAGTTGTACATTTTGGCCGGGCATGGTGGCTCACGCCTGTAATTCCAGCAGTTTGGGAGGCCGAGGCAGGCGAATCACCTGAGGTCGGGAGTTGGAGACCAGCTTGACCAACCTGGAGAAACCCCGTCTCTACAAAAATACAAAATTAGCCGGGCCATGGTGGTGCATGCCTATAATCCCAGCTACTCAGGAGGCTGAGGCAGGAGAATCACTTGAACCTGGGAGACGGAGGTTGCAGTGAGCCAAGATGACACCATTGCACTCCAGTCTGGGCGACAACAGCAAAACTCCATCTCAAAATAAAGTAAATTTTGATTAAATATTTACCCTCTGACACATTTTAAAATTATATAAACTTCTCTTAAAAGAAATGTGATTTTTAAAATTCATTTTTGCTGGCCAGGAGCAATGGCTCATGCCTGTAACCCCAGCATTTTGGGAGGCCTAGGTGGGCGAATCACCTGAGGTCGGGAGTTCGAGACCCACCTGGCCAACATAGAGAAACCCTGTCTCTACTAAAAATTAAAAAAAAAAATTAGCCAGGCATGGTGGCAAGCACCTGTAATCCCAGCTACTGGGGAGGCTGAGGCAGGAGAATTGCTTGAACCCAAGAGGCGGAAATTGCAGTGAGCCAAGATTGCGCCACTGCACTCCAGCCTGGGCGACAGAGCGAGACTCCACCTTAAATAAATAAATAAATAAATTCATTTTTTAAAAATCACAAACCATTCTGATTTAACCATTTCTTTGCAATCTAATATTTGATCTCAAAAATTAAGCAAAGATTAACTAATGTTAGCAAAAAGGCTTTTTTGAGGCTCTGAAACAATACAGTCCAAGGACATGCAAAATAAAGAGCAATAAAATGAGCTTAGATATCATTTAGTCCTTTTTTGTTGTTGTTTTAGTTTTATAAATGAGGAAAGTTAACTCAAGACCACAGGAGTTTGTAGCCAATAAAGACCCAAAACTTAGCAGAAGTTCTCAAAGCCCACCATGTGCATGCGACATGCAACCTGGTTTCATCTCTGCAGTACACAGAGTTCTGGACAGATGGGGGACTCTGGGTGTGTCTGTGGCCAGGCAAGTGTCCCTATAGGGGCAGCGAAGGAGGAAAATGAATCCTATGGCTGGCACCTTTTCCTCTTATAAATCCTTTTTGCTTTCTCTTGCCTGTCTATAAAGCAGAATCACACCTTGACGCAGGGGCTCAACACATAACATGGCTGAGCAATTGGTGCTCTCTCACTACTCCACCCTGTCACAATCTGAGCACAGGCCCACATTCTGCAAACTTCCTTGCTGGTGGCCTCTTCTCTTCTTCTTTCAAAGTGGCATGGCACCAGATGCCATGGCCCCATTCCATTTACCTTGGAGTAGGTAGCAAAAGCAAAACTGGGACCTGCCATCCCAACTTGTACATCTTCCCACTGAAAGCAGGTCATCTTTCTCTGCTTAGCACTCTTTAAATGCCTTGTTAGGGGAACAAAAAAATTCTCTTTCACATGCGTTAAAAAGTCTAATATTTTGTCAAACAGAAATGAAAAATAAACCTAATCTAAGCTGTCAAAGAATCATGAAATGCCTCTGGCACTTCCATCAAAGTATGCAGAATTGTACGAACTCTTTGAAGAAATGAAACTGCAGTTTATCAAGTGTGATTTATAAGCAACACTGATTTAGCTGGTAGATAACACTGCTGTCTAATCATTAGTAGTCAGACAACAGCCATGTGAACACATCAATTATGGGCCACTGCCAAAAGCCCTTGAGATCTTGGAGATTAACAGCCAATCCTCTGTTTTACAAGCTCACATCAAAAAGAATATTAATAAGAGGAGGGGCGATGTGAAAGCTTGTCAGAGTAATTCAGCCACTAAAACAAGGCATTTTTTTTTCCTCTCTTCTCTGTTGAATTGGCCCAAGGAAGAAGCTGGCATCAGCTACAAAGTGCAATGCTGCCAATTTCTTGGAAAATGTTTTTCACTAGCATATGGGAACTTGTAAGGGTCTGCAAAACCGCTATTTGGTGAATAAAGACAGGCAAGCCTTCTCCATGTCCCTTTTTAATGCTGGAATGAAACAAATGGAGTCATTATTAAATTATTTTTAAATTAACATGCACAATAGGAAATCCACTGGCTTTTTCTCTACCCTCAAAATCAGAAATTTTGTAAAATCTCATTACATATATGCCATTTTTAATACTTCTGCCTTCCACCAATATGTAACTAAGAGAAACTACTAGTACGGACCTGCACATTAATGAGTTTCTTGAAATTAACATGGTTCTTTTCAATGTAGAACAAAAATCAAAATGTGTGCCAAGTGCTTACATTTTTTCTTTCCAACTATTTGAAGAAGACAGATATAAATCCCACTGATATTTCTGCAATTAGAATTAAACTAGCTCTGACAACCCATACATAGAAAGCACTTGCAAAAATGTATGTCACAGGCACAGCGTTCGTTTCAGTGATGTCTGTATTTAACACACACACCAGTGAGGATTGCTATATTTTTGTAAATGATCAGACTAAACCAAACAGCTGGCAACTAACAGTTTAGTGGGGTTCCAGCAGGCTCCCTAATGTATGAACATAAGCCACACTGCGAAATGTGTGGCCTGGGTTTCCCTGCCACTTACAGATTTGTTTGCATTCATATCTGTAGAACACTATATTTACAAAGTGTTTTCCTGTTACTTCATTTGTTGTTCACCACTTCAAAATCAGCATGGGGTGGTGGGAAAAACATTAGGAGAGGAAAAAGAAGCATGGGGTTCCTATTGCTTCTCAGTAGTTAAGCTATTTGCCCCCTAAGTCAGTTACTTAATTCAAGGGCTTGTTGACAAGCAATGGTTAAATCAAAGATTCTTTATGTGGGGATCAAAGATTCTTAATCTGGGGTTCAAAGATTTGTGGGGCCTCAGAAACCTTGTAATTACAGAAGCAAAGGTTTCTGCGTTTGTGTACTTTCTCTCTTCCTTTTCCTGGAGAGAGAGTCCATACATGCCCAGTAAAATCCTAACCTACCTAGGAGATGAGAACTGACCCAGTGGCAAATTCAAGGGCAAGAGCTGTGCTTCTTCTTCATTACAATGCATACTCAATAAACATTTGCTAGACTAAAAGCACAGGCATTCATTCTAAACCTCAGTTTCTTCACCTGTGAGCCAGAGCAATGACATACTCTCTTATGATCGTTGAAGTCTGTCAAAACAACAACAACAACAATAACAAAACAACCAACAGGAGTATGGCTTTGGAAGTACTTAAACATAATTTAAGGTGCTACTGAATTCAACAAATGTTCCTTGGGCAGCTAGATGCCAGGCACTGTATAGAGATTACAAATTATTCATTGTATTTTTTATTTTAGAAAAGAAATAGCCTTCTCAGTAAGTAATTTATCTGAGCGAATGTATTTGGGGGCAAGCGGGGTGTCTCAAAAAGGAAACTCTTCCTAGGCTTTGTTGATACTGTATTAGAAGCTCACCACAAAAGATGTTAGATTTCTTGTTAATAGGTGTCATCATCTTCTTTTATAATATATCTGACTATGAGGTTTCTCTATCACCTTTCTGATTATGAAGTTTCTTTTTTCTACCACTTTTCTGGCAAAAATTGTGAATGGTAAGAAATATAAAACTTAGTAGAGGCTCTACAAAAACCACAACCATGCTATAGCTATCTAACACAGCAACACCGGAATTCATTCAGGTGAAACAGACTTTCATGGTAAACATGTATAGCTTCAATCTGTTAAATGTATACTGAAAAGTATACTTTTTGGAAAAATAAATTTTAATAACATGTTGTGTTTAACGGGCAACTTCCAGGTAAAAATAAATCCAACCACTGTTCTTTTCAACAACAATTATGGCTATGAATGACCTATGATTAAAGTGTCAGAATGGGCCGCACTTCATGTTCTTACACAAATTTCAACAGAGATAAAGGGGCCAAATTCATGCCTGAGCTCATAATATCTAATTACACTCCCAACTCCTGGGCTGGCTTTTTTTTCCTTTTTCTTTATCTTCTCCCCCACCCCCACCCCGCAAATTAAATCATTAACTTGGTTTAAACAACTTTCCCAAGGTCACACCTAAGCTATATGTTATAATAAACGCTTCTCTCTTACTTTTGAATAATGACTTAAAGAAAAAAGTAGCATTTCATTTTAGCCCTGAAAGTCATGTGGATAACAAAGAAATCATCAGACAAAAATCTGCCTAATGCAGATTTTTGCAAACAGGATGCCATGACAGTTTGTTATTCTGAGAGCATGACCCTTCTGAATAAGTCATCTTTATTCTTTAAAACTCAATAGGCATGCTCTACCAAACTGGGGAAACCAGGTGCAATATAACTGATTATACAGATGACAATACTGTTAAAGAATTAAAAATGTCACATAAATGCAAGATAGATAATTCCCATCAATGTTTTTGCCAACGATCTCTACATGGAAGAAAAGACAAAAGATGTGGACCCCATGGAGACAGTTTTAAGGCTCTTTTTTCCTCTGTAACCCTACTAAAAGAGAATCCAATTCAACAAATATTGACTGAGCATTTCCTGTAAGAGGGCTCAGTGCTAGGCGCTGGGGAGATAAAAACAAATAAGATGGCATCCATGCCCTCAGGGGTTCCAGGCTGGCAGGGGAAACATGCGCTCACACACCACAGAACAAAACAGCAAAAGTGTAGATAAACGACATGTGTTTCCAGAGCAATAAATAGAAATGGGGGAAATTACAACTGTTTTGGAACAGTAAAGATAGTCAGACAACATAACCAAGAAGCAACTAAGGCTCAGAGCCAGTAGCTGTTGCCCAAGGGTCATAAAAGAACTCAGAGCCAGGCCGGGCACAGTGGCTCACGCCTGTAATCTCAACACTTTGGGAGGCTGAGGCGGGTGGATCGTCTGAGGTCAGGGGTTCAAGACCAGCCTGGCCAACATGGTGAAACCCCATCTCTACTTTAAAAATACAAAAATTACCCAGGCGAGGTGGCGGGCGCCTGTCATCCCAGCTACTCGGAAGGAAGGCTGTAGCAGGAGAATTGCTTGAACCAAGGAAGCCGAGGTTACAGTGAGCCGAGATCGTACCACTGCACTCCAGCCTGGGCGACAGAATGAGACTCTGTCTCAAAAAAAAAAAAAAAAAAAAAAAAAAAAAAAGAACTCAAAGCCAAATCATCAAGTGGGACCAGTCCCCCAATTCCCAGTTCTAGAGCTTCTCTCCCTGGATCATGACCCAGGTAGAAATCAAGAGTAAAAGGTCTGCAGGAGGGAACAATCTACCTAAAGGCCACATGTGGCCAACATCAGCAGGACTTACTGGCTACCTCCACACTGAGAGCACAAGAGCAACATGGCAATTTTCTGAAGCCCAGCTGACTAGAAGAGATGACCTGCATAGATCAGACCTATAGCAGTAATACTTACAACTTCATGCTTTATACACTCCCAAAACGTTTCCCCCTGCCTCCATGGCAATTATCTACATTCTACTAAACCAAAATGGCTAACTAAGCAAAGCTATGGCTCATCTTTACTACTTAAGCAATTCATTTGTGCAGGGATGTTTCTGCCCTAAGATTCCGGGAAACATCAGTAAGTGTATTTACCGGCTGTAAATATTCCTAGGGCTGGAGCTGCAAATCATTAGTCCTTTTGCCTCCCATTTGACCAAGTACACTAATTAACCACCTGTAAAACACCTTAATGAAGTCATATTTAAAGCAATACTGTGATGATTTTTCTATAAATAAACCCTTAAAATACACACACACACACACACACACACACACACACACACACACACACGCAAGAAATTCTAATAACTATTCCTAACATCTCCCTTTTGAGAAAGGGCAGGGAGGTGGGGGTTGAGGGTTGGAGAAGATATCTTCAAATAAGCTATCTGAAGCTTTTGCTAAATGCATACAAAGGAGCCAACCTTTAGAGTTGGAGAATCAGAATAGGGGTTAGGAAGCCTGAGACTGAATATTTGTGGAAATGAAAACAATTAAGCACTCTTCGGATAATTCAGATGCACAGCTATGATTAAGAAATAATATTTATATTAAGAGTTCAATAATTCTGTATACTGGATCAAAAATTATTTAAGTAGAAATACGACCCCCAAACCCAAGAAGGTATGTATCATAACTTCCAGTTAAAGACCATAAAAATAGTTCAACTACCATAAAAGCAGTAGGAGACTTTAAAAAAAAAATTTTTTTTTTTTTTTTGAGACAAGGTCTTTCTGTGTTTCCCAGGCTGGAGTGCAGTGGCACGATCTTGGCTCACTGCAGCCTCCGCCTCCCCAGTTCAAGCAATTCTCGGTTCTCAGCCTCTCAAATAGGTGGGATTACAGGCACGCGACACCACTCCCAGCTACAAGGTTTCTCCATATTGGCCAGGCTGGTTTTGCATTCCTGGTCTCAGGTGATTCACCCGCCTCTGCCTCCCAAAGTACTGGGATTATAGGCGTGAGCCGCGCCCTGCCTTATAGTCAGATTTATAATTCATTGCCTTTTATGGCTAAGGGGTTTTGTATTGGTTTAGGGAGACATTTCTTACTCCAAGGTTAATAAATAAAAATGTTTGGCTGGGCACAGTGGCTCACCCCTGTAATCCCAGCACTTTGGGAGGCCAAGGTGGGTGGATCACCTGAGGCCAGGAGTTCAGGACCAGCCCAGCCAACATGGTGAAACCCCATCTCTACTAGAAGTACAAAAATTAACCAGTCATGGTGGTGGGCACCTGTAATTCCAGCCACTCGAGAGGCTGAGGCAGGAGAATCACTTGAACCCAGGAGGCAGAGGTTGCAATGACCAGAGATCGTGCCACTGCACTCCAGCCTGGGTGATGGAGTGAGACGCTGACTCCATCAATCAATGAATCTGACTATACAGTTTAAGATATTTGCACGGAGTAGGGGGAGGAACAGCATAAACAGAATCAAACGACAAATGAAGAGATGGGAAAAAATATTTGCAAAGCACATAAAAAAATTTGCAAAACACATGAAAAAATTATATATTTAATTATTATACACTGAAATACTTTAAAATAAGAAATGGCCAACAACTCACTAGATAATCAAAGGTTATAAATTATCAATATTTAGGAAAATAAATACAATGGCTTGTACCCATGAAAAATGCAAATTAAAATAATAGATTACTATCAGATTAGCACAGATTAAAGCCAGAAAATTATAACTCACAGTATTAAATTGTAGAAACTACAGGCAATTCATGTTCCACCATTGCTGGGAATGCAAACGGATGCAATCAAGTTGGGGGGCAATTAAATTTTGAAACACACATGTGCAAAGATGTTCAAAGGAACATTTTAAAGGTGCAGATCAGTTTCTTTAATATGCTGTGATTTGTATAAGGGGACAAAAATATAAATATATATTCTTGAACATACGGGGACTATTTCGAGGACATACAAAACTGTTCAAAATAATTGGCTCTAGGGAACAGTCTGGGGGGCATAAGGGGGAAGTAAAACCTACTTTTCATTATATAACATTTTAGTGTAGTTTGAACTTTTACCAATTTCTGACCTCTTTTTTTAATTTAAAAAAAATAGTCAAAAAGTAATAAATGCAACTAATTTCTCAGGGCTCTGGACCAGTCTCCTAAGTAGGAGACATGGTCAAACCCAGGGAGTATGCAAAGAGTGCAAAAAAAAAAAAAAAAAAAGACTGGCATTTCTATTTATATTATTACCTCATCATTTCCAATTTTTTGTTATTTGTAACTTTAGTAAACATCAGCTATATTAATTCAACAGCACGTGTGTGTGTGTGTGTGTGTGTGTGTACACAACCAGAGACACCTGGAATACGTTCTCTGGGGAAAGTAATACTCTTTCAATTAATGTCTTCAGAGAAAGGTACCATTTTGTCCACTCTCTGAAAAAGGACTCAGTATTTACGATCTTGCATGTGAAATCAGTTAATATAATTCACACGGGGTAACATCATCTCCCTCAACCACTGAGAAATGAGAATGAAATCAAAAGCCAGAGGTTAAGCTTAGGATCAGTTCCCACACACTGAGATACGTTTAGAACTTAAGTCACAGCCTGTCCCTCCTCTGCGCAAAGCCCCCCAGTCTCTCCCACCTTTCTGAGTCTTACTTGGTTCTGGAAGGCTCTCTGGAGCCTGGCCTCAAGCTCCATCTTAGATTTCATCTTCTGGAACTCTCCTCTCTCCCTCATCCAGCTTCAGTCACTCTGGTGTCTCCTCAAACACACCAAATACACTCTCCCTCTCCTCGACCCCCGGGGGGATTGTACACAGGTCCTGGGTCTAAAAAGTTCCCTCCACAAGGGGGCCAAATGGCTCCTAACTGTACTCAGGTCCCTACTCAAACATAAACAAATAAAATTCTTCTTTTCCACCATCTCTTTCTACCACCTTCTCCTGCTTGATTCTCCCTTATAGCACGTAACGCCAACCAAAATATATTTATTTGTCTGGAATAAATTTGAATATAAGCTTCATGATAGCAGAGACTTGGTTTCTTCACTACTGTACCTCCAGGACCCAGACTGTGCTAGGCATATAATAGACATTCAAAAAAATGTTTGCTGAGGAAATATTTTTACTAGGTATTTTTGCTGGGTAAACAAAGTAAGGAATGAATAAAGGAATGAACAAATGAAAGAACAGATTGAGACCTGCTTTTATACCTCCCCCATTCTAATTATTTTTGCTGTCAGAACACAAAATGGCCAAAGCTTCTAAACTGTAGGAGGAGGCAAGGAAATGAATATTTAACTGCTGTCTATGACATGTGTATTTTTTTTAATCCCTTAACACAGCAACAATACCCTGCACAGTGATAAAATGAAAACGCTCTAGTTTTTTCCTAGAAAAAACTGTACCACTCCTAAATCTGTACATATTCTCTGACTTTCTCCTGTTATAATGGAGGACTGTCCTAGCTCCAGAGACCCATGGATGCACCCTATTTCAGGACACTGTCTCCTCTCTCTCTCTAGTATGGACAGCTCTTCTCCACCCCTCTCTCATCATTCCCATCAGCATACAAACAGGCTGTGAGAGTTCTCCACTTTAAAAAATGACAGATATTCCCTGATCTCTTTGCCCCTTATAGAAAAGGGTGCTATATTCATAGTGTCCTGTTTTTTCTCACCTCCCACAAAAAATCCAAGCACTCTAATCAAACTTTTTATTTCCCCATCACTACCCTTTACCCCAGAAACGATTTGTGCTAATGTCACCAAAAATCAATTCTGAGTCTCATTTTAACCTGACTTCTTGGCAGCAATTGACACAGCTGATCACACCTTCCTTGCTAGAATTTCTTCCATTGCTTTCCAGAAACACCAGACTGGCTGGGTTTTCTTCCCCCTCAATGGACACGGCGCTGGCTCCTACTGCTCCATAGCCCACCTCTGGGCCCTAGTCTTTTCCATTGGAACTAACTCTAGAGGTGACCTCTTCCAGCCCAATAACTTTAAAGCCCACCTATTTGCCCATAGGTGTCTCCAGCCCTGGCCTTCCTGTGGAAGGACCATAATCACTTGGCAGCCACAGGATATATCAAAAATGAGTCACAACTCTTGATTCCATCCACCTCCAAAATCCAGGTATTTTCCTTAATTCTCATTCTTTCACAACTCCACATATATCCATATCCTCATTATCTCAGGACAACGTGACCATTTCTTGCCACTTCCCACCACTTCCATGCCTACCAAAGAAGCCTATCTTCTCTCACCAGGACCACTGAAAAAGTCTTGCAACTGATTTCCCTTGTCCTCTTCTTGCCTCTCTACAGTCAATTCTCTATACAACAGTCAACAGTAAGATTTGTTTAAAAAAAAAAAAAAAAAAAAAAGTCACTGCCTTGCTCAAAATTCTGAAATGGTTTCTCATCGCATTCAAGCTAAAATCCAAATTCCTTACCATGGCCTACAAGGCCCTGCATGACCTGGCCTCTGCCCAACTCCGAGTCCAATCTGGACATGGGCTGTGCGCCCAACACATATGTGTTACCTGAGTGGATTTAACAGCATGTGCAGTCGGTCAAGAAACAGACTAGGAAGCATCTCCAGACAAAAAAAAAGTGCAAACATCCAACCAACTGGGATTCCGGGCTTTGGATCCTCTCTCAATTCAGCATCAGTTGCTGTATCTGCTCTTTCTCTCCCATCTCAAGCTTGTACTTAACACAGGCCTCTACCCTGTAACAGAGCTTCAAAATCACAGTGAGATCCTACACTTCAACTTCATCCCTTTACCTATAGTTCCTAGCACCAAAGGTCTTACAGTGACAGCAACAGAGTTTTGCAACAAGTGGGCAAATCTCCTCCAGTAAATTTCTTCTCCACTGTGTTCTAAATGTGCCAGGATTTTCAATAGAAAATTTCACAACCCTGTGCTCTGTCAACTCTAAAACCCTCTCCTCTCCCCAAGTCAAGGCTTCAGAGGAAATAAAAAAGTATCACTGCTTATACAGGCTGTACTGAGTTTATCACATCCATTATCTTTCTGACTTCTGTCCTTGGGATTCCAGTTGGTCTTGACCTTGTATAGCTGCCCTCACAGTATCTTTGTCAGTTTATGCATACTACTTCTATTATTTCTCTTTCTCAAATCAATTTCATTGGGTATGTTAGAAATATGCAGAAATTCTAGAAATGAATGTATATGTAAAAAGATATTAACAAATATGGAAAAAAGAAATATATAACATATATACTACTCTCAAGATGGTATCAATCCTCAAGATCTCATTTTCTTATTAGGTCCTTATTGAACTTCACTTCTTAGTTATAAAAGTCCCTTAAAAAAAAAAATCAGACCAAAAAAAAAAAAAAAAAACCACACACATCAGATACAGCTTCAGCCTCATCAGTTGTATCTTGTTGCCAGCTCCAGGTATCCTTTTTTTTTTTTTTTTTTTTTTTAAGACAGAGTTTCATTCTTGTTGCCCAGGCTAGAGTGCAATGGCATGACCTCGGCTCACCACAACCTCCATCTCCCGGGTTAAAGCGATTCTCTTGCCTCAGCCTCCCAAGTAGCTGGGATTACAGGCATGTGCCACCATGCCCGACTAATTTTGTATTTTTAGTAGAGACAGGGTTTGTCCATGTTGGTCGGGCTGGTCTCGAACTCTCGACCTCAGGTGATCTGCCCGCCTCGGCTTCCCAAAGTCCTGGGATTACAGGGGGTGAGCCACTGTGCCGGGCCCCAAGTATCTTAAGAAACATCTGTAAAGGAGGTTCTCTCCAAACACAGCTTTACAAATAGGCAGAAGAGATGACTGCCCAAAGGTGTGATTTAAGACACCAGGAAAGCTCTTATGCCTCTCCTCCTATTAGACCAGTCCCTACCTTTGAATTCCATACCTTGGTCTTGAAAAGTCGACTCACGATGGGATTGAGGTGCTATCTTAAAATCACCTTAAGGGTCATTCAATAGGTTGGTATTGGAGGGCAAAGCTCTTGATAAATGGAGAAAAAAATAGGCTTTAGGTGGATAGGAACATATCAGAAAGATATTTTCAGGAGGAATTTAGCCAAGGGGATCAAAGCAAAGATCACCTCTGCTTTGGGGTGGCTGACATTTTGTTTATCTAGCTCTCCCATGCTGCTGGCAATAATAATAGCCTCACAGACATGTACAGTACTCACTCCTCCACAGGAAGCACCTTCTCTTGACCTATCTTACGCAGATTTTCCATAATCTGAAAATCACTATCCCAACATGTCTGGCCTTCTGCTTATCTTCGTTACCATGCAAGACAACCTCAAACTCGTTCCTTAGCCATTTTTAAATGCTGAAGACTCAATAATCAAATATGACAGCAATTGATATATGATAAATACATATACATTTAGCTCATTCTCTATAGTTCCTGAATATTATTAAATATGTTGATTTATAAATATTTGGGCATATTTCCACTCTAGTGCAAGAAATATATCCATGTTGCTTGCGTTGTAGACTCTAGTACCATAAACCCCACCCACTTAAACAATGCGGACTTTATCAACAGCCCCATAACCTCACCTTCTGTCCTATTTCCTAAACCCCATGACACATCACTCTTCTTTCTCTTCTTATAATTCCAAGTAACATAAATAAAATTCACTATAGAACCCTATTAGCCCACCAACTTCAAAAGCTAATTTATGGGCCCAAGATTTAGGTCAGCAGTATTCTAACTTTACAAAAGGGGAGGAGACCAATTTCTGCCCTTTAAGCGCTCATCTGCACAGGAAGCAACCAGAAGGAGGAGGTCCCTGAGTCGCTTTAAAAGCATCAGTTCTGATTACCGTACTCATTCTGGCATGGCCATCAAATGCAAGAAGTGTGAAGAAGAAATGGATGCTGTTTTAAAAGAAGGCTCGTCCTGACACAGCACACTGATCACCATCTCACTGTCCCTTTCACAAGCTTACTCCGTCTTTGAGCTTCACAGCTGCAGTTTGGGAAGAACAGGCTAGCCCAGGCCTCCAAGAGCATCCCAGAGAGGAAGACCAGCCAATGGAGGTCCTGAGTGAGAGGGACATTTGCCCTAATGTTTGGTGAGGTACCTAACAATGCCCCTAAACCAAGGATAGCGAGTGGCAGCAAAGTGGTATCACACTGGAGCGGAAACCTATTCTGAGCCCGGGAGAGGCTAAACACTCACATTTAGGAAACACTTAAGAACAGAACATAGTAAATCCTTAAACATTAAAAATTACTCCTCTTGTAGGTTGTATTGGTTCGTGCTGTTACAACAAATTCTTTAAGCTGTTCCTTGACTGTAAATACTGTACTTCTATATGTGTATATGTTTAAGTATATATATCTATGTGTGTTTATAAATATAAAATATACATATATGCTATATTTAGTGATCTGTGGTTACTTTTATTTCTTTTTTGTTGTTTACTTGTTGTTTCCCACACTCCCCCAAAGGGTACTTTGAAATCTTTCCAGTTTTTACAATTAAACCTAACCATCTGGACAAAAATCTTCACATTCACTAAATTAGTCACAGATTTTGTGGGTAAGCTGAGAAAGTAAATGCTATGCTCAGTGCTAGGATTTAAACCACATCTACCACAGCAAAACACTCTCTCTCCAATAATCTCTCCAATTATGCACGCACATTCAGGCTCAAATAACATGGAAGCAACTACACCTCACTGCACAGATTTGTACAATTAGTATTATTCCTTAGATCCTGAAGCAACAACAAATCCAAAGTAAAATTATTCAAAAAGCTTTCAGAATTTATTTTACAGACAAAAGATAAAACAGTACCTATTTTTTCACCACCATTTAACTTCCTCCTACTACTGGTGTGTGCTGGCAAGCTGCTCACCAAATGCACAAGTGATTTGAAGAGATCTGTGTTTATGTGTTAAACACTGGCAACAATGTGATTTGAATACATAGGGCATTTTCTAGATTTTTCAAGTGTAAAAAGGCTTCCACCCTCTTCAGAGTTTACTTTAAGTGTCAAAAAAGGAAAATTTAACATGTTTAAGACCCAATATACTTACAGAGCTGAAATCCAACAAGGGCAAGTGATTTCGTGTTGTCATCCAATCACCAGTATATAGCTATAGATATTACAAAATTTCTATCAGTCTAAAACTAGACAGGATTATCTGCTGGAAGTAACTCTTGCAGATGTACTGACTCCAGGTAAATGGAAAAGACTGGTTTTTACAAGGAAATAATGTACAGGAATTTATAGCAGGCTTACGGATGCAAATGCTAGTGTTTCAAAGGAGACTTTAAGCCTTTAATGTGAGCTAAGATAGAGAGTATTAGACTTTGGTGTAAACAGGTTTATAGAAATCATTTTCAGAGTGTCTTAGGTTGGCATTTTTCCTTTCACATTTTATATGGGCAACAAAAAGGATCCACGTCTGTAGTATACAGAACAGGTTAGAGAGGAGAAGCAAGAGACAAGAACTCTTGTTAATATTAAATTGTGAGGGGCCGAAAGCTCAGCACTTACTCTCCATTCTTTATGCTACATGTGAGCACATATTAAACTTACTGAAATAAATTTGTATTTCGGGGGGTTGTTTTTTAAATCCTCAGAAGCATTCATAGAGTGGAGGCACTGACAATTTGGTAAAAAGCTTTCTTTCCAGGAAGGATTAAAACTGTAGAGCAATTTCAAGATTGCAAAGCTTCTAGGCTGTCACAAATATTAAGAGAAGCCATGTTTATCTTTGCACTTTTGTTTTGGTTTGCTAAGTAAACCTAGACTGAGCATTCAGTCAACCAAAGAAATCACATGTAGGTGAGCATCTGCAGGTTTTCCTACTGGTAAGACATGATTTTTTTTTATAACTTTAAAAAGATGTGTTTACACAAATTTAGTCTACTTAGTGACTATGGCAGTGTTATTGTTTTTTGGGTTTTTTTGAGACGGAGTCTCGCTCTGTGGCCCAGGCTGGTGTGCAGTGGCACGATGTCAGCTCACTGCAACCTCTGCCTCCCGGGTTCAAGCGATTCTCCTGTTGCAGCTTCCTGAGTAGCTGGGGTTATAGGTGCGAACCACCACACCTGGCTAATTTTTGTATTCTTTTAGTACAGACGGGGTTTCACCATGTTGGTCAGGCTGGTCTCGAACTCCTGACCTCGTGATCCGCCCACCTCAGCCTTCCAAAGTGCTGGGATTACAGGCGTGAGCCACCGCGCCCAGCCAACTGACACAAGATTTAAAAGTTTGGAGTTTTAGGCCAGGAGTGGTGGCTCATGCCTATAATCTCAGCATTTTGGGAGGCTGAGGCGGGCAGATTACCTGAGGCCAGGAGTTCGAGACTAGCCTGGCCAACATGGTGAAACCCCATCTCAACTAAAAATACAAAAATTAGCCAGGCGTGCTGGTGGGTGTCTGTAATCCCAGATACTCGGGAGGCTGAGGCAAGAGAATCGCTTGGACCCGGGAGGCGGAGGTTGCAGCGAGCCGAGATCGTGCCACTGCACTCCAGCCTGGGCGACAAAGCAAGACTCCATCTCAAAAAACAAAAAAAAAGTTTGGAGTTTTAGACATTAACAGAAGTAAAATCCAGTCTCTTTCCTCACTAATACGGAAAATATTAACAGGAAAGAATCAGGAATGAGCAATGGCACATTAAAAAGTAAGTAGCAGTTTGACAAAACTGAAACTACTTAGACCTAATTTTTTACACTCTCTTTGCTCCCCAATTCCTACAATCCTCTTGTTCACCGCCCCTCAGAAGAAATAGATCTATAAAATGAAGCTATCAGCCATTATTTGGATTCAAAAATCATGCCATTTCAAAAGGATCATGATACCAAAATAATAAATAATACCAGAACTTAAAGCTAGGAGAAAAACAAAACAAGATCACCTAAAGCCAATTCAGATATTTAAAAGTTCAATGTATCAAATATGCATCAATAAACAAATGATTTTAATGTTACAGAAGAAATGGGCTTTTTCATGGCATGCATCCTGAGTTATCAAAAAGAGAGACAGTTTATACACAAAAGAGCAGATTAAGATAAAGGGTTTCACTCCCAAGATTAAAGTAAAAATAAAAACAGTGAGTTGAGGAGTGTTTAGAATGATACTTCTAGAAAATAATGCTAGGTCTTTCCAGAAACCTATTTATTCACAATAAGATTAGAAGGACAAACTGCAACTACAACATGGACAAATGCCATGATTTCTGGTCTTCTAGTCCTTAGGAAAGGGGTTTTTTTGTTTGTTCAAAAAAAAAAAAAAAAGACATACTGACATTCAGGCTGCCAGGCAACTGCTTTTCCCCCTCCAAAACTGCTGTACCACTTCACTGCTGTTGCTGGAGAGTCCCTTTCTATTCAGAAACAGGGCTACTAACTAATGAAATCATGGGGAATTTCTATAAATGGTCCCAATTATTCAAGAGAATGCATTGTCTAGGGCCCTTGCAACAAAAGCTCTACCCCAACCACCCTCTTTCCCACACACCTTTCTTCTACTTTTTACTCCCTAGCTCCACCACCACCATTCCTCCTTAAGTGAGCAAACAGGAAGATTCAGCAAGTCTTCTAGCCCCTCTCTCAGCTAAAAGAACCTTGAGAGTTTTGCTTCCTGACCAGGGAGCACAGAAATAATCTGCCTCCCCACCTTCTTCCCTCCCTCTATACAGCTTAAAAGATGCACTTGGCTAGGCAGTTCTCTCCATTAAACAATTCATTCTTCTTTTGCCTTCTTTGTGAAAAAAAAAAAGGGTAAAAACAGCTGAGCATGATCACAAAACATAACACTGGGCATTCAATTTCTGTACCTTACGGCCTCATTCTTTCACCTCATCCATAGGATTTGGCGACCAAGTAAATCTTAATCTGCAAACAAATGGTTTGCTCTCCAATTAAACCATTCATTCTCTCTATCTCTCTCTCTTTTTTTTTTTTTTTTTTTTTTTCTGTTTGGCGGCTACCCAACCCAAAGACTTCTAGGTTCTTCCATTATTTAGCTCTCCCAATGGTTAAAAAGCAATAAGCTCATTTGGAGTTTATAAAACTATGCACCATCAACAAAAGCATGTAATGCTTCCAAGATGCACAGTGGCTTCTACAAGCACAATGAGGAGCTGTGTGTAGTCTCTCCCCAAACAAAAATGCCCAGGCCCCAATTAAGCACCCTGGGGGCTTTCAAAGCAGTTATGCTAAGTTGCAAATACAGCAAGATCCACTTGAACTCCAACTGTCTTGTGTGCTTTTCCTCCCAAGGTAGGGAAAAAGCCGGGGCAGACTGACCTCATTAAAGGGTAATTAGTGAACCCCAGGACTTGAGGGGCTACCACAATCATTGCTATTGTGAGCATTTCACTACAGGGCCACTAATTTTTTCATTTTTTTAACCCAGGAGGTCTCTGCAATCTGAAGGCCCAACATTTTAAATTTTTAAGGATTTCAATCTGGCTGTTTTTTTCTACTACTAGTCATTGAGTAAGAAGAAAGGAAGCAATACAAAGAGCACTCCGACTTCTTTTGTGGAATTCTGGCATATCTAAAAATAAGTTTTTAGAAAACCATTTAAATAACATATACCCTATATATCTAAGAAATAATTTTGAATAGGTTTTGTTGAAACAAAATGAAATAAATTCTCCACCTCCTGATTAGAGATTCAAAGTGGCACATAAAAGAGCATTAGAAATCAATCAATATAGGGTTTTATGATTATATATGATAAAGATGTTTAAAAAAAACTCATGCATCCATTTACATGTGCAGTTCTTACTCAGAAACTAATACACAGTGATGCGATCAACATAACCACTTTACCATCAATAAAATCCTTCACACCTCTTTAAAGCCCATTATTACTGTTGATATCAATCTGCCAAGATGCTTGAGGACTAAATTCTACTATAAAAGGCACCAGTAAATTTCGCCGTTTACATTAAGAGTAGCACCTTTTCACAAATACTAATCCACTGCCTTGGTACTAAAATTCTCCAGTACTTGAGAAAGCAGTCTTTAAGGCAAGTAATAAAATGGTTGTCTTAACTTGACATTCTCAGCAACCAAGATTTAAACAACTCTAATATTTACATATAATCAGGGGGATCAACATCTTTGTTAAAAAAAATCACTGAAAGAGAGGAAATGGAGTTGGGGTGATAAGTGATGATCACCCTCTATACAGAACCACCCCGAAGCCCAGAACTAGGTCCATTCTCCTAACACTGGCGTACGGAGGGACTGGGAAGACCAAAGTCACAGGAACCCACCTACTATACTGATCTCAGTACAACCACCCCAGCCGCTCGCTGAGGGAGGGTGTGCTCCAGAGACCTACACAAAAACTTGGGTACACATTAATGCCCACAGTAACTTATTTAATGCTACCCTTAGATTTGTGCCAAGCCAATTAATCACTCAATTCGTTTATTTGGGTTTACAGCTTTTGAATATTGAATGAAAGAATTTAAACGTGTGGAACAAAAGTCTTTGTGTTTTGGCCAAAGTATACTTAAACTATATTTAGAAGGAAATGTGTCTGTATATTTCTCTTTTATTAAAACACTGCATAGGGACCGTTCCTTAGCCAAACATCCTTGTTTTATTTTAGAAATACTACAAAATTTATTTGCATTACTTAAACATATGCAATACATTTTGGGAAATCTTGAAAAGATGGAAAAGTCTTATTAAGTGATGGGGGGCAACCATAGTTGCTTTGTTTTGTTTTAATGTACCCAGTATATTCGGCTTTCGGGAAAAAATGCAAATCCTGGAAGTCATTCCAAACAGTTGGAAACTCTTCCTCTTAAAGTAAATCCAAGGGCTCAAAAAATAAATATTCAAGAGCATTAATTTGTTTCTAGATGTGTGCGTGCAAGTAAAACAGCAGTCATAATGTGGAAATTTCAGTCACATTTTGCAACTAATTGGAAGCAGATTAGAATTCTGCCTCAGGGGAACGTTGTCAAACTAGAAGCTGGAGCAAATGAAGAAAGAGGTGAAGGCGTCGTGAAGAGCTGACAGATTTACAGCGCTCAGGGCCATAAACGGGTCCCTGGCGGGAAGAAGGGCGCGTTCCCGGCTGCACGCCCCCGCCGCCCCGTCGGGAACGCGCAGCCCCGGGCCCGAGGTGCCAGCGGCCACGCCCCCAGGAGCCCAGGGCCCTCCATCTGCTCCCATAGCGAAAACAATAAAGGGACCTGCTGAAGAAACCAGTGCGACTGATAAGATAGAAAACCTGCACACTGATAAACTGGAGGATGCAAAAGTCAAAGGGAGAGAAGGCTTCTTTATTTTAAGAATGGGGGAAGGGGAGAGCAAAAGAAAGCAGATTGTGGAGGATAATACAGCAATGGAGTAATGTTTGGAAACAGCTGCTCCCTTTCTACTTCAGTGTCTGGCATCTGCTGCGGCATCATGGGAAAGGCTGGTGAAAGATTTGGGCAGGGAATGTAAATGGAGACAATTGACCAAATGGAGTTGGATGCGGAGAGGCTCAACTGCTCTGTTTTAACATCATGTTGCTCCCTTTTGGGGGCAGAAACAAACAATATTACTTAACTCAAATTACACCTTTAGAGAAGTTTAAAAATTTGGGAATACGAATCGCTTTTCAATTACTGAAGATGTCAAACGATACAAGGGGATAAAATCTAGCTGCAGCCTCCACTTCTCAAAATGTTGAGCTCATCTTCCACACAACTTCACAGAAAAGCTAAAAGGAAGTAGTTTCCTCTGTGTTTCACTTATTTTGAAAAAAAAAAAACATGTTTAATCACCACTGCTTACTTCTTAACTGGCTCAAGGGATAGTTTCTATTTGTTGTGCCTATTTTCCCCTTCGTTGCAAAGATTCAGCTCTAATTTCATTTCCATCACAAAAGAATTGGCAAATAACTAAAGCACGGGAACACATAACTAAAGTGCGGCTGTGCTAGTCATAAGCCTATAATAAAGCACAGATTTGATAGCATTATCCATGTACTGTGGTGAACCACACACAAATAAACAGTTCTCCATGAAGAATGAAAACCCAAGGCTTCAACCCTTCCAGTTCAAACATTTTTGTTGTTTTTAACATGAGCCATCCATAAAATCAGCCAAGGAAGTGACAGGAAATCCAGAAGTAAACTGGTCTGGCTATGCACGCTTTGGAAAAAAAAGTTAGAAGATGCTTTCCAACTCATCCTGATGATGTGTGAGGTGAATAATGGATAAAACTGTAAAATCTAGGTACAAAAACAAAAGGTACTTTTATGCCAGCTGAATCCAAACACATGATGAGTGTAGTTTAAAAAAAAAAAAGTACATTTCCTCCAGCATGGGGAAAATTTTCTAACCTAACTAGGAACAACTTAGACACAACCTTTGAACCTTCAGTGACTAATGCGAAGGACAAAAAGGTATACCAAAAGCGGCCAGAGGGCCAGATGTGCTTTTCCTAAGAAACTAAACCAGGAGTTTTCTTTAATCAAAAGGACAAACAGTGACTTCCAGGAGTTTATGAAAGTGTGACCAATTGGAACTTTGTCGTCTGTTGCTAATTGAGGCATATAAAAGAGTCCACTTCTTAAAACATACTACTAACACTTTTTTTAAAAATTCTCTGCCACATGACAAAAACCAGAATCGAGTTGACTGGTAGAAGATCAGTGCAACCAAAGACCAAGCTATTATTTCAAACTGTCAGGGGAAGGCAGTAAAATTGCTACCAGGTCTCCTTAAGTTACCCTTCAATGAAAAGAAGCCATCAGGGAAATAAGAGGAAAAGAAAACACATCAAAACCTTAAAAGTCCCTTTAAGTAAAATTATACGTCTGTGGCACCATGCCATCTGCTCTCTGGTTAGCATAATAAGCCAATTCCACAACCTAAATATCTGCTTTCTGAAATCATTATGTACAACACAAAATATAATCAATATATTTTTACTTGCTTTTTAAACTGTAAAAGCTACATTCATGTGGCATTATTGGAATATGCCTAAATGTCCCTGCAGACACATTTTTCTTAAGGTGCTAGCTGACAATGAGGATTCCCAGGAGGCAGAAAGCTCAGTAGTTGGGTTGGAATAGTCACAGTGAATGATATTCAAACTAGGTCGGGGGGTGGAAATGAGAAAGAAGAGTAAGTGGCTTTGAAAAATCCACAGAAGTATTTGTTCATCATTTCAAACCTATTTGTTCTAACCGAAACACCTTTTCCTTTGAGTTCTTTATTACAGTTACAATATATACCTTTAAGTTTTCATTTAGTTTCACTGGGGGGAAAAGCCTTCTGAATACCAGATGGGATCCCTGTGGTTCAAGGCCCACAGACCTAGCAAAATATAAGTATTTGCTTTGTGATCATTTCAGTTCTTAAGGCAAAACCCATCATCTTTTCTACTACATTCCCAAAGGTATTTCCAAGAAAAATTTAGCAAATATGCAAAATTCAGCTTTAGGAGCAAAGTCTCACTTTGGATATGCAAGAGGTTGCATATCCTTTGAGCTCTCAAAATAACATTACAAACAGCCCAACTGCTGGTCAATCAACTATGAATAGTTTAACAACCTTTCATTCAGTTGCAAAGGCTTTGTTCCCATTGCCAAAACCTTGAGCTTAAATTAAAAAGAACTTGTGACAGGGAGCAAGTAGTCACTAGTGAAACTGCAGTTGGGAGAAAGAATTAGACACAGAGGGAGAGGTCCATATATTCTGCAACAGAGTGGAACGTAAAACCAACAGTGAACATTTTTTAAAGAATAAAACCCATACTAACTAAATACTCCCAATCCAACATCTGTATATGCAGTTACAACATTTATATACACACACCTATGACATACCAGTTACAGGGCACCAATATCATACACATATTACTTACTCTCTAATGACAGTCTAAGTCATCACTGAGGCAGGGAGCTCACCTGTTCTCCATCCCTTTAATCTTCAATGACTACATTAGGAGAGTATTATGATCATTTATCAACAAGAATCCTAGCGAAGAAGGGTTATTTTCCCTAAGATGTTGCTAACAAGGATAGCCCAGTATTTCCTTAGTTCTGACTTCCATATAACACAGGAATGTAATACAAGTAATTTAGGAATAAAGTGTTTTGTATTCAAGCAAAACCCTTGATGTTCAGATTGCTGGCAAGTTCAGAGTGCTGGCAATCAAAACTATGTTGTGCTGCAGTAATTACTATGAAAAACTTCCAGTGCTTAATATTAAAGAATAGAATAACATGATCCTGCCACCTCTTCTACACCTCTAGAGTGTGTTCAATGTGGCAATTATCTTCCTTCAAGAAGCAGAGAGTTTAAACTGCATTGAAACTCAATTATACTCATGACTTTTGAAAACATACACTCCAAGTCAGGTTTCATCACATTCAAATCACTGCACAATATCTTATGAAACAGATTTTATCCCCCTCCCACAAGACATCTTCAAGCATAAAAATGACTTATTTTCAGCTCTGTACCCACTTTTCACTTTATTAAAGTAGAGGGATGGCTGAGCAATGCTGAAAGACAAAGAAGGATCTCAACTGATAAAAACAATTCAACGTGCAGCTCTCCCACACGTCATTACCCAGGCAGCCTAGAGCTGCCACCACGTTAAAAAACCAGATCACACACTTGTTAACAAAAAACACATTACTTTGCTACTTTTAAGAATGCAAAGAACTAGGAGTAGTAGATTTATGATTTAAGTGCTTGTGGCTAAAATAGCTTTCCAATTATCAAGGGCCTCTTAGGAAGAGCAAGAATGCATTATGTGTTAATGACCACAACCAGGGGTCCCTTTCTCGACTCTTTTGTCAGAACCCAAGCAGATCCTCCCCGCAGCTTCACCATTAACATGTCTGTTTCCTGTCAGGCCACTCAGAGATAATGTCATTTATCTCAGGGAGGCACAAGCCCAGTCATTAGCTTCAATAAAAGACCTCAAACAAAGGCCGGATAATGTTTTACCCAGGGCTCTAACTAAACCCAGAACCAAGATTCTTAGTGTCTAAAAGTCAAGGACTCAAAAGTTACCCTTCCTTAAAAGGATATTTTCCTCATTATCAACAATCCTAGATTACAGCTCTGAACAAGAGCAAGGTCTATGTATAGTAAACACCAGTCCACAGCAATATCACACACAATTAGATTAACTGATAAACGCTGACCAGAGTTGGCGTGAGAGCCTTTTCCCCTCCTTGCCTCCAGGGGGAAAATTGACAGAATAATTCAAGTACTGACTAAATAGTCAGATCTTTGGAAAAGCTGACCGCTCATTGTGATTGCCTGCAGGAACTGTATAACCATTATAAAGTGTTCAATGGCTGGGCTTCTGGAAATCTTTTAAATAAAAGTGGAACTGGTTAAAATAAATGCAGGAACATGTGTTTTCACAGTGTTGCTCATATTACTGCAATTTCAAGTTTCTATGAAGTACCAGGTGAACTTTTTTAAATTAAAAAAGAATACACGCGCACACACAGACACCGTCGAAACTGGAGCAAATCGCAGCCATTCAATCCCTCTTTTTCACGCTGAAAACGAAGAACAGATGGTACTTTCCATGTTGTTCGAATCTGGTTATTGAACACCTCTGTGGTTAGGGAGATTTCTGCTTAGCACTTTCGGCATACATTTCATTTACTAACTATAAAATGCTGCTTAGGAAAAATAAGTCTTTATAACAGTCTAATTAAAACCATCTTGCAGCCAAGCAATTTCACTTGAAGAGCATTCTTAACCTCACGACATTTGGACTATCAATCCCTCCCCCCACCGTTTTTTACAGACTATTTGCAAAGTTATTAAAAGTTGCAAAACATTATTTATCTCCTATAGGACAATCTTGATCAGTTATGCATATTCCTTCTCTCTCCAGCAAAGCAAACGGATTTCACACACCAAAGTCAGAATTCAGTGATGGGTCTGATTACACAAATACCTAAGTTCCATGTGTTCTTGGGGAAAGGGCAGCCCCCTCCCTCAAAAAGCCCTGTCACCCTGTGAGGAGGCCTATAGAAAAGTAAGGAGCTGGATCAATGCTGATTTGGACGCCACCCTTAGTTACCAACGTCTTTAACAGCTAAACCTCTTATGTAGCTTTCAAAACAGTTTGCTGTCCGACAACAATGGACTCTGTTCTTTAATTATAGCAAGTGACCCCTCTGCCCTTTTATTTCACAGTAGATACACTACACTCTAGGCAGAATTCATATGGGACACTATATTTGAAAAAAAAAAAAAGCATAATGTCCACAAAACTCATTAATCAAAATATGTTCTTAAACTGCTCACACTCACTTAGAAAATGTGCCAGAATTCCCTGGTGAAGTATAAAAAGGACTCTACAAAAGAATAAAATAAAATGAATGATATCCTTTATGGACAGGTCCATTTGTAGACACCACCTTTATGACCAGGGCCATCTTAATGAAAGCAATATGATATTACAGAAATAATTCTCTTCCCTGAATAGGTATTGAGACACAACTATATGACCTCTTGTGCCTTTCACTTCTGTTTAAGTATCAGCCACTTTTAGGATTTTTGAGTTTTTGTATATATTTTTGAATTTTCCAGAAATCAAATAAACCCATCAACTTTACATATAAACTGTTTATTTATAAAGCCCAGCTGAATGCCTCCCTATCTGATAAGTCAAAACTGTAAGATGGCTAGGAGGATACATAAAGAAGAGCTTCAATACAAGGCTATTATGCTTCACAAGAAAGGAGGGGAAGGTGGAGAGGCAGGTTTTAACAACCAAAAGCCAACCCATCAAATCTACTTATTCAGACATGTCACTGGTGGCTTAACCACAAAATGGGCTACAGAAATATAGCTCAAACATCTTAGAATTATGGCATGTTTTGATTTTGTTCACGTATTAAGGGAGTGGCGACTTTTACAACATACTTGTGGTTTCCACATAAAGGAGTAGAACACTCATTGATTTAATTAGGTTTCATAAGGTCCAATTTATCATGTTTTACATGACTTTGTGTAGTGAAGAAACAGAATAAACAGACCAAAAATAGACATTTAAGCATGCATGCTATGAAAATTAACCGGTGACAGCAAGTCTTATGAATCTCCTGTGAACCTTCCAACCAGAAAAAAAAAAAAAAAAAAAAAAAAATGCACACACACATACACTCCCCCCTTTGGTTTTCACATGTGGCCCCTCACGAGCCACATCTGATTGCTGAAAATTAATAATCTTCACTCTCCAGGCACTTACTCTTCACAAACTCAGATAATCAAGCCAGGCTGAAGGAAATTAAAACACTGTATAAAATGTCAAAAAACCTCAGTGTTGAAATATTTTTTCAGGTGAAGCTTCTGGTCCTACTAAATCTTTACTTTCTAAATAGGTATTCTCACATCAGTAGGAAGCATTTTCTAAATTGATGCCTAATTTGATGCAACCACTAGTTAGTGGAATTAGAGTTACTTTCCTGGGTGGCATTCATGCAAGGGAGTGCCATTTCTGTGTGCCAAGGATGAAAGCATTCTTAAGAGAAGTCATTCTCAGGGTGAAGTGGGGGTGGGGAGGAAAGCCTTAAGGAATAATGTTTGAGATCCTGAGCCAACGCCCAACTTGACAGAGAATGGCCAACACTACAGGATCCAAGCCCCTGGATCCAAGCCTTTGAGGGGCCCCTGTGCCAACTCCAGTGGCTAAGATTGGTGGCACAGCTTCCTCTGGTATAGGATCAGAAGTGAATCTAAATTGCAGTGTGCTTTCTTCCCTCCCCCACCCCAGATCCACCATGACTTGTTTGCTCTTCATTTATGTAATTCATATTTATCACATTTATACTGCTCTAACTGAAGATGAGTTGCATGTATATGAATAATTTAATTCTTCCATTCTTCACCCAGTTTCCTCTGTGACTGGAAAGTGAAAAGAACACACAAAAACTGGAGAAACGACACCACGCTCTAATCTCAGTTGCCATGACAGCAGCCTTTTAGATACTGAAATGTTCCGATTGCCAGCTAAACAAAATTGTTGAATGTGAACATTTGGCTGGAAGATTAAAAGGCTAAGGGGAATGCAAAAGGGCAGTACCTCCCACATTCCAAGCAGCCAGTGAATCCAATCAAATGGCTCTGACTCCTTAACCACAGCCATTGTGAGCACTGGATTAGGGCAATTCATCTAGATAGTTAAAGCAGATTAGAACTGCAATTTGAAGACTATTGGCAACAAAAGTAAATGCCCTACTGTACTAAGTAATAAGAAGATTTCAGAACACCTTTTAGCGGAAATAATGTGAAACTACACATTTAAATATAAGACTCAAAACCCGGAATTTTCAAAAATTCATTTATATTCATTAATGTACCTGACCAAGAGGATATGAATTTATAAGCGTTTGGAGGCATTTTGCAAATTTGGCATTATCTACACCTTAATGTGCCTCTATCAACTTTTAAAAATCAAAACTTTACTCCTATACTCCAACTTAAATCCTGAACACAAAAACAAGAATATAAAAGTTTAAGTAGCAGTGAACCATTTTACACAGAAATAATTCTCCAAAGACATATTATCACCACTTACAATCCCAATCGCCAACTATAGCAAAAAAAAATCAAAATTATTTAATAAGGATGTTCCCCAACAACCATGCCACAACCCACATGACAGAAAGCTTGCTTCTGCAAGGCACAACCTGTAGAATTAATATGAAGATTAATTTCATAGAAATATCACACACACACCCCTAACTCCTTCCCAACCTGCCTAGTGGACAGAACACCTTCTGTTCCCAAACATTAGTCAATGTGGTCTATGACTAAGCAGCAAAACATGGTGTGGGTGTCGGGGCAGGCAGTTCTTCCAAGGCAGTGTCTAACTATAGACTTGTACAAAGAAGGGGAGAAGGGTCCAAATGGTCTAAATCAACCATCCACACCGTTTAAATGCAGCACATAATTCTATATTCCAATTCACTCAACCGTCTACATCCCCTTTGGCTACATTTTCACATTTCACGAGTATCAGTCCAGCAAGTCTGTTTTATTCTTCTTAGCAGCCGTCCAGCTCCCCAGTCAGGTATCCAAGTGATAACACTCTTAAATCTCTAGCTAAGAACTGGGTGAGGGAACAGGGGTAGAGTGCTAACAGCCACCAAAACCATCGAGTTTTTCTGCAGTTATGAAACCAATGACCCAACACATCAAGCTTGGGGTTTCATTCAGGACCAATAACAAGAACTCATTCAAGGATATCCTTTCACAGTACTATTTTGGAGACAGTAAGAAAAAATAAAAGGGATGAGGTCTGTAGAATGTAAATTCGAATCCTCGACATTCCTCTCCAGGGAGGGAACTTGAACCTTGCACCTAAGGACACATTACCCGCAATACTAGGATGAATAAATTAAAATAGAAAACTGTTCCCCTTAAGGAAGAAAGCAGGACAAGAGTCAAGAGGGTGCATGAGCAGGTTTTCTATTAAAAGCACACGGCAACCTGCTGACTAGTGAGGAACCGATCTACAGGGCAAAAGGTACTTAGAACACTCAGGCCCTCCCACCTGGGAACCCAAACACTAGCATCACAAGCAGCAGCAGCAGCAGCAGCAGCAGCAAGGACAGCAGAAGCAAGAGCCAAACACTGCACCCAAGTAGGCTCCCCCATATCAAATTTTAATATAAAGGATGCATATCATAGAAATCTCACAAAGAACCAGAAAGCATAAAGTGTAAGGCACACAGAGGCACACCCCCACACACCCACACAAATGCACACAGAGGAGAGTAGGACATCTAGGAAGGCGACTTTATCCTACCTTCTCAGTTTTCAGTTTCTTGATTCGCCTGTGGCTCTCCTCCTCCTCCTCTTCCTTCTTTACCAACATAGAGTTTCCCATGAGCCCTGAATCCGGGGCACTTTTGCTAACTTCCCCTGCAGCGGCGACGCTGCCACTCCCAGTGCCCCCGCAGTGGAAGGGGCTCGCGCCACCTCCATTGCTCTTGGCCCCAAAGCCATAGAGGTGCCCCCCGGAAGGGGCCTGGCTGCCACTGCCATTCTGGTGGCCCTGAAGCAGGTCGTGCTTGTCCTTCCTGGATTTCCCCGCATCCTTATCCCGCTTGGCGCCTCGGCTGCTCTGGCTTTTACCTGGCTTCTCCTCTTTGCTTTTCCCACAGGAGCCTGCCCCCGCGGTGGCGGCAGAGGTGCTGGTGCTGGTACTATTGCTGTTTGGGTTGCCGCTGCCGCCGCTGCTCACACTTTGACCCAGCGCTGAATTCATGCCAGTTGCCTCTCCAGGGCGCCCTTGGACTTCCTGCCTCTTGCCAGTGCTGCTGATCTCGGGAATCCCATACAAGGCAGCAGAAGGCAGAGATTTATTAGCATCCTTAGAAGTTTTACTCCTTTTCACTTTTGATTTGCTGGTCTCTTTGTGTGAATTCCCCTGGGGAGCAGAGGCCTGAACAGAAGCAAATTTTAGGCCATCAGCTAAGGCTGCGGTAGCACCAGCCCCACTGGAGGCCGGACCTCCACAATCCTTGGAGTTGCTGCTACTAGTGGTGGTGGTGGAATTATTCATCTCAAATTTCTGTCTGTCCTTCTCCAAATCAGCGTCCAAATCAATTATTAAATTTCCAACCCCGATTTCCCAATCATCGCCACTGTCATAAGTATCAACTGTATTTGGATCCACACCTTTTCCTGCAGTAGAAATGTTCACTGACATCCTGAAGATGAGCTCTCTAGAATAAAAATCCGATGAACTTTTCTTTGGAGATGAGGGGACATTCGTTTATCTCCGCTGGGCTTTCTCTCAAAGAAAAAAAAAATCTTCTAATCTTCCTCTTCTTTTTCCTGCCCCACGAATGTGTCCAGGGATTTTACACCCTCAGTCCAGGTCCACCTTTTCCTGTGAAGGGGGGGGGAAAAGTCGAATATTTCTTGTCTGGGTGTTACCAGAATAAAAAACGATTAGTATTGGGGAATCAGTAAAGGGGACAGGGAAGGATGGAGAGTAAGGTGGCTCATGTATTGTCCTCACAGTCCAATATCAGGTTTAAAGGAAAATAACCAAACCCGAAAAATAAACCTATGACAGTAAGCATCTTACGGTAGCTAAAAAGAAAATCCCTTTATCAACAACACAAGGATAATCACCTTTTTAAAAGCATTAAATTATCTTAAGGATCTGATTCAAGTCCAGAAAGGTTTTTGTGTTCTTTTTTAAAGTTTAGGATTTCAGTCTGGCACATGTGATATCTCAACCCCAGAAACACAGCCTGAACACTCAGACAAGAAGGAAGAACACAGCTTTAAACATCCCTAAACATGTCCTAGATCTTGCAATTTAGAAGACCAGACCCTGGAAGTTCTGAGGCTAGTTTTCAGAATAGAATGTTGCTAAATTTTCCTTATTTCTAATTTAGGTTTCAGTACTTCTTTTTACAAATTGTCTGGGCAATCTGTTTTTTGTTCCTAGTAAGGAACAGAAAAAACAACCAATAACTGCCCCCAACACACACACATACCTCCCTCCTATCCTCTTTTCCCAAACAGCTTCTACAATTTCTTTTTTGAAATATGCATGTCTTTTAAGAGCATTTCTCTCTAGAAAAGACAGTGTTATATAAAAAGTTAAATACCTGCCTTTTGAGAAAAAAATACATTTAAACAATTCTACCATATTCCTAGGTCAGAGAATTGCTCACTCTCTTAAATACGGTGCTACTGACTGTACAGAAAACTGATTAAGACATACACTTTAAGTGATCTGCGCCAAGGTGGCCTCAATGACCGCAAATGAGTGTGTTTGACAAAGAGCAGTTAAAACGGTTTTTAAAGGGATCAGCCCCTTTTTAACAGTTGATTGTCAAGAAAAAAATAAATAAATATACATACACACACACATACACACACACAGACATTGCTTACCTTTTAATCCTTTATCATTTTTTAATTAGGCCAGCAAATCAAAATGCCTTTCCCACTCCACTCGGCAAACAAGCCTGTGCCTCATTTTACTTAAACACCAAATGATCAAGAAGGAAGAAACCAAATAACACATCTCAGCCAGAATAATCACTCGATAACATTATTCCACCTCCCCACCCCCCTTTTGGCAAACGAATCAGTCCTTTTCTCCTTAAAAAAAATGTGTCACTGTACAGCTGGAAAATAATGTTTCACATTCACAACAGAAGCACCAAAGGTTTTTTTTTCCTCTTAACAAGCATCGAGAATAATAGTTTTTTAAAAAACAGAGAGTTTAGAGAAAAAAGTTTTCCCAACTTCTCATTCCGCCTTCAGTTCCAGACTTCAGAGTCACCGTGATCAGTAATGATCCCATGTAGCAAACCTACAGGCGTCCGCTAGTAACGAGACAGAATGTGCTAACATCGGGATAAATTAGTGAAAGGGAAGAAAGAATAAGAAGAAAGGACTGAAAATCTGGGCTGGATTCCGCCTGTTAGTCGGGAAGTGGCATTTTTCCGCCCGTCCTGACAGATTTGATTTCTTGAACTAACTTAAGAGAAAAGGAGGGGGGGAGTAGAGGGAGGAGGAGGAGAAGAAAGGGTGGGATGAGAAACTGGGCAAGAGGAGAAAAAGAAAGGTGTGGAGGAGGAGACAGCAGATGATTCAGTGAGCTGATAAACCAGTTATAACAGCATTCGCTCGGGGCGGGGGGCGGGGGGCTTGGGGCGGTGGGGTGGGGAAAATAACGGCGTTTAAAATGGGCTCAGTCTTCGAAACCTAAAGGATGTGATGTTTTCCTGTCTTATGTTGTTTTAAGAAAAAGGAACTGAGTTCCTAGTATAGCTCCCGAGGGGAGTGGAATCCTCTGTCGCTCAGGTCAGCCAGTCATGTGGTAATTCGATAATTAGAGTCAAAATAAGGTTTTTGTTTTCTTTTTTTTTTTTTTTAAGGCGACCCTTTTCGGGAGTTTTTCCCTCTTATACTCGCAGCAAACGGTGTGTCTCCCTTTTATTTATTTTTTCTCTCCTCTCCCTTCGCCCAGCCCCTCCTGTGTTTAGTCAGATGGCCCCGGAGCTTGGCTTAGTATTTTTAATTAGCTGGCGTTTGGAAGCTAAAAGCAGTAATGAATTGTTGATGGATTGGAAGTGGAGAGTCGCTTTGCTGGAAATGTCGGGGCTGGGAGAGGGGGATGGGCGAGTTAGTAACAACCAACCATCTAAAAGGAGCGATTTTGTTACAGTGCAAGCCTTTCACATCACGTGAGGATCAAGGGCTCAATTGGTTGTCGTGAGAACAAAAATGGTGACAAGCGTATCAAGAAAATACTGATCTGGTCTTTAAAAAAAAAAAAGCTGAAAGTCTCTCCCCTCCCCCTGCACACACTCCCCCAACCTCCTCCCCCCGCCCCCCCGCAGTGGGCGAAGCTACAAGTTATGAATGTGAAACATTTCTCGGAGATCTAGGATCTCCGAAGTTCGGAAGGAGCGAAATGTAATGAGCACAAGAGCAAAGCAGATGTTTTAAAGAAACACTTTATAAACCTTTCCTCAACTTATCTCCAATTTGTCGGCTTTCCCAAGGGGCCAGGGACGGGGACGCCTGGGGGAGGGAGAAGGGTATCTCCGAGCTACTTGGATTTTAGGGACCCCCACTTCATGTATTAAACAAAGAAAAACCTTTTGCTTGCTCCCCAGCCTGGTCCTGTAATAAATACACCATTGTTACTATTTGTGGGTTTGTTTGGGTTGGGTGGGGCTTTTATTTTTTCTCTTAATGGTATTTTTGTTGCTTGCTTTTTTAAGGAGATGGCGAATGGTAATTATAACCATTACATGTAATGAGTGACTATTCCCTTGTTTAATATTAAATTATCGGGCACTGGGATCTGACAGGAGACAGAAATCGGCTTGTTCTGCCCTTGCCCCCATTTTCCTGGATCGCTTTGGGAGGGGGGTCTGCCCAGCTAGGACAGAAGAGGGAGGGAGTAAGGTGAGCTAGAGAATTGACACTGCAGACCAGGATATGCAACTGTGTCACTTTTATTCTCCTTTGGGTTAGAGCCCAAAAGCTAATTTCCTCTAAGTTACCCCGAGTGCCCAGTCAAGCTTAATTTGTGTGAAGTTACAAATGCTTCACCCTCCACTGAATAAAATTCACCCTTCTTGGGTTGTTGTTCTAAATGCAAAAGCCAAACCCTGTAACTAGTTCCTCATTTCTATGCATAAAACTCGCACATTCCCCTGCATGAAGTCCCCGCTAAGTGCTATATAGAGACACACCACGCAACCGTACTTACGGTCTGTATTGGATCGAGTTGACCTTTTCCTTCTAACTGCATTGAATGTGTTTGGTTGCAGCCGCTTTATTTTGGAAATTATAATCTCTTCAACAAATTTATTATTAAAGAAGATGGACCATCAAATGTCACAGACCGTCCTGTGTATTTTTTATAAAAGCAAAAATTAAAATTTAAAAAAAGCAAAACAAAAATCCCCCTGGTGCACACACACAACAAGCTTGTTCTGCAACACTAAATCAGGACTGAAACACAACACACACACAGGGGGAGTGGAGCAAAAGAAGCTCTCAGCCTCTATACCTGAAAGGGACTTTTCTTTGTTCCCAGTGCCCTTTCGCATCGGGCCAATCAGAGAGCAGCTTTTATGAAACTGGGCTCTCTCATTGGCTAGCTGCTTTCTCTTGGCTACTGTAGGGGGTTGAGATATACACACGTATAAAACACACACTGAGAGCGGGTGGGGGTGCTGTGGGGGGTGGTTGTGGAGACAAAGCGTTTTATTTTCCAACCAGATTGGGGTTGAGGAACCTCCCGCAGTAAGAAGGCAAAAAAATGGTGCGCCCCTTTCAATTACTACATCATTCACATAAAACACTTATTTATTAAAACAAATCTCAAACAGGCTGCGAGGAGAGGATGTCGGTAAATACAAGTTTGATTGTGTTATCTTGGGGGAAATAATGTATGTGATCGCTCGGTGGCAGAGAGAAGCCAAACGAGCCGCTAGCGCGTAGCGAAGAGAAAAGGGAGGCTGGCTGTGTGGAACTGACTGCGAGCATTTTGCCGGCTTCCCTTCCTTGTTCCAAGGACTTCGCAGCCCAACTCCCAAGACTGATTTTCTGTATTGCAGCTTCTGGCTTTCAACCCTCCCCCCACCACTTTGCCCTTCCTGCAGTTTTTTTTTTTTTTCTTCCCTGTGTCTCTCTTTTTACTCGCTGATTAAATAAGAAAAATCGATCTGCGGGTAAAGGCGATGGTGGGGAAACAAGTAACCCTTTTGTTTCCAGGGCTCTGGTCTACAGGCACTGAAGTGTGAACGCAGGCGACCATTTAACCAACACTATGTGAATGGTTCTTCCCTGGAATTAGTAACAAATCTTTTCCACCTGGTGTTATGTGACTCCAAAAAAGAAAAACTTAATATTAAAATAAGGCCCCAGCTAAACATAGTAACACCTCGGGCCAGCCTCATCTTTTAAAAAATCGACTTATGAAAGTTAAATGTACTAGGAAGATTAACTGTTAAACAGTCCCAGTACACGTATTTAAACTGTGGAAGGGTCAGAATTCCTCTTCCCCCATATCTTTAACCCCACTGGTGGGGAAGGGGGCATCATGAATCCTCTGAATGCTACATCTACAATCCACAAACACAGAAATATTTTAGAATTTATTGTAGGACAAATGCCAGCAACCAAGTTAATGAGACTCAGCTCATAGGATAAGAGAGGTTAATATGAAATAACAAGTTTAACATTTTACTATAACAGCTAACATATTTAAGCTAATGTATTTACATATATTAAGCCTTTAGAGTACATTTAATTTTTAATTTTTTATTGTTACCTTCATTGTTTTTAGAAGCTACAATATGGACATTTGAAAGTCAAAGGTTACTGTAAACTGAAAGCATCATGATCCCAAGTTTTAAAGATCCAGTACTACTGGGATTGTAATTTCCACGTGACAATTGTAATTTAAGGTTGTGTCTTAACTGAGTCATATGGACATGTAAAGTGAATGAGTGCTAGCAGAAGACAGCTTCTGATGTAAATATTCAGTGATGACTTCGTGGATCAATAAAAATATTTATGTCACATATTTTAAATAATGGCTATTGACTCATGTTTGAGCTTTCAATATATTTAGTCCATAAAAAAATTGCCAATTAGCTGTTTCACTACCATAAATGAACTAGATTTGAGGCTGCAAATAGTAATAAACAGCAGTTTCCACCCTTTATTGGGACATATAAACCAGAGGAATGCAATCTGTACTAGTCCTTAGCTCTCCCTAAGTCAATTTGTATTCAAATCAAAGCTGTACTTTAACAAATAAAATGGGCAAATTAGGGATCTGATATCTACCTAGCCTCCATTTTAGCTTTGAGATTTGTTTTATATTTTTGAATATACAGATTTTACATTTGTGTATGCCCCATTGATAAGAATACAGCACCATACTGTTTTTTAACTTTTCTTCTTCTAAAAGAGTGATTTCTCAAAGGATCAGATCACTCTTGGGCACTTCCTGTGTCCCTGGGGTGTCATCTACATCTCAGCCTTTGGAAGCCCATGCCTACCCCATATGTTATATTAGTTTGGAAATAATATATAGGTAGTTCTTAAAAGAATGGGACATTTAAAAATGAGACCTAGTGAAGCTGGAGAAGATTGGAGTTCCTCCAATACAAAACAAATTACAGCGTCTGCAGCACAGATGAAGTCTAACTAAAACCAAAGTTTAGGGTTTGTAATAATCAAATAATCTAATCTAACCCGAGCTTCAACACTTAAACCCAAACCTTAAACCTTTCTGAGAAACCCTACTGGCCCAAGATGAAGGCTTAGGCCCGACTCTACCACATATTTAACCCAAACCATTTTGATAAATTAAAGTATTTCCTTCCATTCCAACATCTCCACACTCCATTTACACCCCACCCCCACCTCCTTCCTCCCAGGTTCTTCCAGGAGACTTTTGAATAAACCAGTGTTGTCAGACTGGCTTTTCTTGTGTTTGTTTTGTTTTGTTTTGTTTGACAAAGGGGCCAATCAAAAGGCATCAGAGGACCATCAGCTAATTGATGACTGAAACTAAGACAATTAACTACCAGTTTTGAAAATCAGAGCTACTCCTCTCACAAAATTGGGAAGTTTTCTGTATTTATAGAGATGAAAATGTTATCTTAATCTCTCATCAAGGTAACTAGGAACCTATTTGTCACCATTCTAATATCCACATGCATATACTTCATAATATCAATACACTACTGTATAATATAAGCACTATGTAATTTTACACCTTAGTGTCTACTCAGAGATGTGGTAGAAAGGAGGAGATGTCAGGAAATGAGTATTTGGAACAGAGGGGTGGAAGGAGCATGAGGATAGTGTAAAAGGGGCATTTAAAAAGTATCATCCAGCTCTTTGGAGGCCGACGTGGGCGGATCACCTGAGGTCGGGAGTTTGAGACTCGCCTGACCAACATGGAGAAACCGCCATCTCTACTAAAAATACAAAATTAGCCAGGCGTGGTGGTGCATGCCTGTAATCCCAGCTACTCGGGAGGCTGAGGCAGGAGAATTGCTTGAACCTAGGAGGCAGAGGTTGCAGCAAGCCGAGATCGCGCCATTGAACTGCAGCCTGGGCAACAAGAGCAAAACTCCATCTCAAAAACAAACAAACAAACAAACAAACAAAACAGTATCATCCCCCTCCAACAACCTCCACTACCCGCTCCTTGGATCTCAAGATCAGCTCTGCCCCTGCTTGTACTACATCATTGTTAAGGTCATCAAAAGGTCCCTTTCCTCCTTTTTTAAAGACAGACGATCTCAATGCTGAGGAGGCCAGGGGCTTCTAGCAGTAACACAGGAAAACATGGTGATCTTTCTTTGGTGCCTATTTCCTCTGATTTAGGGTATATTATTAAAGATCAAAGATTATTTCTTGGGCTAGGCCCAGTGACTCATGCTTGTAATCCCAGCACTTTGGGAAGCTGAGGCTGGAGGATCGCTTGAAACCAGGAATTCAAGACCAGCCTGCTCAGCATAGCGAGACCCTGTCTCTATAAAATTTTTTTTTCTTTTTTTTTTTCTTTTTGAGTCAGTCTCACTCTGTCGCCCAGGCTGGAATGCTGTGGCACCATCTCAGCTCACTACAACCTCCACCTGCCGGGTTCAAGGGATTCTTCTGCCTCAGCCTCCTGAGTACATGAGATTACAGGTGTGCGCCACCACGCTTGGCTAATTTTTGTATTTTAGTAGAGACGGGGTTTCACCATGTTGGTCAGGCTGATCTCAAATTCCTGACCTCGTGATCCTCCCGCCTCAGCCACCCAAAGTGCTGGGATTACAGGTGTGAGCCACCGTGCTCGGCTACAAAAAATTTTTAAAAAGTTAGCCAGGCGTGGTGGCACATGCCTATGTCCTAGCTACTCTGGAGGCTGAGGTGGGAGGATCATTAACGGCCAGGAGTTGGAGGCTGCAGTAAGCTATGATCATACTGCTATACTCCAGTCTGGGCAACAGAATGAGAACATGTCTAAATATATATCTATTTCTCCAGTTTTTGTGTATTTGTAAGGGAGTCTATTCCTAGGCCTACCTTTTCTATATTTATGCCAACATTGACACTTGAGATCTACTCAGGATCAAGGGAAAAAGTGGAAAACAAAGTTATAAAAAATGAAACCAACATGGAAATGGGGTTAATTTATAGGAAAAAGAACTTAATTTAGACATAATGAGAAACTTACTGGCTATCCCAGAGGATTATGGAGAAAGATTCTTATCTCTCTGGGTTTGCTTATCAACAGGATGGCCTCAAGGCAGTGGGCAGGTGTCCTGCCCTGGTTTCTAGGGAATACAGTTGATGACTTATTAAACACCCACACAAACACAAGAAGGTCTTTGCTTTTTTTCCCTACAGGTAACATCCTGACTTGCTAAAGGTCCTCTAGAAAAAACACTGTCTCTACTTTTTCACACCTGCATGCTAAATCCAATTTAAGTTTCTGGGTAGTACTTTAAACAATATCCATTTCCCAGGCTGGATGTGGTGACTCATGCATGTAATCTCAACACTTTTAGAGGCTGGGGTGAGAAGATGCCTTGAGCCCAGAAGTGCAAGACCAGCCTGGGCAACATAGGGTGACCCCGTCTCTATATAAAATCAAAAAAACTAGTCAGGCAAGGTGGTCTATAATGCCAGCTACTCAGGAGGCTGAGGCAAAAGGATCACCTGAGCCCAGGAGGTCGAGGCTGCAGTGAGCCATAATCACGCCACTGCACTCTAGCCTGGGCAACAGAGCCGGACCCTGTCTTTTTAAAAAAACAAAAATATCCATTTCTGGATAACTGTTGCCAAAAGGAGACGAGCAGTGTTGTTCTTGGTCAAACATTTGACGTTTTGCATTATCCTGAAATATCACTGGAACAAGACAAAGCACTAAGAGCCTTGTCTACCGTGGAAAGAAGGGCCCCTGCACACCATAACATTTCAGGTCCTTTTGGGGAGCATGAAGGGTCTCAGAGAAGAAAAACATCAACAATGTTCTCCCTGCCATGAAAGACTGTGGGACATTTCCAATATACATTTTGTAAATACGACTATTTACACACATCGTATTACTCTGCTATGTTAACTTTTCAAGATACTTCTATGCCCTATTAATTCACCTTCAGTTTAAATTCCTTAGAGTATAACAAAAAGACCCTCCACCCAAGGGAGGGAAAGTAATAACTGTCTTGACATGTCTTTACAATACAGTTTACCTTAAACAAGTTGCGATGATATAGAGCAAATATTACGTGAATTTATTTAAGACTACAATGCATTTAATTAGTAAAGCAATATAAAGTTGAAGAACTTTATATACTTATAAACCCTCTATGTTTATGTAATTCCTCATATAGTCTCTAATCCTCCATCTTAAAATAATCAAAATAAAAAGCAGCAAATTGTCTTTTTTATGCCTTGCAGCTCTAGAGAACCTAGCAAAATATGGCAAAACAATGTGATCTTTAAAGGAAAACATTTGTATACTGCTCTCATTAAGAGAAGTGCAATGTAGGTCAGTGTTAAGTATCTGAAATTGTACCTCCGCTTGGCTCGGGCTTTTGTGGTGTGGTGTGTGCAGCTATATCTGAGTGGGTGCTCAAGCAAGGTCTGAGGATCAGTTAGCAAAGTAAGGCAATTTACATCTCGTGTAATGAAACCATTTCTGGAAAAGGATTTTTCTTTTATGCCAGCAGAGACTGGCTGCATAAAGAAGATCAAAACACAAGCTACATTAAAAAAAAAAAAAAAAAAAAGAACTACTTATTGGAGATTTCTGTTGCTGGTTTTATTACAATATGTATTTTACAGATTTAGGTAATAGCCCTGATTTTTCAAATCGACCTCTGTTTAGACACGTTTCACTTTCGGCTGTTTCTTGTCTGTAAAATTACAGTCATTTGCACGTTATTACAGTGAGTAGGAGACAGATTGTATTTAGCATTGGGTGGGGGAAGGGTTATTATGGGAAGTGATCTGCTAAGGTCAGCACATAATTTCAGCCTGAAGAAAATTGCTTCTGAATGGCTGGTCTGTTAGCTAGCCAAGGAATAGTCACTGGGAGAGACTGCAAAATACTTCTGCTTAATCTGCATTATAGAGTTATTCTCATTTCCAGATAGATGGCCCGTAGATACAGTGTTTGTAAAACTAAATTTAAAAACTTGTAGGTGAAATGTTGTCACTGCTCTATTTGAATTCAAAACAATTACAACAAAATGCAATACGATCAAGCACAGGAAGATCAAGAGGCAGCAGGATCCAGCCATTACGTTCCACTCCATCTTTCTCCTTTGCCTCCATTTCTCTGCTTCTTCTTTTGTCATTTTTAAAATCCTTATGACTTCATGACAGTAGATTTTTACATATGTGTAAAAATTGAGAGCAATACCAAACACATTGATACATGTATCTCCAACTTTCACACATATATGACTGCAGGAAAACAAAATGCCTAAATTAGTTTCTTTTTGGAGAGTGGCATAATTCCCTCAAGTGTGAAAGCACTAAATATACTTTTGATGCTAGAATTTAAGGATTTTTTTCACATTTTATAAAAATATATTCTATTTGTGCACATTTTCTAAAGCTGACAGAAGAACAAAGCAGTGATACTTATCAGAAACAGTAACCCCTGCCTAATTTTAATATTTAAATCCAACCCTTATGCATCACCTGGGAAGTCTTAACATATTTGGTTAGATGAAATCAGGAGACCAAAGTTTATTTTAAAGAAGAATAAAAGAGTTCCGTTATACTCGGCTCCTTTGGCTGTTGAATATCACTTTTGTTGTGAACAACTGTGCCTCTTTTGTTTTCAAAACAAGCTTTCCTAAAGAATGAATCACTACAATCATTTGGAGAATATGCAATAAACAACAGAAAGCCAGAAAGTTGTTTTGCTATTTTCTCAGCAGAGCCTTTCCTCCCCTTCCTCACAGCTCAGCGGTGCCTCCAGTCCACCAGCCAATCATCATTATGGAAATGTGGTTCTCAGCCCCCTGATTGGCTGACTTCTGGTCCAGGATGTTTAAGGTTTCTACAGCTCATCACATGCATTGCCTGCCAGACTGCTCTGTGGACCTTTTTCTACTATGAATATTTTAATCATCTTTTATTTTCCTTTCTTTTCCTTTCTGTCCTTCTGTCCTCTTTTTTAAGATTCTTAAAATCATTTAAGGAAGCACCTTGTATTTTCTTGCAAACACCTTTAAAATGTAATGATCTGTTAAGAATAGAGTTGAATATACGAGAACATGTTTTCTAACCATATTTTAATGTTTTCTGTTTATTTGGGTTTTAATGATGTGTCTTTGGATTTTAGAGGGGTCCCATGAAAGTTAAATGAACAAACATATGCTTTAATTTTTATAATTCTAAACATAATGTCTCCCAAAAAGAATTTTATTGAGATATTTACAAGTCAAAACATTAAATTAAAAAACCTTTAATACTGAAAAGTAATCTTTCAGGTAAAGGAGACAATGTATTTTTTCATAATTAAAACATTGCCTTTTATTTGTAATTTTAAAAGATGTTTTAAACATTAACACTCTTGGCCGGGTGCTGTGGCATACGCCTGTAATCCCAGCAGTTTGGGAGGCCGAGGCAGGTGGATCGCTTGGGGTTAGGAGTTCGAGACCAGCCTGGCCAACACGGTGAAACCCCGTCTCTACTAAAAATACAAAAATTAGCTGGGCATTATGGCAGCTGCCTGTAATCCCAGCTACTCAGGAGTCTGAGGCAGGGGAATCACTTGAACCTGGGAGGCAGAGGTTGCAGTGAGCCAAGATCATGCCACTGCACTCCAGAACTCCAGTCTGGACAACAAAGCGAGACTCTGTCTCAAAAAAAAAAAAAAAGGAAGTTAACACTCCTATAGTGTATTAAGGATGCACAACTCTTTCAAGCTTGTTGTTGTTGTTGTTGTTGTCGGGGTTTTTTGTTTTGTTTTGTTTTGTTTTGTATTTTTGGAGACAGAATCTCACTCTGTCACCCAGGCTGGATTGCAGAGGCATGATCGAAGCTCACTGCAGCCTCAACCTCCTGGGCTCAAGCAATCCTACCTCAGCCTCCTGAGTAGCTGGGACCACAGGCATGCACCACCACAGCCAGCTAGTTTCTTTATATTTGTAAAGAAGGGTGTCTCCTATGTTGCCCAGGCTGGTCTCAAACTGCTGGGCTCAAGGGATCCTCTTGCCTCGGCCTCCCAAAATGCTGGGATTATAAGCATGAGCCACCACGCCCAGCCTGAAATAGGTTTGTAATTCAAGTGAATAATAGTAGGAAATACATGTGTGATTTACTATGTTCCAAAAAGTCTTCTTAATTATTTATATGTATTAATTTATTTAATCTTCATAGCAGGCAAGTGAAATAAGTAGTATTAGCATCAGAATGAGGAAACTGAGACACAGAAATCATGTAATTTGTCTAAATTTTCCAGCCAAATCTTGGTCCAGCCAAGATTTAATATAGGAAGCCTGTATGCTTAACCACTGCACCAGGACTATTATAAAAGAACAAAACTCCAGACAACATTGCCATTCTTTTTGTTGAGTGCAGGAACATTAACAGGTGACCAAGGACTTCTTTTCCTGAAAGAAATGCAGTTAACAAGCAATGTGCTAACTTTTTTCCAACATAGAACAACTCTATGCCAAACTGAAGATATGGCACATTTGATCAGATACATGCAAATTCTGCGAGAAATTGTATCACTTCTGGTCCTTATACTCAGGATATTTTTTAAAAATCAATTTTCTTCTTATCACTTAATTGAAAAAAAAAGTTTTTGGTCACATCTTTGGATCTGAGAAAAATTTTAAACATTTAAGAAATATTCCCATAATAGTGAGGCAGCCAGGTGGGAGGGGGTCCCTGGAGAAACTCCAACCAGCCTGCCCAATGAGATGGAGCCTCACCAACGTGAAGTTCAGGACATTTGCAGCAGGGAGGAACCTTGCCTTACCTTTTCCTGTGTGGAACCTGGGATCCAAGCTGCTGGTGAGCAGCACTCTATCTGCCAGAGTCCTTGTTTCCCCCTTTTCTTCCTTTTCACCCAATAAAACCCTGCTTCACTCACCCTTCAAACCATCTGGGAACCTAAATTTTCATGGCCGTGGGACGGAAAAGGACCCTGTTGTTAGCTGAACCAAGGAAAAGTCTTACCACAATAGGTGGCAGAGTGAGGTTAAAAAATGACATAAAGCTGGCCATTATTGGGACTGGTGGTTTGTTGATAGGGATCATAATATTCGTTTTTGTTTTTGTTTTTGTTTTTTTTTTTTTTTTTTGGAACGGAGTCTTGCTCTGTCGCCCAGGCTGGAGTGCAGAGGTACGATCTCGGCTCACTGTAAGCTCTGCCTCCCGAGTTCACGCCATTCTCCTGCCTCAGCCTCCTGAGTAGCTGGGACTACAGGCACCCGCCACCACGCCCAGCTTTTTGTTTTTTTTTTTTGTTTGTTTTTTTTTGTATTTTTTAGTAGAGATGGGGTTTCACCGTGTTGGCCAGGATGGTCTTAATCTCCTGACCTCGTGATCCGCCCGCCTCGGCCTCCCAAAGTGCTGGGATTACAGGCGTGAGCCACCGTGCCCCCCTGGGATCATAATATTCTTTATGTAATACATGCGCTTACATACGCACACACACTTTTGAAAATTTCTATGTTAAAAACTGGGGCCAGTTGAAAGGCTCATTCCTATAATCCCAACACTTTGGGGGGCCAAGGCGAGAGGATTGCTTGAGGCCAGGAGTTCGAGACCAGACTGGGCAATATAACAAGACCGTGTCTCTACAAAAAATTTCAAAAATTAGGTGAATGTGGTGACACATGCCTGTAGTCCCAGCTACTTGAGAGACTGAGGCAGGAGGATCACTTGAGCCCAGGAGTTCAAGGCTCATTACGGTGAGCTATGCCACTGTACTCCAATCTGGGCAAAAGAGCAAGACCCTGTCTCAAACAAACAAACAAACAAAAAGCTACCGTGCCTTGGAGAAGGAAGGAGCTATTCAGAAACACAATTTATCCCTTGGATTTAGAACAGTTTTTGCATTAATCCAACAGGGTAAAATGACTTTACTGTATATACAAACAAGCAGCAGATTACACCTGTAGCCTACCCTTTGTTTACACAGGTTTTTGTTTGTTTGTTTTGAGTCCAATTTACTTGCAAGGCCATATACGTTGAAAATCTGTAACGTGCTATTTATATTTTCTTTTTTTCTTGAGACGGAGTCTGGCTCTGTCACCCAGGCTGGAGTGCAATGGCGCTATCTCGGCTCACTGCCACCTCCGCCTCCTGGGTTCAAGCGATTCTCCTGCCTCAGTATCCCAAGTAGCTGGGATTACAGGCATGCACTGCTACGCATGGTTAATTTTTGTATTTTTAGTAGAGAAGAGGTTTCACTATGTTGGCCAGGCTGGTCACGAACTCCTGACCTCAAGTGATCCACCCATCTCAGCCTCCCAAAGTACTGGGATTACAGGCGTAGGCCACCGCGCCTAGCCGCTATTTATATTTTCAACATGTGTCTAGGAGACTCAGTTGAACAGTTTATAACTTCCTTGCACAAACTTTTTTTTTTTTTTTTGAGACAGAGTTTCGCTCTTTCACCCAAGCTGGAGTGCCATGGCGGAATCTCAGCTCACTGCAACCTCCGCCTCCCGAGTTCAAGCAATCCTCCTGCCTCAGCCTTCTGAGTAGCTGGGATTACAGGTGTGTGCCACCATGCCCAGCTAATTTTTGTATTTTTAGTAGAGACAGGGTTTCACCATGTCGGTCAGGCTGGTCTCAAACTCCTGACCTTGTGATCCGCCCGCCTGGGCCTCCCAAAGTGCTGGGATTTGCAGGCATGAGTCACCACATCTGGCTCATTCATTTTCTTTAAAATAAAGAAAAAATTTGGTAGTTTAGATTTCTTCAGTACATGTTTTCTGTCTTATTCAAAGAAATAGAGTTGTAAAAATGAAACACACAATTCAGACACAGAATTAAATTCTTTTTTTTTTTTCTAAGGCAGGCTCTTGCTCTGTCGCCACAGCTGGAGTGCAGTGGCATGATCATAGCTCACTGCAGCCTTGAAATCCTGGGCCTAAGCCATTCTTCCGCCTCAGCCTCCTGAGTAGCTGGGACTACAGGTGCATGCCACCACACCTGGCTAATTTTTTAATTTTCATTTTTGTAGAGATGGGGATCTTGCTTTGCTGACAAGGCTGGTCTTGAACTCCTGGACTTAAGCAATCCTCCTGCCTTGGCCTCCCAAAGCACTGGAATTACAAGGAGGAGCCACCATGCCTATCCAGAATTAAATTCTTTAAATAAAATAGCAGCATACAGTGAAAGACGCTATATAATATAAGCAAAATTGAACAGAATTAGACTAAATGAAGAGAAAAATGTTTAATCTTTTCACAAAGAGGTCTAAGACATCGACATTAAAAAGGGCATTGAAAAAGATAAAATCGTGGTAACAGTTACTATTCTTAACAAATAGGATATAATTTTGTGAAATAATGAGATTATAACACAAGGAGTCACTGATAAAACTGTTATAGCAGGAAATGGATAAATCATTAAATATAATGAGATTTAACTATCACTGTAAGAGAAATGATATGTAATTAGAAAAAGGAACAGAATATAAAAAGAAAGCAATGTCTCTATCCATGGTTCCACATTAGTAAAAGTCTAGTGATAAAGAGGGAAGTATCTCTGAGTCTATTAATAAATTATAGACCCAGTTTTCATTAATTATAATAACAATGGTCCTTCCAAATTCAAACTCATCTTCTATCATCCTTTCATTTTTAAGAAACACCTGTATAGCACTTACTCAGTGCAAGGCACTATACTAAGCATTTTACAAATATCAACTCATTTCCTGTAATTAAGTTTGAGCTATCCATGTAGTAACTCAAAAATCCTCTATTGTGTTATGCAAGGTTCAAAGAAGATATGAAAAAGAAAAGACATCATCTCTGCCCTTGAGAGGCTTTGAGTTTCCTAGAGGAGATAAGACACCCAACTATGAAAAGAATGTGATTTATGATAATAAGTAGAAAAAGCATTGCTTTGGGGGAAAAGGAAAAGCTAACTTTATCTAAGGAGTCAGTATAGATTCTAGAAACAAAGTAGGTTAAATTGTTAAACCACATTAGAATGGAGATTGTATTTCCAAGCAGAGGAAATATAATGACCATACATGTAGTGGCAAGAAAGAATGGGGCCCCAGTGTTGTCCAGCATGGCTAGATCTTAGGGGTCTTAAAGGGAAGGAATGCTGGTCAGGCTGTAGGCTGAAGTCTTATTGTAGATAGGGTCATTATGAACTGGCACAACGGTGTTCTGTTGAGGGAACAATGGACGCTGACATCAGGCCATGCTCTGCTCACCAGGCTGAGTGCCCTGGCTCTGTGCTATGTCACCCTAACGAAGGGCAATCTTTTGTAATGTATGTCAAACTGTGCTCTCATCCAGACTGGATTACACAGCTGCCTTTACCCCCTTTAGAGGAGCGTTTCAGTTTATCAGAGGACAATGGCCTACCCCTAGTAGGGACTATGGAAAATTCTTGAATCTCTTATCACTTTCAGTTTTTTACTGATGTATATAAAAAGAAAAGACAGAAAAGTTCCAGGAGATAGTAATGGATCATATCATATCATATATGCCTGGGCAAGTTCTTGAAAATTGTAATGCTCAAAACATTTGTTAAATTAATGAATTTATATTGAACTTCTATATGTGTAAATAGTAGAGAGAATGGATTCCCCAAAAATGTAAGGGGCAGTAATGAATCACAAGCAGCTCAGGATGTATTGACATATACTGAAGCCAATGAGTATATTCACTGGACAAAAGATAACAATAAACATGTATTAAGACAACTCGGAATTTAGAAATCCTCAAATTAGAAAGTGCAAATTCTGCAAGAATATTTTACAGCCAAATTAAATAAACTAATGAAGGCAGAGAGAGGTCTTTATGAATGAAAACCTGTTGAGAGACAGGTCCTTATGAATCAAAACATGTTGAATGAAACAAAAGTTAATGTCAAGAAACGGAACATAGAGTCAAAAATGGGATCCCTAGAGAACAACAACATCTAAGTTGTCAAGGAAGATATTCTGGATAAATAAATAAATAAATAATAATCTAAATATGGGGCAAAAAATAAAAGGTCTTGAATGAGAGAGAAGAGAGATTTTCTTTTCTTTCTTTTTTTGTTTTTCTTTTTCTTTTTTTTTTTTTGAGAAGAAGTCTAGCTCTGTCGCCTAGGATGGAGTGCAGTGACTCAAGCTTGGCTCACTGCAACCTCCGTCTCCCAGGTTCAAGTGATTCTTCTGCCTCAGCCTCCTTAGTAGCTGGGACTACAGGCGCCCGTCACCACGCCCAGCTAATTTTTTGTATTTTTATTACAGACGGGGTTTCACCATGTTGACCAGGCTGGTCTCGATCTCCTGACCCAGTGATCTGCCCACTTCAGCCTCCCAAAGTGCTGGGATTACAGGCATGAGCCACGGCGCCCGGCCGAGAAGAGAGATTTTCTAAAGCTAGGGAAGGTACAGCTCTGAAGAGAGAGTGACCAACAATTCCAAATGCATCAGGGAAATCAAGTAAGTTTCGGATGGAAAAGCCTCCATTGGTTTTTTTGGAGAAGTCATGGGTGATCTTAAAAGGAGCAATGTCAGTGAAATGGTAGCAATAACCCTTTCACTACAATGGGTTTGGGACTGAAATAGGCAGGAACAAGTAGATCAAATGAAGTCTACTCCTAGAAGCTTGTTGGTTGAAAGCAAAGAGAGAGCATCATTTTTAGAAAAAGAGTCTGGGAAAAGGCTTTTGTTGTTGTTTACCTACTATGAAACAGCCTTCAACATTCTTTTTTTTTTTTTTTTTTTGAGACAGAGTCTTGCTCTGTCGCCCAGTCTGGAGTGTAGTGGCGCAATCTCAGCTCACTGAAAACTCTGCCTCCCGGGTTCAAGCGATTCTCCTGCCTCAGCCTCCTGAGTAGCTGGGATTACAGGCGCACGTCACCATGCCCGGCTAATTTTTGTATTTTTAGTAGAGAGGGGGTTTTATCATGTTGGCTAGGATGGTCTCAATCTCTTGACCTAGTGATCCGCCCACCTCAACCTCCCAAAGTGCTGGGATTATAGGCGTGAGCCACCTCGCCCGGCTGACTTTCTTAACATGCCGAGAGAAAAGAGTCAGTAGAGACGGGCTGGCCATGGTGGCTCACACCTGTAATCCCAGCAGTTTGGGAGCCGAGGCGGGCAGATCACCTGAGGTCAGGAGTTCGAGACCAGTCTGGCCAACATGGCGAAACCCTGTCTCTACTAAAAATACAAAAATTAGCCAGGTGTGATGGTGGATGTCTGCAATCCCAGCTACTCAGGAGGCTGAGGCTGGAGAATCGCTTGAACCCGAGAGGAAGAGGTTGCAGTGAGCTGAGATCATGCCATTGCACTCCAGCCTTAGGGGCAGAGTGAAACTTCGTCTCAAAAAGAAGAAGGACACAGTGGACTTTGGATACTCGGGGGAAAAGGTGGGAAGGGTGTGAGGGATAAAAGACTACAAATTGGGTTCAGTGTATACTGCTCGAATGATGGGTGCACCAAACTCTCACAAATCACCGCTAAAGAACTTACTCATGTAACCACACACCACCTGTTCCCCAATAACTTGTGGAAATACATTTTTTTTTTAAAAAAAGAAATGCCTGTTCAAGGTTTTATCCTAGTAACAAATGCTATGCAAAAGGAAAGGAAGGCAGCTGCATACAATGTGAATATATTCCCCACACCCAGGCCCTTTGGTAGGCCTTGCGTTACCTAGGGCTCCTCTCCGACTTGAACTCACAAACTAGAGGCTGTCTTATTTTGTTTGGAAAGAAGTTAGAGCAATAATCTGGAGGCAAAAAGCCTTTGCTTCCTGCTGTTCAATTGATGTGGCAAAGGAGCAAGGAGTTGGACCCTACTAGTGTAGCTCTTTCAAATGTGGTTCTTTGGTACTTGGACGATTACTGTGGATCCTGTATTGCACTTCCTATATGTTAGGTTATTGTTGGTATTACTGATACCACATTTGTGGTAGCTTTCTTCTGTTTGTGTTTTTCTCTACTGGTTTTTCCTCTTTCAGGAATTTCTCAAGATAATATGGTGCTCTTATGGTAACCCATGTTGCCTTATAGCACTTTTTTTTTTTTTTTTTTTTTTTTTCTGGAGACAGAGTCTCACTCCGTTGCCGAGGCTGGAGTGCAGTGGCGCGATCTCGGCTCACTGCAACCTCTGCCTCCTGGGTTCAAGCGATTCTTCTGCCTCAGCCTCCCGAGTAGCTGGGATTACAGGCATACGCCACCACACTCAGCTAATTTTGTGTATTTAGTAGAGACAGGGCTTCACCATGTTAGCCAGGCTAATCTCGAACTCCCGACCTCAGGTGATCCACCCGCCTCGGTCTCCCAAAGTGCTGGGATTACAGGCGTGAGCCACCGCGCCTGGCCAATATGGGGCTCTTATGGTAACCGAAGTTTCTTTGTAGCAGTCTTAAAGGCTATTTTCTGTCATTTCAGTGGAGCTTGGGTTGTTGAAAAAACTATATAGGCATACTGAGGCCATTATCTTGATGTAATCCCTATTGGGTTTTAAATTGAAGAAATACGTAAAAATAATTATGTTTGTCTCATAAAGTAAAAATATTACTACTAATAAATGCATTATTCAGGTGTATATAAAGCAAAAAAGAATAAGTTTCCTTCCAAATCTCCTTCTAACCATACTCTCTTATCCAGTAGAAATGTTTCTCTGTGATTTACTATATTCCCTTGCATATTTTGTTTCCATGCATCTATAAGTGTATACATGATATGCAGTTTTTTTCTTGCAAAAACTAGAATTTCTCTATTACAGCTTTTTCTGCAATTACTTTTTCACTTAAGACTATATGATAAACATCTTCCCAGATCAGTACATATAAATGAGCTCATTCTTTTTATGGCTGCATGATATCATTGAGATGGAAATACTGTAATTTACTATATCAGTTCTCCAAGTGATGAATATTTAGGTTGTTTTGAAAAAGCTTATGGTTTAATTCAACATCTCAAATAGTTATTAAGGTGTTATATGTATCGGGGTATCAAATAACATCTTATATCATAACAGAAAATATTATTAAACTATTCAGTATGAAAAATGAAGACTATTCCAGGAAAAGTCATTTAGTTGTCTCTCTTATGCTTAGGATTAAAATTATTAGGCAGAAAAAACTAAGTAACAGTGGCCATGGCTGAGCATGAAAGCAAACATCACATTAAATATTTGCTTTCCGTGGGTCATTTGAGGTTCTGTCAACTCTAAACACATTGCCTTAAACTGTTGGAAATCTAAAAATAGTTGTACTACTGCTTTCCTTTTTGTTCCTTATTCGTCTCATATCAGTTTACCTGATGTGAGATGTTTTGTTCTAATATTTATTTAAGCACTCTCTGTGTGCCAGGCATTGTACTAAATCTTTAGCCACAGTATTTTGCTTAACCCATACACCATCCAAGAAAAGTGTTATCCCCATTTTTAAATTAGATTTTGTTCAAATCCTAGCTCTGTTCTTTGTTAGCTCTGTGGCCTTGTGCCAGTCATATAACTTCCCTGAGCTTTGTGTTCCTCATAGAAAATAATGAGAACCATACTCTAGTACTCAATCATTTACAAACGTTTATTGAGTTCCTACTGTGTGTCAGGCACTGAGTAACAAGGTTGTTTGAAAGATTCAATGAACTCATGCTTCTAAAATTGTACCTGGCACAAAATATGCTTTCAAATGATAAATATCAGGTTGGTACAAAAGTAATTGTGGTTTTTGCAATGTAATAGTAATATTATTTTTTAAATGTATTTATTTATTTATTTTGAGACCAGGTTATGAAACTGGCTAATTTTTGTATTTTTGGTAGAGACAAGGTTTCACCATGTTGCCAAGGCTGGTCTCGAACACCTGGGCTCAAGGAATCCACCCGCCCTCAGCCTCCCAAAGTTCTGGGATTCCAGGCGTGAGCTACTGTGCCTGGCCTGTAATAGTAATACTATTATTGTGGCTAGAAAGACACCAAGCTTGAATTTGAATGCAAGTCTATATGAGTCCAAGGCCTCCTCTTTTTTCTTCATGTTATCTTCCCAAAACCAGGGTCATGTGACTATACCTGTAATTCACCATTTGTTTCACTGGTTTTTGCAATCTAAATCATACAGTTCTTTCAAGGCTAAAAAGTAAATCAAGCCCACCATAGTTTTTATGCTGGGGACTACTACCCCAAATCATTTTTTACTTCTCTTATTTGTTTTTTTTTTTTTTTTTTTTTTTTGCACTGTACACTACACGATCTAGTTAGTTCTCCATGGGTTGTCATATATTTTTTCTCTAAGCTATAAAAGTTAGCTGGCACTATTCACAATAGCAAAGACTTGGAACCAACCCAATTGTCCAACAATGATAGACTGGATTAAGAAAATGTGGCACACATACACCATGGAATACTATGCAGCCATAAAAAATGGTGAGTTCATGTCCTTTGTAGGTACATGGATGAAGCTGGAAACCATCATTCTCAGCAAACTATCACAAGGACAAAAAACCAAACACCGCATGTTCTCACTCATAGGTGGGAATTGAACAATGAGAACACATGGACACTGGAAGGGGAACATCACAACCGGGGACAGTTGTGGGGTCGGGGGATGGGGGAGAGAGAGCATTAGGAGATATACCTAATGCTAAATGACAAGTTAACAGGTGCAGCACACCAACATGGCACATGTATTCATATGTTACAAACCTGCACGTTGTGCACATGTACCCTAAAACTTAAAGTATAATAATTAAAAAAAAAAAAGAAAGAAAACTCCACCAAAAAAAAAAAGTTATCTTGGGCTAGCATAACAAACGAGATACATTGGGAGACTTAAGCAACAGAAATTTGTTTTTTTCACAATTCTGGAGGCTAATAGTCTCAGATCAAGATCTGGGATGGTTGGTTACTGGTGAGCATTTTCTTCCTGGCTTGCAAACAGCTCCATTCTCCCTGTGTCTTTATGTGGTGAAAAGAGAGAGAGGCAGAGGGCTCTCTGATGTCTCTTCTTATAGGACACCAATGCTATTGGATCAAGGCCCTATGCATATGATCTCATTCACCCTCAATTACTTCCTTAGAGGCTTCAACTCTAAATACAGCCACGTTGGAAGTTAGGGCATCAACATATGAATTTGGGGGAGACACAAACATTCAGTGCATAACCAAGTGCCTTCTTAAATGTATCTTGTCTTTCAAGACTTCAAGCAGAGAGACAGTATTGCATTTTTGACTTCTTTTATGTTTCTTGCAAAGGGCTTAGCTGTGACTAGACATGTAGTAGACTGAGCAATATACAAATGAAATCTATTTTACAAAATTTGCAAATCAAAATAAATGGAAGGACAATCACTATGATACATGGGTTCATGGATACTACTGTGAAAGAGGTCAGTGATAGAAGACTGAAGAAAGGGCAAACATTTAAAACTTCTAGGCTCTTTGACATTGAAATATATATATATATATACATATATATATACACACATATATATACATATATATATACACACATATATATACATATATATATACACACATATATATATATATATATTTTTTTTTTGAGATAGAGTTTCACTCTTGTTGCCCAGGCTGGAGTGCAATGGCATGATCTCATGATCTCAGTTCACCGCAACCTCCGCCTCCCAGGTTCAAGCGATTCTCCTGCTTCAGCCTCCCGAATAGCTAGGATTACAGGCATGTGCCACCACATTGGGAAAATTTTTTGTATTTTTAGTAGAGATGGGGTTTTCCCATGTTGGTCAGGTTGGTTTTGAACTCCCGACCTCAGGAGATCCTCCCGCCTCAGCCTCCCAAAATGCTGGGATTACAGGGGTGAGCTACCGCACTCGGCCTGACATTGAAAGAGATTAATGCCAATGCCCATGATGTTACAGTAATAAAATTAGGAAGGTGAGTGTAAATCAGCAAGAGTAAACATCAGTCTAATAGTATTCAGAGTGGTAAATAGCAGGAACGTTACAGTTCAAATGGTAACCACCACTTCCCAGAAAGAGGAATGCTTTTCTTTTTCCACTAGAATCTTGGAGTTTGCTTGTTATTTTTAACTGACTATCAGATGGTTTCCTCACCAGGGCCCATGTTGATGAAGGTAGTAGGGCACTAAAGCCAAGCATAACAAGAATTTTTTTTCTTTTTTCTTTTTTTATTTTTTGGATACAGAGTCTCACTCTGTCACCCAGGAGGGAGTGCAGTGGCGTGATCTTGGCTCAATGCAACCTTCACCTCCCAGGTTCAAGTGATCCTTCCATCTCAGCCTCCCGAGTAGTTGGGACCACAGGCATGTGTCATCATGCCCGGCTAAATGTTTTTTTTTGTATTTTTAGTAGAGACGGGTTTTAGCCATGTTGCCTAGGCTAGTCTCAAACTCCTGAGCTCAAGCAATCTACCCGCCTTGGCCTCCCAAAGTCCTGGGATTACAGGTATGAGCCACCACCCTGGCCAGGATTTTTATCTTCAGCAACACACCACATCTGAAACTCTGAACTGCAAACACCTACCTGTATATCTTTTCATAAGAATATAAACACATATATATACTTTTCTATTTTTATTTTTATATAACAAATTATTTGACTATTCTCCCCAAACAAAGCAATGTGGTCAATGGGTAAGAGATCTCTTACAGCAGTGAAGAATTTGGTGATCGGCACCTAGTGGAGTGAGTGAGCTGGCTGAGAATGGGGACAGGAACCATGGAAATAACCCTGGATTCAGAGTTAGAATCCTGGGTTCTTGTCCTAGTTGTCACTAATCAACGGTGGTGCCTAGGGCAAGCCACTTCAGTTTTCTGCTGTGCCCTAGTTTTTCTTGTTATAAATTGGGACAATAAGGCTTGCCCTACTTATCTCATTCATTTGTTGTGAGGGTCATACAAGTTAATGTGTGAATGTGCTTTTAAGACAAAAAGCCATCCACAAATGCAATGCATTTTCATTTTTTATGTTGTCTAGTGAAACTATCAAATAAACATGTAGTTGGATGATACTCCATCTTGACGGCTGTGGATTATACAAACAGACATAATAAATTGCTAATATTATACCCCCAAATTTTATTACCAGTATGAATTGACAGAGGGATAAAAACAGTTGTATACAGATGAGGCTAAGAGTATGTTAGAAAATGATATATTAGACACTGATAGCTTTAGGAGATGCTGAGATAAAGGTGTAATAGCAAATGTGCAATCTAGATCAGTTAGTCTAGCATTTGATAAAATAATAGTGAAGTTGAATGCTTTGCTACAGTGGTTATTTTTAAAATTTAACCTGAGGAAGTATGAAAGTAAATAAAAGTTTTCATCATTAGAACTATATCCTTCCTTCCTTTCTCTCTTTCTTTCCTTCCTTCCTTCCTTCTTTCCTTCCTTCCTTCCTTCCTTCCTTCCTTCCCTCCCTCCCTCCCTCCCTCCCTCCCTCCCTCCCTCCCTCCCTCCCTCCTTTCTTTCTTTCTTTCTTTCTTTCTTTCTTTCTTTCTTTCTTTCTTTCTTTCTTTCTTTCTTTCTTTCTTTGATACAGGGTCTCACTCCTGTTACTCAGGCTGGAGTGCAGTGGCATGATCACAGTTCACTGCAGCCTCTACTTCCTGGGCTCAGGTGGAACTCCCACTTCAGCCTCCTGAGTAGCTAAGACTACAGGTGTGCATCACCACACTGGGCTATTTTTTTGTATTTTTAGTAGAGATGGGGTTTTGCCATATTGCCCAGGCTGGTCTCGAACTCTTGGACACAAGTGACCTGCCCTCCTCAGCCTCCCAAAATGTTGGGATTACAGGCATGAGCTACCACTTGCAGCCAGAACCAAATATTTTTAATTGGAAAAGACCTTAGAGAATATTCTAACCCAAACTCCCGTAATTTTGTAGACGAAAACATGGAAACTCAGCTTGCTTGTTCCTTGTCAAAGGTCACACATCAAAGATACTGGCAAGATTAATCTAATATTCTGGATAATCAGAGCTATCTTTGAAACCATTTTTCAAGCCCAAAGTGAGAGACTCACTCAAAGTGGTAGCTAGATTAAGAATCTGGGATTCCAAAGTAGGACAAGATGGACAATGCTGGCATGGCTGGGCTGGGAGATAAAATGAAGCTTATGGATAGCCAGGTGTAAAGACAAGTTGGTTGAATGATCCACTCCTGTAAAAAGGTAGAAATGGGTCAATTAAATTCTAAAGGAAAGAATAAAGTATCTGAAGGGAGACCTTGAGCTGAAGACAATGTAGGCACAAAAAGTAAATACCAGAAGTTAGGACAGGCTAGCCAAAATAGGTTTGGGAACAAGGGCAACAAGAGAATCATGATACTAATTCTAATGAGTCTCACTCTGTCACCCAGGGTGGAGTGCAGTGGCACAATGTTGGCTCACTGCAACCTGCACATCCTGAGTTCAAGTGATTCTCCTATCTCATCCTCCCAAGTAGCTGGGATTACAGGTGTCCACCACCATGCCCGGCTAATTTTGTATTTTTAGTAAAGTTGGGGTTTCACCATGTTGGCCATGCTGGTCTCAAACTCCTGACCTCAAGTGATCCTCTGGCCTCGGCCTCCCAAAGTGCTAAGATTACAGGCATGAGCCACTGTGCCTGGCCTCATCATTTTGTTCTTAAAATATATTTTAAAAAAGAAGATAGAAACTGTTATCCCATTTTAGGGAGGAGGAAATGGAGGCATAATGGGAGAGTTGGAGCTTAATTAACCTGCATAAGTCTAAAATCCACATTCTTTACTACTATGGTCTATGAACTCCAAAATAGGAAAAAAGAGAAGACATATACCGGATTTGGCAAGACCAGTCTTTGATCCATAGGCTTGTTGTTAAGGGTGCAGTGTATGGCTCCCAAAAGCTATCAAAGCGTTTGAATATAATATCCAGAACCTACATCCAACTCTTGTTTCAAAATTATGCTTAGCTTGTAAGTTATCATCTTGCACTAATTCTGGGCCATCATTTGTCTTAGTTTTCTTTGTAATGCGGATGTGATAAAGTGGCAGTAGAGAGTCATTGGACATCGGCTTGCAATTAATTCCAGTGGATTGACGTTTATACCAAACTGCAATCAAAATAATCAGGTCATTTGTATACTAGTTAAATATTTACAAAATTATAGAATCAGAAGTCTATCAAATGTTGATGTATGTGTTTAGAATAACTGAGACCCATTCATTAATTCTTTCAACAAATATTTATTGAAAATCTACCGTGTGCCAGGCTTTGCTCTAGGAACCAGGGATGCTAAAGTTCCTGCTTTCATGAAGTTTATATTCTAGTGAAGTTGAGAAATAATATGTAAACAGGTAATAACATATAATAATTTTAGATGGTAATAAATGCTGTAAAGAAGATAGAAAATTATGATATGAGGGAATGTGATGGGAGCAGGAAGAATTTTAACCCTCTAACTGCCCTCCCACCACTTCGTTAAAAATCCATGAGGGTCTTCCTTTCGTAACTGTAGAATATTCCTCTGAATTGGGTTTAAAATAAGCCTCAAAAAATATACTTGCATTAGTGGGAATATTAAATAAGCATTGTCCATATGAAATAGGACTAGCCCCAGAAAAACCATGTCTTGGTTCTGTGTGACGGAGGGACCCACAGGAGTAAAGTGCACTTGTCATTTTGCACTTCTTCATTGGCCATTTGCTGCATTCTCTTTCAGGGTAACACAACCCTGGGATCCCAGTGAGCTTTTGAAGACTGATGAAATAACTGGCTGCTGTGGTCTGGTTAGTTCACAAGGAAAGGCACAGGATGTAAAATTTCCATGTTTTATCATATCCATCCATAAAATTAGGCTAACGAATTGATAATATAAACTGGCATTCTGAAGTTATCATCAAGAAACTCCCAATATTGGCTGGATCATTTTCATAATGTTGCCATTTCATTTTCATAAGCAAAGAGACCCCATTTGGAAAATAGTGCCTCTTATGCTTTATCATGTAAATGCAAACCACTGTTGAAGTTGAGACACATAATGCTATGGAAGTGCAGAGACCTTGTTTTTGCAAACTGACAGCTCCTATTGTGTCTCTCTGATTAATATGGAAGTGATGAATGCAAATCTTACGACTTCATTTGATATCAGCTATGGTAAAAATTTGACTCATAATATTGTTTTCATGAAAAAAATCATTAAGAATCAAGTTTGGGAGAATAAGATCGGGGATGGGGAGAGAAGTTGTGAGGTAGGAAGGGAAGAGAAATGTGAAGAAGAGTCTTAACAAAGTCAGCAAAAAGAGGGACCTGTAAGGAGATTATTCAACCTTTGGGCACTGATTATGTGCATATGTATCTCTCTTATAAAGAGAGGTCTTTGTATCAGATTGACATGGAAACCTGGATGGATACCACACTCTTCTGTGGAAGGTGCTTCTTTTACAAAAACAGAACCAGCAAGGATAGTCTACTTTGAAAGATGTCATTTAGTTTGGGCCAAAATTACCCAGGCTTCAGTTGGGAGAGCTGTCCCAAGTGTTTTTTCTTAGAACCAGCACAAGAAATGTATTTTCTTTCAGTTGGTTCAAAATCCCTGTGGGATAGAGGCACCATCAAATGCAGATTGACATCTATTTGTAGCACAACCAGAAAGGCAGTTTCATTCTGAATTATTTAACATGGCAACATTTTGCACATATAAATCATGTCCAGCTTTATTAGATTAGGCCAATTGAAGAAATATATACACCTGCCTGTCATGTAAAGCCCTTTATCTTGGGGAGTAGACTTCCCAGGGGGACTTCCCAGGAAGTAAATTGAATACTGAGTGGTTTTTTCAGTGATGGGGCCTGAATTGAAAATTGAAATTCCTGCATGGACATCAAATTCACATAAAAAATGAGAATCTAGTTTATCTCTTTTGGTTACCAGGGTACTAATCACTCTAGAAATTTGGATTTACATGACTATGGCCCTTCTGTGCCCTTTATGTTGGAGCTGGGCCCTGTCAATGTGATAATGTTCATAAGGCCCTTTGAGGTCTTCAGATGAAAGGCATTCTACAAACACAAACTATCACTTGCATAAATCAATCAAGTAGCTTGATATTATTTCTCTCCATCTTTGGGTTTGCCAGAATGAGACAGAAGATAGCAAATGCTATATAGTGAGATGAAAGCATAGAGATTAATAGGCGACTTCTTTGTAATCAGATAAGGCATGATGATGCACAGTTGATAGACTTGATTTCTGTTACAGGAAAAAAAAAATACACCCAGGGTTGTTCTCATTGTATTCACAAAATCTCAGAGGGCAATCTCTTTCCTAAAAACAGGCTGCATCTTAAATAACTGCACCATGTTAAAGCTCTTCCTAATTTAAGTTCAGAAAAAAAAAATCACTTAGTGCCACATATGGGCACAGCATTGAGAAAATGGGATTTTATTTCTTCTCCCTCTCACTCCCCCTTCTTAGACCCAGTGCCATTATTTTGGAGAGCTGAGAGGTGGAGAATGAAAAAGCCATTGGTCTCAGTTTTCCTGCCACAATGGCCTTTTATGAGAGGGATTAGATACGCCAAGAACTGGTGCAGCATTCACTGGTGCCCCGAACGACAATCTGGAAAAAAGACGATAAAAATCAGTTTGTCATAAGGTTAAATCACCAAAGACTTCCCAGATTGGTTTTTCAGATTGTTTTTTCTTTGGAAAGAAGATAAAAAAAAAAAAAAAGAAAAGAAAGAAATATGGGCTAAAAGCTGATTTTTTTTCTTTTCTTTTTTTCCCCTCAGTGCAAGATGTAGCATTCAAAAAACATGTTGAGTGAGTTGAAGCATTAAAAAGATCAGTCTTTGGCTGTTGAATGAAAGACTGTTGTGTGTGTGACTCACATACTAAATGGAAACCTGCCTTCAAAGCCTATTTTACTGCCTAATTATATATACACAAAATGTAGCTGTCTGTTTCAATCAAATCATAGGAAAAGGAATAAAACTCCCCTAAAGATGCAATTTTCATGGTTTGTCATAACCTTAGAAACACTGCTAATGTAAAAGGAGGAAGTACAGCTGCATGGTCCAGATAAGGTTCCAGTAATTGTTTTTCTTTTAATTATTACTTTATAAAGACATTATACCTCCTACTCTGAAGAAGAAAAATTAGTGTCCTGTCTCTTCTTTTTTTTTTTTTTTTTTCCCTCCCTTTCCATTTTCACACCAAGCTTGTTGATATGCATTTGAGCTGTGGCTAGAAGCCAGCGTAGCTATGGAAATAATAATTTAAGTAACCACCATAACTACAGGCTTTCAGAGGGTTTCAGGGAGGAAACCTTTTCTAAATTTATGTTCTGAATTGAGTAGAGCTTTCCAAAGCACAAAATAGAGTGCCAGGGATTGAGATAAAGTGCTTAGACCTAAACAACTGTTTGCACTTGGCTTTCATGGAAATACTTTCAGTTCATAATAGCTAATGTACTTATTTTTAAAAATTAGCAATTGCATGGGCATTTTTATTCTTGTCATCTTCACTGAAGAATAATGTAATAAAATACACAAAAGGCTCCCCCCTCAACATCTTATAATGTACAGATTTTTTTTACAATAACCAGAAATTGTAAAGTTTAATAAGCCATTACTAATTTACATATTTTCATAGATTCAAATCATTAAAATGCAATGATATTTTAATGGCTTAATAATATATCTAATTGCAGATTAAAACTTTCTAACACTGGAGATAGCATTGAACATACCACCAAGGGACTCCAAGTGCATAATTCAGTAAGAATTGACAGCTTCTGACATTTCTTACGAAAACAGAGTTCATCACAGAATGAGTAAAATGATTATCTTGCAATATGCATTTTTTTAAAAAGTTATAATTTTAACTACACGTACCACCCTTCCCCTTAATCTCTTCCTGCCTACCCCTAGTTCCGTCTCCAGCCCTATTGAGTTTGGGACCTGCTCTATGAATCCACAGAGTAAACAACTTAGCTGAGAATTCTGTGATAATTAAGCAGATATGATCACAAAGCTACTCTCAATGACTCTGAGAAATCCTTGGGTATGAGAGATATGCTAACAAATAAGAAACACGCAAAAACTGAGTGAGTTTATACTCTAGAAATCACTGCCCATACCCCAAATTCCAAAATGGGGTTTGGGACCTGTTAAAAGGAAACATACAATGTTTGTAGCAGCAGTATTCACAATAGCCAAAAGGTGGAAACAACCCATGTCCATCACAGACAAATGGCTAAAATGGAGGCACAAATGGAGGGACAAATGGCTAAACAAATTTAAGTATGTCCATATAATGGAATATTATTCAACTACAATAAGGAACAAAACACTGATATATGCTGCAATGTGGATGAACCTCAGAAACATTATGCTAAGTAAAAGAAGCCAGAGAGAAAAGGTCATATATCATATGATTCAATGATACGAAGTATTCAGAATAGGTAAATCCATAGACACAGAAAGCAGATTGGTTGTTGTCAGAGACTAAGGGGAGGAGAGAATGGGATGTAACTGCTTAATGGGTATGAGGTTTTATTTTGGAGTGATGAAAATGTTTTGGAACTAGATAGAGATGGTAATTGAACATTGTGAATGTACTGAATGCCACTGGTTCTTCACTTTAAAATTGTTAATTTTATGTTATGTGCATTTCACCTAAGTGAAAAAAACCATGATCTCATCACTCTCATTCACTCACTCACTCAATCTTCATTATGACTTCAAGGAGCATATATATTTACTACTGACAATGTGTCAGGCACTGTGGTAGGCACGGGGGGAGTAATGTTGAATCAGCTAAGAAAGCCTCATGGAGCTTACCTTCTGGTTGGAGGAACAAAGTGAAAAAACCAAATCAAACAAATATGATCATTATAAATGCTTATGTGAGAAGTAATGACTAAGTTGGTGGTCTGGGGCAGATTAGCTAGGGAAGTCACTGAAAGCCTTTCTAAGGAAATGATAGTTGAATTCGGACATAAAAAAGAAGCCATACATGGGAAATTACTGGGGGAGAGAATAACATATACAAAGCATAAGTTCTTCTTGTTACGGGAAAAGAAAGGAGTTCAATAATAGTAAACAAAGTGAGTTAAATGTATAAAGTGAAGTCAGAGAGGTAAGCAGATACCAGGTTATGTAGGACATGTTCAGAAACTTGAATTTTATTCTAATTGTGATGAGAAGATATTATTAGAGGGTTTTTTTGACATACAAAAAGCTGTACATATTTATTGTATACAACTTGATGAGATATTACAGAGTTTAAAGCAGAAAAGTGACATGCACTTTTTAAAAGATCACTGTTGCTAACTCATGAAGAATTAATTGGAGGGTGGCCATTGTAGACATAGACTATCAGGCTACTGTGGTTGTGCAGAAGCAAGATGATGATGGCCTGGACCAGGATGCTGGCAGTGAAGAGGGAGAGGAATGGACAGATTCAAGTTCTATTTTGGAGGCAGGCCCATCAGAACCTGTTAATGGATTGAGTGGGTAAAAGGTAATTAAAAAGGAAGCATCACAAACTACACATAAGGTTTTGGCCTGGGCAGCTGGGTAGATTTTGGTGTCACTTCCAGAGATGGGGGGTTGTATTAGTTTTCTATTACTGATGTAACAAAATACCATAAATTTAGCAGCTCAGGACAATACAAATTCAATATCTTGCAGTTCTATAGGTCAGAAGTCTGACCTGAGTCTCACTGGGCTAAAATCCAAGCATCAGCAGGACTGTTTCTTTCTGGAGGTTCTAGGGGAGGATCTGTTTCCTTGTCAATCCCAGCTTTTAGAGACTAGCAGCATTTTTAAACTCATAGCCTTCTTCCTCCATCTTCAGAGCCAACAAAGGTGGCTCTTGCATGTAATCTCTTTGAGCTTCCTTCTGTTATCACATCTCCTTCGGACCACAACTGGGAAATGTTTTTTGCTTTTGAGGATTAGATTGGGCTCACCTTGATAATCATGCTGCTATCTTTCTGGCTCTGTTTCCCATTGTCACAGCTCCTTCTCTGTCAGGCTTCTTCATTCCACTTTTAAGGACTCTTGTGATGACGTTAGCTCTATTCAGATAATCTAGAATAATCTCCTCATCTCAAAGTTCTCAATCGTAACTGCAATGTCCCTTTTGCCATGTAAGGTAATACATTCATCGGTTCCGGGTATTGGCATGTGGACATCCTTGGGAGGGACGTTATTCTGCCTACCACAGGGATAATTGAGAGATAACTGGGTTTAAGATGGAAAATTAAGATTTAAATTTGAGACTCTCAAGAGGCATCCAAGTGGAATGTCAAATAGGTAGTTGGATCTCCACTTGGAATTATGTCTAAAGTTTGCAAGGGAGGTCTTGGCTAACAGGTATAAATGTAAGAGGTGTGGTATTTAAAGCCACAGGGAACTAGATTATCTAGAGAAGGCCGGGTGTGGTGGCTCACACCTGTAATCCCAGCACTTTGGGAGGCCGAAGCAGGCAGATCATGAGGTCAAGAGATCGAGACCATCCTGGCGAACATGGTGAAACCTCGTCTTTACTAAAAATACAAAAAATTTAGCTGGGCATGGTGGCGTGCACCTGTAGTCCCAGCTACTCGGGAGGCTGAGGCAGGAGAATCGCTTGAACCTGGGAAGCGGAGTTTGCAGTGATCCGAGATTGTGCCTCTGCACTCCAGCTTGGTAACAGAGTGAGATTCCATCAAAAATAAAAAATAAAAAATAAAAAAAAGATTATTTGGAGGAACAATGAGATAGAGAAGAAAGCCTAGGACCAAACCCTAAAGCACTTCAGCATTTAGAATTTGGGTTGAGTAGGGGGACCAGTGAAAGAGAATAAAAGAAAATCAGTGAATTAGGAAGCAAAGCATTAAAAAAAATGGTATTTCAGAAGCTAATAGAAGAAGAAAAACTTTTTTTTTTCCTCAACCTCCCTGGCTCAAGTGATCCTCCCACCTCAGCCTCCCAAATAGCTGGGACCACAGGCGTGTGCCACCATGCCTGGCTAATTTTTTATTTTTTGTAGAGACTGGGTCTCTCTGTGTTACCCAGGCTGGCCTCAAATTCCTGGGCTCAAGTGATCCTCCTGCCTTGGCCTCCCAAAGTGCTGGGATTATAGGCATGAGCCATCTTGTCCAGCCTTAGAAAAGCATTTTAAGTAAGAAGTTCTTAAAAGTACCAGAGAGATGGAGTAAGAATAGGTCAGACAGGTGATCTTTAAATTTAGCAACAAGAAAACCATTGGTAAACTTGCTTAAAGATGTTTCGGTGGTGTTGGGATGAACATGAGAAAATAGGGAATACGAAATTAGACAATGCTCTGAGTAAGTTTGGCTATGAAGGGGAAGAGGGAAGTGAGGCAACATTTTTGTAGGTGCTTTTGTAAAATCGGAGAAGAGTTTTGGTGTTTTGTTTTTAAGATGGAGTCTCACTCTTGTCACCCAGGCTGGAGTGCGGTGGCCGATCTCGGCTTACTGCAACCTCCGCCTCCTGGGTTCAAATGATTCTCCTGCCTCAGCCTCCTGAGTAGCTGGGATTATAGGCACCTCCCACCACACCGGCTAATTTTTGTATTTTTAGTAGAGACAGAGTTTCATCACGTTGGCCAGGCCAATCCCGAACTCTTGACTTCTGGTGATCCACCCACCTCAGCCTCCCAAGGTGCTGGGATTATAGGCATGAGCCACCACACCCAGACTGTTTTATTTTAAAGAAGGGACATACTAAGGTTGGTGGTTCTCAAACTGTGGTCCCCAGACCAGCAACATCAACATCAGCTGGGAAATTATTAGAAATGCAAATTTTTGGCTCCCACCTCAGAACTGTTGAATGAGAAGCTCTGGGAATGAAACGCAGAAATCTGGGTTTTAACAAGGCCTCCAGATGATTTTGAAGCCAAATCAGGTTTGAGAACTGTGATGGTTAATATTAGGTGTCAACTTGATTGGATTGAAGGATGCCTAGATGGCTGGTAAAGTACTGTTTCTGGGTGTGTTTGTGAAGGTGTTGCCAGAGGAGATTGACATTTGAGTCAGTGGACTGGGAGAAGAAGACCCACCCTCAGTGTAGGTGAGCACCATCCAATCACTGCCAGCATAGCTAGAACAAAGCAGGTAAAAGAAACCTTGCTTGCTGAGTCTTCTGGCTTTCCTCTTTTTCCCATGCTGCATGCTTCCTTCCTTTCCTCCTGCCCTTGGTCATCAGGCTCCAGGTTCTTCGGCCTTTGTGTTCTTAGACTTAAACCAGTGGTTTGCCAGGCACTCTCAGGCCTTTGGCCACAGACTGAAGACTGCACTGTGGGCTTCCCTGCTTTTGAGGGTTTTGGACTTGAACTGAGCCAATATTGGTTCCTTTTTTTCCCCAGCTTGCAGACAGCTTATCATGGGACTTTACATTGTGATCGTGTGAGCCAATTCTCCTTAATAAACTCCTATATATGTATATCCTATCAGTTCTGTCCCTCTGGAGAACCCTGACTAATACAAGAACCAATACTACAGTTGTGAGGGCTATGATCTGATGAAAGAAGGAGGGGCTGTTATTACTGAAGAGTGGAAATGCCTAAAGTCTGCAACAAGATGCAAGGAGTTAATTTAGGAAGTCCTAATAGAAGGATGTAACATCGATTGAATCAAGAATATTTTCCCTTGGTGAAAATAAGTAAGATAAAGTTGTAGGTAAAGTTGCAGATCAGTCAACTGAAGAGGAAAACAAGTCATGACAAACCTAGTTTCCTTTTATTTTTAGAAATAGGATTGGTTAAATAGGTAGGTAGAAAAGGGAATTCTGTAAATATTTGATATTTATTTATTGAGACAAGTTTTCTTTCTGTTACACAGGCTGGAGTGCAATGGCGCAGTCATAGGTTACTGCAGCCTCAAAGTCCTGGGCACAAGTTTTCCTACCATCTCAGCCTCCCAAGTAGCTAGGACTATAGCAGTGCACCCCATGTCTGGCTAATTTTTACATTTTTTGTAGAGACTGGGTCTTGCTATGTATCCCAGGCTGCTCTCGAACTCCTGGCCTCAAGAGATCCTCTCACCTCAGCCTAATATTTAATATTTTGATTTCAACAAGACATATGACAAATTGCCAACGACATCCTCAGAAAAGGTAGAGACACGAAAAGTGGGGAATAGGAGAGTTGAGTAAGAGTGGCTGGTTCAACTCAGGGGGAGATTTTTAGCGGTACAATAGTGGCATGTCTCTCTTTCAGGACTTCCCTGTCCAACATTTTATCATCTACTTTGCTGAAGACAGAGGAAATGTGCTTTTCAAATTTGAATTTGGCACAAAACTGGGAAAGCAAGCAAATGTGTTTGGTGACATAATGTGGATTCAGAAAAATTCCGACAAATTTGAATGATGAGCCAGAAACTGAAGAGAAATCTGAGTGAGGACAAAGATTATGTATTTTATGGTATTTAAAAATGATTTTTAATGACAATTTGGGGATGGGATAAGCTTAAGATTTGTATTAAGAGTCATTTATAGGTGAAAATAGGACTTTTAGTTGCCTATAAGTTCTATATGAACCAAGAAGTTCCACCTTAGGCTGCATCGACGAAAGTCAAGTAATCACATCAAGAGTTACTTCTATCCTTCTCTAATGATCATCAAATATACCAGAAAGATTGTGCACAGTACTAGAGGACTTTGGGGGCTAGAAGACATCATGCATCTACACAGGCATGAGTGCAGTGAAAAGTCTGAAAGCCATATTATAGCAGGAATTTTGAAATGACTTTGACTGCATTCAATCATGCGGCAAGCATTTCTTGAGCCAGACATAGTTCTATGTGCTGAGCACAGACTGGAAGACCAAAATCTTTATTCTGTCTTGTGGTACTTATAAACTTACTGGATGAAAACAGACTATAAATAAGAAAATAAATGAAACTGATAATTTTAAATAGTGATAATTGCTGTGAATAAATAAAACACGATGGGCCGGGCGCAGTGGCTCACGCCTGTAATCCCAGCACTTTGGGAGGCCAAGGTAGGCGGATCACGAGGTCAGGAGATCGAGACCATCCTGGCTAACACAGTGAAACCCCATCTCTATTAAAAATACAAAAAAATTATCTGGGTGTGCTGGCAGGCGCCTGTAGTCCCAGCTACTTGGGAGGCTGAGGCAGGAGAATGGTGTGAACCTGGGAGGCAGAGATTGCAGTGAGCCGAGATCACGCCGCTGCATTCCAGCCTGGGCAACAGAGTGAGACTCTCTCTCAAAAAATAACAACAACAAAAAAGGAATAAAACACGATGACAAGAGAGGTACAGGAATAGAGTAGGGCAGGTAACATTTAATAGAGAGGCTGAGGAATGTCTTTCTAAGGATAGGGCACTGGAGCTAAAGCTGGACAGGCTAGATGTCAACTTTGCTACAATCTGGGTGCAAAGCATTTATTGCAGAAGAAACAGTATATGAAAAGACAGCAAGGCAGGAATAAGCATGGTGCCTTGGAGGAAGAGAAAGAGGGCCAAGGTAACTGAAGTACAGAAAGTGAGGGGAGCAAGGCTGTCAGAGATGTGGGCAGGGGTGAGATCAGTTAGGCTCTTCTAGGCCATGTTTATGAGTTTAGATTTCATTCTGAGGAAAAGAGGAAAGTCCTAAAAAGAAAATGATAAGATCAGAGCTATGTTTTAAAAATATCATTTGGGCTTTTATGTAGAGAATAAATTGTTGAGGAATTGGAAGACAAGATGGTCTGAGGAGATGGGGTGGGAGACGAGGAGGAAGGTCAGAGCCATGATCCCAGGGAGAGCTGATGGTGGCGCTGCTAAGAGACAACGCTCGAGGTGGTCAATTTTTAGCCACTCTACAAACAGAAACTGCAAACCATACAGTTATTACAATCATGGGAAAAGTCAATGGATAAAAGGGAATAGAAAGGAATTGACGTCAGATAAAAAAAAAAAACACATGGGTGGACAGATTTTATAAATACCTTCCACCATAATGAAAAAAATCTTAAACCTTGCAGGGGCAAAATGATCACTTCACACATACTTAAAAAATATTTGCTCTTTGAAAAGGGATCTCATACAATAAAACATCATTGCCCTGATAAGACAATCCTATACTTAATGTAAAGCTTAAGATTTGCTACAAAAAAGTCTAAAATCTTTTCAAATGTCAACACGTTGGACTCTTCTTCACACACGGAATACTTTGAGGTCTCGAAATCTCCTTGGTCTCTCCACACCATGCCCCATTATCTCACCTAACAAGCACCTCTTACTCCCATTTCTTTCTCTGTGAACGGGACCGCTAGTGTCTCAGGAACCCAGGGTAGAGACACAGAGGGTTACCGCTGATTCTCCACTTTGCTTCACTCTACCCTGATTGCATCCGTAACCATGGCCTTTGTTCTATCTACTGTCCCCATTATTTTTTCCTACTACTACTTTCTATTTTCCTCTTTGCAGCAATTCTTGTTATCCTTGATTTACCCCACTCCAGGTCTCCAAACTTTCTATATATACCTGTAGAAATAGTTCCTTGATCAAATTCAGTGATGTCATTCAACAGGTACCTGGTGTATCATTAAGTCTCCATGGCTGCTTCAACTGAGCATTCAAGACCTTGTGTCATAAGATTGAGTCTACCTTATCTTACACCCTTACCATTTCTAAGCCCTAGTGACCTAGCCAACAAAGAGAAGGAAATTATAGTGTTCATAACAATGTTAAATTCCATGTATTATTATCCCCATTTCATAAAGAAGGTAGTTTGCAAGATGGCTACAATAATTCCTCCCATTCCTATGTTCACACCTTTTTGCAATGTGACTTTGCCTTTCTTCTCATCAAGAGATAGTTTCTTTCTCTACCCTTTTTTTTTTGTTGTTTTGGTTTTTTATTTTTATTTATTTTTATTTTTTTTTAAGATGTGTTTCACTCTTGTTGCCCAGGCTGGAGTGCAATGGCATGATCTTGGCTCACGGCAACCTCTGCATCCCGGGTTCAAGCGATTCTCCTGCCTCAACCTCCTGAGTGGCTGGGACTACAGGCACCCGCCATCACGCCCGGCTACTTTTTGTATTTTTAGTAGGGATGGGGTTTCACCATATTGGCCAGGGTGGTCTCGACCTCCTGACCTTGTGATCTGCCCGCCTCAGCCTCCCAAAGTGCTGGGATCACAGGTGTGAGCCACTGCGCCTGGCTTGTTTTGGGTTTTTTTGAGAAGGGTCTCACTTTTTCACCCAGGCTGGAGTGCAGTGACATGCACATGGCTCGCTGAAACCTTGACTTCTTGGGCTCAAGTGGTCTTCCTGTCCAGCTAAATTTTGTGTGTTTTGTAGAGATGGGGTTTCATCATGTTGCCCAGGTTTTTCTCCACACTTGGAATCTGGGCTTGGCCATGAGACTTGCTTTGGTCAATGGGACATTAGCAAATGTAATGCAAACATCGGTTTAAAAAGTGTTTGTAGATGGGTTTGTGCTTTTTTGCTTGTGGTTGCCATCCTGAGATGATTGTGTGAATGCGCCCAAGCTAGGCTGCTGGTTATGGGAAAGAGAAGTGAGATGCCCCAGGCAGACATGTGCGTGAGACCATCTTCAATCAGGCATACCCTAGTTGAGTCACTGTCTGACTATATCCTCATACCTGACCTTAGGAGAGATCAGAAGAACTGCCCCATGGAGCCTAGTCCAATGAGCTGACCCACACAATCATGAGAAAACAAAATGATTACTGTCTTAAGCCTACTAAATTTTGGGCTGTTTTGTTACACAGCAACAAATAAATAACTGCCAGTGGGAGGTTTGAAGAGTTGCTCACAATTTCATAGGAAGTAAAGTGCTGGAGCCGGAAATCCAACCAAGTCTGCTGACTGCACTGGCTGTTATTTTGCCAGGACCTACACTACTTCCCCCAACGTGTCCCCAAAGAACTGTCCGCAAAGTTAAACTATATGTTGGTGAAAATTGTATAATTGCACATTTAGTGAAAATCCAAACTCAGGGGAACAGTTCTCAGAAGAACTGGGTATGTGGCAATGCTGTTTGTCTGTGAAATTGAGCAATGTCTTTTAAAATGCTCTGCCAAAAAATAGGTTTGCCCTAGATTTGGGGAAAAAAATCTCTGACTCACTTTTCTGTGCCTCTAGAAAACAAAATACCTTTGCCAGCAGCCTTTTCCCATTCTTTTATGAATCCTCCAAACAACAACACAGGCTTTGGGCTAGGAAGTGGCCCTAGTCCTTTTGCTCTAGGGATTGCTGGGCAAGATTTCTCTTGGGTAGCTAGAATACTTGCATGGAAGAGCCAGAAGAATCTTGAGCTCTGTGATAATGATAAGCATCTTGAAAATCACAGGTTGTTTTTCATTCGTTTATTATTTATTTATTTATTTTTGTATTTTTCTGAGACAGAGTCTCACTCTGTCGCCCAGGCTGAAGTGCAGTGGTGCCATCTCGGCTCACTGCAACCTCCACCTCCCGAGTTCAAACAATTCTCCTGCCTCAGCCTCCCGAGTAGCTGGGATTCCAGGTGCACGCCACCACTCCGGCTAATTTTTATATTTTTAGTATTGATGGGGTTTCACCATGTTGGCCAGGCTGGTCTCGAACTCCTGACCTCATGATCCGCCCACCTCGGCCTCCCAAAGTCCCGAGATTACAGTTGTGAGCCACCATGCCAGGACCAGGGTTTCTATGTGTTGTGTGTGTAGTGAACTCTGTCTTGGACAGAGAAAGCTTGAGTTTCCAGGATAACAGATCTATCACTCTGTAGGTTTCTGGAAGGTAGCCTTTTCCCAAATATTTAAGTAGATGCATGTAGTGTGAACTAGTTTTTATATTATTCCAAACAAAGCCTAATTAGAAGGATAAGTATATTATCTTGGAAATTTTAAAGCTATTAATAGAGCTAGAACTAGGTTTTCTATTACATCATTCTCTGGTTTGGAGTCTCTGGACCATTGCAATGCGGAGAAATGGGAAAAGCACGAGCTCTGAATAGGAGAGAATTAGGATGGTATCCTAGTTACAATGTCACAAGATCTTGAGGCTTGAGGGGTCTTTGACAATAACGTAACTGTTAAAATTTGAGTATTAAATAATGTAATGTCTTTAAAGGGCTTAGTACATCATCTGGGCGCTTGGGGGTTCTAAATATGTGTCAGCTCCTGTGATAGTTAATACTGAGTGTCAACTTGATTGGATTGAAGGATGCAAAGTATTGATCCTGGGTGTGTCTGTGAGGGTGTTGCCAAAGGAGATTAACATTTGAGTCAGTGGGCTGGGAAAGCCAGACCCACTCTTAATCTGGGTGGGCACCATCTAATCAGCTGCCAGCACGGCCAGGATATAGAACAGGCAGAAAAATGTGAAAAGGCTAGACTGGCCTAGCCTCCCAGGCTGCATCTTTCTCCCGTGCTGGAAGCTTCTTGCCCTCAAACATCAGACTCCAAGTTCTTTAGCTTTGGGACTTGGACTGGCTACCTTGCTGCTCAGCTTGCAGACAACCTATTGTGGGACCTTGTGATTATGTGAGTTAATACTACTAAATAAACTTCCCTTTACATACATATATCCTATTAGTTCTGTCCCTCTAGAGAACCCTGACTAATACAGCTCCTGAGCATGTTATAATGTTATAATTAAAAACAACAACAATATTTACATATTATTATTATTTTTGAGATAGAGTTTTGCTCTTGTTGCCCAGGCTGGAGTGCAATGGTGCGATCTCAGCTCACTGCAACCTCTGCCTCTGGGGTTCAAGTGATTAGCTTGCCTCAGCCTCCCAAGTAGCTGGGATTACAGGCATCCACCACCATGCCCAGCTAGTTTTTGTATTTTGAATAGAGACGGGTTTTAACCATGTTGGCCAGGCTGGTCTCAAACTCCTGACCTCAGGTGATCCTCCTGCCTCGGCCTCCTAAAATGCTAGGATTATAGGCGTGAGCCACCGTGCCTGGCCGGCATTATTATTTTTTGAATAGCAGAAATTAAACATGGTTGGGGTGGGGGGCGGCAAATACGTTTTAAAATCCATCTTCTTTTTTTTTCTTTTTTTTTTTTTTTGAGATGGAGACTTGCTCTGTTGCCCAGGCTGGAATGCAGTGGCACTATCTCAACTCATGGCAACCTCTGCTTCCCTGGTTCAAGTGATTCTCCTGGTTCATCCTCTGGAGTAGCTGGGATTACAGGTGCCCATCACCACGCCTGGCTAATTTTTGTATTTTTAGTAGAGACAGGGTTTCACCATGTTGGCTATGGCTGGTCTCAAACTCCCAACCTCAAATGATCCGCCCACCTTGGCCTCCCAAAGTGTTGGGATTACAGGCATGAGCCACTGCGCTTGGCTAAAAATGAATCTTTTTTTTTTTTTTTTTTTGAGATGGAGTCTTGCTCTCCCACCCAGGCTGGAGTGCAGTGGCGCAACCTCGGCTCATTGCAACTTCCGCCTCCTGGGTTCAAGCAATTCTCTTGCCTCAGCCTCCTGTGTAGCTGGGATTACAGGCGCACGCCACCACACCCAGCTAATTTTTGTATTTTTAGTAGAAATGGGGTTTTGCCATGTTGGCCAGGCTGGTGTCAAACTGCTGAGCTCAGGTGATCCACCCGCCTCGGCCTCCTAAACTGCTGGGATTACTGGTGTGAGCCACCACATCTGGCCCTAAAAATGAGTCTTAATGCTACATCATGAATTAACCTTGAAAACATTATGCTAAGTAAAATAAGACATAAAAGAACAAATATTGTATAATTCCACTATGTGAGGTACCTAAAATAGGCAAATTCTTAGAGACAGAATGGCAAATAGAGGTTACTAGAGGCTGAGGGGAGGGGGAAAGAGGAATTATTATTTATTTTATTTATTTATTTTTATTTTATGTATTTATTTTTTTTGAGATAGAGTCTCGATCTATCCCCCAGGCTGGAGTGCAGTGGCACAATCTTGGCTCACTGCAACCTCTGCCTCCTGGGTTCAAGCAATTCTCTGCCTCAGCCTCCCGAGTAGCTGGGATTACAGGCGCCCACCACCACGCCTGGAAAATTTTTTTGTATTTTTAGTAGAGATAGGGTTTCACCATCTTGGCCAGGCTGGTCTTGAACTCCTGACCTCGTGATCCACCTGCCTCAGCTTCCCAATGTGCTGGGATTACAGGTGTGAGCCACCGCGCCTGGCCTGTTTACTGTTTTGTGGGTACAGAGTTTCAGGTTGAAATGATGAAAAAGTAATGGAGATGGATGGATGGTTGCACAAAATTATGAATGTACTAATGCCACTGAATGGTACACTTAGAAATGGTCAAAATGGTAAATTTTATATTATGTATATCTTACTACAATTAAAACAAAAATTTTAAAGCAAATCTTTATTAAGGATCACACAAATGCTGAGCACTTTCTTATGTGTTATTGAGGACATTAAAAACAAAAAGCCTCCAATTCTAGGAAGATAGTGTCAAGACAGCTTGGGAGGTTAGCTTTGAATGTTAAATACTTCTTTTTAATATCCATTTTCTTTGTCTTCATCTCTGAATCAGGCTGAATGAGAATTGATGGATTAGAAAGTTGGCTCTACCTCTGTGCTTAGGTTAAGCTCTCAAAGATGAGCTTATCCATTCTCTCATTGACTCCACTTGAATCTATTTCACCCTAAGCTGAAATGTACATCTGGAAGAACGTAGACCAATAGATACCTGAATGGGCTCAAAAATTAGATACAGGGAAGGTGTTAATTTGGTGACTATGTCAGCATTCTCACAATTCTGACAAGAAATTCCACTCAGTCTGGCTTAAGCAAAAAAGGGCTCATGCACATGAAATAGTTCTGATTTTGTTTTTTGTTGTTGTTGTTGTTGTTGTTGTTTTTCTTTTTGAGATGGAGTCTTGCTCTGTCACCCAGGCTGGAGTGCAGTGGCACGATCTTGGCCCACTGCAACCTCTGCCTCCCAGGTTTAAGTGATTCTCCTCCTCCAGCATCCCCAGTAGCTGGGACTACAGGCACGTGCCATCATAACCGGCTAATTTTTTGCATTTTTAGTGGAGACGGGGTTTCACGGTGTTAGCCAGGATGGTCTCAATCTCCTGACCTCGTCAATTGCCTGCCTTGGCCTCCCAAAGTGCTGGGATTACAGGCATGAGCCACCGAGCCTAGCCAAAATAGTTTTGACTTTGGAGGAGACTTGACCTACTGTTCCAGTGATGTCGCTAAGGGGCTGAGTGCTCCTTCCCTCCATTCTGCCTGCCTTGTTTCTGCCTTTCTCTTCAGGTTCCACATGACAGACCTCAACAACTCCAAGCTCATGACTTCTGGTTGCAGAACACCCAAAGCAATTTCTGATTTCACATCCTTACACCACATTAACCATGAGCTCCTTTTGGGAGCTCTCAGGAAGAGTGAGGGAGCTTCTTTTTCCCAAAGTCTCAGCAAACATCTCTTCACATCTCATTGGCTCTGATTGGGTCACACATTCATCCCTGAGCTCTTCACTGTAGCCAGGGAGATGGGTATGCCAATTGGTTTAAGGCAGGGTTAGAGTCTCTTCGGGGCTACATTGTAATCTATATGTAAATGGGTCCCCCTGAAGTTGTGCAAAACACAGTGTGTCCAGCCAATCACAATGGCAACCTAAGAATTTATCTTATCCTTTCCCAAAGAGTAGAGTATTCACTCTTTGAGTGCAAGGATTGTGTCACCATCTTCTCTTTTTTGTTTGTTTGTTTGTTGTTTGTTTTTGAGACAGAGTCTTGCTCTGTCACCCAGGTTGGAGTGCAGTGGCGCGATCTCAGCTCACTGAAACCTCCTCCTCCTGGGTTCAAGCGATTCTCCTGCCTCAGCCTCCCAAGTAGCTGGGATTATAGGCGCACGCCACCATGCCCGGCTAATTTTTGTATTTTTAGTAGAGACGGGGTTTCATCATGTTGGTCAGCCTGGTCTCCAACTCCTGACCTCGTGATCTGCCCTTCTCAGCCTCCCAAAGTGCTGGGATTACAGGCGTGAGCCACCACGCCCAGCCTGTGTCACCAACTTCTATCCACTCATAGCATCTGACACATTATGGCTGCTTGGTGAGTACTTATGAATGAATGAATTATTGTATGAGTTCACAGAAAACTCATTGAAAAGTATAAATCTTCCTTCTGAATTTAACATAAAATTATTATTTTTCCAATGGTTTCTTGCTACTGGATGATTAACAGTTCTTAATTTTCAGTATTAACAAAGATGAGGCAAAGCACGGATGAATATGATTTCAGTCTTCTGCTCTATTAGAAGATCATACTTTCGTACTTCACATTTGTTATATTTAGGTTTAAGTGAAAATTCAGTCATTGCAATTCAAATCTCCATCAGCAGAGACTAAGCTGTTAACCTGGGCCTTCTCTCCACACTCAACTGGGGAAAGACAACACTGACTCAGATGGTTCTTGCGTCAGTAGTAGTTAGACTGTAAACACTAACTTTGTGTGTATTTTTACGATTTAATTTCCTCTTTTTATGGGAGCATAAAATGTATTTTTAAAAATAAGCAAATCTTTAATGAAAGTGTAGGATGGTTGACATGGGAAGTGTATAAATCTGTCACCTACAATATAAGCACATATTTAAATATGCATATTATGAACATTTAAAGCTGCAATGGTTCAAAATAATGTTAGCCTCTTATGTGAAACATTACTCTATAAATATGAGCCCACTAGCATCTTAAATACAGATTGCATTATATATAAGCAACCAATATAAAATATTTTCAATCTAATATTTATTCTCAAATTTTGTCTTTAAGAAATTATTATTCTATGTCTCAAGTTTACTTTGTAAATAGAAAAAAAAAACATAAAAATTCCTCAAGCCTCTAATGTTTTTCTTAATGTAAAAACTATCACAAAAAAATGGGAAATAGTTTTTCTCCCATAAAATATTCCCTGGACTCTCTCTCCTTCTTTTTCTACTTTTTTGCCTGTAATAGTCTTATCTTCCTCTATGACTTAAACAATCAAGAATAAGTTGATGACCCCCAAATCAATGTATCCAGCCCTGTTGTCACTCATGAGTGCCATAACATCCTAACAGAAATCACCATTCCCATGACCTTCCATGCCTTGGTCCATGGCATTATCATCTGCTTATTTGACACAACCAAATCCCTTGGCATCTTCTTAGATTCCTTTTGCTCCACCGTCCACCCTCTGGCTCCCTTCCGGAACTCTATTGACTAGTTCTGTCATATCTGGCTCCACAGTGTTTCTCTCCACTCTATGGGTTTAAGCTGTTATCACGGCTTTTCTGGATGACTTGTACTCTCTTCCACTTTGGAGACAGTGATTCTAGTTTCTTACCAACTAATCTGCCATCCAACCTGCCTTTGCCCCAAATAATCATTTTCCAATACAATCTGATTATTCTAACTTTTCTGCTTCAAATTCTTCACAGTTTTCTCATTCCTTTTAGAATAAAGTACATGTTCAAAGACTTTTGCAATCTGGCTCCAAGATACTGTACAATCTCATCTTCTACCACGCCTTCCAACTCTCCTACACAGTCTTGCTTTCTGCCCCAGCCCCAACAGATTACTCATCAGTCTATGAACACTCACTAAGGCTTTATGTTGTTTCCTATGTCTAGATTGCTTTTCTCATCTTTCTCCCTGTCTGAAGTTAACTTCGGTGTTTTCTGATTTCCCATCACAATCAGCCATTCTCCCTTCTGTACTCACACCAAATCATGTTCCCAGTGCACATGGTATTAGTGGTATTAGTGCTCCTGGTTGGGTTATGCACTTATTGGAGGAGGCAGAGAGAGGGAGGGCTATGTCTCATTCATCTTGGCATGGACAGCTCCTAGCAGGTGCCTGGTGTTTAGTATGTACTAAAAGATGTTTGGTGAATGAGTCTTTATTTTGAATGCTCAGAAAGACCTTAAATTTGACTTATAAGCTTTCAGAAATAGGAAAAAGGCCTACAGATTCATAGCAGTTGTATGACTACATGTGGTAAAAGCGAGCAAGTTATATCCAAGACAGACTGCAGCAAGGTAAACCCATTTAGCTACAGTCCCTTCTCTGTCTTTTAAGACATGTCTAATTTGAGATCCCTTTCACGTGCTCCCCTTCCAAGGTTTAATGTATGTGATTAATCTTGACTTGCCTTAATACTGCTAGGAATGTGGCAATGACCTCAGCTGAACACTGGCAAAGTGATTAATGTTACATGAACTGGATAAGGTGGTTTTTTTTTTCCCCCTCTGCTCTAGCTCCTGAATAAACACATTCATGCAAGATTCGGTTGCAGACCTTTGCTCGATGGAAAATGTACCATGATTTCAAAGAGTAATGTTTCAGATGCAATAAACAACGTTAAAGGAAACACGGTCCTTGTTAAAGAAAATGCTGTTTCAGGCTAAAGTCCCAGTGATCATAAAAGATATATGATGCAATAAACAAAATGAACCATAGGCAGACAGGTCCATTCGATGACTAACCACTGATTGAATTTTCCAACACATTTAGACTTTCTAAGAGATAAACTATTCACAAAAGGTTCGTGTTAAATATAAGGCTGTCATTTCCTTTTTATGTTTCTAGAGGGGTCTGAGAACAGTAGAGGATATTCCTTCTTTTTTTCTTTTTTTTTTTCTATTGGTTGTTTGTGGTTTTGAATTTTTTATGATGTGAGAAGACTGGCAAACAGTTGCTATGATTGTCAAATGCCTTAAATCAAGAAGAGAGAATGCAATAAAACACAGTTTCCATGGTAACACATTGTAACCTAGTACCTCTGGATTATGAGCCAGCTCACATCTATGATCATTACTTGTTGACAGGCATAAATTGAGCCTAAAAGCATTAATTTTAGAGATAAAACTAGAATGTGTAGCTTAGTTTTAATAATGTTTAAATATTTCCAAGGTAGTGGCAGCAAATCAACTCTGGTTGTGTTATTATTTAAATAATGTTAATAAACTAACCACAAATACTTTTTGAAAATGTACAAGCTTTTCTCTAAAAATGGTGTAACATCTGTGTATGCAGTTGGTCCTCCACATTCCTGGGTTCCACATCCATGGATTTAATCAACCTCGGGTTGAAAATGTTGGGGAAAAAAAGACCCACAAAATTGCCAAAAGCAAAAGTTGAATTTGCCACCCGCCGAGCATTGTGTTGAATTCACGTGAATGTGGTGATGTGTAGGCATTGTATTAAGTATTATAAGTGATCTAGAGATAACTTAAAGTATATGAGAGAATGTGTGTAAGTTATATGCAAATACTAGGTTATTCTGTGCAAGGGACAGAGCATGTGCAGATTTTGGTACAATTCCACATAGATACTGAGGGACAACTGTATAGTCTTGAGGCTGCAAGTGGTAGCTGACGTGTTTTTGATGGAGTTTAAATAATCTGAAATCAACAATGATATGGAATGATAGCCAGACATTTTAAGGAAGGAATGTTGTTCAATATGGACAAATTCCTAAACATCTTGATAGTAGAGTAACTCCTAGAACTCTTGTAGGACATTCACACACAATAATTTTTAGTAGACATAAGTTCCTTTTCCTCTTTTTAAGGAGCCTGAGATAAAATGTGGATGATCACATGCTTTTTTTTTTTTTTTTTTTTGAGACGGAGTCTCCCTCTGTCACCCAGGCCAAGAGTGCAGTGGCGCCATCTTGGCTCACTTGCAAGCTCCGCCTCCTGGGTTCACGCCATTCTCCTGCCTCAGCCTCCCGGTAGCTGAGACTACAGGCGCCCGCCACTACGCCCGGCTAATTTTTTGTATTTTTAGTAGAGACGGGGTTTCGCCGTGTTAGCCAGGATGGTCTCGATCTCCTGACTTTGTGATCCGCGCACCTCGGCCTCCCAAAGTGCTGGGATTACAGGTGTGAGCTACCGCGCCCGGCCGATCACATGCTTTTTACACATTCACTTCCATGTCCTCATCAGAAGCACTCACACTACCGTCAAACATTTAAGGTTAAAACAAAGATTACGTTATGTGTAGCAGTTACCCATTAACCAATATAGTTAACAAGACAATTTTTTTTCCAAGGCTGCTTGTGACACTTCTAAATATATCTTTATGACAATCAAGATAATCTTGGCCAGGTGCAGTAACTCATGCCTCTCATCCCAGCACTTTGGGAGGCCAAGGCAGGAGGACTGCTTGAGCCCAGGAGTTCAAGACAAGCTTGGGCAACATGACAAGACCTCATCTCTACAGAAAATAAAAAACAAACAAAAAATAGCCAGCTGTGGTGGTGCACACCTGTGGCCTCAGCTACTCAGAAGACTGAGGCAGGAGGATTGCTTGAGCCTGGGAGATTGAGGCTGCAATGAGCCGTGTTCACATCACTGCACTCCAGCCTATGTGACAGAGCAAGACATTGTCTCAAAAGAAGTAAAAAACAAAACAACAAAAAAAAGAGATAATCTGATATGATATGATATGATATGATTTAATATGATACAATAATAAGAATTGGTCCATTTTCTCAACATCTAGACTTTATGTAAGAGTTCACTTTTTTCCTCTGGCAACTTCTGAGCTCCCTTTCCTTACTAAAGCTTTTACAGTGAGTGTGGGATAAACAAGGAGAGACAGATTGCTCTTCCTCTAAGTGTGCCTTTCACTGCCCTGAGCCTCAGAAAAGCAGAGAGTGACCAGCACACCTCAGTTGCCTTTTCTGTACACTTGGGATTAGACCTATTTCATAAGGTTGTTTTAAGCACTTATTGAGACGGACACTTGTGGAGAACTTAGAACAGTACTTGGTGCATAGTAAGCCCTCCATGAAGGTTAGCCCCTGTAGGGGGTAATGCTTTGTCTAGCATTGCGCTTCCCACTCAGTTGTGCCTAGTAAATGTTTGTTAAATTGAATAAGCCTATTTGCCCAATTGGCTATTACAAGAGTGCTTATTGTAAAACTAATTTTGCAGGAATATGTAACATTTTCAGGAAATCTGATTACATTGCTTTTATTCACTTGCAACTTACCTGTCAGAGATTCACAAAACGCTTCAGTTATCAGAGCTCATGGAGTTGTGTAATAATTGTATCTTCTGGTATTGCTAAGTTTTAGAATCAAATCCTTGGGAATACTGCAGGGTATCTGAACCAATCTAACACAGACTAGTCTTTAACCTATTGACCTGAGAAGGATACCTATTTCAGAATCTGCCATACTTTCAAGCAATGACTCAGAAGCTTGCTAGCTACTTCTGTTTTGTTTTTTCGGTTCTTTGAATTTAGATTTTTTTTTTTTTTTTTTTTTTTTTTTTTTAGACAGAGTCTCACTCTGTGGCCAGGCTGGAGTGCAGTGGCGTGATCTCGGCTCACTGCAAGCCCTGCCTCCCAGGTTCAAGCAATTCTCCTGCCTCAGACTCCCGAGTAGCTGGGACTACAGGCATGCGCCACCACGCCCGGCTAAATTTTGTTGTTGTTGTTGTTGTTGTTTATTGAGATGGAGTCTCACTCTGTCATCAGGCTGGAGTGCAGTGGTGCAAGCTCGGCTCAATGCAACCTCCGCCTCCCGAGTTCAAGTGATTCTCCTGCCTCAGCCTCCTGAGTAGCTGGGACTACAGGTGTCCACCACCACGCTCAGCTAATTTTTTGTATTTTTAGTAGAGGCGAGGTTTCACCATGTTGGCTAAGATGGTCTCAGTCTCTTGACCTCGTGATCTACCCGCCTCGGCCTCCCAAAGTGCTGGGATTACAGGCATGAGGCCACCATGAAATTTTTGTATTTTTAATAGAGATGGGGTTTCACTGTGTTGGCCAGGATGATGGTCTTGATCTCTTGACCTCGTGATCTGCCTGCCTTAGTCCCCCAAAGTGCTGGAATTACAGGCATGAGCCACCACGCCTGGCCTTGAGTTTAGCTTTTTAAGGATAAAATTATTTTAAGAACAAAGAAAGCAATTTTCTTCCATTCTAATTGCTATAGACCCTGGAATATGTCAACATGATATTTAGTTAGTCTAAAAAAAATTAAGACATTGACCCATGCATATCCAGCTTTGAACACTAAATACCACTTGGCATTCTTTTTATTTATCTCTAGTCATTTTCCTTTCACCTTCCCCAAAGCATACTCCCAAGTGTAACCATCTTCTTAATCTCACTCTCTATTTTTAAAATATCAGTCACTGTTCTTGTTCTGTAGACACATAGAAAATAAAAACTATCATTTGATAACCTGCTCTTTTTTTAAAACAGTTTCCGAACGTACAGTTGACACTTGAACAACTTGGGGGATGGGATGTCACTCCCTGCCCAGTTAAAAATCCTCATATGACTTTTGATTCCTCCCAAAATTTACTAATAGTCAGCTATTGACTGGAATCCTTACTTACAACATAAACAGGTGATTAACACATTCTGTATGTTATATGTATTATATACTGTATTCTTACAATGATGTAGGTTAGAGAAAAGCAAACATTAAGAAAATCATAAGGAAGATAAAATATATTTACTATTCATTAAGTGGAAATGAATCATCATAAAGCTCTTTACCCTTGCCATCTTCACACTGAGTAGGGTGAGGAGGAGAATGAAGAGGAGGGGTTGGTCTTGCTGTCTCAGGGGTGGTAGAAGCAGAAAAAATATCCATGTATAAGTGGACTTGCAAAGTTCAAACTCATGCTGTTCAAGGGTGAACTGTACAAGAAAGTGCTGAAGCACAGTGCTAGCTACATGCAAAGCCACCAACAAATGTTAGTCCCTTAGTTTAAAAGAAGGCGTTTTCTAGCTTAGAGTAAGGAGTTTCCTAATGCACAGGAATCAGTGTTCTTTTTTCTTTAGGATTAACCATTCAACCTATATGCACTCATCAGTTCCTTACTGTTTTCTCTCAGTTGTGGTTTTATCATTTGTTTCCATTTCTCTATTTTCAGGGTGTTTCTCTCTCTCTCTCTCTCTCTCTCTCCTGATTCTTTCTCATTATAGTCTTTCTTATCCAAACCTAGTCTTCGTCCAGAGTTCCTATCTCAATGAAAGCACCATCATTCCTATCAGAAGTTTAGGTATTATCTGCCCTTCCTGCTCTTAACCATTTCATCTCCTCTGCACCCCCCACCCCCTGCATTTTGGGCTCAATGGGATGTGGGTTTGTAGTTGAAAAATGACTTTGCAGGTGGTGGTATGATGCTGCTTTTATTCGTGTGTTTGTCTTAATTTAGACTATGTTCTAATGCAGGGATCCCCAACCCCCAGGCTGCAGACTGGTACTGTGCCTCACAGCAGGAGGTGAAGGGAAGGTAGTAGCATTACTACCTGAGCTCAGCCTCGAGTCAGGTCAGCCACGGCATTAGATTCTCATAGGAGTGTGAATCCTATTGTGAACTGTGAATGTGAAGGATCTAGGTTGCATGCTCCTCATGAGTATCTAATGCCTGATAACCCCAACCCAACCCTCCACCCTCACCTTCCCATCCGTGGAAAAATTGTCTTTTGAAAAACTGGTTCCTGTTCCCAAAAAGGTTGGGGACCACTGTTCTGAAGTTTTTTTGGGGGAAAGAAAACATTTAGAACGTGGGAGGGTGGGATTGGGGGTGGGAGAGATTATTTCATAATTGCATTCTCATTTTTAGATTATTGCTAATATACTCTCACCTTTGGACTGGTCCTGAAAGAATTTCCCCATTGTAGGAGCTACATTTCCTTTATAACAATTATTTAGTGGTGACTGATGTTCCACTGAAAAAACACCATTCTCTTAATGAGACTGTCACTATTTCACAGTTCCTTTTGCTCTCTGTGTGGGACAAGGCCCAGGATGTCATACTGCCTGAGAGATTTCACTACCAAACAAATCTTAACCACCATGGGCTGGCCTAAGGAAGCAAGAGTGTGTTTGTAGTCAACTCAGAGTTACTGTGTTTCTGGGTGACCTGGAGCAATGTGACTTCATGTTTGGGGTGTTGTTGCTCACTGTACATCTCTTCTTCACCCCAGGGAAGAACCTGACCCAAAAGGGCAGCAGGCAATAGGTGAAAGGCTATACTAAGCCTTTCCCAGTAAGGTCAGCCAATTGAGTGCTGCATACATCCAAGCTGCCTTTAACCTTTTCCTAGGTAAGTCAACACAAAATAGTTTTTCTTCTTTCTATATTCCTGTATTCTTTTCATTGTATAAGAATATTTTATGGTGATAGAGGCGAGAGAAACTCTAGGCAAATGGGCAGGTTCGCCCCACCTTCAAGCTGAAAAGCCTGAAGCCCAAGGGCCAAAGTGAGAACTTCTGTCCCTGTTTGCCCTCTCTCTCCTGATTGGTTCTTTCTGAATAATTTTTTTTTTTTTTTGAGATGGAGTCTTGTTCTGTCACCAAGGCTGGAGTGCATTGTCACAATCTCAGTTCACTGAAACCTCTACCTCCCGGATTCAAGCAATTCTCCTGCCTCAGCCTCCTGAGTATCTGGGACTACAAGTGCACGTCACCACATCTAGCTAATTTTTTGTATTTTTAGTAGAGACAGGGTTTCACCATGTTGGCCAGGCTGCACTTGAACTCCTGGCCTCAGGTGATCTGCCTGCCTCAGCTTCCCAAAGTCCTGGGATTACAGGCATGAGTCACCCCACGCCCTGCCCCACATCCTGTGCCTACAAAGATCTGCAACTCAGCTGGTAGAGATGAGAAGCAGCTGGACATCAAGGAGAGGCAACTTGACTTCAGGGACAATGGCTGGATGTTGGAGAGAGGCAATTTGACTTTGGAGGAGAGAAGCAGACAGACAACTTGACTTCAGGAGAGAGCAACCTGCACTTCCCATCCGCTTTCCAGCTCCCCTTTCCACTGAGAGCTGCTTTCATCACTCAATAAAGTTTTCTGCATTCACCGTCCTTCAATTCATCCACATGACCTCATTCTTCTTGGGCACCAGACAAGAATTCAGAACCACCAAATGCGGATACTCAAAAAGGCTGTCACACTGGCCCTTTGCCCTTGCTGGTGGAGGACAGCCACCCCACGCAATGAGGAAAAAGGCTTACTGAGCTGATAACACTCTGCTGTTTGTGGACGGCAGAGCTAAAAGAGCATTGTAATACACCTCTGGGGCCTTAGGGTCACCCCCACCCGGACGTCACCGCAGGGCCTACACAGAGTTTGCGTCTGCTGTTGCCAAAGCAGCCAGCTGGTTCCTGCGCTCCATTACCTACGTGCTCCCTTCGGCGGGGGTGGAGCATGGTGGACTGAGTAAATGGGGCATCCCTGTCATGAGTCCCATAAAGCGTTCAAGAAAATATCCTACATCAATGGGATACTGGAACATAGTTAAAAACTAAGGAAATCTAAATAAATTATGAACTCGAGTTAAAAACAAGAGCGTTTGTACTTGGTCTCCGTACTATCTATATTAATGAAATGAAATGCTGATCCTGCTGTTGTTTCCCAAATTTTCCGTAAAATGGCATAGTTTTTCTTTTCTGGAGACTTTTGGAAGCTTGCAGTAAAGGAAAACAATGGCCTAACCAATGGCCTAGTTTGCGTGCCAGAGACCCATGATCTCCTGACAACTCTCCTGTTCAGCTTCTCAGGTGCAGTGCTCAGTGTTGACTTCCAGATGTTGACTTATGCTAGAGAATATTAAATTGAAGTCTACTGAGGGCTCTGGGTCAATCCCTGCATTTACCTAAAAGACAACACAGTATTAGAAGTCACTTCTACTCCTGAACCTTAATACCCCATTATTCTGATAATTAAACTTTTTTTTTTTAAATCACAGCTTTCCAACTTTCTATTCTAAAAAATTATTTCAAGGACAAGACCTCTGGGTTTATTATTTCCATATACCTGGACAATAGCTGATGCTTGCTGAATGATGGTTAATTTTTATTTTTGAGACAGAGTCACACTCTGTCGCCCAGGCTGGAGTGCAGTGGCACGATCTCAGCTCACTGCAACCTCCACTCCCTGGGTTCCAACAATTTTTCTGCCTCAGCCTCCCGAGTAGCTGGGATTATAGGCGCTTGTCACCACGCCCAGTTAACTTTTTGTATTTTTAGTAGAGATGGGGTTTCACCATGTTGGTCAGGCTGGACTTGAACTCCTGGCCTCAAATGATCCACCCACCTTGGCCTCCCAAGGTGCTGGGATTACAGGCGTGAGTCACGACACCTGGCCAATGATGTTTAATTTAAACTGCCCTCAATTTATTATCTGAGAAGTGCATACAAATAGGCAGGACGAAATAGCCAGTCAGCATAATGACATCACATTTCTTCTTTGGCACTTAAGAGAAAGAATCTGTAGAACTTAATTTGCAATGTCTCTAACCTGCTTTTGGAAAATGGACCCACCATCACTTTGAGAACAAAATGATGGTTGAAATTCAGATCCATCCAGATGAGGTGAGAAAAGGAAGAGCTGTTTTGCATCTTGCTCTTGTGCTGCCTCCTTTCATCATTAGTAATTCTAGCCTTCTCTTACCTGATCACGCAGGGACACATGATCTGAATGCACCATGGAAAACTCCCCAAATGCAAAGGAAATTAAAGGGGCTCCCTACTCTTTGTCTATGGATGAAGTTATGGACATTCTGAACCAAATCCACCTCTTCTACTTATTCAAATTTTGTCAGTATAAACATTTTTTTGTTCTCATTGTTCTAACACTATGTAGAGGAGATAATTTACATGAAAGTAATTATGTTGCTATATTTAGTAGTGCACTCTCTATCCATTCCTTAAATTGCTTTTATTTAAAACATTGAATGGGCCTTTAAACACTTGGAACGCATGTGTATAGTACTATTTTTTTTGTTGTCGTTGTTGAGACGGAGTCTTGCTCTGTCGCCCAGGCTGGAGTGCAGTGGCGCGATCTCGGCTCACTGCAAGCTCCGCCTCCCAGGTTCACGCCATTCTCCTGCCTCAGCCTCCCGAGTAGCTGGGACTACAGGCGCCCGCCATCACGCCCGGCTAATTTTCTGTACATTTAGTAGAGTCGGGGTTTCACCATGTTAGCCAGGATGGTCTTGATCTCCTGACCTCGTGATCCACCCGCCTCGGCCTCCCAAAGTGCTGGGATTACGCGCCCGGCAATATGTATAGTACTATTTAAAACATGACATCCAGAAAGCAGCCCTATTTTGATACAGTTTGTGTACCTCATAGCTTTTGGGGAAGCGCAGAGGAGAAAAAAATATCTCTAAACTTCCTTTTTAAACAATGTATTGCGGCCGGGTGCAGTGGATCACGCCTGTAATCCCAGCACTTTGGGAGGCCGAGGCAGGCGGATCACCTGAGGTCAGGAATTCGAGACCAGCCTGGCCAACATGGTGAAACTCCGTCTCTACTAAAAATACAAAATTAGCTGGGCGTGGTGGTGCATGCCTGTAATTCTAGCTACTCAAGAGGCTGAGGCAGGAGAATCGCTTCAGCCTGGGAGGCGGAGGTTGCAAAGAGCCAAGATCGTGCCATTGCACTCCAGCCTGGGTGACAAGAGCAACACTGTCTCAAAACAACAACAACAACAAAAACACCAATGTATTGTGACAGAGGAAAAATATCGTTTCCTCACCCATTGCTAGGTTCACCGTGAGGCCTCTATAAGGAAAGATGGATTAAAGAAAAGGATAGACTTATTTAACACACGTTTTATGTGACACGGGAACCTTCATACGGAAATGAAGACCTGAAGAAACAGGTAAACCAGTGTTTTTTTTGTTGTTGTTTTTCTGTTTTTTTTAAGACAGCGTCTTGCTTTGTTGCCCAGGCTGGAGTGCAGTGGTGTGATTTTGGTATCTGTGGGCATCTTGGAATGAATTTTCCATGGACACCAAGGGACAACTGTATTTTAGTATACATCTCTAAAAGACAAGGACTCTTTCTCTTTTTTTTTTTTTTTTTTTTTTTTGAGATGGAGTCTTGCTCTGTTGCCAGGCTAGAATGCCGTGGCGCGATCTTGGCTCACTGAAACCTCTGCCTCCCAGGTTTGAACCTATGATTTTCCTGCCTCAGCCTCCTGAGTAGCTGGGACTATAGGCGTGTGCCACCACACCAGGCTAATTTTTGTATTTTTAGTAGAGACGGGGTTTCACCATGTTGGTCAGGGTGGTCTCAAACTCCTGACCTCATGATCCGCCTGCCTCGGCCTCCCAAAGTTCTGGAATTACAGGCGTGAGCCACCACGTCTGGCCAACCTGTGTATGTTTTAATGCTAAGCTGGATGAGTAAGTGGATAGTTGTGAAGAAGTATGATTGGGTTAAAAAGTATGATCTAATGGTAATAAACTTGGGGTTGGGGAACTCAGCAACATCTGCCTCAGATTCTTTTCTGTGTCCCTATGCCTTCGGAGATAAAGATGTTCCTTTCTTTTAAGTGTAGGCAGGGAACCTCTGACGTGAGTGTCTTAACGACCTGCTTCACGGAAAGGTTAGAAAATCCTTCCTAGGTTTTAGGACCTGCATCAGAAGAGAAGGGTGGGAGACGGTCTGGGATACTTTCTTGCTTCTACTATTTTCTCAAATTCTTTCAGCTTAAAATATTTAATATGCCAAGGCACCATATCTTGGGTGTAATGTGTCTTGAACCCTAGCAATGTACTCTTAGAAGGAAGCTTCTATTTTATTGGCTTTCTCTTCCCACAAGCAAATGATTATTTTCATTTTCTTTATATATTTTACCCAGCTACCAGAAGTGGTTTCAAAAAAAAATCTGACATTGATTTATTTTTCTTCTTCCCTCAGGTTAAAACAATGAAAAGAAAGCAACTATTCTGTTGGACTGAACAATTTATTTGAAACTTTGACTTCACAAAGACTCAAGTAGCATTCTTTCATTTGTTTCATGGTGTTAGTTGGTTTAACCTTTTTTGACTTGTCCGAGCACAGTGAATTCACTGCCCACGGGGAGTTTGCTGACCATCTGCTCTATGTCATGTAGAAAAGCCACAGGGCCTTTCTTCCTTTCCTGGTGTCCGTAGTTCCAGAAGGATTTAGTCAAGATAAAATTGCCTCCCATCTTGAGTTGATGTGTTTGAATGTAAGAGTTACCTTTGGAGGGGAAAAGAAATAACTTTTTTTTTTTTAATCTATCATTAAGTTCATGGCTTGGGCCCTAATAACAAAGGACAGATTAACAAGAGAAAAGCATACACATTTATTTAATATAAGTTTTATGTGACATGAGAGCATTCATAAAGAAATGAAGGCCTAAAGAAATAGAGAAACTTGGAGATTTTTATGCTGAGGTTTGATTAAGTGTGATTGGACGACAAAAGGGCATGATCTAATGGTAATAAAAATTAAGAATTAAGGGGGAATTAAGCAAGGTCTGTTTGTTCATATTCTTCTCTGTGTCCCTGTGTCCTCAGAGGTAAGGATGGTCCTTTTCTCTGTGTTTGAAAGGATATTTTTTGAATGAAGGTCTCATGCCCTGCTCCATGGAAGAAGAGTGAGGGGAAGAGGAGAATGGCTCTTCTGCTTCTGCTGTTTTCTCAAATACCATGATGCCATATTTGGGGGGCAGCATGTCCTGAACCCCACTACCTTGTTTCTTTCAAAAGTAATTCCAGTTTAGTATCTTGGAGGGTTATAAAGCTTCACTAAATAGAATGTCTATTACACCCTGACCCTCTGGAGGCCTTCTTTCCTCCATCTGCATTATCAATCCCTGGTGATTCTCACAATCGTCCTAGAACCTCCAAAGAGTTCTCCACTTTTATTTTCTTTTTCACATTTCATTTTAGTTGCTGAGCTAAGCCTGAATTGGCATTTCCATAAACTCCCCTTTCATAGCTATAAATAATTATATTTCCTTTAGTCCAGTCTACTTACAATGTTGTGGTTTTAAAAAAATAAATTAAAATTTAAAAAGACTTCAGTTTGGGATTTCAACTTATCATTTTATGTATTTTCGATTTTTGTGGAGGGAGGGAAGTGTAGAAGAGAGGAAAATAAAGCCAAAGTATAAAACTGCAGGAACGGCGTGTATGAGAGCATTTTCCACCATTATAATGGAACTAGAATACATATGCCCTGAAAAGTTAGAAAAAAAAAAAGACCACATTAGATTTCCAGTGGAGGCGGCGGCAGAGCTTTAGATATAAAGCTTCTTTTTACTCCTACTCTTTATGGGCATGGGTTTAAAATGGTATTTTTATTAACAAAGTAGTTCTATCAGGGAGGCATCCTGGGCATGCCGGTGCACCAGCTGATTCCCCTCTTAGTCTCTATTTCTAGTCTTCCTTATCCTATTCTTCCCTATTTTTATTTCTCTAGTTCCCATTTTTTCCTTTTGACCTTCCTGTCCCTGCAATGTGCGCATTGGTTCTTAGCCCTTGGTGAACCAGGCTCTAAACAGTTTCATGACTCTTAAACCACGTCAAGAAAATCACAAAGGATTCCTTAAAGGATCAGGAAGTGTTACTGTATCTATAAAGACTGCACATAGCTGAATTTCTAGGTCTCCTCAAATCTGAATTTCAACTTCAAAAAGCAGTTGAACAGGACTTCTATTTGTTTAGTGCATTTATTAGATGGCTTGATGCAGGTCAAAGGGGGTGTGATTCTATTTTGAAAGTATCTCAGCTGATTTTTGTTCACACCTAGGCCCCCACTGACATTTTTTCCTAGATATCCATTGAAAAATCAGAAATTGCAATGAAATGCTGTATTCCACATGAAGCTGTAGGGGAGCGAAAATATCTTTTCCTCATCCATTGCTAGGTTCATGGCTAAGACCCCCATAACAAAAGATGGACTAACAAGAGAAAAATAAATAAATTTATTTGAGTTTTATGTGACATGAGAGCCTTCCTAAGGTAATGAAGACCTGAAGAAACAGGTAAACCTGTGTATTTTTTATGCTGGATTTAATAAGTAGATAGTTGTGGAGAAGTATGATTGGATTAAAAAGTATGATCTGATGATAATATACTAGGGAGACTTAGCGAGGCCTGTTTTCTTAGATTCTTCTCTGTATCCCTGTGTCTTCAGAGATAAGGATATTCCTTTCCTCCAGGCGTAGGAGGCAGTCTCTCACATGCAGGTCTTACGTTCTGCTTCAGGGGAAGGTCAAAAAATCCTTTCTAGGTTTTTTGACCTTCCTTCCTTCAGGAAGGAAGGGTGGGAGAAGGTCAGACAGACCTTCCTGTTTCTGCCATCTTCTCACATTCCTTCAGCTTAAAATACTTAGTATGCAAGATGCCATATTTTGGGGGAGTGGTTTCTGAACCCCATGAAAACTATTTGCATTGCAGAAAAAAAAAACAGCTTCAATGGGAAACTATGCATCATCTGGTACACTACACCCTTCCTATTATCTGATTCTAGCCTTTCCTTGTCTTTGAGTTATTTTACAACCCTGTATCTTGCAGGTAACTGATAGACATGCACATTCTGCCCTGTCTAATATAGGTTCAATTGACTTCCTCCCCCTACCTGTGGAAAAACTGGTTTTATTCCATTTGCATGCTAATTTCAATATTCCTGATCTTTAAATATGTCTCTTCACATTCTCTTGAACCAGTTATAATATCTTCTGCATTCCGTCTTTGATTAATGGCTAGAATCAAATCTTTAACATGTTCATTTTTATATCTGTATGAGGGTCGTGATTTCACCCTTCTTTTGAAAATTATCTTGTAATGCCATTCTCCCTAGCCTTTATTCATCATTCATTTCCTAACTCTGATAGTTCTTTTTATTTTTAGAGAGGGTGATTATGCTTCCTGAATTCTGCATTTGATGAGCATAAATATTTTTACAGGCATGATGGGCCACAACATTTGGAATTGGGATGTCCCAGAAAATCTGATACGTGTGACTGTACAACAATATTTCTCATAGAACTATAGAGATGGAAAAGGTCTTAAGTTCTTCTTGTCTCCTTCATTACAGGAACAAAACTAATAAAAATCCAGAGAAATGGAGAATTTTTTCAAGATTGCAGAGATTTTGAGTAGTAACAGAATTGTGTATGAACCTGCTGGGGCTCAGAACATGATACTCCAAAGTATGGTGCTTTGGCATGCTGACTACTTTGAACTAAAGGAGATTGAAAGGCCTCAGAAGCAAGGTCTCTCTGAGCTTTTCCTGCTCCCCTGTCCCTCACTTCTTTTTAGTGAGCCATAGAAACCAGAATTCTTCTCCCTCAAAGCAAGCCAAAATCTTAGAAAGGTCACTCCCTCTCTTCTCCCTTGAAGACTACCATTCCATAAGGGTCCTATCCCATACCTGGGAGGAAGAAATGTTACACAGAGAGGCCAAAAAGAATCTAAACAGACAAGCCTTGCTGGGCTCCTACCATTCCCAGTCTATTACCATTAGATCATACTCTTTGGTCCAATCACATTTCCATATGCCTTGTCCATTCTTCATTAAATCTAAGCATAAAAATAAACAGCTTTCCTCGGGTCTTTGGGTCTTCTTTTCTGACAGTTCCCATGTTACGTAAAACTTTGATTGAATACGTTTGTTATGGTTTTGTCTCGTTAATCTCTTTTGTTATAGGAGTGTCCCTTATGATGGATGAGGAAAGTTATTATATCTTTTCTCCCTTGCAAACCCAAGACTGGCTAATTCCGGATTTCAGGGTCTTTTTTACTACAGTAAACTCTTTCTAAAGTGGGGCTAATAATATGAACCTAAAAACTAATGTAACAGTTAAATGACATCTGAATCTGAAGAACCTAATACCATGCCTCACTCATAGCAGAGGCTTCTGGTGTTCTCTCTCAATGAATACAATAAAATGAGAAAGCAAATGGCACCATTTCTGTGTCTGCTTGGTCAGCCAGTCTCGTTAACTCATAGGCACACTTCACATCTCATTTATGTTTCCCAGAATGATTAGACACATAATAAATGCTCGATAAAATTTTGTTGAATAGAATTGATTTGAGCAGAATGAGCAGTTATGTGAAGGAACCACAGCTGATTTTAAACAAAGACTCTTTTAACTCTAGAGATTGAAGGGAGAGCATGTTCTCATTGTGAATTGTACCCTAATCCTTACATCAACCATAAATTCTAAAAATAATCAAACTAGATTTTTGGTGAATGATTTATCATCTAGAACAATTGTGTTTTCTTTTAAATTTAAATTTAAGTTTTTTCTTTTTTTAGAGACAGGGTCCTGCTCTGTCTCTCAGCTGGAGTTCAGTGGTACAATCATAATTCATTGCGGCCTGCAACTCCTGGGCTCAAGCAATCCTCCTGCCTCAGCCTCCCAAGTAGCTAGGACTATAGGTACACACCACCTCACTTGGCTAATTTTTATATTTTTTTTGTAGAGAAGGGGTCTTGCTTTGTTGCTCAGGCTGGTCTTGAACTCTTGGCTTCAAGTGATCTTCCCACCTGGGGCTCCCAATGTGTGGGGATTTCAGGCTTGAGCCACCACCCACCCGGCTGCAATTGTAACCAAATATCCTGACCTACTTTCTGCTGAAAATCACCCTACTTTCCTCTTTACATAGAAATATTATCACAAATCCCTTTGAATGAGCAACTGCCTATTTTAGGAAATCAGTGACTGTACTTATATTGGTTACGGCTTCCTTCCTCAGCAAATATTCCCAGGTTGATCTTCAGTTCAGGCGAATGACGCTGGGCAGTATTCGCAAAGGCCCTCTATAGTATAGATGCCTGAGAGCTCTTTAGGCTGTGTGCTAACAATATTTTGATATACTCTGTTTTTCTCCCCCCTAGCTGTTTCCTTTACTGCCTGAGCTGTTTGGTCATGTCTGAACTGCTGCTGATGAAGCCTTTTCTGGCAGGTTGCCCGGGGAGCAGCTCTCCTGTAGATTCCGCCTCTCTCCAGGAGTTGCCTGCCTTCAGTATAATGGGCAACATTGAAAGCAGCAAGGCGTTCGGTCGACAAGGTCAGAGTGCCTTTCATTCCTGCAATAATCAACCAGTGTAGCTCTTCCTCAGACCTGGGGAGAGAGAAGATAGAGGTCAAAAGAGCAATTACATTTCACATTGACTCCAGAAAAGGCCTGGATCACAAGACTGAAAAGAAAAACGGATTCTAGCCTCATTCTTATCCATTCCTTTTCTGGCCATTTTTGTTATTAACACTGCCCTGAAACCATAACAAGTTTTAGCTTGATGACGTGAAAAACGCATTTTCTGCCTGCAGATGAGATCTTTCTTCTTAGACATTTAGCACTGTCAGCATATTGCAAAAGAATGCAAATGAGCTGCAGGATCTATAACCAGAGACAGTAAGCAAAGGCCATTAATTATGTTTTTAAAAAATGTTAACCCTAGCAGACTGTATAACAAGCAATTGTGCTAATTTCAATCTGTAATCAGTCCCAACATTAGCATAACTTTATTTATTTAGCATTAAGGCAACAATTTAGAGAATATAATTTAGTTGGAAATGTCAGTAATTTTGCAGTGGCAGATTGTTGTTACAAAGCTACCTCTATTTGACCTTACAGCTGCCAGGACTAATTACTTTAATTGCATTAATTGCACTGACCATTCTGGTGTTTAATGTAGTTGCTGTTACTCTTTAACCATTGAGCAGATCAGCCTGGCTGAATTCTCAGTAAAATGGGCCAATGCTCCTTTCTAAATCTCCTTTGATTCTTTTCTGCATTTTGAGAGCCCAGATAATTCACAGATTGCTAGTGTTCTCACTGAGACCATGAATTCTGAGGAGAGCTCTTGAAGGAAATAAAAATCTGTACTATATTACTGTATTTCCTAATGGATTCTTATTGCTCACTGCTGACTCGATTAAAGTACAATTAGTTCACTAATGACAAAGAAATGTGTAAGAAATGTTTGTGTCAGTTTCAACAGTAGATTAAAACTCCTTTATTTCACATTTTGGAATGAATTCCTATGAACAAGTCTGTATTCTTATTTCTGCCTTATAGACTGAACCCATAGCTTTCCCTAGGATTGGACTCAACACAAATTGAAATACACAGCTATGTCCTAATTTAAGATCTATGGCTTTGGGAATCTATAAAATAGATATTTCCTCCTGACAAGGAAAGTTTCACAGGACATTTAATAAATACTTTACTACCAGTGATACATCTATTAGTCAAAATGAAGAGCACTTGAAATATCTTTTTTTTTTTTGATACAGAGTTTCGCTCTTGTTGCCCAGGCTGGAGTGCAATGGCACAATCTTGGCTCACCACAACCTCCGCCTCCTGGTTTCAAGCGATTCTCCTGCCTCAGCCTCTCAGGTAGCTGGGATTACAGGCATGCGCCACCATGCCCAGCTAAATTTGTATTTTTAGTAGAGACGGGGTTTCTCCATGTTGATCAGGCTGGTCTTGAACTCCCGACCTCAGGTGATCTGCCTGCCTCGGCCTCCCAAAGTGCTGAGATTACTGGAGTGAGCCACGGCGCCAGGCCTGAAATATCCATTTTTATACATGAAATTATGGGCTTATGGGGCTTGGGCATGGTAGCTCATGCCTGTAATCCCACCACTTTGGGAGGCTGAGGTGGGAGGATCGCTTCAAACCAGGCGCTTGAGACCAACCTGGGCAACATAGAAAGATCATGCCTCTACAAAAAATAAAAATAAAAAATAAAAAATTAGCTGGGCGTAGTGGCCACACCTGTAGTCCTAGCGACTCAGTAGGCTGAGGTAGGAGGATTACTTGAGTTCAGGAGGTCGAAGTTACAGTGAGCTATGATCATGAACTGAAAACTGGGCAACAGAGCGAGACCCTGTCACTATACACACACACACACACACACACACACACACACACACACACACACACATATATATACACACATACATATATATACACATGTATGTATATACTCCGAAAGTCAGAAAAACTAGACTCAGCCAGTTCATCTGTCTACTGAAAGCAGGCAGCAGCTCCTCCTTGCTTCTTCCAGATGACCCTCAAATCTCTGGTTAAACATTTTAACTTTTTTAATTTTTTATTTTATTATTATAATTTTTTTTGAGAAAGCCAGCTGACTTTTTATTGCTTTGGGGGCAGGGACTCAGGAGTTCTTGGTGGGGCGGGTCCGCTTCCTCTTCACCATTACAGGCTTCCGGCTGTGCAGGGCGCTGGCCCTGCGGATGGCAGCCATGCGCAGGTCAGGGCATACTTGTTCTTCAGTATCGTGTGTCTGATGCTGCTGAGCGTGGCGCGAGCATTCTTGTTGATGGTGGTCCGCACATAGGAGGTGGCAGGCTTCCGCTGGCTGGATCTCCGCTTCATGACCACCACACCTCTGCTGTCGGCTGCAGGCTCCACGCCCACAGTCTTGCGGTGAATCAGCCCTTTTTAGCGAAGGAGTTGCGGGCCTTCAAGTTATTGGGCTCTGTGCTGTCTGTCTACTTCTTCCTCTTGATCAGGAAACTGGAGCAGTTCCTCACGACCATCCATTGCAGATGCGCAGACATGGCGGCGGCTTCTCTCGCAGCGGCCTCAGGGGCAATTTAAAAGGTAACACAGATTACTTTGTTCAACGATTTGAATTCCGAAACATTCTTTAATATAACAATATATATCTATCTGTTTTATTATAACTATTATTCACTGGATAATAATATTAATAATAACCAACATGCATTGTGTGACTGCTATGTTCCGGGCACTGTTTTAGGCGCTTGATGTGTATTAATTCATTTCATCCTCCCAACAATTCTATGCAATTATTATTATTAATGTTATTATACATAAAAGGTAATGTAATTCACAGTAGGGCCGGAATTTTAACCCTCATATTTGGGTCTAGAGCTTCTGAGCTTGACCTTGATGCTACATTGCCTCAGAATTGGATGACATTCTTCCTCTAAGGCTACACAGAATTGATAACCAGATTTCCTGCTATGTCAGTTAACTCCTAGCTAGCCATCTTTGATTCCTCATCTGGCAGAGTTCAGTTTGGCAACATTTTTCTTTAAAGTGAGGCACCCGGGTCTGAATACAATTTTCACACTCCAAACATGCAGAGTATTTCTTCAGGCTAAGCGCTACTCGTCTGAAGTTCTCAGCCCATATGTCACTTCCTTCTCCTGACCCCCCAGTCGGCCTTAGGAAGCCTCAGCATCAGCTCTGGTAGTACCACAAGGCTTTCTTTACTGGCATTAACACCCTGAAATTGAAGAATTAATCCAGATTCCCTGCCTTTCACAGGGACGGGAGGGGTGGCTCTATCCACAGTTTTCAACAGTTTCACTGTTAACTAATCAATCCCACACAAAACAAAACAAAACAAAATTCACAAAACTCTTGATTCCTTCAGATTTCAGCTCTATATTCAGATTACATGGTATCCCTAGAATGAGGAGGCAAATGAATAGCTCTACAGGTGTGTGGTTTTTTTGTTTTGTTTTGTTTTTAATTCATCTCTGGATCCTCACCAGGTGTGGAGCACTCATTGGAGACTTTCTGACAGGTAGTAAACCCTTCAGACATAGTGTTTATACCTTCCTCCAAGGCCCCTTTATAGCCAGCTATTTCCCTGAAAATAACCTGTGACTCTGATGAACCCGGATTCTCACTATGTCTCCAACACAGCTCCACTTTCTGTCTGCATGAATAGACTCATGTGGTTGCTCTCCCCTTTCCCATCCTCTTTGCTTTCTGCTTCCACAAAAGATGTGTGGAATCCTTTCCTTCTGTAAGTTCACCTTAAGCAGCACATCCAGTGCTTTTCTAGAGCCTTTGCAGTGGGTTATTCTGTCATTTCTGCCCTCTCAGCGCCTCTCCCCTGTGCCTCCTTTGCTCTGTTCCTCTGGACTGCCTCACTGTGTCCTTATTTCTTGTGTGGGCCATCACAGTAGTTGCCCAGCTTCCGGCTTCCAGTTTTCTTCACACTGCTGGCACTCGCCTATGGAAAATCACCCTGGGGCTCCCTGCCTGATAGAGAACACTTTTTGTCTGCAGTTGTCAGCCACATCTGCATTTTCAGTCTGAAGGTCATTCTTCTAGTGGAAAAGACAGAAGCAAAATGGAGTTAAGACATTCTATTTTCTCTTTGTCTCATTACCATTACATCATAATCTCTTAGAAATGTGGCTAACAGTTCCTTGTTGTTCTTACTCTGTACACATTAGTAAAAGTCATTTTTTAACCTTTTATTCAGCAAAATTGTGCTTATTTTTCACTTTATTCTATATGACACTATTCTTCTAGGTTTGTGCTATTGCATTGCTTTTGTTCTGGGCTACAAGTTCTTTGATCTTTGAAACATGCCTTTTGATATCTGAGCTCCAAGGAGAGTTCCCAAGCAACCATATTGATTTCTTTAGTTTTTCTTCCATATCTGGCTAATTTTTATTATATAGTTAGAATTTAATTTTCTAGTCCTTCTGGACCTATTTATACTCTTCTAGAAAACCCTCTGGCCATGGGACCAAACATATATTTTCTTTTAACTTTTTGAAATGTGCCTTTCCATAGTCTAGGATGTGTGTCAGATACTGCTCAGCCTGTCTATCTTTTGCTCAGATGGATTTTAAGGCTCTCTTACTTTCTCCCAAGGTTCTCAGCATTTCTTTGTTCTAAACCTGTTCTTTCTTGAAGATCGGACTCAAGTTCAGAGTGTCCTGCAAAGTTCAAGTTGACAGACTACATCTATTTATTTGCTCCAACTTCTGTTCCTGGAGGTGAGACGGGTCCCAAATCCTACACTGCTTAGTGATGATAGTTGGTCACACCAAGCTTTGGCTCCTGTGCACAGGCACTAGCAAAGAATACCAAGGAGCAAGGATGACAGCTACAGGGGAGGTACCCAGCCTCTTTACACTGGAATGAAGGCCGCCAGGTCAATGTGTTATCCGACATAAATGAATGTGGTCTCCTTTGCCCAGAGGTGTTCCTTTGATGGTATAGAGAAGGAGATGGCAAAGCAGAGGAGGCAAGGGGACCAACATGGGAGGAAGAGAAAGCAATGAGGGGTGGGGTGGGGAGGTGGGGGACTACCATCTACTGAGACTTTATTTTGTGCCAGGCACTGTGCTAGGCATTTACACACACCTATCACTTATTTCTCCTAATACTACTGTAACACATAGGGAAACCGAGCATGATATAAGTTGACTTCTGACAGTCACAGAGCTAAGGAATGTGAAAACCAGGAATTAAACCTATATTTGAAGATGACAGTTAGGATAACAACAGTAACACAATGCCAAAAAAACAAAACCAGAAACATACAGTTCATTGCAATACAGGTATCTCAAGTCATGTGCGTCACAAAAATAATAACCTTATAAAAAAGATATACGTGTACGTCAAAGCCTTATGACAAATTTCAAGAGAATAGCTATTTTACCTTACATTATTAATAATTTTGATGTATATTACTAGAATTTTGTTGTATCTACTTTGTTGAAAATTGTACCCTTTATTTGAATATTTTTGCTGGGCAGAGTTTTTTGTTTATTTTTAGTTTTAAATCCTATTGATGATACTTCTTAGCCAAATGGGAAGAAAAATAAATAACACCATAGGGATAGTTACATACTTTGTGACCTATAAAGGAACTAGTCTTCTTGGTACATTACTGTCAGCTAAACATATAAATGTTCTTTGAAAAGTCTGCTTCTAGATGTTAATGGAGGTATTGATTTTCACCTCTGTCTTTTTTTGATAATGCCTATTTACTGTGCTACCTCCTCATCTCCATTCTGAGCTCTGCTCTCTCAAGTGTTAGTGTCAGAGGCAAGTGCCAAAACCTAGGTGACTAAGTGGGTGTCAAGCCAGCTGCAGAAACAGAGGGAAGACTTAACTAATGGCACAGGTCTTCTAAGTCAATGGACCCTGTCTCTCCTAATTTCATTATCAATTCACCACAGGAACCTGACAGAGTCCGTATGCTAAGTCAAATTCAAAAGCTCAAAAATGAAAAGGGAAAAAAAATCCATTTTCAGAGTCAGGTAAAAACATCATAATTCAGAGAAAATCTTTAGTATTGATTGATAGCCGCAGACTCCTGTCCAAAGGTTTCCTCTTTAAATTAAGAATACTAATGATTTCTCATGCTGAAATTAATAATCCCAAAGCTGCACATATTCAAAAAAGACACTAATTGTTGTACTTCAACCAGGAAGTGCCAGTGAGCAGATGCCTAACCTGTTTCCTTCAGTGACTGAGGCTGATGACGTGTCATGGTGTTCCTGAGAATCATATGCTTCCCTGGGAGGCATTCTTGTGTTTGCCAAGAGGCCACCAATTTGAGACGGAATATCCTGTTTGTTGAGGCTTCTATAACATATGATCCAATGGCTCTCTGATAAACAGATTTGTTTAAGACAAAAGTTCTTGCCTAAGTCATTTGGAGACTGAATTGTGCTTGTGGAGGAGGCGACGCAGACCCCACATGGAGACAAGCCAGGGCGGTCTGGGGCTAGAGCAAGGCACTGATCAGTTCCAGAGGAAACCAGAGCTTTCCAGATAGCCACAAAGAATTGAAACCAGGAGAGAGGAAATAGCTATTTGTGGGGAATAGGAAATTGATATTGAGAGGAAATTGATACAGAAAGATACACAGATATAGTCATTTTGCTACTATTTTCATTTATTCTGTGCTATTGTATATATTTGTGTAAGCCACATGAAAATATTTTTAGAATTGTGTAAGGGTATGAATGAATAGGTAAAGTCTCTTTAAAATATTTTAATTTTTTTTTTTTTTTTGAGAGAAAGTCTCGTTCTGTTGCCTAGGTTGGAGTGCAGTGGCGTGATCTCAGCTCACTGCAACCTCTGCCTCCTGTGTGCAAGCTATTCTCCTGCCTCAGCCTCCCGAGTAACTGGGATTGCAGGTGTGTGCCACCATGCCCAGCTAATTTTTTCTATTTTTAGTAGAGACGGGATTTCACCATGTTGGCCAGGCTGGTCTTGAACTGCTGACCTCAAGTGATCCACCTGCCTTGGCCTCCCAAAGTGCCAGGATTACAGACATGAGCTATTGCACTCAGCCCGTTTTAAGTTATTTTACTGGCAAATACTATCATTAGAAATTAGGCCAGGTGCAGTGGCTCACAACTGTAATCCTAACAGTTTGGGAGGCTGATGTGGGAGGATTACTTAAGGCCAGGAGTTTGAGATGAGCCTGAGCAACATGATGAGACCTCACCTCTACAAATAATAATAATAAAAAAATTAGCCGTGTATGGTGGCACATGCCTGTAGTGCTAGCTACTCGTGAGGCCGAGGCAGGAGGATCTTGTGAGCCCAAGAGTTCAAGGCTGCAGTGAGCTACGATCATGCCACTGCACTCCAGTGCACTCAGTGACACACAGTGAGACCCTGTCTCAAAACATAAAAATAATAAAAAAAAACTTTGTTAGAAGTAAGTAACTTTGTTAGAGGAAAAGAGTAGTTAGAAACCTTTCCAGAGTTCCCTTACAGAAAAAAAGATAAAGAGGTACCTATGTTACTAGTTAGTTACCCATCTGTTTCTAGAAAGCTTTTTGTGTCAAAATATTGGAGTCTTTTGCAACAGCCTCAGAATTTGTTTTTTGGGGTAAGCCTACCATTTTGATTGGTGCACACATTAAAGAAATTTAAATTTAAAATGTATGCTCGAATACCCTTCTGTTCATCTATGTATTATGGGACTTTACTGTTTCTATTGTAATTAGTCATTCATATGCTATCTTCCCCACCAGAATGAGTTCCTGGTGGGATCACAAAGTCTCTAACCCCTGTAAAAGTCCCTAGAACAGAGAAAGTACACAGTAGACACTCTCTGGGGATTAAGTTATACAGTGTAACTATTTTGCAGAATAGTTACAAGGATTAAATAAGATGACATAAAATCCAACATGTATCTACAATAAATCACAATAGGAATTCAACTGTTAGTTCTCTCCCTTTCTTTGAACTAAAGAAAAGATATTTTTCAATTTGTAAAGCAGCGTAGAACACGAAATATCAAGTTTCACCTAAAAAATATATATATTCTATAGAACTTGGTTTGCTTTTAAGAATGATCATATTTGAGGCCAGGCGCAGTGGCTCACGCCTGTAATCCCAGCACTTTGGGAGGCTGAGGTGGATCACTGCAAGCCAGGAGTTTGAAACTAGCCTGGTCAACATGATGAAACCCTGTCTCTACTAAAAATACAAAATTTAGACTGGCATGGTGGTGCGCACCTGTAATCCCAGCTTCTTGGGAGGCTCAGGCAGGAGAATCACTTGAACCTGGGAGGCTGAGGTTGCAGTGAGCCGAGATCGCATCACTGCACTCCAGCCTGGGTGAAGAGGGAGACTCCATCCAAAAAAAAATCATATTTGATATATTTGGAAATTTAAAGCCTAGGGAGATGGACGGGAACAGAAAAAAAATTGGAAAACAGAAAATTTGGCTTTCTTGGCCGGGCGCAGTGGCTCACACCTGTAATCCCAGCACTTTGGGAGGCCGAGGCGGGCGGCTCACGAGGTCAGGAGATTGAGACCATCCTGGCTAACACGGTGAAACCCTGTCTCTACTAAAAATACAAAAAATTAGCCAGGCGTCGTGGCGGGTGCCTGTAGTCCCAGCTTCTCGGGAGGCTGAGGCAGGAGAATGGCGTGAATCCAGGAGGCGGAGCTTGCAGTACGCCGAGATCAAGCCACTGCACTCCAGCCTGGGCGACAGAGCGAGACTCCGTCTCAAAAAAAAAAAAAAAAGAAAGAAAATTTGGCTTTCTTCTTATCAATGCTTTGTGGGGAAACAGCCTTAGGAAACGGTTGGCCTCCCTTCTTCCAGCCTCTCTTGTCACTGCCTGGAACTAATCTGGATCTTTTGGTCCATCTTGGATGTACCTCCAGGCCACAGGCCCAAACTAAGGCTGAGGTACTTTAAAGGAGCAATGGGAGGTTTGGTGCCAATGGCTCAGATAAATATTTTCTCAGACTAAGTCACTTATACTGCATGAATTCCATGGATGAGACAGCCTCTGAGCTCTTCCTCTGGAGAGTTGCCTAGCATTTCCACCTTGCAAACAGATAAGCTTTTCCTCTGAAGTCAGGGCTGCTGAGGAACATCTATTTCTCCAGGTGTTATAAGGATAGGAAACCCCTGTAGAAGAAAATGCAACGTTGATATACAGAGGGAGGGAGCAGCAATTTGCACCTAAAATGTTTTTAGTCAGTTAAGGCCAAGCTATGGCTTTGGGCTCATAGGAGGAACAATTCCCCAGATATGGTAGACATAGAGATTTGTCAGACAATTTATGTGCAGGTTTAAAAATATCCTATGTGAAATACAAATAAAAAAGATAGTAACTGCTGTGCCACAAGTGGTCTGGTCTACTCTTGTGAAAATGACCATTAGGCTACACTGAATTTTCTTTGTGATTGATTTCCATCAGACCATAACTAGCTACAAAAGTGTGACCGAAGGATGTTTCTTTCTGAAAACAATGTCTACCGTTTTAATGATTTCCAAGCACATCTTTCTCCATGAAACTTCTAATCTCTTTAAATTGCTAGTGAAAGGGGTTTTAAAACATCTAGTTACTGATTCCTGCTTCTTAGAGCTGTAATTCAAAGAGGAGCAGTGCCTCTGATCACTTAGAAGAGACTTTGAGAAGTACCTCTACAAAGACATCTTAAAGTAAACAGAGCAATCTTACTCTGGTCTCTGTCTGTCACTGAGGCATACGTGTGGGAGGACTGATGGCAAACAGCACGGAGCTGATTTCAGTTACAAATAATTTAATCGTTTCTTCTTTCAAGGGGAAGCCAAACAAGGTTCTCCGGAATTTTCTCTGTCTATCAACAAAATGATCTGGTCATCTATGTTCTTTCATTTCAAAAACTGGGACATATTCCAGACTCTGTGGTCTGTCCAGAAATCCCAAAAAATGAGTCCAAGAATCTGAGTCAGGTGTTAGCACCGACCAATTTGTTGGCCTCAGGGTTTTCATTAAAAAGGCAATATGGGCTGGGTGCGGTGGCTCACACCCGTAATCCCAGCACTCTGGGAGGCCTAGGGAGGAGGATTGCCTGAGACCATGAGTTTGAGACCAGTGTGGGCAACACAGTAAGATGCCCCCCACCCCCTATCTCTACAAAAAGAAAAAAGTCAGTATGTTTAAATATCACTCTGACAACCAATTCTAAACACTTTTGGCTCTATTCAACCTAAAGATTGATATTTGACCATATAGATTAATAGTTCTCATTGTCTGCACTTCAGAAACACTGAAGACCTTAATAAAGAAAAGAAAAACGAAGGGAAGAGAATAATATAGATACATAATGAAAAAAATTCAATCCACACAAAAAAGTATACAGTGAATTAATGCTCTCTCCCATCCAAGCTTCAGTTTTCCAGTCTCTAACTCTCTTTCAACTGGGATTAAAAAACATACAGATGCCCAAACCTCCCCTCATTCCCACTGGGTCAGTATCCTCTGGCATGGGTACTTCTGGTAAGTTCCCTGGGTGATCCTATTGCCCAATCAGATTAAGAACCACTGACTTTGATGGTGTGGCAGAATTCCTGGACCTCATGCTGGTGGGAACAGTATAAGATGCGTGGGTCTGGGGACTCACTGAGTATCAGACTTTAGAATTGGAGAACCCTTATTATGTGCACTTGTTAGGGTGAAAAGGTTTTGTGGTACTTGCTTAAGAGGCAGTTTAATATAGTCAAGACAAAACAACACTACAACAAAACAAACTTATGACTTGGGATGTAAGAAAAATCACTAGATATGACTTTACCAATACTTCGTTGTATGACATTGCCATCACATTGGAAAACTTAGGAGGCTGAAGTAAATGAAAGTGTAATGTTTACCTTGCTAATATTCTGTAGTGTAAAAGGTAGATGACCTACCCTGGATCAATCTATACTTTTTTCCTAACACTACCTGGTTTTGTTCAGGTACCTAAGCCCTCTGACATAGCCCAAAAACTTCAAGGGAAGCTGACTCCCACATGGCCTATGGGTGAGGCGGATTGATTGAGGGATAAGTCCTTTTCTCTTTAGGAATGGGTATATGATCCAGTTCCAGAAAATATAAGATGCTGACAGATTTGTAGGAAGTTTCTGAAACTATGAGGATCTAGTTCCTCCCTCCCACCAAATGTGAACAAGAAAGCACCAGAACTCTGACTGGTACTGTGGCCATTCTGTGATTAACGTGGAGTGGACTTTAGTACTGGGCTTTCACTCTGAAGGCAGAGTGAACAGACTAATAGAACCCAGACCCAGGTCGATGTATTGAACGATGTCATCCAACAATGCTGAAGCCCTCACTATATCTGGACTTTCTGATAGATGAGCCAATAAATCTATTGTTTAAACAATTCTGAGCTTAGTTTTCTGTTACTTGAAGCTGAAATCCACCTCAGTAATCCGTCTTATTTAAGTCTAAATCCCTCACTCAAGGTCTTAATTCATTCCCTGCTTTCAGGTATCTTTCATTAGCTTCTTGGCAATTTACCTTGTTTTTATGTTTTTTTTTTTTTTTTTTCAGTTTTATGACCTCCACTCACCCTGATAACTTAGTGACTACTAATCTGCCATTTTTATCATCTCTTCTCTGCCTACTCTTGGCCCATCACAAATTAGCATTTAGACGCGTTGAAGTTTACGTGTATATATCTATATAGCTCTTGTTCACAGTAAGGGGATACTTTACTAGTGACAAGTGGAGAGGAAGCTAATGTACAGTCAGTCACCCATTTTAGAAATCTAAATTGGAAATTGTAAAAGAAATTTCCAATGTCCACTTCCTAGCTTTAATTAAGTAAAGGACCATTTGAATCCTGATGCTAAAGGATCAAGAAATAGATTATTTCATGCAGAATGTAAAAGTTCTTTCTTCTTACCTTGGGGAACTGATTTTATAGGAATTCAGGGGAAGGAAGGGAGGGAGGGAGGGGAAAATCCATTTTTTTCCTAGTTTTACATCTCAGGGCGTTTTCACGTATAACTTCAGTTAAGTCTTACAACAAGTCTGCAAGGTAAGTAACTTTTATCTCCACTTTATGTTTGGGGGCAACTGAAGCTTAAATAAATAATGTTCTCAAGGCCACTCAAATGTGTGTCAGAGCCAGATTTACACCAAGGACTGTAAGACTCCAGAGTCATATATTCTCTACAACTTAAACCTCATCAGCTCTTTGCCCTATCCCTGGCAAGTTTTTCTGACTTTTGCAGTCTTCTCCAGTGGTCTCTTTACTGAGCAAGTGGTCAGTGTCATGGCGACGGCCTTCTAGCTTTGGGCTGCTTGTGGCTTCCATTCCTGGGTAGTTCTGCCCTTCTCCTCAGGCCCTTGGAAGCCAGTGATAACGCCCGGCTGCTTCTCTCCCAGGCAACTCTGGTAAATACAAGGTCACTGAATAAATGGCTGGTTCCCATCAAATATTTCCCTGACTTGATTCCCCTACCATACTTCGGTGGTCTTGTGGTCGCCACATATGAAATTATAGCCCTGGTTATAGTCACCAACCTGGTCTTGTGGATCGTTGCAATTGATTGAATTGTTCACAAATACCCACTACTTGTTTTTATGCTGCATATTTTCTCTGTTTTCTCTTAAGTAATATGTCTCAGCTCTTAGTGAAACCTGCCACAGTGCCCAGGAACACACATTTATATACTCTCTGACATGTCAAGCTTAAAGTATGATGAATCACCCTGAGCAGGCTGGGGTGGCTCTCTTTTTAGAATTATTCCCAACCACGACATCAGAACACTGTAATAATATGGAGAGAAAGTGGATGGGAAGAAGCATTGACAACAAGGAAAGAAAGAAGGGAGGGAGGGAGGGAAACAGATCTGGAATGGTTGAACCTATAGAACTGCTGATACGATTTTATCAATTCTATTTACATAGACATTGTTTTGGCTCAGTGATGTCAATATCAGTACTTCTGAAAATTATATTTAGAGGGTAACAATGTAACGAGATCTAGACATCAACTCAAAGATAAAAGCAGAATTTTCTTTTGGAGTTGCCAGGGGGCATCTGGCCATTCTTATTGAAAAAAGCAATGTCCTGATTTTCTTATTTCTCTCCCACTACTTTACCACCCCCAGTAGTTTGAGGGACATGGGGAAGGAAGAGCACAGATCTCCACATTTCTTGAATGTTTCTCATATGCTAGGAATGTTCATGTCTGTGAATTCATTTGATCATCACAAAAACTGTTCAGTGAAGGTAGGTGAAAATTATTATCCCTGTTTTTTGTCCTTAAGATAAGGGAGGCACATAGAAATTGAGTAATGTTCCCTACCATTGCTAGTGAGTGACTAAGTGGAGACTTGGACCTCCTCTTGTACCAGGCCCTTTGATATGGTTTGGCTGTGTCCCCACCCAAATCTCATCTTGACTGTAGCTGCCATAATCCCCACATGTTGTGGGAGGGATCAGGTGGGAGGTAATTGAATCATGGGAGTGGGTCTTTCCTATGCTGTTCTCATGATAGCGAATAAATCTCATGAGATCTGATGGTTTTATAAAGGTGACTTCCCCTGCACAGGCTCTCTTGCCTGCCGCCACGTAAGACATGCCTTTGCCCCTCCTTCACCTTCTGCCATGATTGTGAGGCCTCCTCAGCCATGTGAAACTGTGAATTCATTAAATCTCTTTCTCTTTATAAATTACCTAGTCTCAGGTATGTCTTTATTAGCAGCATGAGAACAGACTAACACACCCTTCACGTGCATTGTCTCATTTAATTTACACAACACTTTGATGAGGTAGGTAAAATTCTCTCATAGTTCTGGAGGCCAGAAGTCTAAAATCAAGGTGTCAGCAGGGCCATTCGCCCTTCAACGGCCCTAGAAGAGAATCCTTCCTTGCTTATTCCAGTTTATGGTGGCTCCTTGTGTTCCTTGCCGTGTGCCTCTGTTTTCATGTGGCCTTCTTTCCTGTGTCTCTGTGCCTTCTATTCTGTCTCTCCCAAGACACTTTCATTAGCTGAAGGCCAACTCTAATCCAGTATGAGCTCATCTTGGTCTTTTTTTTTTTTTTTTTTTGAGATGGAGTCTCGCTCTGTCGCCCAGGCTGGAGTGCAGTGGCATGATCTCGGCTCACTGCAAGTTTTGCCTCCCGGGTTGACTTTTTTTTTTTTTTTTTTTTTTTTTTTGAGACAGGGTCTCACTCTGTCTCCCAGGCTAGAGTGCTGTGGTGTGATCTGGGCTCACTGCAAGCTCTGCCTCCTGGGTTCACACCATTCTCCTGCCTCAGTCTCCCGAGTAGCTGGGACTACAGGCCCCCATCACCATGCCTGGCTAATTTTTTGTATTTTTAGTAGAGATGGGGTTTCACTGTGTTAGCCAGGATGGTCTTGATCTCTTGACCTCGTGATCCGCCCACCTTGGCCTCCCAAAGTGCTGGGATTACAGGCGTGAGGCCACCAAGCCCAGCCAATCATTTTCTTAATTATATCTGCAAAGACCCTTTTTCCAAATTAGATCACATTCTGAGATTCAGGATGGACAAGGATTTTGGGGAAATACTACTCCATCCACTAGAGGAGGTCAGGAAATCGTACGCTTAAGTTCACAGCTATGTGGCTAAGAATCTAATTACTACCCTTGTTTATTTGATACTAAGTCTTGTTTATAACCACTTCAGAGACAACCCTGGGGATACACAGAGTTAAGTCGTGGGCTTTGCATGGGGCTCAAAGATTTGCAATAATAGTTAGAAAGGAGAGCTAGAATAACAGTTAACTAAAATTAATGTGGCTCTATTTGAGGGCCCCCCACCTAGCAAGTGTGGTAGTGTGGAAATGATAAAAACTGCATGAAGATCTTTGGTGAAACAATCAAAGCTGAAGAACCATGTCTTAGGGGACTCTATTGGGAAAGGGATTAATGTAATGGAGACTATGACAAGTTACTGTGATGGCATAGAACTTAATGCTAAGGCAATAAAGTGAGAAGCTCCCAAGAGTTCACAGGCTTAGAAAATAAATACAAGAGTAGAAGATTTTAAATGAATTAGTGAACACAACATTCTTGGATATTCTTAAGCATTTAAGAAGATCGATAAAAATTAGGAATTACTTTTTTGCACTGTGCTTCTTTAGTGGAGATACATTTGCAAAACTGGTCTTAATTTTAGTCATTGATTTGTAAATATTATACACGGATTATATAGAACTTAGTAGAAATTTCTAGCCGTTCTGCTGTAAGTTTTCTACCCTCTTTCCCAAATCTTGGGAAGAAAAATCATGATTCAGAAATTAGGAGAAAGAATCAAAGAAAGGTCAGAAAAGGTGGAGGGGAGGAGAGGGCATCGAACCAATCTAGCTAATGAAAAACACAGACAAGAAATATGATAACATGGAAATCAGATTTACAATGGTGAATTAAGTCTAAAATTCAAAAGCAGTCTTTACAGTCACTTGCGAAACATTTTTCTTTGATTTCCTTACAAACTTCCTTCTGTTGATAAATTGCAGCATTTTCACCATGGAATGGTTAAGCACTACATTTGGGGCATCCATCACTGAGCGAATCATCCAAATCTAACAAAATGAACATTGTGGTAGTGCTGCTGCAATTCTAATGCCCTGGGAGTCTTCAAGGTGCTCCAGAGAAAGAAAAGGAAAAACTCTGTTGTCAAATGTTTGGAATCAATTAAATCAAAGTAAGACGATCTTGGATTGTATTTATGAAGTCATAAAAACATTTTATCAAAACAGTCATCTAGAGAGTACTCAAGAAACTAAAAATAGAACTACCATATGATCCAGCAATCCCACCTGTGAGTACATATCCAAAAGAAGTGAAATCAATATATTGAGGCAACATCTGCACACCTAAGTTCATTGTAGCATTATTCACAATAGCCAGGATATGGAAATGACCTAGTGTCCATCAGTGGATGAATGGATAAGGAAAATGTGGTATATACACACAATGAAATACTACTCAGCCTTAAAAAAAAAGGGGGGGGGATATCCTGTCATTTGCAACAACATGGATGAATCTAGAGGACATTATGCTAAGTGAAATAAGCCAGGCACAGAAAGACAAATACTGTATGATCTCACTTATATGTGGGATCCAATAAAGTTGAACTATGGTTACCAGCGGCTGGGGTGGGGTAAAAGGATGGGAATGGAGGAAATGTGGAATTGTTAATTAAAGGGTACAAAGTTTCAGAGAGACAGGGAAGTTAGGTTTTGAGATCTATTGCACAGCAGGGTGACTCTAGTTAATAATAACTAGGAGAGTAAATTTCATACGTCTCACCATAAAAAATGATAGGGAAGGTAGATGATGGATATGTGAATCAGTTTGATTTAATCATGCCATGTTGTGTACATATATCAAAACATCACATTGTACCCCATAAATGTGCACAATTATGATTTGTGAATCAAAATAATTTTAATACTAAATTTTTAAATTTCTTCAGGTACCTCAGAAAGGACTCTCTTTCATTAAGAAGTATAGAAAGTGTTTATATATATGTGTCTACTTATGAGGCTAAGAGGGAAAATGTGTTTTTATTTAAGCCTGCCGTTTAAACAATGGAGAGAATAGGCCATCCATTAAGAGTTTGATCCCATCCAACTAGCATCATGTATGAGAACTTATTTGTCCCTTTCACATTTATACTCTAGCCCTGATTTTGCTTGGCAACTTACTGGAGAATTTTCAGTATCTTGAAAGCTCCTTAGTATTTTGAGAATGGCACTGAATTGTTTCCCTTGTAACAGATTTAGCAAGTGAAAAATGGAGGGTTTTTTTTCCCCTCATTTTCAGACATAATCTTGGCAGAATGTTTAAAAGAAAGATAAACAAAATGTCAGGAACACTTACAAAAGAACACTGCAACAGAGATGCAAGAGGTGGCAGGGAACAGAATAAATGGATATTGTCATACAGATGGCAGCTGCTGCTAGATTGTCCAATACAGTGATATTTAGTTTTCTTCCATGGACACTGAACTCGTTTCAAATAGCCCTGACACGGCAAAAGTGGAAAGGAAGCGCCTTTCCTTTTCTTCTCTGCCACATGGGGTAAGTCATAAAGTCATTCTTGGTACCACGGACTCATCTATTTCCAGAGAGGTTATGAGTGTAAGTGGGAGAATAAATGTTTAGCTTCCCAAATCACCTTGTTCCCTGGGAGGTTTCATCAAACCTAGCAGAATCTGTATGGATGCTCCAAATCTGTCTGTTCTAAGCACCCACAGATGTTTTCTCTTGGCACTCATAATAAGGATCTAGGATTAAATGTTACCATTTAATAATTAATTCCATTCAAACTCTCCCTCCCTTCTGTTGAAGGCTGGCACTCTGGTATAACTGCTGATGTGCTGACATCCTGGAACACCCGAAGTGCTGATTTCCATGCTATTTGTAACATTATATTCAGGATAAAAGTACTTTAATTTCCCAAGATGTAGTATTGTAGTTTTCATAAACTGGACCATATGCTGGGATGTGTTCATACACCTGCAGTTAGTTACATTTATATGTAAAAGTTGTCAGTTGATTTCTTTCAAAGAAATTGAGAATGTGGATTCTCTAACATTCTCCTAAATTATTTTCAATGTGAAATCCCTATGCCTTTATTAGACATATAATATGTTATCACAGAATTATACAAGACTCCTGTTTCTGAATCAGGAATCATCGTCCTCTTTTAAATCACACTACACATCTATAAAATTTTAACATTTGAGGAATCTGAGTGAGAGGTATCCATATAGTCTTTATATTATTTTCTCAACTTTTTGGTAATTCTGAAGTTATTTCAACACAAATCATTAAAAAATTACACTAAATATATGAAGTAGCTTGGTATATTCTTTTAAAATAAAACATCTTCTGTTTTATCTAAAAAAATCTGTCATTTTATATACAGAAAACATGTAGTTTAAAGGTTCTACCCCGCTACCTATAGAAACATAAAGTAACAGATATGTTTGTTGTGTAACTAACAAGGTCACAGGCTGTTCAGCTGCTGGAGCAAACTCGATTAAGCCCGTGATAATCTTTTGAAAGATTGTAATTTATCTCCATTTGAAGGGCATTATCTTAGTTCTTCAGCTATCACAGGGAGCAAGGGTAACAAATATTCAGTGATGAATTTTTGAAAGCTGTAGTCAGATCTTGTTCTCTTAAACCCTTCTAAAGGGCTGTCAAAAGGCAATGAAATAAAAATTGTCAAATTTATCCACAGACTTACATAATGGCTGTTATCTGAGAAAGTGGTTTATGATTCATACAGTCACTACCTTTACTTAAGCAATTTCTTGTTTGTGTTAGATTGAAAACAATCTGTTCCCATTGCTCACGTGGGAGAGATTACCACAAAAGGCTCTTGTTTACTTGCAATAAGAAGCTATGAGACACAAAATCCATGAAGAGGGGATCTATACTCTCAAAACAGTGTGGTACTTTCATTAAGGGTCAGCATTATTGACCACCTTTTTACCGTGTTTTCTTGATTTAAATGTAGATTTTGGAGTCTACAAGTAGCTTTGAATATTTGAAATGGATTTTGAAACTAATTTTTAAGGAGGACGAGAGGAAAATAACTGATTTAGTATCTTCTGCATGGTAGGGGCTCTGCTTGGTAAACAGGTTATTTTTATTGAATTTTGCGAACAACTCCCATGAGGTATATATGATTTACATCTTACAAATAAGCACATTAAACACGGAAGCTGAAGTACACAGCACCCATTCACATTGTGAAGTCATTGAGAATTGAATTGGGGAAATATTCACCACAAAGATATATCTTTCCACTACTATCTATGCTTGCAACTGTTTGTATTTTCTTCCACTTTCTGTTGCTTATAACAGAATACCTGAAACTAGGTAAATTATAAAGAAAATGAATTTATTTCTTATAATTATGGAGGCCAAGAAGTCCAAGATCTAGGGGCTGCACCTGGCGAGAGCCTTCTTGCTGCTAGGACTCTCTACAGAGTCCCCAGGTGGTGCAGGGCATCACATGGTGAGGCGGCTGAGCATGCTAGCTCAGGTCTCTCTTCCTCTTTTTATAAAGCCACCAGTCCCACTCCAGTGATAACCCATTAATCCATGAACCCATTAATCCATACATAGATTAATCCATTAAGGATGGCAGAGCCCTTATAACCCAATCAACTTAAAATTTCCACCTGTCAATACTGCCACATTGGGAATTAAATTTCCATGTGGGTTTTAGAGGGGATAAATGTTCAAACCCTAGCAGTTTTAAAAATGTTTTTGTACAATTTTGTCCGATCATTTGCTCAAGTGAGTGATTTTTTTCCCATCTATGCTGAGAACAGTTTCTTTGAGGTGCAATATTGCTATGATGTAGATATTCAAGTGGCCTGAAAAGCCTCAGTAACACTCAGTAAGTGTGGCCTCACTGATTCTCAAAAGAGTAAAATAAAAGTGGGGGATGGGGAGGGAGAAGAGGAACTGATAGGCCATTCCAGTGTCTTGTGTATTTAGAATGCACAGACCCACTAGCTTTAAAATATTACTTTATGTAACTTAACTTTTTGCTAGTTAGACTTGGGAAGGGTGATGAGAGAGATGGAGTATGGCAAGAGTAGTGTAAGAGACATACAATTCAACTTTCTGTAAAAAAGTAAATGCATAATCTTTATACACGGTTTTTCAGTTGTCTGTAAAGCCAACCACATAATTAGGCCAAGTTATTTGAGCACAGGAGAGAGACCAAGACTACCTTGTATTTTTGATAGACTTGGTTTAACTTAAAAATGGAGAATGACTAAGACAGGCTTATAAACATTAAAGTAATTTAGAAACTTACATATTTACAAATTAAATGCTTTTACCCACAAAATATCAAATGCAGCATAATTATGCTATTCATAAGATAGTAATAGGATTAAATTTTTTTTTTTTTTGAGACAGAGTCTCACTCTGTCACCCAGGTTGGAGTGCAATGGCATGATCTTGGCTCACTGCAACCTCCGTCTCCCAGGTTCAAGTGATACTCTTGCCTCAGCCTCCTGAATAGCTGGGATTACAGGTGCGTGCCACCACGCCGGGCTACTTTTTATATTTTTAGTAGAGATGGGTTTTCACCATGTTGGCCAAGCTGGTCTTGAACTCCTGACCTCGTGATCTGTCCACCTTGGCTGCCAAAAGTGCTGGGATTACAAGGCATGAGCCACTGAGCCTGGCCTAAAAATATTTTTATTTGTAATGTAGTACAGGTGGTGTGGTCTAGTAATAAGAAGTAAGCTTGAAGTAGGGTACTAGTCACACAATTGTGTACATTTGTCAAAATTTATAAAATTGTGTACTTCAAAAGGGTAAATTATTTCTTGATGTAAATTTTACTTCAATAAACCAGACTTTTCTCTTTTTTTTTGAGACGGAGTTTCGCGATTCTTGTGCCTCAGCCTCCCGAGTAGCTGGGATTACAGGCGCCCGCCACTACACCTGGCTAATTTTCTTTGTATTTTTAGTAGAGATGGGGTTTCTCCATGTTGGCCAGGCTGTTCTGGAACTCCTGACCTCAGGTGATCTGCCCACCTCAGCCTCCCAAAGTGCTGGGATTACAGGTTGAGCCACGCCTGCTTTCTAAGGCCCTAAAGATCTTCATGAATATTGGTGGCATTATTTTGTGTTGGTCAATTCCATGAGAGGGTCTACACTGGATCTTCTAAACTTCTTAGATCCTCTTTCATCTTGAGAGTAGTTATAGAGGTTCTCTAGAAGCTCAGCTTTTTGGTGGCAGCTTTTTGGGGCATAATCTTCACTAAATACAAGAACATTTCTACCTTGGGCCTATCCTGAAAAAAATGAGGGGCAAAGCTGACCTACCTGGAAAAGCATATTTGTTCAATTATTGTTCCTTTTGCTTAGAGAGGAACAATTGCTTTTCAGATTCATTTCTTCTGTGGATAGACACAATTTTAGAGTTAATTACTCTTCAAAATAAAGTTCAGACTCTCAAAAACAAATCTTACTAAATCCGTAGTAAAAACAATGTTACTATACTTGAAGCCTTTGACAGAGCGATAGATACATAAATTTTCCTTTAGACTAGAGAAGTATTTACAGTCTCTTAACTAGTTATTCTTATTCCTAATTATGGATTTATTTTATTATATGAAATTCATTTGCAAACTAATTGTATAGAACTAACAAAATATCCCAGACATTATGGATTTCTTCAGTTGTTTAAATTTCAGTTTATAAATTTGGTAATAAGTCAGTCCTTGTGTCATATATAAAAATAGAGTAAGCTATATTATCACATTTCTCCAGAAAATTGGCTGAAGTCTGTTATCAGTCAGTTAAAATAAAAATGCACAAGTATGTGGAAATACCATTCTTTTCTATGAAATTTAGCCAACCTTAGAAATAATTACATAATGTTAATGGACCACGAAATTTCTAAAATCCTCTAAAGTTTCACCTAGATGATTTTGGTACTTATCTCTGGTAGGGATGCCCTGCTCTTTTTCTATATCAGAGGGATTTTATTGAGTTTCCTCTTTTTTTTTTTTTTTTGGTTCAGGTATGATGATAGGGCTGGCCTGAACCAGCTTGTTCATTAGTAATTTCTCCAGTGGGAGAAATCTGTAGGGCTACTACGTAGACCAGGAGCATGCCAACTAGTGCAATGGATTGTTCCTACGAACTGATTTTCCATTTTTAGGATTTTGGTGAGCTGATTGTTAAACACAGTCATTCTTCAAAATTAGATTATGCAAGTTTTAAATTAAATAAATGATGTTAAAACAAAGATAATATATTAAAATCGACCACCTCTTAATTATTTCCATGTTCTTGAGGTTATCTCCATCTATTGTAAGTGTATGATAGAAATGTAATATAATGGTGTACTGCTTCATCTTTCCCCAACTCTGTGTGCAATGACATTGCCTTGGTAGCTTGAAACTGACCATCATAGATGGGAAATCAGCAACACAAAAACTCGAACTGTCTATCCTCCCACACTGTAAACATCTATCCTTTCTTGTCCCCAAGGGCTGTTAGCATTTACCAGCACATTTAACAGCTTTCTATTTAAAGCTAATGGGACAAAAAAAACAAAACAAGCAAAACCACACACACACACACACAAACCCCCAGGATATCTAAGCCCTATGACTGTAACCTCTCCTACCCATACTACTGAATATAGTTAGTAGGTATTATCATTACACAACTCTATTTATAGAAACTATCCATTCATCCATCCCTTCATTTATTCAATATCTACTTAGTGTTGTTATGTAAAGTGTTGTGCTAAGCATTGCTGTAATGGGGGTGGGAGGTAAGTAGATACTATACAACTCAACAAAGAAACTGTTGAGTAATGGAAAGAACACGAGCTTTGGATTCAGAAGGATCTGGCATATGAATACAACCAGTTAGAGTGACCAAGAACTCTGCATTGGAACATTTGGTCATGCTGCAACTATAATACTGAACAGTTTTGAAAACTTGGGCTAGTTACTTTGCATCTCTGAAACAGTTTTACCATGTGCGGGAAAAAGCCATTTTTTAAGAGCCTTTGTGAGGATTAGGATTATATATGGGCACCCTGTTTAGGACAGTGCCTACATAGGTAGGCAGTTAGGACAGTGCCTTACATATGTAATATGCTCAATGAATGAGAGCTTTCAGAATTAGTCACAATAAAATCCAATATAAAATAGGCAAAGAACACTTTTGCAGGAGTTGAGATATAAGGTTTTTTTCTTGTTTTTTGGGTTTTTTTTTTTGAGACAGAGTCTTGCTCTGTTGCCAGGCTGGAGTGCAGTGGCGCAATCTCGGCTCACTGCAACCTCCACCTCCTGGGTTCAAGCGAGTCTCCTGCCTCAGCCTCCTGAGTATCTGGGACTACAAGCGCCCACCACCATGCCCAGATAATTTTTAGAGACGGAGTTTCACCATGTTGGCCAGGATGGTCTCGATCTCTTGACCTCATGATCGCCCACCTCAGCCTGTATCTTGCCCATTATCAAACTATTTCTTGCTGCCATATTCTTTTCTAGTATTTGACATCTTGATTTTCAGAACCTGGTCAATCTTACCATAAAAACCTAGCTGCCATTTCACACCTCTGCTCTGACTGGCTCAAGGCCTGCTCTTCTTTAATGCCTATAGCTGGGCAGAATGAAGCAGGTATTTAAATACTGATCTCTAAATATTTTAATAGAATGATGTATGTGTTCAGCTTATCTATTAGTGGGGTAAATTGTAATGCGAGAAGAGAAAATCAAGTTACAATACCTACATTGCAGATTTTCAGTGAGGCTTAAAAGGCATGAAAAATTCCCTAATGTTAGTAAATACTCAAGAAATGCTGGTTAATATTTCTACTTCTGGTCAATTGCTTTCCAAGTCGAAACAGCTGATAAAATTCTATACATTATACATTATGTTATTCATATTATGAAAATGTTAAGTCTTTCATTTCACAATATTATTAGCCAAGAGAATAAAGGTTTGTAGTGACTTAAAGATCTTGAAAAGCGACATACTGTTTTGTTTAAGAGGGAGGAAAAAGTCCACATAGAAGGTGATTAAAAAATACCCACATTGATCATCAATCAAACCATAAAGGGAATATAAGAAGAGCATCACTCGGCCGGGCATGGTGGCTCACACCTGTAACCCCAGCACTTTGGGAGGCCGAGGAACATGGATCACAAGGTCAGGAGATCGAGACCATCCTGGCTAATACAGTGAAACCCCATCTCTAGTAAAAATACAAAAAGTTAGCCAGGCGTGGTGGTGGGCGCGTGTAGTCCCAGCTACTCGGCAGGCTGAGGCAGGAGAATGGCATGAACCCGGGAGGCAGAGCGTGCAGTGAGCCGAGATCGCGCCACTGCACTCTAGCCTGGGTAACAGAGTGAGACTCCATCTCAAATTAAAAAAAAAAGAAAAAAAAGAGAAAAGCATCCCTATTGTTTGGAAGCCTTTTGCATAGTAGGTAAAAATATAATTTTGAATAGATATTAAAATTAGACACATGCAAACATTGATCTCACTGTTGAGGAAGTGGCTTCAAGAAAAGCTTAAATTGTTCACCTTCCCCTTCCTTCAGGGGAATTACTCTTATTATTCTTATTTTGTGTCTTGATACCATAATGCTGTGATCATAGATGCTGAATGATCACTCCTTTTTGGGGAAAAATGTGAGGAAACTGAATGGCTCCCTGGAGAAACCCTTTGGTGACAGGTAGCAAATCTGGTGTCTTAGCCTCCAAAGTAGCCCCCAGTCATCTTCACCTCCTGGTGTCCACACTTTTGTGTAGTTTCCTCTCCCATTGAATCACAGCTGCTCAGCATGGCTAATTAAGTATGGCAAAAGTGATGGTGTATGATTTCTGAACCTAGGTAATGAAGGGTGGGTTTTTAGATAAAATACAGTATATCCAATTAACTTTGAATTTCAGATAATAAAAATTTAGTGTGTGTCCCAAATATTGCATGTGTCATGCTTATACTAACACTTCATTTATTATTTACCTGAAATTCAAATTTAACTGGGTGTTATGTAGTTTTATTTGTGAAACCTGGCAGCCCTATAAAGGGCATTTTGGCTTCCACCTTCTTCTTTTAAATTGCTGTTTATGTTGTGAGGACACTCAAATAGACTTGTGGATAGACCCAGTGTGGAGAGGAGCTGAGGCTTCCTACCACTAGCCAGCAGCGATCTGCTGCCTATGTGAGACGGCAACCTTGGGACCACTGTTATGGCTCAGATATCTCTTTATGTAACACAATTTGTCTCTTACTTCTTGTTTGTTTGATTATATCCTTAGTGGCTACTCTAGCCTGTGGGTTCCACTAGAACAGTTATATGAGTTTTGCTCCCCATTGTGCCCAAGTGCTTAGTACACCACAGTGCCAGGCACTTGATTGGTTTCAGTTTTGTAAAATGATGTAAAATGTGCTCTGAGCCTCACTGTCTTCATCTATAAGAAGGGATAAAAATGGTATCCACCTTATAGGGCTGGTGTGAAGATTAAATGAGTTAATATGCTTAGAAATGTGCCTGGTACATAAGTTCCAAGGCTCAGTACACATGGGAAGAAGCTTCCTTCTCAATAATTAGCTTGCAATAGAATCACCTGGAGGTCTGGTTAAAACTCTAATTACTCTGATTACTGGGCCTCAACCTCCTGAGATTTTGATTAAGTAGGTCTGGGAGTGGCCAGGTGATGCTGACACTGCTAATTTTGGGACTGAGCCTCTGCTTTAGCTTAATGCTTTCCATGACTGTGACCATGCTGTGAGAGTGCCTTCTCATTTCTGTTTATAAATGATTTGTGTTGGCTGGGTGCAGACCTCAGCTCCAGCAGAGCTGTCAAGAGTGTGAAGTCTGATTTCTCTTAACTCAAGCAGGCATAGAAGTCTCTGATTTATTTCTGGCTATAATCAATACCTCTAGGCTAAGGGATGATCTTAGCCAGCAGGAAGTCTAAAATAGTAGAAAGATAGCAGCCTCTGTTCTAAATTCAGAGGTGAGCTCTGTTCAACTACTGCCATTTTTGCTGGCTCCTGGGCCCTGATCTTAGCCTGTTTGAAGTGCTAAATATATACATTCAGCTGAAGTCCTCACTGTACTCCAGTGTGGGGGGAAATTTCCTAGTAAATAATCCTGTAGTGGATCAGACACAAATGTTTTGTGGCCTCCTAATTGGCACAAGTTTAAAGTATTAAAGAGAACCTACAAGCATTTCCTATCATTAAACCCCTTTCCAGGTCACAAACATCTCCCAAAGTAGTGTAGGAGAGAAAAACTTTTCCTCTACTGTCTTCAGTTATTTGCTTGAGGCCTATAATTAAACTAATAAAAGATCAACAGGAGAAAAGGTATACACATTTTGTGAACATTTTTACTTGCATAGGGGCTTCACAGAAAAGAAATGAAAACCCAAAGAGGTGGTTAGACCTGGTGACTTATATACCATTTTAACAAAGGGTGATAAATTGTGGAGAAATGACTAAACAAAGGAAAAAGGGATTTGGGATCCTAAGTGTGATAAATTGTGAAAGTGACTAGGAAATGTAGATAAGTTTTGTTTTGTAAAGTTTGTTATGCAGACTTGGGTTGTCTCTGGTGATAAGAATTGTCTCTGGAGTTGCTCCCTTTTTCCTTGTAGAAAGAAGGGAACATCTTTACAAAGGAAATCTATGCCCTGCTTTTAGACAGAAAGGGGGAGGGCAGAGAGCTCTTCCTGTTTCTGCTGTTTCTCAATTGCCTTCAACTAAAAATAATCCTTACGCTAAAGTAGCATATTTGGGTTAGCATATTCTGATCCCTTTCAGCAGTATTTCTCAAACTAACCAACTTTCTTCCTTCCTTCCTTCTCTTTTCTTTTCTTCCTTCCTTTTTCTGTGTTTTCAAACAGGGTCTCCCTTTGTCACCCAGGCTGGAGTGCAGTAGTATGATCTAGGCTCACTGTAGCATTGATCTCCTGAGCTCAAGCAGTTATCCCACATCAGCCTCTTGAGTAGCTAGGGCTACAGGTGCATGCTAGTCCATCTGGCTAATTTTTAATATTTTTTTAGAGATGGGGTTTCACCATGTCGCTCAGGCTGGTTTAGAACTCCTGGGCTCAAGGAGTCTTCCCTGCCTGGGCCTTTCAAAGTGCTGGGATTTCAGGCATGAGCCATGATGTCTGGCAAGACTTTTATGTTCATACAAATCACCTGAAGTTTTTGTTAAAATACTGACTCTGATTCAGTAGATCTGGGCTGGAGCCTTGACATTCCACATTTCTAAGAAGCTCCTTAGTGGTACCATATCAAGGAAGGTTTTGAGCCTCATTACAGAGCAACTGAACATGAATTTAGCGGGAGTAGAGTGCAGGTGCCAGGCACCAAGTATTAGACCCTGCTACACAGTGAGGGTTGAGGATCACTGCTCTACATTCAGATGCTTGATGTCATTGTTTATTTTTGCCAGTGTACACTTCCACCATCCATGTAGCCTAGCCTGTACTACTTTTTTATTCCTACAGGACCCAGGACAAATGGAATCTTTGCCTTCCTAAGCCCTACAGGCACCTATTTTAAATTCAAGCAAACATCAACATCAAGGGAGCCAAGCACTACACAAACTGTATATTTGGAAAGAAAATGGTGTATTTATTGCTTATGCCCTTAAAGGAAAAATGGGACAAACCATTTGAAATCAGAAGGTACTAAAAATTACGAGATATGCAGTCCCCACACTGTGTTCCCTGCAATTTGGCCACAGGAATTCTCTGAGTGGCCTTTGCTTAGCTCCATCTCTGGGTAGGATGGGCCTTTGGCCATCCATGTTACACTTTGATCCTGACTCAGCTCTTATCTTTTCTATACATTTAAGTCCCTTCAGAGGTTCAAGTCTACTCTAGGTTAATACCTCAGGCCTTTCAGGCACATAAGTAATATTTTTAAAAAAAGCATCCTCATATACAGAAAATTTCCCCCAAATTTATCCTTCTTTGTAACATATCTATGATCTCACATTTAAATGTTATCACACTTACAGCAAAGGCAATGCTAAGAGGAAAGTTCGTAGCCTTAAATGTCTTCATCAAAAAGTCTGAAAGAGCACAAACAGGCAATCTAAGGTCATGGCTCAAGGAACTAGAGAAACAAACAAACCAAACCCAAACCCAGCAGAAGAAAGGGAATAACCAAGATCAGAGCAGAACTAAATGAAATTGAAACAAACAAACAAACAAAAAACAAAGACAAATGAAACAAAAAACTTGTTCTTTGAAAAATATAAATAAAATTGATAGACCATTAGCAAGATTAACCAAGGAAAGAAGAGAGAAGATCTAAATAAGCTCAGTTAGAAATGAAATGAGAGATATTACAACTGATACCACAGAAATACAGATCATTCAAGGCTACTATGAACACTTTTTCACATATAAACTAGAAAACCTAGAGGAGATGGATAAATTCCTGGAAAGATACAACCCTCTTAGCTTAAATCAGAAAGAATTAGAAGCCCTGAACAGACCAATAACAAGCAGAGAGATTGAAGTAGTAATAAAAATATTACCAACAACAACAACAAAAAGTCCTGGACCAGATGGATTCACAGCTGAATTCTACCAGACATTCAAAGAATTGGTACCAATTCTATTGACACTATTCCACAAGATAGAGAAAGAGGGAATCCTCCCTAAATAATTTTATGAAGCCAGTACCACCCTAATACACAAACCAGGGAAGGACATAACAAAAAAAGAAAACTACAGACTAATGTCTCTGATGAACATAGATGCAAAAATCCTCAACAAAATACTAGTTAACTGAATCCAACAGCATATCAAAAAGGTAATCTACCATGATCAAGTGGGTTTCATATCATGAATGCAGGGATGATTTAACATGCACAAGTCAATAAATGTGATACACCACATAAACAGAATTAGAAAAAAAATCACATGGTCATCTCAATAGAGGCAGAAAAAGCATTTGACAAAGTCCAGCATCACTTTATGATTAAAACCTTCAGCAAAATCAGCATACAAAGGACATACCTCAATGTAATAAAAGCCATCTATGACAAACCCCCACAGCCAACATAACACTGAATGGAGAAAAGTTGAAAGCATTCCCTGTGAAAACTGGAACGAGACAAGGATGCTCACTCTCACCACTTCTATTCAATATAGTACTGAAATTCCTAGCCAGAGCAATCAGACAAGAGAAAGAAATGGCATCAAATCAGTAAAGAGAAAGTCAAATTGTCACTGTTTGCAGATGATCTCATTGTATACCTAGAAAACCCTAAAGACTCCTCCAGAAAGCTCCTGGAATTGATAAATGAATTCAGCAAAGTTTCAGGATATAAAATTAATGTACACAAATCACTAGCTCTGCTGCACACCAACAGCAACCAAGCTGAGAATGAAATCAAGAACTCAATCCCTTTATGATAGCTGCAAAAAAATAAAATAAAATACTTAGGAATATACTTAACCAAGGAGGTGAAAGACCTGTACGAGGAAAACTACAAAACACTGCTGAAAGAAATCATAGATGACACAAATGGAAACACATCCATGCTCATGGATGGATAGAATCAATATTGTGAAAATGACCATACTGCCAAAAGCAATCTACAGATTCAATGCAATTCCCATCAAAATACCACCATCATTCTTCACCAAAAAAAAAAAAAAAAAAAAAAAAAAAAAAAATCTTAAAATTCATATGGAACCTAAAAAGAGCCTGCATAGCTAAAGCAAGACTAAGCAAAAAGGGCTGGGTGCGGTGGCTCACGCCTGTAATCCCATCACTTTGGGAGGCTGAGGTGGGCAGATCACCTAAGGTCAGGAGTTTGAAACCAGCCTGGCCAACATGATGAGCCCCTGTGTCTACTGAAAATACAAAAATTAGCCAGGCATGGTGGCAGGTGCTTGTAATCCCAGCTACTAGAGAGGCTGAGGCAGGAGAATCACTTGAACCCCAGGAGGCTTTGGTTTCAATGAGCCGAAATCACACCATTGCACTCTAGCCTGGGCGACAAGAGCAAAACTCTGTCTCAAAATACACACAAACACACACACACACACAAACAAACAAAAAACAACAACAACAACAACAAAAACTAAGCAAAAAGAACAAATCTGGAGGCATCACATTACCTGACTTCAAACTATACTATAAGGCTCTAGTTACCAAAACAGTGCGGTACTGGTATAAAAATAGCCACATAGCCCAACGGAACAGAAGAGAGAACACACAAATAAACCCAAATACTTAGAGCCAAATGATCTTCAACAGAGCAAACAAAAACATAAAGTGGGGGAAGGGACACTCTATTCAACAAGTGGTGCTGAGATAATTGGCTAGCCACATGTAGGAGAATGAAACTGGATCCTCATTTCTCACCTTATATAAAAATCAACTCAAGATGGATCAAGGACTCAAATCTAAGACCTGAAACCAAAAATTCTAGAAGATAACATCAGAAAAACCCTTCTAGACATTGGCTTAGGCAAAGATATCGTGACCAGGAACCCAAAAGCAAATGCAACAAAAGCAAAGATAAATAGGTGTGACTTAATTAAACTAAAGAGCGTTTTGCATGGCAAAAGGAACATTCAGCAGAGTAAACAGACAACCCATAAAGTGGGAGAAGATCTTCACAATCTATACATCTGACAAAGGACTAATATCCAGAATCTACAAGGAACTCAAACAAATAGCAAGAAAAAAACAGTCTTATCAAAAAGTGGGCTAAGGACATGAATAGACAGTTCTCAAAAGAAGATATACAAATGGCCAACAAACACATGAAAAAATGCTCAGCATCACTAATGATCAGGGAAATGGAAATCAAAACCACAATGCAATACCACCTTACTCCTGCAAGAATGGGAATAATAAAAAAATAATAGATGTTGGCGTGGATACAGTGAAAGGGGAATACTTGTACACTGCTGGTGGGAACGTAAACTAGTACAACCACTATGGAAAACAGTGTGGAGATTCCTTAAAGAACTAAAAGTATAACTACCATTTGACCCAGCAATCCCACTACTGGGTATCTACCCAGAAAAAAAGAGGTCATTATAAGAAAAAGATACTTTCACATGCATGTTTATAGCAGCACAACTTGCAGTTGTGAAAACGTGGAACCAACCCAAATGCCCATCAATCAACAAGTGGATACAGAAACTATGGAATATATATATATATATTAGAATAGAATAGAATATTATATATATCATAATATATACTCATACATACATTATATATAATATATATATCATATATTACATATGATATATACATGATAGAATACTACTCAGCCATAAAATGGAATGAATTAATGGCATTTGTAGCAACCTGAATGGGATTAGGGAGTATTATTCTAGGGGAAGTAACTCAGGAATAGAAAATCAAACATTATGTGTCCTCAATCATAAGTGGGAGCTAAGCTATGAGGATGCAAAGGTGTAAGAATGATACAATGGGCCGAGTGTGGTGGCTCACATCTGTATTCCCAGCACTTTGGGAAGCCAAGGTGGAATTGGATCACCTGAGGTCAGGAGTTTGAGACCAGCCTGGCCAACATGAAACCCCATCTCTACTAAAAATATGAGAATTAGCTGGGCATGGTGGCACACACCTGTAGTCTCACTTACTTGGGAAGATAAGGCAGGAGAATCGCTTGAACCCAGGAGGCAGAGGTTGCAGTGAGCTGAGACCGTGCCACTGTACTCCAGCCTAGATGACAGAGACTCTGTCTCAAAAAAAAAAAAAAAAAAAAATACAATAGACTTTGGGGGAAAGGGTGGGAATGGGGTGAGGGATAAAAGACTACAAATTGGGTACAGTGTACACTGCTCGGGTGATAGGTGCACCAAAATCTCACAAATTACCACTAAAGAACTTACTCATGTAACCAAATACCATTCCAAATACCAAATAATGTTCCCCCAAAACCTATGGAAATAAAAATTTAAAAAATAAATAGAAATACAAAATATAAAAAAAATCAAATGTAGCAAAAGAAATGTTACCACCCATATTGAGGGTGTGAAACCTCAATTCACGATTATTTTTGAGAAAAAAACTGTTTAATTGTAAGCCCACCTTGAAAAGGAGGCTTCTAGCATATCACATTTCTCTGTTACCCTTATTCATGTTCCAAGGCTAGACTGAGAAGACTTTCTCCTTTGTTAACAAAATACAGCTTCTCATTTGGAAAACTGCCAAGCAGATACAAAGTAGTGATCCACCTGCCTTGGCCTCCCAAAGTGCCTCTTCTTCTCTAATTTAAGTTTTCTTAGAAGGTTTTGGTGATTCTAATATGTACTCATACGTATTCAAGTGAAATGCTATACCAAAGTGGGGAGCAGAGTGCAAAAAAGGAAATTTCATTATGCACAAAATAGAAAATCAACCTCAAAACCAGACTTCTCATAACAGAAAATGGATCTGTACAACTGGCGATCATTTGCCATCAAAGATGAATTTTAAAATATTTTGTTTTAAGAATCATTTTATAAATGATAAATAAGCCAGAGGAAGAAGATAAAAATCACTTAGAAACTCATCACCAAAGATGGCCACTGCATCCATTTTGGCATCTGTTTTCCAGGCTTTATTCTATATCTATCTAAATCTATGTCTACACATGTATATATATACACATATATATGAATATGGAGAATTTTTTCCAAAAATGAGATAATACAGACAATTATAATTTAAATTCATTGTGAATTACCATCTTCCAATTATTAATTTATTAGAGCTTTTTCAGTTGAATTAATATGGCTAATATCTCAACATTTTCTTATTTTATTCTTGGTAACTTACACATTCATTTCTCTGTGCAAGGATTGTGTACATAGTGATTACTTAATAGTGTCCATTTCATTTAAATTACAATTGGCTTTACTAAACACTTCAGGAGCCCCAGCTTTAACATTTCATGTTTCTTGTCTTTAAAAATGTAAGCCTAATTTTTACTGTACCAAGTAATGTAAATTTCACTTCATTTCCATCATTTCTTCAAGGAATGAGGGTTGGAAATGAAAATCTTTGTTCTTAGGAATTACTTACTGCATGAAGAAAAACAATTAGTATCTTACACATGGGAAACAAATAATGCATCCGATGAAAATAAAGAGAAATTTAAATTATGATTTACTGCTTATGAAAATGACTTTGTTTATGAAATGAAGTTTGGCAATCTCTCAATGAATACAGTAATTTAAGTAAATTTTGCATTAAGAATGAATTATAGTGAGGATTTTCTATTGTGACATGGTAAGATTTTAATGGCCATTTGTTTTGAAGCAAGTCTCTGAAAAGAATTGGTCAAGTGCCAGAAGCTCATTGTAATGACAAATTGCTCACAATGAATTGCTTTGAAAGAAAACACTACTTTTTGTTTTTGAAACAAATTTATATAAGGGCTAGACTTATTCCAGTATCTATAAATAATATTATCTGACCATAAGCTTAAGAGGGCCAATTTTATCTTTTCTAGTTTGTGACTTTCAGATGTTACTAAACCTTCTACCTATGTTCTTTGTGGCTGCAGAGTTGAGTAATGTGTTATCATTGCTAGTGATGTATTACTCTTTCACATGCCCTTATTATGCAAACATACAAGACTTTGTTGATTAGTTTAAGTTTTGTAGTTCTTTAAAGTGGTCATTAAAATATGAGGTTTTCTCTCCCTTTGTTCCACTCTTTGAGGATTCAGAATTGTCCATATGTTTTTAATAGGTCATCTTCAGAGTTTCAATTCCTAAAATAAATAAAAAACCTTTTTCTCAAGCTCTACATTGATTTACAAAGACAACTGTTGTTAAAATTGTAATTACCTGTATTTCAAGTAATGTTATTTGTAATATGAATTACATAAAATCAATGAGAATACAAATTAATATTGTCCATTTTCACAAATGAGTAAGATGGCTGCCAATTTTTAAAAGCAAACATGTGTCTTCATTTGATTAATAGTTCTAGAATTACATTGATGGATTCAAGGAAAAAACAGAGAACTGGGAGCAAAGTAATCATTTATTTTTGAAACCCTAAATCTGCTTCTGACTTGGTTGCCTTACTCATCTTGGACCTATATCCATGGACCATCTCTAGGGCCAGACCCAAGTCATGTAGGGTTTGATGCTTATACAATTTTGGAGGCTCTCTTCAAGAAAATAGTTTAAAAAATATTTTACTTTTGCAAAATTTACAAAAATAGTTGACCACATTAACTCAATATCAGGGCTTCTCACTGAGCCACAAAAGGGCATGATGAAGCCGTGATGCAAATGATGAGCCTGAAGATTAAGCTTCATTACACGGTAAATCCACCTCTGGACTTATATGCATAAAAAACTGGAATATGCATCTGTAGTAACTCTCCCCATTAGAAGATTTATTTGTGTGTGGCTTGTGGAAATCAGTTTTATTACTTAGTCATGTTATCTAGAAAAAGCACTGGGGAAAAATCATATATTGATGAATTAGTGAAAGATTTTGCGCAGCACATAGCAGTGGACTTTGTGGAATCACTATGTGGCCAATTTGATTCTACTAGGAGGACGGCTGGTACAATTTTAGAGTTCTTGGTGACTAACCATTATCATGGTTATTTAAAAACAACAACAAATTAAAAAACAGTTAATTTTTGTTTTGCTATATAAATTAAACCTTGACTAGGATCTTCAAATTTATTGGTTGCTTTGTACTGCAAACTAGTTTACTTGATCACATTTATGGATAGATAAGTAATAATACCAGGCAGTTTATACCATGGTCAAATACACAGCAGAGAAAAGCCAATACTACTATAATCACAGATGAAAGAAATCCTGAAATCCTGTAGAATCTGGAGAAGACCTCACGGAAGTGGTGGGATTGAGTTTTACAGAAAGAGTAAGTGTATGTTTTAAACAGCAGAAATTATCTCAATCCTGGTGGCAACATCTGTTCTGGGGGTAAAGAAGAGAAGAGTTTCACCAAAATAGCAGGTCTCTGTGAAAGGAACTTATGGATGTCCATTTCAAAGAATAGAGAAAGGCCATATTATTAAAAGAAAAGGGCATTAAAATCAAACTGAAAGTCTGGGTTTCAATGTCAATGCTTTTTCAAAGTGTGGTCTCTACTCCAACAGCCTCATCCTCACCTGAAGCATGTTATATATGTAAATTATCAGGCCCCACTCCAGTCCCACTGGATCTGAAACGGTGGAATGGGGCTGAGCGAACTGTTTTAGTAAGCCCTCCAGGTGATTTTGATGCTCACTGGAGAACGATGCTCTAAATGATATGAAGCTGCAGATTTCTGAAAGGTATGTAAAGTGATGTTTCTGTAGGATTAAGGTGGCAACTGTGGTTTAGATTGGATAGAGAAGAGATTGGAGGCAGGAAAGTCTATTTTAAAACATAACATCTTAATCAGCATAACATATATATACTATCATACCTGCTGCTGAATTCCAAAGCTGTTCTTTGTCAGGGTTTTAGCATCTTCATTTTGTGCTACAACATATTATGTTGTGGCAATATACCTTAGTGAGCCTGCTTTAAATTATTTAACAATCAAGTAAATGCTTTCATTTTATTACAGTGAAAGCTAATTTAATGACTTTTAGCTAGTAACTAGTAGGAGGAAACTCCATCTTTGCACAAAAAACAATAAAAATCCAGCAACCTTATAAATATACATCAGATAGATGGGGGACCATTTTTAGGTCATGAATTTGCATTATTTAAGAGAGCTTTAACAGAGACTCTCCTTCCCTAGACATAATAGTTTCAAATAAACATGTGCGAACTTGCAGTACTATGGGTTGTTTACGAGAGAGGGAGTGGAGAAAACGGAGAGAGAGGACAGAGATAGTGGTTATTCTGAAGAGCGAATGAGAGAGTGGGGGAGCAGAAGAGTGACGAGAAGAAAATGAAAGAAGAAAAATGCAGCAAGAGTATAAAAATTATGTGCCTTAAAAATCAGATCCATCAGCCATTTGGTCTCAGTGGATTAGTAGAGTAGGGAAGCCATCTGCCTAGAAGCACTTGGTAATGAGCAACAGCTAGAACCGTCCAGTTGCAAAGAACTCATGCTTCTGTGCCTCAGGGCAAAAAATGACTGTAATGCTGCTGGATGGCCGCCCTTTAAGTGTTTTCTTAAGTTTGAAATCTTGGCACTTTTTATTTATCCATCTATAGAAAACCTGCTGTGTGAGAACCTCGCAGCAAATGTACTTATGGAACCCCATGTGTGAAGTGATATTGTTTACATAAGGCTTACACAATTTGAGAATAACGCAATTTGACAGAAGAGACAGGTTGATGAAATGTCTGTGGGTTTTTTTTTTTTTTTTTGGCATTATAGTTGAGTGGGTAGAACATAGCCATGGGAAAGCCGAGAGCTGGCCCCAGTTTCTGGCTCTGTTACTGACATCCTGTATGTTTCAGGGCAAGAGACATGGCTTCATCCCCATATCCGTTCTAGAGCTGGACGGGGGGCAGAGGGGTGCAAGGGATTGATTGTACATGGCTCCAGCACTTTTATCTTTTATAAGATGAGGAAAGTTATCCAACAGATAACTTCCAAGCCACATGTGCCACGGGCAGTCTCCCCTCAGGTTAGGATGTAAAAAGAGAGCCTGTCATCAAGACCAAAACTTGAATATTGTTAGTGTTGGAACTGCATGGAGCAGCTGGTCAGGGAAGTAGGGTGGAGGCCTGGGAGAGTGTGATAAGAAAGGTCATGCTTGGTGTGGAAATTGGTAGGACTCTGGAATAAGTGCCCAAAAGCATTAGGCAAGTTGCAAGGGCCTTCGGCTGGAGAAGAGACCCAGAATCAGAGCACACCCGTGAGTTACGGTAAAATCAAGGCAGTGGGACCAACCCTGGAGGTGGTTAAGGAGCGAGGAGGGCGTGGTAAGGGAGTAATGATCACATGTACCCAGGGTTCACTAAATGCCAGGTACAGATTCAGCACTTTGACTATATTAATTCATTTAATCATCACAAACCCTCATGAAGTAGTACTATTATAATCCCCATTTTACAGATGAGCAAACTGAGGCACACCAAGGTTAAGATGATAGCATTGGTAGTGGCTTAAAGGCTGAGCATTTGGGCTAGCTCCTGGCACTTCACAGGAATGGAAGAGGTGGGGTGAGGTAGATTTATGTGTGTAGATCAGAAATAAAGTTCCCAGTACACAGGTTAACTCTGTGGTCCAATCAGAAGGCTTCCTGCACACTTCCTGTAAGGGTGCTAGCCAAGTCCAGAATGTGAAAGACTTATAGTAGAGCAGTTTCTCACCTCTCCCGACTCAGAGAATAGCGGCTGCGTGAATCTGTTTTACCACTCCAGGCCGATCCTGCCACTGTGATGCTCTGCCAGGCCTGGGAGACAGGAGATTGGTGGCCTCTGCACCAGTTTGGGGAGAGTGGGCTCGGTAGCATTACAAAACCACAGACTTACACAAACTCTGTGTTTACCCAACAGAAAACGAAGTGGAAAGTTTGCAATTATGTAGCTTATTTGAACCAAGCAGTCATCCAAACCGGGTAATTTGACTCTCAGACATAAACCGGTTACAGTAGAGAAGGGTTGAAAATGTGTTTCTCTCTCTCTGACACACACACATACACACACACACACACACAAAGCTTTGTTTGAGTAAAATGCAATTTGAAAACCTCACTTGAGTAACATAGTTGTTGAGATTCTTTTAGCTAAACTGTACTTTCAGAAGAGTAAGGCAGTGTACAATTTTGAAGAATAACACTTTAATATATTGCCAAAGCTCACAATGCTTACGGTGATACTACAGGTGAATTCGTTTCTCTTTTCAGATAGAATATAACCTGCAAAGATCCTTGGAGCATTCATTTTTCTATTAATTACTTCTTTTGAAAAACACAAGTTGGGCCGGGCATGGTGGCTCACGCCTGTAATCCCAGGACTTTGGGAGGCCGAGGCGGGTGGATCACGAGGTCAGGAGTTTAAGACCAGCCTGGCCAAGATGGTGAAACCCCGTCTTTACTAAAAATTAAAAAAAAAAAAAAATTAGTTGGGTTTGGTGGTGGGCGTCTGTAATCCCAGCTACTCGGGAGGCTGAGGCAGAAAATTGCTTGAACCAGGGAGGCAGAGGTTGCAGTGAGCCGAGATTGTGCCACTGCACTCCGGCCTGGGCGACAGAGTGAGACTTCGTCTCAAAAAAAAAAACAAACACAAGTTGCTTTTCAAATGAATTTCTTATTAGTTTCCTCTTCCCTACATCTGAGCAAAAAAATTTCAGAATTTAAAAAGTAAAGTTAAATTTTAAAAGTACGTCAGACTTGGAATCTGGCCCTGGACCATCATGAACTATCTCATAAGCTTTGGTGAGTCAATGTCCTGAGTCGACTGGAGCCATTAAACCATGGAATTTTAGAACTGGAATGGAGACTTAATAATTACATAATTATAAGTAGAGGTTTTTATTTTACAAATGAGGAAACTAGAGCACAAATTACTCTTACAAGCTCACAAGGGGAAGTCGCAGAGATGAGTCTATTCTTTCCACTGTCTTATGCAGTTGCTTTGCTACCTACTAGTATTGAAATGTTTTCCAAATATTTCTAAAGTTTTTTTTTCCTCACATATAAAATAAACACTAGTACTCAGTTTTACCACTTAAAAATTGCATGAAAGGCCGGGCGCAGTGGCTTACGCCTGTAATCCCAGCACTTTGGGAGGCTGAGACAGGTGGATCATGAGGTCAGGAGATCGAGACCATCCTAGCCAACAGGGTGAAACCCTGTCTCTACTAAAAATACAAAAAAAAAAAAAAAAAAAAAATTAGCTGGGCGTGGTGGTGGGTGCCTGTAGTCCCAGCTACTCGGGAGGCTGAGGCAGGAGAATGACGTGAACTCAGGAGGCGGAGGTTGCAGTGAGCCGAGATTGCGCCACTGCACTCCAGCCTGGGCGACAGAGCGAGACTGTCTCAAAAAAAAAAAAAAAAATTGCATGGAAAACAAAAGAATTGAAAGCATGGACTTGGAGAGATGTTTGCACACCCATGTTCAATTATTCACAATAGCCAAAAGGTGGAAGCAGCCCAAGAGTCCATAGATAGATAATGGATAAACACAGTGTGGTATAGACACACAGTGTGTTAAAAAGGAAGGAAATTCTAACACACACTACAACATAGATGGACCTTGAGGACATTGATGTTAAGTGAAATAAGCCAGTCATGAAAGGATACTATATGATTCCTCTTAGGTGAGGTACCTAGAGTGGTCAAATTCATAGACAGAAAGTAGAATGGTGGTTGCCAGGAACTGAGGAGGAGGGGAAATTGGAAGTCATTGTTTAATAGATTCTAAGTTTAAGTTGGGGAAGATGAAAAAGTTCTGGAAATAAATGGTGGTAATGGCTGCACAAGAAATAAATATACTTAATGTCACTGGACTGGTTCCTTAAAAATAGGATGGGCCGGGCATGGTGGTTCACGCCTGTAATCCTAGAACTTTGGAAAGCCGAGGTGGGTGGATCACCTGAGGTTCAGGAGTTCGAGACCAGCCTGGCCAACATGGTGAAACCCCGTCTCTACTAAAAACACAAACATTAGCCAGGTGTGGCGGGCGTCTGTAATCCCAGCTACTTGGGAGGCTGAGGCAGGAGAATCGCTTGAACTTGGGAGGCAGAGGTTGCAGTGAGTGGAGATCAGGCCACTTCATTCCAGCCTGGGCGAAAAGAGTGAAACTCCGTCTCAAAAAAAACCAGAAAAGAAACAACGACAACAACAAAAATAGTCAGGATGGTAAATTTTATGTTATGTGTATTTTACCGCAATAGTTTTAAAAAGTACATAGGAAACCATTATCTTTGCTCTAGGTGAAAAGACTGGCAAAGTTCTCATGATTGTGCCATTGTTTCATTCTTTAAAAGAACTATGTTTGATGAGTCTTTTAATATAATGTTTTCATGAAAGTGATGCTTTCAGTTTATCAAACTGTCCTATAAATAAAATTTGAATATGTACTTGATCCGCTTAAGTAGTTTTACATTGTAGATTTATTAAATCTATTTGGTAAAGGGGAAAAGGTTAGGAATGTATTTATTTCCATGGACAGACAGCATAGAAATTTAAGAATGTAAGGTGCTGGGGTCTTCATTTCAGAGCTGGATGTGTTTGCCGTAATTGCATTTGTGCATTTTGGACAAACATGTCCAACATACCTGTGAACAAAGATTCGAGGAAAGATATAGTAAATTCTAAGTTGTTCCACTAGCAAATTGTCAGTTAGAAATTCTAACAAAGGCCGGGCATGGTGGCTCACGCCTACAATCCCAGCACTTTGGGAGGCTGAGATGGGCGGATCACAAGGTCAGGAGATCGAGACCATCCTGGCTAACACGGTGAAATCCCATGTCTACTAAAAATACAAAAAATTAGCCAGGCATGATGGCGGGCGCCCGTAGTCCCAGCTACTCGGGAGGCTGAGGCAGGAAAATGGCGTGAACCCAGGAGGCGGAGCTTGCAGTGAGCCGAGATCAAACCACTGCGCTCCAGCCTGGTTGACAGAGCGAGACTCCGTCTCAAAAAAAAAAAAAAAGAAATTCTACCAAGAAAGCTGGAGGCTAAATTCTAATTATTAGACTTATGCTCTCATGATAAGAAAACAATTTATTATTACGTGCTGCTTTAACCAAAATATAGCATGGGACCTGCAGACTCTGACATGACTCATTTTTCTAAAGTAAGTGATGAAAGTATATAACTTTTACTGAACATTTTCAACGACCATTTCAATTTATTTTAAAAATTGTATAATTGGCTAGACGCGGTGGCTCTTGCCTGAATCCCAGTACTTGGGGCCAAAGTGGAAGGTTTGCTTGAGTACAGGAGTTTGAGAAATGCCTGGGCAACATGGTGAAACGATCTCTCCACAAAAACTGCAGAAACTAGCTGGGTGTTGTAATGTGCACCTGTAGGCCCAGCTACTCGGGGGCTGAGGTGGGAGAATCACTGGAGCCGGGGATTGAAGCTGCAGTGAGCTGTGATCACGCAACTACACTCCAACCTGTGGGAAAGAGAGAAATCCTGTCTCAATAAATAAATAAAAATAAATAAATAAATAAATAAATAATTTGTATAATCTTTGTCTAGTTCGGGCACAGTGGCTCATTCCTGTAATCCCAGCACTTTGGGAGGCCAAGGTGGGTGGATTACCTGAGGTCAGGAGTTGGAGACCAGCCTGGCCAACATGGTGAAACCCCATCTTTACTAAAAAATACCAAAAATTAGCTGAGTATGGTGGTGGGTGCCTGAAATCCTAGCTACTCGGGAGGCTGCGGCAGAAGAATCGCTTGAACCCAAGAGGTAGAGGTTGCAGTGAGCCGAGATCGCATCACTGCTCTCCAGCCTGAGCAACAAGAGCAAGACTTCGTCTCAAAAAAAAAAAAAAAAAAAAAAAAATCTTTGTCTATGCTTACTTCAGGGGTCATTGTAAGTATTATTAGCAAATTGTTTTTATTTCAAATGGGAAAATACTATATAAGAACAAAGTCTGTTGTTCATTTTTGTATGTCACCTGTAATGGAGATTTCTTAATGATTAATAATAATTAAACAAAACTCTTATTAAGCCAACATTTAAATCCAGCTTTTCACGAGTTGCTAATATGGTGTTAAGCTCTATTAATTCTTTTTTTTTCAAATGTTTAGAACTTGTGACATATCTGAAAGGCAAATTTGGCATTAAACCAACATTTTACTATTGTCAGCTCTACAGAGTCAATATATCATATTCCCAGAAGAGTAGGTTGTGTTCCTCTTTGCCTCAAACATCATTAACAAAACTGACAGCGAAGCACTAATTCAGAAGTGTTCCAGTAGTTGTTGATGTGCAAAGCAGAAAGGACTGAGTATGATTGTCAGATGTCAAGCTGGGTTTCCATCACTGACACATAAAAAACGTGTACAGTTTGACTTGTAAAGAGGGCCCCGACTGATAAGAACATTGTAGGCTAAAAAAATATAAGAAAGATACAATTATGTCACCTTTTTGGAACTTTTCTTTTTTTAAATCATAAAAAGGAATTGGAGAAAACAGAAGATTAAACAAAAATTACAAAGATGCTTTAGGGACAAAGAGAACGAAAGGTTTCATACAGAAAAAATTACATTTTTGTCTTCTTTTATCTTTTACTTAAAAAAAGTTCAACATTCCCCTATTTGTGATATTGCTATAGGCAGCTTGACTGTTTTTTAGATTCGTTTCTTCTAGGTCTGTGAGCGTTTCCATACAGATGTAGGTTTCAACTCTTTCCTCCAGTTCCAAAGTGAGACAAGCATGTGTCTTCATGTCATGCATTTCCCTAACAGGGTTCTGATGACTTCTATTGGAGATCTCAAACATAGATTTTCTTTTTTTTTAAGAGACTTCTAGAATTCCTTACTTATTGTTCTTTACTCTTCCAAGTGCTAGGAGATAAAGACAAGGCTGGTTGCTCATGTAATATCAACCTTTCCCCCACCTTCCTCCCTAATATAACCCTCATTTTGTGTAGAGAAGAGATTTGCCCCTGCTGAAAAGCTATTTCTCATCACCCTTTCTTACCCACCCTCCCACCCTCCTCATCATCTCTCTCACAAATCCTCACTCCTCCCAGTCACACTTTGTAGCTAGAGGTGGCCACGAGACAGTTTGGGTCACTGCTATGTAGGGGAAAGTTACTGGGTAGGGCTTCTAGACAAGCTCTTTCAAGGACACCAACTCAGCTGGTGGCTCCTTCTGCCCTTTGCCTTCCTCTTCTTCCTGCTCAGAATGGGGTCATAAATTTGCATCGGAGCAGCTATCGTGGGACCCTAAGGAGAGGAACTCACCCTAAGGACATGCTGAGTAGAAATAGAAAAGAGCCTGGATCACTACCTGCTGCCTGGAAACACCGCATCAGCTCTGAACAGCTTACCTCCAGACTTCTGGCTACATTATAATAATAGTACCTCAAATTTAAGTTCCCTCTTTTCAGCTTCCTGTTACTTACAGGCAAGTTCACTTCCTACTCACAGGAATATTTTAGAGCAGAAAATTCAGAAACAAAATACACCAGAGCCTTTAATGAATGGTATTTCCCTAGGCTAACTTGCTTAATTATGAGGATGTTTAGTTAATACACAAATTATGAAGCTTGAAATAATTGGCTCTGATCAGCATCCTCATTATTATCATTAAAGAGAGTTTTATTCAGAACTCATTTGCATGAGGAAGCTTGCTCGGTTATTTACCTGGTGAATGGTTTTCTACACTGTAAATCTGTTTCTGGCTTGGAAATCATTGAGGAGCATCTGTAAATGGGTGACTTGCTCTGAGCTCTTGCTGTTTTTAAGAGGGTTGTTACAAATACTTTTATCTTCAAGTGACTTGAAGATTATTTAGGAACACTTGATGTGATTTAATATCTTTATATATTAAAGCAAATTCAAAGTTGTCACTATCATTACATCATTTATAATAATGTCATTCTCACTCCAATTCTTGTATGCTTTCTTGAGTGGGATTGAAAATGATGGAGTTACAGTTAGCAAGCTGGAAATTTCTTCTCACTCTGGGCAGGCCCATGGGTGTTTCACATGATGAATATCATCTGTTCTGTTCCATGAGGCAGAAAAAACAAAAGTTGAGAACTGCTTTATACACAAAGAACAAAACCCCTTAATGAGTACCTTTAGCAGTACCTCGGCAGCTGATGGGAGCTCTGTTCTAGTTATTCTTGGTGGGCATGGGAGAGAGGGGAGTTGGGTTTCAATCCTCCAGGGGTGTATCATTTTCTCAAGGGCGAGAGCTTGGAGCTTTTTATGTTTACCATAAGTGGTGTGGAATAAGAGTTGAAAATACTGCCGTAGAGCCTTTGTGTACTATGTCTCTCTTGGCTTATATCCAATCTAAAGAATTGGTGGTGGTGCCCTGAATCTTCACTGAGTTAAGTTTTGTGAGATTGTGCTCAGGCCCAGCCTGGGGTGAGTATAATGACTGCCTTCCTGGCCTCTGGGCTTGGCACTCCTTGCCCGCTCCCCCTCCCTGCCTTACCCTTTTGTTGCTTTGGGCACTTATGTTGAGCTCATTTCCATTAGCCTGTGTAAAGAACCTGGGCCAATTTCTCTGCACTACCACTACATCTTCGGCATTGTATACATCCCTATTTATTTCTAATCTGTATGAGTTGGGATTAGTTTCAGCTGCAGATAATAGTGAACCCTCAACAGTGGCTTAAACAATATAAAAGTTTAATTCTCTTTGAAGTAAAGTAAATCTGGAGGTAGCGAGTCAAGGACTGGCATGGTTTCTTCTCATTTTCTGCTCCACCTTTCCTAGGAGTGGTCTGCAGTTTCATGTTCTGTACGGCAGGATAAAGTAGATAGAACAAAGGGCGGGGCGTGGTGGCTCATGCCTGTAATCTCGGCACTTTGGGAGGCCAAGGCAGATGGATCACGAGGTCAAGAGATCGAGACCATCCTGGCCAACATGGTGAAATCCCGTCTCTACTAAAAGTACAAAAATTAGCTGGGCGTGGTGGCACACGCCTGTAGTCCCAGCTACTGGGGAGGCTGAGGCAGGAGAATCACTTGAACCCAGGAGGTGGAGGTTGCAGTGAGCCGAGATCGCACCACTACACTCCAACCTGGAGACAGAGCGAGACTCCGTCTCAAAAAAAAAAAAAAAAAAAGAAAAAAGGGCTCACTCCCTGCATTTTGAGGGAACGTTCTGTAAACACTGTACAACACTTTGGTTTCATATCATTGGCCAGAACTTCTTCACATGGTCACATCAAACTTAAAGAGGGGGCTGAAAAGTAGGGTGTTATGTCTGGGCTCATGGATAAATAAAGTTGGGATCTGCTACTAGAGAAGGGGAGAATGACTATTAGGAAGCAATCAGCTTTTGTCGCTGCCATTTGCAAGTCACTATAATTGAGGGTGTGGTTATTTGTAAATGCACTGATTGCAACATACAGGCTGTAACCCTTGATCAATTTAGCACCTGAAATGCCTTCTCCACTTCCAAGGGATTTATGGAAGACAGATGTTAGTTAGTTACCAGCCATAGGGGTTTACATTTTCTCCACTGGGTTTGTTTGTCTTGATTCTATAGATGAAAGGGCTCTAATTTATCTTTTTTTGCTCCCAGGCTCATTGCATTCAGTGAAATTGATTTTCAGACAGGATACACCTGTTCTTCCCCTGACATTTTGGGTACTTGCTTCTTTCTTTGCTTTTCTTCCTCCCTCCTTCCCCTCCCTCCCTCCCTCCCTTCCTTCCTTCCTACCTTGCTTCTTTCCTTCCTTCCTTTCTTCCTTCCTTCCTTCCTTCCTTCCTTCCTTCCTTCCTTCCTTCCTTCCTTCCTTCTTTCCTTCCTTCCTTTCGAGACGGAGTCTGGCTCTGTCTCCCAGGCTGGAGTGCAGTGGTGTGATCTTGGCTCACTGTAACCTCTGCCTCCTGGGTTCAAGCAAGCCTCCACAGTAGCTGGGATTACAGGCGCGCACCACCATGCCCAGCTAATTTTTGTATTTTTAGTAGAGACGAGGTTTCACCACGTTAGCCAGGCTGGTCTTGAACTCCTGACCTCAAGTGGTCCACTTGCCTTGGCCTCCCAAAGTGCTGGGATTACGGGCATGAGCCACCGTGCCCGGTGGCTTATTTCTGAAGATTATCAGGATGCTCTTCAAGTGCAGATCCCTTCGTGGGACACACTTTAGTAGCCTGGTCATGCCATGTATTAAAGAGCTCTGGTTTCTATCTAGAGAAGGAATAAAAACTGGAATACCGTGAAAGTAGTAAAAAAGTTCTAGAACCTCCAGGTTGCATAAAGAATGCCATGTTAGGGATTATTAGTGGCAATTACTAAGCACAGGACATATGTTTGTCTCAAAGGCAGTGATGACATCCTTTTGCTACTCTCCCAAACAGCCAAAATCCCAAAGCATCGCCTGTCCAGTGACCCCCAGAGACCCATCATAAGACATTGTAGTTGGCTTGGACTATTCCAGATTTTCTGAACTTGCCTAACAAATTTCAGTATTTAAAATATTTATTAGCTATAGTTCTATTTTAGAAGGGATAGGATTTCAGGAACAGATTAAGGCATGAGGGAAGGGTAATTCTGAGAATGAAGATAATACACATACTTAAGAAGAAAATAAAGAAGAAATTCTTTTTCTTGATTCATTCAACTATTGTGAGGATCATGGTGTTCTAATTTATTTGGTTTTGGATATTTGAATAAAACAGTACATTGTTCACCCAAACTTTAAGAGTTTTTGCTATCTTAAAAGATTATAAGTCTTTTCATTTTAAGTCCATATGACTGAAGGCATCACATTGTCACAAGAATAGAGATACATTTTAACAACTGCTCAGCAATTCCTACATGACTCTCTTTAATTCAGCTCAATTCATTTCACTGCAATAAATCAATGGAATTAAATTTAAACTCTGATCAATTCTTTGGAGGAGGTGCAAAAGGAGACTATTTTTATTCAAGGACTACATGCACAGGAAACAAATATATTAGACAGGTTATGTCTAAATACAAAGGTGTTTGCAATAGGACATTATTGTATCTGCATCACAGTGTTTCATTCTAACTGGATTCGTAGAGGGGAGTCCCCGAAATACCATCAGGAGATGATGCCTGATAGCTGATATGGATACATCATGCTCTTTTGCAAAGGTGAAAATTGGATTCGTTATTTATAGAAAGAGTAGTCAAAATATTTTCATCAAAATTTCACTTATGCATGCAGAATATTATATATCAATTAATATTAATCATGGTTGTCAGTGGGTAGAAAGATTTCAGTGCTTCTATTTTATCTCTTATGTTTTTGTGTATTGTTGGGACTATTTCGAACATATGAGTATAAATGCAGCATATGACATTTTTCATCATTGTTAAAAAAATCAGAGTATTAAATTAATGATGTCTTAGAAGTCGGTCATCACCACTGAATTAATGGTTTGCTTTGTTCATTCTCTTTTTTCTTTATTCTACTTCGTTCTCTAAAAAATTCTAAAGAAGTCCTGTTAAAATAAGCAAAATGCAGCTGTGGCTCATGCTTGTAATCCCAGCACTTTGGGAGGCTGAGTTGGGCAGATCACTTGAGTCCAGAACTTTGAGACCAGCCTGGGCAATGTGGTGAAACCCTGTCTCTACAAAAAATACAAAAAGTTAGCTGGGCATAGTGGTGTGTGCTTGTATTCCAAGCTACCTGAGAGGCTGAGGTGGGAGGATTGCTTATGCCAGGGCAGCAGAAGTTTCAGTGAGCTGAGATCATCCCACTATACTCTAGCCTGGGCAACAGAATAAAATCCTGTCTCAAAAAACAACAAACAAACAAACACACAAAAGCATAATGCAAGTAATAAAAATCAGGGTCGACTCTTCGGCATTGTGGTTCCTGAATGGAATGCTCATCGGTCATGCCATGGTCCCATTTGTTGGTCATGACCACTGAAATTGTGGGCCTGAGACTGCTTCAGTGTTTGGGCTTCTAGCACACTGCAGGACACTCAATGAATCCATAACAGACTTCACAAGTTTTTAGTTCTCATTCATTCCAGTGATAATTTCAGGTGGAGAAAATGATTTAAGGAAATCTTTCTATGCTAATAGTAAAAAACCAAAGGAGGAAAGCTTATTACAGTTTAATAGCTGAAAGACTGATCTGGGGTTTCTGATTATTGGTAACAGCAAAGGGCAAGGAAGCAAAGTGGCAACAACTTTCACTCATTCAAAACTTGGCTTTGCCAGTTAAGTGGCTCTCAGCTTCAGTTAACTTACCCGTAAAACAGGGTTGATGATATTTGTATCTACCTTAAAGAAATGTTGTCAGGCCGGGCACGGTGGCTCACCCCTGTAATCCTAGTACTTTGGGAGGCCGAGGCGGGCGGATCACCTGAGGTCAGGAGTTCGAGACCAGCCTGACCAACATGGAGAAACCCCGTCTCTACTAAAAATACAAAATTAGCCGGGTGTGGTGGCACATGCCTGTATTCCCAGCTACTCGGGAGGCTGAGGCAGGAAAATCGCTTGAAACTGGGAGGCAGAGCTTGTGGTGAGCCAAGATTGTGCACCATTGCTCTCCAGCCTGGGCAACAAGAGCGAAACTCTGTCTCAAAAAAAAATACAGAAAGAAAGAAAAAAAAAATATTGTCAAGATTGAGATAATGTGTGCAAAGTATTTTGCGTAATGCCTAACATAAAGTAGGTAGTCAATGAATGTCAGATAATAACAATGATGATGGTAGTTATTTGTACAATAATACTAGAGACCTTTTAAGGTCAATAATGTCTTTTTTTCCCTTTCATTTATTTTTATTATCTTTTCTGGGTACATAATAGGTGTGTATATTTATGGGGTACATGAAATGTTTTGATATAGGCATGCAATATGAAGTAAGCACATCATGGAGAATGGGGTATCCATCCCCTCAAGTATTTATCCTTTGAGTTACAAACAATCCATTTACACTCTTTAAGTTATTTTTAAATGTAAAATTAAGTTATTATTGACTATAGTCACCCTATTGTGCTATTGAATAGTCCTTTCATTTATATTTAAACCCTCCTGTTCAATCTATTGTAAATCTCTGCACATAATAGATATAAAACATATGGTGAATTGACTGAGATGTAAGAGAGGATGCTAAGTAGTTTGCATCCTCTTGATAAAAATGTTAGCATTACCTAGTTCTTAGGTACTAGCTATTAAGGAGAGGAACCCATAGAAAACATGGTTGATTTAGAGCTGAAGGCTAGTTACTCTACCGCAGCAATGTCCAATCTTTTGGCTCCCCAGGGCCACCCTGAAAGAAGAATTGTCTCAGGACACACATAAAACACACTAACACTAATGATAGCTGATGAGCTAAGACAAACAAAAACACTAAAAAACTCATAATGTTTTAAGAAAGTTTACAAATTTGTGTTGGGCCACATTCAAAGCCATCCTGGGCCACATGTGGCCCTTGGGCAGCTGGTTGGACAAGCTTGCTGTATGGTCTTACCGTCTTCTCCTACCCATTAAGTTGTCTGCTTCATGAAGCTGGTTGCATTTGTTCCTGAACCTGTTTATGCAAGTTGTAATTGCCATTGTAATTATTACATTTAATTAAAATTTATTCAAACAAATAAAATATGAGATCCAAAAGAAACTTGTTATTACAATGAAAACTAAGTTGAAAGTGCTGGAAAAACTTGGCATCATGAAGTTGCTTTAAGGGAAATGCATTTGATTAGATGTGGTAGAGACTACTGTGAATATTAGGGTGAGGGAATCCTAGACATCTAGAAGTGTTTTACATTCAGATTGCTTCATAAATGTGATTAAGTTTCTCTTACAGAAAAAAAATTGGTGATCTATTTTGGGTGTGATTTATATAAGAAAGCCCATGTGGTAGTCCATGGTCAATGTGGAGGTCCTATGTCTTTTAAAGTGGCTAATGAGTATTTAAATATTTGAGGGAAGTGTACACTTTTGTGTGTGTGCGTGTTGTGTGCTCCCTCATTTTAACTGGTTTTTAAAATTACAGCCCATTAATGGCCTGTCCCTGATGCACATAATTAAAGGATTCCTCCATTAGGGCTTTTCTTTTCTTTTCTTTTTTTGAGACAAAGTTTTGCTGTTGCCTAAGCTGGAGTGCATTGGCTCAATCATAGCTCACTGTAACCTCAAACTCCTGGGCTCAGGTGATCCTCCTGCCTCAGCCTCCTGAGTAGCTGGGACTACAGTCACACACCACTGCACCCCACTAATTTTTTTTTTAAGTAGAGACAAGGTCTCACTATGTTTTCCAGGCTGGTCTCAGACTCCTGGCCTCCAGCCATCCCAAAGTACTACTCTCCCAAAGTGCTGGGATTACAGACATGAGCCACCGGGCCTCTAGGACTTCTTGTTCTCTGGTGTTTTCAGAGCTTTGCTCCTTGGCTCTCTCCACCTGTAAGAGTCTTCCCCCAATTTTGGCCTTAGTGATGCTTGCTCCTGTTTCAAGATTCAGGAAGTGTTATGTTTGATTCTCCTTCCAGTTCAGGTTTACGAGATCAGTTTACCTGTCGTAGCCTTGTCACCAATTCTGTTATCTTTGGTATTTTACCTGACTTGCTGGTAGACCAGGATGTCCCTTGAAGGCAGAGTCCCCGTGTCCCTGGCACCTTAACCCAGGGCCTGGCATTTAGTAGATACTCAATGTTTGTTCAATGCACAGTGCACCCAGAAAAAAATAGTTAAATAAAATGATTATAATTCATTTCTGATACATTTTTGTTAACTTTTATCATAAAAAATGGCACTGTAAACTTAACAAGTGCCTGGCAATGATGAAGACTGGGTGAGAGATATTGAAAATGTGGGCTACTGAGTCATACTAAAGCAACTATCTCTCCTAACCAACTTTCTCAAAGGAATTTTTTTAAAGGCAGGTGTTTTTCATTTGATCTTATCAGGAAAATAAAGAACAAACAATAATCATGAAATTTAATGAGAATTTCTTTCTTAAAGCATGATCTTTTTTGTGCCTTGCTGAGCAGTGGAAGTTGAGTTCTCTCTTCTTGTTCCCTCTCTTCCTCTATGTATCTGGACTTCTTTTTGCACAGAGGGGACTCTTTTTTTCCTAGTGGTATTTTCACTCTTTTGTCCAAGCCCTTGATCAGTTCTCAGAGTTGGAGGCACCTGTGGTTCCAGATAAATCATAAAGCCACAATGCTGTCAGTGGCTCAGCACACCAAGCTCTCCTGTCTCAGGATTTCCCACACGCTGCTCCCTCTGCTCAGCTTTTCCTCATAGTTTGCTCCCTGTTTTCATGAGTTTGCACATTAGTGGGAAAAAACAGACAATAAGTAAATGAAACACAATATATCGTATGGTACAGAAAATGAAAGCCGAGTGGGGGCCTGAGAGTGCTGGTGGGACGCTCCTCATTTATACAGATTGGCAGGAAAGGCGGACCTGGCAAAGTGACATTTCAGTAGAGTCTGTGTTAAGTGAAGGGGACACTCTGCAGACATCTGGGGGAAGAGCTTTGTTGGAGGAGGCGCCACAATTTGGAAGGCCCTGAGAAAGGGTCAGTCTCGGTCTTTTGAAGAACAACAAAGAGGCCGGTGTGGCAGAAACACAGTGGTTGGAGATGAGGGCAGAGAGATAGCAGGACGTCAGGTCTTCTAGGGCCTTGAAGGCCATGAAAGGACTTTAATCTTTACACTACAAGTTCAAGCAGGGGAAGGAAATTACCTCCCATGAGCTGGGCGCAGTGGTCCATTCTTGTAATTCTAGAACTTTGGGAGGCCGAGGTGGGTGGATCACTTGAGGTCAGGAGTTCGAGACCAGCCTGGCCAAAATGGTGAAAACCCATCTCTAGGAAAATACAAAAAACTTAGCCAGGTGTGGTGGTGCATACCTGTAATCCCAGCTACTCGGGAGGCTGAGGTGGAAGGATCATTTGAACCCGGGAGGCGAGGTTGCAGTGAGCTGAGATTGCGCCAGTGTACTCCAGCCTGGATGACAGAGCAAGACTCTGTCTCAAAAAAAGAGAAACTACCTCCCATGCATTTTGGGAGGCTCCCTCTGGCTGCTATATGGAAATGAACTAGTTGGGGATAAGGATGTGAATCAGAAAATCTGCTTCAAAGGCTCTTGCCATGGTCCTGGCAATAGAACGAAGGGATCATGGATGATGCCACTACAAGAGAAGGTGGCAAGAGGTATCTGGTTCTATTTCCTGGTATGGTCTTCCCTGACCAAGCATGTTCCTCCCATACACTCATTCATAACACCTGTTTTGTTTTGTTTTCCTACAACAGTGGTTCCTACTTACATTTTTGAGTGGCACTCGGTTGATATCCCTTACTCTTCCCCTACAAGTAAATATATAAACAACATGAGGGCAAGGATCATGTTTGTTTTGTTAATCATTTCATCTCCAGCACCTAGTCAGTACCTGGCACATAGAACGTATTTAATAAATATTTTTGAACAAAAGGAAACAGAGTCAGTTCATGGTCAGCTAGTGGTTGCATCTGAGTATTAAGAGAATGAATGTCCAGCCAACCACTGGATTGAGAAAGAGGAGAAGTTGAGATTGCCAGAGAGCTGACACTAAATTTAAAATAAATCAGGGCCAGGCGTGGTGGCTCACACCTGTAATCCCAGCACTTTGGGAGGCCAAGGCAGGCGAATCACCTGAGGTCAGGAGTTTGAGACCAGCCTGGCCAACATGGAGAAACGCCATCTCTACTAAAATATGAAAATTAGCTGGGTGTAGTGGTGTGCACGTGTAATCCCAGCTACTTGGGGGGCTGAGGCAAGAGAATTGCTTGAACCCGGGAGGTGGAGGTTGCAGTGAGCCGAGATCACACCACTATACTCCAGCCTAGGTGACAGAGCAAGACTATCTCAAAAAATACTAATAAAATAAAATAAAATAAGCCAGAACAAATTTCGATAATTCTCTAGGTATTTTTTAAAATGCTGGTCCTTGATAGCATTTCTCAGTGTCTGGCATCATTTAGATATGGTCTGTCCCAGTATTCTGGCCTGTTGTAACCCCTGGGGCTTCTCTAATTTCAACACTGTGAGCTTTTAGGGAAGAGAGCAAGAGTGTTAATGCAAGAGCTATTTGGCATAGGAAATGGACAGAGTAGCCCTTGAACTGTTCTTGTTGTACAGGTCATTTTGTTATTAACGCTGATACTATGAAAGCTTTCATTTCTGGTGATTTCTTACCTGATAAGAACAAAATAAAATGATGCTCAGTGTGCCACTTCCCTTCATTGCCTCCAAATGTCCCAGGCTTCTCTTATAAATTTTTTTATGTGGTCTAGCTATAAAATTTGAGAAATGAAACTGAGAACTCCAGCAACTGCTTCTTGATTGGTCTCACATGGCGTGCATTGCTAGGTCTCTGTGCTGTTACAACCATTGCTGTCCCATCAGCTGTGTTTTCCTGAGGGTGGTTCAAGTCACAGTGCTGGTGATGTCACTCCTGTCCCCTCTGCTGAGATCGGCGTGGTTCCAGTAAGTGATGCGTATGGTAGCAATTTGCATCATGCTGTGTTATCCAAAACTTCTCTAATGTGCACTTTTTATAGCATCTCTGCTCTAAAATCCAGCACCACCAGCACTGCTTGTTTTAGAACTCTTTCTGAAGTCTGATCACACAGGAATAAGAATACACTCATGGATAGAAAATCCCTGACTGATATTGGCACCAGCTCTTTATTTGGAAAGGGGTTTGGTATATTGGATAATAAAGAGCACAAAAATTAAAATAAAAGCAAAACTCATTACTGTTCGTATCCACCATACCCTCAAAAGTCCTATTGCCTGACACAATGAATAGTATTCAAAATTGTAAGTTAAGGGCAATGCCAACCAATTTGGGGATCAGGCTTCTTTATGTCACTCCTTGTCCTGAAAAATCTCCAATGGCTTTTACAAAATGATGATATTAATGAATTTTAGGAATATGAGCTTGTGTGGCTTTCCCTTTTGAAAAATGTGTCAACTTCCCCATTCACAGACTGAAAGGCTTAGCAAAGTGCTTGTTAACAAATGTCTTAGTAATGGTAGATTTTCAATAGCATAAACTACGTGGTTTGACTAAATATGGATGAAACTATGCTTTTTAAGTTACATGTGAAATCAGCCACATTACTTCATCTAATATGCAGCCGTACCCAGTATGAGTATAAAAACATTCAATGATAATTACAATGGTAAAGATGATGGTGAAGGCTTTAGGGACATTGGGCAGCAGTCAAATCATTAACTGGAAATGGATACTATTTCAGAATCTTGAAAAAAAATACTGAAATGGAGTAAATAGGAGGCTCACTGGAGATATATTTAGGAAACAGAATTTGCTGCTTTCCAGTTAATGATGTGAGTCATGCCCAGTATCCCTAAGGTCATCAGCATCCTCCTCATCATTGTAATTATCTTTGAATTTCTCTCAAACTCACACTGAGCATGGAGGGCTGGTAGGTGCTTTGGTGCCTTCTATGGTTCTAAATCGTGGCTTATTTAGAGGTTGTTAACAGTATCATCTGGTTTTTAATTGGTCAGCAGTCAAAAACTTTAAAAATACTGAATCATCTCCCTGAGCAAAATTGGTGCTTTTCGGCTTCTGACTTGAGTTTACAGTGGGAATAATGTAAGAGCACATCTGAGTGGGAAGCTGTGGGGCTGGGATGAGTCAAAGGCCTCCCTCAATCCACTTAGAGTTCTTCATCTCATCAGGGTGATTCGCCTGTCACTGTTCATATGGTGCCCGAGGCAAAGGGTTAGTACTGCTGATGGTGACATAGCCTATAGCAGCAGCGCAGCAATTACCTGGGAGTCACATTGTATTTGCAGTTTGTTTAGATGGATGGATGGAAGAGACTGCAGGTCAACATCAAGTTTTGTGGTCAGACTTGGCAAATACAGGAATAAAAATATGACCACAATGGTCATTTAAATATGAGCTACTGTAGTCTTCTGTCTATGCACCCTTAAATATGTGCTTCTGTTTATGAAGTTCTTACTCTACGGAACTACTTCAAGTCATTCTATTCCTAGAGGGAAATAAGTATCTAACATGATACTTATTTCCCTCTAGGTGAAGCTGGGTTTATTCAAGCATTATCAGCAACAGGGAGAGAGAAGAAAAATATTGTAAAGGAAATATAATAAAAGCCATCAGGGAAAGCTACTTAAGGATGAGTTTTTTTAAAAAATGTACTCAAATAATGAGATAAAAGGAAAAGTAGAGAGAAGAGAAAAATGGAAAGATGTACTGAAAACAGGAACGTGCAAAGAAAATATAAAGAAAATAATAGAGTGATAGCTGCAAAACCTGCCAAAGGTCTGCAGAAGGGAAAGGGGAGCAAAAAGACAACTAAATATATTGCATTATGCCATATGACCCAACGATTCCATTCCTAGGTATATACCAAAGATAACTGAAAACATGTCTACACAAAAACCTGTATGCAGATATTCACAGCAGGAGTATTCATAACAGCCCCAAACTGGAAACAACCCAAAGGCCTATCAACATATGAGTGAATTAGCAAAATGTGGTATACCCATACAATGGAATATTATTCAATGATGAAATGAAATGAAGTACTCGTACATGCAACAACATGGAAAAACCTTGAAAACATTATGCTAAGTGAAAGAAGCTACTCATGTATTGTAATTATTGTATTTTGTACATAATGTATTTATATGAAATGCCCAGAATAAGCAACTTTGTAGAGACAGAAAGTAGATTGGTGGTTCTCAGAGACTAGGGGGAGGAGGAAATGGAGAATGACTGCTTATGGGTATGGGATTTCTTTTTGGGATGATGAAAATGTTCTAAAATTAAACAGTTGTGATGACTGTACAACTCTGAATATACTAAAACCCACTAAATTGTATACTTTAAAATACTGAATTATGATACACATCTCAATAAAGTTGCCACTTAAAAAATATCCAGACTGCTGTGTTATTTCTTTTCCATTTTTTAGGGTCTTCTATAAGGATGGGCCCTAGCAGTATGCCTGAGGCATAGGTAGGGATGAGGCATGGGGGAGAAAAGAAGAAAAAAGAAAGAAAGGGGCTTAGAAGGATAATAAGAGACATTGGAAGATGGTAGATATAGAAGAAGAAACAATAGAAGAGAGAGTTTCAATTAGGTTTATTAAACTGCAAGGGACAGAGACTTACTCCAGTTAACTCAACAAAAGGGTTTATTGGTAAAGAAATACATGGAGAGACCTTGAAATGGCAAGACTTAGACACAAAGGCAGCTCTTGCAAGCAGCTCTGCCATCATCCTCATGGACTGTGTCATCTCACAAGATGTATCTACTTCTCCCTGTGTATCTGATGCATTTTTTCTCTAATATATGACTTTCTCTTTTCCCTCATAATTTCAGCTTGCATGTAACTTTGGCTTACAGTGTCCTTTCCAAACCTGACAATCTCATAGCATTCTTAGTACCATCTTTGCCCACTTCTTCGGTGGCTCCATGATTCATTAACAGTTTTCTGATTCTCATGTCCTGAGATAGGAGTCCAGTTAGTTCTGTTCACGTTTGCAATCCAAAACCTGGATCATAGGCCACTGGTCACCTAGCCAATCTGTAGACTGATCCTCCTTGGATTATGTGCCCATCTGTTCTCATTAGCTGAGAGCAGAACAGTGGCATTATCTGGTTCACAAAAGGCATAGTGGGTTGTAGGGAGGAAAGAAGGATGGCTGGGCTTGGTGGCTCAGTGGTCAGATGTAGTGGCTCATGCCTGTAATCTTAGCACTTTGGGAGGCCAATGTGGGTGGATCACTTGAGCCCAGCCTGGGCAACACAGGGAGACCTTATCTCTCCAAAAAACTTAAAAATTGGCTGATTGTGGTGGTATGTGCTTGTGGTCTCAGCTACTCAGGAGGCTCAGGTGGAAGGATTGCTTGAGCCTGTGGGGTAGAGGTTGCAGTGAGCGAAGATCATCCCATTGTACTCCAGTTTGGGTGACAGAGCAAGACCTTGTCTCTAAAAAGAAAAAAATATAAAAGGAAGAACGGGGGACAGTTTGCCAAATGACACCCTGCGTGGGCAGTGGAAAATCTTCCCACTACAGGGAGAAAAGTGGCATACAGAAGGGTGCAGTTGGAAACCTTGTCAACTGTCCCTGCCAACTGATAATAACTCTTGATAAACATGAAGTTCTTCCTCCATGCACCACTCAGAGGAAAATACTTATTGCCCATGTTAGTGCTTTAGTTTGGACCTTACTATTGTTTGAATATGATTTGTCCCCACGAAAATTCATGTTGAGGCTTGGTCCCCAGTGTGGCAGTGTTGGGAGGTGGTACCTTTAAAAGGCAATTAGGCGCCAGGCACGGTGGCTCACGCCTGTAATCTCAGCACTTCGGGAGACCGAGGCGGGCAGATCACGAGGTTAGGAGATGGAGACCATCCTGGCTAACATGGTGAAACCCCATCTCTACTAAAAATACCAAAAAAAAAAAAATTAGCTGGGCGTGGTGGCGGGCACCTGTAGTCCCAGCTATTTGGGAGGCTGAGGCAGGAGAATGGCATGAACCTGGGAGGTGGAGCTTGCAGTGAGCCGAGATCGCGCCACTGCACTCCCACCTGGGCAACAGAGCAAGACTCTGTCTCAAAAAAATAAAAAAACAAAAAAAACAGCAATTAGGTCATTAAGAGGTCTCAATGCCTTTGTCTCAAGAGTGAGTTCTCACTCTCAAGGGACTGGGTTAGTTACCAAGAATGCAGGTAGTTACAAAGTGAGGACACCTCTAATGTTTGCCCTTTTTGGCAAGTGCCTGCTTCCCTCCCCCCCCCTTTTTTTTTTTGAGACAGAGTTTGGCTCTTGTTGCCCAGGCTGGAGTACAATGGCACAATCTTGGCTCACAGCAACCTCTGCCTCCAAGGTTCAAGCGATTTTCCTGCCTCAGCCTCCCGAGAATAGCTGAGATGACAGGCATGTGCTACCACACCCAGCTAATTTTGTATTTTTAGTAGCAATGGGGTTTCTCCATGTTGGTCAGGCTGGTCTCAAACTCCAGACCTCAGGTGATCTGCCTGCCTTGGCCTCCCAAAGTGCTGGGATTACAGGTGTGAACCACCGTGCCCAGCCCTGCTTCCCCTTTTGTTTCTCTGCCATGTTCTGATGCAGCATGAGGCATTCACCAGAAGCCACCAGATGTAGCTGCCCAATCTTGAACTTCCCAGCCTGCAGAACCATGAGCTAAATAAATCTTTAAAAACAAATTAGCCAGTTTCAGGCCGGGTGTGGTGGCTCACGCCTGTAATCCCAGCACTTTGGGAGGCTGGCGGGGGGTGGATCACGAGGTCAGGAGTTTGAGACCAGCCTGGCCAACATGGTGAAACCCCATCTCTACTAAAAATATAAAAATTAGCTGGGCATGGAGGCGTGAATCTGTAATCCCAGCTACTTGGGAGGCTGAGGCAGGAGAATCGCTTGAACCCGGGAGGTGGAGCTTGTAGCGAGCCGAGATCGCACCACTGTGCTCCAGCCTGGGCGACAGGGCTAGGCTCCATCTCGGAAAAAAAAAAAAAATTGGCCAGTTTTAAGTATTCTGTTATAGCAACACAAAACAGACTAAGACAGACCTAAACTCTATATTTTTGCTAAAAGAAAATTAGAAAGAGCGTGAATTCAGTTTCTTCCCCCATTTCTAAAGTTTTAAAATCTTCCTATAATTAGTCAAATACTTGAGTAACAACAAAAAAACCATGTTGAAATGAAATGTAAGCATGATAATATCCAATATTTGCTAAGTAAAATTTATATTCTATTTTTTTACCTCACATAAAGAAACACATGTGTGTTGGCCTGGCTAACACAATTATTGTACATAAAAACTACAGTATATACTTTATAATTCCGCTTCTAGGTATATATCCCAAAGAATTGAAAGTAGGGACTCAAACACACCAATGTTCATAGCAGCATTATTCATGATAATCAAAAGGTGGAAATAACCCAAATGCCCATCAACAGATGAATGGATAAACAAAATGTGGCATACAAATATATATATATATATATATATATATATATATATATATATATATATATATGAATGTTTAGCCTTAAAAACAGAAATGTGATTCTGATACATGCTACAATGTCGATGAATCTTGAAAACATGCTAAGTAAAATAAGCCAGGCACAGAAGGACAAACATTATATAATTTAATTTATGTGAGGTACCTAAAATGGCAAATTCATTGACACAGGATGTAGAGCAGAGGTTACCAGTGGGTAGGGAAAGGGGTAATGGGGGAGTTTCTCTTTGGGATGACGAAAAAGTTCTAGAGATGGATGTGGTGAAGTACCTACAACATTGTGAATGTACTTAACACCACTTGAAATGTGTTTAATATACATTTGAAAATAGTAAAATTGGTAAGTTTTATGTTACGTATATTGCCACACACACATACTCACACATCCAGGAAGAAGAACAACCAAAACTCCGAATTTGCATTAGTGCTTCTTGGTAAAAATGATTTCATTTTTCATGAAATCACTGGAAAGTTGTAGTCTCCACTAGATCTTCTTACAGAGACGTTGCTGAAGAAATAAAGGGCCAGGCCTGGTGGCTTGCACCAGTAATCTCAGGCATTATTTGGAAGGCTGAGGCAGGAGGATTGCTTGAGCCCAGGAGCTCAATACAAGCCTGAGCAACATAATGAGACCCCTGTGTCTACAAAAAAGAGAAAAGTTAGCTGGGTATGGTGGTGAGCATCTCTATCCCCACATTGGCTGAGGTGGGAGGATCACTTGAACCCAGGAGTTTGAGGCTATGAGCTATGATCATGCCACTGTACCCCCACCTGGGTGACACCTGAAAAGCAAAGAAAGAAGGAAGGAAAGAAGGAAGGAAGGAAGGAAGGAAGGAAGGAAGGAAGGAAGGAAGGAAGGAAGGAAAGAAAGAAAAAGAGAAAGAGAGAAAAAGAAAAGAGAAAAAAGAAATAAGAGACTAAGAGACTTGCTGTTCTATCACCCATTTACTCACTGCATGGTGAACATGAGATGAAGAAAGAAAGAAAGAAGGAAAGAAAAAGAAAGAAGGAAGGAAAGAAAGAAGGAAGGAAAGGAGGGAGGGAAAGAGAAAGAAAGAAAGGAAGGAAGGAAGAAAGAAAGAAAAAGAAAAGAAGAAATAAGAGACTAAGAGACTTGCTGTTTTATCACCCATTTACTCACTGCATGGTGAACATGGGGTGAAGTTGCACAGAGGCCTTTTTTATTTTTACACACATAACACGCTTCAGTCTAGTCAAAAGATCGGGCTCTGTAGGGTATCTTGGTAATTACGCAATTGTTAAAACACTTGAGCTGTTGTGTATAGTAACATGCTTCCTCTGGAAAAAAACTATGTTGCTTGTTCCATCTTCTGTTTATGTTTTCAAATATAATAATGCTTGGTTGGCTTATGTGAAATAGTATGAGTTATTAAAACAAGGAGCCATGAGTGTCAGGCAAAAGCAGGATTTCCTGCCCCCTAGCATGAGCTGCCATTCTCTGCCATTGCTTTTCTTTGAAAGATGACGTTTTCTTGTAATAAAAATGAAATGTAACTCTCTCAGACTTACTTTTAAAGATATGGCTTCTGGCTTATAACTAAAGAGGCTGTTTATGGCCAAGAAATAGTAGCAGCTTAGAAATGTTAAAGGCGAGCGGGGGTAGATGTTGAGCCTTTTCCATACAAAGTCTTGTTGACCACTCCCACCACGAGTGTTGACACACGGGCACCGTCATCGTTGAGTGTGCAGAAGTGTACCTTCTTTGAGAACTAGCAAGAATCTAATGCTTCTGGCTGCAGCAGAGCTTAAATATTTTAAATTTGCTTTTAATTTTTATGGTTGTTATGTTTATTAGCGTTTCCCTCCAATTTTCGTTATGTTGTTTGAATTCTTGTTTGGGTGTGGAAATCTTTAGAGTGAAATGAAGTTTTAGTAATCCAACACCTTTTTATCTTTCTCTTTCTTTCTCTCCAGCTTGCTCCTCATGCTTCCCTTTTCTTTCCATCACACCCAAAGCTGGTAACACTTTCCTGCTGAGAAATTTTTAAAGTCATCACACAGCTCTAACAAATGAGGGCTGTCATAGTTTTGGGATGAGAAAATCTACAGCAGCTCACACAGATCTAGGAGTTGATAGTGGTTAATTGACAGCCGGAAGGACTCGGGCTTCTGGCAGAGCTGGAGGGAGGGTGAGCCCTGTGGGTTTCATTTGGGCAGAGATAAAACAGGTTTTTATTCGATACTCATGAAGAGAGCATAATTAACCTTTTAGAAGTTTAAGGATGATCAAATTGTTATACATTTTGCAAATGAAAAGAGGGAGCTTCCCTTCCTGCCAGCGAAATGCCAGTGCAGATTTCAAGGTCACTGGGTGATCTCTTTGAGGGAAAAGAAAGCAGTAAACACACACACACACACACGCACACACACACACACCCAAACCCACAGATTGAGAAATGTCACCATGAAAACATTCAGGAATGAAAAGGAACAAATGTTCTTTTCTGTCATGCTCCACAATAAAAATCGAAGCGAATGTTTGCCGCACATTCACATGGGCCTGTTGGATTATAATGGCACTACCCTTGTCAGAGAAAACAGAATATATGACTCCAGCTGGTACCTCCTAGGCTTTGGTGTGTTCCAGTGCTTTTTAGAGGGTAGGGGGAAGGGCTTTTTGAGAGCCAAGCATGTTTTAAAGATGGCGTGCATAACATTGCTACCACGTGAGAATTCTGTGGTGTGAATAATCAACCCCAGTGCTTCAAAAAATTTTTAAAAAGATTTAGCCAAGTCTGTGCATGAAAGGAAGTGGTTTTCACTAGGCATCATGCTTTTAAGATGACCATACTTGTTATGTGAATAACTTTATTTTGCAGCTATTTGCTTTGCCACATCACAAACAACACTTCATGCACTATTACTTAGGGAAAAAAAATACTCTGTGGCTATTATTTTTTCCAAAACAAACCTCAAACATTTTGTGATAATTTCAAACAGAGAAAATTGCAATAATAGTACAAAGAACTACTGTATACTCTTCACCTGGATTCGCAGTTTTTAACCTTTTGCCTCATTTACTTTCATCTCTTTAACTATCCATCCATCTGTGAATCCATCCATCTATCCCATCGTGCTGTGTGATGAACGTGCTGCATCGTGAACATGGGGTAAATGCACCTATGTCTATATTTATCTCTACCATCTACATAAAATGATTATGTGATTCTATTTTTCTGAATCATTTGAGGGTAAGCTGTAGGCACAGTTCTTCTTTACCCCTAAATAGTTCAGTGTGTATTTCCTAAAAACATGAATATTTGCTCACATAACAATGTTATAATTATCAAAATGTGAAATATTAATACAATCCCTTATCAAATCTACAGATCTTTATTCTAATTTTGCCAGAGGCTTCAAAAATATCTTTTCCTTGGTTGGGGGATATGTGGCAGGGTTTAGCTGTGATGCCTAGGCTGGAGTGCAGTGTTCTACTCATAGCTCATTGCAGCCTTGAACTCCTGGGATCAAGCTATCCTCCCTCCTTAGCCTCCCCCATGAGTATCTGGGACTACAGGCACGAGCTACTACTCCAATAATATTCTTTATAGCATTTTTCTCCCTGGTTCAGAGCCCAATCTGGGATCTTGTGTTAGGTTTAGTTTTTATGACTCTTTAATCTCCTTTAATCTGGAATGTTTTCTTACCTTTTTTTGTCTTTCATGATATTGTTTTGAAGAATACAGGCCATTTATTTTGTAGAATGTCCCTCAGTTTGGGTTTATCCCATGTTTCCCTATAATTAGATTCAGGATGCACTTTTCTCTCCCCTCAGGAATGAAAGGTAAGTGGTATTGTGTTTTGTCACACTGTCACACAAGCAGACACATGGTGCCTGTTCATCCCACTGGTAGTATTGCTAAGTTGGGTAAAAGGGTGTCCACCAGAGTTCTCCTGTTAAGCTACTATTTTCTCCTGTATAATTAATAAGTAAACTGTGGGAAGAGTCTCATTTTTTTTATTGGCTTTGGTCTAAAATAAGCACAGCCAAATAACAAGCAGCTGGAAACAGTTCTTACATATTTTAAGAGGAGGCCAGATAAGATTTCTTCAATAGTTTAGGAAAACATCCTGACTAAACATATTTGGATTTTCCTTTTTTCCTCGCCCTGTGGTGTATAGCCCTGTGCAGAATCAAGCAGAGCCCTTTCTTTTCACCTCCTTATCCAAAACCCAGGGTTTATTATTCGTTGACAAAATCATCAAGGAACTACATAGACACACACCATTTTTGGGAGGGAAGGTATCAGGTATGTAAAGGAAATATTAAAGGGGAATAGGAATGAAATAGGAATGAGGAGAACACAGAAATGCCAAGAGTACACAAATAATAGTTGACAAAGTCTTTTTAAACAAGTTAGGTGTGCCCCACTTCTAGTTTGCCTTTTCAACCTAGACAGGTCCTAAGTCATTCATTTCTCTCCTGCCTCCTTTTGTTGTGTTCTATTTTAGTGGGAACAGTGGTATCTCCCTGCAGGAAACATGCTTACTATATTGACACAAAGTTTATGATTGGTTTCCTCAAATTGTCTTGGTCATATTCATTGTTAAGAACATTTTTAAAAGTAAATATTATTATGGAGAAGTTGGAAGATGAAAAAAATGAAGTGAAGCCAGTTTGTATATACTCACTAAAGGAGGATGTGCCTGGATATATAGTTTATACTATCTGTAATATCAAACCCAGTGTTTGAGAGAAACACCATTCTTCCTGGCACAGAGATCTGAGAGAAGTTTCTCCAGCACAAAGAAGACCCTTTGTAATGAAGTAAATAATGTCCTTGACAACATTCTTACAGGAAAGCAACAAATGAGTTACAGGGCTGTTTCTTATGAAGTCTCTTGATGTGGCTGACTGCCTAATGCCAAAGCAGAGAGGAATGAAAGAAATCCGTCAGTGAGTGACAATGCCCTCTGATAGTCTGGTTTATTCCAAGGTTAACTTGTAGAGTATCTAAAGCGGTATTTCCAAATGTGCTTTTAATCTCCTTCAGCCATGTCCTCAGTTCTGTCAGATAGGGATGATAAAGCTTCCTCCTTGATTGCAGTGAAGGTTGAATGAGGTAAACTGATGGGAACCAGGCAACACAGAGCCAGTAGCATTGTAGGAAGAAATTAACAAATGGAAGTTATTATATTATTATTTTTGTTTTTCAGGAAGAAAAATAGGAATGAATGATTAATTAAAGCCCCAAATAGAACATGCTCACAATAATTTAGTTGGGAACATTTTTAAGCAGTTTTACCAGTCCATGACCCATGCCATTAAAAATGATCTTTGTAAATCATCCAGTGTGGTGCTGTCTCTTTAGTAAACCGGGAAAAGCAGAATATAAAGTATGCCCTTAGGTGACTTAGTGAGTGTGCTATTTAGGGTTGTTAGCTATAACCCAGTTAATCCTTGGCTTTGGTGCTGGAAAAACACACTATTTCCGTGGTTCTCAAAGTGTGGAAAAGGCAGCATCAGAACCATCTGGAAACTTTTTAGAAATGCACATTCTCAGCCCTGTTCTAGATCTACTGACTCAGAAACTGGGACAGGACTCAGCAATCTGTGTTTTAACAAACCCTCCAGGTGATTCTGATGCTTGCTAAAGTTTGAGAACCTCAGCTCCTCTGTCATAATTAAATAACAGGGTTAATCACTTACTAAGGCCTCTCCCAGGATATAAAAAAAATCCCAATTTCATATAGAAGGATGCATCTTTTTTCCTTCCCTGTGGTGAAGAGGGAGGCATTGTCCAGTGTACTGGGTCAAAGTGATATAATATTCTTAAGATGTAAGTTAAAATGAAAGAAGAACAGATTACATACATCCCCAATTTATCCCAATAGAAAATATTGGATTTGGCCAATACTGTATCTCTTGACTCTGCCTCTAATAGGAGCTTAGCCTAAAACTGGTTTCTATTCATAGAGTTAAAGGCTGAGGGAGAATGAATAAATGATTCTGTGAAAATAGCCTTAGTATGTATTAACCAGCTGTACCCAACTGACTTTCTCTTGTTAGCTGCACAAGGCAAAGGATGCTGAGATCTAGAGCATGTGCTTACAGGAGCAGAGGTAAGTTAGGTACAAGTTACTTGTACTTCCTGGCGTTTGAACAATAACTGGGCTCCTTTCTCTTTCAACCAGCAAAACATATTGTAACACTACTGCATTGAATGAGTGTGATGGATTAGAGGGAAATTCTTGAATGCCATCTCATTTACATTTTTATTAATTGATTCCCCTGCAACCTTTGGTACTTATGAAAAGTAACAAATTTCTAATAGCAGCCACATACCCAACACCAAATACACTGGTCCATTAAACAGGACTTAGGTGAAATGGGGTTTGAGCAGTAATGTTCGGACCCTATTCTAGGTGTATCAGGTTTATTTATTTTCTTGTTTGTAGGATGCTCACTCTTGGCCTATGTACGCAGGCTGCCAAGTACCAGAGATGATGCAGAATTCAGATTCCCAAGGAGGGGTAATGGACGGAAATGAACCCTTTCCTGCTTACACAGTAAATATTCACAAAGAAGTAAAAGCTAACCTGAGAAAAAAAAAAAAAAAAAAAAAAAACAGGAGAAAGGAGAAGGGGGGAAAGGCATTTTTTATTTTCATAGTGGGAAGAAATGTACTCTGGGAAGAAATGCATTGGCTCTGCCTCTATACAAAGAGCCCAGATACTGCCTCAGCCAGACTGGCTGGAGTCCAGAATGGAAATTCAGATGGTAATGACTATGTGTAGCTGGGTGGCTCATCAGATGAATACTTTAAAGGCAGATCTTTAATCATAAGCTCATGCAGTGTGGGAAGAAGTAGGGACTCTGTAAATATAATTGCTTCTCAGTTTAGGCGAAATGTTCAATATTAAATTTTAGAAAAAACAGATCACCTTTAATTCTAAATTTGGCTCATTTGGTTAAATGTCATATCCATTTCAAAAAGGAAGAATGAATGAGCTGATATCTTCAAACTTGCAGCAGGCTTTTAGGTTTTCCATTTTAAAAAACTTATTTAGTTTTTACAATATGAAAATTATAGACAGAGTGACATTTAAACCTTTGCTTTTCATAGCATTTCACACTTACACCATTTTAAAAGACAGCTATTAACATTTACAAAAATCTTTCAGAAACCAAATGTTCTAACATGCAGAATTCCAATTATACTGTGTAAGAGGGTTATCAACCATTCTTCTACAAGAATACTTTGAAGTGTCAGGTATTAAACCAAGAGCTAAAATGTCAGTTGCACATAGACAATAAATTACGGTTTATAAAATCTTGTAAGATTTATTTAATATTACAATTTTGACCTTTAGGTTGTCTTTACCATAGCTGGTTTAAGTTCCTCCTTCTCTTTCTGTGTGTGTGTGTGTGTGTGTGTGCGCGCGCACACACCTTTTTTCCCCTCTAATCTTACTTGAATGTTAAACAAATGCTGTGTTGCAAGTTATATGAAGTTATGTGACCCATTCATGCCCCGGCTAAATACTTCCCAAGGCTCCTAGCTTCTCCTGTTTGGGTAATGGGATCCTGTGAGGCATTGCCTGTTTCCTTACAGAGCACACAAATGGAGTCCTCAGCAAAATGTTAACCCTTGTCAGCCTGTCCCTGAAGCAGGAAATCTGTTTACCTCTTTTTTGGACTTACTCTTGAAGACAAGCCTGAAGTTGTAAGGACCTATCTCATGCTTCTCAACTATTTAGCAAAGGAAATAAAAGAAGATGCTATCCACTTTTTTTTATGTTCGCAATTTGGGATGAGATTTGCTAAAATGAACAGAAACCATTATCAAAAGACATTTTGATCATTCCCACTAAGCTGACAAAGAATCAGAAAATTTCCCCTGAAGAATGGGCTCCAGATCAGGTACCATCCTTCTCATATCACATGGGAGGTCCTCCTAACAACTTGTTTTCATTATTGGGCACTTTTCCCAGAAACGTGGGAAAGGTGGAGGGGAGAGAGGAAATATTGTATTACAGAAGCGAATGGCCAGTCATCTTGGTCCTCCCCAGCTGTTGGCAATGTTGAGGCTGCCCCTTCTCTTCCCCATGTTGGGAAGCAGCCAGAGCCATTGTAGTTTGCAGGAATTCTTTTTTCAATCAATAAATACACATCTCCATATTATCAGTAAATACTTATATAGCATTTCTGTGGACCAGACTTTATGCTAAGTGCTTTACATATTCACTCCCCATGAGGATTCTGAGATTTACTGGTAAGTAACCAAGACATAGGGAGATTTAAATAATTTTCTCAGCATCAAACAGCTAGGAGATGTTAGAGCCATACTTCGCACCCATTCCATCTGGCTCCAGAGTCCTTACTTTATGAATGGCATGGTTCCTTCTGAGAAGCACCTTATTCAGGTGGTTTATGAAAACCATGCAAGCCTATTAATACTCTTTGCAAACCATTTTTTTTAACCAACAATCTGAGAAGTTACAAATGACCTGAAATAAGGTCATATACTTGAGGCTTTCATTTTGTCACCTGCTTTTAAAAGCAACTTTGTGCTGAAGCCAAGAGCAACAAGCAAAAGCTAATAGTGAGGAATTGCTTGAGTAAGTGGTTCTCTGCAGCCAATTGCCAAGTCAGAAGCCTGTGAATACTTGTAGCTGATGCTTTAATGACACTCCTCATTTGTGGCAGATATGGCTTTTTTCTATATTTTTGTTAAACAACATATTGTGACATATTGTGTTAGCACATTTCTGAATGTTAGCTTCTGAGATATATCTGTGTAAAAAATAGATCAGTATTCATGATCCCATAGAAGAATATCTTGCACTGCTAGACCACCTTTTATGGTTGTGGTACAAATCAAATTCTATTTCAATGAAATAGCTGTAAGACTCAAAGATTTCTTACTTTCAGCTGATGGTCCACTTATTTTAAGCTATATTCCATATAACAAAATTCTAATATAACCAGAGAATTGGGTCACTTCCTTGGAGTCCACTGAAAAGGATTTAGCATGCAGTCATAAGACAGGCGCTATAAACATAATCACCCATCCATTCATTCATATTGATTGAGATCCACTTAGGGCTCTATCGGATATGCAGGGATTTTAATCCCTCATGCACTTCTATGTATTTAGGACACTGAGTGACAAATACTTTACATATAAATGAGTCAGCTTTGTGAAAGTCTTCCAGTCTGTGGTACTTTGTTACGGCAGTTGGAAGGGATCAGAATATCACCCCAAAATATGTCACTTTGGCATAAGGATTATTTTGAACTGAAGGCAATTAAGAAACAGCAAACATAGGAGACACTCTAGGCCATTCCCTTTTCTGCTTAAAAGGGCATAAATTTCCCCTTTGTAAAGGAAATCTTTGTAAAGGAAACCCACACTTGCAAAGTATAGGTGACCTCCTTTTTCCATAAGAGGAAGAGAAGAAAGACTCAGGAGACAATTCTTATCACTTGAGATGACTGAGTCTACATAACAGACTTTAGTAAATAATGCTTATTTACCATACATTTCTTAGTTCATTTTTGTGTTGTTATAACAGAATTTCTGATACAGATTTAATTTTTGTTTTTAAAAAAAGGTTTATTTCGCTCATGGTTCTGTAGGCTGGGAAGTTCAAGATTTGGTCGCCCCATCTGGTGGTTTCTAGTGAGGGCCTTTGCTTCATCAAAACATAGCAGATAATGTAAGGGGAACTGGGCATGTGCAAAAAAAGGCAAAACATGAGAGTCAATCTCACCTTATAACAACTGCTTTCTTGGGAACTTATCCATTCCCATGAGAACTAATCCATCCCTGCAAGAACTAACCCAGTCTCACAAAAAAGACATTAGTCCATTTTAACAATCTAATCACCCCCCCCACTTTTTTTTTTTTTTTTTTGAGACGGAATCTTGCTCTGTCGTCAGGCTGGAGTGTAGTGGCATGATCTCGGCTCACTGCAACCTCCGCCTCCCAGGTTCAAGTGATTCTCCTGCCTCAGCCTCCTGAGTAGCTGGGACTACAGGCACGCACCACCAAGCTCAGCTAATTTTTGTATTTTTAGTAGAGACGGGGTTTCACCATGTTGGCCAGGCTGGTCTCGATCTCTTGACATCATGATCGGCCCACCTCGGCCTCCCAAAGTGCTGGAATTACAGGCATAAGCCACTGCGCCTGGCCTCTAATCACCTTTTAAAGGTACCACCTCCCAGCACTGCCACATTAGGGACCAAGCCTCAACATGAGTTTTGGTGGGGACAAATCATATTCAGACCATAACAATTTCCTAGTCACCTTCCCACAAGTTACCCTCTCTAGAAGCCAAACTCCTCTTTTCCTTTGTCTAGTCCTTTCTTCATACTTTATCACCCTTTGCTAAAATAGTATGTAAGTCCCTAGGTCTAACCACAACTTTGGCGTTTTCACTTTTATTCTGTGAGTCTCCCACTTCCTTGTGTCCATGTGAAATAACCTTTTCTCCTGTTAATCTTTCTTTTCTCTGTTTAATTTGCAATCTCCAGATACTGAACCTAAGAGAGTATAGGGAAAGTTTTTCCTCCTCTACAGCCTCTTTAAGATAAATCCTGTCATGTACTAGACACTTACTTCTAGTTAAACATCAATTGATAATAGCAGGAATGACAGTAACTTATGTCCATTTTGGAGCTTTTTTTTCAAGAAGCCATGTACAAAGAGAGAAATGAAGGCTTAAATTTTTCAAAAACAAGGTCTCCTACAGATATAAATACAAACACAAGGTAAAGGTTTTATTTGATTCATTAAAGAGGAAACTGGTGAGGTGTTTCAACCAGTTCAAGGGATAATTTTGTAAATGTTAATTTATGGATCAGAAATGTTAAAACAAATGTGCAAATGGAGGCAAAACTGGCCTCTTCCACAGTGGGGAAGAAAGTCAATAGAACTTCTAGTAGGCATAATTTACATATCTACAGACAAGAATTACTTTGCATTGCAATCAGTTGTCCACAATATACAGAGTTGTAAAATAGCTGGAAGACTATGAAAGACTAGAATAAGATAACATGGAAAGGTGTGATATAAATAATGCATTTTCTACAGAAGCACAATTTTCCCTCATTTTAGACCAAATTCCCTGTGGAAAACCAGACAAGGAATTAGAAATAGACCTCTTTTCTTCATTCTAGTTACAAATCTCCTAGCTCAGTCCTTCATTACTGCATTACTTCTCATCTGTGTAGGTGTAAAACCTTCCTACCTGATCTTTTTTCTTCTTCAAGATCCATCTTCTTCTAGTTCATACTACATACCACTGACAGTTTGATGTTCTTAGAACACTTCTGTGATTGTCATGACACCCTTAGAAGTCTAAATGGTCCCCTGCTGCCTGCAGATGATATGTGAAAGTTCTAGCCTGGTGCCCCAGGAGTTAGCTCTATATCAGTCAGGGTTCCAAGTTGCAAGTTACAGAAACTGACTGGTTGACTTAAAGAAGAAAGGAATTTTTTAAAAAAAGATATTGGGCAGATTACAGACTTGTCAGGAGGGCTAGAAACAGACTTAGAAGCTTGTATTGCCAGAATGAATTCTCAAAATAATGCCACAGAACTGGCTGGATGAGGACACCACAGTTGCTGTCACAGAATGCTAGCAGAGTCAGTTCTCACTATGATGTGATTGCCATGTGCACTGTCTTCTATGGCAGCCATCATGCTACTGCACCAAGCTCTCAATTCTGCAACTGTCACCAAACCACAGTGGATTTTTTTCTGTCCCTCCTTGCATTACACGCTTTCTATCCAAAATCAGGGGAGTGGTCTGATTGTTAGAACTTAGGTGATATGCTCATGCCCCAGCAGCAAGGGAGGTTGAGAAAGAGCAATTGGCAGATTGGCCATCTTTAGTGGTAGGTGAGATGTGCCTCCTTCCATGACTCAAAAGTAGTGAATTCCACAGAGGAAACTGGAAATTCCTCAAAAGCAAAGGGAGATGATTTACATGCTGGGCAAAGGGCAAATATTCACTGTAGGTTCACTCTGTCTTCCTGATCCAATGCCCTGCTATTCACATTCCTATATCCTACATGCAAACATGAAGTCAAACCCAACAAAAAGTCATTTGATCACTGTTTCATTTAGCAAACATTGAATGATACCTATATGCTAAGTAATGTGCTGGGTAATGAAAACAGAGAAATAATGGATACTTCAAGGAGATATTAGTCTAGGCAAGAGCATATACAAGTAAGCAGGCAATTATAAGCCTGTGCCATGCGAAGCATAAACTCAAAATGCTCAGACTGAGCAACATAGCAAGGCTTTGTCTGTACTAAAAATAAAATTAGCTGTGTGTGGTGGCACGTGCCTGTAGCCCCAGCTACTCCAGCTATTTGGGAGACTTAGCTGGGGGACTGCTTGAGCCCAATAGGTTGAGGCTACAGTGAGCTATTCCTGGGCATAGAGTGACAACAGCCCAGGCAACAGAGATCCTGTTTCAAAACAAAAACAAAGAAAACAAAGAAACCTTGAGATGCTCTGGGAATGCCCATGAAGGGTACTTACCTGGTGGAGGTGACAATTTCTTCCCTCAATTTAGGCAAGGTAGGACTGCTGGTGCCTTTCCCTTTCTTCCGGTCATCCGTGAAGCCCTGCTACCTACTGTTCTATGCCCCATAGCATTATTTAGGTCCTGCTACCAGCATGTTCTCTAGGTTCCTCAGCTTGTACATCTTAGGGAAAGCTTCCTTTAAACTTTGCAACAGTATCTCCCTGTAGGATGGAAGGATGTCAGCCATACCCTTTTCGTGCGACTCCGTAGAGGTCATTATTTTTCTACTCATAATCCTCTCCACTATCTGCTCTACTGCTCTTTTGCTGCTCAGTTGCAGCTCAGCTTGTTCACAGATAAGCTGCCTGTACTCATCCTCCTGATTGCCAATGTTCTGCTCGGGCATCTACAGAAGATCACCCCTGACCTCTAAGCTGTATGATGTTGCTTCTTTCTGCTTTTCTCTTGGCACATTTTGGCATTTTTGCCTGCCTCTAGATCAGCGCACGACTTTCATTAATCCAGTTTGATTTTAACTAATTTTTCTGGACATGATTTTAAAAGGTGCTGTAAAGTTTCAGGACACCTAGACTATATATAGTATCATGGGCCAGCTTAGCAGCTGCATGCTGACCTGGAAATCTGGGTATTTTTTTTCACCACTCCTGAACTTCGCTGCCAGTGGGAGATCCCAAAAACATCAATGGGCTGATTACTCTGTGTTATTGTGAAATTTCTTGGGCATATAACCTTGCTGCCCTGTATGAGCCTTTTGTAGACATCTCCCTTCTAGACTGCAGGTTGTCTCCAGAGGACAGGGCCTCTGATTGATTTTAGTAAGACCCAAAATCTCCATCAAATTGTCTTGCACTCAAGAAACAGATGTTGAATACATTAATAAATGGTCTTCTTACTAATAAAGAAGTTGTCAGCCTACATTTCACAGGACAATTTGACCTACTTAATATTTTCAAACAAACTGCAGTGTCTCCACAACCTGTAATTGGTCTGACTTGCTTCCAAGGGCTAGAGTGGATGCCAGTTTGTGGGCCCTGGCCTGGGGGTTTGTTGGCTTATTGGCTTTCTAAGCAGGCAAGGAGTGAAATGTGCTAGTGATGAACAAAGGGATTGGAACACGCACATCATATTCCATTCCTTCTCTTCTTTGCTTTCATGAAACTAGATTACCTCCTAGAAAATAATTAAAAAAAAGAATATGACTGTAGCTACTAATTCTTGAAACTATTTTTAGTAGACCTTTATAAAGATATTATTTCTGTATTTGCCAACCACCTAAATATGAAATATTTCATATCTTTCACATATTCAGGTATAGAGTAAGCATGTTAGTGCAAATGAAAATTGACTTATACTTACCAACAGCTACAATAGTGGCTGGCATGGGACTTCATGCCATGCATGAATGTGGATATGGCTTGGGAAATCTACCCAGGAGTAACAGTTGTTGTCTTGGCTCACCCCTATCAACCAATCAGAACTCATCTTGGACCTTAAAACCTCAGCAAAGCTTTCCTTGATACATTTGTCTGGCCTTTGCCTAGCATGGCAGCTTTCTGCCTCCTCTGGGGTGGATGGACCCTTGCTTGTCTGAATCTTTTAGTCCTCAGTGAATCCTTCAGCACCAACATTACCTAAACCTTTTGAAGCATCCAATAATGACTGAATCAATCAATCAATTAATTGGTGCCACGATAAATTCAGACGCTCAAATGGTTCCTCAGTTTGCTTTGTAATCCTTTTTGCTGTGGCCCTAGACACTTCCTTCCCCCTTACTTCACACTAGTTATTTTGAAACTTCTCTTTTTTGCACTCCATCCCAGCAACTCTCCCTCTTTCACAGAAAACGAACCTACTAATTAGGTTAGAAATTCTTTTAACGTCTTGCCCGCTATCCATTTCTCTTGCCCTCACACATACTAGTGAGTCTCCCCACATAGGATCTGGTGTCTGTTTCTTCTTTTCTCCTAGTGATATGACTTTGAAATTGGAAAAGTTTCCTTGTCCCCCTTTGCAGGGTGAGTGATGGGGGAGTGGCTCGCTTCTTCAGGGCCCCGCTGCTCAAACCTTTAGGGGAGCATACAGACGGGCAGGTTGTGGGGCTCCGAACCCACGGCAGTGTCTGGGGGTGAATGTTTATAGCTCCTGAAGGCCCAGTGGGTATGTGTTACATGGTGCTCTTTTAGTTTAGCCATCCGTAGGCAGCTGTGTTAGATCAATTAGACTCCTGCTTATTGCAAGGACAGAGGGCTTTCTGTATCCTGGGTTCTTGCCTTGGTGTACTGGAAGAATCAGATCACACGTGAGCTTGGAGAATGAGTACAAGGTTTTATTGAGTGGAAGTAGCTCTTAGCAGATGAGGGAGCCAGAAGGGAGATGATTTTCCCCTGGAGTCAGGCTGCTAGGTGGCCTGAACTCTCCTTCGACTGCCCTGGCCAACCTCCACCTAGCTGCTGGTGTGCCGGAAGAATGCCAGGTGCTCTTCCGCAGGCGTGCTCCCCTAGCTGTCCTTTAGCCATCCGGCTGCTTGTGTCTTCTTCTGCCGACGTGTTCCTCTCGACGTCCAGTCACTTGTGTGCCTGCTTGCAAGGGTCTCGGGGGTTTTTGTTTGTTTGTTTGGTTTTTGGTTTTTTTGAGACAGAGTCTCACTCTGTTGCCCAGGCTAGAGTGCAGGGGCTCGATCTCAGCTCACTGCAACCTCTGTCTGCCAGGCTCAAGTGATGCTCCTACCTCAGCCTCCTGAGTACCTGGGATGACAAGCGTCCATCACCACACCCAGGTAATTTTATTTTATTTATTTATTTATTTTTTGAGACGGAGTCTCGCTCTGTCACCCAGGCTGGAGTGCAGCGGCGCCCTCTTGGCTCATTGCAAGCTCCACCTCCCGGGTTCACACCATTCTCCTGCCTCAGCCTCCCAAGTAGCTGGGACTACAGGTGCCCGCCACCATTCCCAGCTAATTTTTTGTATTTTTAGTAGAGACGGGGTTTCACCGTGTTAGCCAGGATGGTCTGGATCTCTTGACCTCGTGATCCGCCTGCCTCAGCCTCCCAAAGTGCTGGGATTACAGGCATGAGCCACTGCGCCCGGCCCCTTTATTTTTTATTTACTTTTTTTTTTTTTTTTTTTTTTGAGATGGAGTTTCACTCTGTCGCCAAGGCTGGAAAGCAGTGGCACGATCTCGGCTCACTGCATTCTCCGCCTCCCAGGTTTAAGCAGTTCTCTGCCCTAGCCTCCCTAGTAGCTGAGATTACAGGTGCCCACCACCATGCCTGGCTAATTTTTTTTTGTATTTTTAGTAGAGACGGGGTTTCACCATCTTGGCGAGGTTGATCTTGAACTCCTGACCTGATGATCCACCCGCCTCAGCCTCCCAAAGTGCTGGGATTACAGGCTTGAGCCACTGCACCTGCTAATTAGCACCCAGCTAATTTTTTGTATTTTTTTTTTAGTATAGACGGGGTTTCACCATGTTGGCCAGGCTGGTCTAGAACTCTTCACCTCAAGTGATTCACCCACCTCGGCCTCCCAAAGTGCTGGGATTACAGACGTGTGCCACTGCGCCTAGCCAAGGGTCTCGGGGGGTTTTATAGGTACAGGATGGAGGCGTGGCAGGCCAGGGTGGTCTTGGGAAATGCAACATTTGGGCACAAAGGCAGGAGTGCCTGTCTCACCTAGGTCCCTGGGCACAGGGCTGGGGGTGGAGCCCTCGCCAGGGACCTGTCCTTCCCTTCCCAGCATTTCCCTGCCCAACTTCCGTATCAGCTTCTTATATGATCCTTCCTGTGGTGTCTGCAGTCTCCGGCAAACCCACGTTCCCCTTTAGCTACAGAACCTTCTGTTTCCTTCTTTCCACTGTCACATTTCTTGCTGAATCTCTACATTCTCTTGCCTTACATTCACTTGCCAGCCCTCTGTACTCTGGCCTCTGTGGCCAGAGAGAGACCAGCAGCTGAATCCAGTAGACATCATTTCATCCATATCTTGGTTCCCTTCTCTGACACATTTGACACTGTCTGTAACTCCTGTCTGCAAGTTCTTGGTTCTCAGCACCAGTTTCTCCCTTAGCCTCTCTGTCTTTACTTTTCCCATCTTTGAATCTCCTGTTCTCAGTCCCAACAGTCTGTTTCACCAGCTGCACACTGGTTAGTGTTCCCCACCCGGCCACACCTTCACTTTCCACATAACATATTCTCCCATGGCAATTACATGCATGCCAATGAACTCACCTATACAGGAGGGCATTCTGATAACTCTTGAGCCAATCTGCCCAGCCCCAGGTTTCTCTTCTGCCTTCCAAGTTTGCATGGTTGTCTTTCCTGCCGGAATAGCACGCTCTTCACAAATGCAGCACATCCAAAACGAAGCTCACTGTTTCTCTCCCAAAACTGCTTTTCCACCTGCATTATCTGCTCCCATGGTTAGGACAACCATCCACTAGTTACCAAGGCCGGAGTAATCCTAGACACCTACCTCTCTTTCATGCCCCACATCTAATCAATGACATGATCTGATCAACTCTACTTCTAAAATATCTCTTAAATGCCCTCTTTCCTGCAGCCACACAATAACAACCTGTGTTTAGATCTTAATTATTTTTCACCTAGATTACTTCCAGATTACAGCTCTCTGGTCTCCAGTCTTTTTCTTTCATCTTCTTTTCAGATAGCGGCCCAAGAGCTCTTTCTGAAACACCAAGTCTATGTGATGATTACCTTGTTTGATACATGCTGAATAAAACATACACTCCATAAGTTGGGACCAAGGACACTTCTGGCCCTCAATTTTGCCTACCTTTGCAGGCCCACCTTTTGCCATACCCACATAGACCTGTGCTGGTCTGCCAGTGGGGCCACTTTTTTAAGCTCTGGATTTCTGAGCTGTGCATTTTCTCTGCCTGAAAAACCCTTACTGATCTCCTCAACCTCATCTCTCCTGACTCAGTTAAGGGGCCCTTTGTTTCTGGCACGGCCCACCAACTAAAGTGACAACACATTCTCAAGCCCCCAGATGCCCTTTTCTATTTCCCAGGAGTGTGCTTATTGCCTAGAATTTTAACCTTCTGTTTACTTATCTTTCTCTCCAAATAGACGGAGAGCTCCTGACTTTCCTCAGTTCTTCTCCCTAATCTATAGCAAAGTGTGTGGTATTTAACATGTACACAATGTTTGCTGAGAGAATGGAGACATCATCAGACCTCCGCTTGAATTATTTTAGAGACAGACAGCACATCCTGTCAATTCAGCCTTTGTGCTATTGACTTGGGCATCTGGCCCTTCTTTCTCATCCCACTGTCTCCAACCTAGCTGGGGCTTTATTAGTTCTCATCTAGACCTTCAGTTATCCTTCCAGCTGTTCACCCATTCTGTTTGCTCATTCTACCATTCATCAAATGCATATGTTTCAATGTCACTAAGTACATCTTATGAGGCATCAAGTTCTGTTTATCTGCTCATACGTTCTACTTTTCAAAAATTCTTTCATGATAATTACATTATCCATAAAGCCCTTAGAGATGTGCAGGGCCTCATCTGCACAACTGAAATGGTAGTTGTGCAAGTCACACTCTAGAATGGCACCAATGATCTTCACCCCCTGGCACCCACACCCTTGTGTGGCTCCTCTCACGCTGTACAAGGGTCAGTCTGTGTGACCAATAGAATATGGCAGAAATGATGGTACATCATTTCCCTGATCAGGTTACAAAAGACATTAAAACTTCTTTTCCACTTGCTCTCTGTCTCCCCTACTCATTACTTTCTCTAGGGGAAGCCAGCTGTCATGAAGAGGCCTGCTTGCAAGTGAAGTGAGGCCTCTGGCTGATAGCCGCTTGAGTTTAGAAGTGGATCCTCCAGCCCCAGACAAGGCTCAGACGACTGCAGCCCAGACGACTGCAGCCCAGACTCATAGATACCTTGATTGAGTCTCATGGGAGACCCTGAAGCCCAGCTGAGCTGCACCAAGATTTCTGATCTTCAGAAACTGTAAAATAGCAATAGTTTGCTGTCTGAAGTTCTCAGGTTTGGGGTACTTTGTTATGTAGCAATAGACAGCAAACACAGGGCCCTGATGCTCTCTTTCCACACCTCTCTTCTCATCTTATTTATATCTTTATATATGTTTAAGCTCCATCCAGACTGAACTGCTTCTTTTTCCCCAAACAGGACCAGAAGATGTGAACTTTTTGCTTCTACACCTTTTCCTTAAGATGTCCTTCCATCCAAACTACTGTTTCCTCCCACCTCCACTTGCCACCGTCTTTACCCTCTTGATGCAGCTCCTCCTTAAAGCCTGTCTGATCACATCTACTAAATGAAGAGTACTCTCTCCCTCTAAGAACTCTAATAAGATTATGTTTATTCCTCTCATGTCACTTAGCTCTTAGTGTCTTTTATATAACCGTCTAAATATGTTTTTCTTGCCGTGTGAGCTGATTTACACAAAGTAGGGAATGTATAAATATCTGTCAAATGAGCAAGTAACTCTTAGAACCTGAAATACAAGCTTTTTTGGCAGGCTGGCTTTAGTCATTTTTACTTAAACAGTGTCTTCTAGCTCATGCTAAACATGTGAGACATCTGGGCTCCACCACTATGCCTGGGTTGGCTTTTTCATCTACTTCAGAGACATGTCTTAGGTGATGAGGCTTTCAAAGACAACATTGTTTCCTGGACAGTAATGGTTTCCACAGTTCTTTGATTTCCTTGAACACCCTAAACGAGCAGGAGATCTTGTAATTCCATACGTCTGATCATTTCTGCAGACATGCCTGGAAAACAGAGTATCGACACCAAGTTTAGACTTATGCTTTAATTTTTCAAACTATTTGAAAATCTAAATAAATATCCCCATGCAGGCCCCTTTTCCACCAACGTCCTTAAATCATTTGTTAATAAGTAATGTGCTAATACCTGGAAATGATTACATAAACGAGCAAATAAATTTGCTCTGCTGTCAGCTCTAGCGCTGTATTCTACGTGAAAACAACCATATCCAATTCTTTTTCCCCTTTGGTTGTGAAATGAAGGTGCACATTTTATTTTATAGCTCTGTAGGGAATAGTGGAACTATTGAAGCAAATGGGAAACTGGTTCAGGAAAAGGAAATTTAAACAAAGAACGTAAGATGAATAAAAGTGTAGAGATTTCCTTTGTGTTTATATCAGACATCCAGAGCTCAAAGGGCAACATATAACAGGCTCACTCTTATATGGAAAATTTAGTTACTCAGACTTTCACAGAGGTGAGTGTAAAACCACTCTAGGCAATTTAAGGAATTAAGTTTGGGAGACTGGTTGGAGATGGGACTAGCAAGACTTCAATTAATAAATTAATTGAAGGAGAAAATGGGATTTTTTTTTTTTTCCCCAAGACAGAGACTTGCTCTGTTGCCTAGGCTGGAGTGCAGTGGCACATTCTCGGCTCACTGCAACCTCCACCTCTGGGGTTCAAGCGATTCTCCTGCTTCAGCCTCCTGAGCAGCTGGGATTACAGGTGCGTGCCACCATGCCCTGCTAATTTTTGTATTTTTAGTAGAGACAGGGTTTCACCATGTTGGCCAGGCTGGTCTTGATCTCCTGACCTCGTGATCTGCCTGCCTCAGCCTCCCAAGGTGCTGGGATTATAGGTGTGAGCCACTGTGCCCAGCCAAGAAAATGGGATTTTATGGTACAAATTAAAAATTCACATATTGGTATATCACTTCAGTGAACTAATTACCCTAAACTTAAAAGAATCAAGAGGCACAAAGTGAATGAGAATTCAAGGCACACGCTAAAAGAAAATATTTGCAAAAGATATATCTGATAAATGACTGTTATCCAAAATATACAAAGAATTTTAAAATGCAATAAGAAAATGAACAACCCAATTAAAGCATGGGCAAAAGATATGACCAGAAATGTCATCAAAGAAGACATACAGAGGACAAACTAGCATATAAACAGTTGTTCAACATCATCTGTCCTTAGGGAAGTGCCAATCGAAATAACAATGAGATACCACTCCCCACCTATTTGAATGGCCAAAATCCAAAATACTGACAATTCCAAAAGCTGCCAAGGATGTGGGGCAACAGGAACTCTCATTCACTGCCAGTGGGAATGCAAAGAGGTATTGCCACTTTGGAAGACAATTGACAGCTTCTTACAAAACTAAACAAACTCTTACCATGATGAGCTTGCATGATCCAGCAATCATGCTCCTTGGTATCTACCTAAATGAATTGAAAACTTAAGTCCGTGCAAAAACCTGCACATGGATATTTGTAGCAGCTTTTTTTCATAATTGCTGAAACTTGGAAGCAACTAAGATGTCCTTCAGTAGCTGAATGGATAAACTGTGGTATATCCATATAAAGGAATATTATTCAACACTAAAAAGAAATGAGTTATCAAGCAAGGAAAAGACACAGAGGAACTTTAAATGTTTATTACTGAGTGAAAGAGGCCAATCTGAAAGGCTTCATATGGCATGATTCTAACTATATGGCCTGAATATACTACTAAAATCTAACACTACGGCCAAGCTCTTTTTGAAGAGAATGTTGCAGAGCTGTTGCAATGCCATCTTGGCTTGGTTAACACTCAACAGTTGTTGAAAATATTTTCTTTGATTTGGGATATAAAGTAAAGGAAAAATAATGTTTGGAATTGCAAATTGGTGATATTTCCAGTATCACCTCTCAGATGGAAATGTGGTTAAAAATGAATGAATGAATCTGTACTCATATGTGCACCAGAATGCAAAGGACCTTAGATTTACATTTCATCTAATAGGATGTGTGACATAAGGAAAGGCTGAAGAAAAGGGTGGCGTGAAGGCCTTGACTGTTATATATTGGTCAATCTATTTCAATTTCCTTGGACTCTAAAGCTCCTCATTTGGCATCCCTAAGAAAGACACAAGAGGTAGAGTAATAGAGTGGTTAAGGGGATTAACTCTAGGCTAATATTCCCTGAGTTCAAGTCCTAACTCTGTTCCTTATTAGCTCTGTAAGCTTTGTGACCCAGTTCATCACCTTTAATATGAGTATATATCATGATATCCATTTCATAGGGTTGTTTACATACTCTATAAAGTGCCTAGAATAGTGACTAACAATATATTTTTGTGTGAAATGACATAAAATCCAGTAGAAGCTTGTAATTAAATGTAGTGGTCATGTGATTACCAAATACCCAATTTGTCAAACTTCATTTGTCATTTGCATGGTCTCCCCTCAGTCTCATCCAGTTACCAGTTAATAATCATGGTTCCACCACTCCAACCCAGAGACGTCCCAACCAGATTGGTATTGAAAAATGGCTGGATTAATGACATGTATTTATTCTGCAGAATACCCACTATGTGTAAGAAGAACTTATAAAAAGCCCAGACTTAAGTGCATTTCAGTTTGGTGCCATCTACTTTGAAAAAAGAAAAAAAAAAGAGCTCTTTGCTTTTGTTTCAATTTATAGACTCAGTGGTGGATCAGCTCATTTAATGAGCTATAGCTGAGAGCAAATACTCCGGGAACGTCAAGTGCTAAAAGTTTGGAGGATTTGATTTTTTTCAGTCCAGTAACCAAAAGCATTTGATCTTTTATTGACAGAATATGGTTGCTGTAAAAAGAAATGAAATGTCCTAAGTATTCAGGGTTGAATAGCTATGAATGCTTTCTATTTTCACTGTTCAAACACCCTTAACTTTATGCTGTGTATAATAATATATTAGCATGTTCAGGGTTTATAAAGAAAATATACTTTTTTTCATGCAGTATTAAAATGGCCCCTTAAAAGTATATATTTCAAGGGAATGAAATTCTCTCAATGTTGTAGTTTTTTTATTAACAATTATTTTTCCAGATTAGTCTTCTGTTCCACCTAGGTAAAACAAGTAAAAATGAAAGTAGCATACAGGGATGTTTCTTATTTGAAAGAGTAGAAAATGTGGTTTTCTTCCAAATTGTGATTTCCTTTGATAAATGTGCCGTTACTTGATACTGGAGACTACGAGCACACTCAAGGGCAACACACAGCCAGGGCCTGGCAGATCCTTGTTGCAGGCCTTTGGAAACAATCCTACTGGGCTAGAATAACAGCTCCATTATTCAGCATGGCAAGTCTATCACCCTACTTACTAGCATAGTTTGGAGGTTAAACAATGGTGTCTCCTGCTACTTACCCATTATCAAATTTCTTCACAATATTTATTTAGACTACTATCACTGAAGCAAGGGCACCAACTCATAAAAACTCAACTTTCTCAGAAGTAAGACTTCATTAAAGAGAACACTCCAAGAGGAAAGTACTCTGGTTAGGAACATTCCTTTACAGTCAAGAAAATCAATTCCAACTTGAGTTTCAAGTATTTCAAAATTACTGGATGAGAGAGATATGTTACTTTTATTAAAAAATTAATGCTCTTTAGAAGACCATCACTTAAATATTAGTGTAATTCATGCTACATCACAGTTAATTGAAAATATCACTGACATTTGTAGATAAGAATGACAATAATAACTGGAAAAATGCATTTAGTTGCCAATGCCTGCAAATAAATGCCGATTTTGCTTACGGCAGACTAGAAAAATAAAAGCAGACCAAGGTATGTTTGTTGGTTATAAGGGTGGGTTGGTCTCATTTAAGTTTACAGTGGGAAATAATATTCATTTGATTTAAAAAAAATCTATGTGAATGATTTAAAGAAAGAAGAAAATCTTTGGGGTAAGTGTTGACATTTAGAATACAGAATCTGCTTTTTACCTTCAGTTGCTGAGAAACTGATCACAGCTTGGTTAATCTTTTACCAGGAAAATGTCCACTGATTAGGTAACTTAGAAACATGTTTATATTTCTTAGCTACTAGGGTAGATCTACCAGCTCAATTTACACGTTAAGCCTAGGAAGTGGAAATTCTTAACCCTGGATATGGATCTGCCCAAACGTCTGTCTTTCATTGGTCTCCAGACTTTGTTTCTATAGCGAAAGCAGCCTCTAGGGGTGGGTGTGTGGGAGAGCGCCCCGGCCCCCAGCAGACACAGGGAGTGAGATATGACAGCACTCTTTAATAATGAAGTGAGCACCGTGGCAAGCCCAGATTCTGAGCAAATTCTCTTTGAAAGGCAAGCAGCTGTGTAATCATTTATCTAGTCTTAGTAGGAAATGGCTTATTTTACACAATTTTCTCAAAAGCAAATTTGAAATCCTCATTGTAATGTGACACCTTCTCTATCCTCAAAGTGCAATGAGGAAGAGAAAATTTAATATAGGAGTCAGCTTTCCCCTCTTATCCTTCACTAACAGCAGCATACTTATTTGATATATAAAAATAATAAAGGTGAAAATTTTGGAAGAGCTGAAGTCACCTTTTTTGGGGGGTGCTTTCATTTTGCTATTGGCTGTTAGTGCTAAGCTGAATTATAACATGTTCCACAACTTTATGGAAGACAAGACTTTGTGTTAACTGCAGAGTAAACTCACCAACTTTTAGTGCTGCCAGTTGTTTACAGTGAAATGGATCCTTGATGTTTTTTTTAGATCCTTGATTTTTACAGCCTTCCAACCACTAACCTTCTCCAGTGATAAATTCTAGGGCAATTTCAAATTCAGAAAGATGACAGTCAATTCCTGAATTTAGGAAGGAAATCGTTTCTTTACATGCTTACTTTGCATTTCAAGTCCGCCAGAAAGGAAGCCCTAGCACATTTGAAAATATCTTGGGAGTTACACAAACGTATGCAAGGCATCTCAGATTTATCTTTGGCATCTCTGCCATTTATTTAGAAGCTGCGCACAAACAGAATCTGTCTTGTCCCATGCAGCCCTTCCATCGCACTAGGAATACATTATTGTGCTTCTGTTTAACATGCAGCCTTAGTGAAAGTACAAATTTGATACAGTTATACTTTTATAACCTTCAGTTTACAGTTGAGCTCTATGCCTTTTTAGTGCTGACTAGAAAATCAGATGGGATGAATCTGGGAATACAGCTTCACAATGTGCATAATCCTGGCTCTGCAACTGAGGAAAATCAATGAGGGGAAGCATTGATCTCCTTGCAGAGTGCAAATGCAGTTAGCTCAGAAACACTCTGCCGGGGATTTTGTTATTCAAGTCATTCAGCTGCACAACATGTTTTCAAACCAAGCTCTTATCATGCAGCAGCTCTCTAGATTCAGCTTAACTCTACTTACACATGCATAAAAAAACATGTCTTCCAAGAGGAAAAATAACTGCATATCCACAGTCAGCTTCTATGTTTGGTCAAGGCTAAGCAAAATAGCCTTCACTTCAGTGACATTTCACTATGTCACTGGGTGGAGAAAACTCCTGCAGGAAGATGTGAGAATGAATCACTTCAGGAAAATATTATCTTCAGCTATGATGAATTTGATGCTTGCCTAGGCTGCTTGGCCAACTTGTTTTCCTTTTTTTCATGAAAAAAAGTAAATGTAACCAAGAAATTATCTGGAGGGCCCACCATCGATATGCACGTGTGTGCAGATACAAAAATGAAATGTATTACATAGCCAAATACAGTATGTATAAAAATATATATTGCAATATTTCATACTTGTTAGTGAAAATATTTTTACAACGTAGTGCCTCCCAAGTGCAGGAAATAAATCAAACCTTTTAAAAGAGATTGCAGATGATTCATTTACTGCTGTCATAATATGGTGTTTTCTTTAATGAAAATTTATATCGTTTTTCCTGGACTCAGTGGAATAAATTTATACTGAAAGATGGAAAGTACTGATACAGTCAGTATTAAACGCATCCAGTACTTGATATGTTGTAAACAGGAGCTTGACCAAGTGAGGTATGGACTGACATCATTTGAATGTACATTTTCTAAGACTTTCCATGTTAAAACCATTCTAAATGTAGTAGAAATGAAACTTGTGGGCCGGGCGCAGTGGCTCACGCCTGTAATCCCAGCACTTTGGGAGGCCGAGCAGGCGGATCATCTGAGGTTGGGAGTTCAAGACCAGCCTGACCAACATGGAGAAATCCCGTCTCTACTAAAAATACAAAATTAGCCGGGTGTGGTGGCGCATGCCTGTAATCCCAGCTACTCAGGAGGCTGAGGCAGGAGAATATTGCTTGAACCTGGGAGGCGGAGGTTGTGGTGAGCCGAGAGCGCGCCATTGCACTCCAGCCTGAGCAACAAGAGTGAAACTCTGTCTCAAAAAAAAAAAAAAAAGGAAAAAGAAAAAAAGAAAGAAAGAAAAGAAAAGAAAGAAAAAGAAAAAAAGAAAGAAAGAAAAGAAAAGAAAGAAAAAGAAAAAAAGAAACTTGTGGTATTTGGCAATGAGACATAGCACTTTCAGGTCAACCTTATGCTAGTATCAGTAAACTACCACCAGACTGATTTAGATTCAGATAATGGATTTGTAGAAAGCAACCTGCAACTGTAAACCTCTGAGTAAGAGGGAAATAAAGCTAGCAGCTCTAGCTCCTTAGGGCATTTTTAAATGTAGGCAGGTGTAAGAAATATTACTAGGAACAGATGACCACTATGAAATCATCAAGAAAGAAGAGAAAATGAAAGATTCATATATAAAAATGTATATATATATTTTTATGTATAAATGTATATATTGAATTATATATGTATTTGTATGTATAAATGTATATATATAATTATATATGTGTGTATATATATAATTTTATGGTTCTGGAATATGAAGCAAGGACTCATGATTGACAAAGGATGGGGGCACAAATCAGAATTGAAGAGAAAATAATTCTCTCTAGTATGGTCAAGATAAAAAGCTTTCCTGGTGGGAGGTGGGAGTGTGGGAGGTCTGATGTACAGGCACATGGATAGGAGGTGAAATATGAACCATCAGGAGTGGGGTCTTATATTAGTGTTTTTGGAGCATCAACTTTGTAAACACTGTGAAGATGGTTCGCCAGGGATTGTGTTGCAGAGTATGGAAAATAAAAATAAGCCAGTCAAAGAACCTGTGGTCCTATGTTAACATTCTCCAGGATTACAAGTTTAGGGTAGGGCAGTTTTTTATTGCCCTTGAAGTGAAAAATGATGTTACTATATGATTCTTACTTTTACGACAATCTAACTGACAGCGTATTGCAATACCTTAAGAGAGATTGTAAAACCTTGAGATTATTCAGTACTGTATTAGTCAGGGTCCTGGCAAGAGAGAGGAGCCACATAGCAATTTGAACAGGGACAGTTTAATATAAAGAGTTATTAATTATAAAAGGAATACGACTAACAAGATATTGATTAGAAGTAAAAACAACTCTAAAGAAAGAATAGCATATTTATATTATATTATATCATGTATACTAGTCACTGCCCTTATGGCTGGCTGAGATAAAGAAATCAAAGAAGAGTCCCCAGGGCTGAGATCTCGATCTTATTGATGGCAGAAAAGGAAAAGTCACTAGTGGAACTTGCTAGGAATCCACACCCTCTAGGATGCCAGGGAAGGCTGTTCACAGGACGATGTCTCACTGGAAGCACTCCAGTCCAAAATTTCCTGAGGTGGGTGCATGAAGACATTGTGGGGACCATGTACCGGAGCATCTGTGAGTGCTTCAGAAGTTTAGTGCTGAAGAAGCCACCCATGCCCCAGTTGTCAACTGCTGGAGAAAATGCCCATGCTAAGGGAACATGAGAAGCAAGAACACCTGAACCGAGACGCAAAACCCCTTTCCTCCTGCAGCGTCTCTCTAGTGCTGTCCCTAGACAAAGCTTAACATCATGTCTACTGGCAAAGGGGAAATATTTAAAGGCCCCAGATCCATATTCAAGAAGCAAGGCACAAAGGTTGAATTTGAAGTTGACAGGTAATAAATCCATAACTGGCAAGTGTTCATTTAGAATCATTACAATCCTTTCCACTGAAAACTTGAACACATTTAGGGTTTCTGTATAGTGAGATGATGGTTATACTGTTGAGAGGTGACACCGTGCTAGCAGCCCTCACTCTCGGCGCCTCCTCGGCCTCGGCGTCCACTTTGGCCATGCTTGAGGAGCCCTTCAGCCCGCCACTGCATTGTCGGAGTCCCCCTCTGGGGCTGGATGAGGCCGGAGCCAGCTCCCTCTGGTTGCCGGGAGGTGTGGAGGGAGAGGCACGGGCGGGAAGTGGGCGCTCGCGGGCCAGCGCGAGTTCCGGGTGGGCGTGGGCTCCGCAGGCCCCGCACCCGGGCTCCGCAGGTCCCGCACCCGGGACCCCGCAGTGAGGGGCTTAGCACCCGGGCCAGCAGCTGCGGAGGGTGCCCCGGGGCCAGCAGCTGCGGAGGGTGCCCCGGGTCCCCCAGCACTGCAGGCCCGCTCACGCCGCGCTCGAATTCTTGCCGGGCCTCACCCACCTCCCCACGGGGCAGGTCTCGGGACTTGCAGCCTGCCATGCCCGAACCCTCCCACCGGTGGGCTCCTCCCCGGCCAGAGCCTAGCCCTGCTCCAGGGCGGCTCCTGGTCGGTCCCATAGACAGCCCAATGGCTGAAGAGAGCACGCGTGGAGTGGGACTGGCGGGCAGCTCCGAGGGCCACGTGGGCACGGGATCCACTAGGTGAAGCCAGTTGGGCTCCTGAGTTGGGTGGGGACTTGGAGAACTTTTATATCTTGCTGGAGGATTGTATATGCACCAGTCAGCACTCTGTGTCTAGCTCAGGGTTTGTGGATGCACCAATTAGCTCTCTGTATCTAGCTAATCTGGTGAGGACTTGGAGAAAGTTTATGTCTAGTTAGAGGTTTGTAAATGGCAGCAATGGGCACTCTGTGTCTAGCTCAGGGATTGTAAACGCACCAATCAAAACTCTGTCAAAACGGACCAATCAGCTCTGTAAAATGGACCAATCAGCTCTCTGTTAAATGGACCAATCAGCAGGATGTGGGTGGGGCCAGATAAGGGAATAAAAGCAGGCTGCCCGAGCCAGGAGCGCAACCTGCTGGGTCCTGTTCCAGCCCGGGAGTTCTTGTTGTTTTGCTCTTCGCGATAAATGTTGCTGCTGTTCACTCTTTAGGTCCGCGCTGCGTTTATGAGCTGTAACACGCACCACCGAGAAGGTCTGCAGCTTCACTGCAGAAGCCAGTGAGACCACAAACCTACCGAAAGTAAGAAACTCTGGACACATGTGAACATCTGAGGGAACAAACTCCGGACACACCATCTTTCAGAACTGTAACACTCACCGCGAGCGTCGGCGGCTTGGTTCTTGAAGTCAGCGAGACCAAGAACCCACCAATTCCGAACACTCTGTGAGTCATTTTTTTGGTTCTTTTTTTATCTTCAGGAGGTAACTACTCAGAGGAACAGTTCAAATGGTGACAGTGTAGGCAAAACACATCACCTAACTTACCAAAGCCTAAATTTACCCTCTTGTGTCATTTACATCATATTCTGACAATGATGTTACACCTAAACCACAAACAGTAAACAAAAAAGTATTAATGCTTCTTTTTTAGGTTCTTACATATTGCAGAGTTAAATACATTTAGTTAAATGATCTGGGCTCAAGTCAGTTTATTTCCCCTTTTTCATAAAACTGCTATTAGGCCACTGATTTTTTTTTTTTCCTGTTAGCCTAGTAGGATGGCACATTAGTTTGCCAGGACTGCCATAACAAAGTACTGCAGACTGGGTGGCTTAAACAACAAAAATATATTTTCTCAAAATCCTAGAAGCTAGGATTTCCAGACTAAGGTGTTGGCCGATGTTTATCTCCCTCGTTTGTCCATGGTTGTCGTCTCCTTGTGTCTTCACATTGTCTTTTCTCTGTGTGTGTCTGTGTCCAAATTTCCTCTTCTTATAAGGACATTGATCATGTAGGATTGGGACCCATCCTAAAGACTTCATTTTAACTTGATTACCACTTTTAAAGCACTGTTTCCACATATGGTTACGTTCTTAAGACTTCAACATACCACGTTTTTTAGTGGGGTGGGATACGTTTCAGTCCATAATGGGAGGTTAATGGTGGAGGTAGTTAATTGCCAGAATGCCTAGCTTCAAATTCCAGATCAGCTAGTTTGACATGGCTGTGTAACCCTGGGCTATTTACTTACCCACTTTGAAACTCAGTTTTCTCGTCTGCTTTGTAAGGTTGTTGTGAGAATTAAATAAGCTAATACAGGCAAAGCCCAGAGCTAATAAGCTGAATAAGCGAATACAGCCAAAGATCCAGAATGGTTTCTGGAAGGTACTAAGAGCAATAGATGTTAGCTATTAATAATTACATTACCATCATCATTTTTTATGTATTTACTTATAAACACATAATTGGTACTTCCCAGATGACATGATACATTTGCTTGTAATATGCCAGAGAAGGTACATAAACCAAAAATTACCAAATAAAATTTGTGCTCTTCGTAGGACCTTTGTATTGGCCCGTGCTTACACCTGAATCTCTGCATTGCCAGCTTCTTTGGCGCCTACCCAATGTTGGTTAACACTCAGAGAGCCTTACTTGGCCACTCTACATAAAGTAAACCCTCACTTTGGCTCTTTCTACCCTATTGCTCTGTATTCTTTTTTTTCAGCCTTAAGTGCATTCTAAAACTCTCATTCATTTTGTAACTTGTTCTCTGTCTCCTCTACCATAATTTAAACTCTTTTTGTCGTTATATCTCAAGTTCCTAGCGTACCAAACCTGGTACACAGAAGTCATTTAAATGAATGAAATACAAAAAACTGTGCAACATGCTATGTTGAAGTTTAAGTACACGGTGCGTAAAAATATATAGCCACGTGCATAAAAACATTAGTAGATCTCAAAAAGGAGAAAGAGATATATTGAATACATTTTGGAATGATTATATTTTTTATAATTGAGTAATACAAAATTAACTTTATCATTGAAAACCTTTTTGTTCCCTTTCAAAACATTAGTGCTCATGTTACTACAACAATAAGCTGATACCTTAAAATACTAACCTTTAAATCTATGAATGGAGAGCTAGAACTCATTCAACAATCATTGTAATCCACTGAAAATGGCATTAAAATGTGAGCACTTAATGAGCTCTCTTCTTTCTTGCACAACCCACTTCAATGCATCTGATGTGATCCCGGGGTAACCACAGACTTCAAAAGAGGTTAGGGTCAGCTTTGCAAGACCCAGAGAAAGGAGAGGAAAAGTCCCAGTAAACACAAAGGCCATCAAGTCTGAATACACATTTCTTTGACTGAGTCCACAAAGCTTGAGTATTGTGACAATAATTAGTTTTGGCTTACGATTGTTTTATCAGGCCTGTCCAAGTCAGGCAGACTATTTAAATGGCCATATTTTATTTTGCTAGCACCAAACAGTTGTCATTAAGTTAAATATATTGTATATATGCACCTTTTATTCCCCATGGAAGTTTGAATGCAATTCTCGTTCAGAATTCTAGTTAAATTACCAGATGATTTGGACTAGAAAACATTGAGTTTATGTAACCTTGTCTGCTTTGAGCATCTTGTCTATTGTAGTTTTATTATTACTATTAGAATCACACTGAAGGAAATTTAAACCTGTCCAAATTTGATACTACATCTTTGTAGTGCTTTTCAAATGGAAACTGAAATCAAAGTCTGTTAATATAGTCAATAATAACTCTGATTTTTTTCCTTTCTTTTTTTTTTTTTTTTTTTTTTTGAGACGGAGTTTTGCTCTTGTTGCCCAGGCTGGAGGCAATGGCGCGATCTCGGCTCACTGCAACCTCCGCCTTCCAGGTTCAAGCAATTCTCCTGCCTGGTCTCGAACTCCTGACCTCAGGTGATCTGCCCGCTTCGGCCTCCGAAAGTGCAGGGATTACAGGCATGAGCCACCGCGCCCGGCAGGAACTCTGATTCTTAAAAATAAACTTTAAATTGAAGAAAGAGAATAAGAATTCTCTGTAGTCAGTATGTCAGTCTTGGTACAACAAAGTTAACAGTCTATCATGGGTCCATCATGGGTCAGTATGGGATCCATAAGGGATCAGTGGGCAAGCAACAAACAGGATTATTTTATACCTGACCAATACCTGAATAAAGCTTTCACCGTTTCACAAGTATTGAAATAACACTGAAAGCACCCAGTGTGGATTAAGATAAAAGTTGAGTTCAGTACATTTAGTTCATATCCTTTTATGGATTTAATTCTTTTCAACGCTTCTGTTTTGCTATTTTAAAAAATGTTTGTAAAGAATAACTTTACAGGCATATTAAGGGAACATTACTTGAATGGGTTTTACTCAGATGATTATTGCAGTCATGATTCTAGTTTCCAGAAAGATAAGTTCCATTTGTTAGTCCCTGAATAATCAGCTTGGCAAAAAGTAGAGTCTTTGCTGCTGGTGACTCAAAAGACAGTAGAGATTCTTAATGTGTGTAGAGGGTAGCAAAGCTAAAATTAGACCATTTACTTTGCCTGTCTTATAGAATAATGTCTAAAAGGGAGGTGTCATATATAAGTATTTATGCTATTATGCAATACATGTGCTTCTAAAAAACCTTATGTTCTGAAAAATTGTGCACTGAAAATAATAGGGTGCACTGAAAATAATAGGGCCCACTGACAAAATAAATCAGATCAGATCATTCAAACTTATGCAACTTTGTAACAAGAATACCAAGAACACAGTAATAATCATAATAAAAACACCAGTGCAGTTAAAAAGACATTCTAAATTCTTGAAAAATAAATACCTTAGTAAATATAAGATTTTCTCCTTTTATAGAAAAGGTGAAGGGGCCGGGCGCAGTGGCTCACACGTGTAATCCCAGCACTTTGGGAGGCCGAGTCAGGCAGATCACGAGGTCAGGAGATCAAGACCATCCTGGCTAACATGGTGAAACTCCAACTCTACTAAAAATACAAAAAATTAGCTGGGCGTGGTGGCACGCGCCTGTAGTCCCAGCTACTTGGGAGACTGAGGCAGGAGAATCGCTTGGACCTGGGAGGTAGAGGTTGCAGTAAGCTGAGATTGCACCACTGCACTCCAGCCTGGGTGACAGAGCGAGACTGCTTCTCAGAAAAAAGAAAAAAAAAGCTGAGGGATGCTTGATGGAAGAGGATATAAGGTAAAACAGGTTGAGGCTGCTCAGTTAGAGATAAGGACAAAATGCACATATGGCCCGAACCAGGCCATATGCCCCTCTGTGAAATTCTTGACTAAATTGAGCCAAGAGGAAGAACATGCAGTGAATTAGCATCATGTAGAGTAGGTGTCCCCAGCCCCCAGGCCATGGAATAGTACTGGTCCATAGCCTGTTAGGAACTGGCTACAGAGCAGCAGGTGAGCGGCGGGTGAGTTAGCATTACCACCTAGCTATGCCTCCTGTCAGGTCGGTGGTGGTATTAGATTCTCATAGAAGCGTGAACCCTATTGTGAACTGTGCATGCAAGGGATCTGGGTTGTGGTTGTGTACTCCTTAAGAGAATCTAATGCCTGATGATCTGTCACTGTCTCCCATCACCCCCAGATGGGACCATCTAGTTGCAGGAAAACAAGCTCAGGGTTCCCACTGATTCTACACTATGGTGAGTTATATAATTATTTCATTGTATATTATAATGTAATAATAATAGAAATAAAATGCATAATATGTAATGTGCTTGAATCATCCTGAAACCATCCCCATTTCCACCCTTGCCTCTGGTCCGTGGAAAAATGGTCTTCCCCAGTGCCAAAAAGGCTGGAGACCGCTGATGTAGAGAACTATTCTTTAGTGGTTTGTTGCACTCAACTCCTGTTCCTTAGTGACACAAAACATTGTGTCTAATGTGCTTGGAAAAATCACGTAAGAACTAACAGGACTTCCATGATGTTATATTAGCATCACTTTCTTTTTTATAATTGCATATGACCTTATTCCCATCAGAGAAATATGTGTGTGTGTGGTACCAAAACAGACAGTATTTCACTTCTAACTATATGTGTGTGTTTTTGTATGTGTGTGTGTATATGTATGTTATATATATGTTTTATGTATTTATATATTATATATTTTATATATAAAATCTTATATTTTTTATATATAAAATCTTATATTTTATATATTTTAAAATATATTATATATATATTTATATAATTATGTAATATATTATATATATTATATATATTTATATATGTAATATATTATATATATTTATATATATGTAATATATTATATATATTTATATATGTAATATATTATATATATTTATATATATGTAATATATTATATATATTATATATATTTATATATATGTAATATATTATATATATTATATATATTTATATATATGTAATATATTATATATATTATATATATTTATATATATGTAATATATTATATATATTATATATATTTATATATATGTAATATATTATATATATTATATATATTTATATATATGTAATATATTATATATATTATATATATTTATATATATGTAATATATTATATATATTATATATATTTATATATATGTAATATATTATATATATTATATATATTTATATATATGTAATATATTATATATTATATATATTTATATATATGTAATATATTATATATATTTATATATATGTAATATATTATATATATTATATATATTTATATATATGTAATATATATATTATATATATTTATATATATGTAATATATATATTATATATATTTATATATATGTAATATATATATTATATATATTTATATATATGTAATATATATATTATATATATTATATATATGTAATATATATTATATATATTTATATATATGTAATATATTATATATATTATATATATTATATATATGTAATATATATAATATATATTTATATATATGTAATATATATATTATATATATTTATGTATATATTTATATTCCTAAATCAAATAACACTTGTCCTTAATTTAACATTTGCAAAACCCCTTTTTTTCAAATAATGCCACATTCACAGGTTCCAGGACACATAACTTTAAATAAATAAAATTAAATAGTTTAAATAATTATATATATATTATATATTATATATAATTATATTTTTATATATTTATGTATGTATTATATATAATTATATATTATATTATATATAATTATATTTTATATATTTATATAATTATATTTTATATATATTTACATATATAAATTTTATATATATTTATATATATTATATATATAAAATTTTATATATTTCTATAGATAATATATTTTTATATATTTATATATAAATATATAATTTTTATATATTTATATATAAAATATATATTTTTTATATATAGGCAATACAAATCAAATGATTTTATATATGTGAAATCAATTCAATTTTATATAAAACCACTTATTGATTTAAATTATTGCTTTTTAAGTAAATTTTACTAAATTTATCTAAGAAATCCATATTCCTTTTATTAGATACTAAGATCATTGTAACCCCAGCTTCCTATTTTTTCCTTGCTACAATTTTCTTCTCATCTTCTCTAGTTTGTCCCAAGCTGAAGTTTTCAGGTAAATTTTCACTTCTCCCTATCCCTTTTTATTATTATTTTGTCTTTTTGTCTTATTCTTCTATGTTAATCATCCTTGTTCTTAATGTATCTCTGTTTTGATAGTAAGATGTCTCAAACAGCCCTGGCATGGTGGCTTACATCTGTAATCCCAGCATTTTGAAAGGCCAAAGCAGGCAGATCGCTTGAGCCCAGGAGTTTGGGACCATCCTGGACAATGTAGAGAAACTTTTTATCTACAAAATTACAAAAACTAGCGGGGCATGGTGGCACGTGTCTGTACTCCCAGCTACTCTGGAGGCTGAGGTAGGAGAATAGCTTGATCCCAGGAGGCAGAGGTTGCAGTAAACCATGATTGCACCACCACACTCCAGCCTGGGTGACATAGCAAGACTGTCTCAAAAATAGATAAATAAAAGATGTCTCAAATATATTAAATAGTGCAAAAATAAACAATACATATTTTTAGAAGTTGATACTTGCAGATATCCCTCATGCAACATATTACCAATCCACATTTTCACGTAGTTTTTTTCCTCTTCTGTGCACACAAAGATAATACTCTCAGTTGTGTGTATTTGTTTTCCAGGGCCACTGTAACAAATTAGCACCAACTGGGCAACTTAAAACAACAGAAATTTATCCTCACAGTTATGGAGGCTAGAAGAATAAAATTAAATAGTTGATAGAGTTCATTCCTTCTGGCGGCCTTGAAGGAGAATCCATCCCATGCCTCTCACCATGCTCCTCGTTTCTGGTGGCTGGGGCCATCTCTGGCATCCCTTGGCCCACCGGCACATCATACCAACCTCCGCCCTAGTCTTCACCTCAACATTTCCTTTGAGTGTGTGTCTTCTCTTCTCTTCTTTTTGAAGGGCACACATCATTTGATTTAGGATCCTGGATTATGGTGATTCCTAAATCAAATAACATTTGTCCTTAATTTAACATTTGCAAAACCCCTTTTTTTCAAATAATGCCACATTCACAGGTTCCAGGACACATAACTTTACATTCGTTTAAATGTATTTTTTATTGTGGTAAGAATACTTCACTCTTAACAGAGTTTTAAGTGCACAATATATTGTTAACTATGGGCATAATGTGCAACAGATCTCTAGAATTCATTCATTTTGTACAACTGAAACTTTATGCCCACTGAAAAGCTGCTTCCCATTTCCCCATCCCCTCCAGGGACATAACTTTTGGAGGGCACCTTTCAACCCACTACAGTACAGTTTAATCAATTTGTGTTGTTTGTCGTGGAATAATGATGATGGATTTTATTTGATTGTTGATACTCTTAAAATGAATGGCTTGGTTAGGACTGTGGTCATTGGCTGGGCAAATTTTGCTCTTTTTGGCATTAACTTACTTTCATGGAATCTATACCTTGGTTGTATTAATTGACTATCCCATGAGATGAGTACTTTGAGTAGATAGGCAAGTTCTCTAGGAAAAATATTACTCATACAGCCTAAGAATGTTAATTTTGGCTCTCCCTCACTGGCAAGGTAACAAGTCAACATCTTTACAGTAACCAGAGTGTGGGACCATTTATAAAGTACACAGATTCTCATAGTGGGAAGGTGAAATTACTTGTAGAGAAAAATACAAAAACATAATTTTTTCCACACACTCATTTGCATTTATAGCAAGGGAAGATTTTCCCCCATCCCTTACCCCCACCACACCACATCAACACACATACACAGACACACATACTTTGACTAAATATCCAAAGTGATTTTTAGCAACTTACAATGTATAGATTTAGTAAACAACAATTACAAACAATGAATTTATTTCCTTCATTTCTTTTTAGTACATTCCAGACTTTGTTTTTAATCTTTAATTATTGCTCCCTTAAGAAAAGTGATCCCACATTTCATTTACATATTGTGCCATTTCTCAGTAAATATAAGGGAATCTTGCCGTACAAGTCTATTGCTTTTCTTTTCATTGGTCTTTCTTAAACCAAGCAACATGAATTCTAATTATTTTATCCACTAAGAAATGAGAAATTTAAATCAATGCCTTTAAACATAGGACTACATGAGGCTTTTAGATCATTAGACGAAACTAAATGCAATACTTAAATAACTGAGTTTACAGATACTGCCAGAATTTTACTGCTACCATTTCTATTCGCTTTTGCTGTTTTTAAAAATAATAATACCAGGGTGTTTGGTGAAGTATAGATGACCCTTAGTGTACCTGAGTCAGTGTCAAATATCCAGTTTTCTCTGGAGCTTCTTGTGTGGTCACCTATAATTGCTATTCAAAGACCCACAGGACAAGCTTCCATGTCCAAAATGTACTCATTCTACAATTTGACCCTTCAAGGTGCTATAAAAACATAAATATATTTCTTTAGAGAAACTCTCTGCTGCAGCATGGTCCTTTGAAACCGTCCAATTTGCTCTGTGATTCCTGCTGAGATATGCATTACATCATGGTCTATTTTTAGCTTGTTACATTAATCAAAACCTATCCCACTTATTAAACAGCTTCCTGCAGCTCAGGCATTTGAAATGCAGAGTGCCAGCAAGCAGCTGCCAAACACCATGAAGGAAAGAGGTGGGCTAGGTTGGAGTAATGTACAAATTGAATTTCAAGTGACTGAGCAGCCTCTTTATCTCTTGGTGACACAACCAGGGGCTGTAGCGGTGTTCTTAAAGGAAATGAAACCCAGAGCCATGGTTCACTCATGGGGTGGTTACCATGGCCCTGCCCAGCAGTCTTTCCGGAACTGCTGATGAGTGTGACCTTTGCAAAAATGCACAAAGCCTTGATTTCTGCATGGTTAACCTTTACAAGCCAGAACCCCTCTGTGAAACCTACCCACACCAGAGGGAAGCTTCAGAATCAAAACAGACACATACACATTTTATGAAAGAGCAACTACAAATACACACATGCACACACATATTCTCAGAGGATGAAGACATTGAACGCATTTTCAATTATTCTCTCAACTGTGTTTTTTCAAGCATTTACATTTGTCTTCCTCTGGAGCAAGAAAGTGCCAGTACTCGGTGCAGTGTCAACCCTGTACTTAAACTCATTTGCTGCACTTCAGAATGGCCTTGATCGGAATTGGTAGTGGGAATGGAAATTACATATTTTCAGGATTTGCTAAGAGTCACCTAGACCATTTGCTCACAGTTAAATAATGACCCAGTGTGCATGGTGAGAAGGAGTGGATATTAAATTAATAGCCTCGATTTCCACCACTGATCAAACCAGGAAAACCATTTTGATTTGATAGTGTATCTCAAACGTGTTCTTTATTCCAAATGTATTGAATGTTCACTGTAAGGGTAGGAAGCTCAGAGCATTATGAAGGTGACTATAGCAATATTCTTTACCTGTTATAATGACAAATTAAACTTTTTTCCCATGGCTTCTTCCTGTTTTTAATAGCATTTTGTTTTCAAGCAAATCTAATTTTTCTCATTATTAATATATTGATTCACATAGCATTCATTATTTAAAAAGCTATTTACACAAGCTAACCTAGTCCTTTTTTAATATCTAGTTCTAGTAATATAGTAGTATATCTTTTATATACTACTCTCATATGATTTGCCTAGCAAGGCTGTGATGTAATTAGAACAGGTTGTTATTATTATTGATGAAAATACTAAAGTCCTAAGAGATTAAAGAGCATGTCAAAGGTCAACACAGCAAATCACTAGTAACCCTGGAAGGCTAACCTCTCTTTTCTGTAATTTCTCTGAATAATGAGGGATATGGCAATAGGGATATGGGGAAACCAGTGATTTCAAAAGACACTTTGATTCACCTTTATAGAGTCTCAATCTACAACTTTCTGTTTACCATACTCGCTTAAAAATCCTTGTCAAAGTGCAGGAAACCCCTGATCTGCAAATACCCAGCTTAGAAATGATCCAGCCATCCAGACATCAGCCTCCTTGCTGTCTTTTTACTGTCAACTGATCAACTGTGGGGAAATGATGTGGGCGGGAGGTGGCGGACAAACTTCAAGAGACACAGTTTAGAAGCCAGTGGAGAAAAAAGTGGGAGAGAGGGTTCACCACAGAAGAATAAAGAAAGAGCAGATAATCTCTAAATACATTCACTTTTTGATTCATTTAGTCATCCACGTGGGGTTAGGCTGTAAAGTTGCCACAAGACAGTGAAATTCACAAACCCCTTTTTAGTTCTGGTGCTTGAGGCACTGTGCTAAGTGCTGGGAATACAGATCCAAGATCTGTCTACAAATAATTCTAAGCGAAGACGGGGTGTGAAGAATTGTATGGGAAAAGTACAAGGCAAATTAGAACACCACGTTTGGAAGGTTTATTTCTGGCTGAGGCAACCAGGGAAGGTTTTGTGTCCAGTGATGGGTCCATGATGGATGAGCTGGGCTCTGTCAAACTTCTAGTATTCAGAAGTCAGGCTAATGTATTATGACCCACTTGATTGCAATTTTAGGCCCAGAAGGTTTTTGTGGGGCATTCTAGGATTCTAGTCGCTTTTATAAAATGTGGTAAATACACAAAGCAATGGACATAGTGAATAACAAATTTATACTAGTTTGTCTGTAGCCTTTTGGTATACCAGGTTTATGCTGTCACTAATTTTTACAACTATTCAACAAAATAGATGTTATAATATCATTTTATAGATGAGGAAACTGAAGCTCAGGAAGACTAAGTCACTAACCTTCACTCGTAAGTGGGAAACTAATGGAGTCATCTTCAAGCAAGCAAAGCGCCAAACAAATGATTCTCAGACAAATCATAATGTGCATAGATCACCCCACCATGCTCGTTTTTTATTTTATTTTATTTGAGACGGACTCTCGCTCTGTCACCCAGGCTGGAGTAAAGTGGCACAATCTCAGCTCACTGCAACCTCCCCCTTGCCGCCCTGGTTCAAGCAATTCTCCTGCCTCAGCCTCATGAGTAGCTCGGATTATAGGCATGCAACCACCACGCCTGGCTAATTTTTGTGTTTTTAGTAGAGACGGAGTTTTGCCATGTTGACCAGGCTGGTCTCGAACTCGTGACCTCAAGTGATCCGCCTGCCTTAGCCTCTCAAAGTGCTGGGATTACAGGCGTGAGCCACTGCAGGTGGCCAACCCTACTGGTTATTTATTTAGGTAGGCACAGTGTGTAGAATCTTCCAGCAGAGGAATATTTTGAGAAGGTGAGTTACTGTCTGTGTATTTGACCCCCTTTTTTTCCCTATGTAATGCAAACCTTTACAAAATACATTTTCTTTTCGATAAGATGACATCCTTTTTATTTTTGCTAAGTATGGTTTTATCCTCCTCCTCTCTGTTTAATGGGAGCAGCTGTCCCAACGACAGGATTTAGCTTAAGTTAAAAATAAGAAGGAAAATGGTGTACGTAAATGTGAGGACTGATCCTCCCTGAATGAGAGGTAATAGTTCTTAGGGAAAAGTAAGCTGTTCTTACCCTTTTTGTTTTGCCTTGCCAATTCTGGCCTGTGTCTTCAGAGGCACCTAAGTCTTCAGTGTATTAATTGTTCAGACTTTTGACTCCAAAAGGAGGTTACTTTTTAAAGGCTGACCAATTGCTTTGGCTATGCTGTCTTAAATGTGGGTCTCTAAGAAATCAGTATGAGCAACTTTCTTTGAGCCTTCAAAGTAAAGTCAAATGCTTGCTCCTCAGCAGGAAAGTGACTTTAATTAATTCTGGACGACCTTTCCATTGAAAAGCAAAACACTGCCCCAAGGCTTTTTAGAAAGGTTAGGTTGTACCTTTTCCCTCTTATTGTTATGAGGCAGATATTAGTGTTCCTCACACAAGTCTTTCTCTCCTGTGTTGTTGTGGATGAGTGCACTTCTTAATAAAGGAAAAACAAAACAAGCAAGTAAAAACCCCTGTTTGGAGCCAATTAACTTCTTGATTCTAACAAGAACTGAACTGGAGTATAAAATCTTCCATCACAATAAAATATGACTAAAGACCTCATCAATACTCATTTAACAAATGCTTTGGACTGAACCATCTTTTTCTAATACTTAGGAATTCCATTATTTCTTATTTCAGTGAACATGTTAGAAAAAATTAAGTGAAATGGGATTAGGTTTGCCATTTGTCATTTACTCAGAGTAGAATTCCCGTCTGACATGTGGGCACTCATACCAGGGGCTTAATGCTTTTAGTAATTATAAGGATCATGTAGAGTATGTTGATTGGTGAGGAAAAAAATCTTTATTAACTGCTCAGAAATAGTTAATTCTTCATTAGTCAGAGCACTGCACTAGAGGCTGCTGCCTGTGAACCATGGATTAGAGTTTATGATAGTAATAACCTCCCTGAAAAAACATTTGTTACTATACTTAATGACCAGATTTTAGTGCATTAACCTTCCTTGGGAGGTCAACTAACAAAATGGATGTTAACTGCTTGTAACAACCAATTCCTCTGAAATTAATATTTAGATGCCTTTGGTGTCAAAAAACCTTCCTTCCATATCAGGGCATTAAAAACACTTCTAAATTATTAATAGCAGGCAGAATTCAATGCCTGAAAGATTTCCATTCCAGTGTTCTTTATCCTCAGCCTCTTCCCATTTTCTCTAACAAAGTTCTCTTATGCAGGAACAAGGAAGGCATTCAGGAAAATTAGGTCTCAAAAATGCATGTGGGTCAACAATGCACTGCAGTTTTGAAAAGGTCACTCTTTAAGTTCAACAGAAATAAACATAATAGGAGTGTGAAGGCAGCCCTGAGAGCACACTGAGAACCTGACAGGGACAAACTCCCTGCCAGGCCTCGGGCTGCACTGCCACAGCCCTATCACCACCTGTCAGGAACTCCTTAACGACATTTTTGCATCCCTTCTGCAACTGACCTCCTGGCTTGGCTCTCCAGCCCCTCCCCCTCCCTTTAAATTGGAAACAAACCACACTTATGTCAAAACGGCTTCTGAACTAGTTCCTTCCTGAGCAATCCCAGAATATAAAACATGTTCTGAAAAGCTGCACCATTCCCTGGAGAAACTTTATGATTTGGTTACTGCAGCAGGGCGCGCTGCTCCTTGGCTGTGGTAGCCTTGAGTCAGTGCCAAACAATGAAGCAATGCTATTATTAGCCTTTCCATTCAATGGCGACAAAACAGTCCATGTTTCTATTTTCAGACTGTTCTCTTCTGGTGCAATAGATTTGCCAGAAACCTAAGCCTCAGGGCTAGCACTGGACCAACAGGGCAAAGTAGGCACCTGAAGCCAAAACATGCACAGTGGCACAAATGTGAAAATGCTTTAATGGTAGTATTTTTAGGCAGAGGCAAAATACAGAGCTGGCCAAAGTTCTGTCTGCTGAAACCTGTGCTGGTTTTTACGGAAAGTTACTGCTGGGGTTGGGATAGAATACCTGGGATCTCTACCATGAAGTTGCCCAATTTAATAATTTTCCCAAATTGCAACTGTGTAGTAACATTTGTGACTCAGTCATTTAAACTGGCCTGTTGGCCAGGCTCAGTGGCTCATGTCTGTAATCCCAGCACTTGGGGAGGCCTAGGCGGGCAGATCCCTGAGCTCAGGAGTTCGAGACCAGCCTGAGCAACACGGTGAAACCCGTCTGTATTAAAAAATACAAAAATTAGCCAGGCTTGGCGGCGGGCACCTGTAGTCCCAGGTACTAGGAAGGCTGAGGTGGGAGAATCTCTTGAGCGTGGGAGGCTACAGTGAGGTGTGAACACGCCGCTGCACTCCAGCCTGGGCAACAGAGGGAGACCCTGTCGTGAAAATAAATGAAAATAAATAAATAAAAAAATAAACCAGCTTGTGTGCTGGCACAGAACGATAGACCAATATTGCACAGAGTTGTGACTTGGATGATAAAGGTGACAAAGTAAAATGCCTGTAAGAAAGGGTGATTTCCTTATGACATGATCAGTTAGTTACAAGCCCACCAGGATGTTTCCAGAAGAGTCGGGCAACTTGTAGGCATTCTTTTTGATTGTTACTTACTCTTTTTTTTTTGAGACGGAGTCTCGCTCTGTCGCCCAGGTTGGAGTGCAGTAGCGTGATCTCGGCTCACTGCAAGCTCTGCCTCCCGGGTTCACGCCATTCTCCTGCTTCAGCCTCCTGAGTAGCTGGGACTACAGGCGCCCGCCACCACGCCTGGCTAATTTTTTTTTGTATTTTTAGTAGAGATGGGGTTTCACTGTGTTAGCCAGGATGGTCTCGATATCCTGACCTCACGATCCGCCCATCTCGGCCTCCTAAAGTGCTGGGATTACAGGCGCGAGCCACCGCTCCCGGCCTGATTGTTACTTTCTGATGGATTACTTTTGTAATACTGGAAATTTCGTGTATATAGAGGTCCATAACATTTTTGGCCTGTTTCCACTTGTAAATAAGATTTGCAATCTGACCATTCAAGCCGTGCAAATTCTGTATAATAATGATTTTAATTTAATGCCCAGATTCTTCATTGCTTTGGGAATACTGTTCTTGCTAATTGGAAGGTCATTATACCATTACATATATATTATTCCTCTTTCCTATTGTAGCTGATTCTCTCCTTGTGTATATTATTTTAGGAAAGAAACACTTGCAAGCAGGAAGTAAGCAATTATTTCTTTTAAACTGTGACAGATTTTGTATATTTAATTGTTAAAATTTCAGATAATGGTATTTCTTTTAAGGTTTGGTGTTTTATTTTTGCATTTAAAAATAAAAATAAGACAATTAGGCTAAGTTTATAAAAGGAAAAAATGTGATATCTTGCTTTCTCAAATCTCTTTTGCTAGAAATTATTTTTAACAGAGACATTTGGAGAAAGAGCTCTTCCCAAATATAAAACTAAAATATGAACTGTTGACATTTCCTCCACTCCTCCTCCCCCATTTTCTACGGAAATATCATTTATAGGCTGCTGGAAGCCAGCTTTTAGTCACAGTGTTTTCAATAGTAGGAATGATTAAAACACACTTATTGCCTTGGTCTGCTTTATCTCTAAACTGATAAGATTTCTGAAAGCTATTTAACTGTCATGTGAATCATTAACTTCATTATGTTTACGGAGAATATGTTATCTCCCCTGCTTCTTGGGGACATGGATCCTTCATCAGCGACCTGGATGGCGCTGAGTGTGATGCAGGTAATGTACCTGCACAATTTACTAGTAGCCGGTAAGAGTTTCAAATCAGGATGTTGATTATAGTGTTGTTCACTTAATGAACTTCCATGCACTGCTTCCTGAAAACCCTTTTATGGTTTCTGTTGGCTCCATATGGCATTCTGATGAGCTTACACTTCTCCTTAAGTGCTTCTGTATCAGAAAACAAGAGCAAAGCTGAAACAAAGTGAGTCATCTGGTTTTGTCTTTGCTTTCACTGCATGAGATAATGTGGAGGTGTTAATTACAAGACTTCACTGAGTCTTGACTAATAACAGTGTGCAAACAAATGTATGTCAGGCTCAGCCACAGAAAAGCTTCTACTAATAAGGTAAAACTAGCAATTAGAGCTGACAATGAAGTAATACTTTCCGTTGAATATTCATTAATGACGTTCTTGTTTGGGAGAAGGGAGGCTTCTGATTGTTCAGATGGAAACCTAGAATAGGTCATTTCTTTTAAATGAATTAAACACTGTGTGGTGAGCCAGTGTACTGGATTAATTCCCTTTTGTACTAATGCACTGACCCTTTGCTTCAAAGGCAGAGCCTGGATGGCCACTAAGATTCTTCAATCTGTGACCTTGGCTTAATAGGGACAAATTGAATTTCCCACAAAGAGAAAAATGATAGTGACCATAGAACATCACTAACAATGTGCTGGAAATACTACATGTTTTATTGAAATTCTTCACTGCAGCTCCTAGGGTTGTAAGAATAAAGACTGTGATAACCTCACCTAACCTAACTCATATCACTTAGTCTACTGTTCTCTTTCCACTCCCCTCCCCTTCCTTTCCTTCTCTTCCCTTTCCCCTTCCATTCCCTTCTTTATTTTTCTTCCAGAAAGCAGTTTGACATACATGGTATAATATGAAATACATTTGGTCTGTGTCCCTGGTTTCTGCCTAGAGCTCCTAATCCCCCTGGCATTTCCTGATAGGAGTATCTTTCGTTGTTCATAATAAGCCCCTTTGATACTTCCTGAGTTTATGCTAATGATTACTTAGGGTAGGGCCCCTAGATGGCCTCAGGATGGGGCCAGATACCAGAAAGACCAGGTGATTAGATAATTAGGGGTTTGGAACTCTCAGCCCCACTCATGTATTATGTATCTCTGGGAAGGAGAGGGCTTGAGGTCAAGTTCTATAAAAACTCTTGAACAACACGATTTGATGAACTTCCAGGTTGCTAAACACGTGGAGGTGTTCATGGAAGCTCCATGCCGCTTCCCCCGTACCTCGCCCTATGGATCTCTTCATCTGTCATTTCATCTGTATCCATTATAATAGCCTTTATAATAAACCAGCAAATATAAGTGTTTCCCTGAGTTCTGTGAGCCATCCTAGCAAATTCATTGAACCCAAGCAAGGGGTTGTGGCTATAGCCAGTTGGTCAGAACTATGAGTGGCCTGGACTGCTGATTGGCATCTGAAGTTGGGGGCAGTCTTGTGGGACTGATCCTTTAACCTGTGGGATGTGACATTGTCTCCAGTTAGATAGTGTCAGAATTGACTTGAATTAATAGAACTTCCAGTTGGTGTCCAGTGGAGAACTGCTTGGTGTGGGGAAAAATCCTCACATATCCAGTCACAGAAGAGTTCTGTGTTGAATGTGTTAAAGTGTACCCGCAGCTGACAGACAAAATGGACTCCCTATAGCTAACTGAGGTGCTCAAAATTAAAACAGAATCAAGGGGCCATTGCTGGGTGAGGGTCACATACTCTGTGTTCTTAGAAAGATGTTGTGAAAGTGTCATAGGACCTCCTTTTCTACAATCAAAACAAACCAGTTACTGTTGTCCTGTATTCCATGCCAAGATAAACTGTGGCTGGAACCCTCTCCACCCCAACCTCCCATAGCTAGAAATATCTGACAGAGACTTCTTTGGGGCTTGGAAACCACACCATCAGGGCTTGAATATTTTGACCAGTCAGAACTGAACAAGTTTGAATCCTTCATTTGCATAAAATAGACCTGATTGAGAACCAGGGTGAGAACGTTCCCTGTTGAAGCCGGACCTTCCCTTTGATCTTTGGAGAGCACACTCTCACTTGTACTGAAGGCTGTGCCTCCCCAATCTGCAGATTATTGTTATAGAAGGTACAGCTTACCCTTTTCCTCCAAAGATCTCATGATCCTTTGTTAACAAGTGTGAGGTTAGAGTAAGGAAAAATGGTTTGTGTTTTTTCTTTTACAATGTTTCTTTGAGCACATGAGAGCCTCTGCTTTCAGACCAAAAAGAAGCCTTCCAGACAAGGGAATGTTAGGCATCTGTGGCTCTTTCATACGTGACATTGTTTCTGAAACGTGATCACAAACAAGTTATACTATCTGAATAATGTATGTCGTTTTAGCGTGTCAGTGAAGATGCCAAATGAGAGATTCTACTGATAAAAGCATTTCATTTAGTTGGTCTTTAATTGCTCTGTATGTATGTGGCAAAATATAAAGGGAATGTATTTTTTGGATGGGGCCAATACAAAATCTTCCATAAGAATAAATCCTCAAAATGTCTGAATTTTAGAATGGATCATGACCTAGGTGAAATAAAACAATCTTCTGTTACACTCTCTTGACAGCCAAAATCCTGATTTGGTGGAAGTGGCCCTATGCCCAGATTAAAAAGCCACAGTCTCAGACTTCTTTGTAGTTAGAGATGGGCACATAACACACATCTGGCCAATAGTATATAAGAGTAGGTTACTTAGAGCTAGTAGAAATAGGACAGAAGAAGCTATAGGTGCACATTTTGCTCTTGTGTGTTCTCCTGTAGTCGCTGGAACCAATTGGCAATGGATCATGAGAGAAAGGTGAAGATAATTAGCAAGTTAGCAGTGATGGTCCTCTGGGGCTGTCTTTATGTAAGCCGCCCACCCCCTATTCCAACACACACACACACACACACACACACACACACACACACACACACACTGTGCAAGCCACTAATTTTCAGTTTTGTGTTTTGCACAGACAAATGTAATTTCTAACCGAAATAGAATATGGTATCACAGCTGATGAGAACTGTGGGAAGAGGTTCTTCAAGTAATGGAATATAAAATGTCTCATTTCCACAATGGAAGAGGTGGAATAGTGAAGGCAGTTATTGCAGGCAGGCAGGTAAAAGAATGTGATCATATTAAATGGGGCCAAACATTTTTGTAGACTCTAGGAAAACAGTGCACTGACGCACACACAGAATGCTGGCATTTGCTGGACTTTCTTGTTTCTTTTAATAAAGCCCTCAGACAGAGTACCTTATTCAAGAGACACACAGTATAAAAACAGATATGGAATAAAACATACTACTGAGATAGGTACTTTTGCTCAAGTCCTGCAATCTAAGTTGTTCGAGAATTCCGAAAGTTGGAGCCTTTTATTTGCTGGTATATATGTTTGACCATTGGAAAAGAAACCCAAAATACCATGTACAGGAAAATAGAAGCTTAGTTCTCTCTTAGTAATAGTCTAGGTATAAGCAGGTCAGGCCTGGTATATGGCTTCATGTTGGCTTTCTATCTTACTGCTTCTCAGTCTCCAAAGTATTGTCCTTATCTTAAAGATCCCAGATGGCTCTAAACCATAGGAAGGGAAAGAGGGAAAGAAAGGACACATCTTTCCCTCTATAGCCATAATCTCAAAGTTGCACACATTATTTCTGCAGACACCTCTTTAGACATAATTTAGTAATAGGACCATCCCTTACTGTAAAGTTTTTTATCGGGGCTCCTATATTCTCAGCTAAAAAATCACGAATTCTATTTCTGTGGAAGATAAGAAGAACTGAAATTGGCTCCTTTGGTGTTGAAATGCCAACAGTTCTTCTACCCCAAATGGAAACTGAAATGGGAAAAGTTCCCTTGTCCCCCTCACACAGCGGGCGATGGGGGAGTGGCTCACTTCCTCAGTGCCCCACTGCTCAAACCTCTAGGGAAGCATACAGACGGGCAGGCTGTGGGGCTCCAACCCCACGGCAGCGTCTAGGGCTGGTTTTTTACAGCTCAAGCCCCAGTGGGCGTGTGTTATATGGTGCTCTTTTAGTTTAGCTGTCCGTAGGCGGCTGTTAGCTCAATTGGACCCTGCCTTATCGGAAGACAGAGGGCATTCTGTATCCCAGGGTTCTTGCCTTGGTATACCGCAAGAATCAGATCATGTGGGCTTGGAGAATGAGTGCAAGGTTTGATTGAGTGGAAGTGTAGCTCTCAGCAGATGAGGGAGCCAGAGGGAGATGGTTTTACCCTGGAGTCAGGCCGCTCAGCAGCCTGGGCTCTCCAACTGTCCCGGCCAAACTGTGTGTCATTCTGCCAGTCGGTGGCCTGCCAACATGCCAGTGCCTGTCGGTGCGTTCCTCTAGTCATCCAGCCGCCCGCATGTTCCTCCACTGATGTGCTCCTCTTGACGTCCAACCGCCTGTGTGTCTGCCTGCTAGGGTCTTGGGGGTTTTTACAGGCATTTCCAGGGAAATGCAACATTTGGGCAGGAAAACAAAAATGCCTGTCCTCACCTTGATCCGCGGGTACAGGCCTGGCAGTGGAGCCCTAGCCAGGGACCATGCCCTCCTCTACCCAGCACTTCCCTTCCCCCATTCTGTATCATTTAAAGGGACCATGCCCTTCCCTTCCCAGCACTTCCCTTCTGTATCAAAACCATTATAAGTTTAGGACCATACCATGCTTTCTTTTTCTGTTCTAAAAGAAACAAACAAATGGGCTTAAAAAGCTCTATGTACTGTTCTTGTTCCCTTTGGCTTTATATTCAAAATTATAATGAAACTTTAATAAGATCACAATACATGATATTTGTATTTTGTGTTTCCATTTGGGGAAAAAAGTGATGGTGTTGGAATGTTCTTTGGCAATTCCAATGAAGAAAAACAGCAACACCTAAAACATCTTTCGAAGAAATTGAAGACTGGAAATGTCTCAAGGTTTAGTTCTAATTAGCATCTAAAATTGCTCTTCCTTGAGCACAAACTGAGCTGAGACCTTGCACTCTGAGACATTGCATTTTGTCTTGAATGAGATGGATTAATAATTCTCTACTCAATGAGTGAAAATTAGGTTTGTCAAACAGCATAATTGTTCTTAAATATAATTCATAGGTAATTGTTAAAGAATAATTTACTATTACTGGACTGGATGTTAATTATATTCCTTGACTTGTAGAAGCATCCTATTAAATAGTGGAAAAACCTTTCTAAAACCTACATTTTGAGGAAAATAGGTAATATCCATTTTAGAAACCACACATTGGACAAATCAGTTGATTGAAACATTATGTAAGCAAATATGTTTCTACAGGTATGTCCACTGAGGCGTTATTTACAGTTCCAAAAACTTTCAAGCAACTTAAATATCCATCAAAAGAGGAATGGTTAAATACAATATTGTATAGTTATCAAAAAATACAATGTAACCCTCAAAAGAAAACAAATCTGCAGAGTAGGACTGAAGGAGATAGAGACATGAAAAGCCCTTAAAAGTATTCAATGAATCCAGGAGCTGGTTTTTTGAAAAGATTAACAAAATAGATAGACTACAAGCCAGACTAATAAAGAAGAAAAGAGAGAAGAATCAAACACAATAGAAAATGATAAAGGGGATATCACCACTGATCCCACAGAAATACAAACTACCATCAGAGAATACTATAAACACCTCTATGCAAATAAACTAGAAAATCTAGAAGAAATGGATAAATTCCTGAACACATACCCCCTCCCAAGACTAAACCAGGAAGAAGCTGAATCCCTGAATAGACCAGTAACAATTTCTGAAATTGAGGCAGTAATTAATAGCCGACCAACCAGAAAAAGCCCAGGACCAGACAGATTCACAGCCTAATTCTACCAGAGGTAAAAAGAGGAGCTAGTGCCATTCCTTCTGAAACTATTCCAAACAATAGAAAAAGAGGGACTCCTCCCTAACTCATTTTATGAGGCCAGCATCATCCTGTTACCTGGCAGAGACACAACAAAACAAGAAAATTTCAGGCCAATATCCCTGATGAACATCGATGCAAAAATCCTCAATAAAATACTGGCAAAGCGAATCCAGCAGCACATCAAAAAGCTTATCCATCATGATCAAGTCAGCTTCATCTCTGGGATGCAAGACTGGTTCAACATACACAAGTCAATAAACGTAATCCATCACATAAACAGAACCAAAGACAAAAACCACCTGATTATCTCAATAGATGCAGAAAAGGCCTCTGATAAAATTCAACACCGCTTCATACTAAAAACTCTCAATAAACTAGGTATTGATGGAACATATTTCAAAATAATAAGAGCTATTTATGGCAAACAAACAGCCAATATCATACTGAATGGGCAAAAGCTGGAAGCATTCCCTTTGAAAACTGGCACAAGACAGGGATGCCCTCTCTCACCGCTCCTATTCAACATAGTGTTGGAAGTTCTGGCCAAGGCAATCAGGCAAGAAAAAGAAATAAAGGGTATTCAGATAGGAAGAGGGGTAGCCAAATTGTCTCTGTTTGCAGATGACATGATTGTATATTTAGAAAACCCCATTATCTCAGCCCAAAATACCCTTTAGCTGTTAAGCAATTTCAGCAGTCTCAGGATATGAAATCAATGTGCAAAAATCACAAGCATTCCTATATACCAATAACAGACAAACAGAGAGCCAAATCACGAGTGAACTCCATTCACAATTGCTACAAAAAGAATAAAATACCTAGGAATACAACTTATAAGGGATGTGAAGGACCTCTTCAAGAAGAACTACCAACCACTGCTCAAGGAAATAAGAGAGGACACAAACAAATGGAAAAACATTCCATGCTCATGGATAGGAAGAATCAATATTGTGAAAATAGCCATATTGCCCAAAGTAATTTATAGATTCAGTCCTATTCCCATCATGCTACCATTGACTTTTTTCATAGAATTAAAAAAAAATACCTTAAATTTCATATGGAACCAAAATAGAGCCCGTATAGCCAAGACAATCCTAAGCAAAAAGAACAAAGCTGGAGGCATCACGCTACCTGACTTCAAGCTATACTCCAAGGCTACAGTAACCAAAATAGCATGGTACTGGTACCAAAACAGACAGACCAATGGAACAGAACAGAGACCTTAGAAATAACGCCACACATCTATAACCATCTCATCTTTGACAATCCTGACAAAAACAAGCAATGGGGAAAGGATTCCCTATTTAACAAATGGTGTTGGGAAAACTGGCTAGCCATATGCAGAAAACGGAAACTGGACTGCTTGCTTACACCTTATACAAAAATTAACCCAAGATGGATTAAAGATTTAAACGTAAGACCCCAAACCATAAAAATCCTCAAAGAAAACATAGGCAATACCATTCAGGACATAGGCATGGACAAAGACTTCATGACTAAAACACCAGAAGCAATGGCAACAAAAGCCAAAATTGACAAATCAGATCTAATTAAAGAGCTTCTGCACAGGAAAAGAAACTATCATCAGAGTGAACAGGCAACCTGCAAAATGGGAAAAATTTTTTGCAATCTGTCCATCTGACAAAGGGCTAATATACAGAATCTACAAAGAACTTAAACAAATTTACAACCAAAAAACAACCCCATCAAAAAGTGGATGAAGGATATGAACAGACGCTTCTCAAAAGAAGACATTTATGCAGCCGACAAACATAGGAAAAAAATCTCATCATCACTGGTCGTTAGAGAAATGCAAATCAAAACCACAATGAGATACCATCACATGCCAGTTAGAATGGTGATCGTTAAAAAGTCAGGAAACAACAGATGCTGGCGAGATGTGGAGAAATAGGAACTCTTTTACACTGTTGGTGGGAGTGTAAATTAGTTCAACCATTGTAAAAGACAGTGTGGTAATTTCTCAAGGATCTAGAACCAGAAATATCATTTGACCCAGTAATCCCATTACTGGGTTTATACCCAAAGGATTATAAATCATTCTACTCTAAAGACGCATCCACATATATGTTTATTGCAGCATTGTTCACAATAGCAAAGACTTGGAACCAACCCAAATGCCCACCAGTGATAGACTGGATAAAGAAAATGTGACACATATACACCATGGGATACTATGCAGCTGTAAGAAAGGATGAGTTCATGTCCTTTGCAGGGACATGGTTGAAGCTGGAAACCATCATTCTCAGCAAACTAACACAGGAACAGAAAACCAAACACCACATGTTCTCACTCATAAGTGGGAGTTGAACAATGAGAACACATGGACACAGGGAGGGGAACATCACACACGGGGGCCTGTCTGCGGGTGGGGGGCTAGAGGAGAGATAGCATTAGGTAGGAGAAATACCTAATGTAGATGACGGGTTGATGGGTGCAGCAAACCATCATGACACATGTATACCTATGTAATAAACCAGCACGTTCTGCACATGTATCCCAGAACTTAAAGCATAATTAAAAAGAAAAGAAAACATCTATATGGAAAGATCTACAAGATATAATTTTAAGTTTTAAAAAATTATAAAACAGTATGTTAAGTTTAAGTTCCTTTGTGTAAAATAAAACAGAAATCATAGATATAGTTGCATGCAATCGTATGTATATGATATATGGAAGATTCTGGAAAGGTAAAGTGACAGTCTCCAACTTACAATGGTTTGACAGCCATTGCTAGATGATTTTGCCCAATTATAAGCGAATGTAAGTGTTCTAAGCACATTTAAGGTAGGTTAGGCTCAGTTATGATGCATTAAATACATTTTTAGGTCAGGCACAGTGGCTTATACCTGTAATCTCAGCACTTTGGGAGGCCAAGGCGGATAAATCACTTGAGGCCAGAAGTGACACCAGCCTGGCCAATATGGTAAAACCCCGTCTCTACTAAAAAATACAAAAATTAGCCGGGCGTGGTGGTGTGCGCCTGTAATCCCAGCTGCTCTCAGGAGGCTGAGGCAGAAGAATCGCTTGAACCCGGGAGGCGGAGGTTGCAGTGAGCAGAGATCATGCCGCTGCACTCCGGCCTGGGCCACAGAGTGAGACTGCGTCTCAAAAAAAAGCGTTTTTGACTTACGATATTTTCAGTTTACGGCGGGTTTATCAGGATGTACGCTTATCATAAGTCAAGGAGCATCTGTACAAGAAACTATTAATAATGCGTACAACCAGATAGTGGGATTGGTTGTACTGTTATGAAAAATGAAGGACTTTTCTTACCTTTTACTGTATGACCTTATGTACTCTTTAGACTTTTAATCTTTTTTTTTTTTTTTTTTTTGAGACGGAGTCTCACCCTGTCCCTCAGGCTGGAGTGCAGTGGCGTGATCTTGGCTCACTGCAACCTCCTCCTCCCAGGTTCAAGCAATTCTCGCGCCTCAGCCTCCTGAATAGCTGGGACTACAGGTGCCCGCCACCATGCTCGGCTAATTTTTGTATTTTTAGTAGAGATGGGGTTTCACCATGTTGGCCAGGCTGGTCTCAGACCCCTGACGTCAAGTGATTCACCTGCCTCCCACTCCCGAAGTGGTGGGATTACAGGCGTGAACCACTGTGCCTGGCCTAGACTTTTAATCTTAGATTTGCTCTAGTTTTCAATAGAAAAAAATTAATGAAAATCTATAAAAACAACTGTGCTGCAATGTATATTGTCTTTAAATACTGTTATTGTGCAGGGAGTAAATAGCGTAAGGAATTACTGAAGTAGGGACTACTTTGAATCCTGCTTCTTTTTGCTTGTTATTGACTAAGAGTCTGCTGTAGGACAAAACACTGTATTTGCATATGTGCTTAGATAACATTATGACTTGAGACTGATTTGTTCAATTGATACTGTTGTCCTGGAAGCACAGCCATTGCAAAAGGGCACCATGCTATCTCTTAGTAATGCATTTAATATCTCACAAATTATTTTCCTTTCTTCTAAATTTTACTTGCAGAAAGAATTTGGGCTTAGTGAAATGCGTCCTACTCATCAGTTTTGGAACACATGGAGAAAAACAAGAAGTGCTTTTTCTCTTAAGCCAAATCTAATACTATTCCTTATAATGGTGCAGCCTTGGCCGGAACCTGCCAAGGAAGAAAACATCAGTAATTCCTTTATCTGTAAAGTAAAGAGCATATAAGGGACCTGATATTCATTTTGACAACCCAGAAACTTTTTTTCAAAAAATTCTTATTTTATCAAAGGAGAAGTACCCAAAAACCAGAGTTCAAATTTGAAATGAGTGAGTGGTAAATACCATTTCTGCTAATTTTATGAAAGGAAGTATATTCCTCTTATGAGAGCATGTGGCTGGAATCTGAAGAAGCATGAATTTGAATCTGCTGTATAAAATCAAGAAGGCCCAACTTACCTAGCCTCTGTATGCTTTAGAGCCTCATAGGGCACAACAGAGAAGTGTTTATTTCACGAGAGGTTACATAATAGCCACACTTCTCATTCTGGTAGAAAAACAGTTACTGGCATCTACTATGTTGTAGGTCTACTGGAGGAAGGGAAAAGACAGAAAACCTACTGTCTGAGATTTTATAATCTAGCAGTGGGGAAGACAGCACTTTTGCTGTGGAAATAATTCATAATCAAAAAGTTTTATGTCCATAGAATACATTATTCATTTGAGTCCTTAAGAAATTGAGAGCTGGTTGTGTTATTATAAAGACCCTCCATGCTAATGTGGTAAAATGATTTTAAAGATCTAATTTGCAAACAGAAGAGCAAGAATTGCTGAATAATAATGACACTTATCATTGATGAAAAACCCACTCTGAGTTTCTTACTTTACAGATATCTTTTCTAAACTTCCTATGGACCCTGCACAAACGGAATTATTATTTTCATTTTGCAGAGGGAGCAACTGAGGCTGTATAAAGTTAGTGACTGAGTCAGGAATCAGACCTATGTCTCCCAGACCCCAAGCACAAGTCCTTTGAACCTCTGAGCTATAAGGCTTTGTAATCCTGATGAAGGGAAATGGAGATGGGGAGGGGGTGAAGAAAATCTTTAAATTCTTTTTTTTTTTTTTTCCTCTGCAACACTTTAAAAAGAGACAGGACAAAAGAAGAATGCATGTTCTATATGCACATTTCTTTGCAGCCCTCTGATGAAGTACCTCAAAAGCTAAGCTCCCATCAATCCTGGAGAGATAGAATCAGCAGAGCATAGTGGCAGAATGAATGGTTTAAAAGGAACAGCAGCGACCAAAGAACTTTTTATGCAGAGAAACCCCAAATCTGGGGCAAAGCCCTCCTGTTCATTTTATCTCACACAAGGTAGGTAGTGCTGCCTGTCAAGGTAATGCATTACTACACTATTTGGAAAAACTACAGTTCTAATTAGATGAGCAAATAAATGTTCATTTCAATTTATTAATATAGCTGTAGGCCTTGTTACAATTTATCTCCCGGTTTTGAGACCAATCCATCTCGAGCTGGGAATCATTGTGGTGAAGTAACGGGTTTTAATAATGGATACAGGCAGTGAATTATTCAGGCAGAAGGGAGCAAGCCTTGATGCCTTCACTCACTTCTTTAATTAACTGTGAGATGCTGACGAGTCTGGGCTGTCTCGAGGCTTTCTAAGTTTGTCTGCATCAGAACTGTGAATTTTTCTTGGGCCATAGATATGTTGTGCTTTCAGGTCTATGCATAGCCAAGAAGTGACACCAGCTATCATATTCTCATTTTGTCTTCTTATATTCTCAATTCTGTGTCTGCTTAAATATTATTTTCCTGCAACTTCTTGAGCAACGAACATTTTTCTTGACAAAATGAACATCTTTGCTCTACTGCACTTCTGGATAAGACTTCAACACATGAAAATCCAAGATATTTCAATTCTCATATAAGTTTGGGAACTAATCAATAAACCACAAAATCCAGTTCTAGTCACTTCAGTCCATTTAGCTTGTTTTAAAGCCATTTATTTTCATGGCTTAGAAATAAATAAGCTGCTAGAAAAGAATTTTTCCTCTCCATTTGACATAGCATCAAACAAATAAACAAAACTAAAACTCTTACTAAAGGCAGGTTCCATTATTTGTGGAGCTTTGCAGTCTGCCCAAGTGGTTTCTGTAAACAAAACCTTTTAGGGCTTGTCACTAAACAAATGGCAGAATATGGCTGTGTACGTTGAATTTTCTTCTTTGCCTAACACAGATCTTCTAAGTAGAAAGTGCATCTAGCTCACAGTCTTTGCTCCAGTGTTAATCAATGGTTTTTGCTGTGAACACATTAATAACATGCTTAGATAATTGATTCCCCTTAATCTGGACGTTCTACTTTGCTATTACCTGTGACCATGAAAGTTAAAAGAAAAGTGCACATAAGCTGTTTGACAGCAATTTATTTATGCTGTGACAAGATAGTTCCTCTTTCAATTTTGTCACATCAGAGAGAAAGTAAGAATCTGGGGGAGGTCTGAGCTCACCACTTCTTGGTAGAAATTGAATCACTTTTTTCTATAAATCAAAAGTCATGTTAAAAGCTCTGTGAAGTAAACAATGATGTATATGAATTAGCAGCACAACCATAGTCAATACAAATCAAAGTGGCTTTATGAAGGTATTGATGTTTTCAGCTCTTCCTAAGGTTGAATACATTTAAGCGTTTATTCCCCAGGGCATTGTTGATCCAGATGAATGTATTCACTTTGAAACGAGACCATAGTCGCCGCTAGAGACAAAACTACATACACTGACCCAGATACGGTTCTTCCCCAGACCAAGTGACCCCAGCTGCAGCCGGAGTGCTCACAGTAAACTGAAATTACATGAATGACACCCAGGGAAAGACGCTTGTATTATAAAGAGGCTACATTTCTATTTGGTTTACTGATGTATTAATTTTTCAAAGTTTGGAATCTCTTCAAATACAAGGTAAATGCATTTTCTAAGAATTTGGCCCAGTGGCACTCGTCTGGATGTGATAACCTGTTTTTCCTGTATCATGATTTAACTTAAACTACTCTTGTAAGTGACTGATTCTGTATCTTCAAGTTACATTCATACATCCTGTGACTGGATATTGACGAATTCAGTAGGTGCCACAGGCATATCTTGCTTGTCTGAAAGGAAAGTTAATTTTATACTAAGATGCCACCATTAAAATAGATAATGAAAGCATTGTTAGGATTTACCAGATTAGCTAAAGCAACAAAACATCAGATTGTAACTAGATGACCTCGGGGAAAAACACAGGATGTATATTTCCACAAAACATCCCGCATCATTTGACATATTCAAAGTAAAGGTAAGCCATGTATTTTGGCCTTTATGTTGTTCACAGAAGAGTTCTTTGCACACTGGATATACATTGGAATTCATCTTCCTTTTCTTCTTAGTATGTTAGAATATCTATGTCTTCAAAAGGGTCAGCCTCAAATGAGTGAGCCAAAGGCACTTACATGCAGACCAGTACTTATTAGAAAGAACTGAGAAATGAAACATAAACTGATAAGTGAGTGCAAGTCATTCATCTTTTTAAAGCCCATAAAAAGAGAATTGTAAATTAAAATGTCTACAATAGGTTCAACACCTCTCTCTCAGCCCCTCCCTTTCCTTTGTCATGCTACAGCATTCAAGTGTGGGAATGTTTCTCTGAAACGTGTAAATCACACATTTAGTCATGCCATACCCAGGAGCACCGTACCGGGAGGAACGGGGAGGAAGGCCAAGGAAATTAAATATGAGTCCAGCAGTTTGTTAATGAAACATTTACACAAGCAGTTTATATGGTTGTAATAAAAAAGGGGGGCCTCTTTCATCGCACCTTTTCATTACTTAGCACAGTCTTTAAGAGGATTAATGTGGAAGGGGGGAAAAGAATGTGCTTATCAGTTGAGTCTCAGGATTGGTAATGCTGAGTTCTTAATAGATTGCCTCTGGATTTAGGATTACTGTGGTGCAAATTCTTCCAGGCTTTCAATAGAATAGAAAGCAGTTTGTTTTCCCCCCTTCAACGAGAAGGGCTATTGACTTGGTGATGAAATGACCTAGGACTCAGAGTTTATTCAAACCACTGCCTCCTGTTTCTGTCACTTCAGGGAGATTTATTTATTTGTTTGGGCTACTGGTAGCCAATGCATCAAAATATGCACTAATTCCACCACTACTGTGATTAAGAAGCAGCTAACAATGCAAGTTTAACAGCAACCAGCTGACTTTTATGATGCTTGTATTAAGGATCTAGTTTTCAAAAGGAAACAGCAGAGAAGACAAATCTATTTTTTGGACACTGTCAATTCCCTGCACCTCATTTTCTGACAGGTTTCCTAACAGCTCAGATAAACTACATATTTTGGAGGACAACTGAAGTGAATAAGTGGCCCTTTTAGTTTTCTGGGGAGTTAGAGGCAGCTTTTGTTGGCAATCTTGTGAAAGAGTACAGTACTGATGGATCATGCTGCTTGAGGTCCCGTGACTTCACACTATTTTTAGCACAAGGAAGATGTTAGTTGTAACAGTGTACAATGGGCTAATCAGCCATAATAGAACTCACACTGTTTTTCACTTCACATTGCACTTATTATGTGCCTTGAATGTAAACAGCTCTTTGCTTCTGACAAAGATGGCAGTTTGCCATGGTGGGATTCAGCCTTCTCTAAAGCTCAGCAAACATTGAATAGAGCAAGCCAGAAGACTGAAAAAGCAATTGTTTGAATTTATGTCACTTGCAACCTTAGACAAAATTATTTTTGTTACTTCCATCCTTTCCTTCCTACCTCCCTCAAATTAGCAAGCATTCACATATGTCAGTTATCAGCATATGAAAAATTATTTCCATTATTTCTCCACCCACATTTAGAGAATCAATAAATCATGTTTTATATAAAGTCTTGAATAATGACATCCCTGTGCATTTTATACCCATTGTGAAATATTTGGAACTTAACATAATAATATGAAGCTTGATCATATAAATAGATTGAAGTTGCTTTAAAGCATGATAAAAGATACTCTTTAAAATTACACCCAACACCCAAAAGAAGTTTATTGTTTTGCACCATCTGTATGTACCATTAGCAGATTCAATAGTTTGCTCTCAAAACAGATTTAGAGCAATTTACTATAAAGCAAATTGTTGTTGGCTAGGCTTCCTGCATTGTTATCCTATGATTTTTCCAGGCACAGGGGCATATTCAAAAGTTTTTTGAAATTTTATCACAGTAATACATGCACATGATAAAAACCATCAAGTAGTATAAGAAAGTACTTTATAAAGAAAAGTACCCTCCTCCACACTCAGGCCTATTACTAGCAGCAAAGACCTTTTTATTTTTTAGTTCTTCTTCTGGAGATTACTTCCTAACCCTAAATAAAAGGCTTATAATAGTATTTCTAAAGAATTTTTTTAAATTATTATTATTTTTTTTAGAGTTGGGGTCTTGCTCACTGCAGCCTCGAACTCCAGGGCTCAAGTGATTCTCCTGTCTCAGCCCCTCAGCCTCCTGAGTAGCTATGACTATAGGCATGTGCCACTGTGCCCAGCTAATTTTTATTTTTACTTTTGTAGAGTCAGGATCTTGCATTGTTGCCTAGGCTGGCCTTAAACCCCTAGCTTCAAACAATACTCTCACCTTGACCTCGCGAAGTGCTGATATTACAGGTGTGAGCCACTGCACCTGGCCTTATAATAGTATTTATTGATTGATTCATTCATTGATTCAGCAGATATTCACTGAGTGACTACTGTTTGCCACATACTGTTCTAAAACTGAGATACAACAGTGAACGAAACAGACAAAAGTCCCTGCCCCCTTGAAGCTGAACATTCCACTGGAGTGGAAATGAGGAGAGGCAGATAATAAATATCAATGAATAATTTATATCACATATCAAAAAGTGAAAAGGGGTATAGAATAAAAGAAATGAGAAAGGTGGGCAAGAGGGGTACTGAAGGTGGAAGGTGGTGTGAAGTTCGAAACACAGAGGTTAGGGATGGCCTAACTAAGAGTGTGATATTTCAGCAAAGACATGAAAGAAGTAATAGAGTAACCCATGAAAACATCTCAAAGGAGAGAGGCCAGAGTGGAAGGAACAGCCAGTGCAAAGGCCCTGAGGCAGGAGCATGGCTGGTTGGCTTAAGGAACAGTGAGGAGGTCAACTTGGCTGATGTGGAATGAGCAAAGGAAAGTGCAGTAGGAGATGGGGCTTGTGAAATGATGGGAGGAGGAGGTCCATGGGAGTGTAGGAAGGATTTGAACAGAGAATTAATTCAGTCCTGTTTAAGTTTTTACTTTCTTGAGGAAAGGATGTGTGAATGGAAGAAGGAAGTTATTTTGGAGTCTCTGCGGTGATCCAAGTGAGACAAGGAAACTCCCAACAGGTTGATGCCTCAGAGGAGTTAAGAAGTAGTCAGATTCTGGGTATACAGTGAGGCTTACTTGCTTTTCTGATAGATTGCATTTATAGAATATGAGAGAAAGAAGATTTGGCTTCAGCTACTGTAAGAATGGAGTGGCCCTTAATGGAGATAAGATAGACTGCTGGTTGAATGGGATTTGGAAGGAAGATTTAGTTATGGATATGTTGAGTTTGAGATGCCTTTAGACATCAAAGTGGTGATAACAGATAGATAAGTGGATATGAGAGGCTGGAGTTCTGGGGAGAGGTACAGACCTCGTATTTACATTTTTGGTCGTTAGCATATACATGGTATTTAAGGTCACATGCCTAGGTAAGCCCACTAGGGAATGAAGCTAAAAGAAGTCCAAGGACTTATCCTTGGGACATTCTCACATTAAAAGATTGGATAAGAAACTTGCAAAAGGAACTGAAAAGAAGTGAGGTCAGAAGCTACTGGAAGAAAGAGAGTTACAAAAGTAGGCTAACAAATGCATGTCAAGTTTACATGACCCACAGTGATATTCTCAGGTTAGAGAAAGAGTTATGAAGACAATGGTGATCCTGCAGCAAAGTAGAAGAGAGCACTTAAATTATAGAATGATGAAACATTAGAAGCATTTCCTTTAGAATTTAGAGTAATTTAGAAGTGTCTAGAATAAAGGAAAATATGTATTAAATAGCAGTGCTATATACTAGTAATAATCACTTTTTTAGTAGTATGAAACTTGGTGTCAACAGAAACTTTATATACCAATGAATAGCTTTAACAAAAAACGTGATAGACATGTATGAATACTTACAGTATATTCTGAGAGGTGTAAAAATGTAAAAGATTTCATGCAGATACATAATTGTTGATGTACAGGTGGACTGAGTATTGCAAAAGTGTTAATTTTTTTCTTGAATATATGAGTTTATCGTAGTTCAAAACAGAGTTCTGATGGGCAAATTTTTGGTACAGTAATGATCATAGCAGCACTATTTTTAATAGCCAACAACTAGAAACAATCAAATGTCCATAAATGAGTAAATAAACTGTATATTCATTCAATGAAATAATATACAGCAAGAGGATGATTGAACTACAACTACAGCATCAACATAGGTGAATCTCGCAAACATAATAATGAACAAAGAAGGCAGACACTAAAGAGTATATACTTTGTGATTCCACTCGTATAAAGTTCCAAAACAGATCCAAATGATCTATGATGCCTGGAAGGGATGCAAGGGAGACTTTTGTTCTGGTAATGCTTCTTTTCTTTTTTCTTTTGAGAGGGAATCTGGCTCTGTTGCCCAGGCTGGAGTGCGGTAGTGCAATCTCGGCTCACTGCAACCTCTGCCTCCCGGGCTCAAGTGGTTCTCCTGCCTCAGCCTCCCAAGTAGCTAGGATTACAGGTGCCCATCACCACACCCAGCAAATTTTTGTATTTTTAGTAGAGATGGGGTTTCACTTTCACCAGTTGGCCAGGCTGGTCTTGAACTCCTGACCTCAGGTGATCTGCCTGCCTTGGGCTTATTTCTTGATTTGAGTGCTAATTGCATGTATTCATTTTCCAAAAATTCTTAGAAATTACATGTATGGGCCAGGCGCGGTGGCTCACGCCTGTAATCCCAGCACTTTGGGAGGCTGAGGTGGGCAGATCACGAGGTCAGGAGATTGAGACCTTCCTGGCTAACACAGTGAAACCCCGTCTCTACAAAAACTACAAAAAATTAGCTGGGCGTGGTGGCATGCGCCTGTAATCCCAGCTACTCGGGAGGCTGAGGCAGGAGAATCGCCTGAACCTGGGTAGCGGAGGTTGCAGTGAGCCAAGATCGCACCGCTGCACTTCAGTCTGGGCGACAGGGTGAGACTCTGTCTCAAACAAACAAACAAACAAACAAAAAAGAAATTACATGTATGATTTGTGCCCTTTTCTATATGAATGTTTGATAAAAATTTAATTTAAAAATATCAATTGTTTTTTAAAAATGTGGACATACTAATTTAACCTTTCATCTGCAAACTAGACAGTAACAAATTAGCTTAGAGACTATTCAAAAAGAAAAGTAATGAAAACTGGCTGTATCATATATAAAATGTATAAGAAAGCAGGAATGAGTGAAATGCTCTGGCAATAGCAGGGGATCATTGGATAGAATACAATGTATGATAGAGATGAAAGGATAACTCAGTGGGGGGAAAGGAATGAATGATCAATAAGTGATGTTGTATTTTCAAATCCTCCATGCAGCTGGGTACACCCATGTGACCACATTTTGGCTAATGAGATGTCAACAAAATTGATAAATGCCACTTCCAAGTCTTGCTCCTTAATGAATTAGGGTTGTGTACCTTCCAGCCTCACTCTGCTGTCCTTTTAGTTTGGAGAAAATGAGATTTAGAACAATTGCCCGAGACCCAGAGACGGGAGCCACTTGTCAAGGATGGCAGAACCACCTTGTCAGGCCCACACCATTAACTGTGAGAGAGTTGATCTTTTAGCTTAAACAAGCCCTCACTCAAGGAGAGAGGATTACATAGAGGCATGAAGGTCTGGAGGTAGAGATATTAGAGGTTGCCTACCACAGGAAAAAAATCAATTTAGATCCTCACTTAACACTATCTCACTTAACACTGTACCAGAATAATTTGCAGATGAGTAACACATTAAAATGTAAAAACTCAAGTAATTCCTAAAAATAGATGAAAGTATATGTGTGTGGGTATTTTTTTTTATCAGATTGGAATGTTCTAAGCTTAAAACAATGGAAGCTCTCGCTCACAGGCTGGGTTCTCCAGGGAGCAGACACTGCAGTTGTCCTAGTATGTGAGGCTTATTGGTGAGTCATGCCTGTGAAGGGAGAAAGGGAGGAAGCAGGAATGGGCAGGGAAAGGTGAATCTGAAAAAAGTCGAGTAGTCCAATGAGGAGCTCTAGAACAAAGATTTCCCGTTAGAGGAGTCCCAGGTTGGGCGACATAGCTGAGCCTTGAACCAGTTTCTTGCTCCGTGAGTGGCTAAGGGCTGCCCTGAGTATTAGAGCAGCCTCTTTTTGAAAGCTGAGGAGAACCCTGAGGAACTAATAGCTAGAGGTTGTCTGCTGTCCACACCCTTTACCTGGGCTGCAGGCCTATTTTTGAGAGTGGATCTGAGCAGAGTGTTTCCGTCCCTGCCACAGTCTACCCCTTGCAATCTATGAATCCACTTTTCTGTACACACATAGGGAGTAGCTCCTGTGGGGCTCTTATAGGCTCCCTCCCCGAGGAGAAACTGAGAAGTGAGAAGTCAGTGGGAAGAACTGCACCCCCATCGCTGCAGTTGCTCTTCAGGACGCAACCGGCGCTCATCCTCTCTCTCCTCCATCATCCATTCTAAAACCCCTGCCACTCAATTACCACCTCTGCTGGTCTTGGTGGCTTATCTGAGGTGGGACTCTAACCCTCATCTGAAGGTTCGGAGCCCTGATAACCGAAATCTTCAGGCTGGGCTTCAGTGATCAAGTGATCCTCCTGCCTCAGCCTTTCAAAACACTGGAATTACAGCACCTGCCTATTCAGACAAGAAAGTATCTTAAGAGACACCTCAGTGGGTCACCTGCGTTCCATACATGGAGTGACAGCGGTTGGACCTCCTCCAGATGATGGCAGATGACTAGTAGCTGACTTTCTTTTTGCCTGTTGTTTCCTGGACAAAAGGAGCCCTAAGTGACTTGGTGGCAGTCATAGCTATTAGCTCAATGGGATCTGGATTCTCCTGTTAAGAGTGCTTCATTTGGGATCAGGTCCTCTAACTCTGGAGCTCAGAGTTATGGGGAACAGGAAGTAAAGATTTTTACAGATGGTCACTGGTGGTAATGGTAAGCAGAGCTATTCCTGCTTCCGCCTCTTGGTTTCCCCAAGTATTCGTCTCACTGCGGACACAGAATTATATACATGTCTCTGATTCAATGCACATACCCTGAAGGATGGCATTTCATCCTCACAGAGTGCTGCCTCGGATCTGGCACTTCAGCAGGCCACTCCAATGCTCTGTCAGGTTGGCAGCCTCTGGGTGGTGATTCAGCCTGTGGATGCTGTGGGCATGGGCTCACGCCTTCACCTCTTCTGTTTTAAAATGGGTTCCCTGGTTAGATGTTCTTTGTGTGGGATTTACTGTGTATTAACCATTCCATAACCCTTGAATAGCAGTGCTGGCTGAGGCTGTGTGGTAGGAAAAGGCAAACCCATATTCAGAATAGGTTTCTGTTCTTGTGAGAACACACTGTTAGTTGGCCCCTCTGGGATGGAATGGGTCCACTGTAGTCAGCTTGCCACCAGATCACCCATTCGTCCGTTCAAGAAATAATGCCATGTTTTAGGTTCAGCACTGGTTTCTGTTGTTGGCGGATTGAACATTCAGAGGTGGCAGTAGCTACAGAGGCCTTGGTGAATAGGAGTCCATGCTGATGGGAATATGCAGGGCCTCCCTCTCTGCCACCACTTCATTTATGTGCCCATTGTTTTATCACTGGGGTGCCTGCATGAAAGATGGCTATCATCAACTGGCTGCATCATTTTTCTTCCTTTCTTTTAGAGACAGGGTCTCACTGTTGCCCAGGCTGCAGTGAAATGATGTAATTATGGCTCACTGCAGCCTCCAACTCCCAGACTCAGGTAATCTCCCTCCTCAGCCTCCTGAGTAGTTGGGACTACAGGTGCTCACCACCATGCCCAGCAAATTTGTTAATTTTTTTTTTTTTTATTTGAGATGAAGTCTCGCTCTTGTCCCCCAGGCTGGAGTGCGATGGCACGATCTCGGCTCACTGCAATCTCTGCCTCCTGGGTTCAAGTGATTCTCCTGCCTCGCCCCACCACCACCCCCCAGCCACCGCCCCAATAGCTGGGATTACAGGTGCCTGTCACCACACCCCGCTAATTTTTGTTTTTTTAGTAGAGACAGGGTTTCACCATGTTGGCCAGGCTGGTCTAGAACTCCTGACCTCAGGTGATCCGCCCGCCTTAGCCTCCCAAAGTGCTGGGATTACAGGCGTGAGCCACCACGCCCGGCCTGTTAATTTTTTTATAGAAACGGGCTTTTTTTGCTGTGTTTCCCAGGCTGGTCTTGAACTCTTAGCCTCAAGAGAGCCTCCTGCCTCAGCTTCCCAAAGAGCTGGAATTACAAGCATGAGCCACCATTCCTGGCTCATGTTTTTTCATGGTTGTTTAGTGCCTCTTCTATAGTGGGTGCTTTCTGGTGGGCACTGATCTTGACACTCTGTATTCACATTGTGTGCATCTGCAGACTCCTAGCCTAAATCTCCTTGTCCATGATCTTTCCATCTTTTTTCTTTAGCTCTCTGACCAGCCAGCCATCCTATTCCTTCTTGTTTAATTTTTCCACCTTAAGCTCCTCATGTGGGACCACCATATGGCCATAGGTGTGAACTGACAGAGGGGTGCTGGTACATTGGTCGAGGGTGATGGGAATCTGGCTACTCATCCATACAGTTTGCTCATGCCCTCATGACTTGCTCTTGCTTGGTACTGGATGTATCATATCCATCTTATGATGGAATACTGGCATTTATGATAGTAGTCCATCATAAGATAGATATGATACATCCAGGACTTACTTATGACTTGGTGGGTCCAAGAAGGTCCCAGCTCATTTTCTGATACACAGTCACTTAGTGTTTTATGGTCAAGCATTTTTGTCTCTACCAGGACCCAGTAGCATGCTAGGAAGTGTTTTTCAACAAGTTTTTTTTTTGTTTTTTTTTTTTTGTTTTTTTTAGCAACAGATAACATGGGCTTGCTCTAGAACCCCAGGGACCTGAATTGTGATTCTACTGTTGAGGTTTGCTATAAACTCTGCACTACATCATCTTCCATCATTGACACTGACATTACCTAAGGTCTGCCAGGTTGTAAGGCCCAAGTGACAGGGATACTGCATCACATCCTGGAACTGCTGTGTAGTCTTCTCTGGCTTTGGGTCCCACTTAAAGCTAGAAGTCTTCTATGCTACTTGGTATATAGGTCAGAACAGTATTTCTAGGTGATGTTGAAACCAATGATCAGTAAGACATCATCATGTAATGGATCAATCTGATGTTTTGTGGGATGTCCAAACAGTTCATATCTTTTCAGGCTCTATTATGAGAGAGGGCAGAGGAGACAGTATAGTTCTAGGCAATAATGTAATTGTATAATGTTGTCCTTTCCAAGAAAATGTAAACTGTTTTTAATCCTTTCTCTTCATTGGGATAGAAAGTAATGAATTCTTGGCTGGGTGTGGTGGCTTATGCCTGTAATCCCAGCACTTTGGGAGGCCAAGGCAGTTGGATCCCCTGAGGTTGGGAGTTCGAGACCAACCTGGCCAACAGGGTGAAACCCCATCTCTATGAAAACAAAACAAAACAAAACAAAAAACTTAGCTAGGGGTGGTGGTTCACGTCTGTAATCCCAGCCATTTGGGAGGCTGAGGCACGAGAATCACTTGAACCCCAGGGAGTGGATGTTGCAGTGAGCCAAGATTGTGCCACTGCACTCGAGTCTGGGTGACAGAGTGAAACTCCATCTCAAAAAAAAAAAAAAAAAAGAAAGTAATGCATTGTCTATATCAGCGGCCATATACCACACAAGAGGCTATATTAATATCCTTTAACAATGATACCACACATGGTACAGCAGTTGTGACTGGGCAACAGCTTGGTTGATCTTACTGAAGTCTCAGTCATTCTCCAAAACCAATTTACTTTCTGCAGGAACTGGACTGGTGAATTAAATAGAGATATGCTAGGTACCACCATCCCTGGACCCTTTAGTCCTTTAAAAATGACACTAAGGGCTGGGCGCAGTGGCTCACACCTGTAATCCCGGCAGTTTGGGAGGCCGAGGTGGGCAGATCACCTGAGGTCAGAAGTTCAAGACCAGCCTGGTCAACATGGTGAAACCCCGTCTCTATTAAAAATACAAAAATTAGTGGGCACCTGTAATTCCAGCTACTCGGGAAGCTGAGGCAGGAGAATCTCTTGAGCCCGCGAGGCAGGTGTTACAGTGAGCCGAGATTGTGCCATTGCACTCCAGCCTGGGCAAAAAGAGTGAAACTGCATTGCAAAAAACAAAAAACAAAACAAAACAAAAGCACTAGTCTTTGGTGCTCCTCATTTTCTTACCTGGGATGCAGTAATGTTTTTGATTTGCTATGCTGACTGGAGAGTGGTGGTGGATTATTTCATAGCCTCCAATTTGGCTTTCCACACTCTGATAACTATTACTCCTATAAGCCAATGTCTCAATATAGATGGTTTTCTAATTTTCAAGTGTGTTAAATCTAATTATACATTCAGGGACTAGGGAACTGACCACCAGGAGGGTTTGTGAACCTAGAGGACATATTATTATTACTCTAGGCCTTGAAATTTCTTCATTCTTGTTTCTTTTTTTTAAATAGGGTCTCTGTCACCCAGGCTGGAATGCAGTGGTGTGATCACTGCTTACTGCAGCCTCGACCTTTCCAGCTCAAGTGATCCTCCCACCTCAGCCTCCCAAGTAGCTGGGACTACAGGCACGTGCCACCATGCCTAGCTGATGTTTTTTTTTTTTTTTTTAAAGAAATGTGTTGCCCAGGCTGGTCTCAAACTTTTAGGCTCAAGCAATCTTCCCACTTCCGTTTCCCGAAGTGCTAGGTTTACAGGCATGAGTCACTGTGCCTGGCCTCATTATTTCTTGATTCCTATGTGACCCCACTCTAAGAAGAGAGGCCATGATGACATTCCATGTCCCCGAGTTTCAGTGACCACTTGGACTCTTTATCTAATACCCCTTAAAGGGTCTGGTCATTCTTACCATATTATGTATTCACTTGAATAAATGGCCATAAATGCCTTTAGAGAAGAACTTGGAGTGTCAGTGCTCTGTATATTTGTCTCAGTGTTGGCAGGGTTTTCCCCCTGGGAACCCAGCCACTTCTTTGGTTAATAGATTCCAGGTCTGGAATTGCTCAGGTTCAGGAACTGGGCAAATGATCATGACATTTTTATTGGAGCAATTGCATTCAAGCTCCAGTGCTGGGTAAAAAAATATTAAAAATGCCCGTTAGAGGGGTCCTGTGTTTGGTGAAGATGGGTAGGCCCTTAAACAACTGCCTGGCTCAGTCATTGGTTGAGGACCACCCCCAAAATAATGTGCCCTCAGCTCAAAAGCTGAGGCAAAACCTGAAGGAACTGATAACTAGAGGCCATCAGCTAAACACACTCCTACTCACTGGACAGGAGTTCTTTCTGGAAAGGCAATCTGAGCAGGTCACCTCAATGTCTGTCACACAATCATGAACAAAAATATCCCAAAAAATTTTTTTCCACAAAAAGTAAAATTCTCAAAACTCAACAATTTGAAACAAAAGCTATTAAAAATAATATGAAGGGTTAACTTCCTAACTAACTTCATAAAGGATTAACACCCTTACATCATAGCATCACTCTTTAGGAAAAATCTATAGTACATGAACTTTATATGATATATTTAACAAATAGTTAAAGCTAAACACTTAAGATTCCAATAAATACTTAGAACAAGTACTAAGACAGAATAAATAGGAATAACCAATGGACATGAAAAAATACAGTCTTACAAGTAGTTGAATGCACATTAAAACAAATACATTTGAAGGACCTATCAAACTTCTAAATTTTTTTTTTTTTTTTATTAGATGGCGTCTCGCTCTGTCGCCCAGGCTGGAGTGCAGTGGCACGATCTCAGCTCACTGCAAGCTCCACCTCCTGGGTTCAGGCCATTCTCCTGCCTCAGCCTCCCGAGTAGCTGGGACTACAGGTGCCTGCCACCACACCCGGCTAATTTTTTGTATTTTTAGTAGAGATGGGGTTTCACCGTGTTAGCCAGGATGGTCTCGATCTCCTTACCTTGTGACCGCCTGCCTCGGCCTCCCAAAGTGCTGGGATTACAGATGTGAGTCACTGCGCCTGGCCCAAACTTCTAAATTTTTAAAGTTAACAATTTAATTTTGACTGGTGAGTGTTAAGTTAGAGGCGTCTCACACATGCTTAGCAGGAAGGTAAATTTATATTTCTATAAATAAATTTGGCACCAGGCTTCAGGAGGTGCACAAATTTATTTTCTTTCTTTTTTTTTCTTTTTGAGATGGAGTCTTGCTTTGTTGCCCAGGCTGGAGTGCAGTGGCGCTATCTTGGCTCACTGCACCCTCCACCTCCTGGGTTCAAGTGATTCTCCTGCGTCAGCCTCCCAAGTAGCGGGGATTACAGGCACGTGCCACCATGCCCGGCTAATTTTTGTATTTTTAGTAGAGACAGGGTTTCACCATCTTGGCCATGCTGGTCTCAAACTTCTGGCCTCAATTGATCCGCCCACCTTGGCCTCCCAGCATGCTGGGATTACAGTCGTTGAGCCACTGTGCTCAGCACAAACAAATCTTTTACTCAGTAACTCTACTTTGAGAGTCTATCCTAAGGAAATAATCAGAAATGTGGACAAAGATATATGTGTAAAGATATTTATCCTAGCACTATTTGTTATATTAAAACCCACAAGCAGCCTTAATGCCCCAAATTAGGAAAACAGTTATATAAATTACATTGAATGTATGTGATAGCGTAGCGTATAGCCATTAAATGAAAATGTGTGATAAGCCTTTCATGCCAAGAGGTTACGCTTAGGAAATGTTCAATGAAAGTGAAAATAATCATACATCGAGTAGTACCTCAAATATGTAAAAATCCATAGAAATATGTGTAGAAGAAAATATGACAGAAACATAAATATTGATTTGATGATCCTTGGTTGGGTGATTTATGTTCTTCTTTTAACTTTTGAATTTTACAAAGCAAACATTCTCGGAGTCATCTCAAGTAACATTGCTGAAAGGTTTTGTTGACTTCAGGGAAGGTGCTGGGTTATGGGCTTCTCTCTGTGTGCTCACTGCATTTTCTCAGTGCCTGCCTATCTCATCACATTTATTGCATCGTGCTCGACTTTCTCTGTGTATGTATCTGCAATGCCATTCTGACACTAACTACCTGGAATTAGGTCAAATTGCGGAAGTTGAGGGTGTAGTCCACCACGAGACTTCTCTCACTTCAGACACCAGCCACAGGCTCTGGGCTTTCCAGCCACCTGCACTTCTAACCAACTGGTGACAAATTTAGGCATTTCCACTACTTCCTCAGGCTCTATACTTTCCTAGAATAACTCACAGAATTCCAGAAAGTGTTACACTTAGGATTACAATTTTATTATAAAGGACATGAGTTGCCAGGCACAGTTGCTCATACCTGTAATCCCATCACTTTGGGAGGCTGAGGCGGGTGGATCACTTGAGGCCAGGAGTTTGAGACCAGCCTGGGCAACATGGTGAAACCTCATTGCTACTAAAAATACAAAAATTAGCCAGGTGTGATGGCACACACCTGTAATCCCAGCTACTAGGGAGGCTGAAACAAGAATCTCTTGAACCCAGGAAGCAGAGGTTGCAGGGAGCTGAGATGCGCCATTGCACACCAGCCTGGGTGACAGAGTGAGACTCCATATCAAAAAAAAAAAAATATATATATATATATATATATAAAGTCAAGACTAGCCAAATGAGAAGAACATATGTTGAGATCTTAGAGGGTCCCCAACACAGAGCTTCCATGTCTTCAGGATGTATCACCCTCCTGGCACATCAATATGTGTCACTCACCTGGAAGCTCACTTAAGCTTTGGGTGTCCAGAGCTCTTACTGGGGTTTCATTCTATAGGCTTGATTGGCTGAATCACTGGCCACATGATTGAACTCAATCCCTAGACCCCCCCTTCCCTCCCCAGAGGCTGGGAAGTCACGTTGATAACATATGGCTTGAAGCCCCAACCCTCTAACCACATAATTTTTCTCTCCAGCATGGAAAGCCCCCATGCTGAAAATACCTAGAACTATGAGTCACATCATTAGCATAAACTCCAGTGTGGTCAGAGAGGTCTACCATGAATAATAAAGACGCTTCTATCACTTGGGAAATTCCAAGAGTTTAGAGGCTCTGTCACAGGAACCAGGGGCACAAGCCAGCCAAATCCTCCATTATACAACAGTGTATGTTTCATCCATTGGCTGTGCCCCCAAAATGGAGAAACCATGCCTGGTACCCCAGCAGATCTTTTCTTTCAGTTAATTTGGCAACATAAAAAACTTTGCCTAGGCCAGGCACAGTAGTTCACGCCTGTAATCTCAGCACTTTGGGAGGCCGAGGTGGGCAGATCACGAAGTCAGGAGATCGAGACTATCCTGGCTAACAAGGTGAAACCCTGTCTCTACTAAAAATACAAAAAATTAGCCCAGCGTGGTGGCGGGTGCCTGTAGTCCCAGCTACTCGGGAGGCTGAGGTAGGAGAATCGCTTGAACCTGGGAGGCAGAGCTTGCAGTTAGCCGAGATCGCGCCGCTGCACTCCAGCCTGGGCGACAGAGAGAAACTCCATCTCAAAAAATAAAAATAAAAATAAACAATAATTTGCCTAAAGTCTATTAGTGTGACTTTCACTCTGAGTCCTAATGTGGCACTTTTCAGCTTCAGTGGCCTTAGAAGGTCACGTTGTAGGACTTAGCAATGCACCAACATTCTGGTCCTTTTAAAATGTAATCCATCACTGAGAAGAACAATAAAACAACAGCAAAAACCACAAAAACGTTTTTGCGTTTATCATCTTTCTTTTCCCTTGATTATATCTATCAAAACCATTAGCTAATTTTGAATTAATAAGGAAATTAATAGAAAAAAATATTAGCTTAGTGCAAGGAAAGGCCACAAAGAGAAATGCACGGATGGCAGTGGCATGGCTGTGTTTATGAATGTCTAATTCTGTCAATATTTTGTTGTCAATCTCAGGATGGCCCAAGAATTAGTTTTTATAACATCAATATAGTATTTGGTGAATCTGACAAATTAGTTGATTATATTTATGCTTACTCTTTTATTCCAAAAGCTAATTGCGTCTAGTAGGTGATATGATTAACGTTTAGGATCGCCTATTTAACCTAGTCCTTCAAGTCTTTGTTAATTTGTATTTCATAATTTATTAGATTAAAACCAGGATGGCTGCCTAGAGATATTATTTTTCAACTTCATAGGACTATGTATTAAAATTTTAGCCACTCAAAATTGAGTCAACTTTTTTTGAGACAAAATATTTTATAGACAGGCATACCTCATTTGATTGGGCTTTGCTTTATTTTGCTCCACAGATACTGTGTTTTTTTGACAAATTAAAGGTTTGTGGCAACCCTGTGTTGAACAAGTCTATGAGCGCCATTTTTCTAACACCATATGCTCACTTTGTTAGCATTTTTAGCAATAAACCATTTTAAAATTAAAATATGTACATTGTTTTTTAGACATAATGCTATGGCACACTTAATAGACTGCAGTATAGTGTAAACAACCTTAATACGCACTGGCACCCAAAAAATTCATGTGGTTGGATTTATTTTGAATTAATTAATTTATTGAGACAGGGTCTCAGTGTGTCACTCAGGGTGGAGTGCAGTGATGCGATCACAGCTTACTGCAGCCTCAACCTCCCAGGGCTCAGGTAATTCTCCCACCTCATCCTCCCGAGTAGCTAGCCTACAGATGTGTGCCACCAGCTTGGCTAATTTTTCTATTTAATAGAGACAGGGTTTTGCCATGTTGCCCAGGCTGGTCTCGAACTCCTGGGTTCATAAGATCCGCACGTCTCAGCACCACAAAGTGCTGGGATTGCAGGTGTGAGCCACCATGCCCTGCCAACTTGATGTATTTTGATGCTTATTTTATTGTAGTGGTCTGGAACTGAACCTGCAATATCTCTGAGGTATGCCTGTGTATGTGTGTATGTATATATATATATATGGTCAAGTGCTGCATAACAACATTTTGGTCAAAGACAGACTGCATATATGATGGTGGTCCCATAAAATTCTAATACTGTATTTCTACTGTATGTTTTTTCTATGTTTAGATATGTAAGACACCATTGTGTTGCAAATGCCTGTAGTACTCAGTACAATAAATGTTGCACAGGTTTGTAACCTAGGAGCAACTGGCTATTTGATACAGCCTAGGTGTGAAGTAGGCTACACCACCTAGTTTTGTGTAAGAACACTCTATGATAGTTGTACAGCACCATATTTGCTTATTGACACATTTCTCAGAATGTACCCCTGTTGTTAAGCAACATATATAATATATAATGATATACAGAGTGTAATATATGTGGACCAGTTTTACATGTTTGATCCAAGGACAACATCCGAAGTTCTCAAGCATCACTGATTCACTAGATCTCACTGCCAGGCATATGGAGATGCCTTTCTGATGAGAGCTGTCTCTGTGGGCTTGTTGCTACACTGTCTCTAGGTGTTGGAGACAGATCTGATATGGAGACTGGTCTGAATCCGTACCTTTTCTCCTCCTTTCTGAGCAGGCTTGACCCTAGGCTTGTGGGAGAAGACAGGGTTTTCAACAAGCAGGATGAATAGAATGCCTTCTGTGTGCGTTGTATTTGCGTGGTCTCCTATCTTTCCTGAGGGTGAGGGTCTCCTGTGACTAGAGTCACAGTAATTCCTAGGTACCATTGAATGCCTAATACATATTTAAATTTTCCTTATAAAATCAAAGGTTGGCCGGGCGTGGTGGCTCACACCTGTAATCCCAGCAGTTTGGGAGGTTGAGGCGGGTGGATCACGAGGTCAGGAGTTCGAGACCAGCCTGGCCAACATGGCAAAACCCCATCTCTACTAAAAATACAAAAATTAGCCAGGCACTGTGGCGGGCACCTGTAATCCCAGATACTCGGGAGGCTGAGGCAAAAGAATCGCTTGAACCCAGGAAGTGGAGGTTGCAGTGAGACAAGATCATGCCACTGCACTCCAGCCTGGGTGACAGAGCAAGACTCCGCCTCAAAAAAAAAAAAAAGGCTGTTTTGTATATAACAGGATGTATATACGTTTGTATATAACAGGATGATGCAGTTGAGAAGAAAAAGCTGATGATTCAGAACTGAGCAGAGACATTTACCAGAGTGATGTCCTTGAGCAGGGCCTTACACCATGCTCAGTATAAAGATAATGTCCCAGGGAGACGTCACGTGCTCTTTTGTATGAAAGGTGCCTCGTGAGTAATGCATCATGGGGGCCTGTCTGCACAGGCCGAAGGGGTTAGATTGAAGGAATTAGCTGCCCACCAAAGTGCTATGAAGACTATTTTAAACTGAAAACATCTGAACAGGCAGCAGCCACAGAAAGAAACATTATTTACACTTGAGTAGAACCCTCCCAAAATACAGCTGCTGTTGACCCCCATCTGAGGGAGTTTACCATTTGAAGAAAGGTTAACCCTTAGCACTGGGAACTATGAATTCAGCTGCCATAACACCCATCGCCTCCGTGGGAAAATTTCCAGCCAGGAAAGAGATAGACTGCCTATTCCCATTAACAACAAAAAGCCCAATAGAACCCTTTATACCTTCGCAGTGAAACCCTCCCCTCCTTTTGTGAAATCGTTATATAAACCTCTTGTCTCTGGCTATTCAGTGAGTTACTCGTGACTGAGCAACTCTTGCATGCACGTGAAAATAAACTTTTATCTTTTCTTCAATTAATCTGCCTATGGCTGGATAATTTGCAGGTCCTGGGACTATTCAGACCTAAGTTGACAGAGGAGAAGTTTTTCCTCACAACAAGATCCTGGGTACAAGTGGAGAGTTGGTCTTAGTAGGAGCAGAGACACTTCATCCATACTAACAGGATGGAAGGCGGAGGCATTTGCATATATTCAACATCTCTCTCATTCTCAAACCTCCTGGAAGTGTTGTCTACTCTTAATGATTCATGTCCTCACTTTCCTTCACTCTTCTACCTATTCCAATTTGGCTTCCAGGCTCAACACACATTCAATCATTCACCCATTCATCTAAAAATTCTTTAATCCTACTATATGGTCTAGGCCCTGGGGAGTATATCATTAAACAAAATCCAAAAATAGCTGTCTTTATGGAGCTGACTATCTAGTAGGGAAAACATATCTAAAGCAAATAAATAACACCATGCATTCACTGGTGATAAGTGTAATGGACAAAAACCAAACACACACAAAGCAGGCAGGAAAGTGAGGTTCTTAGTTCACTCATGCTGCTGTAACAACAAAATACCTTAGACTGGGTAACTGACAAACAACCGAAATTTATTGCTCACAGTTCTGGGCAGAGTCAGTGTCTGGTGAGGCCCTGTTCCTCATAAATGGTGCCTTCTATGTCCCCTCACATGGTGGAAGGGGCAAACAGGCTCCCTTAAGTCTCTTTCATAAGGGCACTAATCCCATTCAGGAGGGTGGAGCCCTCATGAGTTAATGACTCCCCAAAGGCCCCACCCCGTAATACCATTGCATTGGGGTTAGGTTCAACATAAGAATTTTGGAGTGACACAAACATTCAGACAATAGCAGGGAGCTGGAGAGTGTTGATGGCCTCACTAAGAAGGAGATAATTTGAACAAAGATGTGAGGAGGTAGGGAAAAAACCCTATGGATCTAGCTGAAAGTCTCTTCCAGAAAGGAGCAGATAAGCAAGAGAGTGTACCTGATAGAGTCAAGGAAAAGCAAGGAGGCCACTGTGGACTGAGCAAGTGCGAAAGGCAGAGCAGCAGGTAAAACCAGCAAGGTCATATGTGGCTAGATTGTGTGGGAGCATGTAGTAATTGCCACATATTTTGACTTTACTCTGAGTGAGATGAGGACGCACCGGAGGAATTTGAACAGACAAATGATGTGTTGAAAATGGATTGGGAGAGCAAGGGTGGAAGTAGGGGAAGCAGGACCAATGCTGATCCTATCAAAAGATAATGGGCGATGCTTTGGAAAACAGTCTTGCATTCCTCAAAAGGTTAAGTATTGAGTTACCACATGAAACCAGCAATTACATTCCTAAATACATACCCAAGAGAAATGAAAACATGTCTAAACAAAACATGAATATTCATGGCATCGTTATTAAAAGCCAAAAAGTGGAAACAACACAAATAAATGTCCATCAGCTGATGAATGGATACAAAAATTGTGGTATATCCATATAATGGAATGTTATTTAGTCATAAAAATGAAGGAAGTATGGATACATGCGACAAAATGGATACACCTTGAAAACAGTATTCTACGTGAATGAGGCCATTCGGAAAAGACCACAAAGTGTATGATTCCATTTATATGGAAAGCCCAGAATAAGCAGTTCTGTAGAAAAAGAAAGTAGTTTAGTGATTGTCAGGAGCTAGTGGGAGGAGGGATGAAGAGTAAATTCTCTTTGGGGCGAAGAAAATGTTTTAAAATGAACTGTGGCAATGGTTGCACAACTCTGCGGTTTTTAGTAAAAAAAAACCATTGAGTTGCACACTTTAAATGGATGAATTATGTGATATGCCAATTATATCAATAAAGCTGTTAGTAAAAATAAAAAGAGGTAATGAGGCTTGGCACGGGAAAGTTGGAGTGGAGATGGTGAGACATAATCAGAGGTGAGAATACTTTGAAGGTAGAACTAATAGAACTTGCTGAAAACTGGGTGAGAGGCTATGAGAGAAAGCAAGGAGTCAAGAATAATGCCACATTTTTTTTTTTTGACTGAGTGACTTAAAGGGTGGAGCGCTGACATTACGTGAGGTGAGGAAGAATGCTGGAGGAACAAGTTTCGAGAACTCTTTGGAACATGTTAAGCTAGAGATGTCTAGTTGACATTCAATATGCAACTGAAGGTATGGGTTTGGTGCTCAGGAAAGAACTGGACTAGAGTTTTACATTTGGGAGTTGTCAGCATAGGAATGGTATTTAACTGGCTAAGTTATCAGTGAACTCCCTGTAGCCAAATCTTCATCTAACTTGACTTTTCAATAATATTGGACACTACTGACTACTGCCTTCATTTAAAACCGTCCCTTCTCTTACTTTCAGCAGAGAAAACTTGTTTTCCTTCTTCCTTTCTGGCCTCTCCCAATCTGTATTGTTTGTAGGCTCATTCTCTTCCATTTCATCTTCTTTGTTCCTTTTATTATTATCATTATTATTTTTTTGCTGGGACAGGGTCTTGCTGTTGCCCAGGGTGGCCTCAACCGATCCTCCCACCTTGGACTTCCAAAGTGCTGAGATTACTGATGTGAGCCACTGTGCCTAGCCACCTAATCTTCAATTCATAAGTCTTTAAGTTTTGTTCCTAAAGTTTTTTGCTCATCTTACTCTACACTCTTTCTTTCTTTAAGAGATCTTATCCACATTCCTAATTTTAATTACTCCCTTACACAAAGACTCGCAGGTGATCTTCAGGTCTTTTAGATAAACACTATTGGATAAATCAAAAGCATCTCAAATTCAACCTGTACAACATTGAACTCATGACGTCTTCTTCCTTAAACCTGCTCCTCTTCCAACATCCTTTTTGTTCAGTAAATAAGTTATTAATACTTATTTTATTTATGCAAACCACAAACCAGAACCCCTTCTTGGTATCTCTCTTTCCTAGGATATCTAACCTTCATCACCAAATTCTGAGAATTGCATCTCTTAAAATATCCTCTGTCTCTACTTCTTTCTTTTTACTGGTGAACAATGCACATCTATTTCCATTGTATAATTTCTTTACATAACAATCCATGTTCACAGTCAATATTTCTACTATTCTTAAGCTTTAGAGGCAGACTATTACAGTGTTGTGGATTAAAAAAAGGGAGGCAATGGGTTCCCTACACAAGTTGAGGATTTTCATTCCAAAATGTTCTCTACAGTTTTTCCTTTTTTTTTCTACCTCTTGTCTCTTTTAAATCCAAATTATCCTACCAGTTGTCACCATACTAATTCTCTTAACATGTAGTTCAGTTCATTTTCTAGGTCAAAAACCTTCAAGAACTGCATTTTACCTGGGAATTTAAGAACAAACTCCAAATCTTAAAACTCTAGGTTCATGATAACAAATTCCAAACCCCCTTTCCTATGTTCCAGTGTTATGAGTAAAACAGCACTAGTTGCTAATAGAAGACAAATGATGCTGCTTGAAATTGTGACTTGAAAAGCAAGTAAACCATGAATCATCCTAATGTATAAGCTTGTAATCAGAACAATAGAGAACTGATATATGAATAGTTTCCATTTACTCTGTTCTTAGCAAAACATTGACCAATTCATGGCTATGCATGTTAAATGTTGTAACATGAACATAATTCATGTTATCCGAAACAGGGAACACTTCTGTTTCCAATTTGCTTTAAAAAAAAAAAAAAAAAAACAAACACACATATTTTGAAAAAAAGAGATACCCTAAATTAGCCTAAGGCTATCAAAGTACATCATGCTTCTCCATAGAAAGCCACCATATTAACAGTAATTGTACTAAGTATGTATAGTATTGTATAGTACTTTAAGATGTACAAAATACATCTTAATATCTAACCTTCCTCACCAAATTCAAATACATTCTCACTTTAAATAAAATATTTAAAACATTCTTGTGAGTTAAATATTTTCATTACCCCACATTTATGAATGAGGAATTATCCTTGGTAAGACGAAATGATTTACTTGTGGATATGTCCAGGTAGTATATGGCAAGGAGCCAGTACACACACCCAAGTCTTCACCTTCATACTTTAAACTCTGTATGGTCGTAATTCAAATGTGAAGTATAGCACAAGTAACTGAGGCTTCTCTATTTAACAATGATGCTGAAGATGTAATAAAAAATAATAACAATAGTAAAATTATTTATGTATTTGTCCCTATTAGAATGTGAGCTTGATGAGGACAGATGTTTTGTTCACTGCTGCTCCTAAGTACCTAGAACAGTGCCTGTCACACAATGGCCTCTCAGTGAAGACTTCCTTATAAATCAAAGAATGATACATTACATTTTCAAAGACATTTCACAAACATTATTTTATTAATTGTCACAGCAATTTCCAGGTTTTCTGACTCAGACTCTAATATTCTTTTTATTACTCCATGTTGTATAAAATAAGACTTAAAGGACTACTTAAAATTGGTGCTGAGGCTAGGTGCGGTGGCTCACGCCTGTAATCCTAGCACTTTGGGAGATGGGTGGATCACCTGAGGTCAAGAGTTTGAGACCAGCCTGGCCAACATTGTGAAACCTCATCTCTACTAAAAATACAAAAATTAGCCAGGCGTAGTGGCAGGCACCTGTAATCCCAGCTACTCAGGAGGTTGAGGCAGGAGAATCACTTGAACCCAGAAGGCAGAGGTTGCAGTGGGCAAAGATTGCACCATTGCACTCCAGCCTGGGCAACAGAGCAAAAACTCCACCTCAAAAAAAAAAAAATTGGTACTGAGAGATAAAAATAAGATATATTCATTCCTTGAGACCAGGACTATAGTAGGAGCTCAGTAGACCTAATGGACACTAAGTATTAACTTGAATATGTTGGCTTCTCCATGGATAGAAGGTATTGAAAGGCATGTAGAGAAATTCACTGTTGAGAAACATACACATTTATCAAGATTATAAAAGAAGTCAAACTTCCTCTATACAATTCCGGAATATGGGAGAAGTGGGAAGTTTGCCTTCTTTTCATGAGGAAATACAGATTGAAGGTCATCCCCTATTAGAGATACCACAATCCCTTTATTTACTACTATCTTACTTTTTGTTTTTGGGGTTTTTTGCCTTTATGGAGAATCAAAAAGTATTTGAGTTTGAAAAATTAGCAAACATTTTGTTCTGGTGTAAGGGGGTAACAAGACCTGGGCTCTGTGGTCACTCTTTTGGTGGCCTATTTTGGGGAGAAGGAGATGATGAATAGGTGGGATGCATCTCCGCTTCAATTTCTTGCTGTCAAACAAATTTGAAAACTGCTTCTGGCCGAACGCGGTGGCTCACACCTGTAATCCCAGCACTTTGGGAGGCTAAGGTAGGTGGATAACGAGGTCAGGAGTTCTAGACCAGCTTGGCCAACAGAGTGAAACTCTGTCTACTAAAAATACAAAAACTAGCCGTGTGTGGGGCACACGCCTGTAGTCCCAGCTACTCGGGAGGCAGAGGCGGGAGAATCACTTGAACCCAGGAGGCGGAGGCTGCAGTGAGCCGAGACCATGCCATTGCACTCCATCCTGGGTGACCGAGTGAGACTCCATCTCAAAAAAACAAAAACCTATTTCTATTTAAAGTACAATGCGAAAACTTTACGTAATTTAGGAAGGTCTTCTTTGTTTTTTACTGTCCATTTTGAAGCCACGTTCCTTCAAAGGTACAGTAGAGTATTAGTATTCCAGAGGTTGCTTATCTTGCTATCTCAGCTAACTGGAACTCATTTAAGAAATGGGAAAGAGGGAAAAGAGGAGGACTCACAGTTGGCATAGGCCTCACAAATACCACGGTAATACCATTCTCTTCATAATTAAGTTCTGTACTCACAGATAAGTTCTCCGTTTTCGTTAGGTCCAGCTCATTCCCAGTTTACCCAGAACACTATAGCCTCATCTCTCTGGGTTCTCTGGCCATAATAGCAGTATTGGGCTGCTATGGTTTGAATCTTTGTCCCCTCCAAAACTCATTTAATTTGAAACTTATTGTAGTAACAGTATTAAGAGGTAGGACCTTCTTCTTTTTTATGTTATTATTATTTTTTTTTTAAGAAACACTGTCTTGCCGTCACTCAGGCTGGAGTGCAGTGGTGCAGTCATGGCTCACTGCAGCCTTGAACTCCTGGGCTCAAGTAACTCTCCCACCTAAGCCTCCCGAGGAGCTGGGACTACAGGTACATGCCACTATGCCTGGCTAATTTTTAAATTTTTGTGTAGAGACAGGGTCTTGCTATGTTGCCTTTGCTGGTCTAGAACTCCTGGCCTCAAGTGACCCTCCCACTTTGGCCTCCCAAAGAGCTAGGATTACAGGCATGAGGCACTATGCCCAAAGAAGGTATGACCTTTAAGAGGTGATTAGGCCATGAGGGCTCCATTCTCATGGGTGGGATTGGTGCTGGGATTGGAAGCCTCCCAGGTTCAAGCAATTCTCCTGCCTCAGCCTCCTGAGTAGCTGGGATTACAGGTGCCCACCACCATGCCCAGCTAATTTTTGTATTTTTAGTAGAGACGTGGTTTCACCATATTGGCCAGGCTGGTCTTGAACTCCTGACCTCAAGTGATCTGCCCGCCTTCAGTCACCTGTTGTATTAAAGGGCTTTGTTATTATTAATATTATTTATAACCTTAGTTCACCTAAAAATTTATTATCCCAATTTATTAGAGGAATAATGCATTCAATATGTTCATTCATGAGTGAACAGAACTAATTCGGTATATATAGGTGCACACACACACACACGGACACACACATACACCCCTGTGACACTATCCAAAACCCACAGCAACTAAGATGCCAGCCCAGAAGTAGCAACAGCGATTGAGCAACACAATTAGAAACATGTTCTTTTGAAGAAATATTCCTTGTTTTTTTTTGAGATGGAGTCTCGTTCTGTTGCTCAGGCTGGAGTGCAGTGGCGCAATCTCGGCTCACTGCAAGCTCTGCCTCCCGGGTTCATGTCATTCTCCTGCCTTAGCCTCCTGAGTAGCTGGGACTACAGGCGCCCGCCACCACACCTGGCTAATTTTTGTATTTTTTTAGTAGAGATGGGGTTTCACCTTGTTAGCCAGGATGGTCTCGATCTCCTGACTTCGTGACCTGCCTGCCTCAGCCTCCCAAAGTGCTGGGGTTACAGGTGTGAGCCACTGCGCCTGGCCATTTGAAGAAATATTTCTTTCGCTTCCATCTTACCTCTCTTTTTTAAAAAACCACCTCTTCCTTGTGAAAAATGAAATCAAAAGAGGTATCCTAGAAAAACTCAAGCCTCAGTACACTCTGTATGCAGGAACTAAGTCAGAACACATGAAAAAGGCTAGATGTGCTATGATTTAATGCAATTGGAAAAAGAATGACTTTTTTCTCCACTTTTTGATGGAGAATTCTATGAAAGAGTGTGCTGGCAAGAACAAGTTCCTCTAAGTGACATTTCATTTCTTAGCAGCTAGATAGATTAATGCTTGCTTCTTGCAGCTCATGCATTACTAGCCCTAGTACTCCTGAAATGAAAAATCATGTACTCAATTCATTCTTTATTGCATAAATGTTATACAAAGAGAATGGAAATTTGCATTTGGGTGTTCACTCCTGTTAAAATATTGCAGTCTTGATAACAGGTTGAGAAATACTATAGTGCCACTGCCCTATCATATTTAGCCTCTATAAAATAGCTTAATGGATTATATGTATAAGGTGAGGAGAAATGAAAGAGTAGAATTATGTTAAATTGCGTGGCTTCTAAATAGATTACAAAAACTTTATCCCCTTTTTAGGGCATGACTAAAGAGACCCACCTGTAAATCTACTTAATAGCCAGATCACAGGGAACTAGAGACGTCTTCAAATTATCAGCAACAGAACTCAGCCAAGGGGCCAGTGAGGTGCAAAATTCAAAAGAAAGGCAAACTCTAAAGAAATATGTAGTGAAGAATTGAGAGAGTACTGAACAGAATATTTGAAAGCAGATCTAAGAGCCACATCTGATCTCTTCTCGTCCAGACGAGAGAAAGCAATTTTCACCCAAGCAAGTCAAAGAAGCCATCTTGGATTTTCATTTGTGAAAGTGAACAATTTCTGCCTTTTTAAGTTTTCCTGACCCATGAGGTTTAGGCCTAACTTCTAGGCTTAGTACTTTGGTTAAGCTGAAGCTTTTGTTCTTCAGATATGTATTTTTTGCCTTAATTAGGACACGAGGGCTAGAGTTGGGCTGGTGTGGAAATGGGAGAGGACTGGTTTGGAGAGAAGGTGGGGAAAAGTTGTTAAGCTGCCACTGCCTTCCTACAATTGTGGAAGTTACCTGCAAGAAATCTTAAATACTTTGTAGAAACATGGTTTGAAAAGTTAAATAATGGAATTAAAATAGTTAGGGCTGGTATGCTACTCTACATGAGACAGACCATAAAATTGTATGGTTAGGAATATATTTGGAGCGTGAAATAAGTTCTGGGAGAGTGTAGGTATTTCCAACTTAATGGGTGCACACGTAGTCTTGATTTATGAGTCATTTCTTTAATATATTTGATCTGATTGTGGTTTTATCCTGCGATAAATTTTTGACTAATAATTTCACATTCCTGCCCAGCCACACGAAACTTTGGGAAACAGAACCTCTCTGTCTCCCACAATCTTCATCTGCAACCTCTTCTTTCTACAAACACTCTGGCCTCCAATGTGTCCCTCACATTGAGCTGGACACTGGAGATTCAACGACAGCTGGATTGAACACATAAAACAAGACAAAAGTTTTAATTTCTGTTGTCTTGTGGCCTCATACGCTGCTCTGGAAGCTTGCTGAGTTAGACTAAATCTGCCACTCAGAGGAAGGAATTGTTTGTGGTGATAACAAAGAGAAAGGGAAACACTTGAGGGTTTAATTGAAAGTAATTATGGCATTGGCCCGCTGCCAATGGAAAATTTTCAGAAAACGCATCTTTTGCAAGGAAGTAAACTCCCAAATAGTTGCGAAAGGAAAACCTTTTTTGAAAAAAAGCTCCAAACCCAGGTAATTGTTTTTAGCAGTTTCCCTCCCATGGGTAAAATCTTTGTATTTTCCAAAACTTTCCTGAAACACAATGTAGAACAATAATAAAATACAAGGAAATGTAATACAACTAAAAATTCAGTCTTTTCCTTAGAGAAGTCATAGCTATTTACATAGTTCCATGGGCCTCTACCGTGAAGAAAATCATAGAAATGTGGCAGAAGCCTGAAGGAAATGAAACATCCTCTGTAACTCCATTCTGTTCTATTTCTGTTGGCTTTCCCGGGAATTCAGGTAGTCAGACAGAGAAACTGAATACCCTTCTTGTGGTTGTCTGAACGTTCAAGATCTCTGAATCGGCATGGGAGCAGTAAAACAAAGTTAGGATGTGTTGGTCAGAGGAACAAGGGGAAACTTAAAATGAGTTTGAAAACTATTTGTTAAAAAATGTAAAAGCCTTTTGCCTGTCTGGTACATAAATTTGCTGAAAGGCAAATTAATTTCTAATGACCTTTCTTAAATTATACAGTGTTTGAATTTGAATGTTTAGAGACCAATGGTTTGGTCAGGTAGGCACAGTGGGTTTGTTGTTGTTGTTACTGTTATTTGTAATTGTTTTGCTGTTTTTTGTTTTTGAATGCCTTCAGGTACATTATGTATTTTTCCGTTGGCCATAGGCCCAACTGCTCCCTGTTATTTTATACATATTCAAAGTTAGTATATTTATCTTTGCAAATCTTTAGTTAGCAATTTTAGAGAAAGCCTGTTGTTGTCAGGTAATAACAAAAGCCGCCTTTGTATAAGTGCCTACAGTTTGTTAGGCACTTAATCACCATTTACCATAACAGCAATCCCATTGGTAGATACTATTATCCCACTTAAAAAGATGTGGAGCCCACTAAGTAGTAATGCTGGAATTTGAACCCAGGTAAGTCGAGCTCCAACACCTGTCCTCTTTCCGTTATGCCTCAACTTCCTTTAGATTCAGGAATCAGAGAAATCACATTATATACCAACTTTAAAATATGTCTCTTGACACAATGTACAGGATAAATGACATCTGTACGTTGTTAAGTTCCAAGATAAAAAAGTGCAAGAACCTTGAACCTCAACTAAGATTCATAAAAGAAAGAATGAGGCATTTGTTCTGGAGAAGACCAGCAACTAGGAAGAACAGATTTTTTTTCTTTTTCTTTTGGTAATACTGCCTGAGGGCCCAAAGTGGTCAACCTTTGTCATAATTCATTTGGCAGGCCCGTAAAGATAGCTCAGTCATTTAGTCTAACAAAATATTTTTTAGCAGTCAGGGTACATACTTGATTTGGATCCAGGGACAAATGGCTCTCCAAGGGCTTGCTGGCAGGTTGATGACGCGATGCATCAACTGGATGTATCAGGACTTAATAGTACTGAACCATGGAGCACATTTAAAAAGCTCACATACGTTCTCAAATATCATAGAATATAACAAATTTCATTGCCTTCAACTCAAATGATATTTAGAATATGTGCTACATCAGTCTTTCTGCTCCGGGATTCAGTAATGGTCCAAGGTTGTTGTCTTCTTTTCAAATGTAAAAAGCTTAACTTGAAATATGGGTCATTTATCTTGGGCATGGTTTGAAATGGCATATATTCGATCATGTTGTAATACATAATATCTTACAATTTAACCATAAAGGAAGTTACAGCCACACATCATTTTGTCCAAAATCACTGAGAATGGAGATGCGCTACTTAAACACATTTTCTTGAATACCTTTCTTTTACTTTGAAATCCTCCAAAATTATAAAACTAACTTTTACTCATTCAGGCTTGATTTAAACAGAATCAGCTCCACAATTGAGCTTCCTAATGACTTAAAGTTTTTGTGTAATTAGCTTTTTTATTACTAAAGTCGGGGAAAGGAGCACTAAAGACAGTCTTACGGATTTGTCTGGACCTACCTTCAACCTTCAGCACTTCAGAGTCAGAAGGTGTTGCTTTTGCCCTGCCTTCTTGTCAGTGATTATGCTTTCTTCTTTTTTGCTTACTCTGATTTTTATCTCAGAAAATAGATATTAAACTTCTAAATCTAAAATTCCAAAAACAGAAATACCAATCCCATTTATGCTTTCTTCTTGAGTTATGTCTCTTGTGGAGATGGTTAATTGGTGACCCTTCTCCTTTGCCCCCATTCCCAAAAGATATGTCTACCTCTCAACCTGCAGAGCCTATGAATATTGCCTTATCCAGAAAAAGGGTCTTTGGAGATATAATTATGTTTCTTCAGAAGAGGAGCTTATCTTGGATTATTCAAGTAGCTTCCAAATGCAATGACAGATCTTTGTAAGAGATGCATAGAGGAGACAGATGTACAGGAGGAAGCCAAGTGAAGACAGAGGCAAAGATGAGTGATCCAGTCACAAGCTTCTGACTGCCATCAGAAGCTGGAAGAGGTGAGGAACAGAATCTCCCCTAGAGCCTCTGCCTACACACTGATTTAGTTTTTTTGTTTTGTTTTTAACTGTTTTGTTCTTTTTCTGTTTAGAGATGGGGTCTCGCTATGTTGCCCAGTCTGGTCTCAAACTCCTAGCCTCAAGTGATCCTTCTCCCTTGGCCTCCCAAAGTGCTGGGATTACAAGCATGAGCCACGATGGCTGGCCCTGAATTTGGACTTCCGGCCAAAAAACTGTGAGAAAATACATTTCTTCCATTTTAAGCCACCAAGTTGGTGCTAATTTGTTACAGCAGCCACAGGAAACTAATACAGGAGGTTTCTGTCTTTTCCAGACTGTGTAGAAGAGCTACATATTATTGGCTTTGCTTTTTTTAACAAGTAAATTTATATGTTTTGTTAAATTGTTCTTTGCTCAAACTCTGTAAACTTCAGACAAATTAAGTTTAACAGAGGTGAATTGAGCAAAGAACAATTTATGAATTGGGCAACACATGCCACATCCTCCCCTCACCCACCAGAATAAATTCAGAGTGATTTCCCTCCTGCCATGTGATCAGAGAGGATTTGTGGACAGAAAAAGGAAAGTGAAGTAGAGAAAATGGAAGTGAGGTACAGAAACACCCTGATTGGTTACAGCTTGGCGTTTGCTTTACTTGAACACTGAAAAGTTGGCTGCTTGTGTGTGGTTAAAGTAGCGCTTCTGTGATTGGCTGTGACTTGGCTACTTGTTACAAGAGTAGGTTGCAGTCCGTTTACACATCCAGCTAGGTTACAGCTCACTGCAGTATGGAGAAACCTCTAGACCAAACTTAAAATATGTAAGGAGGCAGCTTTGGGTTAAACTTTTTTTTTTTTTTTTTTTGAGACAGAGTTTTACTCTGTCACCTGGGCTAGGAGGCAGTGGTGTGATCACGGCTCCCCGCAGCCTCAGCTTTCCAGGCCCAGGTGATCCTCCCACCCCAGCCTCCTGAGTAGCTGGGACTACAGGTGTGTGCCACCAAACCCGGCTAATTTTTGTATAATATTTTTTGTAGAGATGGGGTTTCTCCTGTTGTCCAGGCTGATGTCAAACTCATGAGCTCAAGCAGTTCACCCGGCCTTGGCCTCTCAAAGTGTTGGGATTACTGGTGTGAGTCACTGCACCTGGCCTGGGCTAAACTTAACAGTTTTCAGTTTCACTTGTGCAGAGACACTTTTCAGTAGCAGTGTTCGCTGGCGCCCACATATACTCTTAAAGCGAACACACTAACACCTACTTAATACCCTTCATCTATTTGCTTGTTTTATTTATTTATTTTTTTTTAAGAATTAAGGTGAAATGGCTTTAAAGCAAAAGATTATTGCCAGAATTAGAAAGCACTCAGGATAAAAGTGTCTCTCTGATAAAGTCCATCCTAAAAGTATGTCTTCAAACTCTGTATGGCAGCAAAACTGCTCGTGATTTAACTTGCTTTGTCTCCACTTTCTACATCAGTTTCTTTCTCTCTTCATGTAGTTTCTGAAATATTTTTGTGGTAGACTTTACAAATCTTAACCAATGTATCTAGTTCAAATGTCCAATGGAAGATGTGCTCCCTTAAATGTAGGCATGGCTATCTATCTTGCTTTAGCCAATCATATATGAGCATCACTTGGCGTCAGAGTATTTACTTCCTAATGCTCAACCCTCAATTTCTTTCTTCCTCTGCCATTTCAGTTATGGAGGCTTGTGTTGATGTGGAGGTGCAGTGATGTGGAAGTGGCCTGAGATGCTGAGCTCACAGGTAGAGGACCGCACCCCCAAGAAATCTCAGCAGGCTAGTAATAAACAAGAAGTACACCTTTGTTGTTTGAAGCCACTGGGGCTTTGCCGTAGTTTGCTATTGTTGCATAACCTAGACTATTGTGAATGATACATTTTCTTAAGTTTAAGTTTGGTGATTAATTTTAAATTCTGGGATCTGCTCTACTGTTTTTTTGGAATTATTTCAATGACATAAATATTTTCTGAGATATATTACCTTGCAATGAGATGACCTTAGGGACTTGCACAAACTTAAAGTACAAAATGAGAACTCAGTATTGTGAATTCAGCGGCCTTGGTCTGGCAAAAAGACTAGCAAGTATTAAAATGCAGATTCTGGGCTGGGCACAGTGGCTCATGCCTGTAATCCCAGCACTTTGGGAGGCCGAGGCAGGTGGATCACTTGAGGTCAGGAGTTTGAGACCAGCCTAGCCAACATAGTGAAACCTCGTCTCTGCTAAAAATACAAAAATTATCCGGGCATGGTGGCGCGTGCCTATAATTCCAGCTACTCGGGAGGCAGAGACAGAAGAATTGCTTGAACCCGGGAGGCAGAGGTTGCAGTGAGCTGAGATTGCACCACTGCACTCCAGCCTGGGAGACAGAGTGAGACTCCTTCTCCAAAAAAAAAAAAAAAAAAAAAAAAAAAAAAAATGCAGATTCTGAGTTAAAAGTCTCCTCTGTTCCTTGTTGTGAAAACTGCTTGTTAATTGAAAAACAGTGACAAGGTCCTATAAGGTATTTTACTTTAAAATTATATACAATAAAAATGTTTGCTAAATGAAGAATCATCATAAAACCAATTTGTTTTACAGCTAGGAGAGACTTTTGTGTTTATCAAACCTGTTATTTTTACTTTCTTTGGCAAGTGGTTGATTCTTTTTCGGGGCAAAAAAAATGTACACTATGTACCAGGAACAACTTATCATATCAAGAAATCTAGGTAGTTACTAAAGACTACTGGTTAGGTCTAAAGGGCCTGGGGGCGTAACTAAAGATGCTGTCCCTGTCCAAATTAGGATAATGTTAGCATCAAGTTTTCAATCAATAGCTTGATCATATCAAATATACTTAAAATCAGGAGTTCATAACAGTATATAACAAAAAAGGCTGGACTCAGTGGCTCATGCCTGTAATCTCACAACTTTGGGAGCCTGAAGTGGAAGGGTCACCTGAGGCCAGGAGTCTCATGTCAGACTGGGCAACAAAGCAAGACCCCATCTCTAAATTTAAAAAAAAATAGAGAAAGAAAAAGAAAGTAACCTCATTGCTCCATTTTGAAGGATGCTGAGGAAGCAACTCACTATTTTGAAAATTTGTAAAAATGCAGGGATATATCCTGTCTTTCCAAAATGACTTGTACCTCAGGGCAATCCAGTAGTTAGCAAAGGGGCACTTCTCTTTCTTTTTTCTTAAAGACAGGTCTCACTCTGTCACCCACAATGGGAGTGCAGTGGCTCAATCTTGTCTGCAACCTCTGCCCCCTGGGCTCAAGCAATCCTCCCACCTCGGCCTCCCAAGTAGCTGCGACTACAGGCACGCGCCACCATGTCCAGCTAATTTTTAATTTTTTTTTAGAGAAAGTGTTTTGCCATGTTGCCTCAGCTGGTCTCAAACTCCTAAATTCTCTCTCCTCAGCCTCTCAAAGTGCTGAGAGCGATCCTCTCTCCTCAGCCTCTCAAAGCGCTGGGATTACAGGCACAAGCCACTGCACCCGGCCCGGGACATTTTTCTTTATAAACACATTTAGTTAAGAAGTGAAGAAGAAATGATATAACTACAGCATTACTGTTTTGCAACTCATAATACAAACATAGGCCTAGGCATTGATGATTAATGACTGCTAATTTTACAAAACAGAGATAGCCAGATACTATGGCCTCCTAATTCAAGTACATACCATCTAACAAGTGTTATTGTAGAAAAAAAAAAAAAGAAAAAATCCTGAATCTGATTGAACTCCAGATCTAACTACTAACTTTCTTGATTGCATCATAAGAATTAGTGTTGCTGAGAGCTGTATAATTAAACTAGGGACAGAGGAGCATGTTAAGCAACACTGTGAATATGCAATTAACAAAATCTAGATCGTGGAAATTCTACAGGTCTAAAGACTTACTTCGTTTAACAAATATCAGGAAAATTTGAATACTGTCTTGGATATTTGATGATATTAAGGAACTGTTAATTTATCTAGGTATGATAATGGAATTGTGGTTATATTTAAAGAAAATGGTACTGATCTTTCAGATATACATCAAAATATCTTGAGATGAAATAATATGATATCTGAGATTCGCATGAAATAATTCAGTGGGAAATGGTACAGTGGTGGATGAAAAGTAGCTGTGAATATAGATAAAACAAAATTTACTTGAGGTTTTAATTGTTGAAGCTGGGTGATGCATAGATAATAAGTAGTTCATTATGCCATTTTCTTTACTTTTGCATATATTCACAATTTTTAATAAGGAAAATTAGAAATAAATTCTCATTTTGAATATGTAAAAACCATGTCTAAAGCAGGATTCCTTGGAAAAATGCAGATTTGGGGAACTGTACAAAGATTTTATCATTCCAGAAATGAAGAAAGTTATTGAAGACTTTAGGGGTCATGTTGCAGGGACTAAGTAGCCTAATTGAAGAGGTTTCCACTAATGAAAATAATGGATCTAGACAATGATTATCAATGGCAGCTAACAACTCAAAAGGAGAAATAACTAGACATTAAATGCATCATAACGGAAGTACACAATACCACCTAAGAAGCATTCTTACAAAAATTTAATACCTGAAATGATCAAGCTTCTAGATCTAACTATAGAAAGTACAAGAGACAGAGGAATATATTCAATATCATTACAAGGAAGCAATTAGAAAAGTCCAGACTGAGAAACTCTATTGACAAATGACCTAGGCTCTTCTCCTCAAATGAACTGAAGGAGAGAAGAGGGGAAGGGGTGAAGAAAGAATAAGAGAGAGTGAGAGCAGAAGAGAAAGAGGGAATCTATAGTTTACAGGAGTCTTAAGAGACATTTTTAACAATTAAATGTTACGGACATCTTTTAGATTTTATTCAAAAAGTATTTTGAAAATTTGACAGGGAAATTTCAACACTGGATATGTGAAAATAATAATTATTGTTAATTTTTTAGTATTTAATGTTATTTTGGCTTTTTAAAAGCAAAGTAGTCCTAATCTTTCAGTAATATACTATGAAATATTTATGGATATAATGATATGAACTGTGACTTATTTTATAATAACCCAGAAGTTGAGTTACAGCATAATAAAAATTGACCACAAGTTGATAATTGTTGAAACTAGACAATAAGTAATCGAATGAGCTATTCTATTCTTTCTACCTTTGTACATTTGAAAGTCACATTATAAAATGTTAATAACAACAAAACTCCAAAAGCCAAGGCCCAAAGACATTTAGTGACTTGCCCGATACTATGTATGTAATTAGGAGCAGTTCAGACCTGAAACTGGACTCTTGACTTCCAATCAAATACTCTTTCCCTTATAACAAGCTGTTTTGCAGGGAAGCCAAACTTCTGGGATACCAGATACCTGCCCAAAGCTTGACAAGTCAATGGGTGAACTGGGAAATACACTATGGTGCTATCAAATACTCATACAAGCAGCTCATCAGCAAGCAGCCAAGTGGCAAATTGGGATTGCCTGGGAGTGCACAGCAGCTGTTGACTTTTGAAGTATTGCCCGGAGCTCTTGGCTTTTCCCCATTTGGTCTTTAAGAGAGCCATTTGAAAAACAGGCTAGCCTTCAGAATGCCCAAACATAGTTGAAAGGCTGCTTAGTTTGTACCTAGACTTTTCTTGATTGCATCATAACAATGTTTTTGCTGAGATTTATATAGTAAGACCAACATGATGTCTCATGATGATAGCTAAGGTTACAGGGCCTGGACATCAGAGATTAGAGGATAGTCAGGTTGGAGTTTATTTATTTATTTAATTTTTGAAATGGAGTTTCACTGTTATCACCCAGGCTGGAGTGCAATGGTGTGATCTTGGCTCATTGCAACCTCCACCTCCCGGGTTCAAGCAATTCTCCTGCCTCAGCCTCCGGAGTAGCTGGGATTACAGGCGCCTGCCACCACGCCTGGTTGATTTTTGTATTTTTAGTACAGATGGGGTTTCACCATGTTGGCCAGGCAAGTCTCGAATTCCTGACCTCAGGTAATCTGCTTATTTCCACATTTACTAAGTTGGCTGATTCACTGGACACTAAAGCTAAGTAACCTTTGATGTGGGTCTGGCATTGTTGAGACACCTGAGCTGGTGAGAAGGTCTGTGGGCAGATGAATAATGAAGATCATACCGAAATTCAGAAAGGTGACAAAATAGCAGTGGCAGCAGTACCCAATCAGGAAAAAGGCAGGCAAATCCTTCAAAGTCAGCAAATACTGAACCAATATTTAAATGCAGCTAGCTAGGCACATGCTCATTGCCATTACATATCATCCTTATTTCTGGGTTTTCTTACAATGTATTCAGAGGTAGACGATCTCTGTGGAGGGGATTTGTGGGAAAGAAAGGCAAGGTCATATTTTTCTATTGTCAGTGCTAATATTAATACTCTCAGCTTTTCAAAGTCGGTATTCAGGTGGTTGCTCCTGGTGGAGATCTATTGCTTTCTCCTGTCCAGTGTCCCGTTTGTTTTTCCAGCAACATCCCATACTTTCTTTGAAAAACAATCACTTCCCCATCATGTGCAGTGTTGGTAAAATTGTTAATCAAATGGGCACCTCAGTGAAGTTTTGCTAATCTGACTCTTTCTAGAGGAAGTTTGGATATTGCAGTTATGATTCACCCCAGCAGTGGCATCCTATAAGAGAGTGGCTATTGGATCATGCTCCTGGAGCTCCAGAACTTAGCTACTCAGAAACTTACCTTTAATTTTGTTATTTGTTCCCTATGATCTATAAGATTCTCTTTTTGCTTAAGTCAGAATTGGTTTATGTTGCTTAAAACCAAATCTAAATGACATACCATTCACAAATCATAGCCAGCTACTAAAGGAACAAATCAAGAATATTTAATATTCCTCTAGTATGAGGTAAGGCAGTACTTTGAGCCATACTTAACACAGGTTTTTGGCATCTAGTAGAATAAAATCTTTTTTTTTTTCTGAGACGGAGTCTCGCTCGGTCACCCAGGCTGGAGTGCAGTGGCGTGATCTCGGCTCACTGCAAGCTCCGCCTCCTGGGTTCACGCCATTCTCCTGCCTCAGCCTCCCGAGTAGCTGGGACTACAGGCGCCCGCCACTATGCTCAGCTACTTTTTTTGTATTTTAAGTAGAGATGGGATTTCACTGTGTTAGCCAGGATGGTCTCGATCTCCTGACCTTGTGATCCGCCTGCCTTAGCCTCCCAAAGTGCTGGGATTACAGGCGTGAGCCACCACGCCTGGCCTAGAATCAAATCTTTTTTGCTCTTTGACTTATTCTTAGAGAAAAATCAATTAGGATACTGAAATTTTGGTGCATTTTTGGTTTTCCTTTTTCTCTTGAAAAAAAATTCATTGAAAAGTCATATTTATATGAGCTCACAGTGCAATATACCAATTTCACACTCATATTTTTCTTTCTTTCTTTTTCTTTTTTTTTCTTTTTTTTGAGACAGGGTCTCTCCCTGTTGCCTAGGCTGGAGTGCAGTGGCACAATAACAACTCACCGCAGCCTCGACCTCCTGGACGCAAGTGATCATAGTTTTATTTCTATGCCTTCTGAAGGACTAGATACAGAAGACAGTAATAGCTTGAGCCTGAGATGGGAAAAAACTTTCTTAAAATCAAAGAAAATTCATGATGGCCAGAATTTACACACTGCTTCAATTCTTTTCATCTATATTTTCAAAAAGATACTTGGTCATACTTTGCAAAACTTGTCACAGAAAAGAAATTATAGTCTGGATAAACAAAGAGTAAATGTAAGTGATAAATACTTTTAGTTAAATATTCATTTGACTACAGAGTGAATCAAGACCATTTTTTGGAAACCTTGAGAGACAGGAATGGGCTTCTTACCAGATAAGAAATGCAATAAGCCTTTCTTATTTACAGGTCATGTGCAATCCCTTGAAGATGGATGATTATCTTTAGCCTTCGGGTAGGGACAAAGTAGAACTCTGGAGCATTTTTCATTTCTTAGGTTCATTCATGAAGGTCCATTGTGGCTCCCTGTTATAAACTGAATTGTGTCTCCACCAAATTCATATGTTGAAGCTCTAACCACCAATGTGGAGATAGGACTTTTTTTTGTTTGAGATGGAGTCTTGCACCATCGCCTGGGCTGGAGTGCAATGGTGCCATCTCAGCTCACTGCAACCTCTGCCTGCCTGGTTCACGCAATTCTCCTGCCTCAGCCTCCCGAGTATCTGGGACTGCAGGCGTGCACCACCACACCTGGCTAATTTCTTGTATTTTTAGTAGAGATGGGGTTTCACTATGTTGGCCAGACAGGTCTTGAACTCCTGACCCAGTGATCCTCCCACCCTGGCCTCCCAAAGTGCTGGGATTACAGGCGTGAGCCACTGCCACCGGCCAGAGATAGGAGTTTTAAGGAGGCATTTAAAATTAAATGAGGTCACCAAGGTGGGGCCCTAATCCAATAGGATGGGTGTTCATATAAGAGGAGGAAGGGACACTAGAGATTCCTCTCTTTCCGTGCTCACATGGCGGAAAGGGCACGTGAGTACACAGTGAGAAGGCTGAGGGCATCTTGATTCTGAACTTCTAACCTCCAGATCTGTGAAAAAATAAATTTCTATAGCTTTAAGCCATCCAGTTTGTGGTATTTCCTTATGGCAGTCCTAGAAGACTAATACATTCCCTGACGTGTTCTAACAACACATGGTATCGCCATATACAAACTGCCCTTAGGCCGCAACACTGTGATTTGTAGGTAAAGTCAATTTAACGATTTTTTTTTTTTTGAGATGGAGTCTCCCTCTGTTGCCCAGCCTGGAGTGCAGTGGTGTGATCTCGGCTCACTGCAAGCTCTGCCTCCCGGGTTCACGCCAATCTCCTGCCTCACCCTCCCGAGTAGCTGGGACTACAGGCGCCCGCCACCACGCCTGGCTAATTTTTTGTATTTTTAGTAGAGATGGGGTTTCACCATGTTTACCAGGATGGTCTCGATCTCCTGACCTCGTGATGTGACCGCCTCAGCCTCCCAAAGTGCTGGGATTACAGGCATGAGCCACCGTGCCCAGCCAATTTAAGGTTTTTATCAATAACTCCAACTTGACAGATTCTCCGTTTCTTCTTTCTCTATTATGTGCCATTCCCTGCACCCTGCAATTCCTGAGCTCTGTTGCTGCTCAGTGTGACCCGGTGATGCTTCTGGTACTGTGGCAGCAGATCACCACTGCTGTGTTCATGATGCTTAGCTCAGGAAGGTTCCTGGCTTCACCCAGGAAATAATTCAAGGGTGAGCCAGTGGTATTAAACCACAACTTCTCCTGAAGCGGCAGTGCGGTGGCAGCAGAGGTACTGCTCCTTGCAGAGCAGGGCTACCTGGTAGGCAGCATGCCCAGAGTGGCAGCTCAGATGTAGTTCCACACTCATATTTATACCGAATTTTAATTATATGCAAATTAAGGAGTGGTTTATGCAGAAATTTCTAGAATAAGGGTAACTTCTGGGCTGTTGGGTTTTTGCCATGAAAAGGAGCTATAACTTCTGGGTGTTGCCATGGAAATGATAAACTGATAAGGCACACTGGTGGATGTTTTATGGGAAGGTGCTTCCTCTCCCACTTGTTTTAGCTGGTCCTCAACTTGGTCGGGTCCCTGAGCCCCACCTCCTACTTCATTCTGGCCACGTGAATGGTGGTGCTTACCTGCTCTTAAACTCCCAAACTTTAGGAGTTCTGATACCAGTGCTTGACAGAGTTCCTTCACATTTTTTCCATAGTTTTGGGCTTTCGGGCCTTTATTCTGTCAGTTCACCTTCCTATTCTCATTTTCTTTTTTGAGACAGAGCCTCACTCTATCCCCCAGGCTGGAGTTCAGTGGCAGGAACTTGGCTCACTTCAACCTCCACCTCCCAGGTTTAAGCAATTCTCATGCCTCAGCCTCCTGAGTAGCTAGGATTACAGGCGCCCACCACCACGCCTGGCTAATTTTTAGTAGAGACGGGTTTCGCCATGTTGGCCAGGCTGGTCTTGAACTCCTGACCTCAGGTGATCTGCCCACCTCGGCCTCCCAAAGTGCTGGGATTATAGGCATGAGCCACCACACCCAGCCTTTCATTTTATTATTTCACAACCACATATAGCTTTTTTTTTTTTTTTTCTCGGCTTACACAAACAATCTCTGAGGGTAGGTCAAAATGTATCCAACTCCAGACTTCGTTTTGTATCTGGTCCGCTATGCAGAACTCCTTTCTCATCGTGGGTTTTATTCTACAGGATTTTATTGTTTCTTCTGCAATCTAACCTCCATTGCCCTCATTTGCACCAATCAGTATATGTCTAAACCCAGATCGTGAACAGGGTTCAAGATCTTGCCCTTGAGTTTGCTGTAACCTGTACAAATCAGTGGATATATGCCATAAACTGAACGTCCCCCCTTAAATTCATCTCCAGTGTGATGGTATTTGGCTGATGCCTTTGAAAGGTGATTAGGTCATGAGGTCAGAGCCCTCATGAATGAGATCAGTGCCCTTATAAAAAAGATCCCAGGGAACTCCGTGGCTACTTCCTCTATGCTGGGTGAGGAGTCAGCAAGACAACTACATAAGGAAGCGGACCCTTGACAGAGACGCTGAAGCTGCTGGCACCTTAGTCTTGGACTTTGTAGCCTCCAGAAGTATGAGAAATAAATTCCTCTTGTTCATAAGCCACCTAGTCTATGGCATTCTGTTATAACAGCCCAACCAAGGTAATACAATAGTTCTCCCTTATCCATAGGTGATATGTTCCAAGACTCCCCAGGGGACGCCTGAAACTCTGGATAGCATTGAACCCCATATATACTCTGTTTTTTCCTATACATACATAACTATGATAAGGTTAATTTATAAATTAGGCACTGCAGGAGGTTCACAACAATACCTAATTACAAAATGGAAGAATTGTAACATAATACTTTAATAACAGTTATATAAATGTGGTCTCACTCACAAAATATCTTCTTGTAGTGTATTCACCTCTTTTTGGACTATGGTTGACTGGATAAATGAGACCACAGGAAACAAAACTGCGGAGAAAGGGGACTTCTTTCTGTCTAGACAGAAGCTGAAGGATTGCCGAAGTTTTGAAGCTATCACAGCCAAGCCTCATCTCCAGCCAAGTGGTTAGCAGACTCCCTTGTGGCAGTTTTACCAATTGGATTTTTAATGTTTCATTCCATTTTAGCTCAGCTTCTAGGACAGAATCTGTGATATAGAGGTGAATAATATATTCAAATGAATGAGGACGACAGCTCTGTCAACAGTTCAGAGAGTCCCAGAAAGGGCCTACTGTCTTCTCATGGTTTTACATTTTCCTGCCTGCCACCCATCCTGCAGCGTCTTCCCTGACACAGCCTGAGCTTCTTTAGCACTCCCACCCAAATTTCCTTTTATTTCTGTGCCTTTGGCAATTGCTTTTCCTCTACTTGCCTCCAATATGAGGCAGAAATGTTAATATGATCTCTTACTCTCCTCTCCAGTTCTCTTTGTTTCTCAGAACATTCTAGAGAGCATCTAGTAATAGTGACAGCCCATGTCTCTGTATTCCTTGCTTTCCTTCATCTGATTAAATAATACTGAGGAACAGAATCTTGGTCCCTCTTGAGTTTGTCCAAATACCATGTACAGGCCAGCATGGCAGCTTCCACCCTTTCTTTGAGGCAGTCAGGTTGGAGGGGGTCCCCTGGAGAAACTCCAACCAGCCTGCCAATGCGGTGGAGCCTCCAGAAGTCGTACCGTTTGCAGCGGGGAGGAGCTTGGCCCTGCCTCTTCCTGTGGAACCTGGGATTCAAAGGGTGGGCCGGAAGTGCTCTAGCCAGGGGACTCTGGCCTTATGGAGGATCCCTGTTTCCTCCTTTTTTTTTTTTAAACCCTTTTCACCTAATAAAACCCTGCTTTTCTCACCCTTTAAACTGTCTATGAGCCTAAATTTTCATGGCCGTGGGACAGACAAGAACCCCATCTTTGCTAAACCAAGGAAAAGTCCTGCAACATTTTTGGCACGCAGAGTGGGGGCTGGAGAGGAGGTGAGTGAAATGGGGATTCAAAACCTCTCACTGTTGCTCCTAAGCATGTTCATCCTTGGACTTCTGAATGTGGGAGAAAGGCCCCCAAACCCTGTCGCTCCCAGGGGTCAAGGGAAAGGCCCTTCCCTTCTTTTTTGGGGACCGACAGGCGATGGGTTGGGCGGGGGCGGCCCTCCTCGCTCCCCTGTCCTCTCCCTGCCAGGCAGGGAGGCATAGGCCCAGGGTCCGCACAGCGGGCTGGCTGGTTGCCAGCCGCAACTGCTGCAGCCTTTCCCTTCCCCAGCCAAGGGGTTTTACTCCATCTTTCAGTAATTGAACTAATCTCCCTGGTAGAGGAAGCACTTGCATAAGAAGAGGTTTCTCCCCAGGCGTTTTTAAACTTTTTTTTTTTCTTTCCTCTTCTCCACCTTGACAGCAGCTAACTTTTAATTTTTTTTTTTTTTTCCTTTTAGAGGATGTTTTTACTAGGCCAGGCCCCACAACTACCACTGTTTATATTTTCTGCAAAGATTTGGTTGTGAAATCACGCCTCCATCTTTTTTTACATCCTGGGGGCATGGCCATAACCGCTTAGCAAAGCTTTGTTTCGCAATCCTGCCTTAGGGAGTAAGTTTCTCCCTGGTTTAATATCTGCCTGTTCTCCCAGCCCTGTCTCATGAAGAACCCCATCCGGGGACTGGGTTTTCTCCTGCCTGTCCATGTAGTTATATGTGTGTTTGTATATGACGTCTGTTAAAAGAGTTCTAATTAATTTGGCCTAAAGAAGGACAAGTGCTTGAATTTAGTTTTTTTTAATGGGAAGTGAAAAGCTGTGGTACCTTTCGGTTCATGTGACTTTAATCTTTGAGAAATAAAAACAGCCCTAAAGAAATATTGGTAAAATGCAGGTCAGATGCAAGGTTTGCTAAGTGTTGTGAGGTTACAAACAGCTTTTTGGGTTTTGAGAACTATTTGACTTGCCGGCTTCACAACTGGTATGGCCTGGGGATGTATGGAACTAACCACGCCCTTAATTAAGAAGGCAAACCTTGGTTGCAGTTAGCACACAAAGCAACCTACAAAGTTTTACCTTAAAGTTAAAAATTGCTAGGAGTTACCATTGTAACATATAATTGAGACTACTGAAAGTAGATTTACATGCAAGGTGTGTAAGAAAAGTAAAATGTGTTTTTTAGTAAAAGGGTATAAGAAGGCATGGAAATGCAAACTTTTGCCTAGGGTTAAAGGATTGTTTTGATTTAAATTAGGAAAAAGTTGAAGGTTCAATGAAGTGGTGGAAGAATTTTGGAAATTAATCTTGCAGAAGAGGTTCTTTGTGTGAACACATTAAATTCACAGGGGTTGTAAAAGGTTTTTGCTTCTTTACATTTCTAAGTCATCATTTTGGCAAAATAAATAATTTATGGTAATCTGGAACTCTATTTCATGTAATCTGGAACTCTACTTCATAATATCAAGTGTTTTAAACCTTGAACATTTAACAGCTTTCCCGAAATCAAACTTCAGTTTCAAAATTGTCTTCCCTGGCACCTGGCTTTTCGAATACTTCAGAGGGCCCCTGAAATATCCAGAAAAGAGAGGTAAATGGGATTATTTGACAGGTACATGGGATTGCCAAAATGATGTTCAATCTTTAGGTTATATTTTTGGTAAATAGTGCTAATATATATTCCAAGATTGTATGGGATTTCTAGAATTCTAATGTCTGAGTATATGCTATCAATCACGATTAAGGTTGTTATGTTAAGTTATTGTAAACTACAGAGATAACCAAACTTCTTTGTCAATTGTGTTTCTAACTGTAACTACCTTGGACATTTGCTATTCACCAACAATTGTCTTGTTTTAATCCTTTTCAAAAGATGGTTTATAATGAGGTATAGAACTTTAACAGGTGCTCTCAAATGTAGGCTTCTGATAACTTTAGAGATTGTAACATTGGAATAAAAGAAAATGTACAGGACTCATAAAGAGCTGAAATGCTCATGAATAGCAAGCAAACAAAACAATAGTTCACTAAATATAGACTGAACTCAGAAAGCTGAAGCAACCTTTTTGACTTTTGGTTGGAATATTGCTGATCCATGTTTTGTTTTTCAGAGTCAAGGAAACTTATTTTGAACTGTTTACAGCCTTTAATAATTAAGGTATATACTCCTGTGATCAAAATTTGGAGCATGTTTGTTTCTCTCTGCCTGGTTCCTCTAGAATTTGGTAACTATGAGTATTCTTAAGGCAGTATAGTTGTTTGCATCAGTGCAATAAGAATCCATTTTTCTTTTGCAAAAGGACACAAGTGGAGAAAGTAGTTATTTTACTAAGGCTTTGACTAGAAGGGTATGCTTCCCTTTAAGGAGTCAAGCGCGACTTGCAGAGCCAATAAAAGGCCCATGGGGAAACTGGCCTCATACCCTTGTCTATGCAGTCCCTGTACAGGGTTCCTGACCTGTGGTCAGTAAAGAATGTCACTTTCTAGCAGGTCCAGGAGCTCCAAGTTTATCTTGGGACCTTAAGAGGGAGGATCACCCAACTCGCAGGTATTTGAGGATACAAACCCATGGCTGGGCTGGGCTTTAAAAGGTCTTATCTGTGATTCCTCGTGGATCACACTTCCATCAAAGCCAATCCAAAAGGCCTATGTAGAAATAATTATTCTTGCTGCATTTTATGCAAATAATCAGGCCAAGTATAAGACTAAAGTCTATTTAAATAACTCGGTCCTATGATCATTTGTTTCTTAACAAAAATGAGGACTGGAGAGAGAGAAATTATGTTTCAAAACTTATATATTTGTCATTAAATTCTAAACTCACAAGTTGTTTTTAAGTTTTTGCCTACCGTTTAGACTAACCCTGCTTGTTCCTGTGAACCTACCAGTAATTTCTGGCTGCAGCTCAGAAAGAATGAAAGGGATGGGTAATGTGGAAATCTGGATCAGTATTTTAGTTCTGAGCAATTATTCTGCAAATCCTGCCAGGTGTTGGAATAAATAGGGTTCCCATGATGTGAAGGTTTCCTTTTGGGGAAAGTAAGACCAAGGGAACTAACCAAAGTCAAGCGCCATACACCCAAATCCTAGCAAGCATAACTATAGCTGCCAGCTAGCAGGGTGTGCCACAAGACATCCCCTTTCCTCTCCCTTGTTGGAGGAGGAATCAGTTCCACAGCTTCACCTTAGCATTTAGCTTATGATAAGGAGTCCATGCAACACCCCCAGAGACACATTTTTGTCCCAGATCCAATTCCAAGCTTTGGGTTAAAGATCTAGAAAGAAAACTGGATTTAAGGGATCCAGAAGTAGACAGCAATAGAGGTTAAAAGGCACAGCGCAGGTGAGTGTGGCTGATTCCTGCTGATTAAGCCAACCCCAAGCTTCCTGTTTCATGGATAAAGGCACGTTAGTATCCATAGCATAAATGAGGTCTAGGGAACTCCAATGCTACTGACAGTAGGAGGAATAGAGGCATATGTTAGAGCAGTTTCACTCGTATGCCTGTCAATAGACCACCAAACAGGCTTTGTGTGAGCAACAAGGCTGTTTATTTCACCTGGGTGCAGGCAGGCGGAGTCCGAAAAGAGAGTCAGTGAAGGGAGATAGGGGTGGGGCCGTTTTATAAGATTTGGGTAGGTAAAGGAAAATTACAGTCAAAGGGGGTTTGTTCTCTGGTGGGCAGGGGTTGGGGGGGTGGTCACAAGGTGCTCAGCAGGGGGTCTTTTGAGCCGGGATGAGCCAGGAGAAGGAATTTCACAAGGTAATGTCATCAGTTAAGGCAGGGACTGGCCATTTTCACTTTTGTCATTCTTCAGCTACTTCAGGCCATCTGGATGTATACATGCAGGTCACAGGGGATACGATGGCTTAGCTTGGGCTCAGAGGCCCTGACATTCCTATCTTCTTATAGTAATAAGAAAAAATAAAACAAAATAGTGGTAAAGTGTTGGGGTGGCGAAAATTTTGGAGGGTGGTATGGAGAGATAATGGGCGATGTTTCTCAGGGCTGCTTCGAGCGAGATTTGGGGCAGCGTGGGAACCTAAAGTGGGAGAGATTAAGCTGAAGGAAGATTTTGTGGTAAGGGGTGATAGTGTGGGGTTGTTAGAAGAAACATTTGTCATGTAGAATTATTGGTGATGGCCTGGATGTGGTTTTGTATGAATTGAAAACGTAAACAGAATAAGAGGAGGAGAAAAACAGGTATTAAAGGACTAAGAATTGGGAGGACCCAGGACATCCAATTAGAGAGTGTCCAAGGGGGTTCAGTGTAATTAGTTGCTTGGTTGGTGAGTTTTTGGCTCTATTCTTGACAGAGTCTTTTTTTTAAGTTGGAGGCTGAGCTTAGTGAGTTGTGTTTTTAAAAGACCATTTGTCCGTTCTACCTTTCCTGAAGATGGAGGACGGTAAGGGATATGAAGGTTCCACTGAATACCAAGAGCCTGAGAAACTGCTTGGGTGATTTGACCTAGTAAAGGCCGGTTCATTACCAGACTGTATAGAGGTGGGAAGGCCAATCCGAGGAATTATGTCTGACAGAAGGGAAGAAATGACTGTGGTGGCCTTCTCAGACCCTGTGGGAAAGGCCTCTAGCATCTTGTGAAAGTGTCTTCCCAGACCCAGAGGTATTTTAGTTTCCTGACTGGAGGCATGTGAGTAAAGTCAATTTGCCAGTCCTGGGCAGGGGAAAATCCCCGAGCTTGATGTGTAGGGAAGGTGGGGGGCCTGAACAATCCCTGAGGAGTAGGAGAATAGCAGATGGAACACTAAGAAGTGATTTCCTTAAGAACAGATTTCCATGATGGAAAGGAAATGAGAGGTTCTAAGAGGCGGGCTAGTGGCTTGTAACCTACATGGAAGAGGTTATGAAATGATGACAGAATAGAATGGGCCTGTGAGGCTGGAAGGAGATATTTTCCTTGGTCTAAGAACCATTTGCCTTGTGTGGGATGAGATTGATAGATGGAAGTTTTAGTGGGGGAGTAGGTGGGAGTGGCCAGATGAGAAGGAGAAAAACTGCCATGAGGGATAGAAGTTGGAATACTAGCTGCTTTTTTTTTTAGCTACTTTATCAGTATAGGCATTGTCCTGAGCGATGGGATCTGATGCCTTTTGATGGCTCTTGCAGTGAATGACTCCAGCTTCCTTTGGAAGTAAAGTGGCTTTGAGAAGAGTTTTTATTAAAGAGGCATTAATGATGGAGGACCCTTGCATAGTGAGAAAATCTCTTTCTGCCTGTATAACAGCATGGTGGTGCAGGATATGGAAGGCATATTTGGAGTCAGTATAAATATTGACGCATAGTCCCTTTGCAAGAGTGAGGGTTCAAGTTAAGGCAATGAGTTCAGTTTGCTGAGGGGTAGTGGACGGGGGCAGAAAATATATGCGTCAGGTGTGAGGAAGAAAATAGATTTTGGAAGTTATGAGAACTGTAGAGAGTGAGTTGAGCATAGTTTGTGATTTTGAGGGCCTGTGAAAGTATTAAGACAGCAGCAGCCACTGCACGCAGACATGAGGGCTAGGCTAAAACACTAATGTCAAGTTGTTTGGACAGAATGGCTACAGGGCATGGTCCTGGCTCTTGTGTAAGAATTCTGACCGAACTAACCATGCCTAGGAAGGAAAGGAGTTGGTGTTTTGTAGAAGGGATTGGGATTTGGGAGATTAGTTGGACACGATCAGCAGGGAGAGCACGAGTGTTTTTATGAGAATTATGCTGAGATGGCAACAGATGAGGAAGAAATTTGGGCTTGACTGAAGTAATGGGGGCTGTCTGTGAAGCCTTGCGGTAGTACACGCCAGGCAATTTGCTGAGCCTGATGGGTGTCAGGGTCAGTCCAAGTGAAAGCAAAGAGAGGCTGGGATGAAGGGTGCAAAGGAATAGTAAAGAAAGCATCTTTGAGTTCCAGAACAGAGTAATGGGTACGGAGGGAGGTATTGAGGATAGGAGAGTTATATGGGTGGCACCATGGGGTGGATAGGCAAAACAATTTGGTTGATAAGGCACAGATCCTGAACTAACCTGTAAGCCTTGTCTGGTTTTAGGACTGGCAAAATGGGGGAATTGTAAGGGGAGTTTAAAGGCTTTAAAAGGCCATGCTGTAGCAGGCGAGTGATAACAGGCTTTAATCCTTTTAAAGCATGCTGTGGGATATGATATTGGCGTTGAGTGGGGTAAGGGTGATTAGGTTTTAATGGGATGGTAAGGGGTGCATGATCAGTCGCCAAGGAGGGAGTAGAGTTGTACTAGTAGATTAAGGTGGGGAGATACAAGGGGAGGATGTGAAGGAGGCTTTGAACTGGGGAAAAGGGCAGCAATGAGGTGTGGCTGTAGCCTAGGAATAGTCAGGGAAGCAGATAATTTAGTTAAAATGCTCGGCCTAATAAGGGAACTGGGCAGGGGGAGATAACTAAAAAGGAGTACATAAAAGAATATTGTCCAAGTTGGCACCAGAGGTGGGGAGTTTTAAGGGGTTTAGAAGCCTGGCCATCAATACCCACAACAGTTATGGAGGCAAGGGAAACAGGCCCTTGAAAAGAAGGCAATGTGGAGTGGGTAGCCTCCATATTGATTAAGAAGGGGATGGACTTACCCTTCACTGTAAGAGTTATCCAAAGCTCAGCATCCATGATGGTCCAGGGGGCTTCTGAGGTGATCGGGCAGCGTCAGTCTTCAGCCGCTAAGCCAAGAAGATCTGGGAAGGAGTCAGAGAGCCTTGGGCCAGAGTTCCAGGGGCTCTGGGAGTGGCTGCCAGGTGAGTTGACAGTCCGATTTTCAGTGGGGTCCTGCAGAGATGGGACACGGCTTAGGAGGAATCCTGGGCTGTGGGCATTCCTTGGCCCAGTGGCCAGATTTCTGGCACTTGTAGCAAGCTGGGGGAGGAGGTTCTGGGGGAACCTCTGGCAGCTGCGGTTCAGGCATTTGGAGTTCTTGTGTGCTGGAGATGTGGCTGGGGTTTGTCTCACAGTGGAGGCAAGGAATTGGCAACTCAGAAATGCGTTGCTGCCTGGTGCCTCCTCTCTATTATTGTACACCTTGAAGGTGAGGTTAATTAAGTCCTGTTTTGGGGTTTGAGGGCTGGAATTTAATTTTTGGAGCTTTATTTAATGTTGGGAGCAGATTGGGTAATAAAATGCATATTGAGAATAAGATGGCCTTCTGACCTTTCAGGGTCTAGGGTTGTAAAGCGTCTCAGGGTTGCTGCCAAACAAGTGATGAACTGGGCTGGATTTTTATATTTGATGAAAAAGAGCCTAAACGTTAACTGATTTGGGAGAGGTTGGATAAAGAAAAAGGAGTATTAACCTTGACTATGCCTTTAGCTCCTGCCACCTTTTTAAGAGGAAATTGCTGGGCAGGTGGGGGAGGGCTAGTTGAGGAACAAAACTGTAAGCAGGACTGGGTGTCAGGAGGGGAGGTGATAAAAGGATTATAGGGTGGGGGAGTGGAGGCTGAGGAAGAATTGGGACCTAGCTCGGCCTGGCGAAGAGCAGCCTGGGGAGGAGGGGAGAGGTCAGATGGGTCTGTAGAAAAGGAAGATTAGAAAGACTCAGCGACACTTGGGGTTGGGACTGAGGGGATAGGCAGGAGCGAAAGAAGGAGGATTTGGGACGAGTTGCCTTGGGAACAGACTGGGGAGGGACCTATGTGTAAAAGAATGCCTGGACGTCAGGTACCTCAGACCATTTGCCCATTTTACGACAAGAATTATCTAGATCTTGTAGGATGGAAAAAATCAAAAGTGCCATTTTCTGGCTATTTGGAACCATTGTCGAGTTTGTATTGGGGTCAAGCGGCATTGTAGAAGAAAATAAGGCGTTTAGGTTTTAGGTCAGGTGTGAGTTGAAGAGGTTTTAAGTTTTTGAGAACACAGGCTAAGGGAGAAGGAGGAATGGAGGGTAGAAGGTTGACTGTAGTGAAGGAGGCAAGTCCAGAGAAAAGAGAGGGTAGAGACATGGAGAGAAGTGTTGGGGGGTGCTTGCCCCCCAGGAAAGTGGAAAAGGGGTAGAGACATGGAGAGAAGGGGTCGGGGGGTGCTTGCCCCCCAGAAAAGTGGTGCTTGCTGCTAAGGGTGAAGGACCAAGGCAGGTGTCCCCACTTGTGCAGACCCCTCTGAAACGTGGGTGAATAATCAGGCAGGCATCCCTGCACGATTAAACACCAAGGGAAGACTGTCTTCCTGAGTCCATGACCGGTGCCAGAGTTTTGGGTTCATGGATAAAACGCGTCTCCTTAGTGTCTACCAGAAAAGGAAAGAAACTCCCCTCTGTCTTTGCTCTCCCCTCTGTCTTTGCCCTCCCCTCAGTCTTTGCTCTTGCTCCTGGTGGTCTGCCTGACATCTGAGCTTCAGCCTCCATTTATGCACTGACAACTCCCAAATTAAGAGAAGGGAGAAATTTAAGTGTGGCGCCAAGATTGAAAGGAGAAAGAGGTTGAGGGATAGTGAGAGAGGTTGGAGAAGAGAGTAAAGAGAGGCTGCTTAGCAGTGTTAAAGTTGGTGAGATGTTCCTTGGGCTGGTCAGTCTGAGGACCCGAGGTCGTAGGTGGATCTTTCTCGTGGAGCAAAGAGCAGGAGGACAGGGGATTGATCTCTCAAGGGAGGTCCGCTGATCTGAGTCACGGCACCAAAATTTCACTCACGTCCGTGTGAAGAGACCACCAAACAGGCTTTGTGTGAGCAACAAGGCTGTTTATTTCACCTGGGTGCAGGCAGGCTGAGTCTGAAAAGAGTCAGTGAAGGGAGATAGGGGTGGGGCCGTTTCATAAGATTTGGGTAGGTAAAGGAAAATTACAGTCAAAGAGGGGTTGTTCTCTGGCGGGCAGGGGTGGGGGGTCACAAGGTGCTCAGCAGGGGAGCTTTTGAGCCAGGATGAGCCAGGAGCAGGAATTTCACAAGGTAATGTCATCAGTTAGGGAAGGAACAGGCCATTTTCACTTCTTTTGTCATTCTTCAGTTACTTCAGGCCATCTGGATGTATACGTGCAGGTCACAGGGGATATGAAGGCTTAGCTTGGGCTCAGAGGCCTGACAAGCAGATAATTCCTATTCTCCAGGCCCTCCCTGCTTCATGGGTGCAAGCCACTTTGGCACACGTGGCGGTGCCTGCCAAGGTTGCCAGGACTCGGGGATGCAAGGATGGAAGAGGGAAAAAGGATGCTTTTTCCTCTCTCCCTCATGTATCTTGGGTATCAGCTAGGATGAGAAGGGAACCAGGGATCCCTGCTTCCCTCTTTCTAGATGCGTGGCCAACCACTGGGACTCCTTTGAAAAGTGCCTTCTTTTCCCTTTCTCCTCCTTTGTTCAGTTAGGTAATTTTGTTTCCATACTGCAGGACACTCCCTTCAGATGCATCCTCCAAACTGGAAAGAGTTAATTTCCTAAACCTTCAACTGGTTGGCTTAGGATTGGGCTCAGGGGAAGGGAACCCAGAAACTCAACATGCCGGCAAAAGGGTAAAGATTTTTTGCCAATTGGTCTTTTGGCCTGTCTCTCCCTGTGCAAACTGGTAAAAGGCCTTGGAATTTTTTAGCTGTCCTTACCCCTCCCCCTTGTTTCATTTTGATGCATGTCTTCTAATAACCCTGTTTTTCTGTTCTTGCCTTCAGGCCATCAAATTCCAAACAGGCAACCAGAGCCTCTGAAGATGGCCCCTTCTTCTGGGGATCCTCACATAGGCCTCGGAGGAAGCTCTGACTGCCGTTTCCCCAAAACAGCGCCCCCGTCTGCAGAAAGTGGTTAAGATTGGTCTTAGTCCTTATCCTTAATCTAACGGGAGTTAGATATACTTCTTTAGACGGGGGAATGAGACAGCCAGGTGGGAGGGGGTCCCTGGAGAAACTCCAACCAGCCTGTCTACTGAGGTGGAGCCTGGGAAGTTTGAGCCCTTTGCAGTAGGGAGGAGCTGGCCTTGCCTCTTCCTGTGTGGAACCTGGGATTCGGACGTCGGGCGGGAAGTGCTCTAGCAGGGGACTCTGGACTTGCGGAGGACCCCTGTTCCCCCCCTCATTTTTCCCTGTTTCACCCAATAAAACCCTGCTTTACTCACCCTTTAAACCATCTGCGAACCTAAATTTTTGTTGTCGCGGGATGGACAAGAACGCTGTCTTTAGCTAAACTAAGGAAAAGACCTGTAACACCTTACAGGGAGCAAGTTTGTTTTCCAGATGGAAAACACTGTGCACAATTGCGTGCCTCACACAGGTGTCTCGTCTTCTCTTTATAGGTTAACACCTAAAGGAGATAATTACTTAAAATCCATCATTCATTCGTGATGTTCCTTCTCATTTTATTATTTATTTATTTATTGACATGGATTCTTGCTCTGTCGCTCTGTCTGGAGTGCAGTGACTCGATCTCAGCTCACTGCAACGTCTGCCTCCCAGGTTCAAGCGAGTCTCCTGCCTCAGACTCCTGAGTAGCTGGGACTACAGCCACCATGCCCTGCTAATTTTTGTATTATTTTTTGGTAGAGATGGAATTTCATTATGTTGGCCACGCTGGTCTCGAACTCCTGACCTCAGGTGATCTGTCTGCCTCAGCCTCCCAAAGTGCTGGGATTACTGATGTAAGCCACTGCGCATGGCCGCCTTCCCATTTTAGAGAACAGATAACATCACTGAAGAATGCTGACAGTACAGGGAAGGAAAAAAACCTTTCCCCCTACCGCCTAAGTCAGGCCCTGTAAATCTGACTCACAAAAGACAGATTAACATGAGAAAAAAATAAGTTTATTTAATGTAAGTTTTATATGACACGGGTCTTTATAAGGAAATGAAGACTTGAAGAAACAGTTAAGCCTTCTCACTTTCATACTAGATTTGATGTGCAGAAAGTCATGGAAAAACATGACAGGACAAAAGCTTTTGGGCTAAGGTTAATAACCTGGTGGAAACTTAGCAAGGCCTGTTCATTACTTTCCTCGTGGCATCCCTCCATCTTCAGAGATAGGAGTGCTCATTTTCTGGGAGTACAGGGAGGGCTCCTCTCACAGGAGGGTTCTGTGATCTGCTTCAGGGAAAAGAGGGAGGTCAGTCCTTTCAACACCTGCCATTTCTCAAATTCTGTTTAGAATATGCAGTATGTCAAGTTACCAAATTTGGGGGCAACATATTCTGAACCTCATCAACAGATAAAGCAGAAGTTACTTAAAGTGACTCTCCCAGCTTACTTTAGCTTTGTCTTAAGAATCAGCTGCAAAGACATCATCAACCGAAAAGCAAATATTCAATCAATAAGTTTCAAAGAAGTTTAAAACAAGAAAAAAATAATGGTGAGGGTGTTCCCTAAATAAACAGGAGTTTCCCATTTGCCTAATTTGTTTCAAATTCTCTAAGGTGAGAATATAAGTTTCCCCCTCACTGCTTCATTATGCGGGTTACTACAGGAAGTGCTGCATCTTACTGTTAATTTGCTGATGTTAAATTAGCACTTATATGTCTCTTTCTTTGTAACTTTAACAGAAATAATCATCACGTGGAATTTTAGGTCATTGTTGTTTGAACTGTTTGTTTAAATTTAGGAATATTTTACCTTAAACTCTGGTCCTACTAGTGGGCCTATTCTTAGTATCGTTTGGCTTTTGTGTGTTGACCAAACCTGTATAAACTAAGTAAGTTTTATAGCTGAAAGTGTGCTTTCCAAAGTCAATTACTCTAGATTTTTCCCTACTAATATTTATATGACTTTGGAAATTTTACTCTTCAAAAGTACAGATTCATAAAAGAATCCCAGGGTTTGTTCTGGGAGACATGGCACGTCAAAACCTGTCTCGTCAAGTTACCCACTTACCTGTTACCCCATATATTGCCCACAGAAATATGCCATGTGAAGCCACTAGGATTATTTTTACTTTAGGTCTTCAAGACAAATTTATATTTTGTGGCTATGAAGAAAGTTAATGTTCCATCCATCTGTTCTTCCTGGCTAACCTGCTGTTCCTTCCCAAATACCTATGCCTGATTTTCAAGAGCCTTTACTACAAGTGCTCAGTTTTTGTGGGGAAAATAGCTTTTCAGAGAGTGGTGGAACAAAAAGATAATGTATTAATCATTACAAAGTAGTTCTCCTTAACTTTGTCCAGGTTAACATCAGATTTGTCTTTTGAAAGAGCATCTCTCAACCTAGTGTGTCTGGAATTGGTGGGTTCTTGGTCTCGCTGACTTCAAGAATGAAGCCGCGGACTCTCGCAGTGAGTGTTACAGTTCTTAAAGATGGTGTGTCCGTAGGTTCTTCCTTCTGGTGGGCTCGTGGTCTCGCTGGCTTCAGGAGTGAAGCTGCATACCTTCGCGGTGAGTGTTACAGTTCTTAAAGGCGGCGTGGACCCAAAAAGTGAGCAGCAGCAAAATTTATTGGGAAGAGCGAAAGAACAAAACAAAGCTTCCACAGTGTGGAAAGGGACCCGAGTGGGTTGCCGCTGCTGGCTTGGGCAGCCTGCTTTTATTCCCTTATCTGACCCCACCCACATCCTGCTGATTGGTCCATTTTACAGAGAGCTGATTGGCCCATTTTACAGAGAGCTGATTGGTCCATTTTCACAGGGTGCTGATTGGTGCATTTACAAACCTTGAGCTAGACACAGAGTGCTGATTGATGCATTTACAGTCCTTTAGCTAGACACAAAAGTTCTCCAAGTCCCCACTAGATTAGCTAGACACAGCACTGATTGGCGCATTTACAATCCCTTAGCTAGACACAAAAGTTATCCAAGTCCCCACTACATTAGCTAGACACAGAGCACTGATTGGTGTGTTTACAAACTTTGAGCTAGACACAGAGTGCTGATTGGTGCATTTACAAACCTTTAGCTAGACATAAAAGTTCTCCAAGTCCCCACCCAACTCAGGAGCCCAGCTGACTTCACCTAGTGGATCCCACACTGGGGCCACGGGTGGAGCTGCCCGCCAGTCCTGCGCCACGCGCTCACACTCCTCAGCCCTTGGGCGGTTGATGGGACCGGGCGCTCTGGAGTATGGGGCGGCGCCCATTGGGGAGGCTCGGGCCATGTGGGGGCCCACGGGGTAGGGGTATAGGGCATGGCGGGCTGCAGGTCCTGAGCCCTGGCCCATGGGGAAGCAGCTGAGGCCTGGCAAGAATTCAAGCACGGCGCACGTGGGCTGGCAGTGCTGGGGGACCTGGTGCAACCTCCGCAGCTGCTGGCCCGGGTGCTAAGCCCCTCACTGCCCAGGGCCGCTCTGAGTGTGGGGCCTGCCGAGTCCACCACCACCAGGAACTCATGCTGGCCTGTGAGCGCCGGGCAGAGCCCCGGTTCCTGTCCGCCCCTCTCCCTCCACACCTTCCTGCAAGCAGAGGGAGGCTGGCTCCGGCCTCAGCCAGCCCAGAGTGGGGCTCCTACAGTGCGGCGGTAGGCTGAAGGGCTCCTCAAGTGCGGCCAGAGTGGATGCCGAGGCCAAGGAGGTGCCGAGAGTGAGCGAGGGCTGCTAGCACATTGTCACCTCTCACTAGGGGAGTTGGGCCAAATTGACAATGGGGGTGGGCAAGCAAAAAATGAACATATTAATGTTGGGTTTTTTATTTGTCTGTTTGTTTTTGAGGTAGGGTCTCACTCTGTCAGCCAGGCTGGAGTGGATAGTAGCATGATCATAGCTCACTGCAGCCTCGACCTCCCAGGCTCAAGTGATCCTTCCACCTCAGTCTCCCGAGTAGCTGGGACTACAAGCATGCACCACAATGCCTATCTAATTTCTGTATTTTTTGGGAAGACAGGGTTTCACCATGTTGCCCAGACTGGTCTCAAACTCCCAGGCTCAAGTGATCCTCCTGCCTTGGCCTCCCAAAGTGCTGGGGCTACAGGCATGAGCCACTGTACCTGGTGTGTTGTTAATTGGAACGCCATTAGGCTGAGATGCCTTCTGTACCTTGGGTTCCTAGGTAAAAAAACCAAAACCCAATTCAACGTAAACAATAAATGAAACTTAAACCTAACCAATCAAAAACTGCCAACTAACCTCTAACTAGGATTCCAAATAAGGCAAATGCCTACCTGTAGCCAATCAAATAATTTGTTTACTCTGCCTCTGAGCTCAGCCTATAAAATCCTGCCACTCATGTTGCTGAAGCAGAGCTCTCTGAACCTCTTCCAGGTTTGAGTGGTGTCTGGTTCATAAATCTTTAATGTTCATATAAACTGTGTTAAATGTATTTTGTCTAAAGTTTTTCTTTTAAGAGTGCTAAAGAAAAAAGTATTGTGACTTGTTAAAACAATAAGGTAGACTTTAGTCAGGACTATTGCAATAGATGTAGGGATTATTGCAATAGATGTAGGGACTGCTATGGGGTTTTGCAGTGGGGAAATGAGATTGGCTTCAACTCCACATACAACAAAACAGAGTGGGAATTTACAGCGAAGGAGTAGAGGTAGGGGAGGAAGGGGTTCTGTATAGAAAATTGTTATGAGGGTAGGCTAATTTTTGCTAAACTGCCCTAACAGGATTCTTGCTGAAGTCAGGCCAGGGTGATCAGACACCATCTGGAAAATGATGGGGAATGAGGAATTTGGTCAGATTATAGAGGGTTATCAGATATCAAGGGTGAAAGATTCTGGCTGAACTGACTTGATAGAATTCTTGCTAAAACTGGGCTCCTGAGGGCATGCCCAGCGACAGGGCCTAATTGAAAAATAGAGCTCAAAGGAGCCACACTTGGTCAAGGAGGTAGTCTTTGTCATTAGCACATTTTGAAATACCAATTTGCCTGTTATGTCAATGATAAATGTGGTGTCTTTCTCAGAAACTGGAGCAATATAAAGAAACATGAGCAGGTGCTGTAGCTCATGCCTGTAATCCTAGCATTTTGGGAAGCTGAGGCAGGGTGATTTCTTGAGCCCAGGAGTTCGAGAGCAGCCAGAGCAACATAGTGAGACCTTGTCTCTACAAAAAAATTAAAAATTAGCTGGGTGTGGTGGTGCACACCTGTAATCCCAGCTACTCAGGAGGCTGAAGCAGGAGGATCACTTGAGCCCAGAAGTTTGAGGCTGCAGTGTGGTGTAATCACACTACTGCACTCTATCCTGTGCAACAGAGTGAGATCCTGTCTCAAAAAACAAAAACAAAAGCAAAAAAACAAAGAAATATAAATGGCTCTTACCCCTTTTTAAAAATGAGTTTTGGAATTTTCTCATTTTAATACAATGAACACACATTACTCTCACAATAGCAAATGTTAGGAACAATCTTTTTTCTTCACAAATGGAAAGCTTTTGTCAAAGAACCATCTTTAAAAGCAAAATATGTTTAAGAAAAACAGCAACAACTTCCCAAGAAAAGCTTTCGGTCTTCAATTCTACGTCTCATCCCATTTCTCTTATAATTTTTGCACATTGATAGGAATAATTTTTGAAAGGTGATAGGATGAGAAAGTGGATAAGAGTATGAAAATTCTGGAAGATATGTATTTACTTTTTTAAAGAAAAAAATAGTATGGAATATAGGTGGGGCACGGTGGCTCATGCCTATAATCTCAGCACTTTGGGAAGCCAAGGTGGGAGCATCACTTGAGCCTACAAGTTTGAGAACAACCTGGGCAACATGGCGGAAACCCCATCTCTCCAAAAAATACAAAAATTAGCCGGGCGTGGTGGCATGCGCCTGTCGTCCCAGCTACTTGAAGGGCTGAGGTAGGAGGATCCTTTGAGCCTGGGAAGCGAACGTTGCAGTGAGCCATTTTGCCACATGCACTCCAGCCTGGGTGACAGAGTGAGACCCTGTCTCAAAAAAGAAAAAAAGGAAAGAAAAAAGAAATAAAATAGTATGGAATAGAGCCTCAAGTGTTCGCAGGGGACCATCTCTCTAACTGACGTGCAGAACAGGCTTAGCCATGCGAAATAGATGTGAGTTCAGATCCCAGACAAGACATCAAGGTTAGTTACAGGAGAGTGTCGGGAGGAGGATTCAAGGAAGAACTCAGAGTGGCCAGAATGCTTGTTTAAAGAGGAGCAGAAATTATCTGATAAACTGCGTAAACTGCTTGTCAGCTTTACAATGTAAATGAAACTATTAGCAAGGTGAAAAGCTGACATCTGCTTGCAGGACAAATCAAGTCAAATAATTATTTTTTAGATTCACTTATGCTAGAAAGCAGACGTTTACTTCCTAGTCTCTAATACTGACCAAGTCACCACACCCTCTTGGAATGTTTACTGGGGCTGAGTGAGTGGAAAGTGAGGGATGGGAGGAGGAAGGGGGATGGGAGGCTGACAGTCTCTCAGCATTGCCTTCAGGCTTTCTGTTAGTATTACCAGACATTTGAAATGGGTGACACAATGAGGATTTACACAGAAGGAAGAACTGTTTGCTTCTCTCTAGGCCGCAGAAGCTTCTGTATCTCAAAATTATTATTCCAAAATGATTTTGCTTTCCATTTACCCACAAGGACCTGACCCAAAAGGTATTTAGTTTTCAAATGAGCATACAAATAATTCAAAACAAAACAAGCTCTTAACAACAACAACAAAACCTTATTTAAAATCCCTGGAAGGCATCTAGTGAGAGCAGTATGTGACTGACGTGGTAAATTAGGCCTGCTGGAGAAAAAATCAAGACAAAATATGGATTCATTGTTATTTTGAAAGGCAGCCATCTTTCCAAGAGAATGTGTACACCACATTTTATTAAGAAATTACATCTTTCCCCATATTTTCCTTTTCTCTTTCACATGCTGGCAATGGCAAGCAGGTTGAGCAGATGTGATAAAAGAATTAATACCAGTCTTGGGAACACGTAGACGAAATATTTCTTTTGAAATACCTACCTTTAAATTCCATTAGTTCAATCTGATACTGAAAGAGCCTGGATTAGGGAAATGATTTACACAGCACAGGTTGTTTGTCCAGACTTAGAGCCCTTTTGTAATATGAAAAACGTGAAGATGAATTTAATATTTCTCCAATGAATTGGCACAGGGTTTAAAATCTTGCTTTGACTGAGATAATTGCGTTTGTTTTAGTGTTAATAAATTCACCTCGGTGAGAATTTTTCTTTTTTTTTCTTCTAGATTCATTCATAGCTGCTACACATTCATCTCTATATAAAACCTACTCTCCCCTCTGAAAAAGCAGCATAACCAGTCAACGAACAAGTATATAGGATTAGCACATTATGAAGAATAAAGAGAAGCTTTCAGCTCTCCGTCATGGATGATATTTATCACATTTTCCACGACTGGCTCTAATAACAGTGCAGAGATAAAATAGGCTTGATGCATCTTTCCTGTACAGAGAATTTTACAACAGCAACTGTAAGAAATTCAGGAGATGAAACACTTCTCCCCTCTTGCAGTTTTTATTAGTCTTAAAAATGGGAGGTGGGTGTGTGGGGGAGACTGTTTCTACAAAAGTGGGCTTGAATTTTCTGTCTGTTATGCTAATGTATTCATAGAAAAAGCTGGTGCTGAGGGCGGTTCTCCAATTAAGACAAATGAGGCACATTGAATTTCTCCCCCAGGGCACAGCAGGGGTGCTGGCAAAATCTACTTTATTCTTTTCTGTCAGGACTGAACTGGAAACAAAAGCATGAAAATTCAACACATCCACTTACAGAATAATAAAGGCTGTTGTTTAAAGCGTGAAGAGTTTTGGCACCCTTCTGGGGCCTTATGCAAATCGCTCTTCCTCTCAACTGCTACCACACCATCGGTCTTGGAAATTAAAGATGTACTTGGTCGGTTAACAGCTGAAAGGAGAAGAGCAGCCTGAAACTCAATTAGATTTGTATTAAGCAAATAAATCAGGACTGACTGATATTGGCTAAACTAAAATGCATTATGGGCTGACAGTAATTCTAATTTGATGGACAAATATATGTAGTGTGTTATTAACCTAAATGAAAGATGAGAATCCTTTTTTTTTCTTTTTAAAGGATTTTGTTCTAGTAAACAATCCGCTCTCCCTCTGAACTTACACAAAACAATAAACAGAGACTACTGGTATGGTTCTGTTTACAATCCATGCTCAAGAACACAGGAAATCTATTTTCTATTACGTGGTTAGAGTTTGAGACAAAATTATTGTGCTGAAAGACATTTGTTTTTATCGATTTATTTGGTGTAATGTAACATCTCAACACATTATTTATTTGGTACACCAAGCACGCTATTTTTATTATGGTGAGTAACACAAAAGCATAGACCTGGTATATGTCTCATTATTTATTCGGAACCCTGTAGTATAGGAGGCTTTTCCACACCAGGGCACATACAAAGGGGCCTCAAATATGGTTCAAAGTCATAAATGAAGATTTCAATAAAATCCTCCAAAGCTTTGAGGAAAACAAAAAACACTCAACAAATAGCATAAACGTGTTGGTGTGTGTGGTTGGATAAGACATTTCCTTTGAAAGAAGAGTTTTGGGAGTTTCAACTTACTTCCTTGTCTTTGCTGTTTACACCTTTAGAACTTACAGAAATGGCCAGGTGTGGTGGCTCACACCTGTAATCACAGCACTTTGAGAGGCTGAGGCAGGAGGATGGGTTGAACACAGGAGTTTGAGATCAGTCTGGGCAACATGGAGAAATCCTCATCTTTAAAACATACTTTTTGACAAACTTAGCCACGCTTGGTGGCACATGCCTGTGGTCCCAGCCACTCAGGAGGTTGAGGCAGAGGATTGCTTGAGCTTAGCAGTTCGAGGTCGCAGTCAACTATGATCACACCACTGCAATCTAGCCTGGGCAACAGAATGAGACCCTGTCTCAAAAACAACAACGAGAAAAACCTTACAGAGATTTAGGTCATTACATTTAACATCCTGCTAAATTAATAATTAACTAGTAACTTAATACTTTTGCTTTGGTTGTAACTATGTTCTATTTTCGTCACCTTTTCCTTCTGGCTATCAGATTAAAGACTCATTGACTCACTGTTGTCTTTCAATTATCTTTCCTTCTACATTTCCTACCTGGCTCTTCTTGCCAAATCCTGCTGCGTTTTGCTCTGCATAGGTGCCAGAAATTGTCTATTTCTCCCCTTCAAAACTTGTCCAAACCTTTGCCCCTGTGTGGGCAGCTTCCTGCCGCAGCTCTTGCCAGTACCTGTTCTCATATCTCCTTGTTGGGGCTCAGAAAGCAACACCCCAAAACATGGTGCTTTGGCACTGCTGAGCACTTTGAACTGGAGATCAGAAGGCCTTAGAAGCTGCTTCAGAAGCAAAATCTCTGACCTTCTCCTGTTCTCTCGTCCTCTCCCTCTCCTTCTCCTCCAAAACAAGTTATAGAGTCTAGAATTTCTCTTCCCCAAGGCAGGTTATAGAAACTAGATCTCCTCTCCCCAAAAAGCAAGCCATAAAGAAGACCCTCATTCCAAAGGAGTCCTTCCCTGTAGCCAGGAGGAAGGAATGCCACACAGAGAGGCCAAGGTGAATTGGAACAGACAGGGATTGCTGGGTTTTCACCCCTACAGTCTATTACCACTAGATCATTCCCTTTGTCCAGTCACATTTCTACGTGGCTGTCTATTCTTCATTGAATCTAAGCATAAAAACAGACAATTTTCCCTCAGTCTTTGACTCCTCATATCTCAAAGTTTGAGATATGAAGACTCAATCTTTGTCATGTAAAACTTGATTATATCAAGTAACTTTGTTATGCCTTTTTTTTTTGAGTTGGAGTCTCGCTGTGTCGCCCAGGCTGGAGTGCTGTGGCGCGATCTCGGCTCACTGCAAGCCTCGCCTCCCAGGTTCACGCCATTCTCCTGCCTCACCTCCCGAGTAGCTGGGACTACAGGCACCCGCCACCACACCTGGCTAATTTTTTTGTATTTTTAGTAGAGACGGGGTTTCACTGTGTTAGCCAGTGTGGTCTCGATCTCCTGACCTCATGATCCGCCCGCCTTGGCCACCCAAAGTGCTGGGATTACAGGTGTGAGCCACTGTGCCCAGCCTGTTACGCCTTTTTCTGGTTAAGCTTCCCCCACTCCCCACCTTTTTTTTTGTTTCAGAGGGTATATGTGCAGATGTATTACATGGGTATATTGTGTGATGCTGAGATTTAGGGTACAGATGGTCTTGTCACCCAGGCAGTGAGCATAGTACCCAATAGGTGGTTTTTCAGCCCACGCCCCCTTCCCTTCTCCTTCTAGTAGTCCTCAGTGTCTATTGTTCCCTTCTTTGTGTCCATGTGTACTCAATGTTTAGCTCCTACTTGTGAGAACACACAGTATTTGTTTTTCTGTTCCTGTGTTAATTCATTAATTCACATAGGATAATGGCCTTCAGCTGTATCCATGTTGCAAACGACATGATTTTTTTCTTTCTTATGGCTGTGTAGTATTCCATGGTATATATGTACTGTCTTTTGTTATAGGAGTGTTGGCCATGACCCTTATGATGGATGAGGAAAGGGATCATACCTTTCTGTCCCACATCCTCTACTGAACATATCAAAGATTCTTGGCCAAAACCAATTTTCCCTGACACTCTGTCTCAACTGTTCTTTCCCATTATAATTGGTGTTGATATGGACAGGAGGCAGAGAAATACTAGGTAGAAAAGGGTGGGGCTTCTGGCAAGTGTTCTACCCCCAAGCCTGGACCCACGTCCCTAAATGAGAACTTCACATCCCTGTTTTTCTGCGCAAATATTACCTTATGTGCTGCCACCCTCACATCCTGTGTCCATAAAAACTCCAAGCTCCACTGGCAGAGGAGCCCAGTGGTGTGGCAGAAAAGGAGAGAAGAGAAGAGGCAGCTGGACATTGGAGACTACAGTCAGAGAGGAGTTTGGCTGTCTCCAGCTGAACTCCAGGGGAAGATTATCTTCCTACTCCATCCCCTTTCCAGCTCCCCATCCTACTGAGAGCCACTTCCACTGCTCAATAAAATCTCCACATTGATTATCCTTCAAGTCTGTGTGAACTGATTCTTCCTGGATGCTGGACAAGAACCCAGGTACCAAGAGGGCAGGGTGTAAAAGCCTGTCACCCTGATCCTCCACTGACCTGGTTTAACACTTAGCCATCTGTGGATGGCAAATGCTAAAAGATCATTGTAAGACATGCCCTCTGGGGCTCTAGAGGTCACTAGCAACCCCTAGACACTGCCATGGGCCAGTACCAGGTTCGTTCCTTGCTCCTGCACCTGCCAACCTGCAAGCTTCCCCTCCTGTAAGGAGTTTGAGTGCGGTGGCCGAGCAAAGGAGACACCCCTGTTGCAAGTCCCATGAGGGGGTCAAGGGAACTCTCCCGTCTCAATATTCCTCACTGATAATGAGAGCAAAGAACACCATAGAATGAGACTTCATGAATTGCCATCAAGTTTTGCACACAGTTACTTTCATCCCAGATTAAAGTCTCTCTTTTTAGCTTTTCCAACAGTTGTCATCTCAGACCACTCAACTGCTGCTCTCACTTCTCTCTTCTCCTTCCTCTGCAGAGCTGGCCATACTCTTTTTTTTTTTGTCACTCTTTTTTTGTTACATTTTTGCTTGCTTTCTTGTCATTTCCTTTAAAATTCATCAACAAAATTAGTTTATTAAACTTTGATATCCATCCCAGTACTCATATATAATTTGATAGTGACAATCCTTCCACTTATTGTGAGTTTAGAATAACTTTGTTCTATAATATTGATTAGGTTCAGGGCACACTAACCCAAAATATGGCACCTTGGCATATTGAATATTTTAAGCTGAAAGAATCTGAGAAATTCCCTATGCTGGAAGGACTTTCTGACTTTCCCTAAAGCAGGTCATGTGAGAGGTGCCCTCCTTATACCTGGAGGAAAGGAGCATCCATATCTCCAAAGACACAGGGATGCTGAGAGGAATCTGAATGGACAAGCCTTGTCGTTTCTCCTAGTTTATTATAATTAGCACATGCCCATTTTATGCTATCATATTTCCCCATGACCGTCTACTCTTCATCAAACCTAGCATAAAGCAACCCAGTTTTAAGCACTTCTTTGGGTCTTCATTTCCTATTGAAGGCTCCAGTGTCACGCAAAACATACACATTTCTATGATTCTTTCTTTCTGTCTTTTGTTCCAGGGGCCCCAGCCAATGAACCTAAAATGAGTAAAAGATAAAGATGTTTTTCTCCTCCCCAACAATATTTGATTAATGCTTTTTCAGGTTTCAGACTTTTAGTTAACATTCTGTATTGTGAGATTACTTTTAAAAAATGAGATTCAATCTAATTTCTTAAATAAACTTGTGTATACCTCTTTGGTTGTTCATTTTGGTTTTTTATTCCATTTAGGAACAGTAATGTCATAGACTTTTGACATTCACTGGATGCCCATTCAATGGGCCTTCATAAATCTCAATAATTTTTTTTCATTTTAAAAAATCATGATAAAACACATACGACGTAAACTTTACCATTGTAACCATTTTTAAGTATACAATTCAGTGGCATTAAGAACATTCACAATGTTGTATGATGTGGTTCAGAACACACTGCCCCAAAATATGGCACTTTGGCATATTGAGTATTTTAAACTGAAGGAATTTGAGAAATAGGTGCTAGAAGGACTCTCTGACCTCCTGTTTTTCCCTTGAAGCAGATCCCAAGACCCTCATGTAAGAGGTGCCCTTGCTATACTCAGAGGAAAAGAGCATCCCTACCTCTGAAGAGGGAGGGATGCCGAGAGGAATCTGAATGAACAGGGCTTGTTGTTTTCCCCAGATTACTACCCTTAGCTCATAGCCTTTGTCCTATTACATTTTTCCATGACTTTTTACTCTTCCTCAAATCTAGTAGAAAAATGCACAGGCTTAACTGTTGCTTTGTCTTCATTTCCTTATAAAGTTTCCTTGGCCACATAAAACTTACATTAAATAAATTTTTACATATTTTTTCTTGTTAATCTGTCTTTCGTTAGTCTAATTTACAGGGTCCCAGTCAGATAACCTAAAAGGATAGAGACAAAGGATATTTTTTTTCTCTCCTACATGTGCAAGTATCACTGTTATTTCCAGAGCTTTTTTAAAATCTCAAATCATAACACTACCCATTAAACAATACCTCCCCATTCTTTCCTCCCAGCCTCTGGTAATCACGATTCCACTTCTTGTCTCTGTGAACTTGACTATTCTAGATATATAAGTGGAATCATACAATGTTGATTCTGTTGTGGCTGGCTTATTTACTTAGCGTAACAATAATGTTTTCAGGCTTCATCCCGTTTGCAGCATGTATCAGAATTTCCTTCCTTTTTTAAGGCTGAATAATATTCCATTACATGTATATACTGCATTTTGTTTATCCATTCATCTGTTGGTGGACATTTGGTTTGCTCCTATCATTTGGCTATTATAATAGTGCTGCTATGAACATGGGTGTACAAGTATCAGTTTGGGTTCTTGCTTTCAGTTCTTTTGGATATTGAATCTCAAGATTTGATAAGAAGTGCAGCATATGATTTTTCCAATAAAACTTACATTTTCCTTTTTCGACCCTTTCGTGTCTTCTTTCCAGTCATAACCCTTGTAGTTCATTTCCTCTGTGTGGCTATTTTCTGCCAAGAAATGCAGCTTTATATCCATTTGCGGGCAAAGGTAAGTCAAAACCAGCAAGGTGATAATTATTGTTCCCTTCCCACCACTGTGTACCTGTGCAACTAGTCTGCAAAGAGGAACATTGCCAAATTCTAGATCTGTGATCAATTACGCAATTTAAACCAAACTGTATCCTGCGGGGCATAAATTTCATACCTCAGACTCATACTCAAAGTATTTTTCTGCTTCTTACATTGCTAGGGAAGGGAGGGAAAGTAACACAGGAAGCCAGATGTGAGAGGACTAGATTGACACCTGGGTAATTAGAAGGCTTTGTTCCCTAAACCCCAGTTAAATAGTGTTGAACTATCACTCAGTACTAGCAGAAACAGTTTCCTTTTGCTTTTTTCTAAAACCAACTACTAAATAATATTAGGGTATCTTTGAAGCAATAATGTGTAATCACTTACAGTTCTTTTGAAGGGAATGTATTTAAGATTAAAAAAAAAAAAAAAAGCCCAAAGGCAGAGAGCTTTAAATAGTACCCATTTGGTAATAAATACCATTACTTCCCCTCTCCAACCTGCCCTACTCCCTCCCCCATAACGCTTAACACAAAGCTTCAGATTTAGTTTTGGAGAGAGTGAGTCTACATTCACTTGAAGAAAACTCTTGTTTTTCATTTGTTCTGTTGACTTCACTATATTTTAAAATATAAGTGTGTTGTGGAGAACATACTGAATTCTGAATTACTAAGTTGCATATCCATTTGTTGTAGAAGAGGATTTCAGTCCAACAGTAAAAGATTTTAGCTTGTCTCTATAGCAGGGGTTCTTGATCCCTAAGACAGGTAAAGATGAGATGAGAGGGAGAGAAGAGACACACACAGAGAGGCTTGTGATTCCTTGAGGGGCACTACTACTCACATCTCCTTTTGTTTTTCTTGCAGACATAGAGAAGGGATGGTGATGGTGATGGAGGGTCTCCAGGGGATTCACACGAGTTGTGGTGGCATCTCACTAGGCATTGACAAGGGAAAAAAATCCCACCCACATGCTTGGCACGCCTGGGCGAAGCCAGCAAGGACAGTCTCTAAAGTACCCTCAGATGGAAGTGTCCATGGAGCAGTTGTGATATGGTTTGGTTGTGTCCCTACCCAAATCTCATCTTGAATTGTAGTTCCCATAATCCCTATGTGTCATGGGAGGGACCTGGTGGGAGGTGATTGGATCATGGGGGTGGTTACCCCCATGCTGTTCTTATGATACTGAGTGAATTCTCACGAGATCTGATGGTCTTATGAGGGGCTTTCCCCCTTTGCTCGGAACTTCTGTCTCACCTGCCGCTATGTGAAGAAGGATGTGCCTACTTTCCCTTGCACTATGATTGTCAGTTTCCTGAGGCCTCTCCAGCTATGTGAAACTGTGAGTCAATTAAACCTCTTTCCCTTATAAATTACCCAGTCTCAGGCTGCTCTTTATAGCAGCATGAGAATGGACTAATACAAGTTGTCATCTAGACTAGTCTGCTCAAAGCTTGTCTTCAGTCAACTAGGTATAGTCCTGATTCCAAGTAGAAATAGCCAGGAGGTGGCCTAAGGGGCAAGGCATAGGGGCTATCTCTTCGGGCAGGTGGGAGTTCTGCCTCTTTCTAGTACCTCATGGGGCAGCTCTCCCAGCTCCTCTGTACCCTGAGGCCCCCAAATTGGCAGGTTGTTTTTTCTTAGTTCTCAACATCACATTTCTTTATTTCATTTCCCAAGATATACCTCAAATATAGACATTTTAAAAAGTGAATGCCCTCTCTGTGCATCTTAAGGGATTTTTCAGAGGTGTGCTCATACCCTTACTTCACACACACACACACACACACACACACACACACACAGTTCTATCAATCTATCTATCTACCTACCTGCCTATTGATCTACCTACCATCTATCGCCTCTCTATTGTCTACTTTTATCTAGGGAGAGCCCTGGCAGTGGTCAGTTAGTCAAAAATATTGCCAAGGTAGGAAAACGTGAAAAATGATATATATATACATTACACATCCATCCATCAATCTTTTTATGAAGGGATAAGGGCTATTCAACCTATTGAGAAATACAGCATAGTTTTTCTTGCACATACTTACAAATTAATGGTCTATAGTTTGCAGTTTTTGTTTCTTTCAAGTGAGGTGAGAGTGTATAGACAATGTGCAAGTAGAATCTTTCCAGATAAGTGATTCTCAAATGTTGGCATCTGGATTTCTTAGCTTCATCCCCAGAGTTTTAGGTTCAATAGATCTGGAGTGGGGCCTGAGAATTTGCATTTCTCACAAGTTTTCAGATGATGCTGATGCTGCTGGCCCAGGGATCACTCTGAAAACCACCATGGATTTTCATTATACTTTACAGAAAGCAAATATGTAACGTTTTATAGGGAGAAGAAAGAACATTGATTAATAGGAAAGTTGGTTAAGAGAAAGTAGGTTGAGAATGAATATAATTCTATCCCTATTTTATACACTTGATATACAGCAATCCTTGTTCACATACATTTTTTCCAGAACACTCTTAAATCTCACATAGGATATTGATAATGTGTTATAAATAGTTGAGTTTGCAGGGGGTAAAAGGAGATTCTTCCCGGAAATAAGAATGTTCTTTAAAACTTTTTCTCTCCACAATGATGGAAGTTAACTTCTCAGTGCTTCTTTACTTACCTGTAAATTGGCATGAACACAATTACATCATAGAGCTCTCCAGAAGACAAAAGGGGATAATATATAGTAGTTTTTCTCAGATGTTTTCACCATGATCTTTCGTGATAGGCGAGGGATTGGGAGAAACCCAAAGAACATATTAGAGAACAATTTCATTGAGGTCTTCTCTTTTGTATATTAAAAATGAATCTACAGGAGCCAAAAAAAGGAGAATACATATTTTGCCTTTTTTATCCATCAAAGATCCATTTGTTTTCATATAAAAATATTTCACACAACTTGACACTTAACCATGTTTATGTTTTGATTTCTGCTATGAAGAACAAGTACCTTAGTTTGAGAAACTTAGGGAAATGCTTTATAAACAGTAATGCATTACATAAAGTTTTTCTATTATTAGATTTTGTTTTATTTTGGCAAACGTGAGACACCCATAAGCAGATATACAGGCTTTGACATCTCATTAACAGATTCCTTATGCTGATGTTTGGATTTTAAATGATCAGACATATGATAAAGTCTTTTTCCCCCCAGATGTTGTCTACAGTGTTACAAATTTGCTTCTAAATTGTATTTCAGAGATACAACAAAGTCAAAGCCATTTTAAAAAGTGCAGTTGGCCCATGGATTTATTTATCTCTTAATAAAGTAATAGATGGTGGGGGCACGGGACTGTGAATTTGTAAAACAGGTAGCTAATGATTTCTGTGTTACATCATTGTTTAATCACTAGCATATTCAAAAATTTTAACTGTATATCTTATATTTACACATATGTACTGTTTTAATGCCATTTCTAACTAAAGCAAGCTGAAAAAATATATTCCCATTTATGGATGATCCATTTAACCATTATTTCTTGAACACTTACAGTATTAACATTTAGCTAGTTTCCATAAGGGATGCAGAGATATCTAAGACCCAATCCTCCATTTCTGCCCAGGCATGGTGGTTCACGCCTGTAATCCCAGCATTTTGGGAGGCCAAAGAGGGAGGATTGCTTGAGCCTAGGAGTTCCAGACCAGCTAGGGCAATAGAGCAAGACCCCCATGTCAAAAAAAAGAAAAAAAAATTCTCAATTTTTGAGAATTTCAGGAATTTTCCATTCTGTCAATTGACTGGATAGGTGCTGCACTTTTCCCACTTGCAAGTAGTAATCTACTTACAGCTAATAATCTTTAGCAGCATGGACAAAATAATTAGCTGGGCAGCTGTGGAGTCAAACAGTGAATCCCTACTCAGCCACTCCTTGGGTAGATGATATTGGGAAGATTATCTAACTCTTTCTGCTTGTCAGTGTTTCAATCATAAAACAGCATGGGGTCTTGTGAGAAGTGAAAATAATATATTTAAAGTATGAAACTCAGTGATCAACACTTAGGTCTTCCATCTCTGCTTCTTCCTACTTTCTTATCTACTAGCTTGAGTGCATGTGCTGGTCTGATTCCAGGACTGCTGGACATGTGAAGATGTCTGTCTTGGTTCAGGCCCAGATCACCATTCAGGGAGCTGTGACCATGAGGGCAGGAGTCACATAAATTGTCAAGGAAGAATTGCCTGTGGTGGTTCTTGTGGGAAGAGAGCAATGGACTTAGCTCCCATTTATGGTGCCACACCCTGCCCTGCTCACTGGTGAAAACTGAAAAGGGAAGACGGTCCATTTGTAGTTGAATAGAGCTCTAGGTTAACTTTATGATTTACCTGGGGACATACCATAGTTCTAGAGTTGGAAATCCACAGTAAGACTTTTTCCGTCATGAAATTTCCCCTTTGGATATTAGAAATGTTTCTCTATAAGAGAAAGCAAAGCATTAAACTAAATTTCTTTTCTGTTTTAATTTTTGAAAGACTCCAAAAGGCAGATGGGTAATTGACATATGCTTAGGAGGAGTTTATATGTACATTTTTTTGGGAAAAAATATCAATCTGAAGTGCTAATACTACACTTAAAGACATATAAATTATGCATTGATCCATAAAGATTATATTCTCAATGGCAGCTCCTCAGAAATGCATGGCCAAACCAAAGGCTCATACATATTTCAACCTATATAAATTAGATAATGTTACAAAAAGATTAGTGCTTAACATATACTTTGATTGTAGCCGTATTTCTTTCATACTCTTCAGAGACAAATGAGAAGCGTTAGGTTTGCCTGTATATGTTTTTGTGTGATATGTACATATAGATATATACACACATATATGCATATCAAATAGATACATATATTGATCTAACAATATACATACTAATTCAATAATTTCTCTTTTGTATTATTGGTACCAAAAATACCAGGAAACATTTATAAATTTACCAACATCTAAAAGTAGAGTGAGTGTTTTGAAATACATTTTTTATATATTGTTTTTACTTTATTTTCTTTACATTTGAAAGTCAGTATGAATAATAGCAATAGATTTTGACTTGCAGCCATTCACACCCAAAGCTCTTTGCCTAGAGCACCCCATTGCTATGATTTGGGTGTGATTCATCTCTGCCAAAACTCATGTTGAAATGTAATTGTCAGTGTAGTGCTATTTAGGGGTGGTAGGGCCTTTAAGAGGTGTTTGGGTCATGGGGGATCTGTCCACGTGAAGAGATTAATGCATTTCTTGCAGTATTGGGTTAATTCTCATGGGAATGTATTGGTTCCCACCAGAGTGGGTTGTTACAAAGCAAGTTTGCCTTTTGTGCTTTGCCCTCTCTTTGCACACACCTTCTCCTCTTCTGCTTCTCTGCCATGTTGTGATGCAGCATGAGGCCCTCACCAGAAGCTATGCAGATGCCAGTGCTGTGCTTTTTGGTCTTAGCCTTCAGAAGTCTATTAACCTATTTTCTTTATAAATTACCCAGTCTCAGATATTCTGTTATAGCAACACAAAATGGACGAAGACACCTATGTAATTATGGAACTGAAAGCAGGAAGGTCACAAATTACATTTATCAGTTGGCTTCCCTCTTGTGTGAGGCATAATAATACTCTTCCTCCCTCTTCTCTACTTGCCTGGCCTAAGTCTTGCTGGAATTTTGACTGATAAACTCAGATATAATTCCTGTTCTAATATCTCTTTTAAATAAAATATTAGGATTGGCTAGTCTATAAACCTGATTATATTGTACAGAATATAAACAAATTGTTTATCATTATTTAAATGTAAAACTTTTGGTCCTTTTTTTTTCTAAACAGTTTGTCATCAAAGTCTTTTTAAAACTTTTATTTTTTAAATTGACAAGTAAAAATTGTGTATATTTATGATGTACAACATGATGTTTTGATATACATTGTGGAATGGTTAAGTGAAGCTATTTAACATATGCATTACCTCACACACTTTTCATTTTATCTTTTTTTTGTGTGGTGAGAACACTTAAAATCTACTGTCTTAGCAATTTTCAAGTATACACTATATTGCTACTAACTATATTCACCATGAGGTACAGTAGGTCTCTTGAACTTACTCCTTTGGTCTAACTGAAATTTTGTGTTCTTTGACCGACAGCTCCCCATTGCCCCCACCCCCTAGCCTCTGGCGATCCATTTTACTCTCTGTTTTTACAAGTTCAGTTTTTTCTTAGATTCAGTATGTAAGTGAAGTCATATGGTATTTGTCTTTCTAAGCCTGGCTTATTTCCCTTAACATAATATTCTCCAGGTTCATCCATGTGTTGTTGCAAAAGACAGGATTATCTTCTTTTTCTTTCAAGGCTGAATAGTATTCCATTATGTATGTGTAACACATTTGCTTTATTCATTCATCCATTGTTGGGCACTTAGGTTGATTTGCTATATTGGCTATTGTAAATAGTACTGAGATAAACATGAGAGTGTAGATACTTCTTCAAAATACTGATTTCATACTTTTTGGATATATACCCAGCAGTGGGATTGCTGGATCATGTGGTAGTTTTGTTTTTAATATTTTGAGCAACCTTCATATTCTTTTTCATAATGGCTGTGCTAATTTACATTCCCAACAAGTGTATAAGGGTTCCCTTTTCTCCACATCCTAACCAACACTTGCTATCTTTTTTCCTTTTTGGTAATAGTCATTTTAACAGTTATGAGGTCAAATTTATTGTTGTTTTAATTTGCATTTGCTGAATGATTAGTGATGTTGAGCATTTTTTTCATATGCCTGTTGGTCATTTCTTTGTCCTCTTTTGAGAAGTGTATATTACCTGGGCCTGGTGGGGTTGAGAGAGGTGACAGCTCTGTTCCTGAAGTGGCTCAACAGTGGCTGCTTCTTGGGAGGGAGAAGAATATACATCTGGTTCTCCCTCCCTGAGGTTCCCCAGCAGGAATGGTTGTTTGATACCTCAGTAGCAAAAGATGCTGGTGTCCTCTCTGGAGCAGGCTGCTGGGGACCAGAGTAGTTCCTGTTACACGATTGGTATTGATAGCCTCTACCTCTTTGTTCCTAGCTGACTCCTGGTATCTCACGTATGCTAATGTCACCAGCAATCATTTCCTTTTTGTTTGTTTGTTTGTTTTTGAGACAGAGTCTCGCACTGTCGCCCAGGCTGGAGTGCAGTGGCGTGATCTCGGCTCACTGCAAGCTCTGCCTCCCGGGTTCACACCATTTTCCCGCCTCAGACTCCCAAGTAGCTGGGACTACAGGCGCCTGCCACCACGCCCGGCTAATTTTTTGTATTTTTAGTAGAGATGGGATTTCACCGTGTTAGCCAAGATGGTCTCGATCTCCTGACCTCGTGATGTGCCCGCCTTGGCCTCCCAAAGTGCTGGGATTACAGGCGTGAGCCACCGTGCCCAGCCTACCAGCAATCATTTCTATGTGAATATTCTCTATTTTTTTTCACTCTACTGTGTTGCTGCAGATTCTTTAGTAGGCCCTTGAGCCCTCTCAGTGCTATTTACGCTTGTGGATGGCTGTCTGCATTTCTTTTTTTGTGGGAGGATGAAGGCTGGTATCTCCTCCTTTACCATCCTGGTGGCGTCTCCTGTCATCAAGGTCCTGATGGGGATATAACATTACATTACATCTATGGGAAAATCAGATTTGATTTATAGATTTTTTTTCTCTATGGACGTAATATACCAATCTGCCTTTAGTTAAGAATTGTTTTGTTGGCTGATAATCAAGGGATTTCTGTTATCCACCAACAGCTAGTCTTTAAATGTAGACCTAAAAACATCTAAATATTCTTTTCACGATAATCTGAAATCTGGTAGGCAATGCACTAAATCTAATTATTTACAAATAAGGAGAAGTTACTTGCCAAATTTACAGTTTCCCATGTATGAAATTAATTTATATATGCCAAAACAGTTCTCCATATTGATTCTGGCATAAATGTTGCTGGCATAGCATTGGAATGCATGCATGAATATAAGAAAAAATTGATCATTAAAATCTAAGTTAAAAACAAAAATCTAGTGCACTCATTCTATTAAAGAACTTTCTTCTTTTTTTTTTCTTGGCAAGAAAAGTGTTTCTGAGAAGTTTTCTAAAAGCAGTAAGATACTCTCATTAGATAAAACAAGGTGCTGTGGTCTGGGGTAGCAATTTTGAATTTTTATCAAATGCAAGACTCATGTAATCCTTCCACAAAATGAACCACCGGGATAATTGGCTTAAAAGGTGATTCTCTTGCATTTCTTATGCAGACAAAAAATAGAGTGAACACTCAAAACATAAAAATAAATACTTGGCTGGGTGTGGTGGCTCACACCCAATATGTTGGAGGCTGAGGTGGGAGGATCACTTGAGTCCAGGAGTTTGAGACCAGACTGGGCAACAAAATGAAACCCTGTCTCTACCAAAAAAAATTAGCTGTGCTCAGTGGCATGTGCCTGTAGTCCCAGCTCGTGGGGAGGCTGAGGCAGGAGGATCCCTTGAGCCCAAAAGTTCCAGATTGCTGTAAGCTACAATTGAGACAGTGCATTTCAGCCTGGGTGACAGAGTGAGACCCTGTTTCAAAATAAAAACAAAAGCAAAAAAATGTTTGCCATGGATTTTATAATAAGGAAAGACTGAATCCCAGAAGCTATTTGTAAGGTTTTGAATATGTAGAACCCCCACAAATAATAGTGGTCAAATTCTTCAAATAGAATATGTATTCTTAATTATTGTGTCTGCTTAGATTCAGTTTAAATTGTTCCCACGTCATTAGAAAATGCCATGTTTACACAACAATGTAAGTTTTATTTATTTTTTTCCGTGTTGAACTGAAATTACTCACAGGTCACAGTTAGGAGAAAGAAAGAAACATCCAGATGGACTATCCTTTATTTTCTCAGCTGGACATTGTGTATGTCTATGGAATGTATCTGTGCAAATAGCATACTTCTACGTTCAGGAAGTGATATTTCAGAATAAGCTCTTGTAAAACAGTACTTTTTGTAGTTTGGGGTGAAGCCAAGGCAAAATTTAGATTTCTTCTGTTTCATAGATGAACTCTATAATAAACAAAACGAAGTCTATAAAGTCAATTTACAATATGGTTATTGTATGAGATTTGACATCACTGTAAAATATTACATTGGACAAAAATAATGCTGCTGAAAATACTTGCTGCCAGCAGCTCTTATAACTATAAGATAAGGCAACTGATAATGAATTCTTTTAACTTGGAATTCAAATCTCGGGACTGAATGTTACCCATTATTGGAGTTCAAAGGCAACTATCTCTAGAATTGTTCTTTTAATGCTTGTTGGATGGTTTTAGTTGTTCTTTTCTTGTAGGCACACAATTGTTGTCTTGATCTTTGTGATAAAAAGCGTTCTCTGGGTCTTTGTAGTGAACCCAGTTGGCTTGGTAACATGCCTGTAGTCAGAATTCCAAAGTGGGGAAACAAAGGCTTAGAAATTATTGGCTGAGAACTGTTTGTTCAGAACTGTGGGAATCTTACCCTGGCCTGTGGAACCAATGGTCTGTCTTCATTAGATCCACATTCATCCAGAAACTCCCCAATTCCTTGCCCTTTTGTCTTTTCCCAAACTAGAGCTTTAACCACAATAAAAACAAATGTGGCAACTTCTTTTGTAAATCAATTCCTACCAAAATTCCCAGTGTGCTGTAATTCTTCCCCTTCATGTCATCATTCCAAAAGCATGGCATTAGCTTATTCAATGTTACATTTATTTCCATAATAAGGATGTGTCAAGGGGCAAGACATTTAAAGGCAAAGCAAAAAAAAAAAAAAGCTTGCCTTTAGGCCTAATTGAATGGTGATGAGTTCGCGTCCCCCTGTCCATTGGCGTTCATTTTCCAGGGTTAATTAAACAAACAAATATAGTCCAGCAAGACTATTTTAGACTACATAGTTTAAAACATTCAATACAAGTTGAAGTACAATCCAGTAAAGTAAATTTCACCAACAAATGCCATATAATTGAAAGAGAAAACATAGCAATTTTACATTTTTTTTTTCTGAGTGTAAAGGTATTCTTAAACCAACTGACACTATGTCATCTGATTACACAATTGTGACTTGGAAATGCGAAGAATTTTCTTTTGTGTGTCTAAATAATGCGAGTTGAATTCCTCAGTGTTCTTATAAATACTTTAATTACACTGAAGCTTTATCAGCAGGGAGCCATGGGAAGTATGTAGGGCCCTGGATAAACATTTTTAAAAGCAAGAACTATTCAAGTTACACAAAAGACAGGACAGTCATAACAACAGCAGCAACGACAACCACAACAAACTGGGGAAGCTGTACTTTTTAGGAGAGGAGGATTGAATTGTTTTTCTTTTCTTTTTATGTCCCACTGTTGTTTTGGGGAAAATACCTAAAAAATGGGAAAGATGAAGCCTGAGCAACCGAAGGTACCGAAGAATTTTAAGTAGTGTCTTAGGAGAAAATTAAAAGGAAACCTGATTAACAGTGGTTCAGAGACATTGAAACTCCGTATATTCAGGCTTGGCTATTAGATCTAAAAAATAGAACAAGGGTAAGCATAACTCCTTTTAGGACAGCTTTAATCATCTTTGTTCAACTGTGATGGAATGCCTTACCAATGTGATAGTACATACTCACAGCCATAGGTCATTTTGTTTTCTCCATAATCCTAGTTACCATCTACATTTCCTCCTGAAATTTGCAGGTCCTGAGTAATATGGAATAAAAGTTTAATGTGGTTTGGCTTCAGGATTACAGGTCATAGCTATTAATTATTGACTGAGCAGTGCATGGCTTAATACAAGAAGGAAAATAATCAGAAAGAAATCATGCCACGTACCTTCACTGAAGCTTATGGTCTAGTTGTCTCTTTTTGCTCTGACTCTCAAGGGCTTAGCACCATTTCAACTGCATCGCTGCAAAGTTGATGAATTGTCATTGCCATATTTACCTTCCCTTTTCTTTGGCCTCCCTTCCTCCCTCCCTCCCTTCCTTCCTCCCTCCCTCCCTTTTTTCTTTTTTCTTTTGTATGTGTATTTGCTGTGTATGTATATGTATTTGTTGTATATGTATCTGTAGATGCTGTTTTGATTACATTCTGAAAATAGGTAGAAATTGGATAAATAGAAACATAGTAAGGAAAACACATTACATGTGGAAAATATTCAAACACATTCTTCAAGTAATGTCCAGATGGAATGCAGGCAGTGTGGTGAGGAAAGTGTAGGAGAATTGGGCTTTCTGTGGATAATGGGCACTTTCTGGGCCTTGGTTGTTTCATCTGTTTATTTTCTTTTTGACGAGATAATCTTTCAGCACCAACATTCTATCATTCAATAAAATGAGTAGCACTATGTGTCCCAAATAAGCAAACAAAACTTCATTTTCAGATTCTGTCTTTGAGTAGGTGAATTTTGAAAATTTTTCAGGTGCAGATTGTGGCTTAACTTACAGGTCCCCATAGTGGATGATCATCAAAATTGTAAAGTACAGATGTCCAGGTATCAACCCAAATGTGTTGAATGAAAACGTCTTGCAGTGGGGTCTGGAAATTTATGGTTTCGACAAAAATTTTAGTAAAAATTCTCCAGAGGATTATGATGAACTTCCAAAACTATGCTCCATCCAGCTAGATTCCTTTTGGTTTGGGGTTTTATTGTCATTGCAATAAGGAACAGTTCTCTTGGCAAACACTAAACTCTAAATTGGTGACACAGAGCTTCCATTTTCTTTCTTGTTTTCTTTTTTTGTAGTTTTAAGGAGCAGGGAGTCTAATAGGCAATAAAGAAGGGGGAAGAAAGATAGAAGAAGCTCCTCTGTACAGAGACAGAGGGAGGGCACTCCAAAGCCAAGAGACAGAACCCCCAGAGCTTCCATTTTCTATAACTGCATACTGAATACTGATCTCAGTTACTTGATAAAATTGTGTGACTTTTGTGATAAGCACAATTCTTACTTGATACACAACTGCTTAAGCAAACTTCTTCTTTTTTTTTTTTTTTTTTTGAGATAGGATCTTGCTCTGTCACCACCCAGGCTGGAGGGCAGTGGCACAGTCATATCTTACTGCAGTCTCGACTTCCTGGGCTCAAGTGATCTTCCCACCTCAGCTTCCCAAGTAGCTGGGACTACAGGTGCATGCCACTACACCTGGATAATTTTGTTTTTATTTTTATTTTTTGAGATGGAGTGTTGCTCTTGTTGCCCAAGCTGGAGTGCAATGGCATGATCTTAGCTCACCGGAACCGGCGCCTCTCCGGTTCAAGCAATTCTCCTGCCTCAGCCTCCCAAGTAGCTGGGATTACAGGTGCCTGCTACCACGCCTGGCTAATTTTTGTATTTTTACTAGAGGTGGGGTTTCACCTCGTTGGTCAGGCTGCTCTCAAACTCCTGACCTCAGGTGATCCACCCTCCTTGGCCTCCCAAAGTGCTGGGGTTACAAGCATGAGCCACTGCACCTGGCCTGTTTTTATTTTTCATAGAGACGAGGTCTCCTGGCTATGCTGCTCAGGCTGGTTTTGAACTCCTGGGCTCAAGTCGGGCTCCCACCTTGGCCTCCTAAAGTGCTAGGGTTGGAGGCCTGAGCCACTGCACCCAGCTCATAAGCATACATTTTATTTTTGTGTCTTATATACATTAATTCATTTAATTTATTTAATTAAATTGATTTTCTTTTTAAGATTTTTATTATTGTATATAAAACACTTATTTTCATATTCATCTCTGAACGTTATCAGGGTGTGCCACCCCAAAATATGCTACATTGGTATAAGAATTACTTTTGAGCCAAAGGCATTTGAGTTTCTGAAATAAATATCTCATCTATCTAAATGCAGAGCATACCAAAAGGAACTCAAAAGAATGAAATTGTCAGAAATCCCCTTAGTGGGAGCATCTCTAATCTTTTCTTCCCGGAGAGGAGAAGTCAGCACTACACCCAAACAGGACATTTTCACAAGACCATCATGATATCTCCCATCTAGTCACCTGTGGCTCCTTTGGCTTTCCAAAATGTCATTGCTTTTCTCTAAGTGCTCTTTCTCTCTTCCCTTTTAAGTAAGTTAGGTGTATAGACTTCAAATTCTAACTAACTTTTTGACACATATGAGAGGTGAACTTGTCAATACAATTCTGTTTTCGATTATTAATTTGTCATTTGTCAGTACAATTTGTAGGGCTCCAGGCAGAGACCCAAGAAGGGCAGAGGAAAAAAGGTTTTCTTCCTCTACCTCTCCCATGGAAAAATCTAGGAAACATATTTCCCTGCCCATTTAAAAAGCTTGATTCCATTTGCCATAGATTCCATAACTGAATGATATTCTTTCAATCGCCCTTTTATGTGTAACACAAAATAAAGCTCTTTGGTTTGCAAACGAGCACCTGTGTTACGGACTTAGTAAAAAAGAAAAAAAAGGCACAGACAGGTTAATTTTCTACACGCTTCATGAGAGATGATAAAAATAATCTTCTGGGGCTGGGCACAGTGGCTCACGCCTGTAATCCCAGCACTTTAGCAGGCCAAGGTGGGCATATCACCTGGGGTCAGCAGTTCTAGACCAGCCTGGCTAACATGGCGAGACCCCGTCTCTACTAAAAATAGAAAAATTAGCCAGGTATGGTTGTGGGCGCCTGTAATCCCAGCTACTTGGGAGGCTGAGGCAGGAGAATCCCTTGAACCCAGGAGGCAGAGGTTGCAGTGAGCCGAGATCGAGCCATTGCATTCCAGCCTGGGCAACAAGAGCGAAACCCTGTCTCAAGAAAAAAAAAAATCGTCTGGGAATATTTTTGCATTTCAACAAATTTGTTTCTTTGAAGTAGGAAATAATTTTGAAGAGTAAAAGGTGGGCTCTGTGTGTGTGTGTGTGTGTGTGTGTGTGTGTGTGTGTTGCAAAGCTATTTCCTATTCTTGCTGGTTGGAGCAGAAATTTCTCTGCTGGCCTCACCTTTAAAATATTCAGCTAAACGTCTGGGCCCGGTGGCTCATGCCTATAATCCAAGCATTTTGGGAGGCCAAGGCAGACAGATCATTTGAGCCCAGGAGTTGGGACCAGCCTGGCCAACATGGTGAAACCCTGTCTCTACAAAAAGAAAAAAGCAATAAACAAAACAAAACAAAACATAAAAAATTAACCAGGCATGCACCTCTAGTCCCAGCTATGGGGAGGCTAAGGTAGGAGACTCGCTTGAACCCGGAAGGTTGAGGCTGCAGTGAGCTGTGATCACACCACTGCACTCCAGCCCGGGCAACAAAGCAACACTGTATCTCAAAACAAACAAACAAACCCAAACACACACAAAAAGAAAAAAAAATAGCTAAAAAGAGTGCACTTCTCATATTTCCGCAGCTACATTCTACTCCAAGCCACTGTAATCTCTCATAAGATTGTGAGAGCCCCCCTAACTAATCTTCAATAAATCTTGGCCCCATTTCCCACAGCAGCCAGTGAAAAGCATAATCCCCTCTCCTCCCGTCTCCTCTGCTACCACCACTCTCAGGACCCAAACCTTCCACTTGCCTCCTGTAACACTTCGAAACACTAAGTCTTTATCATGGCCTTCAAGGGCTTCCATCTTTCTATCTCTGCCTGTTTCTGTTGCCCTGTCCCTTCTGACTGCAGGCTCACTCTGCCCCATCATGCTGGCCTCCTTGCTGGCCCTACATACGTGAATCTTCTACTGTCTCAGGCTTTGCACTTGCTCTTCTCTCTGCCTAGAAAGCTCTTTTTCCAGCAATTTGTACAACTCTGACCCTCACTTCCTTCATGTCTCTGCTCAAGTAGCTCCACATCAGTGTAATTTTTCCTAAACATCTTCTTTAAAACAGTACCTTTCCCTGTATTATCCCCATTCTATCTACCTTGTTTTGCTTTATTTTCCTCCATAGCACTAATACCATTTAATATATATTTATAATTTATTTATTTACTTATGTTCTATTTTTCCCCGTTAGGATATAAGACAAAAATATTTCTGTTTTATTAACCGTACTGTCTCCCCCACCTAGAACATGGACTGGTATAGTAAGTAAGAAACAGTATGTGTTGAATGAATGAATAATTAATCCTAAATACAATAATCAAGGGTGTTTATTCATTCATTTGTTGAATCAAAGAGAATCAAACAAATCTTGTTTCTGTCTCCAACAAATGCTGGAACCTCCAGGATTACTTGGTCCTTTATAGGATATGTGTCATTTTACAACGGTGTAAAGTTAAAAGTAATTTGTAGAAAACTGGTAGTAATGCAAATGATGTTTTTCTTCAACATGCAAATCAATTCTGTCTTGTGAAGATTCAACTTGTCTTCCCCATTGTCGAAGAAACCAGTTTTTTACACATTTGTGAATTTATTTCACTATTCTTCATCTATATATGTGTCTGTTCTGTGGATTTTCCTTTGAACTAGCAATCGCTTATCAGTTCTCTCAATGAGCTAAATACAATCTTTGACATGTGTTTATTTTATATTTGTATGAGAGTCATGATTTTATCTTTTTGGAAATTTGTTTTTTAACAAATTTGGAAATATACCTTATGCTTGAATGTGACCTATTTTGTCAAAGTGTATCTTTGGTGAAGTCATTTTAGAGCTAGGTGCTTGATGTTTTTGAGTTGGTTTGCTCATCTGTGATGACTAAGTGAACTAATATATTGGAAGTATAAAGGCATGTTGGTAAAGGAGACATAGAAGAAATAGATTGGAAGGCCAGGTTGAGTAAAAATGTGGGAGGATACTGGATGTTAAATTCTAAAAGCTGGGAGGAGATGTTGCCTTTGAAGAGGGTATGTATTTGTTGATTAGAAATCAGTTACTTCTTTGAGATCCTTTCAGGTTTCACAGACAGAGGCCAGTTAGTAGGTCTGATGCTGAATCAGGACTCTCAGAGCATGAAAATCTTTAGATTTAGGGCACTTTTTATGATTGCAATAGTTGATTCAAACATTGGAATTAGTTAAAGAAAGATAAAATCATATCCAAAGAAAATGAAATATAAAAGTAAAAAAAGTGGACAAGAAAAAATATTTAGAAGGGCAAACAGTTTTTGAAGATCCAGAGAGTGATGAGAAGCAGATACATAATGTTTTATGCTGTATGCATTAAAGCTAATGGGAGGGGGTGTGGGTATGCCTATTCATAAGAATAATGTGGTAATAGTCCAATGAAACTTCTGCTTTCTCTGATACCACAGATCTGAGATTTGAGATCTGATACCACAAATGCCTTAATGTGGCTGGCATTCATGAGAAGGTATGCAACTATTGTTGAAATATGAAGAACTCAGAATGTCAAGAGAGAAGAGGGTAAGTTCAAAATCTGAGTCATCAACCAAATTTCTTGACACTGACTGCCGCAGCCATTAGTGCTAAATAGATTTGAACCACTACCACCAGCCATAAAGGACAGATACAACCAGTAGTCCCTAGCAAAGAACACAACCTCAAGGACCAGTGGCCACAGCAGGGAATTATACTAACAATAGATCTATAATAGCCCTTTCCTCTCTTATTCATTGCCTCTGTAGATATTTTTTGTTCCTCTCTGGTGAGAAGGAACTGGCTAATGTGGGACTCTGGGGTGGGAATAGATTCTTTCCTTGTTGCTTTGAAAAAGTGCTGCTCATGCAGCTGTTATTTCTATGAAGACATCCAGTTGATAAAAGAATCAAGGGGCCAAACATAATAATTTAAGTATAATTGGCAACCAGATTCTCATAGCCTGAAAAAAGGAAAAATGTTTTGTTAATGAGAATATAGATCAAAGTCTTTTGTAGGAACATATGCTACATTTCTTTAGTATGTTTCTTGACAGAGCCCATTAGTCTGTCAATTTCTGAGTCCCAAATTGCAAATTTGAAATTGATGTAGACCCAAGCTTGGCATCAAAAATATTCTAGTTGAGTAACAAATCAGTTTTCACATTACTGTTATGTTTTATTTGCTTGATAGAGGCTATATAAGCAATAGGACTGGGATATGTGTGCATTCCGAGTGCCTGGAGTGGCGAAGATGGGGAAGAGAAAGGATACAGATGGAGTTCGAATGGATCTGGGTATATTAGTTATAGCATATGATTGCTGTATATCTGGAAATCCAGAAATACATATTTAGGAACAAACCCTATATATAATTGTTTACATCCACATCAGTTTGGTATTTGACATTTACTTACGTTACACACACACACACACACACACAAACAAACACACTGCATAGTTTATTTATTACATAATTCATTGGACCGAATTTATTAAATCATACCAGGGCTTAGCCTTGTATGGTCTATTGATTTCTAGTTTAGTCCTAGATTATAACTTGACCTACTCTTCTGCTAGATGGTTTACAAAAACCGCGAACAAAATTTCACAATGCTAAAGACATAAAAAGCAAATAAAAATCCACCATGCTAAATGCTCTCAAGAAGGTCACCTTTCTAATCCAGCTACTGTTACCAGAGAATACCTACAACAAAGACAAGTTTGTTTATGACTGTGGTCCGCTGCTTATCTGCACAATTTATTGGTCACATAAAATATTTTGTAATTTCGTACTACAGTGGGTTTGACAGAAATGTCCACATATCTTACGTAATACTTTGACTGGTTCTATCTATTTAAATTTAAATCTAAGTATATTATTTGTAAAGTTTCTAGGTTGAGTGTAAACATTGCACTGTATGCATAAATGGTTAAACCTAACCTAAACATAACCATCACATTTCTAAGAAAAGTATTTTTCTTCCTATATTTTCTTTGAGTAAGCAGAAAAAAATCCATCAGTACTTACATTTAGGCACATATCAAGCTCCATTGTTTACTTTAAGAATTAGAGTATAAATGAACTTCTTTCTTTTATATAAATGCACATATTTTTACACTGAAATCTCTCAGCTAACTCGTGACACTTGACATTAATCACATACATAGATCAACAAAGACTTTGCTTTCATATAGAAAGTAATTTCAAACATATTTCTAAATTATGACTTGTTATTGCAGTCAATTTAATTATCTAGCTAATGACAATGTATGTTCATAATCAAAGTAGTCAAAAATACCAAGTTTAGTAATTAGACCATATAATTCCTTAACAACTCAATTTATAATGGAAAAGTACAATGCTTTTAGACAATGTTCTTCAAATACTCCTCTATATTCAGAATTAGGAATTCCACAGTGTATTCTTTTGACATTTAAAGCTGGAGATGGAGTGTTTAGGTTAGAAGCGTAGCTCCCTCCTGTATTCTACCTGAAATTGCTTGTAAGTCACATTACATTCTAAATCCATTTCCCCTCAAACCATGCTGAGGGTATAACATTTACTCTCTGTCATTAATGTTCTTTTCTGTAAGACATACCAATATGAATTGTAACACAATGAAACAATTAATCTTTCTTGGGCAATTTTAATGATTCTATAATTATAGAAAACTATAGAAAATCATGTTTTCCCGTTTATCAACTCAGATACTCAGTGACATTTCAATGCCAAAGACAAAAAAAAAAAAAAAAAAAAAAAAGGCGGGGTGGGGGGGGGAAGGGGAGAATCTCCTGTATTTTCATTTTAAGAGTATCATACTAACGGAAATCTATAAACTAAACATAGATAGTGTCACAAATGCAAACTGACACATGGCATAACTGGTGGCTGTGCAAAAATCCAGCCGGAAAAGTACTAAAATAGGCTAATTTCATTTCTGCCAGCTGCCTGCCTTTCCATTCTTTATCTCAGCTATTAGGTTTGAATAAATTTCATCTCCCACACTACAAGTAATGAGCAGGCAATGACTTATGAAGCACCGAGACCAAGTTAAGACAGAATTAGAATACAATTTTAATGAGACGGAGCTGAGAAAGTGGAAGTGTTACTCCTTTGACAGACTTGGCAAAATACCCAATATTATTTCAAATGCTCTTTCCTTTTTACAAAGAAACTGTCAAATATTAAAATAAAAATTATAAAAAATAAGACTGAGGAATTCTTTAGGGGCAGATTGTTAATGTGATTGTAAGCTAAAAATAGTTATTAGAGAAGTCATTTAAGGAAGAGAGCAAATGTGACTTCAATGTAAACATATTAAATATAAATACTCCTCTGAAAACAAACAACATGCTTTGGTTTCTCTGGGAAAAAAAAAAAGCAATTAACATTCAGGTAACATGCATCTCTTTGAAATGAGGTCCAGAAATTGTTGGGGGAATGGAGAGTAGACAAATATTTTCTTTGTTAGCACTTAATTGGAAGTCTATAAAATAATGTTATTATATGGCTTTGAAATACACTCAAAATAAACTGGTGTAAAAACAAGATAAACTCAAGCATGATTTTTTTTTAACATCCAACGTTCAGTACACCAGGTGGTGGGGGCAGTCCCCTGGAAGCATAAAGGGAAGTGGTCTTTGGCTAATAAGGAAGGTTTGCACCACAATAAAAGCATTTATTTTCACACTTAAAATCATGGGGAAGGTGTTCAATGGAAAAACCCAAATGCCACAAAATAACAAGAACAACTAAAATTGTTAAGGACTTCAAACTACCAAAACTAATGAAAGGGATTTTCCAGCCTGATGCCCCCACTCATATTAGGTAACGACGTCCCATCCTCCTTAGATGCCCTGTGCCTTCTCAGCTAAGCTGAGCTGAGGTCTGGGCCAAATTGAGCAGCACAGCAAGGCTACTTATACTCTACACTTTAAATTAATTCCTCCAAACATCCCCCAAACAGTTACTGGAGGCTTTTTTTCTCCCCCTCCCCCCACATACCCCTTACTGTTTCTGTCTTTCGTTTAGTGATTACTTCCTGTCGGTTTTTCTAGTGCCTAAAACATATGTGATTTGCTGCAGGCAGTCAGTATTTATAAGGAGAGCCTCACAGCAGGTGCCACTTACAAAAAAAGGCCCCTGTGAGCATGAGTGCACAAGTGTTATCCCATGACCCAAGGGTCATGCTGCTGTTCCTACACAATGTTTAGCAAAGGAAGGTTCTTTCCATCAACAACTGATAAACAGTATTCGTCTGATCGGCCAGATTTTTTATGAAATGATAAAGCGAATGAATATATCTATGCGTCTTTAAAAAGATACATGCATGCTTTCAAAATTATATGTAGCTATTCTGACTCTGCGGTCAACAAATGACCAGAAAAAAAAATCTAGTAATTTTTTAATGCTGATGGGTAATTTCACTCGGTGCCCCCAGTCTTCCATGCCCCAAATTCACTTCCTTGACTTTGAAGTCTGGGTCCCTTAAAGCTGTGAAATTTCCTGGATAACAAACAATGCTAAGAAAACTTTGTTTTGAGAAAATAGATTTGATAGCCATGGGACCTGTAAATGTAGTTTGCTTTTTACATCCAATAACAGTGACCAAAAAGGGGTGTGCTACCTTTTCCCATAAATGTTTCCATTCTTTAAACAGCATGTTAGAAATTCAGTTAAAGGGATTTAATGGAGCTAATTATAGTTGGTGAACCTCTCTAGCTTTCTTCTTGTTTTTCCCCCTGAGAGTTGTTCAGCATCACCCACTTGCAATGCAAGCTTTCCTTAGCCTGGATCTGTCCAGTGATGCTCCCTATTCCACGGGCCCCCATCAGCATATCTATTGTAACTTATTGTGAAAATCAGACCCAAGAAATCCAAAGAAAGCCCAAGGCAATACGGGGAGTTTTAAAACTGTTCTCCCAAGTATGATCAACAAATCACATTTTGGTGTATTTAAGGTAATCCTTTTGGGAGGCCTAATTAAGTTGGTAGGAAAATTATGTGATATCTATTTTATATTATAATATTATATAAAATATAGGTTATATATTCCAAGGTTATATATTATATAGGTTATATATTACAAGGTTTGTCATGTTTTATATATGAAACATGATACAAAATTGGAAGATGTATTTCCAATTCATGAAAGAATAATGAAAGAAGACAAAAGAATGAAGCTTTAGTTGTCTACCATGTTATACATTTACAGTATGCATAGGGGAAAGGTCACATTGTCAGTTTATATCCAACAAAGATTACTTAAGAAATTTGGATTTTCACAAATAATAGAGTCTTATGCTCCCATCTCCCTGTTACCAGCCACCACCTCCCCACCCCTCAACAACCTGATTTCTAAGTAAGAACCCTATTTAGTCCTCAATAACAGAATAAGAAATATTCTTGGTCTGTCATTTGGTCAGTGTCAGATACTAATATGGCAAAAATTAAAATGCTAAGTACTGCTTAATTTCCAAAAAATTTTATGAATCTTGCTCACAAAATTCAGAGGTGGACCTCGGATATGGCCTTGGACTTGGAAGATGGAAAACACACTTGTAATTCTCATTGCCCCTGGTTGTAGGTACTATATCCCATCTATTCCTTCTCCTTTAACTCCTTCCTCCATTTTGGTGTTTTAATTTTTCCCACATGGAACCTTGGGCATACTCCCATTGTGACAGGTACCTTTGTATACAGGCAGCTTTCTCACTAGACTGTTAGATTCTTTTCTGTGCCTAAGAATTAGGATATTGATGATTGGTTGCTGAAAGGATGGATTATAAGATAATGACTAATGCAGTTCAGTGATGGGTAGATGGTCACTCAAGAAGGCTGGCTTAGAGTCCTGGGGACCGGGGTTCATAGAGAGTCGTCATAGAGTATGACAACCATCATAGAGTATGAAAGCTGGCAGGAGAAACTAGTTATACTTCTCTCCTTCAATTTCACTTTTGACTTTCCAGAATGGTGTAACAAATTAAGATTAGACTGAAAATTAAGATTGAACTGAATCAGACTCTTTAAATTGGAGTTCCATTTCTAATGATGTCAGTTCTCTCTTGGTGAAATAGGACAAGTTTCTTAACCTCCCAGATCCAATTTCCTCTTTTGGAAATATGGGAATTAACAGTACCTACCTCACAAGATTAAATGAAATATCACGTGTAAAGCACTCAGTGCAAGCTCAACAAGTCATCTTTCCCTCTCTTGTACTTTCATCCAAGCAGTCCTTGTTGCATATCTGACATTTAGAAACTTGGCCTTGTCAATGTTTAAGCAATGATGGTGTTGAGAATCAATAAGCCTTGTTAGGGAGTAATGTTTTTCATAGATTCTCCAGCCATATTTTTCATGATAAGAGGTTTTTCTGAGAGGTGATTTCTGACATTCTGCACAAATCAAAATTATTCAAGGAGACAAAGGCATTGATCATCTTCTCGTTGCTTGTTTTCCTTGACCCCTCTGGCAGCTTTACCAGCATTCTCTATAAATGCCACATATAAATTAAAACTGGCTTTTGCAAGTAGATAATTCACCCCACCTAGCCCATTTGCCTAGTTCCAGGGAAATTTGCCCCTTGATAGTATTTTTTAAATATTGACAAAATTTTAATTGTGTTAAAAAACATATAACATGAAATTTAACATCTTAACCATTTTAAAACATACAGTTCAGTAGTTCTGTTGTACAACAGATCTCCAGAACTTTTTTTACCTTGCGAAGCTGAAATGCTATCCCCATTGTACAACTACTTCCCATTTTTCCCTCCCCCAGCACCTCTGGTGATATTTTTAATTGTTGGTTTTGGTCAAATTTCAGATGTGGTGACATAAGAATACATATCTGGTCATTATTAGAGTAACCTTACAAAATAGCTTTTTTTCATTGAAAAACATCTATGTTCACAAATGCGGTATTTAAAATGCTCATTTTCTGCTACACATAACATTAATAATAAGAGTAATTACCCAAGAAATATGGGACTTTAAAGCTCATTCTCACCCTGAAGACACCGAGAGATTATGTTTTTAACCTTGGGCTCTGATTTGGTTGTGAATGGAAGATGGTATAATGTATAAAGATGGTTTTCCATAGAAGATGGTGATTATGCTGAAGACAACTAGATTACACGCTCTTTGGCCATGCAAAGTGATTCTTGAAATACTACCTGGATAATTGAGGTCAAAGTGATTTTTTGGCATCTAATCTACCACTTCTCTGCCTCATTTGGCATATTTAGATTCAGCCTATACCAGTATTTGAGGGAGGCTTAATTTCTTTGAATGCGTTACAACTTAGAACATTAATTGCTAAACAAATACTATAGTAAAGCCACAAAATGTGAAAAAAATAGTTAACAGCAAAGGAAGGAGAATTTTACTTCAGATCCTTAATTCTTATTATGTATGATTGTATTCCAATTCAGTTTTCTGATTTGCCTACTAACTTTCAATGTTGATTTCAGATAATAATATAAATCCTGAAATCACATCTGTCTAGCATTGCTAGGCTTTTCTTCCTACCTGGTCACTAAATATTTTTCTTTCATTCTCATCCCCCATGTATAAATAAAACACTTTTTAAGCATTGAGAATATTATCTTAAACAGATTCTCTGAAAATGATTTACAACAAATTCCACATTGTACATTGGGGAAGAATATTAATTCCATTATATGAGCATATTTCTTTTATAAAACCTCCACTCATTCATATCGGCACATTTAGTCATGATAACCATAATTAAAATGTCCTTAAATTTATTACTATGGCAGATTTTAAAATCACAATAGAAAACAGGATTCACTGTTGCGTTTCTTAAAGTCAAATCATCTTGACAAGCTAAGGTCACTTCAGTTCAAACCCCAAAATGTTCCTGTCCCTTAGGAGGCTGGGACATTATTAATATTTTTGTCAAGAAGGACTTGTGAAGGATGCAGTCTTTCTCAGGGATGAAATGAAAGGCGTATTCCACTGTGTGCCATGAAAGAGATTATATATCTTCCGCAGAGTTGGTTGGGGATCAACTGCCAGCTTCTTCATGGTGTGAACTCGTGATTGAAGCACCAGCTGTGATCCAGGGTTTGAAAGAGACCTTGAAAATGGCAAAGCAAGACCCTGTGTTCAGAACTGACAAAACCAAGCTGACGAGAGAAGCAAACGCTATTCTTTTGGAATGCTCATCGCAGGGAATGTCATTGACAAAAAGAAAAGCGTGGGAGAGAGAGGGGGAAAGGAGGCTTTTGTGTGATATAAACTGACAGACCTGAAATCAAATGATAATGCTGCAAAAATGGGGATTTTCTTGTTTATCCATTACATTGTAGATAAATAATGTCATTACAGGCAAAATACGTAGTCAGAAGAATACTTCTTTCTAAAGTTGCTTCATCAATGTAATTGGATTTTATTTGGCTTATAATATTAATTAGAAATATCTGTGTAGCATTTCTTGGCCTGATAGGAGTAAGGAGATTCCAGAGAGTTCTAAATTATACACAACTGGCACCTCATGTAGCTCCAGAGGGTCCTAAATTATACACAGACTATCACCTCATGTAACTCCAAGTTAGAATTAAAATGCCTTTGTTAACTACCCAGAAGTGGAAGGCAGTCATTTCTTCCCTGGGAGATTGGCTTCTTTGTTATTTTTAGCTTCTGAACACTTAAACGTATTTCTTTCATTTTTACTAACCCAGGCCATTAAGACAAAATGTGTATAAGGTAGTTTTTTGTTTTGTTTTGTTTTGCAGCACAACTGTTGGTATGCCCATTAGTGTCCAGTGGAAACTTTCACTTTCAGATGTGGAGGCCGTCTTCATGACCACATGGTTCTGAGTTGACCTCCTTGATGGTGCCTGAGTTGATCCTTGGAAATCAGCTACGTCCTAGTAGCTGACCACGAGGCAGCACTCTGCCTAGCAGGCACTAGACCAGCGTTATAAGTAGTGTGCCACACAGTATCTAGCCATTAACAGAATAGCAATGCTCCATCTTTGCTAGAGGACCACTTGGGAGAAACATATTATCCTTAGCCATTAAGTACAGACACAAAGAGGTGGTCCCCAGAGGGCTCCAGGACAAGTTGGAAAAGCCTTTGCTGAAGACAGAACCAGCTGCACTGAAAACCTGTTTTGCTAAATTTAGTGCACTTTGGACCTTCCTTTTAACTTCAGAGTTACCTCTCTAGACGCTGGTCAGTCCAACAATGTTTATTTAGTGACATGAGGCTGAGAAGATGAATATCCTCACGCTCAGTTATTTACATAAAGCTAAGTAGCAAAGCCTGTAATGTTATAATCAGGTACCTATCTGCAAGACAGTTTTGAATGACACAGGGTATGAAAAACATTTACTCTAGTTTACACTGTTTTTGAATACTGTTTAGTCTCTATGGTGAAAATATTAATACTTTTTAATGATGTATGTGATCAAACTTTTATTTGATTGGCTTCTTATGGCACAACTCTTACAAAAAGATGGGATGTCATCATGTGCATTCTCTGCCTTTGAGCCTCTGATGATTCCAGTCATCTCAGAAAGATAGGGCTCTGCCCTCTTGCTTCTGATTTGCTGGCAATAGACCTTCAACTAATAGTATATCTGCTCAGCTGAAGATGGAGTGCTAATCTAGGGGGACTCGAAATGGCTCTGTCATTTTCTAGATGACAGCTCCTATTTTCCACTGGCTTCTGGCACATGCGCTATCATCCGTCTATGTCAAGAAGACACTTGCTTATCTGGTTGCTAGAAATGCTTTTGTTAAAAACACGTAACTGCAGTTCATCAGTCTTGTGAGGAAGTTGTTGATTTTGCTAAACTAAGTTTAAACTCCACTGTGGTTTTCTGATATGACATCTATTTTTATTAGATATTGTCATGATTATTTATAGTGTCTTAGAAGCATACTAGAATTTTTTTTTTAATGGCAATTTAGTCAGCTGATTGAATGGTGCAAAACAAAAGTTTCAGGACCAGGTACGCCCATATCAGATTTGATTCTTCATTTTTTGGCAACCATTAATTAAGAAATCACTGGCTAAAGAAGAGATAGAAGTTGAATTAGGGCCATAAAAAATCAAAATTCAATGCAAATAATGTATGTCTCACAACAAACAATGGCAAGTATTTAAAAATAAAACCAGTCATCTAGTTGTAACTTATGAAATACTATCAAACACCAAAGAATATCATCTGAAAATATTCTTGATCAATTTGTAGAAGTAAAATTTCTATTTACACTGGAAAATATTTCCTTTTCTGGTTTTCTTTTTGTTTTGACCAGTCTGCTCTCATTCTTCTGGTTTGATTAAGACTTGATCAGTCAGAACTTGTGCAAACCCTGTCTGACTGATCCCAACTAGCCCTAAGTATTCAGGAAGCGGCTGAAGAGTTCCCGTTCAGGACAACCAGCTAATATTGGCTCAAATCCTTTTGTCAAATATTAACTCACAGCCAATAAGGTCGTTAACAGTGCCCAAGGCAAGGACATGCCTCCTAATCTTTGAAGCGCAGTACCCAAATGTCAAAGCCAAGTGCTGTTTCCAGCTGTCCTTTCTCATACTTGCCTGTCTGAAATATACCCTTGTGTTCTTTTCTCTTTCCTTCTTTTTCTTCATACAAATACAAACTCACAACCCTTTCTACTAGCTGCTGGGTCTATCATGTGGCCTTTTCATAACGTGGATTGGGGAGTACCAGATAGGGCACATTTTGTGGCAGCCATCTACTTTCTTTCAGCCTTTTAAAAACAATGGCTATGACTATTACCAGAGAGATGGTTGGTAAGAGCTGCTTTGAGATTTGCTGCACCTCTGAAGCCTGTGTCTGATGGAGGAGAAACGAAGCCAGGAGCTGAAGCTAGTACAATAAAGCTTTCCTGAGAGGTTTTGTGGATGGGAAGTTATGACTCCTGGGCGTGGAAACAGCCCCAGAACTCTGTTCTTGGGTCCATTTTCTTTACTTTTCACTTAAACTGATGAAAGGGACACCGATGAAAGGATAAGGGCCTGAACGTTTTTAACATCTGAAATATGTGCATAACATTGGATGTGTAAATAAATTTAAAAAGTGAGCACAGCAATTAAACTGAAAAACGATGAGGCATCTCTCATAAACAGAAGCTCTGTATTTCTTGAAAGGAAAAATACATCGAAAAATGAAGACAGAGAAAACAGAAAATCTGGAATTTATTTTCTTTTTAGCACAACAAGACCATGTTGGAATAGATTTGTCTAAAATGGGTAATGACATCAATTTTGTGATAAATAATTATATTTCTAATAAGAAAAAAGTGCTTCTAATTAGTTATATTGATATTCAAGTAATTGTAAATTAAGGGAAAAATATTTGATATTAAGTTATTTGCTTTTTAAAAGAAACTTGCAGAAAAGATGCTCATTTTTAAAAAACCAAATTTTATGTTGATTATTTTGCAACTTTATGAGCACATATACACCCAAATATTTTTAAAAGCATAGCAAGTGCTTCGTTTTCTCCTCGCATCTCTGACTCTTCTAAAAATAGATGAATCCATTCCTATAAAGCAGAACAAAACCAAATAAAATGCATATGAACTTCAGCCCCATAAATTTGAGAAAACTTTCAAACAATGGATACTTTGGATATTTTATACTAATCCTATTTAACTATTTTTTCATGTCATTTCTTCAGCTATATACATCAGTAAGAAATTAACTGCCTCTAAAAATTTGACAGTTATATCCTAGATTTTCAGAGTGGTATAGGTCAATATTTTCAATTTAAAAAATTTATCTTACAATTTATGCCTTTATAAGGGAGTGATAACAATGTTTTACTTATGCAGCTGTGACATATTGAATGAGGAAAGAGCTTTGCCATCTGCAGGTGAGGGCTAATACCTAGCATATGTCAAACGTGCTGGCAGTGGTATTCCAACTGTATTCTGACAACAGAATCAGAAGAAATAGTGTTAAGCTGAGGAGAAAAGATTTGGGGCAAGGAACAGTTTTCCAGATGAGGAGTTAAGAAACATTGCTTACTATAATAAGACAATTTTAATTCATTTTTAAGCACCACCATGGGGTGACCTCCAGAGACCAGCTTTTACAGAGAGGCTTGACACTCAGTTGCATTTTTCCTTGTAAGTAAGAAGCAAATTAGGTTACCTGTCCATCCAGGGTGCATGGAGAAAAAGACAGAGCTGGAAGAGAGATTGCTGACCTAGTGTTTCAGTCTACAGAGAAGGAAATCCACACCTCTCTAGCATTTATCATTAGCCAGTTGACAAGTTCAATGCAATGCTGAACTCATCCTAGGTTTCCTAGCTTTTAGTAGACCTACTGTTATTTAGAAAAACTCTTTTTTTAAAAAATAAAAGAACTTATAAAGTAAAATAGTAGACGCTACAAAATCTAATAGTTCATACTTAGAATATGCAGGATTATTTGAAAAATGGAGAAATATCAAATAACAAAAAAAAAGAGGAAAATATTTTGATAATGCCCTTTATGTAAGCTACAAGTTAGAGCATCCTACCTAGAAATGTAAAGACCCAGGGGAAGTGAATAAACAAAACCCACATAAATATGGGATGAGAGTGGGGAATAAATACTATGCAGTTTTATTATTTTAAGTTCTGTGCCAAATAGAATTCAGTACATACAGCAAACTAACAAAGTACCATCAAATGCCAGTGGTAGAAGTACAATCAAATATCAATGGTCACTTCCTAGCAATGTGTCTTTGGGCAAGTAACAAGTGCTCTAAACTCCAGCTTTCCTCTCTGTAAAACTTGAGTCATGTTTACCTCCCAGAGCTATTGTGATGATGCCACACCAGGTGACCTAGTGCACCTGTAGCCAGTGCCCCCACGCCTCCCCAGTGCTTTGTGGCCATACCCCCAGGTACTCCAGAAGGGCCATGCAGCCAGCGTCCAGGAAAATAAATTACAAGGCATTTCTCACTTTAGGAAAATCCCATGTTTATTTTATTACGTTGTTGCAGAAATCAGCAAGACTGGGAATAAGTTTAATTTTGAAAAGCTGCATCAAAGGCTGGGCACAGTGGCTGATGGCTGTAATCCCAGCACTTTGGGAGGCTAAGGTGGGAGGATGGCTTGAGGCCAGGAGTTTGAGACCAGCCTGGGCAATATGGCGAAAATACAAAAAATTAGCAGGGCATGGTGGTACATGCTTGTTATCCCAGCTACTTGGGAGGCTGAGGCATGAGAATCCCTTGAATCTCGGATGCGGAGGTTGCAGTGAACCGAGATCACACTACTGCACTCCAGCCTGGGGGACAGAGTGAGACTGTTTCGAAAGGGGGAAAAACTGCATCAAAATATATACTTTGAGCTCACTTGCCGTGAGTTTTTGTTTGCTTGAGCTCCTGTTCCTTTCTCCTCAGATAGGAGGTGTCCTAGTTGGAATATGTTGTCATTCATTTCATGTTGTATTGCCTATTTTTTCCATATTTGGTAGGCAGCAAATGCCTATTATGGAGTTAAAAATTTACTGCCATCCTCCCAAGTAATGTAAGTAGGGGACTGTTGAAAGTCACAGGAGAGGAACATGTACTCACCTGGGATTGTCTAGTGAGGCTAAGCACCACAGATTTTAAAGTTTTGAGTTTTAAGAATATATTGTTTAGGGTAAGCCTAAGTTGATATTTTTCATAGCCAACGCTAGATACTTAGGAGCCTTTTGGTGAAAAGTAGCTAGTATTTTAATTATTATTACTTTTTTTCCAGCCAGGCTTTTTTTTTTCCTACTTGATTTAAGCTTGCCTAGGGAAGCTGGCCCTGCCATGTCTTCCAAGGAAAATTTGGATCTGGCTAACTCAGCAAGATATTGCCAGTGTTCTGTTCCCTCCACACACACACAAGATTCTGCCCCTGCTAGACCTGTGCCTGCCACAGTGGACCACCCATTCTTCCCTGTGTAATTCTCTGCATATAACCTCCTTTGTATAGATTTTTTGTCATTTGCATATGCTAAAAATGTATGTTCCTAGGCATGGAAAGGTTTCTCAGGCACATATTGAGCTCATATTCTCATGCTGGCTGAACATAAAGCATCCCTCCCAAGCAGTTTGGTTATAATTCAGTCCTCTGAATCAACATCAGGCCTGATGTGAGTTGTGTACTTCATTGTTATACTCAGTTAAATGTCATCAAACACCCAACTTGGCAAACTTGCCAAACTCACTAATTTACCAAAAGTTACTTTTTTTTTTTTTTTTTTTTTTTTTTACCTATTTACAAAGTTTTAGGCAATTCTTATGGAAAAAAATGGTTTTAACAATTTTTGAAGATTTCTGTGAAATTATATTTGGCTATGATGAAGTTTTAGTGTAGTTTGATTTCGGTGGCAAACATTTTACTGTGGTCAGGCAAAGTTTATTAATGTCTGGATTTTTCTGTACTTTCTGTCTCAGGCTTTTGGAAATGCCTATTTGTAGTGTGTTTTGAATTACAAGTATGCATATCTTGATGTCAAGAATTTTATAAACAATTGAGGGGATTTTGTTAAAACATATACAATATTCTGTTGCCTTTTTACCACTTAGAATTCACAGATTTTTTTTTTTTTTTTTTTTTTGGTCTGGCTCAATTCAAGGAATGTTTTTCATGTGTTTCAAAAGTTTGAGAAGTGCCTAATGTCTGAGATGTGAACCATGCACAAAGTTGACATCCGACTTTGAGAGACTAACAAATTTATTGTTTAATTAACTGGATAAAATGGCTACAAGTGAAAGAAAAACTTACATTAAATCTAAAACTAAGGACAAGCTAAAATAAACTAAAAATTCAAAACAAAGCCTTAAAGACTGTTGAAATTTCCCAAACAACTTTGCTATAAACTTTAAGTAGATAACAAGTATTTGGGAAATCTGTAATTTGGCTATTTTTTTTCTTTTGGTCAATAGACTTTCAGCAAAAAGGCCTTGGATGAATTGATTTTTGGTGAACTGGTTTCTGAAAAATAAGCTTTTGGTAAATGTGTGAATTTGAAAAATTTGGCAAGTTGGTCATTTAGTCAATTGGCTTTTAGAAAATTGATTTTTCAAGGAATTAGTTTCTTCCACAATTTCCCAGAAAAGATAAATGGAACAAAACCAAGATGGTGTATGGGAATATGAATGAGGGGTACAATAAGACATCAAGTATATATTTTTTCTGGGGTCTAAGAGTTGTATATTGACTAAAGTTGAGGACAAAAGCCTTAATTTCCACAACTTATAAAGAACTACAAGCTATTGAGCTTATTAGAGAGCATAACAAAATCAAAACTAGTCCTACCAAAAACTCCTTTCTTACCCTCCCATATGCCAAGAGTAATAGGGCACAGTCTGGGTGCTGTTTGGAGTTCAGCATTCTTGGAGAAAGGCTGCTCCCTTCCCAAAGCCAAGGGGAGGGGCTACAAGAGAATCACTCTTAAATATTGACACTGTACACAAGAAAGGAAGACTGACATTTGTTTCCCCTTTGAAAGTCTTCTAGGTCTTTTTGGCCTTTGACCTTGCTGACTCAGTCCTGTGCCATTTGGTTGAAAAAGAATTAAAGAGAGACAGTGTGAAGGACAGACATTGGAATGGGCTTAGCACATTCCCTGAGGTAAGAATGATAGCACCTGCTCATGCCAGCAGGTCCTAGAATTGGCCGTGTTGTGAAGATGAGATCAGAGGCCACCATGCTGATTGGCTCACTGGCATGCAGGGAGCAAAGATGTAGACACATTGGAGGAACGTAGCAAGTACAGCACCTGCTTGGAGTCCAGTGGGGGGGCTGACTGAATCTCACAAAAGACCATTACTGTTTAGTGTTGGGCTCTCCATCCATTCTTATTGAACCCATAGATACCAGCGGTTGCCACCAACTAAGGAGAGGACTGTACTCTTGCCCAGCTTAATAAAGAGATGTTTGTGTTTTCCCTTGTTCTCCCCCTGAGCCTAGCACACTTATAAAGCTCATTATTAAAGGGAAGAATGAGAGTGAGGAGTAGATGCCTCCATATCTCCCACCCCTCCTCTAAGCTTCTGGAACTACCGATCCATGCGTCAATGATGGTGAACAGGTGATGAACCCTGCCTGGAGTCGGAGATGTTAAAAATGAACAAAATTGAACCTTACATAGAAAATAACATTATTTTTGTAATGAATAATCAGGAAAGTCATGGAAGTCTTATATAAAAAGGGTTTTTCAATGGGGGGGACAGTTAATAAAAGAAACCAAAACCTTTTAGGTTTAAACTCCAGTAAATTGAACTCTCCAATAATCAGATTATGGAAGTCCATGTAATCAGTCAACTCAAAATTGATAGAACCAGAATTAAAGTGTCTCAAAGGGGATGGAGAAAAGGGACTGGGCTCAAAAGAAACTTAGGGGTTAAGATTTGCAAGATTCGGCAACAGAGTGGATATGGAAAGTGAGAGAGTAGGGTGACTTGTAGGTTTCTAATTTGGGTGCCTAGTATTGAAGTTAACAGAGATGGGGAATACAGGTGGAGTAGAAGAGGATAAGAGACATGTAGGATTGGAGTTTGAAGTGCTTGTGGAGAATCCTGGAGGAGATGGTCAGAAGGGAGAGTGAATGGATGTTTTTTCTCCCCAATCACACTTAAAGGTATAGTTAGGAAAATCACACATATATGCAGGCATACAAATGTATAGTATTATATACATATCTACACACACATGCATGTATACATATATATATACATCATGCATGTATACAGATATATACACATCATACAAAAATAAATGTGTATAATGCACATTTGTGTTATATATTATGTATACCTATATAATACATATATATAAATTTATATGTGTATATATGTATTATATATGTAATAGATATAATATGTATACAAAACAACATGAAGATTTAAGAAGTATATAAGCACTTGTAAATTATAAGGTACAAATGGATGTGTAGGTGTTTAAAGAAGTAGTAGAGGCCAGGCACGGTGGCTCACGCCTGTAATCCCAGCACTTTGGGAGGCCAAGGTGTGTGGATCACTTAAGGTCAGGAGCTCGAGACCAGCCTGGCCAACATGGTGAAACCCCGTCTCCACAAAAATACAAAAATTAGCCAGGCGTGGTGGCGGGTGCCTGTAGTCCCAGCTACTCAGGAGGCTGAGGCACAAGAATCGCTTGAACCCAGGAGGTGGAGGTTGCAGTGAGCCTAGATAGCGCCACTGCACTCCAGCCTGGGCGACAGAGCAAGACTCAGTCTCAAAAAAAAAAAAACAAAACAAAAAAGAAAGAATTAGTAGAAAGTACTGTTAAGAGTGGGATGTTCCTAATCAGGGAAGATATTGTAAAAGATATATCCATTTTGAATATCGTTTTCTAATTTGTTGAAAGTCCCTCTTTTACTATGACTTTCCCCTTCAATTTAAAGATAAAGAATTTACACTGTTTTATCTTTAAAAATGTTACATTTTTCCATTTAGAAGACTAATACCTACTCACAGTAGAAAATTTGGAAAAATATAGGCAAGAATGATGATGTTACTTTCCATTATAGAGACATTTTATTGTGTCTGCTTGAGTAAAAATGTCACTTTTTATCCAGATTATAAGATTCAAAACTGGTTGAAATGAGCTAGGGAAGTTGCTGATTTTTGCAGAACATTCCAAGTATAGAGTAATATCAGTTTGTGAGTATGCAGTGTGAGTGTCCGTGTGCTGAAGGTGGTGTTGGCGGCAGTAAGTTACATCAAGTTAATAATGACAGTTTTTGTGTTGCTAACATGAAAATAGAAAGTGTGAGTATGTCCCAGATACATGACAGCGTATTATTTTTGTTCAATGGAAACAGATGTTGTGAAGAAATTGAATCAGAAGTAATTTTGATGGAAATATTTTTACTATGTTATACACTGTGTAAGATGCAAATTCCTTTTCTTTTTAGCTGTAACCTCAACTCCTCTGGGGAAATACAAATGAAATATATATATTTTGAAACAATAAATAATCTAAAAACAGGAAAGTAAAATTTAGTGATAAAAATCTGGCATCCATCTACATAACTGTAGTCAACTGATCTTTGACAAAGAAAAAAAGGCAATATAATGGGGCAAAGAAAGTCTTTTCATAAAAATGATATTGGAGCAACTGGATATTCGAATGCAAAAAAGAATGTAGAAATAGACCTTATACCATTCACAAAAATTAACTAAAAATGGATCATAGACCTGAATATAAAATGCAAAATTATAAAAATCCTGGAGTAGAAAACAGGAGAAAACCTAAATAGCTTTGGGTACGGTAATGACTTTTTAGATATAACACCATTAGTGTGATACATTAAAGAAAGAATTGATAAGCTGGACTTCATTAAAATGGAAACTTCTGTTCTATAAAAGAAAAAATGTCAAGAGAATGAAAAGACAAGCTACAGACAGGGAGAAAATATTTGCCAAAGACACATCCGATAAAGAGCTGTTATCCAAAATACACAAAGATCTCTGAAAACTAAACAACAAATTAAAAATAACCCAATTGAAAATGGACTAATGACCTTAACAGGCACCTTCTGAAGAAAGATATGCAGATAGCACATAAGAATATGAAAGATGCTCTACATCATATGTCGTCAGGGGAATGCAAATTAAAACAACAATGAAATGCTACCACATAACTGTTAGAATGTCCAAAATGCAGAACACTGGCAAAGCCAAATGCTGGCAAGGATGAGGAACATCGGGAGCTCTCATTCACTGATGGTGGAAATGCAAAATGGTAGAGCCGCTTTGGAAAATAGTTTGGTAGTTTCTTAAAAAAATAAATATGTGTATGTAAAACCATATGATTTGGCAATCTCACTCCTTGGTATTTACCCAGGGGAGTTGGAAACTTTATGCTTATACAAAAACCTGCAAATAGATGGATACAGCTGCTTTATTTGTAAAACCATTGAGGCAATTAAGATGTCCTGCAGTAGGTGAAAGGATAAACTGTGTTACTTCCAGACAATTGAATATTATTTGGCACACAAAAGAAATGAGCTATCAAGCCATGAAAAGACATGGAGGATAATACTAAATGAAAGATGCCAATCTGAAAGGCTAGGTATTGTATGATTCTAACTATATAACATTCTGGAAAAGGCGAAACTATGGAGACAGTGAAAGGATCAGTGGTTGCCAGAGGTTAGGGGCGGGAGGGAATGAATAGGTGGGGCACAAAGGATTTTTAGGGCAGTGAAAATACTCTGAATGATACTACAATGATAGATACATGTCATTCTACATTTGTCCAAATACATAGAATGTAGGGCACGGTGATGTAAACTATAAATTTTGGGTGCTAGTGATGTGTCAATATAGATTCATAAATTAACAAATTTACCCTCTGGTGGAGGATATTGATAATGGGGGAGGCTATGCATGTTTAGAGGGAAGGGGATATGGGAAATCTCTGTACCTTCTCAATTTTGCTGTGAATGTAAAACTTCTAGAAAAAAATTAAGTCTTAAAAAATCTGGCATTCTGGGTACTTTCTACATAAGCCATTTTATTCCATTTACATTGTTTCCTTCCTCACTCAATGTCTGGAACACAAAAATGAAGGTAGAACCAGCCAAGAGTAAACTAAAGCGACAGTAGAATCTTAGGTTGTTGTGAAACTGTGTTTTTTCCTTCCTTCTAATATCTTCTGTAAAATTTCCAGGAGACTTACTGTTTTCACTTTTCTCATTTCGGGATATTTAGACAAATACAGACTCTACCTATAATATTTTCTTCCTCATTATTTAGTCATTACTTTTTCAAAGTTTTCAAGTCTTAAGCCCTCATGCTTGGCAATTCAATGTAGTTTAAATCAATTCAATAATATATCATTCATGTCTCAGTCAGAAAAGCAGAATCATTTTGATGAATGTTATATACTGTATATGAATCTCTTATCTATCTATCATCTATCTATCTATCTATCTATCTATCTATCTATCTGATGTTTTAGTTTTTTTTGTTTAAATCTTAAACTAATTCACTGTTCATTTTGGTCTTGGGAGTGGCAAAGGTAGGAATCCAGCTTTAAAATACTAAGTTTTAAACATTAATATTTCAATTTCCTCTTCCACTTATTATAAGATTCAATAGTTTACAGGGTATTCTGAAAATTACATTCTGAATGAGAACTTTGCGGCTTTCCATTGATCTGTGATAATCTCTCTCAGTTGCAGCTTCACCTTCTATTTCTTTTTATACAAAAAGGTACATGTTATTCATCTCTTAATGTCTTTTCACTTTTACCTGTCTTAGATAAGCTTCCTGGAAGTGGACTGTGAGTGGAGAGTTGCCTACAGAAAGTTTATTGAGTTCTTTTATGAAATATACCTATAATGAAGTGAATGAGCAAACATAGAAAAAGCAGTTGCAATTGAGGTCTCAGGCATTCCTTTGGGGACCCCTGGAATTGAGATATCCTTTCAGAATCATCCAAATTGAGGCAAGAAGCTTGGCCCTTTAAGAGGCATATCAGCCAATCAATGTTCCTTGAGGGGAGGTGTAATCTTGAGTGAGGCAGCTCCCTGTGGTGAGACACAATTTCCAGTAAGGGTCTCAGCTGTGGTCCATCAGCAAATGATATTCCCAGCAGCTGAGGGATTTATGGTTGTCTCTGAAAGGTGCTCTAGGTGGGACACGACAGTATCCACTACACTGCCAGACAGAAAGCAGTCGTTCATTAATTTTATCGTCATTCTTATTCTTTGTCCTGACGTAGTTCCACTTTAGAACTCCCATTCTTGTTGGATTTTAATATTGTAATAGGAATTTATGCAACCAATAGTTATTTTTGGCTATGTTAAGGTTAGCTGTCAGTTTCAAAGTTTTTTCTTCATCTCTCTTTGTGCATGTATGAAGAAAGCAAAAATGAATTTGAATATTTTATTTTCTCTGTCTATAGATAAGTATACATCTCAAATAAATTAATCTGGAATGAAGAATAAGAGGCCAAAGGAAGGTCAGTTTCTGGAAATTTGTCAGATTTCCCTGTAAGATAATTTATGCATATATTGAGTATCTTCCATGGAGCAGTCAGGTGCTTGATGAGGTGGTATAAGGCAAGGACACTCTCCCTAAGGAGCCTGAAATTGCGTTAGAATGTAAAACAGAACTTGCTCAGCTGTATGTGACAGAAAACCAAACCAAATTGGCTAGGCAAAATATCTATTGACTAATTTAACTAAAAAGTCTATGGCTGGCTGGATTCAGGGATTCGAATAATATCACCTGGATCTAGTATCTCTTCCTCTCCCTACTTGGCTTTTATCTATGTCAGGTCTAAACCTCAGACAAGCCCTCCCATGATGACCGAGGTTTCTGCCAGGCTTGCTTCCTCAACCATGAAAAATTCAAGATGCAGGGCTCCTTTTCACGAACAATTTCTAGACAACATCTGGGTCTGACTCTCATTGAGTAAATAATAGAACACGATGATTAATTGCCTTAAGACTCATGCTCAACAGTGAAGCATGTGATGCATCTGCATGGCCTGAGAGTCAGAAAAGAGTGATTTTATTAATGGAAATTGGGGCATGATTGACGAAAGAGAAGAATTGGATGCCAGGTAACAAAAAGAACAAATCGCTTCTAAAAAGATCCAGGCTATATATTTACATTTTCTTTTGATTAGTATTGATTGAATATCCCGGGAAGTGTATTAGATGCTGCAACACTGAGGTGAACAAGGTAAAGTGCCTGTTCTCATAGAGCTTGTATTCTAGTGTGCTAGAAACAGAAAATAGATAAATAGAAAAAGTGTTGTGTCAGCTATCAATTTATTATTTCTTTGAATCCTTATTTTTTTGTCCTGCTTTAAATACTGGAGCTGGATCCTATGAATACTTCTCTTTTGTCCATTGGCAGAATGTTAAGTTTCAAAAGGAGTCACAAGGCCAGGCAGTAGTGGCAGGAAGATACTTCCTTTCAAAGATCTGATCTGCTGCGCTTCCTCTCTAAATATTAAAGGTGAAGGACCAGATCCTTGAAAGGAAGTGTCCACAGGTTACATTTATTTTTTCTATTTCTCCTTAATCCAGCTTGAGTAGGACTTTCACTTATAGTATAATAAAATTTAATAAATGCTTGTGAGTAAAGTAGAAACTCTGCTAGGCATGGGGGATGTAGAAGAGAAGACCTATGGTCTCAGTTTATATAATCTTCTAGTGGGGAAGGTAGATAATATTTGCATGATTAATGTAATTTCAGATAGTAATAAATGCTTTGAAAAAATTTAGAAAGGTTATTGGAGAAGGAAGTATATATATGTGTGCATGTGTAAGTGTGTAGAGACAACTTTATTTAGAATGTCAAAGAAAGTCTCTAAGGAATTGACATTGAGATGAGATCTGGGTTGTCAGGAAGCCAGCCATGTGAAAATCTGGGGCATGAGTTTCCCAGTAGGAGAAAATACATGTACAAATTCTCTGAAATCCAAATGAGCTTGTGTTCAAGTCTGTAAAGAAGGTCACAGTGAACAAAATTGGTGGGCTAAGCATGATCCGTTCATGTAGGATCTCTTAGAACTTGCCGAGTAGTTTTGATTTTATTATAATGGTATTAGGAAACCATTGGTGGCTTTATAGCACAACTATAAAAGTTATTTGAGTTATATTCCAAAGCAATACTTTTGTATGGACTGTTATAGCAAGAATGGGCAGCTGTGGGATAAGAGGAGAAGCGATAGGGAAACCAGGTAAAAGTGTATTAATCCACGTGAGATGTTCCTGCTTGGACTAAGGTGGTTATGGTGAAGATAGGGGAAGTGGTTGGAAGCAGGAAATGTTCTCAGGCAGAGCAAGCAGGACCCCCTGATGGATTGGATATACGAGTGGAGGGTGGGAGAGATGAAGAGTGAGTATAACCAACTGGATGAATAGTAGTGCCAGTAAAAGAGATGGAGAAGATCTGTCAAAGACAAGGTTGGCAGTATGGAGGATGGGATGAGTGGACAGATGTCACAATTTTAATATTGGACATACTAAGTTTGAACTGTCTCTTATTTATAAAAGAGCAGATTCTGAGTGGATATTGGGCTTGCCAATACAGAGCTTGGAAAAGTGATCTGGACTGGAGATGTGAATGTATATTCTATTTGAAGCTGTGAAATATGATGGAATCTCCCAAGGGGCAGGGATAGATATAGAATAGGGGTAAGGACAGAGCCCTTCAATATGCCAACATTTAGAATCAGGCAGGAAAAGAGGAATCACAGGAAGGGATAGAAGTCGTCATTATTCAGGTGATATAAAATCTAGGCAATTGTGATATTAAGGGAGTTAAGAAAAGAAAGTATTTCACAAGGAAATAATGTGCTCAGTCATGTCCATGGAGGACTAGCTACTGAGAGTCTAGCAAGATGAGAACTTAATTAAATATTGGTTTTCTAAGTTGACCTTGAAAAGAGCAGTTACAATGGAGTGGTAGTAGAAACAGGAGCTTACTAGTGGTGGGCTGAAGAGAGGTGGAGAAATCAGGACTTAGAGACAGGGTGTGGACAATTCTTTCAAAGGAGCAGAGAAAACAGAGCAGTCATTAGAAGGGAATATGGAGTCAAGGAAAAGTCACTTGCCATTGAGCAATACGGTATCATTACCTTCATTATACAGATGAGGGACTTGGGTATCAGAGAATGTATATAACCTGCTCAATGATAGACAGGTAATATGTGGCAGTAAGTTTTGCAATTCAAAGTCAGGGCTTTGTTGCTGAATTCCACACTCTTTCATACTATATGGTAGGCTCTGCATACAGTATCTAGCACAAACGGGCAATATTATCATAAATAATATTTGTAGACACAATGGGTCATTATATTATTATCGCTGTTATTATTCTGATTTCCAGGAGTCTTGCACAATTTTGCTACAGTGACCATTATAATTGCTGTCCATATAAAGTAGAAAAGTGGCAGCAAGTGACATGTCTCTTCTTAGACTAGAGTCTGGAGCACAATGAATTTAATGATTTAGCTGATGATAGAAATTTTTGAAACTTAGAATTCTCTATTTTATTATCTATTCAAGGCACAAAGTTCAAAAGTAATCTCTAGGTTCCAGATGTGTAAAGCAAGTTAATTTTTTTTCTAAGAGTCATAAAAGCTGTGTTTTTATCTACTTTCTGGAATTTTATAGTTTTAAATTGTCAACATTATTTGCTATAGCTGGTATAGATACACACCAAAATAAGAATTCATGGGCTAGTCCTCTTATAATTCATTGCATAGTCACTTGTCATTTGCATTTATATTTTGAATTTCCTCATTAATGACTAACCTTTAAATTCAATGCCCTGTGTGCCTGTTTTCTGAGATACATTTTCTTCCTTGATACCATTAATTTGAATATTTATGACTCTTTCTTTATACCTTTCCTTCACATTATTTGTTGCATGTAGATGACCTTGAATTTGTCAGGGATCCTTAACTCTTGTGCAGAATTTTGGCTGAATTACTGTGGTCAAACTGCTTTTTGGTCTAAGCACAGCAAGGGGCGTGAATAAAGTAAAATCGAAATGCTGTCCTGCTGCTGATTTCTTTTGTGACACTAGAGAAATTGCTGGCCTGCTCAACTCCCTTCCCCTCTCATGACTGAGCTGGTAATCAACAATCTTCTCTTCCCAGACTATTAGGTTCTGGGCTTTTTGTGATGTGTCAAATGTTGCAATGGTTTATGCTGTTTTTATTTCAGGGGAGGAGTAGCACTTACTAATCTTACAAAAGTGTTGTGAAAATTAATTAGTTAATGTTCACGAATACTTTGAAGATTAAACACCCAGTGTAAATACTTATTATTGTTTTATGCACACCAAGAGCCTAGCTAGGCAGGCGAATGTGTTTCCCAGAGATGAAAGGATTATGCAACATAGAAAATTGTGGTTTAGTGCTTTAAGTTTGGCAGACAGGTTATTCAGGATTGCATATGTGGGAATTGCTCTCACCAGAGCACAAAGGTCCCAACAAGGCCTGGAATAAAGCCATTTGTTATAACTACTGTTGACTTCCAAAGTATTCAAGCCAAGATGAATTTATTGCATGATATTGAGTGTGATGATAAGGTTGATGAGTTTCTCAGGTAGAGATGAAAGCAAAAGGAAGGGTAGTTCCAGGACTCTGAGGAGCTAATGCTATTGAAGAACCCTCACAACACTATTCAGTGATAAGATGGAGTGCTAATTGACTGGAACCAGGCGTGGTCAATCTCAACACGTTCAGCATGACCCCAGCTGAGGTCAGAGCCATTAAGTAGAGTCTGCAGATCTGGAAATATTATCTTAATCTTGAGCACGGGTAGTGAAGTTTAAATAGGTACAGCTTTTTTGGAGAAGTTGATAACACGTACCTACAGCATTAAAAGGATACAAACATTTAAGTCAGAAATTTCTCTCTTAGGAATTAATTATCATTAGGGATATTTATTTGTTTACTTTTAAAAGTAAAAAACAGGAGCTTACTAGTGGTGGGCTGAAGAGAGGTGGGGAACTCAGGACTTAGAGACAGAGTGTGGACAATTGTTAAAAATTGTAAAAATTTTTAACAATATAAATGTCCAATAATGAAGGATTGATGAAATAAATTATAGTTCCAGCATAAAGTGAAATATTGTAAAGCCATTAGAGATGAGATTCTAGACAGTTGTTTATTAACAAGAAGAGATATCCAAAGTACATTGTTTAAAAAAATCCAGATGGCCGGGCGCGGTGGCTCACGCCTGTAATCCCAGCACTTTGGGAGGCCGAGGCGGGCGGATCACGAGGTCAGGAGATCGAGACCATCCTGGCTAACACGGTGAAACCCCGTCTCTACTAAAAATACAAAAAATTAGCCGGGCGTAGTGGCGGGCGCCTGTAGTCCCAGCTACTCGGGAGGCTGAGGCAGGAGAATGGCGTGAACCCGGGAGGCGGAGCTTGCAGTGAGCCGAGATCGCGCCACTGCACTCCAGCCTGGGCGACAGAGCGAGACTCCGTCTCAAAAAAAAAAAAAAAAAAAAAAAAAAAAAAAAAAAAAATCCAGATAAGAAAAAAATATACCATGATGAAGAGATTTTTGGAGATTTTGAAGTGTATTTTTAATTTTTATTTGTTAGACAGGGTCTCACTCCATCTCCCAGGCTGGATTGCAATGGGTCAGTTTTGGCTCACTGCAACCTCTGCCTCCCAGGTTCAAGCAATTCTCATGCCTCAGCCTCCTGAATAGCTGGGATTACAGCTGTGCGCCAACATGCCCTGCTAATTTTTGTATTTTTAGTAGAGACAGGGTTTTGCCATGTTGGCCAGGCTTGTCTCGAACCCTTGGCCTCAAGTGATCCGCCCACCTTCGCCTCCCAAAGTGCTAGGATTATAGGCGTGAGCCCTGCCTGAAGTATCTTTTTTTTTTTTTTTTTTTTTTTTTTTAAAGGAATACCCAGAATTGCCCAGGCTGGACTTGAATTCCTGGGCTCAGGTAGTCCTCCCACCTCAGCCTCCTGGGTATCTGGGACTATAGGTGTGTGCCACCATGCCTGGCTTTGAAGTATTTTTGTTGTCTTATCCGTTTATCCCTATTTTATAATTTCTCTACACTGAATGTTTATTGCTATTGTAATTAAAAAGAAGTTATTTATAAAAAAAGAAAATATACATTCTCAGCATTCATGGGGAAGGGAATATACAAAATAATAAGGCCATAAGATTTCTACAAAACCTTTGGAAAAAATCCAAAACAAATATATGGGGGAGAAATGAATGATAAAGTAGTTCAGTTGTCTGATCGTTTATCTGGCTTCTTGGCCTTAAGTTTTCCTGAAACCTTGGCTCCGGGTTTTGCCCCTGCTGGCCTTCATGACCAACTCTTCCTGGGCTCAGGGTCACAACCCAGTAGGGCCTCTCCTTAGGCCGGTATGTACTCTTGTCTTCCATGCAAGCTGAGGCTTCAGATACTGGGGATCTACTCTGCACCCACCAGAAGCACAAATTAGCAGTACAGGGGACTTAGTGCCCTGTGGGAAGAGCCTTTGAAGACAGGGGTCAATGGATGTAGTTTCCTTCCTTCCTCTCCCGGCCTCACTGTCCTGAGATGCAGTAGCTCATATGTCTCTCTGAAGACTCTACTGCAAGAATTAGCAATTGGTACCACTCCATACACGGAGGCAGCCAGCTCTCTAAGGCACTTGGGCTCTTCCCTCCTCTGCCCTTTTTCCCATTTCACTTCTTCCCTGCATTGCCTTCTCCAGTAAAGTGGTCTGAAGATCTGCCTCAAGCTCTGCTTTCTGGGGAGCACCAAGCTAAGACACATTTTGTGAGACACAGGCAAAAAAGCACTGGATTTCATAGGTACCATTCATTCAATCAAGTATAAAATAAAAACTAGCATTTACTGAATGGTTTCTGTGTACCAGCTGTAGATATTATATAATTAAATCTCCATAACAATATTTACATTTATAATTGAAGAAACTTTGGACTAGAGAGATTAAGAAACATACCCAAGGTCCCAGAGTGCGGGGTTTGAACTTAGGTGTGTCTAATACCAAATTTGGTGTCCCTCATACCACAGGGTGTACATGGTTTAGAAACATGATCTAAAGAAGAATCTTAAGAGATATTTCCTACTTCAAAAATTGTATAGTTAGGGTAAGCAGCTACAACTAGGACACATAAAGCAATAATAAAGAATGGAAGGTGTTTAATTAAATGTTAAATTGTATGACACAGACTGCAGTTGCTATCAAATTTAGAAATACAAGAGAAATTCACAAGGCCTGAAGGAATCCTTATTGTTACGCATGTCCGTATAAGAGACCACCTGAGCAGGCTTAGTGTGAGTAAAAAATGCAGGTGCGCTGAGTCCGAGAAAGGAGTCGGCGAAGGGTGGTGGGATTATCATTGGTTGTTATAGGTTTGGGATGGGTGGTGGAGTTAGGAGCAATTTTTTGCAGGCAGGGGATGGATGTTACAAAGCACATTCTTAAGGGCGGGAAGAATATAACAAAGTACATTCACAGAGGCAGGAAGGGTGCACTGTCACAAGGGCGGGGAGGAATGTTACAAAGTACATTCACAAGGATGGGGAATATCACAAAGTACATTATCACAAGGGCGGGGGAATGTCACGATGGCTTGACCATGGTGCAGCCAGCTCCGAGGATTTTACACTTACCAGGAAGGATGCTGAACTAAAGCTGAATCTTAAAAGATAGAGGAGACAATCTTTTCTTAAATGATTGAGAAGACAGAGGGAAAAGTGCGTAAAGCCAGAGGTTCATAACTGAGACTACAGAGGAGAGGGTTAGCATGACATGTTTGTGAAATAGAGAGAGAAGTCAGAATAAAAGAAAAATTACCTGTGTGGGACTTAGGCTCAGTTCCTGGGGAGCTGGATTATCATGGTCCTTGAATACAAGCAGAAGCATTTATGTGTGTTTTGTGGGAAGAAGAAGACATTCAAACCTTCTGAGCAGGAGAAAGATATGATAAATCAATGGATAGAATGATTTTTTAGGGAGGAAGGATGTGAAGACAGGGAAATTTCGCTATTGTGTTGAAGTCATGAAATACTATAATATTTTGCCTGGTAGGTGTTGTAAGACTATTGTGTTTATAAAGTAAATGCAGACACAGATCTGATGCAGCAATTATAAAATGGCATATCATGAGTCTTCATTTTATGAAAATATGAGTTAGAAGTCTCTAGAGTCATCTGTTCCAAAGATGTAAGCTCCTGTAACAGTAACATCATATTTAATACTTCTTATGTGCTGGGCACTGTGCTAAGTTCTTAACATGTCATTATTCTTTAAAATTCCTTTATTATCTCCCATTTACACTTGAGGAAACTCATGTTGAAAGAAGTTCAGTAAGTCATTCAAGTTTTGTGGATAGTGAACAGTAAGAGTCTGAATTCCAATCTTGATCTGTTTGACTCTGGTTAGAGTCCTCTCTCTTCTGACTCTTTTGGAAGTCATCCTCCCAAAGCCCTTCCCCTGGGAAGGTGCAAGAGTGCCACTTGTTCTTTACATGCATCTATACCAATTACTTAAAATTTAAGAACTTCTCAGGTTATAAGGATCTCAAAAACCTTTGCATCAACGTAGCCAGCTGACAAATTCTCCAGGTAAGTTGATTTGGCATTGAGAGAATTTAATTCAGAGCAGTTTCCTATCACTCATAGACTATAGCAAAATTAAATAAATACATTTGCCAGCATACTTATGTTGACATACCTGTTCATGATTAAAAAAAAAAAGCCAAAAATCCCCATGGGAAAAAAATTCTAGCAATTAGAGAGAGGAAGTAGTGACATCTTTTAAGAAAATCAATATGAGTTTTTCCACAGGGAGAGCTTGTTGGACTGACAAAAATAAGTGCAAGCAAAACAAGTAAAAATTGGAGATTTTTTTTTTAAAATAGTAAGATCAAGTCCTCCAGTGAGTGCATTTCAGTAGGGTAGGTTTTGTATTCAGGTAAGCTGGGTGGCAGCCTCCCTGCTGCAATCTGAGGGGTTCTGAAAGAGATTTCTCAATCTAATAGAACTGCACATTCATAATTACAGGTGCTTGCAATTTCAGCAATTAGGTATTCCTTTCTGTCTTCAAATAAAGGCTTTGGGGCCTTCTGAGTTACTTATTAAAATGCAAATACTCCTGGGAAGCATAACACCTTGGATTCTTTTCTGGTAATGTGTGGAAGATTTAATTTAATTCAGTTCATTTCAGTTCACTTGACGTCGATTTAATTCATTTGAGTTCCTACTAAGTGCAAAGCTCTTTGCTGGATCTTCACTGTGGGAAGAAAAGAGAAATTTCAATCTTTCATCAACTTCTTAAAGGGACAGATAGTAAATATGTTTGTCTTTGTGGGCTATATGATCTCTTTTGTAATACTCAACTCTGTCATTGTAACCAGAAAGCAACATGTACATCGATGATCATGGCTATGTTCCAGTAGAACCTTATTTACCAGACAGGCTGTGAGCTGGATGCTGACCCCTGCTCTAGATGCTTATAATCAGGAAGGGATTTACTTAAGCTTATTCTCTGATGAAATAAAACCCCAAGAGGAATTTGTAGGACATTTGACTTAACTGGAAAATCACTGGAATCACTTGGAGAAGCTTCTAAAATAGGCATGTATGAGTCACCCGCTCAGGCCTAGAGATTCACAGGGAATTGGTCTGGGGGTGTGACCTGGGCATGGGGATTTTCAAAGCTCTCCAGTATTAGGGTTGCTAATACGCAATAAAGTTTGAAAAGCACTATTGAGGGCAATATCTCGAAATATTGTCAGATGCAAGGAGGCTCCAGCAGGCAGTATAGGGCTGGGGAATGGGGATTAACAAAGGCTTGCCGTGTTTTTCACTCTTTTGGGAAAAGAACAATTAGGATGGAAATTTTTCCATCACACTGCGGAACTCAAAAGAAGTTTAAGAAACTTTATTTGCAGAGAGTTCAGCAACTCGTGATGTGTGGTTTTAAAAAATCAGAACAGACTGAACATGGGAAATACTGCAGCCCCAATCCCTTCCGTTGGCCTGGCTCTGGAACACCTGTATTCAGATGCTCCCTGTGTTAGTTTCCAAGTGCTGCTGTAACAAAGTCCTACAAACTGTGGGACTTAAAACAATAGAACTTTACTATCTTATGGTTCTGGAGGCTAGGAGCCTAAAGTCAGGGTGTCAGCAGGGCCATGATCTCTCAGGGACGGAGGGGAGGATCTCTTCTATCCCTTTCTCCTAGCTTTGGTGGTTATTGGCAGTCAATCCTTAGTGTTCCTTGCCATCTAGATGCAGCACTCTAATCTCTGCCTCCATCATCATGTGCTGTTCTCCTCTATGTGTGTCTATCTCTGTGTCTTCTCTCCTCTTCTTATAAAGACACCAGTCATCTTGGGTTAAGGGCTCACCCTACTCTACAATGACCTCATTTTAACTTACGTTGAATTAGATCTGCAAAGACCCTATTTCCAAATCAGGTCACATTCACTAGTACTGGGTGTTAAGACTTCTACATATCTTTCTGGAGGACAAAATTCAACCCCAAACACTACTTCATGAGGATTTTCTTAATCCTAGTTTTTGAAGAACAGAAATAACATGGAATAGTGAAGGAGCTTGAATCCTGAGGCAGAATTTGTGGCCTCATCTGTAAAATGTGACTAAGAATCAGGAAAAATGATATTCAGGAGACATGCGAAGATGCTTTTCAAAAGAAAAAGCTCTATAAAATTTAAAGTATGAAATATAAGGGTACCTAAGTAAATCAATTAAAAATGTGTATATTATGTAATTAGACAGTCTGGGTTGAATTAAGAAGGAAGCTCAAGGCCACATTCATGGTCTCTGCGGTGGTAGTGAAGTCTTGGTGTACAGGGCAAGTTTTAACCACAAACCACTAGAGCTTAGGGTGTACCCTAATCACTCCTGGGGAAGATTGTGCTTTGGAAAGATGTTGTCCCTTTAATTTCTAGGAAGCAATAAACACAGCTTGTTCTCATTTTGCCAGTTTGTCACAAAGAAGGGTGGCTCCTCTGGATAAATCACCTACCTCCTTATTTTCTCAATGGAAAGAACACATCTGAGTTGCCACTTCAAGCACTGAGTAGACTCAGCACCAAGTGAGAAATTGCATGGCATTGTAGAAAATTGAGAGAACTCGTGCCTTAAGTTGGGCGAGACATTGTGCCTCAGTGTCTTTCTTCTGTAAAATGGAGAAAAGAGACCAGTACCAGAGATTTGCTGTGAGTGTTCATTGAAATAAGAGGTAAGCTTCATGGCAAGTGGTTGGTGGTCAATACGTTAATAAGGCATAGGGACAGAAGACTGGCATTTTAATTCTTTGCAATTCAAAGCCAGCATTAGGATAAGACTGTATTAGCAGAGTTGAAGGGACAAAAGATGCCCTGTAGAATGCTAAAATGGCTACTCAGGAAGATCAGTAGTGCTCAGGATGGACCGAAAAAAGTTTTGCCAAGAGAGATGAAGTCTCTCTTCGAAGCCTGTGTCTTCATGTGTGCAGGATTGAGGGAGGGCCACGGCCCCAGCAGGCAGCTTGAGCTGGATGGCCAGAGTCCAGTTGGCACTGTGTCTGCCCAGGTGAATACTCACCCAGAGGACTGCCAATCAACAGCAGCAGGTGCCAGCCACAGCCAAAGGCCGGCTTCTACAGGGCAGGTGGGTAAAAAGCGCTGCTCCATTCCCCCACCCCTCCCATGACCCAGAGCTTAATTTTCATTTGCAGAGTTTCCATTTGGCATACTGATCTTCCTTTAGTGGGGAATACCAATAAAGCTGGGGTCAGCTGGGGCCTTGAGTCTTCCTCTATGAAGAATTTAAAATTACTCCAATGGTCGTTGTGGGCATCCACAGGGCAAAGAAAAGTCTGTTTATTCATTTTCCCCCCTTTCCTCCTTCTCCCAACTTCTTCAGAACTTTTGCCCTCTTTGTCACTTTGTTGGGTTGCCAATCGACCTTCCCTTCTCCTCCCACTTAGAGATGGGGTTCCTAGCTTCAGGCAGTGAGGTTGAGGGAGAATTGGTCAGAGGCACAGATTTTGAAGAGAAATGAGAACTGATGATTCTGTTCGAGGAGATGATGTCTCATTTATTAGCATCTGTGTGTGCGTGTGTGTGTTTGTGTTGGGGATGGTGGTGAGAGTGTTTTCAGGCCTGTTATTAAAATGAATCAAGAATAGAGACTTTCACCCAGGGACCAAAAAAGAGGGGTATCTGGACGATAAATTACCATCAAGCCAGTCTCTCTCCTCACCCTCCTCCCATCCCACTCTTCCATGTGGGTAAAATCAGGAGTATATTAATTGTAGGGTAATTAAAATGCTGTGGGTGAAAGGGTGAGATTAAAGGTTGGAAAGTTGAATTAGCAGGTGCCTGTTCTAAAATGCAGGTGAGCTGTTAGCCCTGAAGCAATCAAGAAAAGAAAACCAAACTACTGCCAACTAATAATGCATGTCAAGTCTCATCTCCTTGTTGTCTCCTCACATTTGGATGCAAACCCAGCCTAATTTATAGCAGGAGACAACATGGCAAAAGGGGGTTATTTTGGTTTTCTTTTGTTTTGGAATTCTGAATATGCAACTTTGGATTTGGTAGCCTAAGCCTGAAAAGCGACTAGTTGTCAGTGAGAAGTAAAGCAAATGTACCCAGAGTTGATTCAGATCTTAAAATGATTAGGGGTGAGTGTTTACTCTCAGAACAATTCATGACTTGGGAAGATCAGAATATGTTTACTTGACTTGCTGGGTGAATCTCTCATTAAAAGCATTACACAACCATTGCAAAAATTAAAAATCACGTTTTGATTTTTCAAATTTTCATTTAACACCACAACACAAAATTTTATGCTAAATCAAGTATGAGAAAGGTGCTTGGAAAAGCACCTGAGGAAAGAGGGGCTTCAGCAATACAAGAATAATGTGAGAAGCGAGACAGATGAGCAGCATCAGAAGCGGAGGGGCATGAGCGAGATGGTCCTACATTTCAGGGATGGTGAGAATACTGTTCACTGGAGATCAGGGAAGGCTTCTCAAGAAAGAGGCATTGGGGGTTAGGTGTCAAAGAGGAGAAGTGGAGATTAAGGGGAGGACTGTGGCTTTAGATAAGGAATAGAGATATAAAAAGAACATGCATGGACTCTGTTGTAATAGTCCCATAGTCCATTTCGGACAAAACACAGGCAAAGACAGATTTTCTGTGTCAGTGTTTCTCAGCCCTGGTTGTGCATTATAGAAACCCTAGGGAGCTTCTAAAAACCCCAATGCCCAGGCCACATCCTAGATCGACTGAATCAGAAAACCGAGGAGCGGGATCCAGGTGATTCCAGTGTGCTGGCAAAGTGAGAAAGAGCCTGGCTTTAGCTGATCATTACAAATGAGTTCTTGGTCCTATTCTCAATTAAGGTAGCCTGGAGAATAAAAGGTACATTAAAAAAAAAAAGCCCATTGATCTAGTTTGACTAAATTATCTAGAGGAGCATTATTAAATAGCTTTCTTATTCACTTCAGAAATGAATATGGGAATAGCGGTAGAGGAAGATGGGACTAGAAAAAGAGTGTGGCTAAGTCACGGACGACCTTAATACCAGGCCAAGAGTTTTATTCATTAGGAAATTCTGTTCATTAGGAAATAGGCAACAGGCAACACTGACAGTTTTAAGTTGTGGCGTGATCAAAAGTCACAGCTGTGGTTAGGGATATTTATACGTTGGGTATTAGTAGGATGGAAGTGATGAAGGGAGAGAGGCCAATTAGGCCATGATTGCTCTGAGGATGGGAAGTACGTGAATGTGGAATCTTGGGGCAATAGAACGGACAGAACGTAGTGTAGCAAAGCTTCTCTCCATAACGTTCCTCTGGCCAAGTGAGAAACATGAAGATTAGAAGTGCAGCACATGCCTTCTGAAGAAGCCAGGGTGAGTGGGGCACATGCCACTTTAGCCTGGGTTGGAGATATGCTACAAGGGGCAGGAATAGAGATGTAGGGATGAGAGGATACAGATTCTGAATAGAGACAAGATAGTTTGGTCTTCTGAAGGGTTTCCATTTTGGGGATGTGTGTTTGTATTTGATTTCAGATTCACTGAGGGAAAGGGGAAAGAGTTATAGTTTGGGGTCACCCACCTCCCTCAGTCCCTAACCATGGGACTGCCCTCATAATCCCCTTTTCTGACACAAAAGGGAAGAAATAGTTTCATGGTATAGCATGGTATGAAAATCACAAAAGGTATAAAATTCAGAAAGAGGATGTGGTCAGAGTATTAAAGGCTACAAAGAAGTCACAGTGGGTGAAGACCCTGAATAGTCCTGAATGACAGCAAAGTTTCCCATGAGTGTGCAGAGAAAAGTTAACATGGCAGGCCTGAGACAGCTCTCTTAGGCCTGCTTGTAAGGGTGGCGCCAGGCTAGCATCTGAAATCTTAAATTTCAGGAAGGTTTCCACAGTTGCCTAACTGATGAGTGGCTCACTGTGCCTGAACTGTGCGATTGACTTACGCTGAACACCTGCATTTCTTCTTGGAGTACGACATTTTGGCAAGTGCTAGGCAGAGAGTGCCTAAGTGACCAGCCTCCAGCATAAGCCTTGGGCACTGAGTCTTTAATAAACTTCCCTCGTAGACAACATTTCCATGTGTTGTTGCAACTCGTTGCTGAAGGAATTTAGTGTGTTCTGTGAGAATCCACTGGGAGCGGACCCTTAGAAGCTTGTGCCTGGTTTCCTCTGGGCCTCACCCGATGCTCCTTTTTCCATTTAATTTTGCCTTGCCTCCTTTTGCTCTAATAAATCATAGCTGTGACTATATGCTGAGTCCCGTGAACCCTAGTGAATCACTGAACACGAGAGTGGTGCTGGGAACCCTTGACAATCAGAATGAGGAAAATTTAAGAGCATTAATTTGGTCAGAAAAACCGGGAGATCTTGAATGCAGAAATTTCTAATAGCTGAATTAAGTGAGCCTATGTGCTTTGGAAAGTAATAAGGGAGAAAAATTTGGCTTTACTTTTTTGTTTGTTTTTGATGGAGTCTCGCTCTGTCGCCCAGGCTGGAGTGCAATGGTGCGATCTCGGCTCACTGCAACCTCTGCCTCCCAGGTTCAAGCAATTCTCCTACCTCAGCCTCCTGAGTAGCTGGGATTACAGGCTCCTGCCACCATGCCCAGCTAATTTTTGTATTTTTAGTAGAGACGGGGTTTCACAAGTTAGCCAGGCTGCTGTCAAACTCCTGACCTCAGGTGATCCACCTGCCTCGGCCTCCCGAATTGCTGGGATTATAGTCATGAGCCACCGTGCCCGGCCTGGATTTACATGGTTTATCTAAGCTTTCTGCTCATGATTAAAGCTGAAAGCTGGTGTTTTCTCCTTTAAAGAAGTAAAGCGTGAACATAGTGAAAAGAGCATGTTATGAAAACAAACTTTGAGAGGAACAATTACTGAGTCTTTATAGCTGTATTGTGAATTTAAAAAATTTTTAAACTTCCTATTTTGTTTCCTGCTGCCTCTTGTTGAGCTGTGAGCACCTTGCCCAGGTGTCCAGGCACACTAATGTGATAACGCTGGTCCCTATCACAAGTTTCCCATCACTGCCCTCCCTCAACCGTGACTTAGTAACATTCAAATGCACCAGTGAAATCCCTTTTCCTGTGTACTCCACCCTGACTGCCAGTGAAGGCACCTGACCACAGGTCCTCACTCTCTCTCGGCTCTCCCCACTGCTTGGCTGAGCCCGCTTCCTTGGCACTCCTCCCATATGGCCCCCTCTCAGCATGCAGTAACTGGCTCTCCAGGACTTGCAAGTATCACACATCTTGTTTCCTGGAGGCTCTCCTGTGTCTTCTTTTGTGGCTGTACTTGACTGACCTTTTCCTAAAGGAACACAGAACAACAATACCACTCAGTGACATCTATTTTCCCATGTCGAATTTCAACATAATAAAAAAAGTACATGATAAATGCTTAGCAAAGTAGCGAGAAAGGCTAATGAGGTAAATGTGCATGTTTTACCTGCATTAGTCAACTTGGGCTGCCATAGCAAAATACCATAGACTGGGTAACTTAAACAACAGAATTTGTTTTTTCACAGTTCTGGAGGCTGGAAGTCCAAGATCAAAGTGTCAGGATGGTCCCATTCTAGTGGGGACCCTCTTCCTGGCCTGTAGATGGCCACCTTCTTGCTATGTCCTCACATGGCCTTTCCTCTGTGTGCATGACGAGAGAAATCTCTAGTTTCTCTTGTTCTTCTTACAAGGCCAACAGGTCTATTGGATCAGGGCTCCACTCTTATACCTCATTTCACTTTAATCACCTCCTTAAAGGCCCTTTCTCCAATGCAATCACATGGAGGGGGCTTAGGGCTTCACGACATTAATTTAGAGGGAACACAATTCAGTCCATAGCACTACACATCTTGCCAAACCTTCACTTGACCTCCAACCACCATCTTTTTTCATAACCATCTTCCTCAAATGAGAGGGTATAGCTATGTACATTTCTTCACCAGACATCATGCTTTGAACGCTTCATAATCTGTTTTACTCTCTCAAAACTCCACTGAAATTTCTTTCTTTTCTTGGTTTTCACACTCCTTTACTTCTCTGTTGTATCCATGGTGTTTTCTGTCCCTGCGTCTCACAATTCCTTGCTCTTGTGGCTTTTCAGTGTATTCATCCGGTTTGTAATAATTTATTTGCCCTCTTTTTTTCTTCCAACTGCTTTTTGAAAACGTTTAATTTGAAAAAATACAAAATTGGAGAGAATAGTGTACTAAGCTCTCATGTATCCACCTCATCATACTATGGCAAATCTATTTTTATTGATATCCCCCTCCCCAGGATTATTTTGAAACAAATCCTAGATAACATATTATTCATACAAAAATGCTTCAGAAAGTATTTCTTATATATTTACAAAATTACAACCACAATACTATCGCATCTAAAGAAATTAACAGTAATTCTTTAAATATCATCAAATATCCTGAAAGTGTTCAAAGATTCCTGATTGTCTCATAAATATTTTTTCATAGTTAATTTGCTCAAATTAGAATCCAAATAAAACTCAAACACTGGCCAGGTGCGGTGGCTCAGGCCTCTAATCCCAGCACTTTGGGAAGCCAAGGCGGGTGGATCACCTGAGGTCAGGAATTTGAGACCAGGCCAGCCAACATGGTGTAACCTTGTCTCTACTAAAAATACAAAATAATAATAATAATTAGCTTGGCGTGGTGATGAGCGCCTGTAATCCCGGTTATTTGGGAGGCTGAGGCAAGAGAACCACTTGAGCCTGGGAGGCGGAGGTTGCAGTGAGCCGACATTGTGCAGCTGCACTCCAGCTTGGGTGATGGAGTGAGACTCTGTCTCAAAAAAACAAAACAAAAACAAAAAAACTCAAACACCACAAGGTTGATGTGCCTCTTCAGTATCTTTTAATCTACAGATAACACCTCCCTTTTATGTTTAATTTTTTGAGACAGAGTCTTGCTCTTCACCCAGGCAGGACTGCAGTGGCGCAATGTTGGCTCACTGCAAGCTCCACCTTCCGGGTTCACACCATTCTCCTGCCTCAGCCTCCCGAGTAGCTGGGACTATAGGCGCCTGCCACCACGCCCAGTTAATTTTTTGTATTTTTAGTAGAGACGGGGTTTCACCGTGTTAGCCAGGATGGTCTCGATCTCCTGACCTCGTGATCTGCCCGCCTCAGCCTCCCAAAGTGTTGGGATTACAGGCGTGAGCCACCGCGCCCGGCCTCCCTTTATGTTTTGTTTTTTAATTTATTTTTTGAAGGCAGCAGGTTATGCATCCTCTGGAGTTTCTCAAGTTGAGATTTTGTTGATTGCATTCCATGGTGTCATCGCTGTAAATGGTGGTAAAATCTAGTAAGGCTTGATCAGATTCAAGTTCAATTTTTTTCCCCAATAATATTTTAATTTTAGGCTGTGATACCAAGTGCTGTTTCTCATCCTTGGTCTTCAGGGTGGACTCTTGCTAAGCTTCAATCTTTAGAACTCAGTTCTTACGTTCTTTAGGAGTAGTAATATGTACCCAAATTTTAGCTATGATTTCTAAAAAGTGAGAGAATGTTGGCCTAAGATGATAACAGAATTTAGCACTGAAAGAAAAGTTAGACAGCAGTCAACGCAGGGCTCTGAGAATGGTGTTTTCTAATCTACTTTGTGAATAATGAGCTCATAGGCAAATAATTTTGGGAAAACCCCGAGTAAGTAAACTAACACAATTTTCTTTACAATATAAAGGTACATTGCAAATCTAAGGAGGGAGATATGGTAATTAGTGTTTCCTAAACTTATTTCACCATACAACTACCCTTCGCATGATGATATTTATTGAAGTTCTCTTATAAACAGTGTTTTACACTGAGAATGCTGAATAATTGGGTCACAGTGAAGGTCTAGGACTCTCAACACTGTTTATAATGTAGTAAGCAGATAAGCAGATGTTTTATCTGAACTGCTTTGTACAGAATAAGACAATTTACTTAAAAAAAAAAAAAAAAGAATCTCCCGCCTTCACCTAAGTTTGAGCGCTTCCCACCACCCCCCACCCCGCCCCCGCCCCCAGCAAGCCTGCCTTTCCCCTTGGGAATACACTGTCAACAAAACACAGCAATGAAATCAGCTTCATCACTCTTAGTATCTCTTCTCCCTTTCTTCTGCAGTAAGATAATACCTGCTTTTTAACAATGGACTTCCAGACTAAAGGTTATATATTCTAGCATAGTAGCTGTTGTTTCTCAGTGTGTAGTACAATTAAGGGCAGAAAAATTCAAATTGGTTCTTAGGAATATGAAGAGATGCCTTATTAGCAGAATAAAAAATATTAACACTTGATAATTCCCAGAAACATAATGGGCTCATGTTTGACTGCATTTTGAATCCCTACAGCTCTCACATCTCTTTAATTTTTTCTACTGTTGTTTCCTGCATTCACTGAGTTAGCATTTCTCGAATATGCTTTGGGCTCTGTGTTTACTATGACAGATATGCCATGCTTCTTGTTGGGGGCTGGACATGGTGGATGACATCAGTCACACAAACTGTTGATTATAACGAGTAGTATGTGCAGTGATGCTTTATGCAGGGTACTATGGGAGCACAGTGGCACTCTTATTCTGATTAACCTTGTCACTAGTAAGTCATTTTAAATTCTCAAGACTTAGGACAGTGTTTCCTACTTTTGTTTCCTCCACACAGCATGGAACAGTTCTGGGAACACAGCACTGATAAAACTCTTAGGGATGAATTTACCTATACCTGTGTTTCAGCCTTGTGATCTGGTGAGTATTCAGCTAATTTTCTTGTGGTCTTTTCCTCCCTTTGTTAGGCAAAAATTATACAAATGTAAACCAGCTGAGTTTTACAGTGTGGTTTGATGGCAGCAAGTTTGAGAGGGACAAAATACCATTATGACCACCTGCCAAAATTTCCCTTTGCAACCAGGAAAGCCAGACCCTGACATGCAAAGCCTCTTGGACATCTGGAATGAATTCCTTTTGTTATGTGTGTATGGGTGCTTTCCAAGAAAGGGAAGTTCCAGATTTAAGAAAGGAGTGAGAAACTTTTATCAGGAAAAATTATTCACAATTAAGAGGTACTTTGCTCTAGCTGTGGGTCACAGGAAAAGTTTACAAATGTCCAGTGAATCTGCTTCTTGACTTCTCTGAGTTCTGCAGTCATAATGAATTGTGTTCTTCCTTAGCTCTTGACAGAAGTCACCCTCTAAAGTTAGATCTGAGCAAAGAGTCTTAATTGGCCGATAGATCCCAAGTGACTTTTGGTTCACATATGGAGAGCAGTTTTGTTATGTCAAATCCCAGCAGTTTAGCTTTGTGTCTAACTCTGGATAAAAATGTTGATATTAAACTGGTAGCAAGTAAAAGCAATTCTAATTTTATGTTGCATAAACTAAAGCTCCTTCTTTTGACAAAAACTAAAGGATTTAAAATTACTTCTTGTTGATGTCTCTATAAAACTATGAACCTTCTAGAGGCTCCAATATATCGAATTACATACACATGTACATTCACACCTACAGAAGTCACCTATCTCCCTGAATGAATTTATGTTTATGTAACTACTTACATACTTGTGCCCAAAGGCTTATATTCATGAATGGAAATGGACCCTAGCTGATGGTATTGAGCAGTAAAATTTTATGTGAGAGTTTTGGGTCTTTGCTGCTGAGATAGGAATCTTGCTGAATTTTAAAGGTGACTAGTTAAAAGAAATAAAACATAGTTCACCCTTTCAGTTGGAGGAGAACAGAGTATTTAACAATAGGTTTCCTCTTTGAACTGATGTTCCATGGGAAGAATGGCTGATAATAAATGGAAATGGTGGCTCGAAGAATGTTGTAAGTTTACTTCCTGAGAGAAGTCATTTAGAATCTATCATTTCTGAGGCAGATATAATTTCACTGATCCTTTTGTCTCTTTATATTCTTTTGTCTCTCTATATTCTTTATATCCTGCAGATTTGGCACTAGTTACTATATTTCTTTGTGTTGACCCTGGTCAAATGAGCTTGAGCTACATTATTGTTGTTTCTTGTTTTTCTCTTCTTTTTTCAATGACTCACATTTTCACTAGATTAAGAATAATATTAACCTCTTTTTGGTGTAAAGTATAGCACTGTGACATGTAATATCTCATTGTAACTGAGCTTTGCAATATATTTGCAAGGAAAGTAGAGGTGGTAGCAATATCTCTGTTTGGCATATGAGGAAACTGAGGCTTAGAGAGCCTAAGTGAATTTCCTAAGCTTTCACTGCCAGGACCAAAAAGAGCTCCAGCTTGGTTCTCAGTCTCATATTTCAGATGCTTTTTCCAACATACTTCATTGCTTTTACTGGGCAACTGGCTTTCAAACATGTGGTGTGCACAGTTGGTATGTGTGGGACATTCAAGTGAACTTACCTAAAGGCAACAGAATAATCATTTGGAAGGACTGACCCAAATAGACACAGCTCTCTACCCGTGTGAGCAGCAGGTTAGAATGTGGGCAGGCAGCCCAGAATGTGTCTCCTCCCGGGCAGACAGACAGGAATCTCTCTGGAGACTGGCCAGGAGGCCAGAAGGTCTCCCAGAGACTCAAGAGGGCTGCCAGGAGGAATCTATAATGATTCCATTTTAGGTTTAAAGGACATTATAGTCACAGCAGGCGTATCTAGTACTATACATGATGCTGACACAAATGCACATATATTGGCGTCTGATGTAGATAGATGATATCTTGCTGTGAAGGGTGAACGAACAGGCAGTTTTCTACTTTTAACTTTCAGTCAAACCAATCAACATAAACCAGCCAGCAGCGTATGTGGGATGACAGATACTTCCAGATCTTTGCTGATTGCACTAGCCGGATAATTAATTTGGGCATAAGTCATGGTTGGACTCCTCTGCCACTGCATGTTCAGATTTTTCCCACGACTGATTGTGGCAGAGGCTGCTAATTTTCTACCCAACATCCACTTCGTTCTCCTTTTTCAGTAATAGGACTCTGTTTTTGTAGAGGACAGCCAGAGTATAATTAAAAGACCATTTTCTACATTTCCACTTTGCAGCCAGGAGTGGCTGTGTGGGTATGTTTTAGTCAGTGAAAGGTTAGCAGAAATATGTAGGACTTTTGGGAGATTTTCTTAAAGAGAAGTGGATTGACCTCCCTTCTTGCTGCCTGGAATGTGGGTGTGCTCTAGAAGCTATCTTGTAAGTGTGGTGACCAGGCTGCCATCGTAGGAATCTAAGAGTAGGGGACAGGCAGGAGCTTGAGTCATCCAAAACTCCATGAAGCTGCTTTGACAGTCTTGGCCTGCTGACCTCCAGACTTATTTTGTGTGTAGGGAAATATGCTTCTAGCTTGCTTAATACGCTGTGGTTGTTCGTTATATTGCAGTGGGGACCTTACACCAAGTGATGCCTAGATGGGCACATGGTGCTAGAAGAGATCTAAAATGCGATAAAAATACAGGTGAAAAAAGATTTTAAAATATAAAGGAAGAAATAATTTGGGGTCTAATAAGAAAAGAAGCGAGTGATTGTAGCTGGGTGATATTTAACTCCGCTGTTTTCCAATTCTTTCTGCTCCTGCCCTTTGCCCTACTCTTTAGGCACCACTGCCCTGATGGCAGAAATGATACAGAGAGCAAAGTGTCAAATTACTGGCTTCCAAAGGTCTGTGTAGGCTCTTAATAGTCTATAGAAAATATCATAATGTTTTTAACTTACGTGACTTTATTATGGAGAATTTACAACTCACTCAAGAGTAGGTGGAGTTGTATAGTAATCCTCTATACTCGCCATCCAGTTTCAACAACCATTCATCCTTGGTGAATCCTGTCCCATCTACACCTGCATCCACTTCTCTCTTCTCATTGCTTTTAAAATAAATTTCATATTTTGGCATAATTTTAGATTTATGGAAAAGTTGCAAAGATAGGACAATTTTCACATACTCTTTACCTATGTCTCCCTATCTTACGATTCCATGGTACGTTTGTCAGAATGAATATGTTAGTATTGATGTGAAACTATTAATTAAATCTAGACTTTATTCCTATTTCACCAGTTTTACCACTAAAATTCTTTCTCTTTTCTAGAATTCAATCCAAGATACTACATTGCATTTAGCCCCTTGTTATTTTGAAGCATATCCCAGGTATCAAGTAGTTTTACCTTTAAGTATAGTTGGCCCTCCATATCCATCAGTTCCACATCTGTGGATTCAACCAACCGCAGATTCATTTTTTTTTTTTGTTAAAGATGGTTGCATTTATACTGAACGTGTGCAGATTTTTTTTCTTGTCATTCCCTAAACAATACAACTATTTACATAGCATTTACATTGTATTAAATGTAAATCATCAAGAGATGACTCAATGTATGCAGCAGGATGTGAGTAAGTTATATGCAAATACTACACTATTTTATATCAGGAACTTGAGCATTTGTAGATTTTGGTATCTGTGGGCGTCTTGGAATGAATTCTCCAGGGACAACAAGGGACAACTGTATTTTAGTATACATCTCTAAAAGACAAGGACTCTTTTGCTTTAATGCAAATACAAAGTAATCATCACACCCCCAAAATAGCAACGATTCCTTAATATCGTCAACATCAAATCAAATATTTTCTTGTAAATGTCATGTCCTTCTTACACCTTTTTTTTTTTTTTTCTAATCCTGGATCCAAACATGACCTGAACAATAAGATTAGCAAATATGTCTTTTAAATATCTTTTATTCTATAGATTTCCCCTCCATTTCTCTCTTTTTTTCTTTGCAATTTATTTGTTGAAGAAACAAGTTTGTCCTGCAGTTTTGCCATCCAGGTTTTTCTGATCATATCCTTGAAGAGTAGGTACCTGTGTTACACTATGCTTTGCATTTTCATAAATTGACTGTAGAGATTGATCGGATTTATTCATTTACTTATTCAGTGAGTTTTGGCAATAATATAGGAAGTGGTGGGTTTTTCCAACAATAGGCACATACCATACTGTCTGGTTTTCTCTCTTTTTGGTGTTTGTGGCTGTTAATGTCCTCTGTTATAGAGGTTGCAAACTGGTGATATTGTAATTCTAACATTTCTTCTTCATTTATAAGCTGGAATATTTTTTATAAAGATCATGTTTTCTCCATCCACTTATCATTTGGTTATTGTGGTGCACACCATAGAAGAAGGCAAAATAAATGCTGATTTTTTATATACCTTATTTGTCACTTCTAAAAATAATGAGTTGGTTCACTATTAGCATCCTCCAATGTTGACCAGATAATTTAGAGTTCATAGTCAAGAAAATAAAGTGTTTCGTATGTGAAAGAGCAGGTGCTTGAGACAGAGTGTTTAGTATTCCCAAAATTTGTAGCTTGAGAGAGCAGACACCAAAACCCAGAGAGCTGTGAGCATGGAGAGAGAGACAGAGAGAGACAGAGAGAAGGAAACACCTAGATACATTTGGTAGAATCTGAGAGCTACAGACTTGGTGCCCCTGCTCTAAGCTATCCTCAAGGCCAATCTGGTACTGGAGCAGCTGGTATTGTCATGACAGTAGCCAATGACTAAGGCAGGCACTTAGTCAGGGAGTCCCAAGGACAGCCTCACTATGAGCCCAGAGCAGTGCAGAGAAGGTGGGTGCAAGCTCCTGAGTCCCAGTGGGGGCTCAGAAGTGCTGAGAGGACCAGCAGGCTGTAGGAGGCCTGTGGTTGTATGCGAACAACAGAGTTTGATGAATACCAGGTTGAGAGAATTTCACATCTAAGTCCAGGTGGGCAACCTATACCTGCACAGAAGCTGATGGGACACAGAGTGGCATGCGAACCAGACACTAGAAAATAGAGGCCCAGAGGAGAAAGAAAGATGGGCCTGGGGATAGGCCAGCCCTGAATTTGATCCGTTATTGCCCAGAAGAGATTATTTTCATTTTTTCAGAATTGAAAAAACTTAGCTCAGGGTTTCCATTTCCACACATTAGCAGAAAAACTATCTTTCCAATTCAAAGTTACATTCTAGTAAACTGATTTCACTTACATAGACATAAAGAGAGTAAGATGACTGCCCATCTAGGACTGTAAATTTAAAACTCTAGATAAGTATAAGCTCTTTAATGTTTGAAAGAAAGGGAGTCATCGGGGTGCTTGAACTAGTCACTCTGCCCTCAGGGAAGGAGGCAGAGAATGGGCTGGCCCCAGGGTTATGAAGTGGGGTAGAGATGGAGGGTGGAATAGGAGGGGCATCCGTTTAGGGTTCTGGCTGCTTTTCTCTTCAAAGGTTTGCTTCAAACACACTGGAATGTCATGGGGACTTAACTTGGTAAAGTAGTGCTCACCTAAGAAACCTCTGGAGAAAGTTCTTAACTGGCATTGTTAGACCTCACCTCAAATCATACCTCCCTAAATCCTGTATTCGTGTGTTGGGAGGAGCGTCAGTTCACCCTGCAATGTGTGTAGGGGGCAGTTGGATTTATTACTGTTATTTGCAAGATTCAGGTGTGTAAATTACCTTATATTTTTCTCAGCTCTATCTCCCCATCTGTAGAATGAAGGGAATTTGGCCTAAGAACTGGACAGGGTTCACCATGAGTCCATAAGTCTCAGGTAGCTGCCTCATCTACAGCTGTCATATTAAGTAACGTAGCCCAGGGGCACTCTTTCTTGCACAGATACTACAGCTACTGCCACATTGTATTTAGTGATATAAAACTTTCCCCCCAGGGGAGTAGAGAACTATTGCCTGTAGCATTTACTCCTTGTTCAAAGGAATTCTTTTTGCCCCTCACTCCAGCCATGGAAGTTTCACTGGACCGGATACTCTCAGTGCTTGGTCACATGATCCTTCCAAACAAATAAGAATTTTTTCTTGAGGCTTTTTTGTTTATTTTGTTTTCTTATTTACAACAGTGGGGACAGAATATTTTTCTCTGTTGATAGAACTGGGAAAATGTAAGATATTGGTAGTAGTGGGTATAGCCTTGAGGAAAAATTTCTCATGCAGAGAACCACAGTAAAGAGAAACCTAGAGAACCCTGTTTCATCAGAGTCCTGGTTCCTGTTAACTTCAGGCCTTTACCACCACCTTTACTGAGATTGGGAGATGCCAGACAACAAAGACCTCTTTTCATATGAACTAGATATAACTTACTTTCATTTGTAGTCAAAACAGTATTAATTAAACTAGTTAATGGGATCCAAAAAGCCAGTCACACATGGGGTAGAAACTGGGGAGGCCTGTAGAGTGGCTTAGTGTGAATTCCTGGCTCACCGCAGTGCTCCTTACTGAATGGCAGAATACTGGCCCTACTTTCACTTGGGAAAAAAATGAATTCTAGATAAACAAAAGAAGTGGGCCAATTGAGTTCAGGTTCCTTCCACAAATATTTTGAGCTACTGTTCTGTTTTTCCACGAAGTCCACTGTGTATCCCAGTCCTCTCAAAGCTCTATGACTAAGTAAGATTGCATTACGTAGAATTCCTTTTATATTCTTTTTTTTTTTTAGACAAGGTCTCTCTCTGTTGCCCAAGCTGGGGTTCAGTGGCTTGATCAGGGCTTACTGCAGCCTCAACCTCCCAGGCTCAGGTGATCTTCCCAGCCTCTTGAGTAGCTGGGACTACAGGTGTACACCACCATGCCCAGCTATTTTTTGTAGAGATGGGGTTTTGCCATGTTGCTCAGGCTGGGCTCAAACTCCTGGGCTCAAGAGATCCACCTGCCTTGGCCTCCCGAATTGCTGGGATTACAGGCATAAGCCACCACGCCAATTCTGTATATTCTTTTAATAATCCTCAATATGAAGGTAATTTTTGCATATGTCCTCTGGGCAACTACAAACCAACAAATATAACCACGATCAGCGATTCTCAGTGGGTACCATGGAGTCACTGTAAACCTTTTAAAAGACAGAATTTTGATATAAGTGGGTTTGAAAACTCCACAGGTGATGTACAAAATGCATCCTGATTAAGATTCCCATTCCTGGATTTTCTTTCAAATTCCATGATTGTGGAAAAGTTGCTTAGATGGACATTAGGTATTGATGAGTGGGCAGTGAGCTGTATCAATCTATAACTATGTTAAAATCCCAGAAAAGTGATCAGCCTATAAACAGCTATCCACATCTCCAGTTTTACCAGGTGAAAAGAGCTACTGTCAGCTTGGCTTCCTCCTTCTAGAAATAGAGTCATACTTTGGATTTAATATAGTTTTTGGTTATTATGAGACTTAAACATGACATTTCTTTGTATTTTCCTCTCTGCCTGTTTCTCTCACACTCTCATATTCTTCTGGTTGTAATTTAGCAGCCCTACATTCCCGACATCAAATGGAGGTTAAGTACCGTGTTATTTAAACAAGATGAATGTATTTGATAATGACTGAGTAAGGAAAGTGGAGGAGGAATAAAGTAGGGAGGAACAACTCCCAGCAGCAGGGCGTGAGGAGAAATGTCTCAGCAACACCACATTCATGGATCTGCTCGGTAAAAATACTGCTGACATAACATTATAATTCATCTCCCTAAAGTTTTATGTTTCCCACTTTGGAAAACAACTATGTCTGGTATATAATTTCACTCTTGTATTATGACATTTGAGAAAGTAGCCAGGACTGGTTAAGTTTAACTCCCCCCATGAAGTTATTTTAGATGTCAGTTTCTACAAGTGATTCACAAACGGGCAGATTAGCAGAAACATGTTATTCCAGAATGGTCAGGATTGGGGAGAGCTAGAGAAAAACACTGACTTTATTCTTTGATGTTTGTGGTGGTGTGAATATTTGTCTTGTATTTGCTTTGGTGATCTCATTGTATGATTTTAGAAGAACTATCAACTGATCTATTTTCTCTTTCTTTGAATAAACTTAAAAATGTGACCCAATTGTTTTCAGTCAGAGATAATAAAATAATGGATGTTATCATTGTTTTGAAATAATCATTTACTGTTGTTACTTTCTTCATGGTGTTCTTGAACTTAGGTTTGAAATAATTAATTAATTTTGATTCCATGATCTCATCTGAATGTGGCAGAAGGAGAAATGGAATTTGTACTCTGAAAATCTGTGTTCTGCGGTGTTCTTAGCTTAGGTAATGATAAATCCTTGGACTGTGGATGTGTTCAAAATGTGCCACATTTAGACATCTCTGGTCACTGGCATAAACCTTTAGTTATTGCTTAAATATAGATAAGTGTCTTTCTTTTTTAAAAAGTCATATTGTGTGTAAAGAATAAAATAAGTATATATATTGAATGGCCTGAGAGCAAAACAAAACACTGAAAAACTTATGAAAGTAGAAAAATGAGTATTCTTATGACTCTATTAAATTATATTTTGTAAGATGAAATACTTTGACTACATATTGGGTACAGTATACACTGCTTGGGTGATGGGTGCACCTAAATCTCAGAAATCACCACTAAAGAACTTATCCATGTAACCAAAAACCACTTCTTGCCCCAAAACTATTGAAATAAAATAAAATAAGACATATAAATAAATACTTTGCTTTATTTAGTTTATTGGTAATATATTAAATAAGGTGTGAAAGTTCTGAGATTTTTATCCTCCTTGCAAGCTAACAAGTTATCCTGCCACAGTGTCATGGATGTTGGCAGAAAACATGAGACTCTTGGGTCAGAGACAAAGAACCATTTATTAGTCACAGCAATAGCAGTAGCCAGAGTATCAGTGATTGTCCCAGCTGCCTAAGCCCTGATTCCTACAGGGCTGCACAGCTGATTCCTGGACTCACAGTGGGTTGTGTTACAGGAGAGAAATCTTGAATTCAGGGGACCTGAACCTTTTATAACAGGTAGCCTGCCTAACTTTGCCCTGAAGAGAGATGTTACCGTCAATTTACTGGACAGAACCAAACATGCCTTATTTTCTTTGGAGGGAAACACTATATCTATCTTCCAGGGCCTTTTACTGTATAGACATCCTTGAAAATATAGTCTGGACAAAAGGCAGGCAGTGGCTCTACTCCCAAGATGTGTACAAATAGGGGGAAGCCAAGAAGAATTGTCTCCCAGTTGATGCAATGTATAGAAATGTACGTTTGTTTCTCTGTAATTAAGCTGAACTTAGCTTTGAAATCTCTATTTTTTAAGGTGAAAAAGATATGCTCATCAAGGCAAATTCAGTCACCTTAAGCTTAAAATGTATTTTCATTTGTTGTAAATTTAAATTAATTTGGGATTCTCATACTGTTTTTTTCTGCATTCCTCTTAGAAGTAACAATATAGTAGCAAACACTTAAAATAGTACTTATAACCACGATGTAATATAATATTCTAAACCCTTTGCATAAGTTAAGTTAATTTATTCAATCTTATACGTAGACTGTTTTCTTTTTTGAGACGGAGATTTATTCTTGTTGCCCAGGCTGGAGTACAGTGGCATGATCTTGGCTCACTGCATCCTCTGCCTCCCAGGTTCAAGCGATTCTCCTGCTTCAGCCTCCTGGGTAGCTGAGATTACAGGCATGTGCGACGCCTGGCTAATTTTATATTTTTAGTAGAGACGGGGTTTGACTGTGTTGACCAGGCTGATCTCGAACTGCTGACCTCAGGTAATCCGCCTGCCTCGGCCTCCCAAAATGCTGGGATTACAGGCGTGAGCCACTGCGCCCGGCCTTGTAGACTGTGTTTTTATCTCTACTTTATATGTAAAGAATTTGAGGCACAGAGAGGTCACTTTGCCCCAAATTACCAAAGCAGCAGAACTGAGATTCTAACCAAGAGGACTCTAGAGTAGGTTCTCCTCGCCTAAATGCGACTTCTCTGCTTTCTAAGAGCTCTGTGGTCTCTATGATCTTGGGGGCTTCTATATCATATTTTTTTTTTTTTTTTTTTTTTTTGAGACGGAGTCTTGCTCTGTCACCCAGGCTGGAGTGCAGTGGCATGATCTTGGCTCATTGCAAACTCTGCCTCCTGGCTTCAAGCGATTCTCCTGCGTCAGCCTCCCAAATAGCTAGGACTACAGGTGTGTGCCACCATGCCTGGCTAATTTTTTGTATTTTTATTAGAGACAGGGTTTCACAGTATTAGCCAGGATGGTCTCGATCTCCTGACCTCATGATCTACCTGCCTCGGCCTCCCAAAGTGCTGGGATTATAGGCGTGAGCCACTGTGCCCAGACTCTATATTATATTTGCATGGAATCCAGATTTAGTCCAGTCCTCTCTTGCTTCCGCTGTGGTATCTTGTCCCATAGCATAGTCTCTGTCTTTGTCAGTTCAACCGCTGGGCTCTGGGAGACTCTGCTTACTCCCATCTACTTAAAAGCTTCTCTGCAGGGATTTAGAGCTCCATGCCGGCGTGGGGGAGATAGCTCTGTGATGTCTCCCTTGAGCCCTTCCACCAACACCACCCCTCAGTTACAGCTTTTCCGTTACTTAGAGGCCCTGCCAAAAACATCGTTTGAATCTCAGCTCTGCCACTTGCTAACGTGACATCTCTCTAACAATTTCTACACCTCTGAAGTGGAGACAATGATACTGTATTGCTCAGAGGTAAAGGTTAAATGAGTTAATTTATACTTGGGAGGTAAAAGTGCTATGTTAAGTGTCTGTTAATACATTATTACAACTGAGGGAAATGGGAGGAAAGAGTTTTAGAGTGCGGAATTGACAGAAATGTATAACAACTAAAACATGTTTTAGGTTAGATGTGGCTGAGTTTACCTTGACAAGTTTAAATTTTCCACCATAAATATGGAGGCTCCAAAGTTTGAATCAGTTACAGAGAAATAAAGGAAGTTTCATGTCTGCACACAGGTCTGTGAGTTGTTGTCACTGTGAAGTTTGCTTTGTGGTGTAAAATCTCTCAACCTCTTTGCTTCTGGTATTCTGGTGTGACCTTAGCATATCTACATTTGTGCAAGGGTTTGATCCATTAAGGGGTCAGGTACAAGACCCTTTCTCATGCACTTGTTGATATCTGCACTTTTATCACATTCCCTAAAATTCCTCTTTTACCATCTACTAGTTGAATTCTTATTTAATTTCAGGTGGGACTAGTTGAATTCTTATTTAATTTCAGGTGGGACTAGTTGAATTCTTATTTAATTTCAGGTGGGAAAATGGTAAGTCCTTATGGCATCCCACGTTCTCCCCATTGTGTCAGTTAAGGTATAAACACTATGAAGTGTTTAAAGTTTTGGTTTTTAATCTTATTTTAAAAACTTTTGGAACTGAGAAAAATCTCTCCCCTCTCAATCACTTGGCTCTTGGAATTGAATCCTATAGCTTTTCAGACTTTCTCTGCTATGTATTTATACAATATATGCAGCCACTTAATTCACTTCTTTCTTCTGGGCATATGCCCCCTCTGTGAGGCAACAAATATCACAGACTAAATAGGTGGAGTGCTACCAGCAACAAGTAAGTGGTAGGAAAGAAAAATCTCTAGATATCATCTCAAAATACAGTCGCATGTCACTTGCTTGATGGGGGATACATTCTGAGAAATGCATCATTAGGTAATTTCATTGTTGTGTGCACCCAGAGTGTACTTACACAAACCTTGATGGAACACCCTACTACGCACCTAGGCTATATGGTATAGTCTGTTGCTCCTAGCCTACAAACCCATACAGCATGTTTCTGTGCTGAACACTCTAGGCAATTGTAATGGAATGACATTTGTGTGTCTAAACACATGTAAACATAAACAAGGTAAAGTAAAAATATGGTATAAAAGATAAAAAATGGTTCACCTGTATAGAGTACTTATGAATAGATATGGCAAGAGGTTGATCTGGATGAGTCAGTGAGTGAGTAATGAGTGAATGTGAAGGCCTAGTACAGGGGTCCACAGTCCCTGGGTCCATGGCTTATTAAGAACCAGGCTGCACAGCAGGAAATGATGGGCCAGTGAGTGAGTGAAGCTTCATCTGTATTTATAGCCGCTCCCCATTGCTCACATTACTGCCTGAGCTCCGCCTCCTGTCAGATCAGTGGCGGCATTAGATTCTCCTAGAAGCGCAAACCCTATTGTGAACTGCAAATGCAAGAGATACAGGCTGTGCACTCCTTATGAGAATTGAATGCCTGATGATCTGTCAGTGTCTCCCATTACCCCCAGGTGGAACCCTCTAGTTGTAGGAAAACCAGCTCAGGGCTCTCACTGACTCTACATTATATGAGTTGTATAATTATTTCGTTATACATTGCAATATAATAATAATAGAAATAAAGTACACAGTACATGTAATGTGCTCGAGTCATCCTGAAACCGCCCCCTCACCACAACCTCCACCCCATTTTGTGGAAAAAATTGGAAATTGGTCCTTGGTGCCAAAAATGTTGGGAACTGCTGGCTTAGGACATTACTGTATACTATTGTAGATTTTATAAACACTGTACAATTAGGCTACACTAAATTTATACATTTTTTTTCAAGAATACGTTCACCTTAGCTTACTGTGATTTTTTAATTTTATGGACTCTTAAATTTTTAAAAACTTGTTGAGCCTTTTGTAATAATGCTTAGCTCAAAACACAAACACATTGTACAGCTGTACAAAAGTATTTTCTTTCTCTATATTCTTATTCTATAAGCTTTTTCTACTTTTGAATTTTTTTTGTTTTTTACTTTTTACTTTTTAAACTCTTTTGTTAAAAATAGGGACACCAATGCACATATTAGCCTAGGCCTACACAGAGTCGGGATCATCAATATCACTGTCTTCCACCTCCACATCTTGTCCCACAGGAAGGTCTCCAGGTGCAGTAACACTCATGGAGTTATTTGTGTTATCATGAATAACTATGCTAACAAGGCCTTCTTTTGGAATACCTCTTGAAGAACTAGCCTGAGGCTGTTTTCTAGTTGACTGTATTTTTTATAAATAGTATGAAAAATAACAATAAAAAGTATAGTGTAGTCAATACATAAAGCAGTAACAGTAAACCATGCACTGTACATGATTGTATGTGCTATACTTTTATACAACTGGCAGCACAATAGGTTTGTTTATACCAGTATCATCACAAACATGTGAGTAATGTATTGCACTACCGTGTTAAAATGGCTACCACATCACTAGGCCATAGGAGTTCTCCAGCTTTGTTATAATCCTAAGGGGCCACCATTGTCTTATATGCAGTCCTCCTTGTTAACTGAAACATTATATGCCCATGATTGTAAGTCACCTAATTTACATAAGATATTCCAACTTTTAAGAACTTTGGCATGTGTTTTAGAAAACAAGTGTTGGTGATTCCAACAATTAAAAACTAGTCTTCAGTTTTTATATCCATTTGAACTTGCTAAGTGTAAGAAAATCATGTGATGTTAGTGCTTCCATTTTCTGTCTTATTTTTCCTTGACAACAGGGCAGAGACTAGGTTGAAGGAAGAGAAGCTGGTTAGGCATTTGCCTTGGGTGCAAAATTTAGAGGGTGTCGAAAATTCAGTGATCAAGGTAAATCATATTTTAATGCAAGATTTAAGAAAACCCAAAATTAATGCAAAAAACTCATGATGAACAAAATGTCAAAATTTTAAATAAAATCGCATCAGTATTCCTGATTCTTCCTTTTGCCTCAGGCTCCAATGTGGCTGGTCTTAGTGTTACTACTGACCTTGGGGCTCTTTTTTTTCTTCCTTTTGTCAGGCCACTGAGAGAGTTCTTAATGCATGTGGTGGCAGGATCAGCAGTGAGAAGCCTCCTAATGTTGATATTTGAGTGCATCTAATCCTTTTCTTTCTAGGTATTTCTATGGCTTGATTAGTTAATATTCTTTGTAACTACTTGAGAAACAAATGTTTCATGGTGTTGTTTTTCTTTTGCTAAAATTGTGTATCTGCTTTGTTCGTTCTCTTTGTCTTATGAACATTAAGCAATTAAAGATGTTTTCTTATAAGCATTTCTCTCTTTTTCTCACTATTACATAATATGTGTTGGTTTTTGTTTTTTCCTTCTCTCTGGTAACAGGAAAAAAAATGGCCTACCTTTTAAAAGAGAGTAACATTTTCATAATTTTCTTGCCAAGCTAGAAAAAATAAAACAAACAATTCATTACATTTTAATATTGAGAGCCAGTGGGGTAGATAATATATTGGGGACAATCATGTTGACATTACACTATTACTTCAAAACTGAAACTAACCTCAGTGTAAGCTATAAAAATGGTTTTAAAACTTGAAAATGGTCCACCATTTCTTTCCTGAGCTTGGGTCACCCAAGAGTATTGAGGATGATGTTTGGGGTTGGGTCAGATTAAGACCAATGAGGCCAGAAATACTGAGACCAGAAAAAAGACTGTCATGATCAACAGGAAATGACATTTCCCCTTCTGTGACTTTGACTCCATGGGCCAAGCCTGAGAGCATCAGAAGTTGGATTGGGGGAAGGGTAGAGAAAGAGAACCTCTTCACTGGGAGTCACGTTCTTGGTGCAACCCTATTAATCTAAAGGGTCTCTAACGCCCAGTCTGACAGACAGCTGGGTGCAAGGAGGCTCCTCCCACCTCACAGTTGTCATTACAGCCTTTTTATTCCAGCATCATCAGAGACTGCTTTTAAGAGCATTTTGATAGATGGCATTTTCTGCAGTGTTAGTAGTGGGAGGAGAATCTATTTGCTGCACAGGCAGTTTTTGTGATTTTTAACAAGACTCCTCCACCCCCTTCAAACCTGTACAACACAATACACACACTGGCTTGTTACCACTTGCCTTCCCTGGCCTCTGGGATTCCTTTCTCTTTGGCTGCGTTTCTCTATCCTTTGCATCTCTCCAAGGCAGAAGTGGCAAAAGCAGTGGGTAAATGGTGAAGGAATACAAGCCTGTGCTGTTTCTGGAACACACTAAGCTGATGTCTGCTCTTTGGAAGTAGAAATTCCGCCTTAAGAAAAATATTTCACTACAGGGCTCTTTGTCTGTTTTCCAAAGCATACAGAAGTGGATTAACTTGCAGTGTAGGCACCCAAATGCCTGACATGTAGATGACCCTGACAAAAATGACTACCCGCAGAGTCAGAATATAGAGATGGTCCTCATGATGCCAAGAACAGTGGTTTTTCCACCGCCTCCGCTAGGGCATACAAAACACATGATTATATTCCCTAAGTTTATATAAAAATTTCTGCATCTTCTAGGTATAACTCCTCCCTCTTTTCTCCCACTCATGAAAGCATTTCAGAGTATAAGTAATAGAGATTGGTATTTTTTATGAATATATACTTGATCTGGTCAAATTTGTTTTAAAGAAGTAAATCATTCGCAAAGTTCAGTATTTTCACTATTTGCACACACAAATCTCTTTAGCACATCTTGCAGCTAATTAACTTTATTATGTTGATATATGTTGTCTTAGGTCGTTCAGAAATAGGAATAGCTACCTAATGAAGAGGGAGGGATGGGTGGTGCATAACAATTGCTGAGAATGGATGAAGCTTTCTATTGGCCTACTTGGAATTCTTTTGATTTGCAGATGGAACCAAGTGAGTTTTATTCAAGGTAGTAGTGGATTTTCTCTAAGATGCAAAGCACAACAAACAATTACAAATTATCCAAATGAAAATTTGTATGACCCTTAGCAAAGGTACTACAAAGGATTTCCAAGAATATTACAAGAAATTCACTGAGAATGACTAGCCTAATCATGTGGTCATCATCCGCTCAGTATTTTTTTTTTCCAGGAAGAGATTGATACTCGTAGTATGATGCTTGCTAGAGCAATAGGTTGGAAAGGAAATCGTTTCCTTTCCTATATTTTAAGAATGTTCTCTTTTGGCAGTACATATCTTAAAAATGATCTTGCTTTCAGACAGCTACAAATATATCATTTAGTGCTTTTTGTATGAATGTGGGGCTGATAGATTTAGATACCGGGGATGGATTGCAGGTTTTTCATTACCATAAATCCCATGTCACATCAGCAGCATGATGGAAGCATTTTGATAGATAACATAAACTCATTAATCACCACTCTCTTAAACTAAGTACCATAGAATTTTAAATGTTCCATATTCCAGCATTTGTGAATGCCTCCCCTTTTAAAAATGTCATCCTTTATTAGTTCATGCTGTTTAAGATAGCTTGAGTTAACTCCATGAAAAGAGACTGTGTACTAAGGGAAGAAAGGACTGGAAAGGGGGAGGAGGGGAAGGAAAGGAGGCAAGAAGATTAAATTCTGTCTTAAATCCAAACACGGCTAGATTGCATGCTAGCATTAATGTCCTCGTCCTCTTCCCAGATAATGTTGGCAGACTTCCAGTTTATTAAAACAACAATCCAACGCTGATCTTGTCTCTGCATACACGATTCAAGGATGGATCATTTACTCAAACAGAGCTGTTGACTAGGGTAGAAAAGCAAAAACGCATTTTAGGAGAGGTTGTTTATGACTGTTGCATAAAGCACTGTACTGTGTGTTTTATACAAGTAGTCCTGATCATTATTAAGTGAAAAGAGAAAGCCAGATTGTTATTCTAAAAGCAATAAGCACAAGTTTTGTCCAGATATTTAATAATGCTGCTTAAACTTGTGAAACCATACTTGTGTGTTCCTCTTAAAAAATATTCTTACCTCCCAAACAATGCATTCTGGAATAAATGTGCTCTTATAAAATATTTTTTTCCTCTGAAACGAAATAGTGCATCACAGGATTTATTTCACTGATGTATTTTCCTTCTGCATTTAACACTTAGAGTATCTATGAATATTCAACTTTCTTGGCACATATTTAATGATTAAAATGAAGTTTATCTGTTCACACATTAATTGCCAATATATGGGTGTTTGTAGAAGAAAAGCTCAGACTTACATCTTGGAGTAAGAATGCTGTTGTATTTCTTAAGGCACATAAAATGGTATAATTCAACCAGCAATTTTCAGGGTTAAAAGTTCTGCTGAGTATCCAAAGGTCAGTGACAAATGTCAGACAAACAGACTTCACACTAGAAGACTCATCTCAGGCGGCAGAGCCAGCCTTGGGGAGAACAGCCTGTTAAGTGTGCTTTGTTTCCAGGTAGCATTTTGTAAATCCAAGTCTTTGATAATGACACAGTATATTGAATGGTGACTGTGACTGAATGGTTGTTGAACTTTGAAGATATGATTCAGCACACCACTGTGAGAACAGAGCACAATAACATTAAACACCAGATGGTATTTCAAAGCCCATCAGATACACAGATTCCTTTTTCTTCTTAACAAAAGATCGGCAAGGCTTCATGTTAAAAAAGAGAAAGAAAGAAAAGAGAAAAGAAAAAGAAAGAAATAAGGAAAGAAAAAAAAAGCCCATTAAGATAAATGGGGTGATTTGGTTTTGTCTTGCTTGACTATAATAGGGAAGCCATCTGAATGGGTCAAATTACAAACTAGACTCCAGATCAAAGGATAACGACTGCAGTGGTGGGTCAAACTCATCTGAACTGTGTCGACCAGATCAGCATGAAATCCTAAACTGTGAGCCAAGAAAACATGTCTCTCTCAAACTGAGACTTGACCACACCAATTAACTAAAGCATTTGCCTCTTTGCTTCAGAGGAGATCTGAGAGTTTCATTGGTCAGGCCAATGTGGACACACAAGAGAGAATGGGATTCCTGTAGCATAGCTTAGACAGTTGAATTCACAAGTAAAATTAAACTGTCCACCAGAAAAGTCACCCAAAAGCTGCTGCTCCACTAGCGGCTTCTGGGTAAATAAAGTGGTGAATGAAACATGGTTTGTGCACATGTGATGCTAGAGAATACTCACATACGGGAAATCAGAGTTCCAGTGACTCTGAATGTGGATATGTGGATGATGGTATAGAAGGGCAGTGTGATAGTTAATTTTATGTGTCAAACTGGCTGCACCATGGTGCTCAGATATTTGGTCAAACATGATTCTAGATGTTTCTGTGAAGGCATTTTTTTGGATGAGATTAAAATTTAAATCTATGTACTTTGAATGAAAAAGATACCCTAAATGTGGGTGGATCTCATCCAATCAACTGAAAGCTTTAAATGAAACAAAGACTGACCTGAACAAGAAGGAATTCTGCCAGCAGATTGCTTATGGACTTGAACTGCAATTTTTCCCTGAGCTTCCAGCCTGCTACCTACTCTATTTTGGACCCACCAAGCCTCTGTAATTATGTGAGCCAATTCCTTAAAATAAATCTATCTACCTCTCTCTCTACATAGATGTATATGTACGTGTACGTATACGTATGTGTACATGTACGTGTACGTGTACGTATGTGTATGTGTACGTGTACGTGTACGTATGTGTATGTATATGTGTATGTATATGCATGTGTATGTATATGTATATGCATGTATATGTATACGTATATGTATATGTATACATATATGTATATGCATGTATATGTATATGTATACATATATGTATATGCATGTCTATGTATACGTATATGTATATGTATACATATATGTATATGCATGTCTATACGTATATGTATATGCATACATATATGTATATGCATGTCTATGTATACATATATGTATATGTATACATATATGCATATGCATGTATATGTATACATATATGCATATGCATGTATATGTATACGTATACATATATGCATATGCATGTATATGTATACATATATGCATATGCATGTATATGTCTATGTATACATATATGCATATGCATGTCTATGTATACATATATGCATATGCATGTCTATGTATACATATATGCATATGCATGTCTATGTATACATATATGCATATGCATGTCTATGTATACATATATATGCACATATTGTTGGTTCTGTTTCTCTAGAGGACACTAATACTGAGAGGTACTTAAAAAAATGAGTGTTCACAACACTTTCGTATTTGAGAAATGAATTAGTTGGGCTTCATGGTCTCAGCTGTCTGCTTTAGGGTTAGGGTTCTGGAATAGCTGATTGATTGGAGTAGTGTAGTGTAGTGATTAAGGGTTCAAGCTCTGAAAGGAGACAGATCTGGGTTGGAATTTTGGCTCTGCTGCCTACTAGCTAAAGCACTTTGCACAAGTTCCTTAAGATTTTTACGTCTCAGTTTCTTTAGTTGTAACATGGAGCTGTAATACTTACCATCTGGAATTTCTAAAAGGAGGTAGATGCAAAAAAGAACAAAGTTTAAAAAATTATAAAAATTGCCAAATATGTGCAATCATAAATGTTACCCCAAAATTTATTTGTGAGAGGAAGGTGGTTATAAATCTTAAGTCATTCAAAGCTAATAGAGATTATCCTAAATTTATAGTCATCTGAGAGATACAAAGTCCTTTCAATGCAATGGCCTCTCTGGACCTGTCTTACTGTAAACTCCCACCACCAAACCTAGGGATGTTGTGAGAATCTCTACAAAGAAACTGGGTTTTTCTTAGAGAACCCAGGCTTAGAAGGGAAGAAAGTATCATGGCATAAGGACACCGATCCAAGAAACACTGAGAAAACTGGTCTACTCATGAAGAGTCCTTTTGTTCTTAAGAATACATTACTGACATTCCATAAATTGGCCATTAATTTGGGTTGCCAAATCTGTCATTTTCACAATGGAGATATCTGTTTTAAGCTTAAGGGACTCTGGAATTCACTGATGTGAGGGCTCTGAGGAATTGGAACTTTTGACTGAGAGATACGGTATCTTCAGAGGATAGAGCACTTTGCAGGACAGGAGAGTGGGCTTTGAGTGGAGAATGGAAAAGGAGGGTGGGTTTTGAGGGGAGAACAGAAAAGGAGGGAGCCTCTGATAGCTCCAGGGTGTGGTGGGCATAAAGGTGCAAGGAGAAGGGCCCTGGATGGCAGGAAAGGTATATGGAAAAGGATATGGGGAATGCCAAAGATGCCCTTTATTTGAAAATTCTGCCCAGGCCCAGCCTTATACCCTCCTCTTCCTCCTGGCTTCAGATGCTCACTGCTCCTGAGATCCAGGATGAGGATGATGCCTATAATTCTATATCTCAGTCTATCACAGGTTCTGGAGGCTTAGTGGGCCCATGTGGGACTCTAACCACTACATTTAGATCATGTCAATGGAAACACATTCTGAGTTAAAAACACAACTTGGGAAAAACGTAGCCTGATATAAACTCTACATGAAAATTAAGATTTACTTAATAGAAAACCCAGAAGGTTAATTACAAAAGGGTACTTCTATACAGGATTAGATTCATCATAAAATCCTTTTAAAAAGCAGATTTCTTATAGATTTAAAAAGTAAATGATTTTCATAGAAGTTTCCATGTGGCCATATTTATTGTGTAGAGAAGAGCAAAAATTATTTTGTAGAGTAGCTCCTAAGGGATCTCAAGTTTTATGTTAATTTGATCCTCACAACAATCTTATGATAGTGGCATTGTCATTTCCATTTTACAGACAAGAAAATTGAGGTTCAGAGAGGGTAAGTCACTTATTTAAGGTCACATTAGCAGAAAGTAAGGAGCACTCTGCTCTGTCTCCAAAGCCTACACTTTCCCCATTTTACCGTCAAATTTATATCAGAGCTGTCTTCTATTGTAGGAAACTTGATATTCCTCATCACCACAGGTTCTGATTACTTTTTGGTTTTATTCCTCAGGGCAGGTGGATGTGGTTATCCATCCCACTCAACGACCTAAAATCTGATGGCATACCACTCAACAACAAAAGACAACCTAATTTAAAATGGGGACAAATAACTTTAGTACTTTGGACAAATATATATATTTGTCCAAATGAGATATGCAAATGGTCAACAAACATATGAAAAGATGCTCAGCTTCATTAGTCATTAGGGAAATGCAAATCAAATCCATAATGAGGTGACACTTCGTACCCACTAAGATAACTATAAAAAATAAAAAGGAATGAGAAATAACAAGTATTGGCAAGGATGTGGAGAAATCAAAACTCTTGTACATTGCTAATGGGAATATAAAATGGTTGAACTGCTAAGGAAAACATTTTGGTGGTTCTTCAAAAGGTTAAATATAGAATTGCTATATGACCCAGCAATTCCTCTCCTAGGTATATAACCCAAAGAATTGAAAACAGGTATTCAAACAAATACTTGCATATGCATATTCATAGTGATTTGGCCTCATTGTCTGTGGTGACACCTAAGGTTCGTTATTTCATGGCCACGGAGATCAAGGATGTGGACATACAAGGAGGTTAAGAGTGGAGGTTTAATAGGTGAAAGAAAGAGAATAGCTTTCTGCTACAGAGAGGAGTCCTGGAAAAATGGGTTGCTGATCCACTGGTGAGATGCAGGGGATTTTATCGATGAGCTTGTGGGGAGGCGGTGTCTGATTTACATAGGGCGCAAAAAATTGGTTAGAACCAGGTGAACCATCTGCATAGGGCGCAAGTCTCTGGCAGCCCTCATCCCAATTTTTTATTATGCAGCTGGATCCTCTGCCAAGTTTTTTCATGTTGCTCAGTTCATTCTTACTATACATGTGCTAATAAAAAAGGAAGGCTTCCATGGTGGACATGCCTGTTCCCCAGGTAGCCCTTTTCTATTGGTGCAGCTCCTGGCATTTCCCCGTGCAAGCTTCCAGCTTTTTTATCCATATTTGTAGTTTGATTTTTCAGGCTTTCCATCAGTTTTTAGAAAAAAAAAATGGTTTCTAGGGCTGTTTTTTTTGTTAGAAGGGAAGTTCTGCTGAGGACTCTCTTGCTCTCACTATCTGCCTAAATAATTTCTTTCTATCTCCTGTATCAATAGCAGCACTATTCACAATAGCCAAAAGGTGGAAACAAGCCAAATGTCAATTAATGGATGAATTGATAGACAGTTTGTATCTATCCATATAATGGGTTATTACTCAGCCGTAAAAAGGAATGAAGTACTGATACATGCTACAACATGGATGAAACTTGAAAACATACTAAGCGAAAGAAGCCACATATATGATTCCATTTATATGAAATACTCAGAATAGGTAAATCCATAGAGACAGAATGCAGATTGGTGGTTACCAGAGCTTGGAGGGAGGGAGAATGAGGAGTTAACTGCTTAATGGGTATGGAATTTCCTTTTGAGGTGATGAAAATATTTTCATACTAGGTAGTGGTGGCAGTTATACAACATTCTGAATATAGTAAATGCCATTGAATTGTTCACTTTAAAATAATTCATTTTATGTTACATGAATTTGACCTCAATTAAAAAAAACTATTGAATGTCCTGGTTATACCAGGCACAGAATTTGGAAAAGATATACTCAATCATGTGTCCAGACAGATGACCATGGATGTAAGCCACAGCAAATCTGATAAATTCCCCAGGCATGTGAACAAAAGACTGTCTCCATCTATCCTACCAGAAACCCTGTTTCCACATGATTCACTGTGGATACTCCTAAGTAACACCCTGGGATAAAGCAGCTATGAATTATGAAGTCCCCACCTAACAACGGCCGCTGCATGTTTCTCCCCAGCACAGCTTATCATGGGAAAACTGGACCAGCCTTCTTTGTTGACCACTCCCTTCATTCGTTAACATTCTCTCATCACTAAGCTGCTTAATTTGGTTATACTGAGAGCCTGGTTAGAATGCAAGAGATGCCTGCTTTTATGTTTGATTTCAGCAGGGCCTGCAGGCACTGAAGGTTTTCTGTGGGAGCCAATGGCCTAGTTTGAGGTGAATAATCAGCTTTTTACTTAATGCTGTATCTCTCTTTTCAGCTGCGAACACTCTCTGTCCTTTTTTCTTCCCAGGGTTTGGCACGATGAAATGCTACTTTCAGAAAGATGAGTATGTCAGAATCCCTGGTGATTTCTAACGCTTATGGAACACATCACATAGGAGCAATTTAGATGACAAAAAAGAGCACTCTTCAGTCTGGATTTACACTGTGTTCCTATTCACCGACACATCAGCAAACATTATAAATGCCTTGCCTGAGTAATGAATGGTTTCTGAGTGAGTTCCTGGGCTGGCAGCAGGTTTGAAATTCTATAGAGTCAGGCAAGGGAGAAGGTGACTAGTGTAGAATTACGGGAAAGGATTAATGAAGGGGTGCTGACTACACATACTGCTCCACTGTTCTCTCAGTCACTAGACTGAGAAGTCACTGATTTTTGCCTCTAGGACTGGACTTTTATAACTTCAAAAAAGCCTCTTTAAACAAATCTGCATCAGCCAATGTGTCAACACTTCATTGGTTTCAATAGAATTAGTTTTCTAAATGCTCTTTTCTGAAGCAATTTTTGTACTTGAAAATGCATTATAAGGAACATTTACTATAACTACAGTACAACGATATAGAATATGACAAGTAGGGTTTTAATCGCTGCAAGCTGCAACACTGAACACGGTCTACATTGATCCTCCCCCTTCTCCTTCAGCATCAATGTTAATAAACCGAGGAACTTAAGGTTTTACTGGTATTTGCTGTAAATAATAGCCAAGACTTCAATTGTATTTGCCCAGAATGAACCAGGCTAACAGTCTTCCAAAGATGCCTAGACAGGTTCTGATTTAATAGCCTTACATAACTCAGGCCCTTTATGTACCATGCCAAATAAACCATAAGATCATTCTGCCAGCTGAGAGATAACACACCAAAGCATGAACAAAGTGGAGGAAACCACATGTCAGCACTGTGTATTAGACTTGCCTGGGTCAAACTCAAAGCACAGCTAGAAGCAGCCAAGAGTGGCTGAAAATTCATCGTCTCTAATTCTGACATGTTCTGCAGGACATCCTCTCTGGTAAGATGTATCATAAATACAAGCAGTGTGAGGGTTTGCAAAATGGAAAAATATTTCCTTTATACATTCTTCTTCTTAACTTCAGTGTGTGCTTTGCTTACTGTTAGGGGGGCTTTGAAAGTTTTTCTAAAAGGGAAATAGAGAAAGAATAGAGTTGTTCAAGTGCTCTAAAACGAAGAGAATGTGGGTCCTTTTATAAGAAGCCATTTAACCTCATTCTACTTCAATTTCACCTCTTTCTAAATGTGTCTGGAATAGGGGTGAAAGGGCAACGGCCCCTGTGCTTGTGATGCATTAAAGTTTGGAAAGGGAGAGAGAGCTGCGGTGGTAGATGAATCCTACATTAATGTGTGTTAGAATGTCCCAAGTATGTTCCCTTAGTCTTTTTGAAAACAGCAGGTAGAAGCAAATGGCCTCCCTCCTCCTTTCGACACTTCTCACAAATTTTTCTTTAAGAGATTCAGAGGATGTAATGCAAAGTATCAGCATGGGTTTTGGGTCACACATGCCCAGGGTGGGATTCTAGTCCTTCAGTTTGCTAGCTGTATGCAGTTAGCCAAATGACACAATTCCTCTGAACTTCAGTTTTCTTATTGGTAAAATGTACAGAAGACCTAACTTTTCCATTTGCTACAAGGATTACAGAAAGTGATGCCAGTTGCCTAGAATAGTAGGTGCTCAACAAATACTAACTGATGTTATTGTTCTTGTGATGAGTTCAGATGGGAAACATACTATGAAATCAAGATTTATTCAGGACCAAGTAGTTGGGGGGCGTTGTGCAAAGGCCAAGATTTTATTCCTCTCTAAAAGGATCTTACAGGCTGGGCACGGTGTATCATGCCCATAATCCCAGCATTTTGGGAGGCCGAGGCGGGTGGATCTCCTGAGGTCAGGAGTTCAAGACCAGCCTGGCCAACATGGTGAAACTCCATCTCTACTAAAAATACAAAAATTAGCCAGGTGTGGTGGCAATCACCTGTAGTCCCAGCTACTCAGGAGGCTGAGGCAGGTGAATCGCTTGAACCCAGGAGGCAAAGGTTGCAGGGAGCCGAGATCATGCCACTGTACTCCAGCCTGGGCGACAGAGCAGGACTCCATCTCCAAAATAAATAAATAAATAAATAAATAAATAAATAAAAGGCTGTGAGAACAGCCTTGTTGGGAAAGTAGGCAAGTGTGCATGTGATTCCTGTCCAAAGTGGTGAGTGCCATAATCAAGATATATATACTGTATCCTAGTGGAGTCAGGGAATCTGCCCATATTCAACATCAAAGACTGCTACAATGGAAAACAGGAGTTTCAACTTAAGGTAGGTAAACTTGCAGGACTTCTTCAAATCAATAGTCTTAAAAAGGACCTTTTCCCCAAATTAGATTTTAGCAAATTCAGAAGATTGAGTGGATCTTTTCTCCTACCATTTTATTTTTATAGTAGCTTTCTGGTCAAAGAATTTATTGTACAAGTGTACAACATGATATGCTTTGTCACATTTCTAGTAATATAGGAGAGAAAAACCCTGTCTCAACCACATAATACAACATCTGACATGCCTGGATCAATTTTTGATTATTTTATCAAATGTTTTGGATCACTGCATGTTTGATCACTAGATTTCTATAAAATTATTTTTGCAAAAATGAAAATGTCAGTCAATTTTGGTGGGGAGGTATTATGATCAAAGACTGGACAGAGAAGTCACAAGCCTTTAATATCTTCTTCCCTTCTTTGTCATTCCATGACACCATGGACAGGATGTGGTCAGTGAAGCCAGACTTCATTTCATGTTGCTTGTTGTTTTGTATGTTTGAAGCCTGATCCCAGCTGTATTTGAAACAGAGATTTCAAAGTGTTTCTAATCAAATATTTTGGGAGGGCCGGGTGCGGTGGCTCATGCCTGTAATCCCAGCACTTTGGGAGGCCGAGGCGGATGGATCACGAGGTCAGGAGATCGAGACTATGCTGGCTAACATGGTGAAACCCTGTCTCTACTAAAAAATACAAAAAATTAGCCGGGCGTGGTGGCGGGTGTCTGTAGTCCCAGCTACTCAGGAGGCTGAGGCAGGAGAATGGCGTGAACCCGGGAGGCGGAGCTTGCAGTGAGCCGAGATCGCGCCACTGCACTTCAGCCTGGGCGACAGAGTGAGACTCCGTCTCAAAAAAAAAATATTTTGGGAGATCATTTGCATATTTGGGAGATCATTTCCTTTAAGAGGAAAACAAAAATACATAAATTCTCCTGTGCCAAGAACAAACACACTGCATGAGCAAGCAATTTTTCCTCTTTTTCTCTCATTCACTATTCAAACCAGATTTAAAAGAAAAATTTTAGATCACTATTCCCAATTGTAGAAGTAATAGATATTTGTTGCAAAATATATAAAAATTGGAAAATAAAAATCACTGTATTTAAAAATCACTAACCAGAAGTAACTACTTTTGGCATTTTAATTTTAGTAGAATAAAAATTTACTTTCCAGAAGTATTGGCGTAAACTGTGGGTACTCTTCATGACTAAAGTGTGAAAAGGTACACTAAAAAGAAACCTGGAGGGTATGCATGTGTGGGGGCAGTGCGTATATGGGAAATTTGTTACTTCTCTTCAATTGTGCTGTGAACCTAAAACTGTTCTAAAAAATAAAGTCTATTAGAATCCAATGACTTTGGCTTTTTTTTTTTTTTTAATACTCACATACATAGGTTTTTTCCATGACATCGTGTGAAAGAAAGTATATGTGCATGTGTGTCTGTGTAAAATTATATTTTTAGTTTTACTTATCTGAAAATTGAGCTGTTAATGTGCCTGGTAAGAAGGCAAACAGGCTAGTTGCTATGGCGAAAGCACTAGTAAGAAAAGACAGAAGATCTTCACAAAAGTACACGTGGTTACCAAAACACTGAAGTTTCCACCCTCTTATACAAAAATCTCACTTGATTTGATATCCCAAGTACCAGAGGGCCTAGGAGGGGTCAGCTGTCTCCTGGACAGTTTTGTCTCCTGGACAGTTTTGTGACCTGATTTTGATTACACCCTTAAGAACCTTTGCTCATTAAACATCCCTGACCCTTGTTGAAAAGACCTTTTTAAATTGGACCCAAATAATTAAGGTAGATATTTAGAAGTCAGAAATGTGAAGTTGAATGATCTAGTTTGATACTCTGTCCTCCTTTGCTCTGTGGTCCCTTTCTCACTGAAGCCTTCCTTGACCTCTCTATTAAAAATTATAATCCCCTTCCACTCTCTTTCCTGTTTTAATTTTTTCCGTAACATCTTACATATTTATTTATTTTACATATTCTTTTTTCACAATTTCAACTTTTATTTTAGATTCAGGGTGTGTGTGTGTAGATTTGTTACATGGGTATATTGTGTGATTCTGAGGTTTGAGGTATGCTTGATCCCATCACCCAGACAGTGAGCACAGTACCCAAAAGTTTTTCAGTCTTTGCCCTTCCTTCTCTCTTCCTCCTTTGTTACTCCCTAGTGTCTGATGTTGTCATTTCTATGTCCATGAGTATGCAATGTTTATCTCCCACTTACAGTATTTGGTTTGCTGTTCCTGCGTTAATTTGCTTAGGATAAAGGCCTGTAGCTGCATCCATGTTGCTACAAAGAACAGGATTTTATTCTTTTTAATGGCTGCATAGTATTCCAATATTTTACATATCTTCTATTTCTCTCACTGGAATGCGAGTGCCATGAGGGTAAACACTTTTGTCTGTTCTTTTCTGCTGAATCTCTAGCTCCTGGAACAGGAGCACTTGGGCACACTGAACACTTGAGTGTCAGGGTTTGTTGGGTGTCTTAGTAAATTAGAGATTTATGTTATGCTTATAAAAGACAAGTCTCAGAGAATGGTCCTGAATGGGGAGGTTGAAATAAAACAGTTTAAATTGCTCTGCACATTTAAGCAATGGAGAGGTTTTAGTTTGTTTTCTTTTGGCAGTTCAAGAGGGTAAGAGAAGAATGAAGAGACTGGATTCATGGAAGAGCAATATGGGAAAAACAGTCTATAAGGTCTATCTTTACCTCCAGTCTCTTGCTAACCTGAGAAAACCTGGGGGTTCCCTATCCTTAGTGTTCCTGTTTTACAGCATGTGACCCCATCATGCAGTCTCTGTCCTTTCTTATTAGACCCACCTGACCTGGGACAGTTAAGAGATTTCCTGGGGTGGCGAATAGCCAGCGAAGACTATTTTCAGTTTGAAGCTGGTTTTCAATTTGAAATTGTATCTTGTGCTGTGAAGTAATTAGCTTGTTATCTTTATACCTCATTAAATCTAGTGACACAACATAGCACATTAAAGTTTGAGAAAATTAAAAAACTGTACACTTAGAGATAATAGAACATAAATTTGAGGGAAAAGAATAAACAGCAAAATTAAACAAAATATGAAAGAAAAGTTGAGACCTAGAAAATAAATTCAGAAGGTCCAATAGTTGATTATTAGATAGTATGAAAAAGGGCAAGAGAGAATTGTCATATAATGATGAGAGACAATTTATTATTGTTGAGAAAATACAAGTTTTTATTTTAGATAGATTCAAGTGTGGCCAAACAATCTAGACATTGACTTACAAAATATCAATAAAGCAAAGGTAATGACAAGACTCTGATAGCTCTCAGGAAAAAAAAGTTATGTAAAGTTGGATAACAAACAGATTGATATAAGATTTCTCTTTGGTAACAATGGGTATATAACACAATATCTTCAAAATGCTGAGGGAAATATTTTTTGAAGCTAGAATTATATATATAAACCATTTTAGTCCAGTATAAAGGTATAAATGAAGACATTTTAGAGAAGGTCACATAATGTTTCCCTTTTACATAGCCAATCTGAAGAAAATATTTGACAACATGGCTTACAGAAATGTAACGTGAAGCAAAAAACAATAGGAAGTCAAGAAATAAATGATGGAATTAACCCAAAGATATAAAGACTGGAATACAGGAATGCTAGCTAAGTAGTATGGAAAACAAGTCAAAACTAGCAGAAAATGCAAAGTACTCCAAGAATGACATCAGGAAGAGTGGAATGGATTAACTCAATTGCTACGAAAAGCTGGAAGATCTTATTGGCAAAATGAGGAAAACATGCAAATACTGATAAAGGGAAAAAATCTGTAAGGAAAGATTTGGCCAAGTATGAAGAAAACTGGGATATGGCATAATTTTGAGAAGTTGATGGACTCTAAGAAAACATATGTTCCCTTCAGTTCCCCTAGGATTCATCACATTGGATCGATAGATATGGAAATATAGTCTTACCATACAATGTGGCTTTTCCTAAGAAAATAGTTTTCTGACATTGGCACAATGTTTTTTATGCTTCAAATATCAGAATCAGCCTATAAATAAAGCACCAATGAATTATGTACAATTATGAAACAGCTTAAGTGTAATCAGATAATATTGTCTTAAAGAAAAGGGCAGGGGAAAACACCTGTAGCTGACAGAAGAAAGCAGGTTGTCATGAGGTAAGAATGTGGAGAATAGGATGGAGTAACCATAACTTTTATATTACATATTGAGATTAAGACATGCAATTAAAAGTTAATGGAAAGAGATATCGAGTTTTTGGTATATGAACTCTTAACTATAATAGGTAGATAGAATCTCTTTCTCTCAAATGAAAGAATGATCACAAATTGGGAAAATGAGAAGAAGCAGACTGCAAATGGGGGATGTGAAAGTGAGTGAATTCTCATTTTTCATAGCAGAGTATATATAGAATGTTCAGGATTAATAAGACATATAAATATTTATTTACAACTACATAACAAATCACTCCAAAGCTTTGTATTTTATTGTATTGTATTTTATTTATTTTTATTTTTGAGATGGGGTTTTGCTCTTGTTGCCCAGACTGGAGTGCAATGGTGCAATCTCGGCTCACCGCAACCTCCACCTCCCGGGTTCAAGCAATTCTCCTGCCTCAGCCTCCCAGTAGCTGCGATTACAGGCATGAGCCACCATGCCTGGCTAATTTTGTATTTTTAGTGGAGAGGGGGTTTCTCCACGTTGGTCAGCCTGGTCTCGAACTCTTGACCTTACGTGATCTGTCCACCTCAGCCTCGCAAAGTGAGCTTTGTATTTTAAAACAACAATAAACAAGGAATTTGCTGTGGCTTGGTTGGGGAGTTCTGGCTCAGTTTCTCAAGGAATTGCAGTCATCTAAAGGCTTGACTAGGATTATAAAATTTACTACCAAGATTGCTCACCATCCAACTTGATAACAGGAGACCTCAGCTGCTTTCTCCCAAGTGAGTAATCTAAGAAACCTGTTATTACCTAGCCCCAGAAGTCATACACTGTCACTTCTTTAATATCCTATTGATCACATAGGTCAGCTCTCTTCATTCCAGAAGTAGACTTCACAAGGGTGTGAATAACAGGAAGTGGGAATCATAGGGGGTCATCTTAGGAGCTTGGTACCATAAGCGGTATGCCTCTATTGTTTAGAGTTACGGAATAATGTTAGAGGTCTGAAAAACAATAAAGAAATGCCAATAAGAAGTTTTTTTTGGTACAATTTGCTTTTTTTCTGTAGGCACCTATTAGTTTGATTAAACTTAATCATTTTAAAGAAGCTCAGTGAGCTACAGGAGAACACAGACAACGAAATGAAATCAGGGAAATAATACACAAATCAAAGGAGATGTTCACCACAGAAATAGAAACCATATAAAGGAACCAAAAAGGAAATTCTAAAGCTAAAATGCACAATGACTGAACTAAAAAAAAAAATAAATCCACAGACAGCTACAACAGAAGACTTTATCAAGCAGAAGAAAGAATTAATGAGCTCAAAGACAGGGCATTTGAGTTCGTTCAAGTTAGAGGAACAACAACAAAAAAAGAATGAAAAATGTGAAAAAAGTCTCAAACTTATAGGACACTATCATATAAACCAATATATACATTATAGAAGTCTTAGAAAAAAACACACAAAGAGAAAGGGGCCAAAAGCTTATTTAAAGAAATAATGATAGAAAGTTTTCCAAGTCTGGAGAGGGAAATGAACACCCAGATACACGAAGTCCAAAGAACCCCAAATAGATTAAAGAGATCTTTGCCAAGACACATTGTACTCAAATTCTCAAAACTCAAAGAGAGAATTGTAAAAGCAAGAGAAAAGAAACTCATCACCTACAAGAGATTCCTCATAAGACTGTCAGTAGATTTCTCAGCAGAAACCTTTCATGCTGAAAGACAGATAATATATACAAAGTGCTAGAACAAACCCCTGACAACCAAGAATATCTGACAAGACTGTGATTCAGAAATAAAAGAGTGATAAGGACTTGCAAAGACAAACAAAAGCTATGGAAGCTCATCATCACTAGACTTGTCTTATAGGAAATGCTAAAGGAAGTTCTCCAAGTTGAAATAAAGGAACACTAACAGAGTGAAGACAATAAAACTACAAAACTCACTGTAAGAATAAGAATATATTCAAATTCACAGTATTTTAATACAGTAATGGTAAATTTTAAGACACTTCTAACTCTATAGAAGTTAAATGTCTAAACTATTAAAAATAACTATAGCTGCAATGATTTGTTAATATATGATCCATAAAAGATGAAAATTGTGACATCAATAACATAAAATGTGGGAAGAGAAGTGAAAATGTAGAGTTTTTGTATGCAGGTGAAGTTAAGTTGTTTTCAGCCTAAAATAGACTGTTATAAGACATTTTATGTAAGCCTCATGGTAGCAACGAAGAAAAAGCCTGTGTTAAAACCACAAGAGGTAAAGAGAAAGGAATCAAAGCATCCAATGACAAAAATCATCAAACTGTGAAGAAAGACAACACGAGAAGAATGAAAGAGACTACAGGCAGTCAGAAAATGATCAGCAAAAACCACAGTAATTACTTTCCTATCAATAATTTAAATTTAAGTGGATTAAATTCTCTAATCAAAAGACATAGACTGGGTGAGTGTATTAAAAGAAATCCAATAATATGCTACCTACAAGAGACTCATTTTAGCTTTAAGGACAAACCCAGGCTGAAAGTAAAGAGATGGAAGAAGAGTCCATGTAAAAGAGAGTGGGGTGGTTGTACTTAACATCAGACAAAATGATTTTAAGTCAAAAACTTCCTTAAGAGACAAAGAAGGTCATTATATAATGATAAAAGGGTTAATTTGTCAGTTGTTACAAATTGATCCTGTTATAAATATGTTACAAATATTGTTATGTCATATGTTATAAACATTGTAACAAAAATTAATATAAATTGATTATCTGTTAGACCACAAAAAATCTTGACAAATTCAAGAAAATTGAAATCATACCAAGTATTTTTTTTTCTGAAAACAACAGTATGAAACTAGAAATCAATAACACAAGGAATGTTTGAAAATTCACAAATACATGGAAGTTAAATAACATATTCCTGAATAACCAGTGGGTCATAGAGGAAATCAAAATAGAACTTACAAAACATTTTGAAACAAATTACAATGTAAACACAACACATCAAAACTTGTGGGGTATAGCAAAAGCTGTCCTAAGGGAGAACTTTATAGGAATAAATGCCTATATTAAGACAGAAGAGATTCCTGTAATGGCGGCTTCCTGGAAGGTAGTGTCATGTGGAACCTCTTAATCTCAGCACCTGGAGCTCCAGGAAGGGGAATTTCAAGTCAGATAGAATTCTATATATACCATTTCTTTGGAACCTTCAGCCCTCAAGATTCCAACATCATTACCTCAGTTTCAACACAGTTGTCCTTAGTCCTCATATCACTGCTTTTGGTGCTGCCTGTTGTCAAAGTGGTAGAAGCCAGTGATGCAATTGTCCTCTTGTTAGGTGTGGTTCTCAGCATTACAGGCATTTGTGCCTGCTTGGGGGTACATGCACGAAAAAGAAAATGGACAGATGTGACCTTGAAAGGCCTACTGAATCAAACCTCACCCTGAAAACCTTTGTGCTATAGAGGCTAAACCTGAGCTTTGGTATCTGAAAGTTTCCAAGAATCAGTAAATAAGGGAATTTTACATTTTTCATTGTTTCCATGAAATGGTAACAAACATACATAAATAAATTGAAAAAAATGTTTTCTTTACAATAAATAATGCACTGAAAAATACAGCCTATAATTTGTATTTGCTAGTTAGAAAGGAGGTCAAAGAAGTAAGATGGCTGAAATTTACGTAAGTAATATTTCATAGTTTTAGAATTCTCCAAGCATGCAAAATAGCAAGAAGGAAGTTCTTGCCCAGAATCTTAGGAAATCACCAATGTTCAGTTATAATCACTGTCTCCTGGATCATTGAAGAGTCTTTTCTGCATCTTTTTATAAGGTTTTTGTTTTGTTGTCTCCCAGGTTAATATTGTATTTAGATATCAGAGAGTCAGCCAAAAAGGGAAGCTTTTATCTCTGGGGAAAAATGTTTAGAAAAATGTATTCGGTGTATCTGATACTGAAATGCAGAAAAAAATTTAATGTTAAAAAAAACTATAGACATTGACATGGAAAAGAGATTTAATGTTAAGAAAAAAACTATATTAACTGAGTAACATCCTCCTAATGAGAAGTACTATATTAAATATAAACCCATTATATTGTAAAAAAAAAAAAAAATCTCAAGTAGAAACCTGACTTTATACCCCAAGGAACTAGAAAATAAAGAACAAATTAAGTGCAATGTCAGCAGAAGGAAGGAAATAATAAAATCAGAGCAGAAATAAACGAAATAGAGACTAGAAAAACAATAGAAAAGAATAATGAAACTGAATTGGTTTTTCGAAAAGGTAAACAAATTTATCAATATTTGGCTAGATTAATTAAGGAAAAAAAGAAGACAAATAAGAGATGTTACAACTGATGCTACAGAAATCCAAAGGATCATAAAAGACTACTATGAACAATTATACACTGACAAATTAGACAATCTAGAATAAATGAATACATTCCTAGAAACGTACAACCACCATGACAGAATCATGAAGAAAGGAAATGTGAACAGACCAGTAACAAGTAAGTATATTGAAAGAGTATTCACAAACTCCCGTCAAAGAAGACTCCAAGACCTCACGGCTTCACTGGTAACATCTAATAAACATTTAAAGAAAAATTAATGCTAATTCTTTTCAAACTCTACCTAAAAATTGAAGAAGAGGAAGCACTATCAGGTTCATGTTATAAGGCAAATGTTACCCTGATACCAAAGCCAAACAAGGGCACTGTAAAAAAGAAAATTACAGTCCACTATCCTTGATGATTATAGATGCAAAAGTCCTCAGGAAAATACTAGCAAGCCGAATTAAATAGCACAGACAAGGATCACACACTATAACAAATAGGATTTACCCTTGGGTGCAAGAGTGGTGTGACAAATGCAAATCAATAAATATGATGCATTATGTTAACAGAATGAAAAAAGCCAAATGATCATCTCAATAGATGCAGAAAAAGCAACTGACAAAATTCAACATATTTTCATGATAAATATTCTCAACACATTAAGGGTAGAAGAAATTGGTCACAACATAATAAACACCATATATGACAAGTCCACAGCAAACATTATACTCAACGTTGAACAGCAGAAAGCTTTTCCTTTGAAACCAGGAATAAGACAAAAATGCCCATTCTCACTACTTCTATTCAGTATAGTACTGGAATCCTAGCCAGATGAAGTAAGCAAGAAAAAGAAATGAAAGATACTCACATCAGAAAGGAAGAAGTAAAATTGCTTTTGTTTACAAATGATGTAATCTTATATATAGAAAACTGGTAAGATTTCACCAAAAACCTGTTAGAACTAATCAACATATTCAGTAAAGTTTCAGAATACAAAATCAACATACAAAAATCAGTAGAGTTTATACACACTAACAAGGAACTATTCAAGAAATGAAGAAAACAATCCCTTTTACAATAGCATTAAAAAAAACTCAGAAATAAATTTAACCAAAAGGTGAAATATATATACTCTGAAAATGATAAAATATTGATGAAAGAAATAAAAGACACAAATAAATGAGAAGATATTCTGTGTTCATGGATTGAAACAATTAATATAGTTAAAATGCCCATACTATCCAAAATATTCCACAGACTGAATGCAATCCCTATCAAAATTCCAATGACATTTTTCACAAACATAGAAAAGAAATCCTAAAATACATATAGAACCAAAGAAAATCCCAAATAGCCAAAGCAATTTTGAGCAAAAGGGACAAAGTTGGAGGCATCACACTATCTGATTTCAAAATATACTACAAACCTATACAAATCAAAACCACATGGTACTGGCATGAAAACAGACACATAGGCCATTGGAACAGGATAGGGAGCCCCAAAATAAATCCACACATTTGCAGTTAATTGACCTTTGACAAAGGTACCAAGGACATAAAATGGAGAAAGAACAGCACCTTCAGTTAATTGTATGGGAAAAACTGAATATCCATGTCAAAATGAATGAAACTGGACTCTTATCTCGCATCTTATACAAAAATGAACTCAAAATGGATTAAAGAGTTAAACATAAGACCTGAGCCTCCGAAACTATCTGAGTCTGTAAGACTACTAGAAGAAAACAGGAAAAAAGCTACTTGGTATTAATCTGGGCAATGATTTTTTTTGCCTCTAAAAGCACAGACAATAAAAGCAAAAATAGAGAAATGGGATTGCCTTAAAATAGAAAACTTTTATGCAGCAAAGGAAACAGTTAACAGAGTGAAGGAACAACCTACTGAATGGGAGGAAATATTTTCAAACTATGCATCTGATAACAGGTTAATATACAAAATATATCAGGCACTCAATAAGAAAAGAAATAAGATTTTAAAAATGGGCAAAGGGTCTGAGTAGACATTTTTCAAAAAAAGACATAAAAATGGCCAACAGGCATATGGAAAAAATGTTCAACATCACTAGTCAGCAAGAAATGTAAATCAAAGCCACAAAGACATATCACCTCACACCTGGGAGAATGGCTATCATCAAAAAGACAAAAGATAATAAGTGTTGGCGAGGCTGTTGGTGGGAATGTAGATTAGTATAGTCATTATGGAAAACAGTAAAACAGCATAAGCCTCCTCAAAAAATTAAAAGTAGAACCACCATATAATCTAGCAACCCCACTACTGGGTGTATATGCAAAGGAAATGAAATTAATGTCAAAATTTATTTGCACTATTACATTCATTGCAGCATTATTCACAATAGCCAGCCAATTCTAGATACGGATTTAACTTAAGTGTTTATGGATGAATGAATGGATACAGTAAATGTAGTATAGGTAATGGAATACTATCGAGCCTTAAAAAAGAGGGAAATCCTGTCATTTGTGAAAACACACATAATCCTGGAGAACATTATGCTAAGTTAAATAAGCAGGCACAGAAAGACAAATGCTACATGATCTCACTTTTATGTGGAAGCTAAAAAAGTTGAACTCACAGAAGCAGGGAATAGGAAGTTGGAGGCCAGGGTTTGGGGGAATGGGGAGATGTGGTTTGAAGGACACAAAGCTTCAGTTAGACTAAGTGAGTAAGATTTGGAGATTTATTGTATAGCATGGTGACTATAGTTATAAATAATATATACTCAAACTTTCTAAGAGATTAGATCTTAAATGTTCTCACAGCAAAAGATAAGTATGTGAGGTGATGGATCTATTAATTAGCTTTATTTAGTCATTTTACAATGTATACGTATATCAAAACATCATGTTGTATACTGTAAATATATATCATTTTAATTTGTCAATTATGCATTATTAAAGCTGGGGAAACATAAATTGAATAATTAAAAAAGTCAATTTGAGGAAGTTTGGAAAATATAGAGTAATAAATATTACCAATAACTATTTAACCCAGATACTATTTACATTTTATTGTTTTCAGTCCTTATTCTCTTTGTATTAAAACATGTATTTTTCATGAAAATAGAATTATTGCATGTACCGCTTAGTATCTGGCTCTTCCCTTCAAAATAATCTTTAAGATTACTAATTCCATTAAATAGTTTCTCAAACAGGAGTCCCCAACCCTTGGGGAATGGACCAGCACCGGTTTGTGGCCGGTTAGGAACCAGGCTTCATGGCAGGATGTGAGTGAGTGAGTGAAGCTTCATCTGTATTTATAGCCGCTCCCCAGCTCTCACATTACCACCTGGGCTCCTCCTCCTGTCAGATCAGCAGTGGCATTAGATTCTTATAGGAGCTCAAACACTACTGTAAACTGTGCATGCAAGGGATCTAGGTTGCGTGCTCCTTATGAGAATCTAATGCCTGATGATCTGTCACTGTCTCCCATCACCCCCAGATGGGACCATCTAGTTGCAGGAAAACAAGCTCAGGGCTTCCACTGCTTCTACATTATGGTGAGTTGTATAATTTTTCATTATATATGACAATGTAATAATAATAGAAATAAAGTACACAATAAATGTAATATGCTTAACTCATCCTGAAACCATCTCCCCAGATTTGGTCCATGGAAAAATTGTCTTCCATGAAATTGGTCTCCAGTGCCAGAAAGGTTGGGGACTGCTGCTCTAAATACAATTTTAAAAAAATTATTGCTTTCTTTTGGATTACAAAAGTAATACGTCTATTCTGAAACATTTATAAAGCCACCGATAACCCCATCATTTATCTAGACCTAGACATGTTAACTTTCTGGAAAATGTCTTCTATTTTCTCTCTCTCTTTTTTTTTTTTTTTTTTTGAGACAGAGTCTCACTCTGTCGCCCAGGCTGGGGTGCAGTGGCATGATCTTGGCTCACTGAAGCCTTGACCTCCCAGGCTCAAGCAATCCCCTCACTTCCCCTTCCCAAGTATCTGGGACTATGGGATGGACCACCACACCTGGCTAATTTTTGTAATTTTTTTTTTTGTTAGAGATGGGGTTTCGTTATGTTGCTCAGGCTGGTCTCAACCTTCTGGGCTCAAGTGATCTGCCTGCCTTGGCCTCCCAAACTGCTATGATTACAGGCCTGAGCCACTGTGATTGGCCTCATATTCTCTCTTAATCCAGATATATATATAAATTCAGATATATATATAATCCAGACTATATATATATATAGTCATGCACTACATAATGGCATTTCAGTAAACAAGGGACAGTGATCCCATATTATTATAGTACCATATTTTTACTGTAACTTCTATGTTTATATAAGTTTAAATATACAAATACCATTTTGTTATAATTGCATGGCAATTTATAGCTTTATTGCATAGGAATTTTAACAAAATATTTGATATCTTGATTGTCAAAATAATTGACAATCTTGACATAAGGGACAAGAATATGTTTTAAGAACTGTTCCATATAGCAATTGGCTATACCATATATTTTAGATGTGTAGTGGGCCATACCATCTAGGTGTATGATTGTACAACAACAAAATCGCTAATGATGCTTTTCTCGGAACGTATCCCTATGATGCATGACTAACTTGATTAAAAGATGGGAGCATCCTGGAAAACCTGATTGTAATTGTTGCATTTTATTCCATTATAAAGGCATATTATCATTTAACTGTTCTCCTGTTATGGGACATTGTTTTCAATTGTTATGACAACAAGTCCTTTATAGAAATCATTAGCGCATCCCTTGCTTTTTTGTAGGTAAATTCTTAAAGGTGGAAACACCAGGACAAAATTTATGAGTCTTTTCAAGACCCTTGAAAAAACAGAGGAAACTTTCCTCTTGAAAGCTAGAACTGACACCTCTATGGCAGCATAGAGAATGCTTGTCTCTTTGAGCTTTTGCTGTCCTGCGTGCTGCTATCAGTATGTATTGATTGCAAAAATTGATAATTCTCTAGGGAGAACTTGGACCAAAAGAAAGGAATTAGTTTCCAGCTCTGAGGTTTAGTTTAAAGAGAAAAACCCAAGCAAACTAATAAAGAACAAAACTCTTATTCCCTTTGGTTGCCCCAAAGGAATTGACCAGAAGTACATACATTTGGGCATTATTTGAAGTTTTCTGTGTAATTATTTCACAAATCCTCTTTTGCACAGTGGATGCTTTTCTTTTTCCCTAGTCCCATGCTCACAAACTCTTAAATTATATTTTCCTTTACTGGGTTATAAAGGTCAGATTTAATTTACCTAATAGAACCAATTGATGGAAATCTATACAGTAAAAGAGATACTAGGCTTGAGAAGCTAAGAACATTTTGTTCCTGCCTCTGTGCTGCTCTCAGCATGTTTTAAATATGACCCAACATTTGTTAACGGATACCACATGTCACCATCTTTAAATGACCTTATCCATCTTATCACCACAACTTCAAACTAAGAAAGAAAGAAAAAAGAAACCCACCACCAAATGATCCTGAATGAAGCTGCCTGTTACGTCCAAATGATCTCGAAGTTGCCTGTTAACTGTCAGCAACCTTGACAGTCAGTAATTCTCAACAATATTTTATCATTTACCAAATTATATAGAAAATTAAAATCTCTTGAAAAACATCTCTTTTAAATTTTGTCTTTTAGGCTGCCTAATGATAGTGAAAGGAAAGAAACTATTTGATTAATTTGATCCTTCTAGATAAGCAAACCCAGTAATTCAAGTCTGAGAATGAATCAAGAGCACTGCATTCACCTTCTCAGCCCTACAATTCATGGCTTTGCCACTCTAGAGGGACTCACAGCTCCTCCTTCCTGCTCTCAATTCGGTCCTTTATCAAATGGGGCAGATAACATCTTTCTTAGATAGTTTTTGGAGTTTCTTTAAGAATAAAATATATTTTAAAAATCTCAAGTGCTATGTCAGTGTTCAGAGTCAGAACCACAATTTAGGCCTTACCGTGTTTTTAAATTTTCTATATTTTTTTTAAAAAAGCTTGGATTAGCTCAATTGCCTTTAATTATTAGTAACAGGTCAATAGGGTTAGTCAACTGGTTTATAATAATTGACCTTTGTAGTTTGATGTCTGTTTTCTTTTTCATAATTTGTATACCAATTTGACTAAGTGCTAAAATAATTAAATTTATAGTATTTTATGAATGCTAATCTTTTTTTTTTCGGTTTCATAAGTGGTTGTCTCACAGCCTTTCTCCATAGTTTATTTTATCTACATTTGAACAACTAAGAACTTTTTAACCAGTGTGACAAGGGGACATTAACAATTCTTTTTGTTTCTAATAATTGGTGTTTATTGTATCTCAGCACTACCTCCAGAAGAGGTAATTTTTCCAGCTAACTTACAGAGCAATACTAAACAATGAAACCCCAAATTATATACCATTATGAGCATTGTTCATAAACAATACTATAACATGACCTCCTAGAAGTTTGTCATTTCCTTTCTTTCAAGGATAAATTCCAGCAATCTAAGCATATGGTTGTCAGATGAAAATATCACTGATTTCATTGTGTGACAACATTGATACTGTCTTCAGCACCTCTTCGAATGTCATTAAGAAAGCCAAAAGGCTCCAAAAGCATTGGTTACCTGTGTGTAATTTATTGGAGATTCTGTAGGGTAGATCCAGTGAAGTAAAACCATGTGCCCTGCAGGTAACAAAACCAACCTCCTTAAAGGATAATTTTGCTATCTTCTGTTTCTAGAGTTGACCTTTGTTGGTCTTACCTGCCTGTTCAAGGGACTTATATTCTTCCTTCCAAAATCATACAGTGCTTTCTCGGAAAAGGGTCCTTCTTTTAGGTTTATTTAGCACCTGATGGGAAAAGTGCAGTCATGCTATTTCTTGTGGGCCAAGGTCAGAGCAAGGACATTCCAGAGCTTCTAATTTTAAGGCCTTTACCCTCTGTGTCTTTCTGACCCAGCTTTGACATCAAAACTGAGCAGTGACTCTTTCTCTTTACAGTTCTGCTGTAGTTATCTGAATCCTCTCCCTGATTATGAATGCTTCTTCTCAATAAGTAATTACACTAGATAGAAAAAAAAAAGAGACAAGAATATATTTTAAGAACTATTATCAAGTCAGACATAGTGGCTCATGCCTGTAATCCTAGCACTTTGGGAGTCCGAGGCAGGTGGATTGCTTGACAAGCCCAGGAGTTTGATACCAGCCTGGGCAATATAGCAAAACCGTGTCTACCAAAAATTAAAAAAATTAGCTGGGTGTGGTGGCACACACCTGTAGTTCCAGCTACTTAGTAGGCTGAGGTGGGAAGATCACCCCAGCTTGGGAAGTCAAGGCTGCAGTGAGCTGAGATCACACCAGTGCACTCCAGCCTGGCAACAAGAATATGAGAGTAAGACCTTGAATCAAAAAAAAAAAAAAAAAAACCATTATTATCATGCCAAGATATGAATGTGAATACATTCATTTTGGAGGTGGTTAAGGTGCTTATCCAGGCATATGAGAAATAAGGATCAGGCCACATTTCAAGATTTGTCTTTGAGCTTTAGGCATTGGTGCTCAATTCCATCTGTGATCTGAATTTCACTGGGGACAGACATTGAGTCTTCTTGAGCACAGTTTTACAAAGATTAGTTTTGCCAACCAGGAGGATTTATTGGCAAAGTGGTATGAACTGGAATGTGGGGAGCAGATAGAGTGGTTAGGAAAAGCTTGTGGCGGTCTGGGATACAGGCAGCATGCAGTCAGCAAGGAGAGTAGCAGTAATACTGTGAAAAGGGAGCCAGAAATGAGATAGGGATAGAAATTAACAGGCTTCAACAAATGACTAGATGTAGGAAAGGGGCTTAAAAAGGAAGAAAGCGTCAAAAATGATTCCTGAGTTTTGAACCTGGCTACTGGTGAGAACAGCAATGAAGATTGGCAAATCACATGGAACAGGATTGTGGGAAATGTAATGTTTTGGGTTCAGGCAAATTGAGTTTGATGTGTCAGTAGGTTATCAAATATCTGTAGACTATAGATCAAAACCACATAATTAGTATTTAGATCTAACTTTTTGCATTAAGATATTCCACTATTGCATGCTAGAAATGTTCTGATTTTTTATTTCCTCTTGTGCTTTTTCCTGTGCTTATTAGGTTTTCTTGCCAAGATGAGGCATCTGTAGCTTAAGGATACAAGTTACTCATCCAAAATAATGTCAGACTTAGGAATGTATGATTTCCAGAACTGGAGTACTAACATTGCCCAGATGTTTTTAAGCTGTGGTGGTAAATCCACCCAGATGTCTCTGATTGCATCTAGTTTGTCTTGAGTTCTTTGCTCATCTTGTGTGGTTCTCTTCCTTTAATCTGCTATAAATCAGTATCACTTTGAATTTTTTTATAGGAAGTTTGTGGAGGTCCAATGATATGAACATGGAGAAAGCAGGCTTTATAAAGCTATTCTTAGATCTAATAATAAATCAGTGAATATTAGAGAATACAGAACTTTGGGACTGAGAGGATACTTAAGGATAGTCTAGTTCAGTTCTTTCATTTTATATTTTTGAGGATTTGGGAGACTTTATGAAGACACAGAACAAGATAGTGGCAGAGCTAGGATTAGACACCAGCAATATTTGGCTTAATATTACATAAGAGGATTTTGAAAGGCATGCTTCTTTTTTTGGCATTTTAATGAAAACAAAATGTATGGAAAATAGAATAATTCTTTATCTCTCTTCATTTTTCTGCATTATCCATTTTTTCCCCTTGTATGGGGACATTTCCATCAGCCTACAAACACTCTTATTTCCTCCATTAAAAAGTAAAATAAAACACCCTCACTTGACCCCACATCCCTCTAGCTTACTTTTTGATTTCCCTTACAGTAAATCTCTTATAAGGAGCCTGTCTATACTCACTCTCTCCAGCTTCACTCCATTCATTCTCTCTTTCTTATTTTTACTGAAGTGAAATTCACTTAATATAAATTAACTATTTTAAAGTGAACAATTTTGTGGCATTTACTGCATTCAGAATATTATGCAACCACCACCTCTGTCTAGTTCCAAAAACATTTTTATCAGCCCCAAAGAAAATTCTAGGTCCTTCTTAATGAAGTGGCTCTCCATTACCTCTTTTCCTAGACCCTGGAAACCACTAATCTGTATTCCCTCTTTATATGTTTACCAATTCTGTATATTTCACATAAATGGAACCATATAATATGTGACCTTTTTGTGTGTGACATCTTTCACTTAGCATAATATTTTCAATTTTCAGCTATGTTGCAGCATGCATTAATACTTCATTTCTTTTTAATGGCTGAATAATAATGAATTGTTTCATCATTCTCTTAAACCTACTCCAATTTTTTTTTTTTTTTTTTTTTTTGACAGAGTCTCACTCTGTATCCCAGGCTGGAGTGCGGTGGCGTGATCTTGGCTTGCTGCAACCTCCGCCTCCTGGGTTCAAGCAATTCTCCTGTCTCAGCCTCCCGAGTAGCTGGGACTACAGGTGTGTGCCACCATGCCAGGCTAATTTTGTGGTATTTTTTGTAGAGACGTGGTTTCACCCCATTGGCCAGGCTGGTCTCGAACTCCTGACCTCAAGTAATCTGCCTGCCTCAGCCTCCCAAAGTGTTGGGATTACAGGTGTGAGCTACTGTGCCCAGCCCAAATGTTCTTTACCTCCCCATTTTCAAAAGTGTTCTTTTCATGATCACCAGTGACCATTAAGTTGCCAAATCCAATGAGGATGTTTCAGTCTTCATTTAACTAGATGTATCAGCAGCATTCAACATAGCTGATCATTCATTTCTATGAACTACATTCTTTGCTTGGGTTCCAGCTGTGCACATTCTCTTGGTTTTCTTCCTGGGTCATGACGACTTTGCTGATTGCCTCTTATCTCTTAAATCTTAATTTGGGGTGCTGAAGGGTCATTCATCGGACCATCTCTCTTCTTGATTTACTCTGTTGGTTATCTCATTTAATGCTACTGTTAATGTTTAATTTTCAAAAACTCATGAGTTTATGCAAATATATAATGAATACATCTTCAACATTTATCACCCTTATTAATGAGGGAACCAGTAAGATGTTAAAGCTAGTTCAATAAATATTTGAAGAGCTATATATTTTAGCAATTTAATATGGGATATGTTGCATAATAAAGAATTCATCTGATATTTGTCCCTGGTTCCTGAGAGAGCTTATAAACCCTGGAAACTCCTGAATGGCAAGAGAGTCTTTATTATTCACGGTGAGCCTCTAGGGCCACACCTGAATTTATGCAAATGAAGTGACTCATGGTGTACCCCTAGACATTTATGGTACAGGGGCTGGTCATTCTACAAAGACACACCCCATAATTAGAAGGTTGGGGCTTTGAGCCAGATGACATCAACCTGACCTCTGAAGAGTGGAAGGAAGCTAGAGACTGAGTTCATGGTTAATGATTCAATCAACAATGCCTGTGTAATGAAATCCCAATAAAAATTCTGGACATCAAAACTTGGGTGGGCTTCCCTGATTGATGATACACAATTATGTGCCAGGAGGGTGATGCATCCTGAGGACAAAGAAATTTTGTGTTTGTGTTTGCCTATGTGTCTCTTCATTTAGATGGTCCTGACCTGTATCCATTATAGTGAACTGTAATTGTAAATATAGTGCTTTTCTGAGTTTTGTGAGTCATTCTAGCAATTATCAAATCTTATGAGATAGTGGGAACCTCCACACTTGTAGCCAGCTGGTCATAAGTGAGGGTGACCTGGCAACCTTGGAGAATGCAGCAAGTGTCTGAAGTAAAAAGAGTCTAATGGAGGACTGTGCCCTCAACCTGTGAAGTCTACACTAGCTCCAGATTTAGCATCAGATTTACATTGCAAAATAAGTTTCAGGGTTAGAAACAAAACGGGTTAATATTTTGCAGGATAATAGACCAAGTTTTCTATTGAACAGAAATTGTATCACTATTAGACTAAATTCTGTAAGTTAGTTGATAACTTACAGAATTTAAGTCTGGGACATAAAATCAAAATCTGAATATTTTATAGAATATTTATAGAATCATGGCTCCCAAAATTTTTAGTTTGTAGCTCAATCCTGATTTTTAGACTAATACTACTTGATTGTCTACTAAGTATGAAAACTTAATGTATCCAGAATTTAAATCCCAATCTTCTTGCCCCAGATATGCTTGACGTGGACTCTTACTCATCTGTAAATGGATTATTGATCCTTTCCAGCCACTTGGCTTTCTTGCTGCCCAAAATGTAACACATGTCCACTCTTACTGATCTCTTTCTAAAATACTCTTCATGGTTTTTAATCCTCATCTCTTTTATCTCTTTGTTCAGATGTCACTGTGATGAGACATCCTCTATTTAGACCTTCGTCTCTTGTCCCGACTCCTCTAACCTTGCTCCTTGCTCTGAATCATTTTTCTCCATCGCACTTAACAACATGCAACATGATATATGATTTGATTATTTTGTTTTTTGTTGTTGCCATCCATGGAAATGTAAGCTCCATGAGGGCAAGCATTTTTTGTTTATTTGTTTTCTTGTTTTATTCATCAAAGTCTCCCTAGTGCCCGGAATAGTTTCTGGCACATAGGAATTCAACAAACATTTGTTGAATAGTGAGTGAGATGTGACATTATGCAACTATTGAAAAGAAAAGGAGCATAAGCATATCACCTGCAATTTTATATTCAAATAAAATCTATTGATTTTAGTAGTTTTAGGTAGCTATATAATTATTTCCATGGTTTGGAATTGATTTAAGAGGCAGCTTGCAAGTCATTATTAATGTCAGTTTAATTACTTTAGAGTTACAGCTCATTTTGGACCCCAAACAGAATTACCCGTCTTGAACCCCACTTTGTTCATCAGACTTGACTCTGGTAATGGTGCGGTGAAAACTGCCATTAGTTATTTTCAATAATCTTTTCCCTTAGTCAATAATTTTTCATTTGCAAGTAACAGATATATACTTAAACTATCAAAGTTATATAGTTTGTTGATAGTAATTCACATTGTTTTCTATTTTTCCCCTTGCCAATCCTGAAAATAGTTGCATTTTGTCTTCCCTGCCTTAGCATGGTTTAGTTGCAGGGTCAAAGCAGAAACAGCCTGAGGTCAGTTCTCTTCCTGTTTTTTTTTTGTTTTTTTTTTGTTTTTTTTTGTTTTTTTTTTTTCAGTTTAGAAAGCTTAGGCATTTGAGAGGTTCATGGTAGGGTGACCTAGAATGGGAAGAGAGAAGTTGGTATTATTGAGGAGACAGTGATGACAGAAGAGATGAGAAAGGGAACAGATATTTTTTTCTGAAGACTAAGAAATGGCCATACTTGAAATTCCCTGAGCACATAATTACGGCTGCTGTGTTGTCTCCCAAGAATGTGACAGAGCTTGGAAGAAAATGGCTGTATGTTGCTTCTAGGGCTAGTCTTCACAGAAGAGGGGTACTACAAGGTGTCTCATTGAATCCAATGGAAGTAAACAAAGTTGAGCTTCATGAGAGACTGAGATTGGAAAGCATAAAATCTGTCAGGGAAGCCAAGGAAAATGGCAATACCATCTCTCTTAGTTCATTTGATGCTGCTACAACAGAATCCAGTTGTACTGAGAGGTGACAGTGTGCTGGCAGCCCTCACTCGCTCTCAGTGCCTCCTCTCCCTGGGCTCCCTCTTTGGCGGCACTCGAGCCCTTCAGCCTACCGCTGCACTGTGGGAGCCCCTTTCTGGGTTGGCCAAGGCCGGAGCCAGCTCCCTCAGCTTGTGGGGAGGTGTGGGGGTAGAGGCGCCCATGGGAACTGGGGCTGCGCACGGTGCTTGTGGGCCAGCGCGAGTTCCGGGTGGGCGTGGGCTCGGCGGGCCAGCACTCGGAGGGGCGGGCTGGCCCCACTGGCCCTGGGCAGTGAGAGACTTAGCACCTGTTCCAGCAGCTGCTGTGCTCAATTTCTCGCTGGGCCTTAGCTGCCTTCCCGTGGGGCAGGGCTCGGGACTTGCAGCCCACCATGCCTGAGCCTCCCCCGCCCTCCGCTCCTGTGCAGTGGAGCCTCCCCGACAAGCTCCGCCCCCTGCTCCACAGTGCCCAGTCCCATCCACCACCCAACGGCTGAGGAGCGTGGGTGGGCGCATGGCGTGGGACTGGCAGGCAGCTCCACCAGCAGCCCTGGTGCAGGATCCACTGAGTGAAGCCAGCTGGGCTCCTGAGTCTGGTGGGGACTTGGAGAACCTTTATGTCTAGCTAAGGGATTGTAAATACACCAATCGGCACTCCGAATCTAGCTCAAGGTTTGTAAACACACCAATCAGCACTCTGTGTCTAGCTCAGGGTTTGTGAATGCACCAATCGACAGTCTGTATCTAGCTACTCTGGTGGGGACTTAGAGAACCTTTGTGTGGACACTGTATCTAGCTAATCTAGTGGGGTCGGAGAACCTCTGTGTCTAGCTCAGGGATTATAAACGCACCAATCATCACCCTGTCAAAACAGACCACTCGGTTCTCTGTAAAATGGACCAATCAGCAGGATGTGGGTGGGGCCAGATAAGAGAATAAAATCAGGCTGCCAGAGCCAGCAGTGGCAACCCACTGGGGTCCCCTTCCACACTGCGGAAGCTTTGTTCTTTTGCTCTTTGCAATAAATCTTGCTGCTGCTCACTCTTTGGGTCCACACTGCCTTTATGAGCTGTAACACTCACCGTGAAGGTCTGCAGCTTCACTCTTGAAGCCAGCGAGACCACGAACCCACCAGGAGGAAGGAACAACTCCAGACGTGCTGCCTTAAGAGCTGTAACACTCACTGCCAAGGTCCGCAGCTTAACTCCTGAGCCAGTGAGACCTCGAACCCACCAGAAGGAAGAAACTCCGAACACATCCGAACATCAGAAGGAACAAACTCCAGAGGCGCCACCTTAAGAGCTGTAACACTCACTGCGAGGGTCCGCGGCTTCATTCTTGAAGTCAATGAGACCAAGAACCCACCATTTCCGGACACAGTACCTCCTTATTCATGGTTTCAGTTATCCATGATAAACCACAGTCTGGAAATATTAAATTGACAATTCCAGAAATAAACAATTCATAAACTTTAAGTTGCATGCCATCCTGAGTAGTGTGATGAAATCTCATGCCGTTCTGTTTCATCCCACTCTGAACGTGAAGCATCCCTTTCTGCAGCACGTCCATGCCGTCTATGCTGCCTGCCTGTTAGTTACTTAGTAGCCATCTTCTTATCACATCAACTGTCACAGTATCCCAGTGCTTGTGTTTAAGTCATACTTATTTTACTTAATAATGGCCCCAAAGTGCAAAAGTAGTAAGCTAGAAATTAGGATTTGCTAAAGAGAAGCCATATAGTGCTTCCTTTAAGTGAAAAGATGAAAGTTCTTAATATGCTGAGCTTGCTAAGATCTACAGTAAGAATGAATCTTCTATTGGTGAAATTATATTCTTATAATTTTTCTACTTTATTATTATTTATTGTTAATCTCTTACTGTGCCTAATTTATGAATTAAACTTTAACATGTATGTATAGAGAGGAAAAAACAGTATATAAAGTTCGGTACTATTTGTGGTTTCAGGCATCCACTGGGGGTCTTGGAATGTATCACTTGTGGATGAGGAAGGGACTACTGTACTATTGAGTGGGTAATTTATAAAGAGCAGACATTTATTTCTCACACTTCTGGGGCCTGGAAATCCAAGACCAAGGCACCACCATTTGGTGTCTGGTGAAAGCTGCATCCTTTGGAGGAGGGGAATGCTGTGTCCTCACATGGCAGAAATGGGGAAGAGAAAAGTAGGTGAACACTGTGCTGCATGAAGCCTCTTTTAAAAGAAACTTAATTCCGTTAATGAGGGAGCAGCCCTCATGGCCAAATTACTTCTTAAAGGCCAGACTTCTTGGTACTACCACATTGGCAACACCAGAATGTTGGAGGGATTAAGTTTCAACATCAATTTTTGAGTGAACAAACCATTTAATCCATAGCACTATCTCTCTGAAGCTGAGTCTTCTTTCCCTCTTTGAAGGCTAGCTTTGCCTGCTTCAAAAATGGCTTCCCCCAAACTGGATTTATCTCACTTCCGATTCCAAGAAGGACACTGGCAAGAGTCAGTCAAGTTTTGTCTAGCATTAGGACATTGGAAATTGCTGTTACCAATCTCTAGGAGCATTGTGAGCAGGAGCTGAGAAGAAAGATGGGAAAGTTAGTGAATTTATTAGTCCCTATACTTTAAAAGTCTAGTACCCAGAACTTTGTTATGGCTATTTCCTGGTTTCTGGGACAGAAGCATTTTGGTATTCAAGATAAAACTCCTGTCCAAGAAAGCCCATTTGGATGGAAGAGCAAAAAGCTTCTTAACTGAACTGAAAGGTGGGGTTGGTTCTTCTTTACCAAAAGAAAAATATAATCATCTACTGATGAGATTGTTAAAAAAAAAGAAAAAAAAAAAAAAAAGAAGAGTCAATTGACTTGTAGATCATGAATGGGTAGATGTGGGGCCAATTTACTGTTATGTGTGAAAGGCTGCATGGAGCAATCAGGGCAATAGCATCTTCAGCATTAGATCTTTAGGTAGTTAAAACCAAGATACTGTTCCAGGACCCTAAATACTCTTACAGGTTGGTGAGAAAAGAAAGGGAAGAATAGACTGCTTCTTTCTTCCTTATTTCTAAAAACCTGGCTTTCAATTATATTAAAATGTTAATCTGCCTCCATTGCCATAGTCAATACTTTAATTACATAAAAATAAATTGTAAATGAAGGAAGAGCATATGCTAGAATTATAACAAATGAGTAGTACATATTTTCAAATAATGTAGTAGGTTGGAATTTTGCAGATGACTGGTAAATTGTTAAATACAATGAATAAATAAAACAATGTGTACAGTTTTACATTCTGATTGCAGAAAATATTTTAGTAAACTTACAGAAATTTACTCTGAAAGTTCATACTTGAGTATGAACTCTAGAACACCTTATGTAACAGAAAATAAAATACCTTAGGAATCTAAAGCCAAAAAAACTTAAGAATAGAATGTAAGAAAGTTTATCATAGATTGTTAAGAAAATAAAGAGCTGTAGTGAACATATGCATGCATATATCTTTATAACGGAATGATTTATAATTCTTTGGGTATGTACCCTGTAATGGAACTGCTGGGTCAAATGGTATTTCTGCCTCTAGGTCTTTGGGGAATACCACACTGTCTTCCACAAGGGTTAAACTAATTTACACTCCACCAACAGTATAAAGCATTCCTTTTTCTCCTTATCCTCACCAGAATCTGTTGTTTTCTGACTTTTTAATAATTGCCGTTCTGACTGGAGTGAGATCGTATCTCATTGTGGTTTTTTATTTGCATTTCTCTAATGATCAGTGATGTTGAGCTTTTTTTCATATGTTTTTTGGCCACATGAATGTCTTCTTTTGAGACGTGTGTGTTCATATCCTTTGCCCACTTTTTAATGGGGTTGTTTGTTTTTGTGTGTGTGTAAATTTAAGTTTCTTGTAGACTCTGGATATTAAACCCTTGTCAGATGGATAGATTGCAAAAATTTTCTCCCATTCTGTAGGATGTCTGTTCACTCTGATGATAGTTTATTTTGCTGTGCAGAAGCTCTTTAGTTTAATAACAAACACATGGAATCAACTAACCCAATTGCCCATCAAGATAGACTGAATAAAGAAAATGTGGTACATATATACCATGGAATACTATGCTGCCACAAAAAGGAATGAGATCATGTCCTTTGCAGGAACATGGATGGATCTGGAAGCTGTTTTTCCTCAGCAAACTAACCCAGGAACAGAAAACCAAACACCATATGTCCTCACTTATAAAAGGGAGCTGAATGATGACAACACCTGGACACACTGGGGGAAACAATACACACTGGGGCCTGTCAGTGGGGGAGGGGGGAAGGAGAGCACCAGGAAGAATAGCGAATGGATGCTGGGCTTAATTCCTGGGTGATGGGTTGATCTGTGTAGCAAACTACCATGGCACACACTTACCTATGTAGCAAGCCTGCGCATCATGCACATGTACCCTGTAATTTAAAGTAAAAGTTGAGGAAAAAAAATAAAGAGCTCAGCCGCGCGTGGTGGCTCACGCCTGCAATCCCAGCACTTTGGGAGGCCGAGGTGGGCGGATCACGAGGTCAGGAGATTGAGACCATCCTGGCTAACATGGTGAAACCCCGTCTCTACTAAAAAATACAAAAAATTAGCCGGGTGTGGTAGCGGGCGCCTGTAGTCCCAGCTACTTGGGAGGCTGAGGCAGGAGAATGGCGTGAACCCGGGAGGCAGAGCTTGCGGTGAGCAGAGAGGCGCCACCGCACTGCAGCCTGGGAGACAGAGCGAGACTCTGTCTCAAAAAAAAAAAAAAAAAAAAAGATCTCAAGGAAGGCAAACACAAATTGTTCAGGCAATACTTAATAGGGAAACATAGTAATGTTTTCTAAAATCTTCAGACTCTTAAAATTAATTTCTATTTTATTAATAGCCTCGCATCTTTTATGTATATGTGAATGAAAAAAAGAATAAATTGAATGATACTCTCTAGTTTGCAGATCAGGCTTTTGTTCTGTTGTTGTTTAGACCTGTTAATTCATTTATAAAACTCTCATTTTGGAAGTATGGAGTTATTTTTGTATGGAAGTTAATTGTTTTTAAATGGTATGACTTTTTTTTTTTTTTTTTTTTTTTTCTTCCGTGAGCATTTCGATGCCTGGAAGCGGGAAACCTGATTTAGCTATCTGTTGCCGTCTTGGTCTTTATTTTAGCTAGGAAGACTAAAGGGCTGCATGTTAACCTCTCCTTGAACTCAGGGATTAAATCTAGTTGGTTATCTTAAGTTTAATAAGTAGTATCCATGAGCACAATGATTCCTTTAAGTGACTTTATTAATTAAACAGCTTAAAACAATTGCTTGAGACATGGCTATGGCAAGAAGCCTTGGGAGTACTGAGGTACTTCTGAGAAAGGGAGTAGGGCACTCTGTCAAAGACTCTGGAAGGTTCAATTGTGTCTTTTGTTTTATACTTGAAATGCTGGACCCGCTCAATGAATTAGCAGGAAGTGACACATACTGAGTCGTGGACACGCATTCACATGCTAGAAGACATTATTAATGCCTCAGGAATGGTGGAAAATTCTTTCTTCTACTTATTTTTATAAATTATTGTTTCTCCCTCCATTGTACCTAGAGCTAGAGGGAATTGTCATAATAATGTTAGAGGAGGATGATTTTGTATGACGTTTGTGAATCCACATTATACCTATTTGAGAATAAGTGCCCTCAGTGTTCTTGGTACTCAATGCACTGTGGAAGTGAAATAATGCCTGCTTGCTCTTCCAGAGTTTGCAGTTTAGCACAGGAAAGAGGGAGACAACGATTGAAAACCAGAAGTAGCTGAAAAATGAGAAAAAAGATCTGTAAACACTAGGCTGGGAGGTTTACTATAGCAGAAAGCTCATGTACACCTGAGAAAATGTTCACCTAAGCTTGGCAACGATTTTGAAGAAGCACAAGTTATGGTACATTTTAAAGGAAGAGTAGTACCAATCTTAATGTCTTAACTAGGCTAAGATCTATGACCCTTAATTAACAAAAACTATCTACAACTGAATTACAAAATATTTCTGAAAGTCAATAAATGAATCTATATTAGTCAAAAAATACGTTAACCGGTGGATAACATGATTACAGTAGTGTCGAAGGAAAGGAAACAACGTTTATCAGTTGGCTTACTTATTTTTCAGTTTCATCTATTTCCTAAAATTATATTTGTGACTTAGAACAAAGTAAGCATCCTAAGAATGTAGTACATGGGCTTTGCATAAATACAGCCACATGTGCTATAAAATAGATGTGAAACATCAAACTCACTCTCCCTCCAATCATGTGGCTTAAATAGCCAAAGGTGTACTATACACTTGTGTAATATTTTCTCTCTTTAATTCTTCCTTTTATCATTAAAAAGGCATGAATTATCGTGCTGTATAAATAGAAAAATATGATAATGTGTGTGCATCTTGAAGAAGAAGGCTCTCATTCCATTTAAAAAATAAATTCCAGATTAGGAGGAGCCAGATTGTAACATTTTGGATCTACGACCGCTATTTGCTTTGCCACCTGAATGACACAAAGAACACTGTTTGTGCAGTGTTGTGTGTGCCTCTTTATAGAACTTGCATGTTTTCCAATTTGTATACATGCATACTTTGTTTTATTGTACTTTATTGCACTTCTCAGATTTTACAAAGATTTGAAGGTTTGTAGCAACCCTGCATAGATCAAATCTGTTGGCCTAATTTTTCCAACAGCATTTTCTCATTTTATGTCACATATTGATAATTATTGCAATATTTCAAGTTTTTCATCATTATTTTATCTGTTATGGTGATTCATAATCAATAATCTTTGATATTACTATTGTAATTGTCATGGGGCCCACAAACCACACCCATATAAGATGGCAAACTTAATAAATGTGTGTCTTCTGACTGCTCCACTCACCAACTGATCCTCATCTCCCTCCTACTTAGGGCCTCCTTATTCCCTGAGACACAATAATATTAAAACTAGGCCAATTAATAACCTGAAAATGACCTCTAAGTGTCCAAGTGAAAGGAAGAGTTGCATGCCTCCCACTTTAAATCAGAAGTTAAAAATAATAAAGCTTAGTGACCAAGGCATGTCAAAAGCTGAGATAGGCCAAAAGCTGGGCCTCTTAAACCAGTTAGCCAAGCTGTGAATGCAAAGGAATAGTTTCTTAAGGAAATTCAAAATGCTACTCCAGTGAACTCATGAATGATAAGAAAGTGAAACAGCCTTATTGCTGATATGAAGTTTTGAGTGGTCTGAATAGAAGACCAAACCAGCCACAACATTCCCTTAAGCCAAAGCCTAATCCAGAGGAAGTCCCTAACTCTCTTTAATTCTATGAAGGCTGAGAGAGATGAGGAACATTCAGATTTGAAAAGATCTGAAGCTAGGAGAGGTTGGTTCATGAAATTTGAATAAAGAAGCTGTCTCCATAACATATGAAAGTAACCATGCAAGGTGAAGCAATAAGTTATCCAGAAGATCTAGCTAAAATCATTGATGAAGGTGGCTACACTAGTCAGATTTTCAGTGTAGATGAAACAGCCTACTATTGGAAGAAGATGCCATCTAGGACTTTCACAGCTAGAGAAAAGGCAATGCCTGGCTTCAAATCCTCAAAGGACAAGTGACTCTCTTGTTAGGGTTTATGCAGCTGCTGACTTTAAGTTGAAGCCAATGCTCATTTACCATTCTGAAAATCCTAAGGCCCTTAAGAATTTGCTAAATCTACTCTGCCTGTGCTCTATAAATGAAGCCAGAGAGCCTGGATGACATCATATCTGTTTATACATGGTTTACTGAATATTTTAAGCTCACTGTTGAGACCTACTGCTTAGACGAAAATATTTCTTTCAAAATATTGCTGCTCATTGACAACGTATCTCATTTCCCAAGAGTCCTGATGGAGTTGTATAAGGAAATTAACAATTAATGTTGTTTTCCTGCCTACTAACACAACATCTATTCTGTAGTCCATGGATCAAGGAATGCTTTCAACTTTCAAGACTTATTTAAGAAATACATTTTTTTTAAGGCTATAGCTGCTGTAGATAATGATTCCTCTGATGGATCTGGGCAAAGTAAATTGAAAAACTTCCGGAAAGTATACATTCTAAATGTCATTAAGAAAATTTGTGATTCATGAGGGGAGGTGAAAGTATCAGCATTAATGGCGGTTTGGAAGATGTTGATTCCAATTCAAATGTATGACTTTGAGGGCTTCAAGGCTTCAGTGGAGGAAGTAACTGCAGATGTGGTGGAAATAGCAAGAGGCCAGAAGTGGAAACTGAAGATGTGACTGAATTACTGAAATCTCATAATCAAACCTGAACAGATGAAAAATTTGCTTCTAATGAATGGGCAAAGAAAGTGGTTTCTTGAGTTGGAATCTACTCTGGGTGAAGATGCTGTGAACATCATTGATATGATAACAAAGGATTTAGAATATTACATAAACTTAGTTGATAAAACAGCTGCAGGTTTTGAAACATATGACTACAATCTTGAAAGAAGTTCTACTGTGGGTAAAACGCTATAAACAACATTGCATGCTACAGAGAAATCTTTTGGGAAAGAAAGGGTCCATTGATGTGGCAAACTTCATTGCCATCTTATTTTAAGAAATTGCCACAGCTACTCCACCTTTCAGCAACCACCACCTTGATCAGTCAGCAGCCATCAACATGGAGGCAAGACCCTCTACCAGCAAAAAGGTTATGGCTTGCAGAAGACTCCGATGATCATTGTTTTTTTTTTTTAGCAATAAATTATTTTTAAATTAAGGTATACATATATATTTTAAGACACAATGCTATTGCACAGTGCATTTGTATCAACATAGCTTTCATATACATTAGGAACCCAAAACAATTTGGGTGACTCACTTTATTGCTACGTTCGTTTTATTGTTGTCTGGAACCAAACCTGCAATATCTCTGAGGTATACCTGTATATGTCAAGGTTTTTGGGTTTTTTTTGTTTTTTTTTAAACCAGACTTTAAATTTCCTAATAGTGCTCTCTGTCTTTTGTTCACTTAGCTGAATTCCTTGAAAACAGAGCCACACAAATGTGGTCATAAAGGGAATTAAATTAAGAGCAAGTATCCATGGTACATGATAAAAGGAACAAGACCCTTCTTGTTCAGAAAGTTTTTCTTCTTAATCTGAAGATATTGAAATAAAAGTATAGCCAAGCTTTTGAAGAAAAGTTCCTAGTTTTTGCTTTGAACTTAGACAAGCTTTCCACAAAAAGCTGACAAAGAGTGCTTCAGGTGCTCAAGTAATACACGTAAGGAGGTGGGCAGTATTAGAGCCCTTAGAATGGGCAAATGTGGAAGGGGAGGAGGAGATGAGAGTGCTACCCTGCACAGTGAAATATGAAAGTCAGGCTTAATATCCATCCTTGCTCAAAACTGGATCTGTTTTAGCAAAATAATAAGATATTTAATTTATTGGATAGTTTCACATTTTGTGGCTGATTCTGTTTTCTACTCTCTTACTCACCTTTCCTCTGAGTAATCCCACCTATTGCCATAAATTTCTTAAAAAATTATTTAGTCACTTAACTTCAGCTTTTGTCAGCTCACTTCTAGTATTTTTAGGGTCAAACCTAAGGTTTACAGCTAATAAAGCCATTTTCTTTAACAGTATCAAAATAGATCTTTTCAAATGTGTAAGAAATGTCACCTGAAAGGCACTTGAAAAAATTTTAACTGTCCAAAAGAAATATTAGACGTTAATAATATTTTATGTCCTAATTAAGATGTACATGTGTCTTTGTAGTGAAAAATTCTGGCCAAATGTTAATTAGAAATGATAAAGATAGCTGTCATATTCTCTTTTTAAAAATTCATCATTCTTAACCATTCCTTGTCCAACAATTCTGAATCTTAAAGAATAAAGCATATAGTTATTGCACTAAGAATGATCCAAGCAACTCTTAATGCCACGTGTCACTATTCTATGTGTTTGAAATAAATAACTAAAATATGGTCTTTGCTTTGAGAAATGCAAGCAAAAATCTTTGGGAAGCTTAACTGCTTATCCCCTCCAATTCAGCTGAGTTACATGTCTTCTGAAAAAATCTTGTTTGAAATAGAAAAAGGCATTTGACTGGGTTAAATGATGTTATTTGGGAATTTTGTAAGTGCTGCAGGGTGAGAACACACATTGTTGATTTTAAATGAAGAGAGCATTTTCCAAACCACAGCCTAGTTCTGGCCCCTACCCCGCCCCTTTCTGGGTCAATCAATTGCCCCCAGGCTGCTTATAGTAAAAATCATGTGTTAAGAGTAGGTGAATTTCAGTGGCTCTCATAATTACATTTCTGTGTTTCTTCAAAATATCTGATGGATTGAAACTTTACCCTCCCTCTGCAAAGAGATTATGTATTTGCATGCTCCATCTCAACTCCATTTGAGTGCACGGTCATCATCAATACATTTTCTGGACTGGTGTCTCAGCTTATTTGGGGGAAATAATGCCATCCTTCAGGCTTTTGTTCTCCTATGTGCTTGGATCTATAAGTAAATATAATGGTGCAGCAGTCAGGAGGAGGAACCCCTTATTAGATTGCTGTTGCTCTGTTCAGGAGAACCCACTGGAAACTCTACTGGGCAATCTCACAGGAAGCTCTCTGTGTGCCAGGGCTTCTCAGCTAGATTTTGTTTAACAGCTTTGTGGAATATTAGAATTCTTTTCATTTTTGGTAATAGAAAACTGGCTCAGAATACACACTATTGGGCCACATGTGGGCTTTTATCTATATAACCTGATCTAAAGTCTTAAAACCAATGCTAAAAGATGGGGATAGAAGAAAACATTTTGCATTTATTTTAGGTAAATGAGACTTGAGACATTTTTCTTCCCATGCATTTATTTGCTGTATATCCAAGTATAAAAATCTAAGGTTATTTTTGATATTTAAACTTTGCTTGAGAAGATTTAAGAAAATATACCTATATTTAAAAATAAACCAATGACTACACCTATGCATTTTAACCATTTTTAGAGAGAAAGTTTTCTGTGCATAATAGCTTATCATGATGTGGGTTCTTTGCTGAGGCTTCAGAAATTGTTAGTGCCAATTCCAATTTGCTTAGTTCATTTACTTTGCACCTAAGTTGTAAATTAATCATTGCTGGTAACATCAATTTAGTTGTAATTAATCATAGAGGGAGGAGTAAAGCAGTCGGGTTGCTGCCAGCCATATTAACTGCCTTATGTGATTGCTCTTGTGTAATTTTCCAGCACTTTGATGAATATACAGGCAAGAAATACTTTGGGAGCTTGCAAGAATATTCATATTATATTTGGAAATATACTTGAAAGCACTATAAATAGTTGATTGCTGCTTTACCTGAAGATTTTTTTTTGTGGCCATTAGATAAATAACTTTTACACACACACCACGTGCACACACACACACACACACACACATACACACTACGCCCTTGCTTTGGATAAACGATATGTTGATGCTTTCAGAGCCGGTGAAGCTAAAAATGGAGATTTAATTGAAGTCTTGGCTGGATGTTCAAGGTTAGAGAAGAGCGGATACCAACAAATACAAGTATTGATGTTTCCTATGCAGTTTCCTCCTAGCAAATAAATATTTAGGGGGAAATACCATTCTCATTTGCAAATATATAATATTTCCTATTCATTGACCAAATATATTGATTTTTACACTATTATAATAAGAGTATACACATAACTTTATTGATAACTAATAGAATTTTAGGTGATTTACAACAGACAAATGACACACTGATATAAAAGGAATAATATATTAAAAATAACATATTTTACAATTTCCATAAATTATGTCTTATAACTGCCTATCCATTGTATGAAGCCATTCATTGCTTTGAATTGAGGACAAATTCCACCTACAACATAGAAGTCATTGCTTAGCATGGAGTTTCAAGCTATACTTTTCAGGCCACAGCAAAACGATAGTTCTGAAAGCTGGCCTTTGCATGCATTCTTGTGAAAGCAGGGGCAAAGTCTATGAAATCCTGTCTTCTGGCTCCTCACTAGTCTCCATGGCAGGGTGGCTGAAATGGTCTTGTGCTGGGTGTTCTGGGCTAGTGCTCCCTGCAGGTGACTAGTCTTGCTGGGTCCCCTTTGGGTATAGCACTGGCATATACTTCTGAAGTTCAAGGTTCTCATCTTGACTCTGGTCATAAGATCCCTGTACTTTGTAGCCTCCTTAGCACTACCTCAGTCTTTTCCAGGTCCACAAGTTTTCTCTGTACTTTTCTTTCCTCCCATTGAAACATGTAGGATGATCTGAATCCCCAGCCTGCAATAAACAGGCCGGAAGATATGGTGCTACCTTAAGTCCACTGCTGAGACAGATTCCTGTTGTTCAGGCATTATGACGCACATGGGAACTCTCTAAGAGATGTAAATGTTCTCGGGCTATGCCCAAAGAAATGAACCAAATGAGAAAATCTGCCCTGGAATTTCCTTCGAGTTTTGACCTCCCAGAGCAGAGAGGACACTCACCTCTAAAATCTCACTCTTCTGTTTATTTTCTTTTTTTCCTTGGCTCTTCCTAGTCCCCAGAGTGTCTTCCTCCTTTCACTTCCTGTTTTATAGGAATTTCCCCTTGGTCATATTCTCCCATTGTCTCTAGGCTATGGATGGTAGTAAAACTTTATGATCCGAGTTTCCCCAGTTTGGCATTTACTACGTAGACCAATATTTTAGTATTTAGAAAAGCTTTCTTTCTCTTACTCCTCTGCATCCAGTCAATAACTGGAGTAGGAGTGGGAGGGAGTACCCTTGAATTGCAGCAAAACCCCTTCTAGGAATACTTCCCTAGGGAAAGGATACACTTCAAAATATGACAAAGGTATACAGTAAAAGACAAGCCTTTATCTGCCCACGTCCCTTAGGCAGTCAGCTACTCTTGACAGAAATAATCCCTTCTTGTGTCTTAGATCTTCACTTCCCAGGGGTGCTCTATGCCTTTACATGTTCATATATGTATTTTTTATTTTTAAGACAGTTTGTAACATACTGTGCACACTCTTCTGTATCTTCCATTTTTTACTTAATATTTATTTATCAGTATGTATCACTACCCATAGAGCAGTCTCATCCCTTGTAATGGCTGCATAGTATTCAAATATAATGAAGTAAGATGATTTACTTAACCGGACCCCAACTGGTTGTTTCTAGTTTTGTTTTTTTTTTTTTTTCTCGCAAACAATGCTGTAATGAATATCCTTCAATATAAGTTATTTTGAATATGTTCAGGTTAATCTGTAGAACAAATTTTTAGAAGTAAAATTGCTGGGTCAAATATATTTTTTATTATGATAGATATGGCCAAATTCTTTGCAACAGAATTTTTCTTACAGTCTTATCAACATAAACATGAATGTCTGTTTCCCTTTGCCTTTACTAAGAGATTGTAACTTTATTTTTGAGAGTGAGAGGTAAAAGATGGTGTCTCACAGCTTTCATTTGCATCTGTCTTGTTATGAGTGAAGTTGAACGTTGTATAAGTTTTTAAGAGCCTTTTGAATTTTCATTTGTTCTTATTCTCTTTTTATCAATCTGTTGATTTAGTAATTTTTTTTTTTTTTTTCTTGAGACAGAGTCTTGCTCTATCGCTCAGGCTGGAATGCAGTAGCAAGATCTCGGTTCACTGCAACCTCCACCTCCCGGGTTCAAGCCATTATCATGCCTCAGCCTCCAGAGTAACTGGGACTATAGGCACCCACCACCATGGCCGGCTAATTTTTGTATTTTTGATAGAGTCGAGGTTTCACCATGTTGGGCAGGATGATCTCGAACTCCTGACCTCAAGTGATCTGCCCACCTCTGCCTCCCAAAGTGCTAGGATTACAGGCCTGAGCCACTGTGTCCGGATGATTTAGTAATTTTTTAGGAACTCTTTATGAATTAAGAATATTGGCTCTTAATTTTGGGCATGCCATTTTACTTTTGAAAATTAGTTCGTCATTTGTTTATAATGTATTTTTATATGCAGAAAAGTTTTGTTATGTAGTCTGATTAATCAATTATCTATTCTTTCTTAGTTTTTGTGGCATATTAGAAAAGACTATACAACTCTGAGACTATAAAAATAATTCTCCTGGCTGGGCGCGGTGGCTCACGCCTGTAATCCCAGCACTTTGGGAGGCCGAGGCGGGCGGATCACGAGGTCAGGAGATAAAGACTATCTTGGCGAACACGGTGAAACCCAGTCTCTACTAAAAATACAAAAAAATTAGCCGGGCGTGGTGGCGGGCGCCTGTAGTCCCAGCTACTCGGGAGGCTGAGGCAGGAGAATGGCGTGAACCCGGGAGGTGGAGCTTGCAGTGAGCCGACATCACGCCACTGCACTCCAGCCTGGGTGACAGAGCGAGACTCCGTCTCAAAAAAAATAAATTAAAAAAAAATAATTCTCTCAAGCTATTTATTTACACTTCCATAGTATCATTTTTTATGTTTAAATATTTAATTCATCTGGTCTTTATTTTTGTGTAAGGGGCAAGATAGGGATTGAATTTTTTTCTAGATGGTTACCTAGTTGTATCACACCATTCATTGAATAATCCATCCTTTACCTTATTTGAAAAATAAATTTTATTATATATGCTATTATGTAATATAGTAACATGTCATATATTATATGGTATAATAAGATATAATATAACGTTTATTTTTGACTTTCTAGTCATTTTTTGATCTGTCTATATATTCATTTACCAGTATGACATAACTTTAAATATTTGTGTAATTTGTTGAAGAAAGTATAAAGTTGTGTTTTTTTTGGTTTATGATATTGTGTTTTGAACTTAAGTGATTAAAATTATTAACTAGAGCAAATCATACTTCACCTGGTAAGAAAATTACGAATGACAATAATGTTCTCAAAGAATAAAATTATAACACAGAACCAACTTAGAAATTAGTCTCATACATACATGTCATTGCTAAACAGTGAGCACGTGGCCCATGTCAAAAGTTGTCAGAGAGGTCTGACAAATATTAGTGTCTAAAGTGGCATTTAAGAGAACAGCAACTTGGCAATTGAAATGCTGTTTTAACAGGTACAATCTTTCCACTTGGAAGCATACTCCTGATGTTGATTTTCTTACCTGAGTAATGTGACTTACACTAGTGGCTCTTAATTAGATTGAGTCAGGGACTAAGTAACCAGAAGAATTTAGCACAGACATTAATCCTTTCTGGAGAATATTAGCCTGAGGCTGACAGTTTTTAGAAACAAGGTCAAATTCAGTAAAACATATTAGTACTACCAAGGTAAGAAAATAGAGAGGTTTCACTTTCTGGAGAAAACAGTATTACCACTGTATGCCATCAGCTCGTTTTTTTTTAATCAATTAAAGTTTTTATATCACATTTAGGTACAAAATAGTATACACATACAAATGTACACAGTACAACTCTATATTTGGAGTGAAATGTGAAAGTCCTCCCCTCCAGAGAGAGTGCCCAGAAAGAGTACCATGAGCACTGTTTGAGAATTCATCTATGAGAAATTTTTTATTTTTTATTTCATTAGTTTTGTTTTGCATCTTGATTATATTACTTAGTTTGTGGTGGATTTCTTCCCATGTCAACACATGGCTTTTTCATTTGTGTTAAATTTTGCATTAACAATTTTCTCTTTATAAAATTCATTATCAGTATTATAATTTTAAATTATAGAAATAAATTCTTATCACTAATTCAGCAAAACAAAACTACAATTAATGAAATAGAAAATACCTCTGAAAATTTTTATTTTCATTCATCAAATCTGCAAAAATAAATATGGAGAAATGGACATGGTAATACATTTCTGCATTTCTTTTTGGATAGTAATATAGTTAGCCCTTTTATAAAATAGAGAGCTGCCTGTTATTTGGCTGAGCCATCCCATTTTTGAGCATCAGCGCTGCATAGATCAAAGCCCCAGAATTCAAGGCCATACGTTGCAAGGCTTTGTATAGCAAAACTCTTCAGTGTAGCAAAAAACTGGAAATGATCTGAGGGTCCATTCATTATGTAATGATTGAATATATCACAGTCAACAATGATATAAAATACTAAACTGACATTTGAAAAGATATGTTTGTGCTATAGCTATTGAACTAGGTAGATTTTTAGGATGGACTTTTGAGAATAGTAAAAAACATGTAGTATAGTATGAACTTATTTTTTATTTCCCATGACAAACATCAAGAAACACTCATACACACACACACACACACACACACACAAATAATGTATTAGCCTAGTAAAATTGCCTATATCAATAGTGATATGACTATTATTAGTGATATGATTTGGTGATGTGATTACATTTTCCTTTACAATAATTTATGTACCATGATAAACAATTATGTATTACTGTTATTATTTTTAAAAGTGAACAAAGGACACTTAGTATGGAAAAATAAATGATTGGGATAACCAAGTTTTATAGAAAATACCTTTCTCTCTATTGTCATTTAAAGTTTAATAATTTTAAAAGGAGAAACTTTGAATGTTGGTAATAATATTCTAAGTGTCAGAAGTAATAATAATGGGGTACTATATAATGCTCACTAATACATTGCTTTTTTTGTTTAGGGATCTAGAATCTTATTTTGGTTTCTTTTTTTAATTATTTATTTATTTTTTATTATTATACTTTAAGTTCTAGGGTACATGTGCGCAACGTGCAGGTTTGTTACATATGTATACGTGTGCCATGTTGGTGTGCTGCACGTATTAGGAGATATACCTAATGTCAATGACGAGTTAATGGGTGCAGCACATTGGTTTCTTTATCACTTCTTTCCATAAAATCCCTGGAAGAGAGAGATGTTCAAAGAAGGCTAAGAAAAATATCTCCTGAGTTCACCTTACCACCCATAGCCTTCCTTTTGCCTGATCCAATGGAAGCCTAGAGAGCAGAGTCAAAGCAGCCTTAACACAGGCCATTATGACTTTTCTTTTTTTTTTTCTTTTTAATCTCTTTGAGAGATGGGATCTCATTTTGTCACCCAGGCTGCAGTGCAGTGGCGATCATAGCTCATTGTAACCTTGAATTCCTGGGCTCAAGGGATCCTCCTGCCGTAGCCTCCTGAGGAGCTAGGATTACAGGCATGCACCACCGTGCTCAGCTAATTAATAATTTTTTTTTTTTTTGTAAGAGATGGAGTCTCGCTATGTTGCCCAGGCTGACCTTGAATGCCTGGGCTCAGGCAGTGCTCCCATCTCAACCTCTCAAAGTGTTGGGATTACAGGCGTGAGCCACCTATTATGACATTTCTAAGTCTACAAGAGAGCATCAAGACTTAGCACTGTAATAGTACAAAAATGTGTCTTTGCCAGAATAAAGGAAACAGGACTAGAGAAGAGCACCATATAGGTTTATTTATACTTCTAGTGTTTCATCCACTGGAAAGCATGGCTGAACAGTGTCTCGATATTTACTTTATCAGATTAGTACTCTCACCTTTTGGAAGATGAGTTTCTTGCCCTTGATGCCCATCCATGCTTGAGCAAGAAAGAGGAAAAGAAAGGTAGGACTTTTGTTGCTTAGATGATTCAGGTTAAAAACTACACATAAAAGGATATAATCTATTAAAAATCGAAAGCAACGATTGATAAGAGATGGAAATTAATCTTCAGCTACTTTTTCAAACTTTGGGAGTTCATAAAAATAAAAGCCATATTTTTTTCCAGGCACTTTTTGGTTTCTCAAATCATCTGTGCTTCAAGGAGAATTTAGTTCATATGTCTTTAATTAATTTACACTTAACTCATCAAAATGTTGACTTGTTATTCCAGCTATTTGATGTCTCAGAAATCATACACACATTTTAATGTATGTTCAAAGGTCTTTCCCCCTTTTGGATAAGGCAGTCATCATTAGCTAGCAGTAAACAGAACCTGGAAGAGCTTAAGCCTGGTTCCAAATGAAAAACTAAGGAAATTCCAAGGGGTTTGAAACTTGGCAAATTACTTTTTACACACATGGTTACAAAATCATTAAAGTGATAAACATGAGAAATGACCAAAATACATCAAAATCATCACAAGCATAAATAGAGTCTCTAGAAAGCGAAGACATTACTCAGGAGATTAAAATACATATCATATTGAGTCTATGTGCCTTAAAGGAAAGAATGTCAAGGTCAGCACAAACAGCCCCACAACAACCAATCTGTATCAATTATTGTGCAGAAACCAGTAGGCTAATATTTCCATGAAAAAGGGCAAATGATATTCTGCAGAAGTTTTGGTGACCTTATGACCTTCTTTCCTTTTAGGTAAAACATACTAAACACACATATCCCTTAAAAAGCTCCTACATGTTTACATATGTAGGCTGGAGGTAACTTTTCTTTTCCCCTGGATTGGATATGTTTTTAGACCAGAATATTTGAATAAAATCTATCATGGATTAATGTTTGATTGTCTAGTTTTACACTTAGCTTAGAGCTTAAAGCATGAATTAAATCTGAGCCAATTCTCATGATACATAAGCACAGACTTTTACAGCCATTTGATCCAGGAACCAGGTGTTTCCTTACTGAAGAGAGGAAGGAGTTCAGAAACTGCAAACTACATAAGGTATTCTGGGGCCAAATCCCATGCTAGGACCAAAGGAACCAATTCATGTCCAAGAATGGACTGTAGAGCAAAGCAGAGGATTCAAGATTCAGAGAAATGGATCAATAGAAATAAGAAATAGAAATGAATCACCAGGCACATGAGATAGAAGTGGATCAATAGGAACATGAAGCTGGAGGAATTGGAGCACACAAGAGTTAGGAAAATGTTCTGTGGTCCTGTGGGGAGTGGAGAGGGCAGAGACCTAACTAGAGGTAGAAGAAAGTCCACTTTGGGGTAATCCTCACGATTGCTAAACTCCTTGAATACTTTGATTTGCTTTATGTCCAGGGATAAACCCAGAAAGTAACAGAATTATCAGGGACAGAAGGAAACATAGTAGTCATCTCAACCATGTTTGTAAATTCTGATCCTTCTCATTTTTATGAATATGAATGTTTGTGGCGCAGCCTGGATGGGTAACATTTTTACCTAGCTATATACCCTAGCTAGTGTCTGAGCTGGGAAGAGCAGCCAGAGGGTGTCTCCTTATTTCTGGTCCACTATTCTTTTTACTTCATCCCATCCCAAGCTAACTAATCATTTCCTTTTGCTTTTCTTTCTCTTCCTACCCCTCCTCCTTCTCCTCCTTCTAGTTTCTTTTCTCTTCCTTTTTTTTTCTTTCATTGCCTCATTTACTCCCACTCTAACTCAAGATTGAAGAGTAGAAGTGACAAAATGTCATGCCCAAAGCTCAACTGGAATTATTTTCAGAGGGGTCACAGCGAAGCATGTTTGTTTCGTGAAGTTCAAGCTTATTTTCAGCATATGGGTTCAAAGCTGTAAACCAATCTTGAACCTTGGGAGCTGTGAGTTGACAAGATGGGACAGTATGTCAAAGAAAATAGGTTCAGAAGACTTGTAGGATGTCAGTTCTCTTTTTAAAAAGAACATTTTGGTGAATTAAGTGTAAATGAGTCAGGAAACACACGGATTTTATTTCCCTTGCCATATGCGTGGGTTTAAAAATTAATGGAAAAAATTTCTTGGCACAACATATTTTGAATTTTATTTGCCTTTTTTCTCTTATGATCTCTGGAAGATGGAAGCTGAGGAATGATGAAGACAATGGAATCAAAGGCAATTGTGAGTTTTACATGTTTATATAACACATGACACTTAGATTGAGCGGTAAGAACATCTAGTCTGAGAGCTTCCATTTTGAAAGCATTATATTTTTAGTGTTTGACCTCATTACATTACTGAAAGAAATATCCTAACAGGTATTTATCTGAATTAATTTTGTGGAAATCAGGGGCTGGACTGTGAGGAATCCATTTTACTGTAGGGAGTGTGATGCTTGAGTAAAGGTATGTAATTGGGCAATTAGAATAAAAGAGATAGTGAACTGCTTTAAATTTTTAAGGCTTTCAAAAAAATAAAACAATCTACTGGATGGTCTTTCATATGTAACATTTTATCTGTCTCAGACATTTTACCTTGCAAAGTATAACTAGGATCTTTGTAGAATTTTGATTATTTCTATCAAGAAAAACAAAAAAATATGTCAGGATTCTCTGAGTCTTTTTAATTTTTTTCTTTTTGGCCAACTCGATGGGGGGACATTTGACAATTATTCCATTGGCATTTTGGAGTACTTAGTCAAATTATCCTATTTGTTGTAGAAATACTTGTAATTAGCTAAATAAATCTCAAATGTTTTCTACAGGCAGTTTCTACAATCATCTCTTTTTTCAAACTTGTATTTGTTCCCTGATTTGCCCAGGAACTTCCAAGAGAATATACAAGTTTAAGTAAATTGTCTCTAGTTAGTTTGTGGTTTGGCTTTTAAAAACCCTAAAATGATTTAAATCAAACCATTTCAGACACTAGAATTGGAAGAAATCAGAACAAAGATATGCTTGTAATTTTATTAAAATGATAGGTTGGTCAGGACAAAAATACTCAACACTATTGAGTGCCAAGATGGAGTGTACTTAGAATAGCCTGCCTATTGATGGGGCCAGGCCATGTCACACAGCAAGAGCACTTTACATGGCATCAGCACATCTGTCCTTAAATATGTGACTTTTTTGTGTGTTGTTCTATGTATTCTAAATAGAAGGAAAACTGGGCTACATTTCAAAATTTAAATATGGTACATGAAAGGCTTTGTTCACATTTAATTAATTTACTGTTTATGTGCCATATGTTTAATCAGACACTGCTTCTATCCTACATGGAGGTAATGGGTAGGAATGAGGCATAAAGTTTTTTTTCCCCTCTTCTAAAAGTAAAAGGTACAAATTGAGATGATTTTCTAAGAAATGCCATTCACAATGACAAACTCATATGGCCACTGCTGTGACACAAGCCCTTAAATGATCACTTCATGGCTCATTAACTCTCAGAACTGTAAAGATAGGTAGGACCTTCAGCTCCAGAAGACAATACTTCAATTATTTTCAAGTGCAACTTTCCTCAGATATACTGCCACACTGCCTTGCCAACACTGTTTTGTTTAGAATTTCAGATCAGGTTTATTTTTAAAGTTATTAATAAAAAAATAAGAGACACTCTTAATTTAAACATGCAAACTTAAATCATGAAAATGTAGATTCGATAATTTTTAATGCAACTTGATCTATAGATAAGTAGACACCTTTTAGGATCACTCTGTTCAGGGGAAATAAAATTCACT